>NC_000003.12:186205574-187455574 GCF_000001405.40 Homo sapiens
TGGCGGGCACCTATAATCCCAGCTACTCAGGAGGCTGAGGCAGGAGGATCACTTGAACCCAGGAGGAAGGGGTTTCAGTGGGCTGAGATTGCACCACCGCACTCCAGCCTGGGTGACAGCAAGAGCTCCATCTCAAAAAAAAACCAAAACAACAACCACAACAACAAAAAATGGAAAAATAGTTGAAGTAAATAAGACAAAATAATGACAATATCAATTCTGAGTGAGGGGGAGTTGGGAGTATTTGATATACTATTCTCAAGACTTTTCTGTATTAAAAAAATCCTCAAACACTCAAGAATGATCAATAAATACTAAAAAAAAAATTAAAAAAATCCTCAATTAAAAGGAGTAATTGATGTGCAGAGATTCCCAAAATATACTGGATAACCAGATATTTTTTTTGAGCAGCTTCCAGATTTGGACTTACTTCCCCTCCATCAAAGTTTATATTAGTTCATATTAGTGGAGCTGGCTGACCTTCCCTTGTGAATATGTTTTAAAGATTGGATTAAATATCAAGGAATTGGGCCAGGCACAGTGGCTTATGCCTGTAATCCCAGCACTTTGGGACGCCGAGGCAGGTGGATCATGAGGTCAGGAGTTCGAGACCATCCTGCCCTACGTGGTGAAATCCCGTCTCTACTAAAAATGCAAAAATTAGCTGGGCGTGGTGGTGCACGCCTGTAGTCTCAGGTACTTGGGAGGCTGAGGGAGGAGAATCACTTGAACCTGGGAGGCGGAGGTTGCAGTAAGCCAAGATCACACTACTGCACTCCAGCCTGGCAACAGAGCAAGACTCTGTCAAAAAAACAAAACAAAACAAAACAAAAAAACAAGGAATTTTGTAAGTTCTTATTTTTAGCCAGTGAAATGAAACATCTCTACAAAATGTAAAATAAGTGCTTGAGTTGAAGCCTGTCTGGTTTGCTCTACCTATGATCCCATCCAGAAACCTCTACAAGGTTATTCTGGGCCTGGGGTGGGGGAGGTGACTCACTGTGTGCCTCCCTCGCCCCACCCCCCACCTGCTTAATCAGGTGAAATCAGGTTAGAATGAATATTAAGAGCCTCTGGAAGGGAAGAGATGTCAGAGAGGAGTACCCTGAGAGACTGCCTTAGACCAGGGATGGTGAGGGTGAGGGTGGGGGTGTGGGGACATGCTGGCTTCTTTTTTGTTTTTTTGTTTTTTTTGAGAGAGTTTTGCTTTTGTCACCCAGGCTGTAATGCAATGGCCTGGTCTCCACTCACTGCAACCTCTGCCTCATGAGTTCAAGAGATTCTCCTGCCTCAGCCCCCCGAGTAGCTGGGATTGTAGGCATGTGCCACCACACCCAGCTAATTTTGTGTTTTTAGTAGAGATGAGGTTTTACCATGTTGGCCAGGCTGGTCTCGAACTCCTGACCTCAGGTGATCTGCTCACCTCAGCCTCCCAGAGTGCTGGGATTGTAGGCATGAGCCACCGCACCCAGCTGACATGCTGGCTTCTTAATTAGGGCCCACAATGATTTATGGAGCACCCAGTTTCCAGGTACAGCACTCACGTTCACAGGCCTTCCTTTGTGGTCTCATAGAAGAAGCATCTAGGGTGAACGTTTGCAATATTTTTTTATGCTCCCATTTTGACAAATGGAAAAAATTATTTCCTGCTTTTGACGTTATCTGAAATGTCAAAATAAAGACTGGGAATAAGGACATTGGATATGCCCAAACCTGGTTGAGAGTCTCTGCTCTAGACTGAGCTTCTCAAGTGCCAGTACTGCCCCGAAACTCTCGGGTGTCTGGCAAATCTGGATTTGAAGGCTGATCTGATCACTTGTAGGTTATGGACCTCAGGTGAGCTTCTTACCTTCTCTCAGCCTGTGTCCCCCTTCTCTGGAAAGGTGATTATGACACCTGCCACTTAGGGCTGCTTTGCAGATTCCATGAGGCACTTAGCACCACTGCCAGTTACATAAAAAAACAAAAACAAAAAGCCCTGAAAACTTCAATCCTAATAATGGCCTTGGGAGGTAGACTAACCCCTATGCCCCCCATTTTATAGATGAGAATACTGAGGCTCAGATATACAGTTCAATAAGTGGCTTAACCTAAGCACAGACCAGGGCTCACTGCCAGGCCTTGTGACTCCAAGTCAGGGCCCTGGCCATGTGTCTACAGGTGAGCAGGAGATTTAGAGTCACCTTCTCCCCTGCCTGAGTCACAGGCAGGGCCAGGAGTGATTTGACTCACGTGGCTCTGCAGGACTCCTTGCATCTAGTTTCCTTAGCGCTAGGTAAGCAAGCGCCATATTGAACAGCTTTTGTGTGTTCTGTGGACTCCCTTCAGTTTCTCTTTTGTCCAGTTGGCCCAGTTGGCCACAAGCTTCGTTTCAGAGATGAGACCAAGTCTCCTATTCCTTCTCAAACAGCCACTAGCCTCAGAGAAATCGCCTGTATATCGCCTGAATGGCTTTTTTTCTTTCTTTCTTTTTTTTCTTTTTTTTGAGACAGAGTCTTGCTCTGTTCCCCAGGCTGGAGTGCAGTGGTGCAATCTTGGCCCACTGCAACCTCTGCCTCCCAGGCTGAAGCCATCCTCCTGCCTCAGCCTCCCAAGTAGCTGGTATGACAGGCCTGCACCACCACACCCGGCTAATTTTTGTATTTTTAGTAGAGACGGGGTTCCACCATGTTGGCCAGGCTGGTCTCAAACTCCTGACCTCAGGTGATCCACCCACCTTGGCTTCTCAATGTGCTGGGATTACAAGCGTGAGCCACCGCGCCTCGCCACGCGAATGGCTTTTAATGGAAACCTTCCCTGCAGTCTCTCATTTGAGCTTTAAGTTTCACCATCCAACTTTTTACCAGATTGGCAAAAAAAAAAAAGAAGAAAAAAAAAAGGAAGAACCTAAATAGACTTCACTGTTTCCCTAAGTTCCTTACAGCTGTGCCCTTCCTCTGGTCACTGAACCTGTCAACCTAAGTTCCCTCAACCGTAAAGTGAGGACATTAATATTGGCCCTGCCTGTTCTGTGCATCAAAATAAATGAGATGCTGTGTGGGAAGACCTTTTGCAAACTTTAACGCAGTTTTCCTCCTCTCTGACTCTCTCTCCTATGATCCAGCCTGAATCTATTCCTTCCTCAAATGAGAAGTAGGACTGAGTCTTCTGTTCTTTGCAAAGCATTTCTCAGCACACCTGCCCAGCTGCATGAGCTGAGAGGAAATCAGCATATTAAGGAAGAAGAAACAGTGCCTCCTGCTGAAGACTTTACTGCTTCTAGCACCTGTTAGGTAAATCTCTGTTTATTGGGTTCCAAGCTAAATTCACTCTAAAAGACCTGGAATCTTCTCTCTTATCAGTTTTCAGCAATGAAGTTTTGGTTGAGACACTGAATGTACCTAAGCCTCATTTTTAAAATGTGATAATAGTTGCCTTGCTGCGTTGTCATAGCATATTAGGACATGTTATGGTCGGCAGTCAAAGCACGTGACTTTTTCCTGTCCCACTGGACTTTTCTCTCCCTTCAGTTTACTCTTCTTTTTTTTTTTTTTTTTTTTTTTAAGACGGCGTCTTTCTCTGTCTTGCGCAGGCTGGAGTGCAGTGGCACCATCTCAGCTCACTGCAGCCTCTGCCTCCTGGGTTCAAGCGATTCTCCTGTCTCAGCCTCCGGAGTAGCTGGGACTACAGGCGCCCACCACCCACACCTGGCTAATTTTTGTACTTTTAGTAGAAACAGTGTTTCACCATGTTGGCCAAGCTGGTCTCGAACTCCTGACCGCTGGTGATCCACCCGCCTCGGCTTCCCAAAGTGCTGGGATTACAAGTGTGAGCCACTGCACCTGGCCTAGTTTACCCTTCTAAATCTCTGTGCCTCAGCTTGCTTCCCCATAAAATGGGGATAATAATCTCTGGACTACTTAGCTCACAGGGTTGGTTGTGTGACTTTGAAATAAAGGCTATGGTGGGGAACTGAAGATGGCGAAATGTAGTAGCAATGCCTCAGTGGGGTTATTTGCTGGCCTGGGGCTGGTGGGTCGTGTGCTGGTTCTCAAAGGCCTGGCCTGTTGTCTGCAGCAACCACGTTTAGAAGGTCCCTTAGCATAGCTGCTCTTACCAGCTCTTCCTGAGGCCCCTGACACTCTCCCATCTCCCTGCAAGGCTCTGCGGTCTCCTTACACCTGTTACCCCCATGCCTCGCCCTGTCCGTCTCTCTTAGTCCCCCTCTAGATCACAAGGCACAGGACCATTCACCGCTATTCTCTGGATACAGAAATGGTGCCTGCCCCAATCCTGAGGGCTGTCAGAAGCTGCCCATCACATGACACGCTCAGCCCCACTCCCCCAGCTAATCCTCATGAATAAATACTAAAAAGACTCATTATGGAGAGATAAGGAAAACAGGAAGTGCTTCTGAAAGCTCCCAACAACACCCTCCCTCCAGACCAGTGAACAACCCCACCCCCTCCAGAGGCCACCAGTGTCTTTAGCAACGAGGCCCCCTCTGCGGTTGAGGAAGAGCCTCTGTCTCTCAAACCCAGAGGGGACTGTGGGGCCTGGAGCCGGGAGGGCAGGCCAGAGGCAGGGGAGCTGAGTTGCTGTATTCTGGGCACAATTTCAAGGCCAGCTGCAGGGAGAACAAGCAGTCGCTGTGCGCCTGCAGCTGGCTGTGGTTAGGCCAGGGCTGTCCCTCACTTGTGGTATATTTAAAGAGACCTCACCAGACGGCTGTGCCAAGGGGAAAAAATGCACACATATCCCTGTTAGCCACACTCGGTTCCCCTGCCAAGGCCTCTCCTCCTTCCTCAGCTCCCAGCACTGCGTTCACACGTCAAGAGAGGAGGACCGGCTTCTCAGACTCCCTGTGTGCCACCTGGGGACACACAACCTGGCGCCTGGCCTCTCTGCCCTCTTACCAAGCTGGCCAAAAGTTCAGGGGATTAGCCAGATCGGCGCCTCCCACCCTGGCGTTGGTAACCCAGCAACCGAAGAGGAGAGGCAGGCAGATGAGTCAAATGCAGCCGCACAGAACCTCTGGCTTCGTGTTTTGTTTGTGAAAACTCCCTGTGAGTGAGGAGCACAGGGGCCCTTCCGGCAGGGAGGGGCAGGGCTTTCCTACACCACTCCAGGCCACAGGTGCCTCCTCCAGGGAGGCCCAGGCCCCACTGGACTGCAGTGCGGGCTTAGAGGCCAAGCTGGTGGGCCAAGAGGAGCCCACCCTGGCTGAACTCTCTGGCTGCCTCTTCCACTTATTTTCCTCAAGTGAAAAGAAGACTACGGGCCTAAATCCCACGGGAAGGTAGGCCTGGTAGCAAGAACTCTGGGCAAGAGAACCAATGGGCGTAAAGTCCCACGGAGCAGGTGTGCATAGAAGTTTGGGCTTTCAGGTGGCCAGACACCAAGGAGCTGTCCTCATGGCAATCAATGAGAGGGCTTCCGGAGCGAAGCCCAGCCAACGTGGGGTGAGAGGGTGGGAAGTGGGCAGCTTATCAACCAGGGGAGGGGAGCCAGCAGGCAGACTGTCTGAGGCAGGCCCCTACAAGTGCCGGAAGAGTTAGTGAAACACAAGTGCACCAACAGGATTGGCTACATAATTTGCGGGGCCTAGTTCAAAATGAAAATGCCAGCTTCTTTGTTAGAAAATTATCAAGGATTTCAAGACAGTGACAGCATAGGATGAAATCAAGGGCCCTTCTAAGCACAAGGACATTTTGTGACCACACAGGTTGCACACCCACAAAACTGACCCTGGGTACCTGTGAGTCAGCTCGCTGAAGCAGATGTGAAAATCAAGGCAGGTCAGCTGGGGGATGTCTGGCTGCAGCCCCTATACTCCCCACCCCTGCTGCCCTGTAACACCAGTTCCCAGACTTTTACCAGGCTTGGGACATTGTCTCTCCAACAGCAGCCCCTCTCCCTGTGCTGACGGCAATGGAGACTTTATCTCTCAGAAAAGAGGGAATCGCAAGGCCACGGTGGAAGGAGGGCTGAGGGCTGGAATGAAGTGTGGCTCTGGGCTCTCGGGGCCTCTGAGTCCCAAAGCCCCCCAGGGATTCTCTAGACAGGCCACTGGAGCCTTCTGAGTGAGCGTATGGAGGTGTTTTGGAACAGGATGGAGAAACAACAGAGACTACGCTCTGGGTCACCTCTTAAGGTCCCAAGAGGATACATCCTGTGCATGTGTGACAGTCCAGGAGCAGAACCAAGATCCAGGAAGCCTTCTCCCCACTTGGGAACTTACCTCCAACTCAATGTGGTCGTGGAGTTTCTTGCAGGTCGCTGCAAAAGTCTCCGAGGTGCCAAATTCAAAGTACCACAGCTTGTTCTTCATCCTGGACCACAAAGCAGAGAGATGTCTCAATATTCCATACTTGAAATGCTCATGTAAAATAGCTATGTTCTTTGGATTGGGAGGCCCAAGCCTTCAGCAATTTCCCCAATCTTACATTTTCAGCACTTGTTAATCAGATGATCAAGGAATAGAAATTTTTTACCAACTGTTCTTGCTCGGAACTTAGAGAAAATCCACTTATTTCTTAGACATCACGGCAACCCTGGGTGAACTACCAACTGCTCCCCGAGTTTCCTGGTCAGAACAGGAAGAAGGTCTCTGTAGCTGCATTAAGGAAAGAGCTCTACGAGAAGTCAAGCCAGAGGTGGCAAATATCAATACAGTGCTCTGGCCACTGTCCTTTCCATTACTCAGGCAGAACTCTCTTTTGGGTATGTTTGGGGTGTAAAGGGAAGATCCTTCTAAGACTTGAGGGATGTGCAGTCTTAGGACAGAGGAGGGATAGCCCCACACTAACCCAGCTAAAATGTGTGCTGCATTGCCCAGGCTCTGACTGGGGGAAGCAGAGTGGCAAGAATTAGATACAGACTTGCAGGCAAGTTGGAAAAAAAGAAGAGTTGATTGGTAGCAATAATCACCTCCCCTCTTCCTCAAATGTATTTGCTTAGGCCATGGCAATCCTTCAGTTAAGGGCAAGACTTGTCATATTTGCTTCAAAGTAAGAGTTCACTACTTTGAGCTTTAAAAATTTTCAGCATTTTCCTTGAGAGAAAAAAAAAATCAATCAATGGGGTTCCCGTGTAGCTGGGGGCTTTGCAAAGTCAGATGGTGTGTCCTGACACTTGGTGCTTTTGATCAGATGGTCTCACTGGGAAGTGTTTCTGAAGGTATTCCATTCCTTCCACCCCAACTGTCACCCCATTATCAGGGGTTGGCTAAGAGAAGGGACACCTGTCCAGTTTACGAGCTGACAGATTTTGCTAAGGAAGGATTAAACAAAATCACATTCTTCTTGGCACTCAGAAGAGAGGATGCCACCTTGCATGGCGCTAATCCTCTCTCCTCAGGTTTGCAGATGAAGGGGAAAGGAGCAGTCTTCAGAGGGAAGAGGGCTCTTATTTTTTCCTCATGTTCCTTAGGTTGTAGCAGATGACTCTCCAGAATAATAGACACAACTCTTTTCTGCAGATTTCCCCAAGAGTCTACCTAGAACTTGAAGATGAAACTGTGTTCTTCCATTGTATGAAGACTTCTGAGATCTAGTTGGTTGGGAAATAGCTTCTCTGACTCTTAGTATGCATGAAAAGAACTAATAAATGATGAAGAAAGTAAGAGTAAGCAAGCTCTGGGAATTATGCCTCATGAACAAAATTAGAAGAGCTGGGTGTACTGTAAGCAGACCGGTGCTTCTCAACCCATGTGCTGTGGCACAGGCGTACCTGGGATGTCAGTCTCCTCAGCCTGCAGAGCAGCCAGGTGGGATCTGGGACAGGCTGAGCCCCAATGCCATGGCAAACATTCTCATTTGTATTCCCAGTGTGCCACACATAGATTTTCATTTTCTATGCATGCCATGATGATGTAAAATAATTGGGGGAAACATTGTTCTAGATGACTGGTTCTCTGCATGCACAGTCATGTGCATATCTAATCACTTGGGGATTTTATGAAGATGCACATTCTGATTCAGTGATTTAGGGTTAGGGCCCAAGATTCCTCATCTTCAGTGCTGCTGGTCCAGGGGATACTGTGAGTCATGTGGATCTGGAGACTATGCCTGTGGTTCTCAAACATTGGTATTTATAAGAATTACCTGGGGAATGTGATTAAAGTGCTGCTTCCAGGGCTCCAATCTGTAGAGATTCTATGAGAGAGTTGTGGAACGGGGCCCAGGATTGTGCATTTTTATGTGTGTCCAAGTGATCATTATGCAGATGGTCAGTGGACAGGACATTGCTGTAGATCCCAGTGAAATGAAAACATGGAAAAGGACAGAACCAGTTAAACCTGAAGGAGAGAATTCTCCAGGGAGGACAGAACGAGGGTCAGTGCCTTTCCACAGTCAATGATGGCAAAAGACTAAGTAACAGGAAAAACACAGATTGTCATAAATGTCAAAGCTGAGCATTCCTTTTTGGCAGCAAGAGCATCTTTGTAGCCAGGAGACTTGCTTGTGATTCCATTTTCAAATATCACTGCTGGCCTGAATCATGACTTTTGAAAGTTATTGCCAGGAGATTTAGAGTTTCAATAAAAGTTTCCGGAAGCCACAGCTATTTTTGCCCAGTAGTAGCTCTTCTGATGAGCTAATAAAGGTTAAGAGGTCACGGTTAGGTCAGCATCGCAGAATAACTGAGAAGATCAAACGGACTACTCATTCATTGCTGGCTGTGTAACCTTTGACAAGTGATTTAATGTTTTTAAGCCTCAGTTTCCTCATCTCTAAAATAGAGATAAGAAAAATATCTGCTTCAAGAGGTAGTTGAAAAGTTAAATGAGATAACAGCAAAGCACTTCACATAGGATTGCTGTATAGCAGGCTCATCAAGAATGCCAGCTACTTACTTATTAGCTATTATTATTTCAGTGTCTTGAGCTGGCATATTTGGATAATATAGTGAGGCAAAAATGACAGATAAGGATGTGTAGCTATAGATATTATATATTAATATTTTTCTGGGCAAGAAAAAATGTGATCATATTTATTAAATTATGTGTCTTGATTTTTGGTGAAAAAAATATGCTCCCCATATGTCCTTAATAGATTTTTCCAGAGTCATACCATGCCCTAATCCTTGATTAATTATCTTGACTGGTCACACAATTGGCCAAAGCGATGCTAATTGCTAATATACTTCGGAGAAAGTGCATGTTTGGTGTGAGACAAAGTATTCATCAATTCAACAGACATTCATTGTGCCAGGGACTAGAGAAGGTGTGCCTGGTACAACAAAGAACAAAATAGCATTCCTGGACATCTGGAAAAGACAGACAGGAAGCAGACCACAGTGTGGTTGGCCAAGAACCAGGCACCAGAGTTCATAGCTGGAGGGACACCCAATTCTTAGAAGGATGTAGAAGGCAAACAGGGAAGGTGGAGAAAGAGCATTTCAGGCAAAGAAAGAAGCTAGGCCATGGGACAGGCAAGAGAGAGAATAGTCTTGCTGGAGGGGACACAGAACTCAAGGTAGGGCTTGGCTAGGTAAGGCTGGAGGCAGACAGGAGCAAGACTGTGAAGGGTGGGCACGCCACACTCAGGGGTTTGTGCTTTATCTTAAAATCTGGTGGGGCGCGACGGCTCACGCCTGTCATCCCAGCGCTTTGGGAGGCAGAGGCAGGAGGATCACCTGAGGTCAGGAGTTCGAGACCCGCCTGGCCAACATGGTGAAACCCCATCTCTACTAAAAATGCAAAAATGAGCCAGGTATGGTGGCGGGCACTGGTAATCCCAGCGGCTTGGGAAGCTGAGGTGGGAGAATTGCTTGAACCCGGGAGGCGGAGGATGCAGTGAGCTGAGAATGCACCACTGCACTCCAGCCTGGGTGATAGAGTGAGACCCCCATCTCCAAAAAAAAAAAAAAAAAAAAATTCTATAGGGAGTCATGGACCATCCTCAAGTGGCTGGGGAGGGGGATGGGGTGATGGTAGTGACCTAATCAGACTTAGGTTTTTTAAAGATCATTCTGTTCCATGTGTGGAGAAGGGACTGGAAAGAGAGGTACAGACTGGAAGTTTGGAAAATAGATTGGAGGTGGTGTAGAAATCCAGGAGATAACTGGGAAGGGCCTGGACAAGGGTCATGACAATAGCATTAGAAGAGAAGAGTGGGGGAGACTCACAAGCTAAAATTTAGGAGTTATTTTAGCTTACGGAACAAAAAAGAGGGGTCACAGTGATAGCCAAGTTTTTGTCTTAGACAGCGTGATAGATGACAGGTGCCATTTCCTGAGAGAGGGGCACAGGATATTGATTTCCCAGTGGCAGTCGTCTTTGTAACTGAAAGACAGCACTTTTGTTTTTGGTTAATCTTTTCATTCATCCATCCATCCATCCATTAAACATTTATGGACCCCTACTATGGGCCAGGTGCTGTGTAGGGCTTGGAGATAAGTGATGAATAAGACAAGCAAGACCCCTGCCCCACCCCCCAAACCCCCATTATTTGGGGGGTGGGGCAGAGTCTCATTCTGCCTCCCAGGCTGGAGTACAGTGGTACAATCTTGGCTCACTGCAACCTCCGCCTCCCCGGTTCAAGCGATTCTCATGCCTCAGCCTCCTGAGTAGCTGGGATTACAGGCATGCGCCACCACTCCCGGCTAGTATTTTGTATTTTTAGTAGAGATGGGGTTTCACCATGTTGGCCGGGCTGGTCTTGAACTCCTGGCCTTATGTAATCCATCCACCTTGGCCTCTCAAAGTATTGGGATTGCAGGCCACCGCACCCGGCCGAGCTTATACACTTTTAATAGCATCACCAAGACCTAAGATTGAACCTCTGACCCACAAGGGACGTGGCTTTTAGATATGTTCAAAATGGAAATGCTTCTATTTCTCCTCTTTTAACTCAGGCACTTTTTGGCTAGAAGTGAATGCATTCTATTCCCATGGCCCTTTGGTTTTGCACTCTGCTAAACATTTTACACACACCATCTCCTTCAGTTCTCAGAAGAAGCTTACAGGTAGGTTACTCTAAGATTTCCTTATTGCTACAAATAAGGACATTCACAGATGGAAGTGAATTCTCCTCTGCCTCGTCTTCCTTTTCCTTTGTCAACACCAGCACACCACCACCACCACCCATTTCCAAAGCCTTCAGGAAAAGCCTATAGGCACGTGGTACCCTACAATTTGAGCTGGGAGATGCAGCCCCCACTCTCCCTGACTACCAGAGAGCCTGAGTGCAATGTTCCTTCTTCTCTTTTGAAGCTATCTCCCCTCCTACTTTACTCTTAGCCCTTGTTGGAGGACCGTTGCTGCAGAATGTGGCACTGAGCTTTTGTCTGTTTCATCTTCTATTGTACAAGAATATGGCATCTGAGAGCTGAGAGGCTAGGGTTCATGACTGGCTTTGCCACTCACTGGCTGGGCAAGTTATTTAAATTATTTGAACCTTCACTTCTTCTACAAAATGGGAACATTATTTTCTACTCACAAAGTTGTGAGGCTTATGTGGCAAATGCAAAGTACCAAGCAGGTGTTTAATGCATAGTAAGTGCTCAGTAGCTGTTCTTCCTTGTTGCTAGGAGACACAATCACTGGAAGAAGACGCATTCCCCACAGGCTGCAGGGGTAAGGGTGGGTCTACTGTGGGGAGTCTATCGTAGGTGGCCCATATTTTTTGAAGAAAATAAAACTAACGATGTTTTCATGGCTGCTGGAATGCTTTTTCTGCATCTCTCTTCCTGAGTAGTCTTTGGCCCACCATTTTTTTTTCCCCTCTTACAATCACCTTTCAGCTGGAGATGACTAATCCTTAACCAGCTGTTCTGAGGCTGATTTCCAGTTCCATGAAACTCCTAGGTTCATTGTCAGGCTCTGAACTATCCAGATGAACCCATTCTTGAGGCAGAAGATCCTCCTGTGTGCTCCAAGGGACTCTCAGCCACATGGAGAAATGGCAAATACAAACAGTGACACCATGGCTCAACTCTATTTCTGGGTTTTCTTAATTGCCCCCTGGCTTATAAGAAAATAACATCAATTGCACACTAGCTAGTTGAATCTTTTCATTAGACAGATGAGAGAAAAAATGAGACTAACTAAAAATGTTCTTTTATGTTTGTCAGCAATTTAGGGCTGAAATCCATCATCCTGACAGCTATGAATAGCCTGTTTTCAAGGATGTCCACAGTGAAACCCAGCTAGCTGCTGGCCATTCACTTTACCAGCAGAGGCTACGCACTCAGCTTCCTATGCCACCCTGAGCTTCTGGGGACCCTTTCCTGAGAATCAAGGAAGTTTTAAGGGCATTGGGCTTTTGAAGTTGTCAAAACATGAAAACATTTATTTGGGCTTAGAAGTCTACACAGAGAACACTACAGTTATTTCTAGAAATAGAAGCCCTTGAAGTGAAGGTATTCCTCTTTGTGGTTTGGACTTTGATAATCAGGTTCTCTGAGTGACTCATAACTCACATAGTTAGTTAGGCCTTGGGTGTCAGCATTAGATTGGGAGGCCTGGTGAAACAGATGCTACCCACAAGATGGTGTTCTGTATGGCATGGGGGGAGGGCAGAATGATTTAGTGGAGACTGTGCTGCACCAGCGGGCAGAGCTGCCTCCCAGACCCCATTATCAAACACACCAGCATGTGACTTCATGAGAGTCACTCAGCAACACCAGGCCTCAGATTCCTCATCTTAAAAATGAAGGGCTTGGGGCCGGGCACAGTGGCTCACACCTGTAATCCCAGCACTTTGGGAGGCTGAGGCGGGTGGATCATGAGGTCAGGAGATCGAGACCATCCTGGCTAACATGGTGAAACCCTGTCTCTACTAAAAATACAAAAAATTAGCTGGGCGTGGTGGTGCATGACTGTAATCCCAGCTACTCGGGAAGCTGAGGCAGGAGAATCTCTTGAACCAGGGAGTTGGAGGTTGCAATGAGCCGAGATCGCGCCACTGCACTCCAGCCTGGCGACAGAGCGAGACTCCGTCTGAAAAAAAAAAAAAAAAAAAAAAAATGAAAGACTCGGACCAACTGCTTTCCAAGGTTTCTCCAAGCTCCCCAGACAACTTGAGATGACACAATTCAGAACAGGATGGGAGGACTCACGTGTTCTACAACTGCTGCTGTGTAGGAGTGTGGGCCCAAGTATTGTCAGAACTGACATTTTTGAAAGAGAATCCAGAAATATATTTTCATGTAAAATCTCCTGATTATTGGAATTGGCAACTAATTCAAGTTTTTAAGAACCTAAGCCAAAAAACTACACATTTGGGAAAACTGTAGCTAGCCAACAGGACATTTCTGTATATGAATTATAAATTTTCATCAGGTTCATCTCAATTAAAATATAAAACAAATGATCTCAATCCCATTTGGGATTTGCTGGGTTATTAGCGGTGTTATTGCTACCACTACTGAAGATAATAGACTAGCATTGGATTACTAAGGTAAATAATAATTTAGCAAATCAGGTATAACAGAAATGCAGAACGGCCAAATGCAACAAGAGTTGAATTATAATTGATAAATATTAGTAATAATATTGACAGTACTTTACCTGTTAACATTTTACATTACTTGAATCTCAAATACCTTTGGAAGCTTAGTGATTATGTTAACCGAAGTTTACATCAAGAGTTAAAAAAAAAAAAAAAAAAAAGAAAAGCAAAGGCAGGTGGGGTCTGCTCTGAGGCCAGGATGTCAAGTCCTATAAGGGGCCCCTGACTGTTACCTCACAGGTGCTGCAGAGGCCATCTGTGTCACCCGCACACCCAGCTGCCTTGGCCCATCAGAGAGTGTGTCACCACATCTAATCCACGCTGCATGCTGTCCCCAGCTCTCACTGCTCATCAGAACAGGCACGCAGTGATCCTCAGGCACCGAGCTGTGCATGGAATCATCTTTTCCAAGAGGGGGCAGTGGCCCCTTTGGTTCAAGGGAAAGTGAACACCCAAAAATCAGGAAGGAGGCTTTATAAATAGCTGTTTTTGTACTCTGAATGTGACTCTTGTGCCTGCTGTTCCTGCCAACAGATTTGTGTTGGCTCGATGTGTTTCAGCTTCAAGGCGCGAGGTATTCCCTGGCTTGTTTCCATACTTGGGACAAGACTGGTGTTCATGGCACTCAGAAAAATCTAGGGTGGTGAATGATGGGAAGACTGGAGGCCAGAGACCAGGAAGAGTGGGCAGAAAGATGGAGAACAGGAAAGGGGAGATCTCAAGAAGGGGCTCAGAAAAAAAAAGGCTGAGGAAGGAGGGAGAAACTTGAGTAGGATGTATTTTATTGTATAACTATGGAATCCTCTTAATAACCTCTGAAGACACTTCTTGAGTCATTTCCATGTGTGAGAAATTAACTGTAAAATCACAGATGACATACTGTTTGCAACTAAGAGGTCTTCAGGGTTCAGGGACTTATTATAGCCAGGGGATCACAGGTTCCAAAGAGTTCTTCCAAAGTGTAAATGGAGTCCAGGAGCTGCTGTCAATATGTCTTAATGTAAAATAGTATTTGTGCATTTAATCATAATAAAGACAGCATAGGCTAACTAGTGGGTTAAACTATAATTTTTTTGATGTGCAATGGAATTAAATCAGTTATATCAGTTACTGCTTGGTAACCAGAGACACGGATTGAATGGCAATTGAATCCTGAATAATCAAAATGGGGAAACAAATGATTACTTAGAAGAGCTTTATGGCTGAAAAAAGTCTTACTCAATATGGCACCCATGGTGGGAGGCAGTGGGAGAATGAATAAAAATAGTGCACTATTCCATAGTAAAAGGGTACATGTAAAATTACTACTCTATACCAGGGCTCCATGGTGGTTCTCTTCTAAGCCATGGCAGCCTTCTCACGGTACAGCTTAGGAAACCGAGATCAGTTCTTGGTGATGCAGCTGGGAGGTATGGAGCTGGAATACAAACCCCGTCTTCCAGCCCATACTCCTTACTGGTTTACTCTCCCTGGCTCCTGTTGCTATGCCCCAGAGGCACCTGAGAGAAATGGAAAAGTCAACCGAAGTCACCAGAGCTAGTGACTGCAAAGCTGTGAGTCATTCTCATTCATGCCTGTGAGCTGGGTTTACTCACATCTACCACATGCGCCACCGGTATGGCTGTAGGATCCCAGCTTGAGGTTGGCTGGGACCCTGACACTCTTTAGCAGAGTCCATGATCTGGGCCTCCCCATTGGTCTCCAGTCTCCACTCTTGTCCCAGAGTAACAAAGGGCCAAACCCATAAGCCTCATATTTAGAGCAGCCTCTGTACCCCTTCAAGGGTAATTCTGGGCCCCTAAGAATCTACTGCCTCTGAACAGTGACCCTTCTCTTCCATATAAGACAGTGTGTTTCTGCGGACCAAGGACACATTCTCCATTGATAGGATCTCCGAATTCTGTCTGGCACCTGACAGTATCTCCTCCTAAGGGCAGGACTCCAAGCACGAAGATTGCCAAAGTCTGAAATCGGATCCTTTCCCAGTGCAGCACACAAGGACACACGTGTGCACGTGCGGGCACACACACAGGCCGCAACAAGAAGGCTTCCCTGAGACTCATGATCCACTGTTACCAAATGTGCTCGCAGACACTGCCCCTCTGAGGCCAGAGAGTCTCTCCAAAGGCCCAGCAGCCTGACTGGAGAATGGCCACTGTGCTGTGAAAGGCACCACTTTGGGGGTGGCCCTCAGGGGAGAATGCTGAGGGGCAGGCAAGGCCAGGACCATGTTGTCAGGGTTTTCCTTTCCTGATGGCCTGGGTCTCCAGGGTGTTTTTCCAGTTAGTATCTGTCCTTGCCAAGAGAAAATAGCTCCTTTCCCTCATCCAAAAAGAAAAAAGAAAGAAAGAAAAAACCCTCACAGTTTGGCTGCTTCTTAGCAATCCTTTCTCCCTTTGAAGAGTTATTCGTGGAAAGAAAATCCCCTTCAGGCTGATTTGGCGGAGGGTGGAGGGCATGGAATAAGCTTGCTCTTGGCAGTTAACGGAGAGCAAAGTCAAATACTGGGACAAAAAGAAATCCCTGCCTGGAGGGACGGGGAAAAGGCGGACAGGAATGCTCACTCCTGAGGTTCTGTAGTGATTCCTTAGCTGTGCTTTCCAGCATTTACACATCCATCAGCCCTGGGAACTGGTATCTGAAGGCGGTGGGGACAGTGAAGATACAGGTGGGTGAGGCCTCGTGTTAGAAACTGAGCCTTGAAGGCTTAGAGAAGGTGGCTGTCCTGCTGGAGCTGAGCCTCTCGCTGTGGAAGGTGACTTCCTGGGTCCTGATCAACCAAGACTAAAAGGTGGAACTGTCTGGAGGAGCAGAGGCAAACCCTGGAAGCAGGTCCACACCCTCACACTACCGTGACCGCCGGGTGGGTCCTGAGGGAGCCAGCTGAGCTCTGCCGGCCCCCAGCTGTTGAGAGGAATCTCACTTCCCACTTCATAAATGTTGACCGTGGGTCTGACCTGCACTGGCTGCTTTATGCACCCAAGGGTCGCGCTCTTTTGATCCTCACGTCTACCCCCTGCGGTAGGTACTATGGTGGCTATTTGTAGACGTGTGAGATGGTTGTTCCTTGGCAAACCTACAGCTAGACTGGAACGGGATCACAGAGTCTGAGGGGATGCAGGCTGGCTGATCCTGTTCTCCCCTCTCGCTCCCCAGCCAGTCTTTCTGAACACGAGGCAGTGCCTGCTTTATGATAGGTCGGGTTACAAAAGTTCCTTGGTTAAGCCAGTTGTTTGTCACTCTGAGCACATTTCCCCATAGAAACAATGTGATGTTGAGGTTGGGTTCCCAGGCTAACCCACAAGAGCCAATTAACCCATTAGGTACCCAAACTACAATGTCTCGTTTTAGAGAGAGCTTACTGGAGCTGAAGGAGTTCTGGTGGGAAGGCAGAAAGGCCTGGGTTCAAGCCACAGTTCAGTCACTTACCTGCCATGTGACCTTGGGCAAATCATTTAGTCTGTCTCTTAGTTTCTCTATTTTTGAATTGACACAATATGACCTACCTTGCAGGGGTTGCTGGCAATATTAATTAAGAATACACACACATGGTCGGGTGCGGTGGCTCACGCCTGTAATCCCAGCACTTTGGGAGACTGAGGCGGGCGGATCACTTGAGGTCAGGAGTTTGAGACCAGCCTGGCCAACATGGTGACACCCTGTCTCTACTAAAAATACAAAAATTAGGCCAGGCGCAGTGGGTCACGCCTGTAAACCCAGCAATTTGGGAGGCTGAGGCGGGCGGATCATGAGGTCTGGGAGTTCAAGACCAGCCTGGCCAATACGGTGACACCCCATCTCTACTAAAAATACAAAAATTAGCCAGGCGTGGTGGCGGGTGCATGTATTCTGAGCTGCTTGGGAGGCTGAGGCAGGAGAATTGCTTGAACCTGGGAGGCAGAGGTGGCCACTGCACTCCAGCCTGGGCGACAGAGTGAGACTCTGTCTCAGGAAAACAAACAAACAAACAAACAAAAGAATACACACACGTGTATGTATACTATATATATATATATATATATATGTCTCATGATATACACTCCAATAAAGGCACAGTAGAACTCCATTGTTGTATATAAAACTGGCTTCGTGGCCTCATGATTCTGAGTTCCAACTTAAAGTACAGGGAGCACATCTTTTCCGCTGAATTGGGATTGGGGATCTTTGCTTTCCTCAACTTCCTGGGAAAGAAACCTGGAGACTCCTCTACCCTACATCCCCGGCGGTGACCCTGAAGTCTGGGCTGGAGTTCTACTTAGGAGGGGAATGGAGACGCCAGAGGGAGAGTGAGAAGCAGCAGAAGTGGAAAGGGTAGCAGAGAGCACACACTGAAGTATGCATCCTGTGTCTTCCTTTTGCAATCCTAAAACTCTAGGATGGTCTGGTTATTTCTGCCTATGTTTCCTGTGCCTTCCCCACCATCGGCTGGTTAGAGGCATCTTGTCTAGAATTAAGTCCACGGTAAGTCGCTCCCTCCTTGTTTCCCTTACCTTTCCCATCATGAAATTGTTAGCAAGGCAAGTCAAAAATGCACTCGATAGGGCAGATGCCTGGATAAATACCCCCCTTCTCTTCCCTATTCCATCTTCTTCCTGTGCCAGTTTAAAAAATCTTAAATAGGAAAGCATGAGCCAGAGCCTCGCTCTGCCTGAGAAGACTGCGGTAGACCCTGCCAGCAAAATCCTTTCTATTTCATCCTTTTGAAAATCTCATCCATATGCTCTCTACTTTGCTTCCACTCTGACGTTTGTGACTTCTTATTCTTGTGTATACATCCCTGCCACCCATTTCAGAGACTGCAATTTATGTGAACTTGTCATCCTCACCTGGCCTGGTGGTGCAGCTGTGTGTCCTGCCCCACCATGTCTCTGACTGCAATCTCTAAGGTCGTGCTCCTCTCCCCTAAGGAATACGAATCATTCAGTTTGCCCCTCTCACTGTGTGGTTGGCAAACTTGTCCCAGCTGTAGGTGTGGCCCCAGTGGTCCTCCCAGCCAGTTCCTTGGGAGAGCTGCTTGGCACCACCTTAGCCACGCCTCTTATTTGTAGCTTGCACCTGCTGCCCTTCTGTGGGCTGTGATTTTAGAGTTTAATTTGAACACTCTACTTTATCCTACTTAAATCTCATTTTAAAGCTCTTCTGTTTGGTCCTCAAGTATCTGGCCAAAAATATTCCGCTTGGTTTATGTGATAAGCTCCCAATTCCTTGCCAGGGTCCTCTTATTCCAGCATCAAAATCCATGGTCCAGAAGAACAGTCGTTCTCAGATCAGCTACAGAGCAGCTCTGTGTTCCCCATATGTGCCTGTTTCTTCTAAAATTATGACTCACGGCTGAGGAAGAGACTAAAGCATTGCCTTTGCCCATGTCCCTTAGCTTGCTACCCAAGACATCAAAGGTCACTAGAGATACTAACCAGGATTCCTCCAAATGTGTCATTTGCCACCATGCCCGCAGGCAGACAGGAGAAAGAGTCTGTAAGTTATATGAGTATGTGCACTCGAATGCAGGGGCTTTCACCAATGAATTCGGTAAAATATTGGTCTCAAGAGGCTCTGGGGTAAGGGGATTCTGTGGTCAGGTAAATTTGGGAATGAAATACTTTCTCTTGCTTTTGCATGATCTCAGCAGGTTAGAATCTACATTAAAAGCTCTACAATATCAAACAGAAAAGAATTATGTTTGACTCAATTTTCCAAGTGTATTCAATGATTGACACCCCCCCGCCCCCCAATCTTCTTGTGAATTTCTTTTTAACATCCTGTGGAAGGCATTTTAACCAATGCTACATACTTTAATACATGCTGGAAGAAGACAATCTGGGTAGCTACCTCTGCAGGCTCATGAGGAGTTGAACCTCATGGTAAGTCTGTTAGCTGCTGTGTCTCCCTTCTCCAGAAGGTCCAAATTTATTCTCCTTGTGCAGAGACTATACTTTTAATTTTTTCTCCAAACAGGAATTGGGAATTTCCTCTTTATTTCCATATCTATTTATTAATCAGAGTGACTTCTCTTTATGTTCTCTTTGTCCCCCTGAGTCCCTTTTCTTTCTGAATCATTTCTTTCTTTTTTTTTTTAATGTATTTTATTTACTTATTTTTTTTGAGACAGGGTCTCACTCCATTGCCCAGGCTGGAGTGCAAGTGGTACGATTATATTAATAGTTCCCTGTAGCTCCAAAATCCTGGGCTGAAACAATTCTCCCCTCTCAGCTTCGCAAAGTGTAGGGATTACAGGCATGAGCCATTGCGCCTGGCCCTGAATCATTTTTTTTAATGACATCTAGGAACCCTTTGTCAATGCTTTAAAATTCTCCTCAAGCCCATTCATTCTCTCCTTTGGCAGGAGATCAGTTCACATTTATAGCACCAATAATTTGTGACCAAGGTCAAGCAAGAAAAATAAATAATTGGCCCCCATCACAACCCTAAGGTTATATTTCCTGGACATCAACGTGACAAGTTGGAGGGCCAAGGCTCTTATGGGGCCTGGCAATGTGTTTATTTGGCTTGCATGGTGGTGTTTAAAATTGGAAAATTTTACATACACACCTGAAGCCCAGCTTCTCTTGAGAAATCAGATCTGTTAATACTGGATTGCTTTCCAACCTGGCAATGATCGACGGCCACTGAGAACTGGCTGCTCCCTTTACACAGCACTCAGGCTAGAGTTCTCACCACTCCCTAAAGCCTCACATCTACCCACTTCTCTCATTTACATGAACTGCCTGCCTCTGCATGCGTTTGGATTTGTGACCCCTCATATAGACCGCTGTAGTTTTCCCCTGGGAATTTCCCTGGACGATGCTTCAAAAGTGTCTCCGCTACTTTCTTCCTCAGATCCTTCCTGTCTGAGCTGCTGGTGTCTTTGGTTATGAGTCCTAATACATGTCTGATTTCAAGGGCTGACCAGCTGCAGCAGGGTGAGAGATGAATCATATTGGCATTTGCAAAGATCACATGCACAGAAATAAAATATCATCCAAATCTACCTCTTCTGGGAAATAATATTGCAGTTGCTCTGTGTTTGGAAGTTAGGGCACAACCTGGTAGATAGATCAACTATTCCACAATCATGGAACACTGAGAAATGAACTTGACTCTAACTACTAGAAAAGTAGCCTAAGCTCACATTTACCTTTTCCCTGAACTCACCACTTTGTACAAACCATGATTATTGTGAATTTTAAGATTATACCACCAAGGCTTGATTATTAAGGGACAAATTCTTTAGTAAGTAGATAATCCAATCCTTCAAATTTCTTCTTTTCTAACCCATCAGCTGTTAACCATTTCATTTTTCTTTAGTGCAATTTTTACCAGTTGTGGAGATGGGGCCAGAGGGGGAAATGTGTACAAGGCATGAACCAGAACGTCAGCTCAAATCAGAGGGCATCCCGTGGTGTTATCTCCACCCCAACCCTGCATATACAGAAACCGTGATTATGAGCAGCCGCTTCCCCTCTCCCCACCCAAGTTCAGGGGCAAGGTGGTACAGAAGAGGAAAGGGGGAACCTGACTAATTACAACACTCTGTTGAGAGCTCCAATAAAAGTTTCACTGAGATCAACAGTTTGCAGTTTTCATTTACCCAGGACTTTCTCACTCCCTCTTACTCTGTGGTAACCCAAAACTGGAGATTACAGACCCGCTTTCAGCTTATTGAGTTCAAAGGCAAGGTAGGGTACTTGGCTTGATTGGCAGTTTGGAATGCTCTCCAAAAAGGCCCACTTTCAGGATTAAAGGGACACTCCATTTAACAGAATAGAAAACATCTTGTTACTAGAGAGTGAAGAATTTCAATCTAAGTGTAGGTTCAATAAACATGAATATTCAGCAATTACGTAATTCCCTGCTGTGTTAGTAATTTGAGGGTATAAGTACATTCTTGAAGTGAGAAGAGCCCCTCTTTCATTGAAGAGCATTAGAAGATTGGGAAAATGCCTTCTTAGTAAAATATGAAGTGGTAAGCACCTCCTAACCCCTTCAAATTTAAACACTCCTACAATCTTCATAATAGAGATCTACAGTCTTCAAAGTAGAGATTTGATGACCCCCTTTGGAGGAGCGTTTATAGAGGGGATGCTTACACTGAGAAGGGGGTTGAAATCTAAAGTCCCATCCAAAGCTAGGAGTCTATAAGTTACTATTACAGACAGGAATCATGACAGCATGCCTTTAAATTAGAGATTCTACAATGGATTCTCATATACTGCTGCATGTTCTCCTTACAAATCCCTGTAGTAATCAATACAGCATCATACCAATACCTGATAAACTTCAAATCCATTGATTTATCTACTCTAATTCTCACAGGCACCTTGTCAGGCAGTTGTAATTTCCATTTTACACATCAGAACATTAGGAATCAGAGAAGTGAGTAACTTTCCCAATGGCACACAGTAAGTAAGAGGCAGAGTAAGGGCTGAAACTCAGTTCTTTTGATGCTGAATGCAATGAAACTCAGGAATTTGTGTCTGTATTTCACATGAGGGTGACCACGACCTGGCATAGCAGAGTTGTAAAGCCATTTGTTCAGGGTTTCTGTGAAATAATTTACTGTGAAATAAGTAAATTATTTCACAGAAGAGAGTTACTGCGTTTCCTGATAAGTACAGTGAAAGCTTGCTTTTGAAATTTCCTTTGGCCCAATAATAAGTGCATTACAACGTTTTTTAGTAAATGTTGATTTAAGTGGGGAGTTAAAATTAATCACTTGAATCTTTTTTGAGAACATCTATTACCTTTTCACCTTGTTTTTCAATTTCTTCATAATAAAACGCATGCAATTATGAAAAGTTTAAAGAAAATATGGGCGACTGAATATGCTAATCACATCAGCCGTAAATACAGATACAGACTCTGTTGTATCACCAAAATACCCTTATGCAAAAGGGCAATAATTTTCCAAAAATACTCTTATGCAAAAGGGCAACAATTTTCTGAAGTTTTAATTAGTAAAGTACAATAGAAGGCCAACAAACTCTGACATTATTTTTTCTGGAGCTAAAAACAAACAAAGAGACATGTTAAACTAACTTTAAAAGCCACCTAAGTTGCCCTCTCCCTGAAGGCATCTGAAATTGTGGTGGTGAGGAAGAGAGAATGACATGCGGATTCTTTTTTTCAATATGGATTTCTACTTCACAACCAAATAGCATGCTTTAAAGCTCAAGGTTTATAAGAAAGCTCTGTCGTTGGTTTCCATAGTTTTTCCAGCCCTGATGTGTACTGACTCCTCCAGGGCAGCAGAGTTGGCTCCTTCTCCTCTCTCCTGATGCCCCTCTTCCTTCTCTCTCCCCCTGGGGATTGCCTCTTTTCTGGGTCTTTCTGACTAACACTCTGTCTGTACTATTCTAACACTTCAGCAAGGTTCAGTATTTTAAAGTCCCAGTGTTTCTAGGAGCCCTGAAATTTTTGCTCCACAAATACTTTGAAAGGTAAGCCATTCCTTCATTAATCTGTTCAAAAAGCACTTACTGATGGATACCCTCACTGTCCACTCACCCACTCCTAGGATAAGATGCAAACTCTGGTGCAGACCAGCGAGATCTGCTGCAACTGCTCCCCCCGCCTTTTCACTCCACCCGGGAACCTCCGGCCTCTCCGCTCATGTCCAGTGTCCTCTCACACTTCAGCCCTTCTCCCATACTGCTTCCCTCCTCCTAGCATTTCCCCGGTTGCTTCTCTCCTTGGCGAATTTCCATTTCTGTCTCCAGCGCTCATGCAAATGTTACCTTCCTCCTGAAGTTTCATCCTAGTCTCTCACAACACCCTCATTGTTCACGTCCCTTCGTGAAAACAAAGCTACCATATTACATTGTATTTCCTTCTTGTGTGAAGGTCTGGGGGAAGACTGATGCTGTGGGCTGAATTGTGTCCCCCCCAAAAATGATATGCTAAAGTCCTCACTCTCTATACCTGTGAATGTGACCTTATTTGGAAATAGGGTCTTCGCAGATGTCATCAAGTTAAAATGAGGTTATACCGGGTTAGGGTGGGTCCAATCCAGTGACTGACGTCCTTATAAGAAGAAGGAGATTTGAACAGAGACACAGATACAGAGGGAGAAGGCCGTGTGATGATGGAGGCAAAGATTTGCGTGACTGATACATCTACAAGCTAAGGATGTCAGACTGGCGGCAACCTCTAGAAGCAAGGAGAGAGGCACAGAAAATCATTCTCTCTCAGAGCCTGGGGAAGGAATCAACCCTGCTGACATCCTTCAGACTTGTAGCTTTTTTTTTTTTTTAGATGGAGTCTCATTCTGTCACCCAGGCTGGAGTGCAGTGGCATGATCTCGGCTCACTGCAACCTCCGCCTCCCGGGTTCAAGTGATTCGCATGCCTCAGCCTCCCAAGTAGCTGGGATTACAGGTGCCCACCCGCCACCATGCCCGGCTAATTTTTGTGTTTTTAGTAGAGACGGGGTTTCACCATGTTGGCCAGGCTGGTCTTGAACACCTGACCTCAAGTGATCCGCCTGCCTCTGCCTCCCAAAGTGCTGGGATTACAGGCATGAGCCACTGCGCCAGGCCAGACATGCAGCTTTTAGAGCTACGAGCGAATACATTTCTGCTGTTCTAAACCACCCAGCTGTGGTGCTTTGTTATGGCAGCCCAGGACACTGATATAGTTGGTATTAACTTCTGTATGTGCTCATCTTCCCAGTTATACCCACGAACTCCTGAAAAGCAGGGGCTGTGGTGCTCCATCGTTCCTCTCAGACCTAGCATGATGCTAACACAAATAGATGCTCAACTCATTTTGGCTGAATGAAGAAACATGCTTAGCATCACCCTTCTGGATTTAGTTCAGTGGATCCTGAAGAGAGTCAGACTCCTCTCCGAGTGAGAAAGCTTATGAACAAGTTGGAGACATAACAGTAGTTTAGCATCCCAAACAATGAATTATAGAAGACAAAGAGGGTGCAGCAAAGTGGGACAGAATGTGTCAAAAACACTGGAGATGGGCTGGGCGCGGTGGCTCACGCCTGTAATCTCAGCACTTTGGGAGGCCGAGGCGGGCGGATCACGAGGTCAGGAGATCAAGACCATCCTGGCCAACATGGTGAAATCCCGTCTCTACTAAAAATAAAAAAATTAGCCGGGTGTGGTGGCGGGCGCCTGTAGTCCCAGCTACTTGGGAGGCTGAGGCAGGAGCATTGCTTGAACCCAGGAGGTGGAGGCTGCAGTGAGCCGAGATCACGCCACTGCACTCCAGCCTGGGCAACAGAGCGAGACTCCGTCTCAAAAACAAACAAACAAACAAACAAACAAAACAACAACAACAACAAAACATTGGAGATGGAGTGTAAGAGAAAGTGGAGTACCAAATGGGTTGGTTAAGTAGGTTCGTTCAGAATATTCTGTGCTGCATTTTGAAACAAGTGATGACTAGGTCACAAGAGGAGATGTCATCTAGGTTGAGGGATTGAGGGAATGAGAGCAGCTGTGTGGGGAAGGTGAGAGTAACAGAGCAAGCAAGCAAGAAGGTGAGGCTGGTGTTTGAGGAGGAGAATGTTATAAAGGGCGCTAAATGCAAGCATGGGATGTAACGTGGGAGGGGGGTGGTGGAAGTAGGTGCTTGTGCAGCAGCAACAGGACCACAAACGTGTCCCAGGGAGACTAATGGGCAGCTCCAGGCAGGGTGGGCCTGAATGGGAAGGGCATCGAGATGGGCCAGAGGGTGGCTGAGGAAATCCTGAGGATGGAACATCTTGGGGACCAACTGGGAAGTGAGGAGCACAGGAGGCAAGCGGTCTCACAAGTAAATAAAATTGTGCAATTAAACTGTGCAGCTTGGTCAGTTGTGGAGTGGGAGGCAGAAAGCTCCCATCTGGGTGGGGACCTGGTGGGTGCAATGAGTACACTGCTGGGCTCAGAGAAGGTGGTGTGTTTATCATCCTGGATGAATGCAACTCTCTGTTTTTGGAAGCCTTTGCAAGAGATTCCAAAACTACTCTCAATAACTCATTTCAGTCTTTAATATGTCTCCAGGCCAGAAGATTCCTGCTCCCATCCAAAAGAGAATTCTTTACTTTTAGAGCACATTTTTTCCCTCTCTCATTCTTTCCTGAACTGAGATGAAGAGTAAGGAGGTGCAGTCACTATTTCCTGTTGTGAATCCTTCACACACTTGAGGCCCATTCCCAGTACGTTCTCTGTTTCTCTCCAGGAAAAGTGATTTTGGATAACTTGTGGTTTTCTCATGGGCCCTTTAATCATATCTATGGCTCTTTTCTAGTCTTTTTTTGGGTGCATCTTTGGTCATGGGGCACAAAACTGGGCACATGGAGAGGCAGGGAATTGTAGCAGGCTAAGAGGAGATGTGGAGTGGACAGGCCTAGGTGTGAATCGTAGCTTCTCTAGTAACTAGTGTGGTCTTGAGCAAGTTGCATCATCTCTATGAGCCTCACTTTTCTCATCTGTAAGATGGATCAATAATACTTACACTTGGTGAGTTGTGCCACTTAAAAATAATGTACATGAGATTCTTGAAAGCTCTCAATAAATGATGGCTACTATTGTTGGTATGGGTTGGAGCAGGACTGATTACATTGGGAAAACCACCTTTCTAAACACTTTAATAAATGAGCTCATGGTTATTCATGCTTTAAAAACTATACTAGGCCAGGTGTGGTCACTCACGCCTGTAATCCCAGCACTTTGGGAAGCCTAGGTGGTTGGATCAACTGAGGTCAGGAGTTTGAGACCAGCCTGGCCAACATGGTGAAACCCGCTCTCTACTAAAAATACAAAAAAATTAGCTGGGCATGGTGGCGCGCACCTGTAATCCCAGCTAATCAGGAGGCTGAGGCAGGAGAATTGCTTGAACCCTGAAGGCGGCCATGTCAGTGAGCCGAGATAGAGCCACTGACTCCAGCCTGGGTGACAGAGAGAGAGACTCCGTCTCAAAAAAACAAAAATAAAAACAAAAACTATACTACTGCATAGTTCAGACAGCAACTCTTGCTATCTCTGGTGGTCAAATAAAACACAAACTGGTTCTTTTGAGATACAGCAAAACTATAGACAGGACCCAGAATCGTGTTGAAAGGATAAAATATTTTTCATTTACCCTGCACGATAGTAGAGCTGCATAACATCTGAAATAGTTATTTCAATTGTGAAGGGACTTGGGTAATGGTATCTTTAAAACACTCAATGACTGAACAAAAGCGTTGGGACTTTTTAATTGGAAAAGGCCAATAAAACTCCTACAGCAGATGAACTCACTCCATTCAGCTCCTTTCTATCACCTTCCCTTCATAACCTATAAATGCTACTATGTTAATGTTTTAAACTAGTGTCTAGAGCATGATCTCAAGTCAATAAAATTGTGCAATTAAAATGCTGAAAGAAAATATGTTATAGCGCTGAGTGTTTATTTCTTGGAGGAGGGGATGCAAAATATGATTTTTTTTACAATGAGCCTGAATGACTTATATAAAGAAAAATTAGTTTAAAAATGATATGTATAGCTTTATAAAAACACATTATCACAAATATTTTAAGGTATATCTATCAAGTTAACTGCTGTAATGCACCAAAATGGCAATATTGTGTTTCTCCATGATGGGAATATGAGTGATTGGTTTTTTTTCTCTTACTTTAACTTTTCTGAACTTTCCAAATTATTTATAATGATATTGCAATGTGCTATATAATAACACTGTCTGATGTATTATTTAATTACATGATAAATGTATTGATATTTTATTGAAAAACGTTTAAACAAGATAAATGATGAGAAAAATAATTCCATATATTTCTACATTGATGACTTACACCCTATTTAATATTAAATAGATGTTTATCTGCCTATATTAGAGAATCACCAAAATTCAGAGTCTTAATGGCTTCTGAATCATCTAACATGGTTATTATCTGATGTAGGATCTGTCTTTGTAATAAGAATATTAATAACAATCATAATAGCTACCACTGATGTGCCCGACTCTGTAATAGACACTTTAAATGCATTGTTCCAATAGATCCTCGAAATAAGCCTATGAGGCTAGTAGGTGGAACAATGCCCTGAAGATGTCCACGTTCTGATCCCCAGAGCCTGTGAGTATGTTAGGTTACGTGGCAAAGGGGCGAAGGGGGAATTAAGGTTGCAGATAGAGTTTAAGTTGCCAGTCAATTGACCTTGAGATGGGGAGAGGATCCTGAATTTTCTGGGTGGGTTCAGTGCAATCAGCGTTCTCATAAGTGGAAGAGGGAGGCAGGAGAAAGAATGTCAGGGGGACGCCATATGAGAAGGACTCGACTGGCCACTGCTGGCTTCAACAATGGGAGGGGGCCAGGAGCCAAAGAGTGGTGACACCTGGAAAAGGCAAGGAAACAGCTTTTCCCCCAGACTCTCCAGAAAGGAATGTAGCCCTGATGGCACCTTGATTTTAGCCCGGTGACACCTATTTCAGACTTCCAACCTCCAGAACTGTAACACAGCAGTGCCGTTTTTGTCGTTGTTGTTGTTGTTTTTTGAGACGGAGTCTCGCTCTGTCGCCCAGGCTGGACTGCAGTGGCGCGATCTCGGCTCACTGCAAGCTCCGCCTCCCGGGTTCACGCCATTCTCCTGCCTCAGCCTCCCGAGTAGCTGGGACTACAGGCGCCCACCACCACGCCTGGCTAATTTTGTTTTCGTATTTTTAGTAGAGATGGGGTTTCACCGTGTCAGCCAGGATAGTCTCGATCTCCTGACCTCGTGATCCGCCTGCCTCGGCCTCCCAAAGTGCTGGGATTACAGGCGTGAGCCACCACGCCCAGCCAGTAGTGTTGTTTTAAGCCACTAAGTTTGTGGCAGTTCATGACAGCAACAACAGGAAACTCACATAATATTATACCTCAGTTTTACAGGTGAGCCGACTGAGGTTCAGGGAGAGTAACTTGGTCAAGGTCACACATAGTGGTTAATGAGAACTCCAGGATTTGAATCCAGGTTGTATGATAATGGAACCTTTCCTACTGGGCACTTGCTTCCAAAATCATTGCCAGCATGGGCTTGAACGTAAAATAGGAAAACTCATCACCTTCTCCAATAGCTCACTGCACTTGAGGATGGCTCTGACCAGTAGAATTAATGTCCTATTTGGGGCTTAACCCAGTCTTGCATTCCAGTCACCTTTTCATTGATTAATTGTGCAAAATAACACAATTCCTGCTTTATACGAAAAGCCTTTTAAATATTTGAGGCCAATGATCACTTCTCTCTAAGGCTTCTCTTCTTTGGGTGAAACAATTCCAGATTCAGCCTTTTGCTCGAAGACATCTAAAGTTCCAGCACCTTCTCAACCTCTCCCTTCTGGAAAGCATCCAGACTGTCAACACTCACGTTAGGATCCAGCCAGTTCCTACCTTACTTTGAATTTGTGTGCTTTGATTTTCTTCCATAAGGTTATCGTGCTAACCTCAACTCTTGTGAACTGATTACACATTACATCTTGAGTTCTTTGATGGAAATATTTCTAGAAATCAATCAGTCAGTAAATACTGATAACTTTGGGATTATCTGGCCTATAGTCTTGAAAACATAGCGTGCTTTCAAGTTCCTTCTGATATGATCACAAACCGATTCTACTCTTTGTTGACATGAATAAGACCTTTCCTGTTCTAGCCTAGCAGGGGCTACAAGAAAAAGCCCATTAAGCTACAGAAAGAAACGGTTCTGGCCAGTGGGTAACCTTGTAGGGAGGCTTGAGACGCCACAGGCTGCTGCTGTGTAACAGTCTGAGAGGTTGTGCTGTCTGTTCCCACGCGGACTAGGGACCCAGGAGGAAAATGAAAGGATTGTTAAGAGTCAGTGTGATTTCATCATATTATTTAAAATACTACGAATGTTAGGGCAGGGAGAACTGCATACAAATATTAATAACAGACTCCCAAAATCTTTGATCATCCACCACTGTAGATGATCCACGTGGTTGCTCCCTTTTTTCTGCGAATAATCAAGAGTTAACTATAAACAATCCAACAACAACAACAAAAAACCCTGGACTTCTGCATTTGTGTAACGTTGAGCACCTGATGAAAAAAACATGAACCCATATTTCATTCATTTTACTCTCTGCATCTCTCCCAAAGAGAGGTGGGGAGGGTGGGGGACAAAACATTTTTGTGGCTTAGTATATAAACATTCAAGTAATTAAGTCAGTTGCTCTGTCAGAATTGACTTGAAAATCAAAGGTTCTTGAGCACAAAACATAAGGTTTGTATTTCTTTATAAATACCTACAGGAATAAGAAAAAACACAGAAAATCCCACAATTAATTTCATTTGGGGCTTTTCTGAATCCCAGATATTTAAGAAAAATAGTTTGCTATATTGAGGGAAGCAGGTGCAGACAGTCTGGACCTCTGGCTACCTACAGCAGGTCTCTTTTGAGGTGCCAAATATTAGATGAAGAGAGGCAAAGCCTAATTCAGGGCACAGAATGAAGACTTTGATGGCAAGGATTTTTAACTTTGCTATATTTGCTGCTGTTGAACCTTTATGCCTTGAGAAAGTCACACATCTGGGTTGTAATAGTGGGCTACCTCACAGGGCGCCAGGAAAGAATAACTTAGAAGGGTTTCATTTTTAGATATAAGAAGAAAATCTTATGTAAATCATGATATATTTTATGCTTGTGACGGCAGAGCATACTGCAGGTATTCAAGAGAGGAAGCCCTTCCTTTCATTTTCAGAACTGTGTGACTTGAGCTTTGTCGGTTTCTATTTTGTTCCCCACAGAACATCTCTGTCTTTATCTGAGGTCAGGGTTGGGGAGAGGTACGTGGTGGGTGAGGGGAAAGAAGTATCCGTGAGGGAGGGTTAGTCACATCCCCAGCATCTGACCACAGGGCCACTTGCCTACCTGCCATGCAGTCCATGACCCCTGCTAGTAAGCCAGAAGCACCCAGGGAGCACATGGAATCTGTCCTGCCACTCTCCTTTACTCACTCCTGCCCTGTTCCTCCTGAGGCCATTTCACCTGGGGTCTATGACCCCCTCCCTTGATCCTGCTAGCCTGGATTTGGCACTGGACTTCGAATCTCTAGTGTCCAGATCCCCAACCTCTGCCTCTTGGACTTCCATGGAGCCAGTGAAGGGGATTTCCTCTAGAGCTTCTGTCCTGTAGAATCCAAACCAACCAAAGTGGTGCCATATTCCCACCCCCAGGAGAAGGATTTGGGCAGATTCAATGCATCACTGCTGGGGTCTCCTCCAACTTTTAGTTGTCCTCCAACTTTTCAGGTTAAAGGCCATGTCAATGGAGCATTGATTCTGTGATAACTGAATCCAATTTGTCACTCCATTAAAAACAACCCTTTTATTGTCAATACTTTATCGTCAATTTAAGGCAATGCTTGTTATTCAATGATATTCAACAACAAATGTTTATTGCGAACCTCCTGTGTACTATGAACTTAGGTATTATGTCACTAAATACTTATAGCAACATTGCAAGATTTTCAAAAGAGGCAGCAAAGGATTAAGAAGATTAACTTGCCCAAGGTCACATAGCTAATAAGCGGCAAAGCCAAGTTTTGATGCCAACTTACTCTATACCCTGCTGCCTTCTTCTATAAATAGTTACTAAGTGCTTAGTTATTTACAAGGTATATTTCCAACCTCTTAAAAACTCAAGCTACATTAGGGCTTCTGGGGAGCCCCTCATCAGTGACTCCATGGGACCTGCTCCAAGAAAGCTAATATTTCAGAACCTGTTAATTAGTCAAGGGCTTTTGAGAAAGGTGGTCAGCTTCTAGTAGGAATGAAGCACTGCTTCGGTCCCTCTGAAGGGCCTAACAGGAAATAACTTGCTTCAGCCTCAACTGCTGAGAGACGCGGTCAAGTGGATACACTCAACAGGTTTAGAATAACACATTCCGCAAGTACTCTGAGTTTCTAACCAACAATGAAAACATTCCACAGTTAGACTTCTCTTTCTAGACACTCACTGACAGTGACATTAGAATTAGGTGGCTTTTATGTATAGATTTCATATGCAAAACCCTTCATGGAGACTTAATCTGGAAACTTCATGGTGGGCTGGTTTTTGGCTATCTGGAAGACTTTGACGGGATTCTTGGCTCCTCTGCTAGTACTGATTGCTGCCTGTTTGTGGGACTGAGAGTCCCTCTCCTTCTCCCTAAGTTGAAACCCTCTTTCCTCCATTCTTTTGACTTTATTGCAAACACCCTACTCTGTGACTACTGGCAAAAGTGTCTTCTTTTTATTAATTCCTCTGTCCTTGCCAGGGCCACCTCATAGGTGTGAGATGTGGACTCCAGGGCCCCACACTTAAGAGGGCTCAGTGCTTAGTTTAATGCTTTGCTGTCCCATTTTTGAGGAAGGGGCCTCACATTTTTAATTTTGCACTGGGTCACACAGATCATACAGCCAGTCCTGCTCCTTGCTGTGGACGTGGAAACAGGGAGAATGCTCACACCATACAAGGTATGACTGGATGGTGTACCTGTTCTCCTCCCCTTTGGAACTCAGCAGGCATTTTCCCACAGAGACAATCCATAAAGGCAGATGATGCCAATGACAGCTCCATCCTCCTTAGCCTCAGTTCCTTCATTTCTAAAATGGGGACAGTAGCACTTACCCTTGCATGTTATTGTGAGCAATGAGTGGGATGATGTATAAAGTACTTATCAGAGTGTCTGGTATACATCAGTGCTTGCTCAATGAAATCTATGTGAGACAGCAGTTGCGGCAAACAGAGCTTGGACTCTGGAGTGAAGAGCTAGGTCAGAAATTAAATTAGCCCCACTGCCTAAAAAATACATGACTTTTGTTAGTTGACTTGGTTTCTTCCAGTGTCAGTTCCTTTATCTGTAAATGGGAATGCTAATATTTATCTTGAAAGGTTGTTTTGTGATTTAAATAATTTAATGTATTTAAAGACCCTAGTTCACCACTTGGCATCTAGGAGGAGCTAAAAAAATGAAAACAGTTCTTAGTCAGGTTCCCCTTTAACACTATTGCTACACCTAAAACAACCAATTTGGCCAGGAGTGGTGGCTCACACCTGTAATCCCAGCACTTTCGGAGGCCATGGCAGGCAAATCACTTGAGGTCAGGAGTTCAAGACCAGGCTTGCTGACATGGTGAAACCCCATCTCTACTAAAAATAGGAAGAAAAGTTAGCCAGGCGTGGTGGTGTGTGCCTTTAATCCCACCTACTCAGGAGGCTGTGTAGGAAAATCACCTGAACCTGAGAGGCAAAGGTTGCAGTGAGCCAAGATCACACCACTGCACTCCAGGCCAGGTGACAGAATGACTCTTTCTAAAAAAAAAAAAAAAAAAAAAAAGACCAAAAACATCCCCCAAAAAGAAAACAATCCATTTGCAAATGATGTTTGGGATATGACCATTAATAAGTTCTTACATATTATACGACTTCCTGTATACTATATCACCTATGAAATGTAACCACCTTGTATGTTAAAATAATTTTGTAAAGAATACTTGAGCACTATTTTTCCTTTTCTTTTGCTAGACGACGATTTCCTTGAAGGCAGGGGCCACATCTTATGTGCCCTTTATTCCAGATCACTTTCAAACACTTTAGAATCTCAGTTGAATCAAATTTCTCTTTTGTTCTTTATGCCAACAGTGAGACGATAATCTCCCTAACATTCCTCAATTAGCAATTAATGATTAGCCTATTGATAACTAGGAGGTAGACAGGGCCAAAAATAACCCCATCTCTGCCGTTAAAGGCCTTTTCTTTTTTGCCCATCATACATGGCTCGTATTCCTGCCTCCTCGGTTCTGGTTCTTGCTCCATTAATGAAACTATTCCATCAGAGAACATAACTTGGTTTTCTGGAACCCACTATCTTCCCTGGCAACAACCCATCTAGAGAGGCCATGGAGGAAGAATTTCCTGAAACCCCAACATTTGAGTCATAATTTGATGCCTCTTAGGATTCAAAGAGGCCTCAGACCTGTGACTTTTAAACATTTTGGGAGTATAGGTTCCTTTAAGAATCTTCTGATAGTTATGGACATTCTCTGCAGAAAAATACATTCAGTACCTTAGTACAATTTCAAGGTGTTCTCAAAACCCCTGAAGCCCTTGGATCCCAGGTTAAGAATTCTTGTTAGAATAGCCAAGAAAAGGGAATCAGCAACGTGAATGATTCCGGTTTCCTGGTAAGTGTTCCGGACCTGACTAGTCACTCTCCCTTGCTGAAAACAAAACAAAACAGAACAAAACACAGCAATGACAACTCCCAAGATTTAACCTCAAGATTATCCCTGAGAGTCCAAACCTGGGCAGTAATGGTAAAGGCTTCCGGCCAAGCAGTAACTACTCTTTGGAGAACCTCAGTTCAGCTGAGTAAAATAGGCCTTGTTTGATAATGCCGTTTACATTTCCAAATCCTGGGTATCAAGCTTTCTTCCTATGCCTTGCGGCCTTTCCTAAGTTTAGCCGCTGGTGTAATGGGGTAACCATGGCAACAACCACCTGCCTATTTAAAACCATCTCCAATGCTAAATAAGGAAGCCTGAAGAAAATGGCTGCTTGCCTGCCTCTCAGTGGACAAATTGGGCACTCCTGGGTATTTTAGACATGGGCGAATAGGCAGGGTAGAAGCAGTATGTATGCAAAGTTCTTCATAGGAAGCGTTCGGTGACCTTGTGAAATAGGTGCTACCTCAGCCCTTCTGTCTTCGTTTGTTAGGCGAGCACGCAGGTTTACGTGCAAATCCGTGGGCCTGTCACCATGTCATCCATGCTACCTTGACCTCAGTCAGGTGAAGAGTGAGCTGAGAACCTACCCTCAGAGAGAAGTATTGTTTATAGGATCTCGGAAGGGAGAAGGAAAAACAGTTCTACAGATCACAGTGAATTTGTTCATACTTTGCATTAAAATGCACGCTACAATCTTTTTTTTTTTTTTTTTCTGACGGATGTGTCTTTCTAATTGTACTTAATCATGTGGGTGATGGATGATTGCTCTATTTATGTCATATGTTGGCCTGCCTATTGATTTTTGGCATATGGAGAAATTTCTCCCTCCCTCTGCTTCCTTGCTTTCTGGGAATTACAGATGTTTGGTTTCTTTCCTCTGCCGAGACCATACAACTGATCACACTGAACATCTTGCTCTTCCACAAGTATACTGCACCCTCTCACTCCTTCGTATCTTTTCGTACATTTGCTTCCTTCTCCCTGTGTTGCCCTCCTCTTTTTCCGTGTCTTGGTTCAGGCGTCTCTGTCATTGGAAAACCCTCCATGCCACGTTTCGTGTCCTTGGTTTTTGCTCCCATAGGTCACCTCCAGTTACATCACTTAACACAAACCATTCTGCACATCTGCTTTCCAGCCTGTTTCCAGCACCAGGCTGTGAGTCCCCTACATGCGTCTGTCCAAAATGCCTGTAGAACAGTGTCTGGTGTGCATTACGTTTTCAAAAGATCTGCTGAATGAATGGATGAATGAATGAACAGAGCCCCGTGGCTTTCACAAGCATATGGCACATGTGCATGAGTACGTATAAGGATACTTGTGTGAGGCCGGGTGCAGTGGCTCAAGTCTGTAATCCCAGCACTTTGGGAGCCTGAGGTGGGTGGCTCACTTGAGGTCAGGAGTTCGAGACCAGCCTGGCCAACATGGTGAAACACTGTCTCTACTAAAAATACAAAAATCAGCTGGGTGTGGTAGTGGGTGCCTGTAATCCCAGCTACTTGGGAGGCTGAGACGGAAGAATTGTTTGAACCCAGGAGGTGGAAGTTGCAGTGAGCCAAGATCGCGCCACTGCACTCCAGGCTGAGCAACAGAGCGAAACTCCATGAAAAAAAAAAAAAAAAGATACTTGTGTGAAAAGAGGACCTTAAAAGCCTGAGGAATGGGTTGAAGAGGAGTACTTTTTAAAAAAGTGGTTTGTGTGTATCTGGGAGTGCAAAAGACCGTTAGAGGAGATCATCTGAACTGTAAGTTTGTGACTATAGTATCAGGGGCTGGAAGTACACGTGTTCCTAGTGTGCAGTGAGTGTGTATAGTCTGTGTGTGTGAGAGCAAGAAGATGCTGTGGCAGGATGCACTTCCTAAAAGGTTCGTTCAGCTGCTATCGGATCCCACAGATCGCTCTTTCTGAAGCTATAGTGTTCAGTTTCTGACCTCTAAAAAGACCTCCTTCTTCTTGGTTGACTTCTCAGGCTGTGGGGTCAGGACAAAGAGTAGGAATGAAAATGGCCAGTGATGAAAATGATGGGTCCTGGGCTTTAAATGAATGTCTTCAATGAACACTCTAACCTCTCTTTTAAGGACAATTCTTGCTTGTAATCCCAGCACTTTGGGAGGCCGAGGAGGACGGGTCACTTGAGGTCAGGAGTTTGAGACCAGCCTGGTGAACATAGTGAAACCCCATCTCTACTAAAAATACAAAAGTTAGCCAGGCATGATGGTGCACGCCTGTAGTCCCAGCTACTCAGGAGGCTGAGGCAGGAGAATCGCTTGAACCTGGGAGGAGGAGGTTGCAGTGAGACAAGATCACGCCACTGCACTCTGGCCTGGGTGACAGAGTGAGATTCCATCTCAAAAATAAATAAATAAATAAATAAATAAAAAGACAATTCTGTGGGCTAAATAAAAGTCAACACCTTTAGGCTCAAAAACAAAGTCCAAATCATTATCCATTCTTCTCCCAACCTACCTAGGGTTGGGGTGGGAACAGTGTCTGAAATAGTGGTCATCTTGAAATAGTACAACAAAGAAAAAGAAAGAAAGAATGAAAATTGACTAATGAGAAGATACAGACAAAGAAGGAAAGAGGGAGAAAGGGGTAGCTATACGTCAGTCACAACTAAGTTCTGGCAAATTTCATCCTACAAGGAAGAAGGGTTTGCTTTCTCTTGCAAATGATCTGGTTTCCTCTTTCCTTTCATTTTTGAACCTAACTTGGTGACTTCACAGAGTGCCCAGGCTGAGGCTGGGACTTAGTGGGTTCCGGGTCTCCAGCCTTTGCAGGTACCTCTCTGCTGCTGCCCTCTGCTGTCGGGGGAGGCAAAGGAGACACCCTTCTGGTCCTCCTGGTCCAAGTCCCGGAGCTGCCACCTCCTCCCATTTGAGACCGACAGAAGCTAGGGTCTCTTCCAGCCTCCCTGCTCTTCCCCAAAAGAATCATGAGGGGCTGGGGTTGGAGGCGCTGTACTTGGAAGCAGCAGAGACTCAGGACGGGGGTTCCAGTTAGACAAGGGCAGACGCCCTCCCACCTCCTCCCCTGCAAAAGCAGGCCCTTCATACCCACCTCCTGCCCTCCAGCCCTGCCCTCTGCACAGATCCTTTGGGAGAGGACAGGCAGTTAGCCTGCGCCAAGTTTCTGACACTTTTTTTTTTCTTGGAAATGGAAACCCTCCTTCCGGCAAGTGGCAGGAAGGCCAAGTCCCCAGCGGCCCTGGCTGGGAAAATTTCCAGAGAGCAGGTGAAAGGCCTCTGTTCCGCCAGGGCCACACTGGGTGGGTGGCAGCGCAGCCGGGCCTGCAGCTTACCTGCTGTTGAATTTTTCAGGATGTTTCTCTCTCATCACATGGAATCTGTGTGCAATGGAAGCGTCCTGAAAGTGAAAGAGACAAAGCAGATCCTTGGTGAGTGGTCATGACAGTGCAGTGCGGAGGGAAGGGACGCACGCATGCACTCGCTGAGTCATGCCAACCCTGGGACTCTATCTATCGCATGGTGGGGCTCCAGGTCACATCCGCGGAGCCAACAGAGGCTCAACACTGCCTCCAGGGGGATGAGCTAGCACCACCAATACTCTTACAGCCTATGCCAGTTGACTCTGGAGTCCTTGCTATTTCACTCTAGCCCGGACCCGCTGAGAACAGATAGATAGTTCAGGGGTGAGTGAAGGGGAAAGCCTTTGCCCTCTGGGGAGACTGAGAGTCTGTGAGCAGTTAGAGATCAGGAGCCTGTGTCTGGGGCTGAGCATGAGTCTCTGGAAATGACTTTCCATACTAGTTCTTTTTAAAATAGTTTTTATTTTGGAATATTTTGACTCACAATTAAGTTGCAAAAATAGCATAGAGTTCCTAGGTCCCGTTCACTCAGCTTCCCCCAATGATAACATTTTATATAACTATAGGATATTGTCAAAACCAGAAACCTGACATTGGTAGATGCTATTAGATATTAAGTCTTAACCATCCACACCAATAGAAATAATTAGTGGCACTGGATAACATGCTTACTAGATAATAAAACAAAATTAAACTCTGGCTTCTGCTTCTTGATCACTTCACTCGAAGGACTCCCTCCAAGGCCAATAAGAGTCATTATTACATCATGTGGACACTGCCCTCCTATTAGCACATCCCTTTGCCACACTAGCGGCCCCCTGCACTCCAGCACTCACAGTTAGGATGGCTGTCATGCACTGTGCTCCTGGGCTCTCCATCCTCTGACCACAACTCCCTAACCCTGGGTTCTACCTGCGGCCCCCACTCCACACCGTGGCCATCTCGTGAGTTCTCGTGGCTGTTACCAGCATCTGAATGATGATAGCTCCAAAGTGTCAATCTCTAGAGCCAACCCTAAGCCTCAAACCTGAAACGGAACTTGTCTTTCCTCCTCAAACTCGGTCTTCCACCCTCGACAATGGTCTCATTTTCCAGCAGAAGAATGTGTAACGCCCCTTCACCGCTCAGGCCCCATACTGGTACTTTGGGTGCAGGTGCTGGGCTTCAGAAATAAACAGGCTAATTGAGCCGGAGATGGGGGGTGACACAGAAACCAGGGAGTTGACTAGATTTGTTTTGCAATGAAAAATATACAAACCCATTTACTGGAATACATGGCTACAAAACACTTGAAATTCCATGCAGTGAATTTTGAATTTTCATCAAATGCATATTAATTCTATTTCTTATATGAAAATTTCTGTGTTTTTTTTTTTTTTTTTTGAGATGGAGTTTTGCTCTTGTCGCCCAGGCTGGAGTGCAGTGGCATGATCTCGTCTCACTGCAACCTCTGCCTCCCAGGTTCAGGCAATTCTTCTGGCTCAGCCTCCTGAGTAGCTGGGATTGCAGGTGCCTACCATCACACCGGGCTAATTTTTGTATTTTTAGTAGAGACGGGTCTTCGCCATGTTGGCCAGGCTGGTCTCGAACCTCAGGTGATCTGCCCGCCTCGGCCTCCCAAAGTACTGGGACTGTAAATGTGAGCCACTGCACCTGGCCTCTGTGTGTGTTTTTAAGCATCAAGAGGTATAGTTCTATGAAGAAGCTTTTTGAGCATGAACTCTGTGTGGTGAGGTGCACCTGGCATAGGAGTCCAGCAGCCCACATCTGAAAGGTGGCAGGGCAAGAGGAGAAGATGGGCTTATTTTGTGATTGGCAAACATTCTTTGCTAAAATGATGTTTTGAGAGTTTAAAATTTAAACTTTAGCTATTGATGTTTTTTTTTTTTTTTGAGATAGAGTCTCACTCTGTCACCCAAGCTGGAGTGCAGTGGCACAATCTTGTCTCACTGCAACCTTCACCTCCCAGGTTCCAGAGATTCTTCCGCTTCAGCCTCATGAGTAGCTGGGATTACAGGCATCCGCCACCATGTCGGGCTAATTTTTTGTATTTTTAGTAGAGACAGTGTTTCACCATGTTGGCCAGGCTGGTCTCAAAACTCCTGGCCTCAGGTGATCTGCCCAACTTGGCCTCCCAAAGTGCTGAGATTACAGGCATGAGCCACCAGGCCTGGCCAATTTATTTTTTAGCTTAAGATATATTAAGAGTTTAAGGTCTTGGAGAGGCACCCCCATGGGTGCACGGGTGAGATGTGCGGACCCCAGAGAGGCCTCTGTCCCTGAGGCCTATCCAGCCTGCACCGCTTCCCTGGGCAGCAGCACTTCATGCTCCCAGACTGTACCCACCTCCCACTCTCTGAGCAAATTTCAGTGAACACCCTCAATAAGATTCATGTGACATTTGTCAAATGCTTCTCTAAAATTCGAGAAAATATTCCATCTACTTCTATTCCTTTGAAGCACTAATTTTCGTCTGTCAGGAAAAAAAAAGTGGAGGGGGGCGGGGAAGAAAAAAGCAATCACATGTTGCCTGGCACAATTTGTACTTCGCTATCCCCTACCCCCAATACTGCTGATTGACTCCCAGCTTTTTTATTCTCCGGGATATGTGTACAGGCCCCCTCCTTCCATGCAGTTCTGATTGTCTTTGGTTTTTCCATAACTAGGTTTTGCAAAGATGCTTTTTACAAAGACCAGCCTTTAAAACATTATTAGTGAAGCACGTGGTCCCTAATTTGACAATGTAATCCCTTGGCAAATACACAAAGTAGCAAGGGAGAGTAGAGCAGCTCCTTTTCTAAGTCTTAAAAAGGCAATGAGGGTGAAGACTCTGACCACGTTTCTCTATCTGGGGATTAAAAAGAGAGTCGAGATTCACTTTCACTCTCTGGAGCTTCTATGTCAGGCAATGACCTGAGCATATTTACAATCAGTAGTGACTTCATTTAAATTTGGGAAACCAGGGCTACGATGGTTCAAACCCTTTCTTGGTTATTAAGGCGTAAACCCTTTCTTGATGATAATTAAGGCAAAGCGAGACTTCTGTTCTGAAGGCAGGAGATGGGAATTACAAATCCATGGAAGTGATGATAGCATTTCTCACAGCCTTACTCTCTGAGGTCTTTTCTTTCAGGTGTGGGGTGAAGAGGAGATGGTGGAAGGTATGGACATAGAGCCTCTTTCCTGAACTACAACTCCAAGCACATGGGTGGACAAAGAAATTTGGGCCCCTTCCAAGTACATGCATCAGTCATTTGGACTCTGAGATATTGGAGTATCTAGGCCAGTGCTATCCAATAGAAATACAGAGTAAGCTACACATGTAAATGTAACTTACCATTTTCTAGTAGCCACATAAAAAAGTAAAAACAAAAAACAAACAAACAAAAAAACAACAACAACAAAAAAAAACAGATGAAGTTAATATTTAAAACAATTTTTAAATTTTTTTATTTTTTTGAGATGGAGTCTCACTCCGTTGCCCAGCCTGGAGTGCAGTGCCATGATCTCAGCTCACTGCAAGCTCTGCCTCCTGGGTTCAAGTGATTCTCCTGCCTCAGCCTCCCAAGTAGCTGGGATTACTGGCACCTGCCACCACGTCTGGCTAATTTTTGTACTTTTAGTAGAGACGGGGTTTCACCACATTGGCCAGGCTGGTCTCAAACTCCTGACCTCAGGTGATCCACCCACCTCAGCCTCCCAAAGTGTTGGGATTACAGGTGTGAGCCCCCACGCCTGGCCTGAAATTAATTTTAATAATATATTTTCATTAACCCAATAAGCCTTGAATATTATCATCACATGGAATAGAATAATTATTGAGACATTAATTTTTTATATCACATTTTTGAAAAGTATTGTATATTTTATACTTACAGCTCACTCAACATCTTAATTAAGACAAGCCCCATTTCAAGCATGTCATACCACATGTGGCTGATGGCTATTACATTGGATAACACAGGTCTAAGTCACTTTGGCAATTTACGGAGATAAAAAGATGGAAAGGAGACCATAAGACAGATTATTTGAAATTGGGGTTGTTCTGAAAATTATGGGAGATTGGGGAATGGAAAAGGGTATAGACCCTTGTCCACGTCCCTCTGGGGAGTCCCACTGTATTAGTATCTTCATGGCTCTCACAGGTGACAAATAACCTGGTGCCAGCAGAATCCAAGAATCTGCAGGAAAAATTATGTCTTGTTGAGAAATTCCCTATGTGTAGGACGCTTATCATGGTGGGAAGCTTGTCTGGTGATAGCTAGGAACGATCTGCAAGGTGGAAAACGGTGCGTGGGTCAGTGCAACCACTGTGGCCTCTCCTTGGCCCTTGGGCTCCCCTAGCATCAGAAATAGATTTCACTGAATCAAGGGATTAGCTGTTCACCCGTCCTGTTAAGGCTCATGAAAGCAGAGCTTGTGAGGAGTTCAGAGTTACACATACCTTGGGAATTATTTTGTAGTCCCAAACTTCCTGTCACTGATACCTGGCCATCCTGACATTTTCTGCTAATCTAAAAATAAAGAACAGGGAGGAGCAGGCCAGAGAAGTCAGAGGAAGTGGCATCCTGAATGACTGTGTTTAAAATCTCCTGCCAGTAGATATTATCAGTTAGAAGGACTGATAAGGCCAACGATCTTAGCTTCTCACTGGTGAGAAACTGATGTGTGGATGGGGCTGTCGTAGCAATGAGGGCACAGTCACTCCCTGGAGAGGCCAGGAGACCCTGCCTTATTTATTCCCTCAGCTATTAAATGGGTTCTGTTGGCATCAAGGGGTCTCAGTAAACTCATCAGAGAAAATTCTACCCACAGCACCCAAGGGCACTGTCTCAGAGGTCATTGTCATCATCTTTATAAATACAAAGCAACAGATGTTTGCTATCATAAGATATTCTAGGTCCTTCAAAAGAGGCAAAGACCTTGGCAGGGCTCTCTTTGCCAGTGGAGTCCGCCTCTATTTGATCATCATAAGGAAGTAAAACTTCCTCGGTTTACATACCTACTTCTCTTACAAAGTTTGGGAAGTCAAATAGGGAGCAAGACCTTCTGCAAATGTCAGCCCCAGACTCTGTTAGGGTTGCGTGTTGGTTACTTGTTTTCTCAAGAATTTCTCTTTTCAACTTTTAAAGAGCGAGCATACAAACCCTGCAAACATTTTATTGAGAGAAAGCCAAGGGCACACCAATGAGATGAGAACAGCCCTGGTTTCTCATTCTTCTGCAACATAATATTAAACATGGATAAGCTAAAGGTGTATGAAAAAAATTACAAGAAAGATATTGTGAAGTTGTTCATAATTGGAAAGATGAATAGATTGGATTATTATAAGTCAGCCCAAGGTAGGTAAATTATCTTGACCACTGAGAGTGATGGAGAATCTGTTTATATGTGTTTCCTTGGGGACAATTAATTAGCCAGCCAGCAGGACTTCCTTCCTTCCTTCTTTCCTTCCTTCCTCCCTTCCTTCCTTCCTTCCTCCCTCCCTTCCTTCCTTTTTTCCTACTTTTTTTGCTAGAATAAATTAAAACTATGATTACTGAATAGTCTTGGCTCTTGGGTTTAGGGCCTGGCTATTTAGTTGAGGGAAGGCTGTCCATTCCTCTTTGTGTGTTCATCCATTTGGTCAGCAGATACTAAGGAGGGCCATCTTATACAGGGCACTGTGTTGAGACAGGGAGGTGTGGGGAACCATGTTTTTGTCAGCCAGAGCTGGGTGTGTTAGAAAGGGAAGAGGTGGGGCTGAAGCTTCTGCAGGCAGCTGCGCTGTAACCTGCTGTCTAGAAGTTCCCAGGCAGCTCTGCCAGTCTTGCTCCTCAGCTCTGGCTTCCAGCCCGTTGCTTAGAGGGCTAGTTCTCCCCTCCTTCCTTGCTTCCCTCTCCATTTATTTCAGTTCCGGCTTCCATGCCAGCGAAGAGCCACTTCCTTTGACCATTCTTCTCTGCTCTAGTAGGTTGTCTTCACTCCCTGAGAACTTGGTCAGGACCATCTGCATCAGAATGATCTCAGGGTCTTGTTAAAAATGCCAGTTCCCAGACCTTACCCAGACCTACTGAGTTGGAATATGAATCAGCATCTGTTGTGGGGGTGGAATTTACATTTCTGATAAGAGGTGGTGGTGAGCCACCACAACTAAATTTTGAGATTCCCCTCTTTCAAACCATGTTACATTTGGCAACATGAAGACGGAGGGGGCTTCAAGGAGGCACAAAGCTCAGTGGTCCACAGCTCAGTTGGCTCTAGAGTTCAAATATTATGATTCCAAGCTCTGCCACTCACCAGCCTGAACTTGTTTCTGTACCTCTCTAAGCTATGGTTCCTTCTTACAAAACACAAATGGATAATGCCTGCCTCCACTGGCAGGGAAACTATGTCTGGTGTGCAGTAGGTACTCAATAAATGTTAGCAAGTTATGTTCTGGTTACTATAGGAAAAAGACATATGAGTTTTTTTTAACTGTAATGATGGGAAGCCCACGCTCCAGAACCCCGGACCTGTCAGTCATGTCTAATTTGCAGGAGCTGAAGGCTGCACATGTTCCTGCTGGGGGAAGCGGAGCCTGAACAGCCGGTCCAAAAAGGAGAGGGGCCTTTGAGCACGAAGAGGAGGGAGGGCATCTGCGTGGGTCACTGGAGGGGGCACCTGGAAGAGGTCTAGGGAAACATTCCCCTCAGCTGAGGCCGGGGATCCAGTGGGATGAATCAGATTGGGACATAGGAACCCCTAAACTTGCTCCCAGTCTACCACCTCCACCCTCTCAGAACCCGATCATGGGCCCAGCAATGCTTCCCTCTTCTGCTTTAGTAATAGAAAAAGAGCACCGGATTAGGAGTCAGAGAATAAAGGCAAATCCCTTAATCTGAGTCTCTGTTTTCTTATTCATAAAATAGAGATAATAATGCCCTTCAGAATATATCTGTGAATTTGGTAAATTTTAAATCCTTCTGTAAATATAAGGTATTATTATTTTTAGTCCTTTCTTCTCCCATGGTTCTCTATTTAGCCTTCTTATTAAAAAAATAAAACCTAGGCTGGGCATGGTGGCTCACGCCGGTAATCCCAGCACTTTGGGAGGCTGAGGCAGGTGGATCGTTTGAGGTCAGGAGTTTGAGACCAGCCTGGCCAATGTGGTGAAACTCCATCTCTACTAAAAATACAAAAATTAGCTGGATGTGGTATTGCACGCTTGTAACCCCAACTTCTGAGGCAGGAGAATCGCTTGAACCTGGGAAGCGGAGGTTTCAGTGAGCTGAGATAATGCCATTGCACTCCAGCCTAAGTGACAGAGTGAGACTCGTCTCAAAAACAAAACAAAACAAAACAAAACAACACCCTTTACTTAAACTTGCTATCCCCTCAAGCCACCTATCATTTCTCCTTCTCTTTCCTTTAAAAAAAATTAAAATACCAAAATTTCAAAAGAAACACAGCTGAGGATGGTTGAGGAGTGCAGGTATCACAGAGTCTGGGGCAGAGGATTCGTCTGGAGGGTTTCATATGCATGTGAAACTGGGCAGCACAACTCCAAAGACAAGGGAACAGAGAGGAGAGAACCTGGCTCCAGAACAAGGCACCACCATGCGAGTCAAGGGTCTCGAAGCCTCATCTGTAGAGTGAGATGAGCAGGATAATGATACCTGCAGGACTACTGTGAGGGCTGGAATATGTACAGTCTAGCACTGTGGAGAGCACACAGGTACTCAATAAATGCTAGTGGCTGTTCTCACTTACAAGTGGGAGCTGAACGATGAGAACACATGGACACGAGGGGGAAACCAACACACACTGGGGCCTGTGGGGATGTTGGGGGAGGGAGAGCATCAGGAAGAAACAGCTAATGGATGCCGGGCTTAGTACCTAGGTGAAGGGATGATGTGTGCAGCAACTCACCATGGCACACACTTACCCACATAACAGACCTGCACATCCTGCACATGTACCCCTGAACTTAAAATAAAAGTTTAGGGAAAAAATTTGATAAATATTTGTTGAAAAAAAGAACAAATAGTTCAATAATTCTGTCATTCTTTTTTTTTTGAGACAGAGTCTCGCTCTGTTGTCCAGGTTGGAGTGCAATGGCGTGATCTCGGCTCATTGCAACCTCTTCCTCCCAGGTTCAAGCAATTCTCCTGCCTCAGCCTCCCGAGTAGCTGGGATTACAGGCACCCACCACCACGCTCGGCTAATTTTTATATTTTTAGTAGAGATGGGGTTTCACCATGTTGGCCAGGCTGGTCTCGAACTCCTGGCCTCAGGCAATCTGCCCGCCTCAGCCTCCCAAAGTGCTGGGATTGCAGGCGTGAGCTACCGTGCCTGACCAATTCTGTCATTCTTAAAAAAAGTAAATACTAGTGTCTTTGTTGCACTCCCACCCCCTCCCAACCCCCAGCTTCATTTATAGAAATGATTGATCTGTCCCCTCCTGTTCCGATCCTGTTCACAGCAGCCTGGGAAGCAGTGCCCACTCCAATCCTCTTTGGACCAGAAGCTGAGCTACACTAGATGTGCTGGGGCTAGTGGGTGAAAAAGGAACAGAGTGCTGTCCTTGCACTGAGGGAGTGTGTGTGTGTGCATGGCAGTGGGGGGCACCAGATAAGCACATTAAACCAATTCCTTCAACCTAATGCAGAGTGTGCATGAATGGGGTGAGCATAAGGGCTGTGGGAGCATCAAGGAGGCTCACAGCATTCAGCCTAAGGGGTCAGCTGGGAGGAGACTCCCCTAGAGGTTTATGATGCCCATGGAGTGAGTGGAATGGGGTTGAGAGAAGAGAGAATAGGAGAGAAGGAAATCTGAGGGCTAAGCCAGCCAGGGCAACTTGGGACCACATGGTCTTCCTTTGAAGATCAGAATTCCCAGTTCCTGAAGCTCATGTGAGAGTTTCCTACCAACCTTGTCCCCCGGTTATTTCTTGGTGTTGCTTTTCTACGACTGCTACAAATTGCAGAAGGAGAAAATATGTCTTTTGAAAATTTTTCTGTCTTTTCCTGTGTTAGTTAAAATGACAGAGGAGAGAATTTACTCCCTAAGCAAGAGATGGGGAATAAAGCGGGGGTGCAATCAGGGTGTCCACACTCAGGCCAAGTTTCAGAATGCTTGGACCCAACTCAGGGCTGGGGGGGCAGGTAAGACAGGTAGACACTAGGGACCCAGAGGGGACAACAGAAGGCTGGAACCCTTCCTGGGCGTTTCCCTTCCATACAGAAAGGTGATCTTTGACCAACTCACCACACCAATGGAGAAATAGTTGTTCATGATGCTGTATGGGACCTGGTCCCCGTTTTCCACTTCCTCTCTGGGGATGACTTCCAGATGCCAGCGGTCCAGCATCACCAAGGGGCTCTGCTCAATGTCTTTCAGGATTTTTGTCAAGCTGCCCCCTTCATAACCTGTGGAGGACAGCACTGCATTTGCCACCACAGCAGAAAGGCTGTATTCTTGCTAATGCACAGGTAGTTGTCAGGGCAGGTAAGCCCAGGGCATCTGTGACTATGGGACTCCCCACTGTGTCTGTGGGCTAGAGACACTTACGTTCCCCGAGCCACAGAGAAGGGCAGGATAACTGAAAGTAATCAGAGGCTGGGGGCAGGGGAGGGAGTGGGTGCTAGCTAAAGGTCACAGGCCTGTGTAGCTGAAGCGAAGCAAACCCTGGAGAAGCGGTGGGCTGGATGGCTGGGAGTCTCTGCATGGGAGAACAGCAGATCCTTCTGGGCTGTGTCATGTGGGAGATGGACAGTGTGGCAGGCAGAATTTTAAGATGGCCGCTAGGCCTAGGTCCTGCTTGCTTTGACACTGCCCACCAAGCATAGCTGATCATTGAACACTGACCATTGCACTGCCTGGTCTTGACTCATTCTCTGAATTAGCAGCCATCTGGAGTCCCCACCCCTTTTCTGGCCGGCAGCCTGATCTGTCTGCTCCATGTGTTGAGCTGAACTTCTCCATTTTCTGGCGCATGTCCAACGCCATGGGGGCTACTGCAGTTTGCAAAGTTCTCTGCCCCTTGTCTTATACACTGGTTACCACTCTGTGTTTCCTCTTAGGGAAATTTCAAAATGAGGGCCCATGGCTATGGGGCTTAGGATGATCTGAATGCTTCTAGTGACGGTAAGTAACTGGAGATGTAGCATTTTGGTCCTCAGTTTTAGTCCTAATTCAGAAGATCAGCCATTTGTGGGAGAGGGAATTTCACACAGAAAACATCTAAGTGAGCACCTTCTTGGATGGGACTCTGGGGATGGGACATATGAGACTTTGTCTTTACCCTACAGTTGATTGCTTTCTACTGGGGAAAGCAGGCTCTAAGTTGATGGTTTCAGGATGATAGTAAACTCGGGGCTGAGGGAGAAAAAGCTCCCAGAGCCCAGAAGAGGGGCTTCTATTCTAGATTCAGCATGGGATGGAGGGCAGAGAAAGGGTCATGGACTTGACATGACTGCAGAGTTGAGTATTATGCTGCGGAATGTGATCCATAAAAGGGTAAGTTCAGCCTAGCTCTGTAGAGCATCTCTGTAAACAGGAACACCTGTTCCCAGGGTACCACCATTAGCATGCAAACTCACCTCCTCCCCAGCGGAGACAACGGGCAAGGTCATTTCCTGTTCCAAGAGGCAGGACAGCCACTGGTGGATGCTTTGCAAAGTTGGCCTTATCTGCAAGACACACAGAGGAACAGAGAACCATATGCCATGGGACTGTAGAATGTTTGAGTTGTCTTTTTATCCCTGATCTGATGCTTGAACCCCTCCATAGCATTCTTTGTTTGAATACCACCCTGATGGGAAACACACTACTTCCTAAAGCCATCTATCCCATCTGCAGCGTGTTAACCACCACTAATTGAGTTAAATCTGTCCATTTGTATTTTATATTGAGCTAAATCTGTATCCCTGCAACTTGCATATGTTTATTCAAATTTCATCCTAAATCTGTCCTTTGGGGTGGCAGCATACACCCCAAAACATTAAGTTGCATGTTTTTAATCCTTAATGATAATCAGCACTTACTCCATTTATTCCTCAGCCTAACTTTGTAAGGGATTATCCTCCTTCAAGTAGCTGAAGAAACTGAGATTGACAGAGGGAAAGTAGTCTACAACCATTCTACCCTGAACACGCTCAATCTCATCTGACTGCAGCAGCTAGGCCTGGTCAATACTTGAATGGCAGACAGGGAAAGTAATTCCAGAGCCAGGATTCAAACCCAGATCTCTATGGCTCCAAGTCCATTCCCCTCCTCTCTTCAGGGGCCAGGCAGGTATACAGATTAGTAAAACAGGTGGGGCTAGGACACTAGGGAATAGTGGGACATTGGACAAGCTGAAGATGCTCACCTTCAACTGTTCACCACTCGAGTTTAAAAGTTTAAAAACTAACATTAGCTAAATGAACAAAACCTCCAGGTGTTATTTGGCCCCCACAACCAGTTTGTCACTTCCACCACCTCTCAGAATTGCAATGACACAGATTCCTAATTATTCCTCTTCTGACAGTTGTGAAGGACATCAGACAGAACCATCAGAGAAAGCACAATAGAACATGTTTTCATCTGGCCTCAGATCTACCGTGGCATATTGTCTAGGCTGGGAGAGCTGAAGAGGGCACAGGCATCCATCAGTCTTGGGGGTGGGTGGGTATTTCCATGAGACCTCAGCACGCATGGTGCCCCTGGATGTGAGCAATGTGATTGCGGCGTGAGGAGAGATGCAGGAATCAGCAGGGAAGGCTCAAGCTAGGGTTGTCCTGGCAAACTGGGAGCTCATAGGTCCTCCAGGTTGTCTGACCTATATCAGAAATGGCTGAGCGCAGGCAAGACCCAGGACTGAGATGGCCACTGGAAGGCTTGAGATAGAGAGCAAAACAATGCAATGGCCCCTCTCGTTGTCCTCAGAACATGTGTTCAGAGCACTGCCTCCCTGCCTTTGCACAGCCTGCTCCCTTTGCCTAGAAGGCTCTTGTTTCCTGTGTCTGCCCCTTCTTCTGTGTCCCCACCTCGGCAGGTCAACTGTTGTTATGGTGTTTAGGCTAGAAAGCTGTATGCCGCCCTAGGTTTTTCCTTTTCCCTCACACATCCATTCACATATCACATTCTATGTGTTGTCTCCTTACTAGATCTCCAAGCAATCTCTTCTCTCTATCCCCATGGTGATGCCTGAGTGCAGGTATGATTCCTTCCCACTGGTATCGCTGCAACAGCCTCCTCTCGGCTCTCTCCGCCTCCAGTTCCACCCTCCTAGTGTGTCACCCACACTTTCACCAAGAAGGGAAGTCCATGAACCACAGTCCCTCGCACTGGCTCACTGCTTTCACTTCTGGGATGGGGCTGTGTGGCTCCTCATGGCCCCATAGCCTACCACAGTAGGCCCAGGAAGCAGGCTCTGCCTTTCTCCCTAGCCTCATCCTTCTGCACATCCTGCCTCCCACGCAACATGTCAACCGTTCTCAAGTGTTTTCACTTCCTTAAAGCACAAAGCTCTCTGTGGCTCAGCTCAGAAGCTGCCTTTGGGAGACCCTCCCTAGTTGCCCCAGCCTGGACCTGGTGCCTCGTCAGAATATTTCCTTAGCACCAGAAATGATCTCTTTGTACTCTCTTGTAATTATCTCCTTGTTTGTTCCCTGAATGTATTGTAACCTCCCCGAGGGGGACTGGGTCTCATTCTCACAGCATCTTCATACATATCGACTGAAGCCTGCTATATGCAGATGCAGTGTTAGGTGCTCCGGCTCTGAGAGTGGGCAAAAAAGCCGTGGCTTGGGTTCTCATGGTGCTTACCGACTGTCCAGTGGGACAGACAGATAATAATGAGGAATCCATGGAGATAATGCATCATTTCACATTCACGTTGGAAAACAAACAGAGGAGCACTGTCGTATAAGAAGGTGACTGAGGCTGGTGGGTGTGTCAGGGGAGGCTCCCCTGAGTAAGCCACATGTCAGCTGAGATCTGGAGTGGAAGCTGACTGAGTGAAGGCTGGGGCAGCACTGCAGACAGGGTGGCCAACTTGTGTGAAGGCCCTGAGGTGCAAGGGAGACTGGAACGCCCAGGGGTCTGAGAGATGGGCCGGGACCTGAGTCCAGATGGAGAGGGATGGAGGTAGAAATAAGGCTGGAAGGGTGCGCAGCAGCTGGACCACCCAGGGCCCTGTAGATTACTTCAAGGGTTTTGTCTTTATCCCAAGAATAATGGAAGCCACTGGTGTGCTTTATGCACACCATGCACCCAGTGACATGCAGGAAAGATCGCTATGGGTGTAGGGAGAGAACAGATCAGAGAGGGGACCATGGGGGGGCGCTGCAGAGCACTGAACAAGTGCTGAAATGAGAGTGAACGGATGAATATCTTACGCAGTTATCCCTTTTGCTTCTGCTTTTTTCTCTTTGGGTCACTAACCTGTGAAAAAAACTAATGTTTCTTCCTCCTTCTGTGATCTTCCTTCTTTCTGTTTTGAGCAGCTTCTATCACCTGTGTCCTCTGCGGATGAACTGCATAAAGCTCTCCGCCAAAGCCTACTTCTCCCTCATGGTGGAGAGGGAGCCGTGTGAGTAGTCCGGTACCGCAGCCATCCACCCTCTGCAGATCAGCTTTTCCTTCCTTGGCTCCCGGAGGACTCCTCCCTCCTCCCACAAACAACTCCAGAGCCCAAGGTGACAGGAGAGCGTGGGTGGCTGCTTGGCAGGGCTGTGTCCATGGCAACCAAAGCGCCCGGGGGAGTGGCGGGCGGCAGGTGTACGGTCCTGCAGCCTTCTCGCCCAGCTAGGTGGTCTACTTACAGCCCCCGGAGGCACGGCTTTCTCTGCCCTGGTCACGGTCTAGTCCTGGCTTGTCCTTGACTTCCCTCGTCCTCTCATCTCCCACATACAGTCTGTCAGCAAATCGTATTGCCTTCACCTTCTAAAGATATCCAGAAGCTGGCCACTTCTCACCACCACTCTGTTTCTCCTGTGGTCCAAGCCCTGGACATCTCTCACTTGGACTGCTGCAGTGGCCTCCGAACTGATCTCCCCGCTTCTGCCCTCTTCTCTTAATCTGTCATGTTCCTCCTTTGCTCAAAACCATCCAATGTCATGGGACCCTCCCAGTATAAAAGCCATATTCCATAGAATGCCCTATATGTCCTAGTCACCTGGCCCCTCGTCACCTCTGCTTCATCCGCTGTAGCTTTTCTCGAATCCACTCTGCTTTGACCATGCTGGCCTGCCTCCAGCAGCCTGGCCTGCTCCCACTGCAGGGCCTTCGTCTTTGCTGTTCCTTCTGCCTGGACTGCCCTTCCTCAGGTATCCACTTGACTCACCCCTCCTCCAGATCTCCATGCCAATGTTGTCTTCTCTGTCAGGTGTTAGATTGCAGCCTTGAGCTCCCTGTGCCCCTTCCCTGCTGTACTTTAAACACTTCCTGACATACTATGTCTCACTTATTTAATTGTTCATTGCCTGTCTCTTTCCTCTACATGGTGTGCTCCATGAAAGTGGAATTTTTGTCCGTTCATTCCCTGCTGTATCTCCAGTGCCTTGGGGAGAGCTTGACACATCATGGAGCACAGGCAGCATTTTTGGGATGAAGAATGGAAAGCCCAGGGCTCATCGCTCAGGGCCCAGTCTCTGACTTTGATGACTGTCCTCCCCAGTGCTCCCCCGGCCGCTTTCTTGTCCTTATATTACACTTTGCAGTGTTTGTCTGGGTTCTGTAGGGTTAGATCTTGACTCTGCTTCCATCCCAGAATTTCAGTCAGTTTCCATCACTTACTGGGGCTGATGTGTCCGAGGACCCACAGATCCAGGTAGAGCTGGGTAGAACTCAGGCTACCAGCCTTCTGGCCTGGGCCTTTTTATCTAGATGTACTCTACTGGACACAGCTCAGTGTGGTCCTTCTTTGCTTGCACTGATCTGTACTTTCTAGATGCACTTTCTGGACTCAGGCTCCGGGTGTTCATCTCAAGGTGATTTGTCCCAGGCTATGATCTATGCTTAGTTCTCTGGCCTTTACCAACCCCAAAGGGTCTGCCCAGAATTCCACTCCTGTCCTCCCACCCCCCAAATCTGGCCTGTCCTGCCACTGCCCAAACCCCAGCCATGACAGATCTGCTTTACAGGAAAGGCCTGAAACTAAACTGTTACCTCCGTATTGGAGGGAATCATTCGATTGTCTTATTTCTTTTTTTTTTTTTTTTCCACCCAAAGCAAATATTTAGTCAAGTGTTGGTCCAGGGGAAGATACAAGGATGAACAGACATGGCTCCATGTCTCTTTCTTTTTTATTGCCTTCTGCTGATTGTAAATACGCTTACTATAAATAAGCAGCAAACGCCCTCTCAGCCCATGCTTACCAATGCAATCCAAAATCCAGCCAACTGTCCCATCTCCACCACAGGCCAAAACACGGAAGTCTGGAGTATCACGGAAAAAGTTCAACCTGGGAAGAAGAAGAAAGGCCAAAATGGGCTTGTTACTAGGTTGCAGCTGACATTGATACATGTTGAGTCAGAGTCTGCCCTGTTCCCCAGGAGTATGTTAAGACCTCGATTCCTTTTGTGGTTGAAAGGGTCACTCAATGTTCTGAAACCAGAAGTTACTATGCAGTGCCTTGAATATGGAGCCAAGGCCAAGGGGGCCATCCTTGTGCAAGGATAATCTGACTCAACATTCGACACAAATGGAAAATGGTTTTCTAGAAATTCTGTACTAGTTACGCAGAGGAGTCCAGAGTTTTGGCGTCAATACAAATAGCCCCCAGTGTTTTCACTCCTCTCGGGCTCTCCTGCCTGCTCTGTCCTGACACCCGCCCTGGTAAGCAAGATGCACCGAATTTGCTGGATCTTCTCTTCACTCTCCTGTGGGCCACAGTGAGTGGAGTGATGCCCTTCTCTTCTCAGGAGCCTTAACCCTGGAGAGCAGGGTGCTTATACCTGGGGTCCACCAACCTCCAAGGGTTCTATGGATTGGATTCAGAGGGCCATTAACTTGGAGGAGAAAATAATACATTCTTATTTTCCCTAAGCTCAAACTGAAATTAGTAGTATTTCCTTCAATTCAGCATGTAGGCAACAGACCACAGAGGTTGGAACCATACCCATGACTTTGTCAGCGGTCAAAATCACAGCCATGTTAGTGTTTCATTATGGTTGTGACAGATGCCTCATACCACTGCCATGCTCATCACTGCTTGGAATTTACGGTAGTTATTAGACCCACTTCTGGGTCTTCCTATTTGACGTATTGGTGAAGCTCATATATTCTCATATCACTAATTTGTTTTACTGTTTTAATAACTGTTTTTTGATATGGTTTCCCTGGTCACCTTTTATTATTAAATTTATGCATTAAGAAATATTCCAAGAGGGGGTTTCTATGCTTCACCAGACTGCCAAGGGGGTTCCTGGCACAAAAAAGTTAAGAACCTCTGCTTTAGAATGAATGTGCCCTGCGGACACCTTGGGGGTGGAACTTGGGAAGCCTAAGGTCAATATTTCCAATCTGCCCAGCCTGGTGGTCTGAGAAGAGCCCTGGAGCTTTCAGAATCACTGATGCATGTGTAGGCAAATTAACATTCCTTCTCTTGCAGAACTCTGCTCTCCGACGGGACTCTCCGACGGGAAGTGAATTCTGAACAGACGCTCCCTCCAGCTAGGCAGCTTGTCTGATTAGAGAGTGACATGCGCATGAGAGACCCTCAGGGCGTATCAGCCCGGGAAGTAGCCACCTGGCTCGTCGTCTCAGATGAAAACAATTTAGAATACACGAGGTGAAGCTGGAGGACTGTCTGCCAGTTTTGACAGTGGGCTGGTAAAGGTGTCTGTGGGGGGCTGCTCCGTCACAAGGCTGTACTGTTCAGCAGTGATGGCAATCACGGTGACTGTGATGGCAACTGCAGTGGTGTACAGAGGTGGGCTCTGTTCTGAAATTACTTTTACAGGTAAATCATGGCAGGTGTACTGAATCCGCACTTATGTTTCTTTCTCTTTTTAACTGGGCCTTGTACTACCGCTGCCATAAACAATAGCTTTGGTGTCAGCCAACCAAAGACAGGGTCAAATTCTCTTTTCAGAGTCCTTACTCCAACCTCTCTGAGGGGTCTAGCTGAACCCGGAGCAGAAATCCTGGTTTGGAGGTTGGGCAAATGGCTGCGTGCTGGGCAAGCCCAGCCCAGAGTATGCAGACAGCCCCGGGCCCGGGGCCGGCCAGTAGAGGGCTCTCGAGCACCGGCCCGGACTGGGAGGAAGCCCAGGCTTTCCTGGCCTTCTAGCCCAGGTGCTGTAGGGGCCGCATCACAGAGACCTGCAGCTCACCATTAGCCGCAGACACAGGGACCACGCCTCCCACCAGGCCTCTTTACAACCCCATGCTAACGAGAAGAGAATAGCCAATGAGTAAGTGGCAGGAGGAGCAAAACAACCTCAAAATCGAATGATTTAGAAAACAAAAGTGATTCCATTGAACAAGTAATTGTCTTGATCCTAAAATGACCCCACAACGGAACACCAAGGCAGAACTCTGAGTCACTGTCTAGATTTCCAAACTGCTGACTGACAATGATAAGAAAACTTTCTCTTCTCTGATGATTCAGTATGAAGACACCAGCTAACAGAGCCTTGCAAATAAGTTAAAATAATTTACCAGCCTGTTCCTCCTGTCAATCAAATGAAAGGTGTGTGCAGTTTTCCCCCTCTTATAAAATAACTTTTTCTAGGACAAGCTACAGGAGGCCACTTCTCAAACAGAGTTAGCCTTCCTGGGCATCCTGAGTATCTCCAGGAGTCAGAGTCAGACGTGAGAAAAAGCAGAGAAAGGGAGTAAAATGGCAGGAAGGAACAAGTTGAGAGACGAAAGAAAAAAAAGGTGACAAAAGAGGCATCTTCATTGGAGTTTAAAAGGGAGGGGGAGAAATAAGAGGTAAAGATTGTGATCTCCATACCCTGGAGTAGGCCCCCCATTGTCCAGGTTGAAAACTTGTTTGGGGTTGAGCAGATAGTGGAATTTCCGAAGAATTCTATGGAAAAAAAAAGAAAAGGAGGGAGAGAGAGAGACAGAGAAGGAATATGTCATCGTGAGAAGTCACATTAGGGCAAACACCTCTGGAGCCCACTGGTGGCAGGGATGAGGGTTCATTTAAACCCCGGAGGGGAGGGCACTGCCTGCTGACCCTGGCGTCCAGGTTCCACCTGGCATCACCCGTGTTATCACTCCCGGTTCAAGGCTGAACTACCAACCTAGACTCCAGCTCCTAAGCCCAGAAGCATCGCCCCTTACAAAGAGGACAGGGCAGAGAAACCCAGAGAACAGAACTTTCATTCTAAAGCTTTATCCTCCACAGAGACCTTCTCCCAAATGTTCTGTATGGTCTAGGCAGTGTGATTCTGCCCTCTGCAGACTGTACAAAAGCATCACAGGACCCCCTCCTCCCCAGGGAGAGGCCCCCTGCAGTCCTGGGATCAGGAGGAAACGCAGGAGGTGGTGTTGGGCTGTGGGGGAGGGAGGGCGCTGAGAGGCCGTGACTGCACCCAGGCCTGCTTTCCTGGCTCCAGCTTGGAATTGTCAGGTCAGTTCAGGAGGGGTGTCCTGCCCCTTGGACAGGGGTGGGGGTCCTCATAGTTCTTGCTTTAACTCTACTAATTATTATTTTTTAACCTGGATTCCAGATCACGGTGCCATCTGTTAATGATCCCGGAATTGGGAGGCAGAGCTGCTTTAACCATTCTCCCTGTCCACCTGTGCTGTTCAGCAATTTCTAGCCTCCGCTGAACTGGGCATTTCAGCAAACTGATGAGGTGGATGCACTGGCTTCTCACGGGTGACGGTAGCCCAGCAGGTCCTAATCAACGGGCTGCCCATCATCTCTTAAATCAAGAGATCTGAGAGGCTAGAAAGGCACAGGCATCTCAGAGCGTGGTCTAACTCTAGTGGTCTTAATAATGGCTCACGTGGCAGGCTGTGGGCTAAGCACCGTGTCTGTTCTCACCTGTGAGAGGAGGAATGATAATTATCTCCATTTTACAGAGGGAGAAACCGAGGCCCGGGGACATTAAGTCACTTGGGCCAGGTCATAAAGTGGCAGGTGGCAGTGCTGGGATTTGAGTCTGCCTGTCTCCACAGCCTGCTGTGTTCCTGCCAAGGGGAGGAAGGGCCTGAGTCGTGTCGCCCTAGTTGCTCCACTTTGAAACAGAAGAGAACGTACCTTTCTCCTTGTCTCCCTCCACTCTTGGGGTTCACCAAGACCAGCAGGGGGTGGGTACCCGGGGTGGGGATGATCTTATACTTGAAAGGTAAAAGAAAAAGAAATTAGCTCTGCTTCATCCAATAGGGGGCGTGAGATGAGAGTTGAAGCCAAGACAGCTTCGGAGAGGCAGATGAGAAGCAGGAGGGCAGGCAGTCAGGTGTTTTTCCACTGGCTGAATTTTCGGAGGGGCTAAGTAGCTAAGTGTCTCCAGTTTGAATGGCCTTTAAGTAGTGTTAACGGAAATGAGGGTTTGAGGTCAGGATCAGCGATGGGACAATGATGCTGTAGCTTCAAATCATTCAACGATGACGTGGTCTTGTACCTACAGCACAAGATGAAATTTTGTGGGAGACACAGCTGAATATGATCTTAGAAAGCACGGCCGTCTGATCATACGCGTAAGTGAAATAGCACTCGTGGAGTGAACCACCCGCTTCCACCCTGGCGCCTTCCAAATGCTCATTTCCGGCCCCAGTTTCCTCCTGAACCCTGGTCCCACATTTCTCACTGGCCAGTGGGTAGTACTGTCGACTGGACGTCTCACCATCAGTACAAGCTCAACATGCCTCATACATGACCCATCTTCTCTCCCTATGAAACTCGGCCTTTCTCTTGGTTCCCTGTTTCTGTTATTCATCCATCCATCCAAGGAAGGTCTTGTCCTGCCAAGTCTTTCCCTGAAATGTCCCTTTACCTCTGGTAGCTGCCACAGCCCCATGCTGCTTGTGCCTTTCCCACCCTAGGTAAGTCCTGCACACCATCCCCACACAGTTCCTTCCCAGGACACCAGGTCAGCCATACCACTCTTGCCCAAAAACTTGTAAAGACATCTCATTATTAAAGGAGGATTTGGATTTTGTGGATAAAATGTAAATTTCCTAACCTGGCATCAAAGGCCTTTTCAGTCTAGCCCTATTCTACTGTTATCTCCTAATTCCTGCTAACCCTCAGCTGCAGGTGCAGCCAAGTCCTGCTCTTGCTCCTCTAGTAAGTCTAGAGTGTGTCTCTTGCATTCCCACCCATGGGTCTGCTCGTGCTTGTTTCTTCTCCCATTCCATGTCCCGAAATGCCCACTTCCTTCTTTGCAGACTACTAAAAAAATTTTTGGCTGGGCATGATCACTCACGCCTATAATCCCAACACTTTGGGAGGCCGGGGCAGGAGCATCACAAGGTCAGAAGTTCGAGACCAGCCTGGCCAACATGATGAAACCCCGTCTCTACTAAAAATACAAAAATTAGCCGGGCGTGGTGGGAGGTGCCTGTAATCCCAGCTACTCGGGAGGCTGAGGCAGGAGAATCGCTTGAACCTGGGAGGTGGAGGTTGCAGTGAGCTGAGATCTCGCCACCGCACTCCAGCCTGGGCGACAGAGCAAGACTCCGTCTCGGAAAAGAAAAACAAACAAACAAACAAACAAACAAAAAACACCACCACCACCACCAACAAAAACCTGCTTATCCTCAGGGCTCAATTCAAGAGACATCTCTATGAAGTTTCCCTTCATCATTGCAACTAAAATGATTGCACTTAAAACATGTACTATTGGCTGGGCATGGTGGCTCATGCCTGTAATCCTAGCACTTTGGGAGGCTGAGGCAGGCGGATCACCTGAGGTCAGGAGTTCGAGACCAGCCTGGCCAATATGGTGAAACCCCATCTCTACTAAAAATACAAAAATTAGCCGGGTGTAGTGGCGCATGCCTGTAATCCCAGCTACTTGGGAGGCTGAGGCAGGAGAATCGCTTGAACCCGGGAGGCAAAGGTTGCAGTGAGCTGAGATCGCACCATTGCACTCCAGCCTGGGAGACAAGAGCGAAACCCCATCTCAAAAAACAAGCAAGCAAGCAAGCAAGCAAGCAAGCAAACAAACGCACCATGTACTATCTTCTGGAGTTTCTTTTGTTGTTCATTTGTATTTTTTTTTTTTTTTACTTTCTTAGATAAATGACTCAAAACATCAACTGGATTTAAAATGCATTGGGAGCAGAGTGGGGTGTGTGTAACCCTACTACCAAGGACCCTATAGCACCAGACACAAGAGTGGGTGCTCAGCAAATACTTGTGGGTTCAGTGGAAGGATACACCAATGTGGACGCACAGCTCTGCTCCATATTCAATATCTAATGCCTGCTTTTCCAGATCTCAAGCTAAAAGTCCAGCAAACACAGTGCCATGTTGTTTGAAAAGGATAGTAGCATTTCCGATGATCTAAAAAATTTGTCTCACCTGCCCAGGGTGACTATGTGATGCCCAGAAGCATCTTGGAGGCTGAGGAATAAACCCTCACCTCTGGAGATGATATTCAACGTATTTAACAGCCAGTCCTACAGTGGGGGCTCTGCCCCATCAGAACAGATGCAAGACAACCCGATGGCTGCCTGCCCTAAACAACTGGCATACATGTATCGGGTGTGGATATGCATGCGCCTGTGTGTGTTTCCCACCTTTCTGCCCTTCTAGGTGTCTAGAGCTTTCTCACATATTAAGATTCTCCCCTCATTCGGCCTTATGTTTCACTTTTCTTTTTCTTTTTTTTCTTTTGAGACATAATCTCCCTCTGTTGCCCAGGCTGGAGTGCAGTGGCAGAATCTCGGCTCACTGCAACCTCCACCTCCCAGGTTCAAGCGATTCTCCTGCCTCAGCCTCCCGAGTAGCTGGGATTACAGGCACCTCCCACCACGCCCGGCTAATTTTTGTATTTTTAGTAGAGATGGGGTTTCACCATGTTGGCCAGTCTGGTCTCGAACTTCTGACCTTAGGCGATTTGCCCGCCTCAGCATCCCAAACTGCTGCGATGACAGGCGTGAGCCACTGCGCCCGGCCTTTTACTTTTCACAACACGTGAATCTGTATATTCTCATTTAATCTTACAGCACCTCTGGGAGGTGGGCAGGGCAGGGATTACTGTGTCTCCTTTGAGCGGAGGAAACTTAAGGCTCAGAGGCAGAGCAGGAGGCCCCGGTTTTCTATTTCCTTTTCTAGTACTCTTTGTTCCTCACCAGGCTGCCTTCCCTGCATTCCTTGGAACTCTGTGGAAGACACAAAAAATGTTCATTGCTGAACCCAAGTAAAAAAAATGAGTTCTTAAGTATACATTTAAGGATTAAGAAGAACTTTTAGATCTGGTTAGCTTCATTTTGGCAGATCATGTTCTGGAGACAGCTTGGCAATCTTGAAAAACCCATTGTCTATTTTTAGGCCACATCTTTGTTATTATTTAGGACATCTGCATATTAAAGTTTTATGTAACTTTTTCCTAAAATAGTAATAAAGCCCAATAAGACCAGCAATGGGATCAGTCAACCTTTCCTCTCACCACTTGCTGACAGTGTGGCTGTCAAAGGTAACACCAGAGGCCACAAATAAATGCCCTCCTGGGTGGTATAATTAGTCAGATGAGAAGGCAAATGCTGAGATGCTTTTCTGTAGAACCCAAACCCCGTCTTGCCCGCCACAGCCCTGGAACAACTTAGAAGGTGCAATCGGATTTAGAGCTCATGAGGTACCTGCATGACAAGTTCGCCCTTGGCGGACACGCAGCCATCAGACTTCTCACCTGGCCTGTCCTGTGACAAGAAAGGAAAGACAAGCATCTTTTGGAAAAAGAAGCCTAACACAAAGAAAGAGATCAGATGAAAAACAAACGGCTGATATAAAGAAAGAGATCAGAAAGCTAGTGTAGTATGGAGACGAGGTTTTCAACATAGGGCTTCTGACCTAAATAAAGAAATGTACCCCTATGACTTTTTCTAGGATTCTTCAGGCCTCCAGTGATGACATCACGGGCTGACTTTACCTTTGAGGCAAGGGACATAGTGGGGAGCACTGAAAGTGGCAGAATTCCACTTGGTTGATTTAGAAGCTTGAGCTCTGAGAAGAAAATTCTTAGACTTGGCGACTTGGCTTTTCTTCCTTTCTTTTTTTTTTTTTTTTTTTTTTTTGAGACGGAGTCTCGCTCTATTGCCAGGCTGGAGTGCAGTGGTGTGATCTCGGCTCACTGCAAGCTCCGCCTCCTGGGTTCAAGTGATTCTCCTGTCTCGGCCTCCTTAGTAGCTGGGACTACAGGTGCGTGCCACCACGCCCAGCTAATTGCTAATTTTCTTGTATTTTTAGTAGAGATGGGGTTTCACCATGTTGGCCAGGATGGTCTCGATCCCTTGACCTCGTGATCCGCTGGCCTCAGCCTCCCAAAGTGCTGGGATTACAGGTGTAAGCCACTGCGCCTGGCCGTCGACTTGGCTTTTCGGCTGAGCACTATCTAATGATATGATATTGTCATTTTTCTTGGTTTTGTTTGTTTTTCTAATGTTTATTTTATTAAGGTTTTCTCACATATAGTAAAATGCTCAAATCTAAATTGTACAGCTTGATGAATTTTGTATATGGGGATGGCCTCGTAACTACTACCTCTTCAAGCATAACCCTGTTGTGACTCCTGATACCACATGGGTTTTGCCTGGCTTTTGAATTTCATATAATGGATTCATAGAGCATATCTTTTCGAGTCTAGCTTCTTTGGTTCAGCATTATGTTTTTGAGATTCTCCATGTTTTTACTCTATGCATAGTTTGTTCTTTTCCATTGCAATGTAGTTTCCCATTCTATGAATGCCAGATGCCGATATGCCTCAATTTATTCATCTATTCTCCTGTTAATGGTCATTTAACTTGTTTCCAGTTTTTAACTGTTATGAATAAAGCTGCTATGAGCATTCTTGTGCATGTCTTTTGGTGGAATAAATGCTTGTATTTTCCAGGTAGATGCACTGGAGGAGAATTTTTGAGTTATGGAGTTTGTATATTTCCAATACAGTAAATATTGCTAAATGATTTTCCAATGTGTTGGTATTTTTCAGGGTTTTTTATTTTTATTTTTGAGACAGAGTCTCACTCTGTCACCCAGGCTGGAGTGCAGTGGTGTGATCTTGGCTCACTGCAACCTCCACCTCCCAGGTTCAAGCAATTCTCCTGCCTCAGCCTCCCCAGTAGCTGGGATTACAGGTGCCCACTACCACGCCTGGCTAATTTTTGTATTTTTAGTAGAGATGGGGTTTCACCATGTGGCCAGGCTGATCTAAAACTCCTGACCTCAGGTGATCCGCCTGCCTCAGCCTCCCAAAGTGCCGGGATTACAGGCATGAGCCACCGTGGCTGGCCTTTTTCTCAGGTTTTTAATGACAAAGAAGTAGCTGGTCAAGTCCAGAGTGAGATGTGAGGAATGGGTGGGACTTGCAACATTTTTAAGATGGGAAGATGGCAAAATTAAGTGTTTGACGCTTGTTTGAAAGAGGAGTCTTCAACACAGGCGACAACGTGCCAGGTGGGGGTAAAGGAGCTTAATTTTGCTGCTTTCATTTCCAAATCAGGCTGAGACATCCAAGTGGAAACTCAGGAAGTAGAGGGAGATACTGTTTGGATGTGGCAGGGAGATTGACAGAGATGAGGGAGGTTGGGAGCCTGGCCATGCATAGGTGGTGACTGAGGTTCCTTGTGCTGTGCTCTGCCTGCAAAAGGCTTAGAACAAATGTGCTTTCCTTGCTGGGTCATTTCAGGGTACTCGGGGTGGTCAGCAATTGGCAACAGTTTAGTCAGAGAAGATTTCTCTCAAAATCTGATCTGTGCAGCGCTGACCTCTTTCAAGCACATACTGAAAGCACAAACCCAACAGAGAGGAGCAGAAAAGATTAACAACTGGGCACTGGGCTAAAAACCCAGGTGATAAGATAATCTGCACAACAAACTCCCGCAAGACGTGTCTGCCTGTGTAACAAACCCTCCCATGTACTCTCTAACCTAAAATAACAGTAAAAAAAGAAAGAAAAGAAAACACAAACCCAAAGAGTTGTCAGGGAAGCCCTGGGAAGGATGTGAATGTCTGAAAGCTGCCTACATCTGAAACCAGAACCCGGAGAAGCTACAGCCCTCGCCGGGGCAGGAGCACTTACCCGGGTGATGGGGCATATGGAGGTGGGCAGTAAGATGTGGTCTCTGAGTTCCCCACCGTCACACAACGTTGATAATTCACATTTGCGGTGAAACTGGGGGGAGAAATGAAAAAGAGAGTGAGTGAAAGTGAGCAAAGAAACATCAAACATGAAGGTGGAGAGGTTTGGGGGAGAGGTGAGCTGTCTAGTGCTCCCCCAAATCCTGATGCACTGCTGGCTTTGACAGTATTGCCGTGTGTGTGTGTGTGCACGTGTGTGTGTGTGGTTAAGGGTGCAAAGTCTGCTGTGGGCTGAGCAAAGAGGCCAAGAGCCGCTCATGGCTACTGAAGCGACACAGTCATGAGCCGGCCTGTGACCCTTCAGTGTGGCACCCCATGTTGATTCCAGAGCCCCCTTAGATATGTGCTCTCCAGGCCCTGAGACTCTGGGAGGAGGGAGATGTTGATGAACAAACTCATGGATGGCTGAGAGTAAACCTTGTGATTCAACCTTTGTATTTTGAGAGTTCTGCAGTCTGGTTTGGAGAAACCTACATTTTGAGGCTGATACCTGGGGAGAAGGACAAGAGCTGGCAGTGAGTTTTGACAGGCAGGTTGGCCAGCTCAGTGGCTGCCAGTGGCATTCTGGGTGTCTAGTGGGGCTGTGGACTCTAGCATGTGCTGTGGCTGGTGGCAGCAGGTCCAAACCTTTGGCCCAGGCAGTGGGGCTGCTCTGAGGAATGTGCCTTCAGGGCAGGCACCCCCTCCTATGATGCTCCTGTTGTCCAATTTTTCTCCCACTCTGTCAGTGTCCCCGGCCCTAGGTGATAGCCAGGTAAAAGAAGTTCATAGTCGGGGCTGCTGATCCCAGCTGCCAGGCCACACAGACAGTGGACTGGCCAGCTTCTTCTTCAGCAGTCCTCACTCCCCTGGTTCGGGGGTGCCCTCTCTCTGGGCAGCTTGGTAATTCACTGGAGCATCGTTAGGCTGAGGGCATTGAATAGGCGCTGTGGGGTCCTCCTAGCCTCGCTCCCCTGGCTTTGCTCATGCCCTCTGGCCGGATATTCACTGCTCCTGGGCTGCAGCTTGGGCAAAAAAACGTTGAAAAGAAGCAGGGCCGCCCTGGGCGCCAACCCACCGTCATCCGGCACCACACGCAGTGCCGCGCGGTGACACTCTGGTAGCACTTGATACTTTTGTGGCACCGGTCACACTTGACGGAGGAGTTCCCTTCCACCCATGCGTGCTGCATCACCTGCGGGAGGGAAGCGAACGATGCCAGGGAAAATGGCAGAACCATGTCCCCGGGGCCCTGGGCTGGAGGAGAAGGATCTGGGAGGGGACGCGGGGGAGCCAGAGGGACTGTTTCCTATTTAGAGGATGCTTATTGGATGTTGGGTGGCTTGCCTAATGGCACGATGTGGTTCCTCCCTGCCTAACCGCCATTATGCGAATCAAAGTAGATTAAAAGCTCGCTTTGCCACATTTTGAACAGCTCAATCGCCCTGGAAGGCAGGCCTCTGAGCAGCATCTTGTCTGGCAGTCCATCTGTTTGTCTTGCAGAACGCCTTGCAGAGTGATGTGTTTGTATGCGCCCTCTTCTGGAAGGCAGCATGGTGCAGAGGAACTCTGGAGGGCTTGGGTAGGCCACAGACAAAACTGGCTGGAGTCCCTTTGAAGTGGTGGCCTTTGGCCAGTTCTTAGACCTCTCTGAGTCTCAGGTCCCTGACCTGTGGGAATTGGTATAAGAAGTCCCACCTCTGGGGTTACTGGGGCAATGCAATGAGATAGCACATTTTGAAGGGCCTCCCTGGTGCAGTCCTGGCCCTTTGGGAGTACCCACAATTGGGTAATGCCCTTCTCCTTCCTCAGCTTTAGCTGCCCATTAGAAGTACCTGGGGGAGCTTTTAGACATCCTAATGCCCAGCCGACACTCCAGACCAAATAAATTAGAGTCTTTGAGGGTGGGGCACATGATTAATATGTTTTAAAGCACTCTGGGTAATTATAACGTGAAGCCGAGACTAAAAAGCACTCTAGAAGGAAGTTAGAGAAAAGTCCAAAGAAGTTAGTGAGGGTCCATTGGTGCTTTTCACACCTGTTTCCTGGGGAGCTGGTTGTATCTGCTCCGTGACCAGGAAAGACCACCAGGGCAGGCTAGGCACTTGGAAACAGGTGGGAATAGTGGGATTGTTTTTGTATGTGTGTGTCAGTGCGGCTAAAGCAAGAGCAGCTGGCTAGTAGCCCCACTGTCTGGGAGGCTGAACCCTCAGTTCCCTCCCCCTGGAATTCTCACCAAAATTCTCACTCAAAAATTTTCACTATGGTACCACAAATAACAGAAGGAAGTGGATATGGACTCTGGGAGAAGGTGGGGGACATACCCTGAAGTGCCTAGCCACAAGCACGGTATTAAAAACCCAGGAAATATCTGCGTGATTCTGTCCAGGTTTGTATTAAATAAGAATAAACGTGTTTTTTTTGAGACAGTCTCACTCTGTCGCCCAGGCTGGAGTGCAGTGGCATGATCACAACTCACTGCAGCCTCGATCCTCCAGGTTCAAGCAATCCTCCCAGCCCAGCCACCCAAGTAGCTGGGACTACAGGCACATGCCACCACACCAGGCTAATTTTTGTATCTTCTTTTTGTAAAGACAGGATCTCACCATGTTGCCCCGGCTGGTCTCAAACTCCTGGGCTCAAGCTATTGGCCCTTGTCAGCCTCCTAAAGTTCTGGGATTACAGGTGTGAGTGACTGCACTTGGTCCAAGAATAAATGTTTTAAATTACTTAGCAATTAAGTTGCTTAAGGCCTCCCCTAAGAATGTTTTTGGCAAAATTATTGCTTTGGAAGATGTGTCACGTTTGGTTGGTAGCTTATCACCTTGTGCCTTGCACTTCTGAGGGTGTAAAGAACTCAGTTTGCCAATTAATCTGTCATCTACATGGCCACAATTGAATTTGCTCTGAGATTATTATTTCCATTTTGCAGAGGAAAAAATGAAAGTTTCAGAGAGGTTAAGTGACTGGCCCTAGGTTCCAAGGCTGGTAAGCGGCCAAGTAGGGTTTCCTAGCCAGGTCTTCTGACCCCAAGTCCAGGGCTGTTTCCCCAACACCACATCGCCTTACCCATTCTCTTTGGGATCTGAGGAGATGGTGAAAGACTGGGTTGCTCCTGCAGGCTGAGAAGTTTGTGAGTGTGCCCTGCTGGCCCCTCATTGGCCTCACTCTGTTCTCTGTGTGACAGGTGGCCAGAGTGCAGGCTTAGGGCCTGCGTCCAGCAGGTACACCGTGTGTCCCGGTGAAAGGCATGGACATGGAGCAGGGTGTGCATGGGGTGGTGCAGAAGGCGTGGACGAGAGACCATGCAGTGTCCATGGGGCATGCACACAAATTCTAGGAGGTGCCTTTCTCTACCAGGAGTCCTTCTGCAGGAGGGCTGGGTACCACTCTCATGGCTAACTGTCTCCTGACTCACACTCCTCCATGTAATCTTCCCTTTTCAGGAAGGCTAAGTGCCCTTCCCCTGCTAATTTTAAGGTAAGTCTATTTCCAGACTTGGAGAATGGCGTCACCCAATGACCGAGTTAGAAACCTGGGAGCCATTCCCTACCTTTTCCCTTCTCTCATCCTCCGCATCCCCATCACCATGTCCTGGTCCTAGTGGTGGTACTTCCAAATTACCTCTCAAGCTCTCCCTTCATTTTCTCTCCTTTAGCCAGTGTGACAGTCAAAATACCCAATAACCAGCATGGCCTGGGGGACCCTCAGCACAGGACCATCCTAGAGCAGTGAGTGTGGATCCCACCCCAGTCGGGCCCTCAGCGCAGTACTGCCTTTTACCTCAAGTATTGGAAGAGTTTCCCTCCCCTGATTTCTCTCCCACATCACACTCAGAGCTATTAACCTAATTCACAAATTCGATCACATCTTTATGTGCTTGAAGCTCTTCAGTGGCCCCCGGCTGCACAGAAAACACCTTTCTCACTCAGCTGGCCTCATAAGACCTGCTTCAGGCCAGATCTCACCACTTTCTGAGTGCATCTCCTGCCACTTCCCTTTAAGCATCCTCTGCCCCAGCTATGCCAAACTAAGTATGAATCCCGGAATAAGCCGTGTCTCATGCCTTTACACATGAGGCTTCCTCTGCCTGGAGAGTCTGGTCCTCCTCGATGCCTCATGAAGTCCTCCCAATTTGTGTTCAAGACACAACTGCAATGCCAGCTCCTTTGTGCAACTTGCCCCGTGCTTCCACTGTACCTTCCACACAGCTGTGTTACTGTAGCACACATCTCACTATTCTGTTCTTTGCTTACATGCCCGTCTCTCCTTCTAGACAGCATAGTTCTTGAGCAGGCTGGGGAGCGTCTCTTACAACCTGTGTACCCCCTAGCATGGTGCCTGGCACATAGTGGGTACCAGGAAGGTGCTGAATGGATGGATGGATGAACGGGATGGTTTACAGGTGGTCCTCAAGGCAGAGAAGGGACTGGATGAAGCTCCCAGTGCCCCTTCCTGCCCAGGAATCCATGTTGATGGACATGTTTCCTGGATGAGGCATGCAGTAGAACAAGGCAGTAGATGTCACCAACCTCACCACTCCTTTTGGCTTTTGAGTACGTTTTGACACAACCAGGAATGTTTCTGGACACACAGCGTTCGTGGACAGTGTATTTACAGTCTGAAAAGAAAAAAAGTCAAGGCAGGTGCTTGTGAATAGCCACGTAGGAAAGGCCCAGCTGCCCTCCCACCCTAGCCAAGGTCTGTACCTCCCTTTGGGTGGCTGGCGAGGGGCAGGGGACACATGGGGCTGGTCTTGCCTAACGGAAATTCAAAACAGTCTCTAATTGTTCTTGGAGGACAGAGACCCTGCTTATCTGCTGCGGCTGCACCTCCACCTGCTTCACTGCCTTCCTCTGCAGGCAATGAACACAGCAGGAGCACATCCCCAGAAAGGCGCTTTTTCCTGAAGGGGAGTGTGCGGCATCATCCTCCTGGCTATGCCAGTGCCACTGTATTGCATGCCCGGGACATTGGAAAATGAATAGAAAGGCCAGGGCTTTTTTTTGTTTTGAGATGGTGTTTCGCTCTTGTTGCCCAAGCTGGAGTGCAATGGTGTGATCTCGGCTCACTGCAACCTCCGCCTCCCGGGTTCAAGCGATTCTCCTGCCTCAGCCTCCCGAGTTGCTGGGATTACAGGCGTTACAGGCGTGCACCACCACGCCCGGCTAATTTTTTGTATTTTTAGTAGAAATGGGGTTTCACCATGTTAGCCAGGCTGGTCTCGAACTCCTGACCTCAGGTGACCCACCCGCCTCAGCCTCCCTAAGTGCTGGTGTAAGCCACCGCACCTGGCCAAGGTCAGGGCTTTTGAAGGCTAGGCAGGCCCCCGTGACAATCCACATGACCTTGGGTAAATTGTTTTACCTCTCTGAAATTCAGGGTTTTCTGTAAAAAGGGAAGAAAACGGCCTCTCTTTCTCTTTCTCTTTGCAGGGATTGTTGCAGTAGTACATGAGATAGTTTGTGTAAAGCATCACGTGTCTGGGTCAGAGTAGCTATTCCACACATTATTGCTGTTGTTTTTACTACCATTATGTGAACAGCAGAGGCCCACGGGCCTAGAACTTAATGGGAATGAGATTGATCTATAAAATGTGGGTAAGAGCTGGGTTTGAACTGGCGCTGGGGAGACTGTTGTACCCCTTTTTTTTTTTTTTTTTTTTTTTTTTGAGATAGAATCTCACCCTTTCACCAGGCTGGAGTGCAGTGATGCAATCTCGGCTCACCGCAACCTCCGACTCCCTGGTTCAAGTGATTTTCCTGCCTCAGCCTCCCGAGTAGCTGGGATTACAAGCATGCGCCACCATGCCCAGCTAATTTTTGTATTTTTAGTAGGGACGGGGTTTCACCATGTTGGCCAAGATGATCTTGGTCTCCTGACCTCGTGATCCACCCGTCTTGGCCTCCCAAAGTGCTGGGATTACGGCGTGAATCACCGCGCCAGGCCTGGCGGACCCCTTCTTTAGCCCGTTGATGCTTGGTCTTTGTGGACAGCGGGCCCAGCTCTGCCAAGGCGACTTCTGTGGCTGAGGTCACTTGCTGCCTAATTCACACGTGCATGTTGGATAAAGCACTTCAGCCTGGAGCACAGCCAGCGGGCCTCCCTGCAGCAGCAGCTCCCCGGTGTCTGGTGGGTTCAGGCTGAGTGTTGCTGTCCACATCACGGGGCGGGCGGCAGGGCTCTGTGCACCCACATATTCTGGTGCCTGCCATGCCTTCTTGCTGCAGCCCCTCTGCCTTCTCCTCCTGCTCCCTGTGTCCCCTTCTTTCCTACTCCTTATCACTCTTTTCCCCCATCTCTTTTTGCTGTCTCCCTTTCCAGTCTTCCTCTCTGCTTTTTCCTCTACCACTTGTAGTTTTTTCCACCTTTCCACTCTGACTTTACTAAAGGAATTAAAAAGTGAAACAACTGTAGAGTTTTAATTCCTATTGCCTTTACAGAATGTAAAATGCTTTTTTTGTTTGTTTGTTTTTTGTTTTTGAGACAGGGTTTCACTCCGTCATCCAAGCTGGAGTGCAGTGGTGCAATCTCAGCTCACCGCAACCTCTGCCTCCTGGGCTCGAGTGATCCTCCCACCTCAGCCTCCTGAGTAGCTGGGATTACAGGCGCATGCCACCATGCCCAGCTAATTTTTTTTTAGTATTTTTATTTTTTATTTTTTTATTTTTATTTTTTATTATACATTAAGTTCTAGGGTACATGTGCACAATGTGCAGGTTTGTTACATGTGTATACATATGCCATGTTGGTGTGCTACACCCATTAACTCATCATTTACATTAGGTATATCTCCTAATGCTATCCCTCCCCCCTCCCCCCACCCCACGACAGGCCCCAGTGTGTGATGTTCCCCACTCTGTGTCCAAGTGTTCTCATTGTCCAATTCCCACCTATGAGTGAGAACATGCGGTGTTTGGTTTTATGATCTTGCGATAGTTTGCTCAGAATGATGGTTTCCAGCTTCATCCATGTCCCTACAAAGGACGTGAACTCATCCTTTTTTATGGCTGCATAGTATTCTATGGTATATATGTGCCACATTTTCTTAATCCAATCTATCATTGATGGACATTTGGGTTGGTTCTAAGTCTTTGCTGTTGTGAATAGTGCCACAATAAACATACGTGTGCATGTGTCTTTATAGCAGCATGATTTATAATCCTTTGGGTATATGCCCAGTAATGGGATGGCTGGGTCAAATGGTATTTCTAGTTCTAGATCCTTGAGGAATCGCCACACTGTCTTCCACAATGGTTGAACTAGTTTACAGTCCCACCAACAGTGTAAAAGTGTTCCTATTTCTCCACATCCTTTCCAGCACCTTAGTATTTTTAGTAGGGACAAGGTTTCTCCATGTTGGCAGGGCCGGTCTTAAACTACAGGCCTCAAGCAATCCACCTGCTTCTGCCTCCCAAAGTGCTGGGATTTCAGGTGTGAGCCACCGTACTTGGCCCCAAATGCTTATTAATTTTTAAAAAATAAGTTTCCTCTGAACATACCCAGAATAAATATTGACTAGAAAACCCAACTAAAAGTAGTATGAGAAATTTTAAATTATTTGTGGACTTTAATAATTTCTTCTAGGGGGTCAGTGGCTCATAAAAAGCCTCCAATAATAAATAGTCCAAGACCTGTCCATTGGACTTGGGTAGGGTAAAAACAGGACATGAAGGCCTCGCTTTATTCCTTCTGTTGGGACAATATGGGTGGTCCCTCAAGCTGGGAAGCAGAAATACCAACATTTTCTCTGCAATGGATCAACCAACCATGCGCAGAGCAAGATAGTGCCTGGGGGAAGAGGTTTGAAGGAAATTTACTCACAAGTGCAGCACAGGCCTTGCTTGCGGACGCCCATGAGCATGATATGGCAGAAGTTGCAGTAGGTTGGTTTCTTGAAGTGCTTCATGGTCCAGGCGTGCCGCCCATCCCCCTTGGAGCCCTGCAGGGGTAATAGGAGGTGAGACCCCAAGCTGGCTGCCCTGAGATGGAGGAAGCCAGGGGCTGCCTCTTGCATGTTCTTCCTTTTCATCTCATTTAGAAGATGAGTTATTGATATTTTTTACTGTTTTAAATACAAATAAAAACAAAATTTTTGTGTGTGTGTTTTAAAAATTAGCAAATATTAAAAGCAAGAAACATCTGAATGGAAGCATGTGTGTGTGGGATAAAATAAATCCTCTCCCGCATGGCTGGCAGAAGCATAAACTGAACAACAATCTGATCTATCTATCTATCTATCTATCTATCTATCTATCTATCTATCTATCTATTATCTATCATCTATCTATCTATCTCCTTTAAATGTTTACAACCTTTGACTTACCAATATCTCCTTTTCGACTTTATCCTAAATAAATAATTTTTAAAAGGCAGATGAGCCTTTTTGTGCCCTGCCAGATGCTTAACCCAGCATTATTTAAAATAATGAAAAGCTGGAAATATCCTAAAGGTCTCATAATTACCAAAAGGCTAATGATAGTACATCCGTCTGATGTAATGTTAGGTGGCAATCAAAAAGATATTTATAAGACTATCTAATGGCATGGGAATGTGCTCATGATACAATGTTAAGCGAAAAAACAGAATGCCATTTCGATGATATGTTATGATTTCAGTTTTATATAATAGATCTTTGATGGGAAGTAATTTCATTAACCTGTTAACAGAGGTTGGCTATAGCTGGCAGCAATATGGATTTATTGTATTCTCTGATTTCTACTTTCTGCTGTGTGTTCCAAATGTTTTACAGTGTGCATGTACTAGTGTGATAATCAAGATGAAAGAGTTTAGTAAAAACAATGTATTTCTCCTATCAACTTTCGGTACGCAGAAAAAATAGTGAAAAGACAGACAGAGAAAGGGTTAGACCATCACCTCCTGACTTTGTTCAGAAGTGAAATCATCTGCATCTACTAGGTACACCAAGCCTCACACAGTGACACCCACATCTCCCACATCCCATCCCAGGGGAACACAGCACAGCTTGAGGAATGTCCCTCCTGCATGTGCTATCCCTGAACTTTTCTCATAGGCTCCATTACAAGAGTAACACTCTTGGGCTGGTTTCATGATCAGTAAAAGCTACGGTAAGGTGATGAGGATCGATGGTCATGGATGTAGTGTCCAATATGCGGGACTCAAATGTAATTCTTACTTCTGGGGTGCGTATGCATTTGGGCTGGTCACTGCAACCAGACCTCAGCCTGTGCCCAGGCTTCTTTTATGATCTCCAGAGGAGCTCACATTCTTTTCCAAATGCTGGCTTTCTCCTCTGGGCCAGAGAAGCTATTTTCTTCTCATTACCTCAAACCCTGCTTCTTCCAGGACATGAGTTTTATAGAATTAAAACCCTCTTATCTAACGGTCTCCACTTTAGTAAATGCATTCACAAACTGATAATGATTCATCAAAAGATTGATTCATTCATTTATTCGTTTGACCAACATCTACCTCAAGGGCTTTTTGTAAGAATTAAATGACATCATGTAAGTAAAGCTTCTAGTTCAATGCCTGACATATTGTAAATTCAAACTTTCATTAAATTCTTATTCCATTCCAGATGCCGGAAGACACAAAATAAACTAAAAAGTGTTTGTTGACGTGGAAGGAGGTAGATTTGTTCCCATTCTAGAAATGAGAAACAGAGATTTGGAGAAGTTCGGTAACTAGCCCAAGCCCACATAGATAATGAGGGACTGAATGAGTAGTCAGACTTGGGTCTTTTGCTGGCCAGAGCCCATGCTCTTTCCATCCTGCTCCTCTACCTCACAAGCCAGGGTTTTCCTGTATGGGTAGAAGGAAAATGATAGCACTCTTCAGCAGACTTCTTCGTGGAGCCCAAAGGATTGTCAGTGTATCTGAAAACACCTCTAGTAGCTAAGTCAGTTAGCTCATCCCCCTTTCTCAGCTACTATTTTTATGGATATAAGAAGTGCATGGACCGTGACTTGGGATAAAGTAACGTTTCTGCTTGGGTTATAGCACCATCATGTGGCTCTTTCCTTTCCACATGATGGTGGCTGCAGAACGTGGGCGTAGCCTTCCTCGTGCTCACCAGGTTTTATGCTGCTGCTACGATTTTCCTGGGAGAGAGTCTGTTTTGCAAATATCTCATTCAGTGATTCCCCAGACTTTTCAGTGGTTGTATGTGGGTTTTGAAAAAGCCCAAGAAGCAATGGACTTTTAAGACATTGATGGGGGCTTTCTCCAAAACCCCAAATAGTAAGTGTTAAAAACTTTTAAAGTACATATTTAAAAATAAGTGCATAAAACTCTTGATTAATAAAACTAAACTTGCATTGGCCACTTTCCTGATATAAATGAGAGTTTTCTACAAGGCTGATCTGGCATTTAGGGGAGACATTTGGGAGAATGCTGAGGAAGTAGATGGGCTCTCCTTCCTCCTGCCACAAGACAGCGGGTCTTTTCCATGCAAAGAGTTGGTGGTATTTTGAACCTCAGCAAGTCCAAAGTAGAACAGAAAATGGAAATTGATTCCCTGTAACTAAAATGTCCCATCTTTATTCCCTAAATGAGAAAAAAAAAATGGTGTTTTGGAACAGAACTTCCATTTTGTCTTGAGTATAATCTTAAGTGAGTAAAGTCAGCAGAAAGCATATCTAACTTATCTGAGCCCTTCCAGTTCCTGGATCACATGGGTTCTTGTACATAAAGCTTCTTGGCAAGGGATCATTGGGTGAGAGGCGTGATGTGAGCGAGTAAGGGGGATGATCTCTGGTGCTAGTTCGGTGGATGTCCTTGGGCAAGTTCCTTCATTTCTCTGGGTCTCAGTTTGTAAAAGAAAGGGGATCAACCAGGGACCACAAAGATCTTTTCCAGCTTGACTTTCTAGGGTTCTAAGGAATAAGAAGGGGGTCATGTAGATCCTGGTTCCTTGATTTCTCCTTAGAGCTTGGAAAGCACTGGACATGCTATGAAATGATTGCAAGATTCATAGTTCTTGAGCTTCAGAAATGGGGGCTCAGCTTTAGTCCTGAATTGCAGAGCTATGAAATGAAGATATTATAGGCAACTTGGTCAGCTAGAGGCTCACCCAGCTGCACTTGCTGCCCTGTTCCTCTCTATGGAATAGTCTCAAAGAGGTGTAATCTTTGAGATCTGTAATCTCAAAGTAGTGTTGTCACACAACTGGTGTGACTAGTAAACGCTTAATGTCACCATTTGTGCTCCTACTAGTTTTAGTCTTCCCTACCTCATGCATGGAAGTGAGTTCACTTGGTAAATAGGTGGAGAATACAGTAACTGGGTCAGATGAAGGTATATATAACAATCAGTTTCACATTAAGCCTGTACACATATGCCCTACTCTGATCAAATGGGAGATTTGCCTAACACACCCAGAACTTTCTTTCATTTGTGTTTTTAATCAAGCTGTTCTCCAAGCCATAAACTCTCTCTAGGTCTTTAAGGCCACCTGCTCTTTATTCTCAAGAATGGGACATCAAAATCTCATGCATTCTTCAGGGACAAGTCAACACCTTCCAAGGTTTCTTCCCACTGGCCTAACTCTCATGTGTGGGATATTACAAAGTGCAACATCTTTGGTGTCAGAGACAAATCCTCACTCCTCCTTTTGCTCCTTAGGGTCAGAACCTCAGTTTTCCATCTGTATAAATTGGGATAAAAATATTTACCTTATCTGGTTGTTTTGATTATTAAATAAGATACCACTAATGGAAGCCACCCCCACAACAGATCCGTATTTTTTCCTCTCTCCCTTCGTTCTTTCCTCTCACCCTTCCTTCCCCAATTCTCTTAGCATTTTTAAACCTAATTTGTTGAAAAGACAGAATTCTTCTTTGAAGTTTGTGGCCCTTTGCCTGGTTGAGTATAAGGTTCTTGCAGGCAGATAATGTGTCTGTATTCCCTCACAGCATGCAGAACAGTATTTTTAAAGTAGTAATAATGTAGTAAATGTCTGTCAAATGAATATACTTCAGGCACTAATGGATACAAAATAATGTAAATAGAGAGGACTTTGGGGCTGGTCATGGCACGTCTGTTGGGCAGTCTGGAGCAGAAGCCAAAGTGATATGTTGATATTAACATGAAGCCCAATGTTCCTGAATGGCAAGAGATCTCTGAACTCCAGCTTGTTGACTTACAGAGTCATCCATCCCCAGGAGGACCAGCAATGGGATGGTGGTCATCCCTCCATGGACCCATTCCTGTAGAGACACAAAGCCGTCCCGGTCGTAGTCCATCCCTTGCAGCATCTCCTTCAATATCTGTGGAATCCAAAGAGCAATCATTGTCCATTTTCATCATCGACATGTCTACCTGCCTTCTGCCTCTGCTGTCTTGTTCATCTTGCATTATCTGGTTTGTGTTTTACCCCTTTCCCCTCCTGTTAAGTGTGAATAGAGCAGACTGGGAGTGAGGAGGCCAGGCTTCCAGGTCTGGCTCTGCCCTTGGGCCTTGGGCCAGTCACCCTGACTCTGTGGGCTCTGGTTTGCTTATCTGTAAAAATGGAAATAATATTGTTGTGTTTGTGGCACTGTAGCAGGGATTAGAGAAAATGAATGTAAAGTGAATAACAAAATACCTGACACATAGGAGCCCCCAAATGTAATTATTCTTATAATTCATATTATCTGGTGATTGAGGAAGATCTCTACAATTCTTTCTAATAGAAATCTCTACAGTTCTCTCTAAATTCTTTGACTGATGAATTTCTGCTATAACATTTTAGTTCTGGTGAAAAGATTAGCATGGTTATTTCAGTTATGTCTGCACGTTTTCCTGCTGCCTACATTTTTCCTATCAGAGAGGTAGGAGGTAAAGTGCAGGACTCCAAAGAAGCTGCCTATAAGAAGATGAGTCTGGGAGCACCTGCAGGGTTAACACTCATTCATGTCTTGAGTGTGTCCCCCTCCCGTCTTAGAAGCTCACTCCAAAGCCACCCCATCCTTATAGAAACTCACAGGCCTCAGCTCTGTGGGATCCCACTCCAGGTACTGGGCAATATGCAGCATTTGGTTGACAATGCAATCCATCTCCTAGAAAATAGCAAAGGGAGAAAATATCAAAAGGAGACAACCAGAGATGTGTCATTAAGAGCCGAACTCAAAATTAAGCCCAGTGGGAAGAGGGACAGGGCAGGGCAAGAGAAGAAGCTGGTGCAGTAACTGCCATTTTGTGAGGAGCTCAGTTTATTTCTGTCTCGACCACAAAGCTCACGAGAAGCACAGAGCATGCATAAGCTGGAGGTATGCAAAAAGCTCATAAACACTGACTTCCTCCTGGACCCACCTTCCTTCCCTTATTCTGTGCTTTAACTTGGAAAGCATAGAAAGCACTCCTATTTTTATCCCTCTTTGTGATTATAGCTTCCACAAATACTTACAAATCAAGGCAGATTTCTCCTGTCACTTCTTATCACTCATCCCCACAGCTGTAGCAACTTGGGATCCATCTCTCAGCTCGAGGCCAGTTTCTCTTGCATGGAGGGTTACTGTGTGTGTCTCAGCTCAGGTACCATGATTTTGATTCCTTTTGTTATCTCCTCTGTTTCCTTTTTACCATGGTCCAGCCCTTAGCCCAGCCCCCAGGAGTCCGTGAACAGGAAACTCATGAGGAATATGTTTACTTGATGACTGAGCCTTTTGGTACTGAGGCCAGGCTCCATCTAAAACCTCACAGAATTGTTGGCTGCCAATGAGTCAGTGTTCTGAGAGCCCCGCTGAAACACACCAGACTGAAGAGGCATTTGGTGTCAAAGTTAGCACCATTTAGGCACCAGTTAAGATGTTCACAGTAAGATTGCTTTGGGAGGACATGTTGGTAGACTGAAGCAAGGTTCAAAAGTGTTACCTCTGCCAGATAGAATGCCGGGTCCAAATAGCAAGCTAAAACCCAGCAGGGATTTTAAAAAATTGTATTTTATTTAAGTTAAAAAACAATCCATTGCAAAACTACAGGATAGGCCAGTAGATGAGGGTAAGAAAGTGGGCACAAAGGTGGGGAAAGGTTTTGGCAGAAGTTCCAAAAGAAAAGAGCTTGTGAATCTCTGGTTGGGTCCAAGATTTAAAGAGAAAACGTATTTCAGGAACCAAGAATTGGACTCAGTCTTGGGCTATGAAAATAGAAGCAGAGTTGGCAGATTTAAAAAAGAAAAAGTTCCCCTGAGGTCTTCCTGGTCAGGCCACATTTGGATACTTAAAGAATCATAGGGGACGGATTCTGTTCTGTGCCACATTCCAGGAATGGCATTTACAAACCAGAGCTTGTCCAAAGTGGATATTTAAGCCTGCCTTATGAGAACCAGTGTAGGAATAGAGAAATTTTAGCTTGGAGAAGATTTTAGGGGAGATGTGATAGCACCTTCAAATACTCGAAGGCCTATTGTATGGGATAGGTATTCCATTTGTCCTGGCCAGGTATGGGGGACAGAAGGAAGCAGAGAGGGATGCAGGGAAGGAAGGAGTTGAGGACTGGCTTATTTTGGCCTCCCTGTTGGATTGGGGGAGAAGGGGAGCAGAAGCAGGTTTTGAGTTGAAAACGATTCCCCACCACAAAGAGGAGTGCCTGTGTTCGAGAAGGAAGCCCTCTCCAGCAGTCACCCCCAGCAGTGGAATGGCTGTCTTAAGGTAGGAGTCCATATGACAGGGATTCCGGTGAAAGGTTGAATCAGATAACTCTTTTGAGATTTGCTTCAGTCTTCCAATATTACCTTTAAAACGTATCTGGAATTTAACAACTTCTTACTACCTGCAATGATTCTACCCTGTACAAGTCTACACCATTTCATGCCTTGATTATTTCAACGGCCTCCTAACCAGTATCCCTGCTTGCATTCCCTCTGTCACCCAGGCTGGAGTGCAGTGGCGCCATCTCGGCTCATGGCAACCTCCACCTCCTGGGTTCAAGTGATTCTCCCATCTCAGCCTCCCGAGTAGCTGGGACTACAGGCGCCCGCCACCACACCCGGATAATTTCTTTTGTATTTTTAGTAGAGACGGGGTTTTGCCATGTTGGCTAGGCTGGTCTCAAACTCCTGACCTCTGGTGATCCGCCCACCTCAGCTTCCCAAAGTACTGGGATTATAGGCTTGAACTACTGCACCCAGAGTACAGTGATTCTGTTAAAACATAAGTCAATCACATCACTCCTCTGCTCAAGATCGTCAATGGTTCTCCATTTCTCTGGAGTAAAAGATACACTTTTTTTTTTTAATTTTTTTGAGACGGAGTCTCCCTCTGTCGCCCAGGCTGGAGTAAGTGGCGTGATCTTGGCTCACTGCAACCTCCACCTCCAGGGTTCAAGCAATTCTCCTGCCTCAGCCTCCTGAGTAGCTGGGACTACAGGTGTGTGCCAACATGCCCGGCTAATTTTTGTATTTTTAGTAGAAACGGGGTTTCACCATATTGGCCAGGCTGGGCTCGAACTCCTGACCTCGTGATCTGCCCGCCTCCCAAAGTGCTGGGGTTACAGGCAAGAGTCACTCGCCTGGCCAAAGATAAACACTATTAATCACCTATAACGTTTAATAAGATTTGCAAACTCCCCACTCTCCTACCCCCATCCCATGACTTCTCTGATCTCATCCCCTATTACTTCCTCACTGTGATCTCATCTGTTTACTCATTCTGCTCCATTCACACTGGCCCGGAGTGAATCTTCTAACATCCTAGGGACCCTCAGGACCCTCGCACTCACTGTTCTTTCTCCTGGAAGGCTCTTCCCCTAGAATTACTCCCTCACCTTCTTCATGCCTCTGTTCAGATGCCCCCTCCTAGAGAGGCCTTCCTCGGCGACCCTCGCTAAAGCTTCAACTTCTTCCAACATTTCCTTTCCTTTATTTTTCTTCTCAGCACCCATCCCTACCTGACACATGTTTTTACTATGCTGCTTAGTGTCTGTGCTTGGACTAGAATGAAAGCTTCATGAGGGCATGGAACTTTGTCAGTTGGCTACACTGCCATACCCTCAGTGCTTAGAAGAGTGCCTGACATAATGCAGATACTCAGTAAATATGTGTTGACCAAATGCTTGAGAATCTGTGATTCTCTGGATGTTTCCTCAAATGACCCAACCCGCAGCATTGCAATGTAGCTGGAGGGATCCCATAGAGGCACCCTGGGGTTTAGAGGGAATTGGGATGATTCAGTTTGTCTAGTGGACTTCTTCCCTTCCTTCCTTCCTCTGGTCTGACTCAGCCCCATGCATCTCAACCTCAGGGCCTTCCTGTTAATGAGCCCTATCTCTGACATTGACAGTCAGGACAACAGGGCCTGTCTGACTCTGTTTGCCTTCTTCTCTTTCCATTCTTCCTTTTACTCCACGAGCCTTGATCGATCCTTGCCTGTTCCTGAAGGGGTGAGGGTGAGTCTCAGGCTTTCTCAGGTGCAATGGGATGGGAACATGTACTTAGAGCAGACAGAACCAGACTCCTAGGCTAGTGCCCTGGAGTAGGAGAGGCAGCCAAGGGTGACGGCAAAGCACATCAGCAGTGACCAGCAGCCTCCTTCCTCTGAAATCAGCAGTAACCAGCAGCCTCCTTCCTTGCACATCAACAGTAACCAGCAGCCTCCTTCCTCGTGCCCTTTTCCCTTGGTCTTGTTGCCTCCCCCGCCCTCTCCTCTTGGCCTCAGGACTCCTGCAGGAAATTGCAGGAGGCGCTTGTGAACTGAATGGGAAGTTAAACTAGGTGACATGCTAAAGCATCCCTCCATCCTGAGATTTGATGATCCCAGGCTTCTAGAGCGAAAAGGTAAGTTGGCATTCACGCTCTGCAAGGCCGGCCCTTTGGAAATAGCGGGTGGAGAGGTCCTAGTCGGATTTCCTCAGCCTGCATCGAGACATTGCTATTACTACAAAGACGGAACTGAACATTTTCAGATTCTTCCTCTGCTTGCTCCCTGCTCCCCCAGCCTTTCTCAGGTCCATGAGGGATATTTAGAGTGAGAACTTACCGCTTGGTCCAGGAGACCGTTCTCATCTGAATCATAGAGGCGAAACATGACTGTAAGAAACACAGAGGTAAGCCTTGAGGTGTCCTCTAAGAAGCGCGGATGGCTGAAGTTTTGATGCTGCCAGGTTTTTAGATTAGTTCTGTCACCACTGTGACGAAGGTTATGGCAGCCAGCTCTCCCTCCCTCTGAGCACAGAGTCTGACTTCCTTACAGAGAGGCTGGGCCAAGGGAGGAGAACCACCTGGCTTCTGGACCTGTCTAAGCAATACCTATGTGGCTGATGAAGTCCAGGTCATGAGTGTAATTCCCTGGGGAGCATGAACACATTTCAGCGTCACTAGAACACAACCTAAAGCAAATGCCCAGCTGGGGGTGGGGCAGAGGCACCAGAATTTTTCTTCTATTGAGCATAGAAAGTGTAGAGTTAGGCAGATTTAAATCCTAGGACTGCCCTGCCACTTCTGGGGGGTGCCCAACAAGTTACTTAACTTCTTTGAGCTCAGCTTCCTTATCTATAAAGTGGAGAGAATAATAGTTGGTTTCTCCTAGGATTATTATGAAGATTAATGTGTAACTGATAGGCCAAATCAACTGGGCTTAGAACATAGAAAGCACTCAACAGATGTTACTAATTTTTATTTTCCTTTTCAAATGAACATTTATATATGGCATTTAACATATACAAGGTACTGTCCTATAGACTTTCTCATTATTGCTTAATCCTCAATAATGCTATGGGGTAGTTATTACGGAAGCCATCTTTTCCTTTTTCTAAAGGTATTCGGAAATACGCTATTCAGAAACATCTTCAATCACGTTCTAACTGCTGGGAAGTGATGTAGGATAAGGAAGATCTGGGAGAAAAATCTGGACAAGGGACTACATGTTTACTTATGGGACCTGGAAACCTATGTTTTACTCAACCAAAAGGAAAAGATCCTGTCTGTGGTCTCATAAGTCAGCATGGCAGGAAGCAGAGATAAGCATTTCTTCATTTTCCTGCTATTCTTTCTTTCTTTCTTTTTTTTTTTTTTTTTGAGACAGAGTTTCACTCTTGTCGCCCAGGCTGGAGTGCAATGGCGCCATCTTGGCTCACTGCAACCTCCGCCTCCCGGGTTCAAGCGATTCTTCTGCCTCACCCTCCTGAGTCGCTGGGATTACAGGCATGCACCACCACACCCGGCTAATTTTTTATTTTTAGTAGAGACGGGGTTTCTCCATCTTGGTCAGGCTGGTCTCAAACTCCCGACCTCAGATGATCCGCCTGCCTCGGCCTGCCAAAGTGCTGGGATTACAGGCGTGAGCCTCTGCGCTCCCCGGCCTTTCCTGCTATTGTTTAAAACCCTTCATCATGCCTGCTTTCTCTGCGGAGCACCCGTTGACTGATGCGGTGCAACCACTTGGGGCACGTACCAGCCTGGTCCCCTTATTTCTGCTAAGTTGTCCTTGTGTCATCATTTCCTCCTAGATGTTTTAATGTCTCTGCACCTTGTGTTTTTTTCAGGGGTGCATCGCTGGTCAAAGTCAAAGTCCTTTAAAGGTAGGGTCATGGGCTTTCGATTCTTTGTGATTCCTCAGAAGGTCCCAGTCAGAGGCATGCATCGTATGCTGCTGACTCACCCAGCAGATGGTTGAATGACATAGAGGACAGACCTTTTCTGCTAGCATTATTCCAGGACTCTGGGCCTAGGCGACTCTCCAACGCTGACCTCTCTCTGGTCCTATTGTGCATGAACAATAGAACTAGAAAGGCCTGAGTAAGCATCCTTATTTTAGCAGTGTAACCTTGGGCAAGTCTTTTAACCTTCTTGTGCCTTCCTTCTAGGTTACAATGAGGTTAAAATGAGAATGCATTCAAAGTACTTAGCAAATAGAAGGTGTTTATCAATGATAGTTGTTATTATTGCATTGGCAATAGGTGTGGGATTTCAGGCTATTATTCCCAAAAAATACATGTTTGGTTTTTAAAAAGAAAAGTTTAATTTGTTTTCAGTCCTTAAAGTTAAGGAAGGATATAAATTGATATGGTTTAATAAAAAGCAAACCAAAATGAAAACTCTATATGACCAAGTTTCTGTAACAAAAAATTGCAGGCCGGGTGCCATGGCTCACACCTGTAATCCCAGCAATTTGGGAGGCCAAGGCGGGCGGATCACCTGAGGTCAGAAGTTCGAGACCAGCCTGGCCAACATGGTGAGACTCCGTATCTACCAAAAATACAAAAAGTAGCTGGGCGTAGCGGCGGGCACCTGTAATCCCAGCTACTTGGGAGACTGAGGCAGAAGAATCACTTGAACCTGGGAGGTGGAGGTTGCAGTGAGCAGAGATCACGCCACTGCACTCTAGCTTGGGCAACAAGAGCAAAACTCCATCTCAAAATAAATAAATAAATAAATAAATAAAGGAAAAAATTAGCAAAAGATGGAGAGGGATCCAAAAGATTAAAAGAGAGTAAAGAGACATAATAACCAGTGGTGATGTATGAATTTTACTCGGATCCTGATTCAAACAAACAATTAAAAATATCTAGGATAATTGGAAAAATGTGAATACTGACTATTTGATAATAGCAAAAGGAATCATTTTCTTTAGCTGTAATGATGGTATTGAGGTTATATTTAAGAAGAAGAGTCTGCGATTTTAGAGGTACATACTGAAATATTTACAGATTATATGATGCCTGGAATTTGCTTCAAGATACTCTGAGGCAGAGGGAATGGTGGGAAGTATAAACACAACAAGATTGACCATGAGTTGATAATTGTTGAAACTGGATGATGGGGCCACAGATGTTCACTGTACTCTCTACTTTTATCTTTGAAATTTTCTGTAATAAAAAGTTTTAACATTTCTTTGCATGGTCATTATAAGACTCAGTTGGAGAGTCATTAATATAAAAAAATCTGTCACCTTCTCTTTGGTAGTCACTAACAAATACAATGCCTGAAACTCAAAATCCAGCTAAATGCTGGAAATAATTTGATGTTTCACTTTTAACATTAGCTAGAAGAAAACAGAAATCTGCTACATTTGCCACCAAATTAGCACTTAAGACTTGCAATTGTTAACACTTCAAACCTATGGGAGAGATTTTAAGCTCAGCTAATGAGCAAACTGTTTCATTTTGTTTTTGGCAAGAATTAGCCTTTGGCAGACTTCCCTTGCTTATGTTTAAGTTTTGTTGACTAGTCTTATTATTAACTGGAATTTTGACTTTGGCTGTAACATGTACATTTTTTTCCCCTTACTGTCTACTTAAGTTCCCAAGAGAAGCAAAGACAATACAGATTTTTTAACAAGGTCCTGTCATCTCCTATTTTTTTAGAAGTATGTCTGTAGGCTCACAGAAGCCAGGGAAACCATCACTGGACTGAATCATCTACAAGACTGCAGGCTGTTTCAGCCACTGTGAACTTTCTGCTCCCAGCTCTTACTCTCCTCCTGAAGACATGTTTTTAAAACCTACTTTAGTAGCACCACGAAACTGAGCTCAACTCCTTTAATTAACTGGCCCCCTCGTTCTCTAGAGGCCAAGAATCTTGGGGTGGCGGGGGGGCATAGGTAGAGAAATGGACAAAGGCTTATCAAGACAGAGGTTGATGAGATCTCAAGAAAAGAATATTTCCTCATAGTTAAAGAGTTGCCTGGGCACAGAATAGGGGAAGGAGGACAGATGTTGAATATCTTTCTTTAAAAAATCTATTAAGAGGAGGTAGCAGTTTTCTGAGTAAAGGCTTTCAGGAAGTCCTGCCAGCAAAGCAAGGAAGTCTTGACCACTTGATGGGACCCCTTCCCTTTCCAGATTCTGGTTCTCAATACCTGGGTTTCAGATGCCCTTCCCATGTGATACACAACTGGCAATATGTCCCAGGGTGGATTCTAGGAGTTGTTCATATCACTTTTGGTAACAGGACAAAGAAACCTCCCCAAAGAGGCGGGACGCATATCCGTGATATCAACTCAATCTCCAGTGTGTTTAGGAATAATGGATAGAACCCCAGATCCTTCTCTAGGAAAAAGCTGAAGCCCCTTGACAGGGTGAGCACTTACACTCCAGCTTATCCTGAGGCCTCCCCGTCTCCAGCAGGGACAGGTAGCACACAACATCCTTCAGGTATACCACTGGGGATTCCGAGCTTGAAGACCGAGGGACGGGGGGTTCCAGGGGGGTCGCAGCCACTTGGTCTTCAGCTGGTGCTTGCTTCTCAGCCATATTTGATTCTGCGATGAACAAAAGGAAAACATCCAAGGACATTTTCTGTTTAGTAAATATTAACCCCTCTTTGTTACCCCATCCTTTTCATGGTAGAGGCAAGAATTTTGTAGAAGTGTCTTCAAAAGCTTTGGTTACATAGATGTGACCAAATTAGTGGCCCTAGAAATCCAACTTGTGGAGTTCATATTCTCTGAAGGGATCCCATGCTGACCCCTTTAAGAGTCTATTTCCTTGCAGGAAATTCATCTATACTCTGAATATTCAGAAAAGATGATAGTGATTATTGGTAATATCAATAATCAACAGGTAAATGTCATTTGGCCTACTTTTTTGGGAACATACCCAACTTATAGAAGTAATTTTGGCTGGGATTTCAAAATGGTAAATGGCCAACAGTCATTTCTCAATAGACCTTGCAATTTTCTTTTCAAACACATTTAAAGACACATAAAGGATGAATATTCAAAAGAGAAAACCGGGATTGATAATTAACGAATCTCCAGAAACTAGGAAGAACTCAAACTAACTGCAAGTCTAATTTGGATGAAGAAAATGCAGAAAGTGGATTATTGTACCACAAGAATGGGGTAAGTTTTCCCTTTAAAATTTCTCCTTTCTAAGGTAGGAAAACACTTTGTCTCTTCCACACTCTGTCCTGTGGTTCAGAAATATAAGCTCTATTACTAACAAGAAAACTGGGCACCCCTGTTTTCCTGTGTGAATTCTATTTTTTGAGACACTTTGAGTGCTGTCTTCCGTCTCTACCTCCATGCTCATCAGAAATGATCTCTTAATATCTACTAGGAGTGTACAACTCACAGAAAACAACTAGCCAGGGAACAAAGGGAAGATGGACAGTGGAAAATCCAATGTTTTAGGTGTTGTTATATTATACCACCAAGTAACAAAGTACTGAAGGTAGAGGCAGTGGGAGAGACAGCCTTGATCGTAATGTCTGTTGAGGAAGGCAATGTTACCTGTACACTCTTCATTCGGAGAAACAAATAACCAAGCAATGGGAGTGAATATTCCATTTTAGGCAAGCAGGGCTGTGCTAGATGAAAGCCTTCCAGGTTCCAGGGATTCAGTTGTGGGTCTGAGGAGGGAGTTAACCATCATCCAGATGGACAATAGGAGAAACCAAAGGTCACTGACACAATTTGTATATTACAGAGGGCCTCATGAAGAAACCAAGATGGAGCCTAGGAAACGTGGCTGCAAAGTAAGGAAAGAAAGCTTCATCCTGAGGTCTCAGAAGACCAGATTTTCAAAAGTAATTTTCTACTGGACAAGGCCCTTAGCGGGATGCAAGAAGATATCACCTCTATTATACAAAAGCAGAAAGCCTCAGGGTTTGGCAAGTAGAGATGAAAATACAATAGGATGAGATAAAGACAGGGATAGTGAGATAGGGGAGGTTGTAATAAAATTACATATTTAATGAAGTATTAAGATTGTCACTGGAGGAAAACATGGGAACAGGCCTTTGTACTGTGTAGTGCATTACACCCAAAGTTATTGCTAGGTCCTCATATTATTCATCAATTAAAACTCTATCAGTGACTTCTACCTTGACTAAAATGGGCTAACAGAGACCAGATTTACCCTCTCACCTAAAACAGTGACAAAACTGGACAAAATGTATGAAACAATGGTTCATAGGACATTATATTATCAGGGAGGACCAAACACTGATCTCTGAGAAGATGAGATGACTCCTACAACTGCCACATCAGACTGTTTGGAAAGAGCTTCTAGGCCGCAGCACAGAGAAGGGGAAGCCAGGCCAACCCTGGAAGTCTCTCTGAGTGGAGGTGAAGCTGGAATCTGGAGCCCACAGTGGCTAGGATTCACAGAGCAGGCACTGGAGAGGAGGGTATGCACAGAGAGCTAGCTCTGAATGTGTGTAGAAGGTCCCCTTTGAGTAACAGCAGAGAGTTCCCTTCAATTATTCAGCTGAGTAGTAATTAGCACACTTGTGGAAGGAAAACACCTAAGGCTAAGGCTGGGGAAAGAACTAGGATTAGAGCGAATAATCCCTGGAGAGAACCAGGAGTAATGCCTATTCCCACCAACCAGGGTAGAAACCCCCCATAATTCGTGAATCATTGATAGAGTATTCAGAAACATTTTTTCTCAGTAGTGAGTAAATGCCTTTCTGGTCCTGTCCAGTGAAGCTTAAAAGATAGATCCAAAAAGATCAGACTGTTTCCAAGTAACCTAACTGTACCTAAAAACAAAGCTCAGGACTTTGTAGGAATGTGAAAATCCAGTACTCAACATTTAGTGAAGAGGCACCATAAATTCTATACAAATTCTTCCAGAAAATTTAAGAGGAGGGAATCCTACGCAACCCTTTTGGTGAGGCCAGCATTACTCTAAAGCCAAAAACAGACAATGACATGATAAGACATGAACATGCAAATCAATATCCCTTATGAACACAGAGGCAAACGTTCTTAATATTTTAGCAAATTGAGGCTCATAATATGTAAAAAGAAATTAAATAAGACCAAATAAACAATTAAGTACATGAAAAGATACTCAACATCATTAAAGCACAAGAATATTTATAACATTTTTATTTATGATAATTATAAATTGGAAGCAATCTAGATGTCCATCAGTAGGTTAACAGACGAACAAATTGTGGAATATCTATGTATTAAAACACTAATCAGCAACTAAAATATGTGAACTATTGATATATACAAAATGGATAAATCTCAAAATTATTACATGGAGTGAAAAAAGGCAGACCCAAAAGAGTAGAGAGTGTATGATAACATTTATATAAAATCTAGACAATGTAATTTAATATATATGGCAGAAAGCAGATCAGTAGTTGTATGGGGATGAAGGGTGGGCGGGTAAGGAGGGTGGAGAAAAGGGATTACAAAGAAAACTTTTAGAGATGATGGGTATGTTCATCATATTAATTGTGGTACTAGTTTTACAGGTATATACGTGTGTCAAAACTTATTAATTATACACTTAAAACATGCAATTTTTTGCCAATTTACAACTCAATCCTTGGATCTTGAACCATTTCTCTAGTTTTCACTGAAGTCTACTGCTCACTCCTGTCATAGAGATGCAGGGGTCCAGGAAGGCTGAGAGGCACTGACACTGTCTCATTAGTGTCCTTCCTCTTCATTCTGCTTTATATGAAATAGCCCTGACCTATGGCCATCTGAGTACGACCCTCAGGTACCACCAGTAAAAAATGCCAACACCCTCTTCCGGATCACAGAGGTCCTGTCCTGGTGCCATGTCCTAAACCCTTTCATGTGACGGCTCTTGGGCAGACCTGACTTGTTCCACTTTCTCCCTTGGTATCTGTGTTACTTGTTCCCTTTCAGTGGGGCAGTGTGGCATAGTGGGAAGAGCACCAGACCAGGCAGCAGAAGACCGTGATTCCACCGCTGAGTTTGTGTTCAGTTGTGTGTGATTTAACACACAAAGTATGTGTGTGTGATTTAACACAAGCAGGCTTACTCCACCACACTCAACCTCAGTTTTCTCATCTGTTTAAAGAGGGGATTGCATTAAAACTGATGTTTACCCAAAGTCTTGAATTACAGAAATCATTCAAGTAAATGACTTAACTAAGTGAAGAACAAAACTGGGTCCCAAGGCCGGGCACGGTGGCTCATACCTGTAATCCCAGCACTTTGGGAGGCCGAGGTGGGTGGATCACCTGAGGTCAGGAGTTGGAGACCAGCCTGGCCAACATGGTGAAACACTGTCTCTACTAAAAATACAAAAATTAGCTGGGCGTGGTGGCGGGTGCCTGTAATCCCAGCTACCCAGGAGGCTGAGGCAGGAGAATCACTTGAACGCGGGAGGCAGAGGTCGGGAGGCAGAGGTTGCAGTGAACTGCGATCGTGCCACTGCACTCCAGCCTGGGCAACAGAGCGAGACTCCATCTCAAAAAAAAAAAGAAGAAACTCGGTCCCAGATTATCTATACAATACAGTCTGATCCCAATTCTGTAAAAAAATTATAGAAAAATCTACAAGGAGATTACACACACACACATGTAATTGCATTGGTAAAATTATGGATGATTTTATTGTGCTTTTTTAAAAACACATTTTTTAGAGCACTGTAAAATTCAGAGTAAAACTAGAAGAGGGTCCAGAGGTTTTTCACACACCCTGCTTCCCTACACATGCATAACCTACCATGCCTCACTCCCCCACCAGAGTGGTACATTTGTTACAGCTGATGAATACATCAACACATCATTATCTCCTGAAGTCTATAATTTGCATTAGGGTTCACTCTTGGTGTTCTACATTCTGTGGGTTTGGGCAAATGTACAATGACATGCATTCACCATTATAGTATACAGAGTAGTTTCGCTGCCCTAAAAATCCTCGGTGCTTTGCCTATTCATCCTTCCCTTCCCCTGACCCTTGACACCACTGATCTTTGTTGTTTCTTTATTTTTTTGTGTCCTTCAAATTTCTTACAATGTGAGTGTATTACTTTTATAATTTGGAAAAACTAACACAAAATACTGGGGGACTTTCCTTGAGATTTCAATATTCCAAGTCGCTGAAACATCTCGACAGCCTGAGAAACTAACGAAACACCAGGACACTGAAGTTCTCCTTGTTCATCCCAGTTAGTCCTGGGCCTTCATGAAGGGAAAGGTGGGCTCAGCCTTTCCTGAGCTGACACTCTGACAGTGATAGATTGCTCAGGCCTCCGAGCCGAAGTCTGGACCCTGAAAGCCCTGCTCTTCTGTCTTTATGGCTCTGGGAATGAAGTGGGCTTTGCTAGATCTGAGCTTGGAGACTGATCTGATAGGCCTAGACAGGCCACATGAAATAAGAATCTAAGCTCTTTCCCTGGCTTCCACCTGGGCAACAGGAAAAGGCTGGTCTTTTCAGCAGATGGCCTGATTGAAGGTGAGTCCAGGGCTTGGCTCTTCCTTGCCGGCAGAGGCCCCTCTCTGTGGTGACTGCCTGGTCCTATAATTCTTGTTTCTGGTGAACAGGGACATCTAATTAAGACATCTGTGGAAGAGGGCCTACCAGGAAAAGGTTTTTTTCCCTTAAATCTCAAGTGTCAAAAGAAGATAAAAAAATGCTGTATACCTCCTTGGGCCAAGAGTCAGATAATTGCCCTTTCATGATTTTACTATAGGGGGCTGATTTTTCCCATACACAAGGAAAATGGTACATGACAAAATCACTTCTCCAGGAGGAAATCTCTGGAAGTTTCTCTTTTAGTCCCAGAATGATACAACTATTGCAAATACGCATGGAGGTCTTAAATAAGTCAGCTAATTTCCGTTATCATCATTGATCATCTTTTCTCAAATATCACATAAAATGACATATCCCCAATAAGTTCTTCCTTGGTACCTCAGAAACATTAGCCACTAAAACACAACCTGCTCAGACAATTTGGAACCTCAGTGAATGAATTGTATCTTCTTCTAGGTTCCTCTTGAAGTTCCAGATAAAATAAACCCTGTCTCTACAAAAAAAGAAAAATTAGCCTGGCCATGATGGCATGCACCTGTAATCCCAGCTACTCAGGAGGCTGAGACAGGAGAATTGCTTGAACTCGGGAGGCAGAGGTTGTGGTGAGCTGAGATTGCACCATTGCACTCCAGCCTGGGCAACAAGAGTGAAACTCTGTCTCAAAAAAAAAAAAAAAAAAAAGTCTCTAGGTAAATAATTTGGGGCAGGATGCTTTTTACCACTGAGTTTCTTGCTGGGAGTTTAAAATCTCAGAGCTCCTAGTTTCACACTTTCCTCCCTAGTATGAGAATGATCTATGCCTGAATATGCCTCCTCTAGTCCATAGAAGATATAAGAGTTATCTGTGCCTTACACAGATGCCTGAATATGCCTCCTCTAGTCCATAGAAGATATAAGAGTTATCTGTGCCTTACGTCCATTTCACCAAGGGGCTATGGACTAGCATGGCTGAGTGGCGTGCTGGGCAGGGCATGGACGAGCCAGCAATTTTGTGGAGTCTTGGCCTGCTGCTGTCCCTGAAGCCTTCGGGAAGGCACAGCTGCTCCTCATCCTTGCTTTCTGGTGCTCTGTGCATGGAGTTTGCTGAGCTTATGATCCAGGGGTAACTGTTTTTCCCCAACCATGCTCTGCTTTCCATCTATCATGACCTGTTTATCTCACCAGTCCTCAGTTAAACACTGAAAACTCGATAATCCTTCCAGTTTCTCTTTTTGCTGTGACAGGAGAAAAGATTAGAACTACATTGAAGAAACTCTCTCTTCAAGGTCCCTGTTGCAATTAGTTCCCCTTCTCCTTCAGCTGTAGTACCTCTAATCTATCTTGTTTTATATACATTTAAAATATAGGCTGGGCGGGGTGGCTCACGCCTATAATCCCAGCACTTTGGGAGGCCGAGGTGGGCAGATCACGAGGTCAGGAGATCGAGATCATCCTGGCCAACATGGTGAAAGCCTGTTTCTACTAAAAATACCAAGAATTAGCCGGGTGTGGTGGCACGTGCCTGTAGTCCCAGCTACTCGAGAGACTGAGGCTCAAGAATCACTTGAACCAGGGAGGCGGAGGTCTCAGGGAGCTGAGATTGTGCCACTGCACTTCAGCCTGGTGACAGAGCGAGACTCCGTCTCAAAATAATAATAATAATAATAATAATAGTAATAATAATAATAATAATACTGCATTCTTTTTCCCCTGGGCATATCCTAAGAGCTGGAATTCACCTTTGGATATCCATAAAGCTTTTCAATAAAATGATAATGCACAGTAAAAAAAAAAAAAAAAAAAAAAGGTCTGACTCTCTGAGTCTTTGTATTGAAAGCTTCAGGAACAACCTGGGAGAAAGAAAGCCCATGAGAGACCTTTCATGGGAAGAGGATGCCCAGGTGACACACTTGGAGACTGAGGTTGCAGGCTGAAGGAGATAATGGCAGACCATACTGAGTTAAGAATAGAGTATACTTCTGTGCTGGGTGTGGTGGCTCATGCCTGTAATCCCAGCGCTTTTGGGTGGATCACTTGAGGTCAGGAGTTCGAGACCAGCCTGGCCAAGATGGCAAAACCCTGTCTGTACTAAAAAAGTACAAAAATTAGCCAGGCGTGGCAGCACACTCTTGTAATCCCAGCTACTCAGGAGGCTGACGCACAAGAATAGCTTGAACCTGGGAGCTCGAGGCTGCAGTAGGCTGAGATTGTACCACTGCACTCCAGCCTGGGGGACAGAGCAAGACCTTATCTCAGACAAAAAAAAAAAAAAGAAAAGAATAAAGTATACTTCTGGAAGGTGGCCTGAATAATAAATGCTAATATTTATCAAACATTTACTGTGTGCCAGGCACTGTTCTAAGCGTTAACATATCTAACTCACTTAACCTTCATAAGAACATTTGTTATCTCACTTAGGGACACTGAGGCACAGAGACGTTGTTCAAACATGCCCACGGTTACAGAGCTAGGTAGTGTTGGCTCTGGGAATCAAACCCAGGCATCCTGGCTCCTTAAGCAACATGCTCTGTTGCCTGATCCAACTTGAGTTGATAGTACTCAGGACATTTGTATTGAATATGAGAACAGAAATTAAGTATGGTAACCTTCACCTCTCATTTTTGTAGGAGCTTCTGGCCTTGGGCTGGCCAGCCAACAGCAGAGAGGAATGGCTTCCCATTGATAAATGTGTCAGGGAAGATTCCACATCTCTCACAGCCCAACAGTGGGCCTATGGGCAGCAGGCACCACTACAGCAGCTCCGCTGAGAGTGCAGCCTTGCTCATTCCACAGGAACCAACCACACCACCAGGACCACTGTGTCCTCTCTCTCTATAGGAAAGACTGCAGGAGTTTTGAGGTTGGATGATTCTGGATTGAATCCCTGGCTCCACAGGTCACACCAGTGGTATATAATCTCTTAAGGCCTCAGTTTCTCATGTGTAAAGTGGTGTGATTGTGAAGCTTAGATGAAATGTGTAATGAGCAGATGCCTGGCAAATATATCTTCAAGACCATTTGAGCTGGCTTCCTTTGCTAACTTATTAGCAACTCCTCAACTTATTCAAAATAGTGTATATATGTTGTTGGAAGTCAACAAGGGCACATTTTTACCCTCTTGCTCTGTTCCTCTCCAGACATCCACTGGTAGAGTCATCTGCACCTCAGCCTTACAGCCACAGCCACCTCTCTCTGTCTGTCTGTCTGTCTCTCTCACACACACACACACACACACACACACACACACACACTTCCCCTGAGAAGGCTCTCCACTTTTTCTGGGCAGGCAGACATATCAGAGATAAACATCTAGCAAGCTGTCCCAAGTCCTGACCTGCTCTGTTCTAGGGCAAGTGAAGCAAAAACCTTTACCCAGCCTCAGAATCCCAGAACATTCAAATGACAGGAGCCCCAGAGATGGAGGTTCTGAAGGCCACAGGAGGACCAGATCTGCATAAGATTGCACAATTATATGAAGACAGCACTGTTGGTTAGGTTTCCCCACTTCTCCCCAAGGATGAGGTATTCCCTACTTTTCCCACAAGTCTTATATTCCAAAGACTTACCAGTATCAGGGGCACAGGCCTCGTCTGCTTTGGTGGCATTATCTGCATTCTGTATATTAGTATCTGAGGAAAAAAAAGAAGATTTAAAGACCAACCCAGGCCCTCTAGCTTCTTGGAAGGGCAGGTACAGGACATCCCCATGGGACCTGGTTTGCCTTGATTGTGTCTGTGTCTCGGGGTTATGTGTCAGCTGGGTTCATGCTCGCTTATTGGGATTGGCTGTGTCTCCCCCATTATAGCCCAAGCTCCAGGAAGACAGGGATCATGGCTTCCCTCTCCTCTAACACTTCCAAGCTAGTCCCAGCCTGGACACAGAAGCTGAATGTGCTCCATCCGTGGACCGTCAGCCTTTGCTGAAGGCTCTCTTCCCCCACCATACATTATTTTGTGTCTCCTCTTTCCCCATCCTGCTCTTTGATCCATAGTGGCAGGAATTATGCCTCCTGTTTATTCCTCTTGCTGAGAGGTTCATCAGGGCTTCCCGTAAGGCACTATGAGGAAAGGCGTCCCTGTCCCTTGGTTCATGTTCGCACCGTTGGGGCAGTTACTATGTTCAGGGGACCCTCTAGGAATGCAGTCTGTGGCTGTGGCAGGGGATGAGAGCTGCGCAAGGTCTTCCCATCTTGGGGAAAGCTCTGTGTACCTGCGCTGTTGGCCTCACTGTTGCTGGCTCCCTCCGTCGGGTGGTCAGAGGTCTCGTGTCTGGGCTTCTGGCTGAAGGCCAGGAAGAGGTGAGTGCTCAGTGGCTGGGGAAGGTCCACCTCCAGGTACGCCCTCATGAACAGCTTGAAGACATCATAGCTAATCGGCTGAGAAGGGGCAAAAGGGCAAAGTCAGTGGAGAGAAGCAAAGGGACAGAGAGGAAGAGAGAAGGAAAAGGAATAGAAAAGCTGGCAGGTGAAAGGAATGGAAAGGGAGGCAGTAGGACATGGAGGAGCTGATGGGGACAGGAATGAAAAGGCCAGGGAAGTGATAGACAATGAGAGGCACAGGGTGCAGGGGATGGGTGTAAGAGAGAGAAAATGTTGCAGTTGCATATTGGGGCTTGGTGGGGCACAGAACCAGGGCAGGCTCCTGTAATAAGAAATGATATTATGTAAATTTAGATAAAAAGGGACATGTTGGAGAGTGAGCCTTGGGAGTGGAGGCCAAAGTGCAGGGCTCTGCCTTAGTCCAGGCCTGTGTGAGGGATGTGGCTCTAATGAGCAGGGACAAGATCTGTGCCCTAGAATCCTAGTTAAGATGAAGAAGGATGCAGTTGAAAATATGATGCAAAGAAATAGTTCTTCTGTGGTATCTTGGTTTCCCTCTTGTACCATGACGGATGTGATGCCTGAGTATTCAGGTCTCAGAAAGTAGGAAAGACCTGGAAGAGAAAAGAACAGGCTCCATCCTTCATGACTTTCATAGTCCTGATCTTCCCTGGAAAAACCCTCAAATAACAAGGGTGGGTGTGTGTTTCTGGCTCAGCTGCTTCTCAAAACATGTCCTTGTGAAGGTTTTAGGCACCAGGAGAAGAGCAGGAAGCCAAGGACAGAAGGTAGAACCAAGAGATGTGCCAAAAACTAGACCCTCTTCCTGCTGTGTCTCTCCCAGTACCGCCTGGCTTCTGGTCCCAGGCTGGGAGCAGCTATGCCAGAAAGGGCTGCTGCACTCAGCAAACACTCAACAACAACAGTTTGCAGTGAGTCATCACTGGCTTGTGCTTTGATGGCATCAGATTCTTCATCAAATCGGCAGATGCTCCTGGAAATCATTTGAGGAAGCACTACTCTGAGATCTGCTGTGCAGGCTTTTGTGAATAATAGCAGCCATGAGAATAAAATCCCTTTGCAGGAGCCTACTTGATGTACCCATCAAAATGTTGGTAGCATTTAACCCCTTGTCTGTTCTGGGAGATCTGGGAGACGTCCCAGAACCAGAGACTGGCTTACATGTGTATAAACAAGTTTGAGTTCAAAATCTTGGCCTTAAAAGCGAGTAATGGCCTCCCCACCCCACTGAGGGGCTCACAAATAAATTTCTGTTTAGCACCAGGCTTGGCTGTTCTATCCGTCTCCTTTGCAGAGTGAAGGAAGTCTGATTCAGCTGGACAGAGGCTCTTACCAGATTAGGGGAACTCCAAGCAAATGGTGGACTCACATTTCTTGTGACAGCTACCCATCTCTCTGTTCCTTTTCTGTCCCCGAGTCTCTGTGTCTCTTTATTTCACACTCTTTCTGTCTCTCTCTGCCTCTATAACTTCATTGCCTCAGAATGTCCCTTCCTCCCACATCCTCCTCCTTTTTCCTAATATACAATAACAAAATCTTTTCTTCCTCCTCTCTTTTCTTTTTTTCTTCTTTTCTCTTTCTTTCTTTCTTTCTTTCTTTCTTTCTTTCTTTCTTTCTTTCTTTCTTTCTTTCTTTCTTTCTTTCTTTTTTTTTTTTTTTGAGATAGAGCCTTGCTCTGTCACCCAGGCTGGAGTGTAGTGGCACGATCTCAGCTCACTGCAACATCTACCTCCTTAGTTCAAGTGATCCTCACGCCTCAGCCTCCTCCCAAGTAGCTGGGATTACAGGCACGTGCCACCATGCCCGGCTATTTTTGTATTTTTAGCAGAGATGGGGTTTCACCTTGTTGGCCAGGCTGGTCTTGAACTACTGACCTCAAGTGATCTGCCTGCCTTGGCTTCCCAAAGTGCTGGGATTACTGGCGTGAGGCACCATGCCCAGCCCCTCTTCTCCAATTGTAACCCACCCACCTTGATCCTTGATTCCATCCTCGCTGGCTCTGATTGCATCTCCAGCATTTTCTTTTCATTTACCTGCAAGTATGTTAAATGTCCACTATTCCAAAGAAATTGCTGTCTACCAGATCTACTGGCCCATCCTTCTCCCCTTTCCTTTCAAATTTCTCCAAACAGACCAGATTAGCCTCCTCATCTCCTTAATCCCATTCGGATTGGATCCTAGCCCATTACCTCTGAAACTGCTTTGTTGAAGGTCACAGACGTGATCATCTCTTTTTAGACTGTCTCATCTTTGGCCTCTCTGCAACATTTCATCTTCTCTTCTTTTTAAAACTCTCTATTTTCCATGGAATTGTTCTGTTTTGGTTCTCTTCATTCTCTACTTTGATTTGACTGAATAATATGGCACTGTTCTTCATTAATTTATTTCTAAAGCTCTTTTTTGCATTGTCTCTTTGTACCACTTTAATTGACAAGTAGTATTTTAAAAGGTAGTTTTCAGTTCCAAAGTGTACTATTAATCTCTTTCAGCTAGCATCAAATGAAAACTATCAGAATAAAATATTTCTGGAAAGCAGACTGTACTAAATGATCTAATAAAAAGAAAGTTTAGTTAAACAGTCTAACATAATGCTGTAAAAAACCAAAGCCAAAAGATCATGAAACAAGATCAGCATGAGATTCAGGAAACCTCGTGACTGGTCTCAGACCAAGCGCATTTCTCCCCTTTTTCCAATCTGTTTCTTCTTCAGCAAATTGTGAGTGTTGAACTAGAAGATTTCAAGTTCTAAACTTCAATTAGCTTGCTCCCTGAAAACCAGCTCCTCTTCCTGACTCCACAATTTCTGTTAATGCCAATGACACCATTATGCTCCCAACATTACAGGCTGAGCTTTGAACTGTCAGTTGGCTGAGACTAGTTCTTGTCCCTTCCTTCTGTCCACTGTTCTTCTGCAACATCTGTCACATCCAGACCTTTTCTATGTCCATTGTCCCTGCTGCCATCACCAAAATTCCTGGATTCTGACTTCTGTTCCATACATCTCACCTGGGCCATTGCAATACCTCTCCAAGGCTTCCTTAACCCCATGTCCATCTGTTGGTCCTCCCACCTATCTTGCCTATCCTTGCCCTATTGATCTTCCTAAAGCACAACTCTGATAAAATTGCTTCTCTTCTCAAAAACTTTCCATGTGACGGGTGCGGTGGCTCACACCTGTAATCCCAGCTCTTTGGGAGGCCGAGGCAGGCAGATCATGAGGTCAGGAGATCGAGACCATCCTGGCTAACATGGTGAAACCCCATCTCTACTAAAAATACAAACCATTAGCTGGGCGTGGTGGCGGGCGCCTGTAGTCCCAGCTACTCGGGAGGCTGAGGCAGGAGAATGGCATGAACCCGGGAGGCGGAGCTTGCAGTGAGCCGAGATGGCACCACTGCACCCCAGCCTGGGTGACAGAGCGAGACTCCGTCTCAAAGAAAAAAACTTTCCATGGTTTCTAATTGCCCATGGAACTGAATTGAGATTAACTGAGGTACTACTGTGTTCTTACACTATACATTATAAAATATTTGCAAAACTAAATTGGCAAGTGGAAATTAGATGAATGTAAATAGAAGGCCTAATATGCAGTGTTCTACAGTCCAGTGGACCATCCTGTGTACTCTCCTAGACCTTTGGTATTCATAGCCTCCAATAATCCCCTCCAACCTAGATTTGTAGTTACTTCAAGCTCTGAGATGATTCTCATATTCTCTCCTATTATTCCCCATGTGCGTGTATGCACTCTGTCCATGCTGACCTCTGTGTTCTTTCCTGAGCAACCCTCCATGCACTCTACCCTGCATGAACTGCTTCCATCTCTACATGTTCAAGTTCCAGTCATGCTTTAAGGCCCAACCCGGATTCCACTTTTTCCAGAAAGCCTTATGATCGTCTGTCCCTGAATTTCCCTACTTGGCACCTTGGTTCCTGCCTTGTGACACTCATATGTGCTGCTCTGCATTGATATATAGTTGTTTGTGACAGACCTTGGTTCCTCTACTCAATCCAGAGCTCCTGGAAGTAGTGAGAATGTCTCCTTTCATCTTTGAATCCCCCACACCACCTACCACAGGGTTCTTCATAGGTATTTGAATGGATGATGTGTCCTAATCAGTGCACCTGAGGAATAGCCTGGTGCCTGGTCCCTGGATGTCATCAACTACTATGGGATCCATTCAGTCTATGTATAGATTGAATGGATATATGTATCTCCACTCACAATTTGCTGAAGAAGACACAGATTGGAAAAAGGGGGGAAATGTGCTATATATATATATATATATATATATATATATATATATATATATATACATATGTGTATATATATATATATATACATATGTATATATATATATATATATACACATATGTATATATATATACCCACATACATATATTTATGTGTATATATGTGTGTGTATATACCTATATCTATATCTATATCTATATATCTATATATCTTGAGCCTCTTAAGTGCAGGGCACAGTACAGTGCTGGGCACCAATGAATTAGGCATGAGTCCGTATCTTCAAAGAGTCAGTGTTATATAAGAGGTAAAGATATTGAAATAATTGCAATGTGTGGTCATCAGTGGCGAGTGCCATAGGAAAAGAGCTGACAAACTGTTATGAGAACTTAGAAAATAATACTGATGGAACTCATCCAACCATGCATGTCCCCATCCTAGAGAACAGGATGCACAGAATAAACCCAGAAGCACAGAACATGCAAACCAGAAGAGTCTCAGAGGGGACTCAGTCTTCTGATGCCTCCGAGGCTCAGGAAATTCAGTGATGAGCCCCAGCGAGCTAGCAGCAGAGTGAAACCAGAAGCCAGACCTCCTGACTCCCTGTCCAGTGCTCCTGCTACTATATCTGTCACAGGGTCCAGAGCTGGCATAGTGCTCCCTGACACTCCCTCCCAGTATCCCATGTTCAGCAGGCAAAGACATGCAACGATGTGCCACACTCTCAAGGTGATATCTGGGTTATACAAAAGTTCTTTAAAAGCACAGCCCAGGAACAGAGTAGCTGCTTAGTAAATGCATGATGAGAGACTAACTAGGGAGTGGCTAGGGGTCATGCCCAAACCAGATGACCAACCACTATGAGGCATGCTGGCAATTCTCTGAGACCTGGACTAACATCCCAGGCACACTCATGGTTCAGGCCAAAGGAACTCTGTTTTTCCCCAGCAGCTTTTATGCAGGAATTAGCTGGGCAATTTGCTCCTGCTGCAACACACTTAAAGAGAGTGTGTTAATCCTTACACAGACCAAGAAGAGAGAACTAGATGGAGAGCTTAGCAGGCATCCGGCACTTTCATTCTCAAGACAGCAGTGTGGGGAAGAACTGTTACTGTCATTCTGGGGATAAAACAAATTTTGACAACATAAATAACTTGCTGAAGATCATAAAGCGTGTGGCAGAGCTGGGCTTTGTGATCAGGTGTCTGGGTCCAGGCTCACAGTGCCACCAAGCCACCTGCCTCTTTTGCTTTTCTGGGTTTTGCCCACTCTCTAGCTGTCTGCCACCACTCTATTCTCCAGAGAATCACTTGGTACTGATGGGCAAGCGCATGTTCATCACGGCCAGATGCAGCTCTGCCACTCTGCAAAGTTTTATTCCCATCCTACCTTTGCTAGCAATCTGCCCCTTCCCACAGCTAACTCGTTTCTCATTGAGACATTTTAGCAGCAGTAAGCCATCAAACTCAAGAGAAATTAAACCCTTCTTATTTCCCTAACCCTGTGCCATGACATTACACCTACTAGAAGTCAGCTGCACTGTGTGAGAGAACGAAATCAGAGTGACAGAGCTCCCTGGGACCCAGCAGTGCCTGGCATTACAAAAAGTGGGGGCCAGCCCCGACAGAGGCGAGGGCGGCTGCGTGCTCATAGCAGCCAAGCGACTCCCTGCTTCTGAAAGCTCCTGTGGCCTCCACACCTGCAGTGGCCCTGACCAAACTGTTCCTCTCCCACTCATCAGCCCCAGGGCGGACAAGCTGATTAGCAGCCGCCGCCAGGCTTTGTTCCCGTGTTTTTGGAGCTGGGGGTGGGGGGTGTGGGGCAGTGAGTTCTTTGCTGGCTCTGCTATCTTCTCTGCATGGTTTCTCCTCAGGAATGTTCTTTGAAATGGTGCATTCTCAGTCTCGCCCCTGTTCTGGCAACCTTCTTCCTGCTTCATTCTCTCTGCAACTGGTGTATTTTATCCAAAGCCCCTTTTAGGTGTACCTTGAGGGCACAGGCTCTGTTGATTCATTTCCAGTGTCCAACGGAGAAGGTGTTGACTCAGTTTTGTTCAATGGATGACAACGTGAATAAGAAAGTGGCCAGTCTCTCCCTAAGTGAATCCTGCAGATCAGTCACTTTTCTGTGGTTAGTCTTCATAAAAGGACTCAGGAGCAGGGAAAAGGGAATTGAGTTAAAAACATTCTGGGGAAAGGGGATGGAAGAGGGATAATAATAGGTACAGATTTTTAAGTGCTTGTAGAATGTTAGCCACTTTGCAAAGATCCTCTCATTTAATTCACTCATCCACAAACTTCGAGGCTTTTTTTGTTATGTACAGTTTATAGATGAGGAAAGTGAGGCTCAAAGATATGAAATATTATTCAAGACCACTTGTTGATGGCAGAGGTAGAAGTCTAACTTAAGACCATGTAATTCCAGGGTCATGGCTTTCAAACCTGACCCTGCCAGTAGGAAGTAAGTCCTGGAGGGCAGGAACTGTGCTTCTATATTTTTATGCCTTCTACAGTGCCCAGTACAGTGCATAGAAGCCCAAGAAATGTTAGAGTCATTGAATTTGAAAGTAGGGGGAGATCTTGCATTCATTTATTCAGTCCACAAATGTTTATTGAATGCCTGCTATAAGCCAGATACTTTTCCAGGCACTGAAGACACAGCAGTGAACAAAAATATGCTAGTGGGAGAGACAGACAATTAATTAAGTAAATTATATAGTGTGACAGGTGGTGAGAAGTACTTAGGAGGAAAATAATGCAGAGCAGGGGGATAGGAAATGTCAGAAAGAGGGCTTCAAGTTTTAGATGAAGAAGGTGATGATCACTGAGAAGGTGACTTGAGCATAGACTGGAAGGTGGTAAGATAATGGACAATGTGATGTGCTGAGGAGGAACATTTTAAGAAACAGTAACAGCAAGCACAATGGTGCTGAGGTTACGGTGACACTGGCTTATTTGATAGCATCAAGAAGGCTAATATGCTGAAAAGGAATGAAGATGGGGAGAGTAGCAAGAGATGAGGTCAGAGAGCTGGGGGAGGTGCAGCTTGTAATGACCTTCATGTTTACTCTGAGTAGGGATTGGGGGAACCATGGGAGATTGTGGAGTAGAGCAGTGACAAGCTCTGACATAAGTTTTAACGGATTGCTCAGGATGTGTGTGAAGAATAGACTGAAGCAGCAAGGGCAGAAGCAGGGAGATGAGTTAGGAGACTCTTGCAATAATCTGGGCAAAATATGGTGATGACTCAGGTCGGGATGCTAGCAGTGCAAGTGGCGAGATGTGTCTATATTTTGGATACATTTTGAAGGTAGATCTAACAGAATTTGCCAATGAATTGGATGTGGGATGTGAGAGGACAGAAGTTGATGATGACTGCATAGTTTCAGGTTGAATAACTTGAAGGGTAGAGTTGTCATTTACTGAAATGGAGTAGACTGCTGGAAAAACAGGCTTTATAGGGGAAGATTAAGGACACATCAGTTTAGCTCATGTTAAGTTTGAGATGCCCATTTGATTTTTAAGTGTAAATGTCAAGTAGAAGGATAAGAAGAAATCAGGAGAATGTAGAATGTAGTGAAGAAAATGGAGGATGACTTGACCAACCGTGTCCAGTGTTGTTGAGCAAAATTGCTATTGGATTTAGCCATAGGGAGGCCCTTGGCTATCTTGACTAGTGATTTGAGTGGAAGAGTGAAGGTTATAGACTGATGCAAGGCATTTCAAGAAAGTAGGAAAAAGAGAATTTGGAGGCAATGAGTATAGAGAAGTATTTTGTACAGTTTCGCTGTAAAACACAGGAGGGAAATGAGGTGGTACCTAGAGGAGGAAGTGGAGTCAGGAAAATGTTTTTAATATAGAAGAAATAACAGGATGTTTACATGTTGATGGAAAAATAAAATATACGAAGAAAGCTGATATGAAGGAGACAGAGGTAGAGATATAGAGAAAAGGAGGGACGAGGAGGGAGGGAAAGAGGGAGTCTGGGGAAGATATGTTGCTGAAGCAATGCCTGTAAGTAGGCCAAAAGAGGATGGGGTTGAGTGCACACGTGGGGGAGTTGGACGTAGATAGGAGCATGGAGAGGTCATCTCTGGTTATAGAAGAAAAGGTACAGATAGGTGGGCCTATGGGGTGAGGGAGCTTGTGAAAGATCTGTTCTGTTTGTTCTATTTTTTCAGTGAAGCAGAAAACTCAGTTGTTAACTGAGGATGAGGAGAGGAGGGGTGAGAGATGAGCAGAGGAGAAGTAGTGGTAGTCTTCTAGGACAGTGGAATGAGTGTATGGGCTTGGGAAACATATAATGCCAGGTAGCACAAATGGCTCACTTGAGACTTAAGAGGAAACATGCTGAGGAGCAAGTTCTTCAAGGCAAGCGGAGTCTCCAAGAGGGAAACAAATTATGGAAAGGCTAAAAAACACAGGGGTTTTTAAAGGCTTAAAATGGAAATGTTCTTACCTCATGTGGGTCATATTGTTTGAGGCTCCCACCCTCATTAAATTCAGTCAAGGCATCTTTTATCTTCTTGGAGGAATCTGAAGAGACACAATTCACATGTGAAACACTGGCAAATAGCTAATGGAAGCTGGGCCAAGTAAATTCTCCCTGTGTAACCATGTTTATGTTGGAGCTGCCCCTCAGTCCCAGAAAATCTGGAGAAATGTCACCCTCTTCTACCCTTTGTCCTCTCACTTCTTCTTTTCCATCTGACTTCCCCCCTGCATCTAAATTATCTTTCTGAAACACAAATCTGATCAGATCATATCCCTACTCAAAACCATTCAAGGGCTTTCTGTTCCCCCAGGATAAAGCTTACCATTCTTAGCTTAGAAGATAAGCCCTTAACTTGGAATACCAGCCCTTGGTGATTTTATTTATCCTATTCCTCATTTCCCTATTTACTCTACGTTTCAGCCATATCAAGTTACATTTCCAGACATCCCTGAACATATTGTGCACTCTCTCATGATGTTTCTTCTCTGTCTTGCAAATTTCACTCATTCTTCAAGATCCAGCTCAAATGTCAACTCCTTTGTAAAGTCTTCCTTTGCACCAGTCAGAGTTAAGCATTCCCTTCATTGGCTCCCACGTGACTTGTACACAACTATGTAATAGTGCTTGTCATATAGTGTTATAATTATTTATTAACTTGCCTATCTTGCTCATCTCCTGCTTCAGCTTTACCTTGAGAGCTGTTAACTGGCTGGTGAGTCTTTGTCTATCATACTAAGGTCTGACGTGTAACTAGGGCTCAGAAAAACAATATGTAGATGAGTATATAAACATCTGAGTGAAAATTTCAAAACATTAAAAATTCATTAAGTATGTAGGATGAGTGGGCATTAAACCCCATAAGGCTCTGTCCTTGGTGCTGAAACACTGTTGTACACTATGGCAAGATAGTTTCTTCTACTTCTGGAATCTTGACAACTCTGTCCCTTTTTTTTTTTTTTACCTGATTTTTATTTTTTATCTTGATGGATAAAATTGAGCTACTCATTCTGACACATAAAACATAACCTCAATTATGTCTCATAATTAGCATGGTTGATTTTATGTTCCCATGGTATTTCTCACATATTTCTGACAGCCAGAAGATTTTCCTCTGAAAGTTGAGGCCTCCACCCCCCGCCATGATTTCCCCTTAATGTTCCCTCTATGTTGCATTTACTTTGGAAGGGGATAAAGAAAGACTCAGATAATTCATCAAACATGGTGTTTTCGAAAATGCTGCTTTCCATAGGAAATCATTCAGAAGCAACTGGAGGCAAGACTGGCTGCTTCTTTTTGGAATTTTATAAAGGAATTGGGAATCCAGAAAAGAGACTCAATAATTGTTATTAAAAACACATTATGAATGCATCTTGTGCAGCTATCAGCACTCTAGACATCAAAGCAAACCAGGGTTTCTCTGACCTTGGCTATCCCTCTCTTCCAATATTGTGGGTAATTAAGAGCTTTCCAAGCTCCATTATTGTTGCTATTTAAACATCTGAGCCAAAGGACGATGTTATTAAAAGCTCACACAGTGTTTTTTGTTGCCCAGGCTCTTTGTACAGAGGGTTAATGTCTCTTAAGCCTAGGTAAAGTAGACATATTCGTGGGCTGGGCTGTTCTCCATGGCTTTGCTGACTTGGATTCAATCAAGCAGAAGTTCTAATCATTTCAGGATTGAGACATATTGAAATACAACAGGAAAATGCTTCTGTTGCCTAAAAATGGAAATTTCTTTCTGAAATTCAAAACAGATGTTGAAAAACTAATAGCTCAGTAAGAGCCAGGCAGCAGATGCTGTCAATTTGGGCTGCTTCCATTCAATTCAGAAAACACTAAGGAGGGTAAGATGCGGCAAGATACTGTTAATGGACTAGTGGGAAAGATGATCTAAATAACTGTGGTACTAATAGCTGTCCCTTACTGGAGACCTTCACCTGCATAGTCTCATAAACTCTCCTCTACTAATCCATGCAAGTATTTTCTTCAGTTTACAGATGAAGAAGCTGAAATTCAGAAAAATTAATTCGACTTGCTCAAGAGCCAGGGTTGTAACTCAGGTCTAGTCTGGCTCAAAAGTGTATGGTCTTTTCCCTTGAGCATTATTCACTATAGCTTCCTAAACATTTGTTAACATAAAGAAAGGTGTAATTAAGGGTGACACAATGATATGAAGTTCTATGAAACACCAAGTTGGGAAGAAGAAAAATTAAGATGAAAGTGGGGTAGGGGTGGGAACTGAGGCTGCCCTATAAAGGAGGTAGCATTTGAGCTGAGGCATAAAGAATTGGGTAAGGTTTATAAAGGCAGATATGAAGTGGAAAGGGTATTCTCGGAAGAGACCAAGGGAGCAACGGTGCAGAGATGGGCACCATAAAACGTTTAGGACAAGTCAGAACCAGAGAGTCATTTGTGGCTAGATTTGTGGGGGTCTTGAATGTAGAGTTAAGAACATTGATTTGAAATGGTTAAAGATTTTTTTGAGTGGTGAAATAATATAACCAGCTCTCTGTTTTCTAAAGACCACTCTGGAAACAGGATGAAAGAGAAGTTAGAATGAGACCAGAGCTCAGTTAACATCACACATATATGTTATTCCACAAGCAGCTTAATTATTTAGGAAAACAAATCCTACATTTTAGAATCTATTTTAATGGGAGGTTGTTAGCTCAGCCAAAATGGCTAAATAAAAAAAATAAAAATCTGAGAACATGAGTACCCCTGGTGTGACTTCTGCAAGAAGAGTGTAGAGTTAGCATTTTGATTGAGAACCAGTGGAGTAATTTCAATTGAATATATGATATTTTGATGTTCTCATCTCATTTTGGATATTCCACCATTCACTGTAGCAGAATTCCTTTGATTCTAAAGAGCTGCTGCTCTATTTTAAAAATCCTGCTTTATATTTAAATGTGTGATATATATACACACATAAATTCATCATATGTTCGCATAAAATAAACTGAGGTTTTAATAAGAAAAAAATAGAAAAGACATTTATTTTAAAATATCTGATTAATAGCCTGAAATTAAATGGAAAAAAAAAACACAGCCGGGCGCGGTGGCTCACGCCTGTAATCCCAGCACTTTGGGAGGCTGAGGCGGGCGGATCACGAGGTCAGGAGTTCAAGACCAGCCTGGCTAACATGGTGAAACCCCATCTCTACTAAAAATACAAAAATTAGCCGGGCGTGGTGGCACGTGCCTGTAATCCCAGCTACTTGGGAGGCTGAGGCAGGAGAATCACTTGAACCCAGGAGGCGGAGCTTGCAATGAGCCGAGACCGCACCACTGCACTCCAGCCTGGCAACAAAGCAAGACTCCGTCTCAAAAAAAAAAAAAAAAAAAAAAAACCACACACACACAACAAGAATCCAGGAGGTTTCTAACTAGCTTTCCGTGAGGTGGATTACTCATCACACATTTACTTCAATTTGCTTTATGGGCTTTCATAGGATTATAGTATCAATACCCTTTAAAAAAGGGAATCAACTTAATTCTCAAATTTGGGACACATTACTTTCTCCTTGGATGTCCTTATATACTTTATAACAGTTTTCTTCTTAATAGATGTCTGGGTTGGGTTTCTTTTTCCATGAGGAGTAAGTAGGTATTATGCATGACTAATCTGCTTCAGTGACAGCTGCTTTATTCTGTTTCATCTTAAGACAGAAAAGAACAACGAGGGAATAGCATCCCTTGGTCTTATTTTAGGTGTCATCTGTGGGTCCAATAGTATAACCTCACAGAAAATTCCTTTGTCAAAGCCTTTACCATAATACCAGCACTAGATTCAGAGGACACCTTGTTCCATTTCTGCCTGTAGAAAATAGGGCCATTTCCACAGCTCTTTGTAACAATTCCCATTTTGTAGAGTGCTTATTATATGCTAGACGCTGTCCTAGTCACCTTATATATTTTATTTAAATCCCCACAACTACCCTCTAATGTAATAATTATCCTTATTTTAGAGAAGAAACCGAGGCTTATGGAATTTAAGTGATTCTTTCAAGGAGACAGCTCGTAAGTCACACTTCTTAAACATTTCTAAATCATAGGCCATGGTTATTGGATTCACTGGATACTTGAACACTGGTAAGTTAGAAGCCAGGACTCTTCCTCTATGAAAGTGGCTCTCAAACCTGCCTGCATGTTGAAATCACCTGGGGAGCTCTATACACACTGTAACCCAGGTCTTACCCCAGGTGAATTAAGTCAGCATCTCTTGAGGAACCCAGGACACAGTATAATTTAAAAGCTTCCTGGAATTCAGATGTACAGTCAAGGTTGAGGACTGCCATTCTAGGACATGATTTTATTGTTGTAAATGAAGACTGTCCTAAAAAGCCCCTGAACTTGAATACTTATTGCCAAGGGAAAAAAAAGCTTATAACTTCTAAATTTAAAATTGCTGTGCTTGGCAGACATTATCCATTGTTTAAGTGGACAACACCAAAGAACTCTACCCAACAGGTCAACTTGTTCAGCTGCTTGGCAAGGTAGGAGCATGTTTTGCATTCACCCAGACTGTCAGGACTATCCACATACAGTTCTGTCCTAAATCGGGTGTTCAGAAAGTTTTTCTCTTTGATCAAGGTTACCAGTGCCCTAAGAAGTTTTCAGTCCAAAATTGTCTTCTATACTTTATGTGCCAAGAACTCTGGGACCTAAACCAAGCACTGTTCCTAGTGTTTGAGCAAATTCAAAGCCTTTTAAAGGGAAAAATTTGGCCCTACACACAGACACCTTTGTTGCCTTGTCAGTGTGGGACAGGGGTGCGTTCCATCTGAACAAGCAGACAAATCAGAGACTTCAGTGTTTACAGCAGAATATTAGTTGTGCTGCCAGGACTAGACCCCAAAGTTTATAGTCTGTTGTCTAGTTAAGAACACAGAGTAGGCCGGGCGCGGTGGCTCACGCCTGTAATCCCAGCACTTTGGGAGGCCGAGGCGGGTGGATCATGAGGTCAGGAGATCGAGACCATCCTGGCTAACAAGGTGAAACCCCGTCTCTACTAAAAATACAAAAAATTAGCCGGGCGCGGTGGCGGGCGCCTGTAGTCCCAGCTACTCGGGAGGCTGAGGCAGGAGAATGGCGTGAACCCGGGAAGCGGAGCTTGCAGTGAGCCGAGATTGCGCCACTGCAGTCCGCAGTCCGGCCTGGGCGACAGAGCGAGACTCCGTCTCAAAAAAAAAAAAAAAAAAAAAAAAAAAAAAAAAAAAGAACACAGAGTATTTGAGCATTAGACCATTAAACTGTTAAACTCCGAAAAAACTATAAATCAACATTTTCAAAAGTGAATCTGAAAATCCATATATGAGAGTGGAATTCTAAGGTACATGATAACTCTTCATTCCTCAAAGTTCTCTATGAGCTTCTCAAACTGTAATGTGCGTATGAGTCACATTGGGATCTGGTAAAAATGCAGATTCTGTAGGACTGGGCCACAGCCTGAGATTCTACATTCTGAATAAGATCCTAAGTGACACCAATTTTGCAGGTTCACGGACCTCACTTGATACGCAGGCTCTAAGCAATGTCCCTGTGGATCTGGGGCTGACTGCTGAGGCTTGCCTGTCACAACCCAGAAAAGACCACGATGCCGAGGACAAAGGAACATACTCAATGGAGTAGAAAGACCATAAGTGGTGGGCAGGGGGAGTCACTGAGACGAGGGGAAGGGAAAGTTGGCGCATGAGCAAAAAAATAAAATCTAGATTTTCCTTCTTCCAGTGAAGGCTGGGATGTAAGAATACATTTTCTAATTACTCTAGGAAGTTATACAGTGAGATGCACAAAAACAAGAGCAGAGTTTTGTGAGGGTCCTGAAAAATGTCAAAACAGAAGGGCCAGGGCCAAGAGCACTGCATCAAAAGGCCCACCTCTTCAGCCAGCTGGAGTCAGGCCTCAGAGCAGCACGTGGGAAGCACAGGGGAGAAGCCCAGCTTCATAAGCACGGATGTACTTGCTACACACATATTCTCCCATCTAAACTTTGTTTCTGCTCACTGTTCATCCCCAGCATGCAGCCCATTGCCTGGCAAAAAAAATAGATATTCAAGAAAGATCTATTGAATAAATGAAGGCTAGCAAAGGGATTGAGCTGGTCACACTTGTCCCACATGTCCTATATTCTCAGGGGTATGGAAAGAAAAGGTAGACTAGTGGTTATCAACCTTGGCTGCTTATTGAAATCACTTGCAGGGCTTTAAAAAATACTGATGCCCAGGCCCCTTGCCTACAAACTGTGATTAAATGATCTGGGAGGTGTGGGCAGAACATTGGAAGTATTCCAAGCCTTCCATGTGATTTGAACATGAGCCGAGGCTGAGGACCACTGACATGTGGAAGTGATGGCTCTGACACAGATGTTACATATGAAATAATAAGAAAAGACTTTATATAGAAGCAGAGGAAATTGGGGTCAATAGCAATAAAACGTTTTTTAAGACACAATTTTTTTGTCATAAATGATCTGAATCACTGGTATGACTTATTTGTGTAAGTAAAATTTGTATTGCTAGAACATTTTCTCACCTTTTCTCCAAATAATTTGGCTTCATCAGTCGTATTTCAAGTGAAGGTGGAGGAATGGATCAGACAACTTGGACCATCTTGCAACTAAAAGTGTGGTCCCTGGACCAGCAGCATCAGCATCACCTGGGAGCTTGTTAGAAAAGCAGATTCTCAGCAGTACCCCAGACCTACTGATTCACAGTCTGCATTTCAACAGCTCTCCAGGAGATTCATGTGTACATTAAACATTGAGAGCTATTGTTCCATAGAAATTCCTCCCTATCCGTAGATTCTGTGACTCCTGGTGGGCAGAGTCCTACTCATCGTTAAAAGAAAAAAAGGTCTGTGGTGCTGAAACACATGTAGGTGAGAAATAGTTATGGCTATCCTTCCAAGATAGAAGCAACTAGATATGACCCTTCATGGGCCCAGGACTTCATGAGCATTTGATCAAGTCTCACTCTACTGGCCAGCATAAATAGCAAGGTTTTAGTGACATTTACTTAGAGCCTTCTATGGTTCTACATATCAGCCCTAAATATGTTCTCTGACTCTGACAGTTTTGTATTTTGAACTGTAACTACATCTTAAAGTCAGAAACTTTGTCATAATCTGATTCGAAAGAAATATATTTCCTAATAGCACAATTTACTGATTGATTCTCTTTAATTACATCTTAAAATTTTGCTTTAATGTAATTTAATTGACATATACATATCTGCACACACACACACACACACACACACACACACACACACACACACACACACACATTAATGTATGTTTGAAGGTTGAGCTCCAGTGGGTACTTTTTGTTTAATTTGTTGTTGCTGAATTGAAGCAAATGAGTTTGTACTAGAATTGAGGGACTTTTGGTTCTAATTTCTATTTTACTATCGACCTTCTTTCTATATGACCTTGGGCAAGTCACTGAGCTCTTCTGGACGTAGTAGTCTCAGTTTTAAAATGTGTAATGCTTGGCATTGATATGGTTAAGATTTTTCCCAACTTAAAAATTCTGGCTGAGTGCGGTGGCTCACGCCTGTAGTCCCAGCACTTTGGGAGGTCGAGGCGGGTGGATCACCTGAGGTCAGGAGTTCGAGACCAGCCTGGCCAACATGGTGAAACCTTGTCTCTACTAAAAATACAAAATTAGCTGGGCATGGTGGTGGGAGCCTATAGTCCCAGCTACTTGGGAGACTGAGGCAGGAGAAACGCTTGAACCCGGGAGGCGGAGGTTGTGGTGAGCCGAGATCGCGCCGCTGCACTCCAGGCTAGGTGACAGAGTAAGACTCCGTCTCAAAAAAAAAAAAAAAAAAAAAGTTCTACACAGTCCAAGCAACTGCTGGCTGATGTAGGAAATGTTTGGTTTAATTTCTTAGAGAATTAAAAGTTTAATGGATGCTTCTTCAGTTGTTTTTCCTTTTTTCTCTTTCTGAATAAATGAATAGTTTCTGTCCTTGAGGCATCATGGAACTTTTAAGGAATTAACAAAAAATTGAAGAAAAAATGCCCACCCCCCAATGGCCACCAGCAATTATTGTTAGGAAGAGGGTCAGTAGGCGGCATCCCCACATGCACACACCCTCTGCGGTAGAAATCTATTTAAATATAGAAACCAAGTATTGGAGGAGCTAATGAAGGTCATTTAATCAACCAGATGACTAAAGCTGTTATCTCCCCTATAGTGTCCAAACAAACTCTCTGCCCAGACAGTTCCAGGGAAAGGAAACCCAGTCACTTTTAAGTCAATTCGATTCCATCTTGGGCAGATTTGACCACTAGTAATTAATGTATTCCACACTTTAAAGACTTCCTATAACTTCCTCCCATTAGTCCTAGGGCTACCTCTTGAAGCCATTCAAAATTAACTACACACCTCTTCCCACAACAGTACTGAGCTATTTTAATACAACGAGCTCTTCTTCACCTTTCCCTTCCCTTCTCCAACAAATATGCACAGTATCTTCATTTCTCCATAATGTGGTTGTGAGGCCCCTTACCAACTCTCAAACAAGTTCCAGGTTGTCCATGTCCATCGTAAACCATAGTGACCATAAATAAATTCAGTTCTCTAGAGAGGTCTGACGGTCTATCAGGGTAGGCTAGAATGTGGATATCAGTTTGCCTTACTAGGCACTGTGAGTCTATGAATACAGCCTAAGATTGCAATGACTGATTTGGTTAGATGAAATAGTACAAATGTAGTAAAAAAAAAAAAAAATCTCTGCAACCGCTAACAGCTATGCTTCTGAAGAGTACAGAATGATGTGGGAATGACTCATGATCGATATTGTGTGCTAGCCAGTTTCCAAAGATGGCTGCCATAAATTCTTTCCCTCCCTATGTGAGTCCCTCCTCCCTGAAATGTGGAGTCCGTTCCTCTACTTCACTGAATGTGAGCCAGGCCTGTGACTGCACTGACCAGTGGAATGTGGAGGGAGTTCCGTTCTAGGATCTCTGATCCCAGGTGCTAAAAAGATCTGACAGCAGCTTCTTCTGTGCTCTTGGAGCCCTGAGCTGACATGTTAGATTTCCAGGTTACCCTGCTGAAAAGAAAGGACATATGGAGAGGCCCTGGAAGACAAGAAAGTGCTGGAGAAAGAGGTTCCATGAAGGAACACTAAGGTCCCACCATGTGAGTGAATGAGCCATGACGGATGGTCTAAGTCCTCACTTGTTTGAGGCCTCCCCCTTGAAGGTCCAAACACTGTGGAGCAGAGATGAGTCATGCCCACCATGTCTGCCCAGGATCCTGACCCACAGACTCATGGGAAACCAAAATGGTGGTTGTTTCAGCACACAAGTTTTGAAGTTGTTTTGATGCTGCAATAGGTAACTGAAACATATTGTTAAGGGAAAGAAAACAGCATACAAAATAGCACAACATGCATATTCTCAAGTTTGTTTTACATGTGTATGTTGTATATGTGTATATATGTATATGTGCTTGCATATTTTGATATCTATATTTATACTTATATTTATACATAAACATGCTAGTGCTGGTTATCACTGGAAAATAGAATCATGAGTAGCTTTAAATTTCATCGTTTTATAATACAAATTTCTTAATATCACATTAGCTCTTTTGATAAGTACTTTACATTGTAGATTGATAACAAACTTACTGTCAGCTATATGTGTGTGTGTCTGTGTGTATATGTATGTACGTTTACATACAAAGTTAAGTTACTTGTCTCCAAGAGCAGTTTTAAGATGCCCCACCCTCACCCTATAGAAGGTCACCAGAGAAGGTGCCAACTTTACACTATATAAATGGAAAACAACAAGAGCCTCTCCTACCTGGTAACCCCACTGGAGAAAGTTCTCAATTCTCAGGCTGTACACTTCATTATTTTGTTATTGTAAAGCTCCTGTTTATGTGGTTACGGAAGAGTGGTTGCTATGGCAATGCAATCCGACTGAACACCAGAATGTGTCTAAAATTGGTGGGAATGACTTTTTCAGGGTTTCCTCTGAGGATTAATCATTTTGTAAGAATTGTATCTTTTTTTCCTCTCCTGTTCGAACAACAGTAGCAGAGTGCCTCATCCAGTCCCGCGACATGGACAACACGAGCAAGGGTCAGAGAAGGACAAAGGTAAATGTTTAAAGAAAAGGCCCAACCCCAACACAACCCTCTTCTACTGAATACTCTGGTTCCTTTTCATCCCTCCGCCTGCTCAGCGGCTTTGCTGCATTTGGAGCTCCTCCTTGCCTTTGCGCCCTCCATGCTGCACTCTTTTCCACCTACTTGCCTTTCTGGTTCTTCTCTCTGTGTCTTCTGCTGAATCCTGATAGAGGCATACCTTAAGCCTCATTCTCCAGCCTCTTCTTTTCTTTCCTAACATTCCTACTGTCTGAGTGCCTTCATTCATTTTCTTTCTCTCCTTGCCATCTCCTCGCATGATTCCCAAACCAGAGCTATGGACTGACCCCTCATTTCCACTCAAATCCCATCACACACCCTCCTGGGGCCTACAGGACATGTTTCTTAGAAAGCAGGATTCCCCAGGATGGGGTCCTACTTTCCTTTCTAGTTCTTCCCCCAACACTCCTGATGCCACCACCAACACATGCTCTGGGCTCCAGCCTGGGAGCTGCTTGCAGTTCTTGGAAGCTCCCATGATGTCCTCCACCCTGCCCTGCCCTTGCCCAAGCCACGTCCTCTACCCGGAATGCCCTTCTCCCTCCCTGCCCTACAGTTCCTGGAGTCTGGAAACAATGCGTGCATCAGGAGGCCTCCCACCAGGCTGAGCGGGGCCTTCTCCTCCCATGCTGCCCACTTCTGAGCACCGGCTATACTGCAGCACCCGTGCTTGAGTCCTGTTTGTCTTCCCCTGTGAGGCAGTGATCTCTTTGAGGGCAGGAACTGTGTCTCATTTATTGCTGGATCCCTGGAGCCTGGCACATAGGAAGGCGTAGTGGATGTGTTATCACCATCTCCAAATCAACAATCCCAAACATTCCCCATCAGCCCTGCATCCTGATGTCATTTTCTACAGATTCAGTCTGCAAGGTATCTTTGATGGCTTCCTTTTGTTGTACGTGCATTGATGATATTTCCACCACAGTTTCCCACGAATTAGCATTTGTTCATGGCCACACTCACCACCTTAGCTCTTTGGCTCAGACTAGGTTTCCTCCAAAGGATCCTGCCCAGTTCCCTGGCCTGGAAACTGCCTGATCCAAGGCACCCTGCACACAGTCTCCAGATTCCTGGCTCTAAATTTTGCCCACACTTTGACACACAAGGCCCAAGACCTCCTGCTATCCCCACGCCTCCTATGTCCTCCTCATTTTCTGTGCCTTCTCACCATCCAGCCCAGAAGCTCTCCTTACCCACCCCTGCACACCACAGGAATGCTTAGTGGGTGTGTTATCACCATCTCAAAATCAACATTCCCAAACATTCCTTTTGCTTCCATCGTTCCCCTTCCATCTGCTGCTCACATTTTAAACCTCTTTCCTCCATGGAGTTTATCCAGCTAAATCCTCTGTTATCGGTTCAACCGTGCCCTAAACCTCAAATTTATGTGTTGAAGTTCCATCCCTCAATAACTCAGGATGTAACCTTATTTGGGTTGTTGCAGATGTAATTAGTTAAGATGAAGTCATGACCGAATGGGGGGATCCAGGCCAATAAGGTTGTGCGCCTAGGAAAGGGGGAACTTTGGACACAGAGATATGCACACAGGGAGAATGTCACGTGAGGGCATGCAGGGAGAATACGGCCATCCGCAAGCCAAAAACACAGCCCTGGGATGGATCCCTTCTCCACAGCTCTCAGAAGGAGCCAGCGCCGCTGACTCCTTGATTGTGGACTTCTAGCTCCCAGAACTTTGAGACTATAAGGCTTAGAGACAATAAACCCACGCTGGATTGAACCAAATAGCAAACAACCCCCATACCAGTTTCCCTTGGTTTTTGATCCCCTTCTCGTTTCCACGCTTAGTTTATCCAGCTGTACCAGAGCTGTTTGCCTGCTGCCTTAAAGCAGTTCTCTGTGTCACGAGCACATTTCTGATGCCCTAACAAGATTCTGATTCCTCCAGGGTAGGCCTCTCCTTTGTGCTTCTTCTTCATCCCTGACAGGGCTTGGTGCTTTGCTGACCTACAGAGCTAGCTGAATTAAATTGAATTTACCCTGGAGGGTGATTTTTTGCTTCTTGTCAATATATTAGAGTTTTTCTAAACCCATGGGGGTCAGATGAGAGACCACAGGCTCTAGAGTACCAGGAGGGTGACAAACCATTAGCCCTATGGTCCCCTGTTGACCTCGGAGAGCATTCGGAGTCACAGGATGCTGGGCTGGAAGGGACCGCAGGGAGAGAACACTTAGTCCAACCCTCCCATTGTATAGAAGAGGTTGCTGAGACCCAGGGATGTTCAGGGATGTCACAGCATAGAGAGCAAGAGGCAGAGCTGGCACCTGAACTGGATTCCCTGACTCCTAGACCAGCGCTGGGGACAAGGACTGCCTACTGTGTGAGAAGGGGGACCTGTGCAAGAGCAATAGAGCAGGTCAACAGCTGCAGGCCTCATGATTTACAGAAGCATCAACACAGTTAATGTGAAGGGAGAGGCCATGGGACAAGGGCATGGAGCAGGCAGTGCAGCTGAGAGCTCTACAAGATGAAGGGCCTCCTGGAAAGTCAGTGCCATGCAGGGTAAGTGACGGTCACTCTGTGTGGGCAGCGTGCAGTGGTCAGGTGGTGTCCTGCCACAGTCCAGCAGGTTCCTCTCACCAATAAGGATTAGGAGTAACCTGAGGGGACAAGCCATGGGCCCATGTGTGGCTGTGCACCCTACCACCACTGTGTCTTGCACTGAATTGGTTCTGGGGCACAACTAATGGGAAACCAAGAGCCCCAAGTAAAAGCCCAAGCCTTCCCAAAACAAAGTCAAGAAAGAAACACACATTAGCATTCAGCATCTTACTGCAAGAAGGCTTTGGGTCCAAATGCAGGAATATACTACAGTAAACGATTGAGTAACATTGTAGCCATGCAGCATGCAGCCCTTCAAAATTATGCTCTGAAGAGCTTTAATGACCTGAGCAAATACATACGATATATTAGGCGGAAAATGCAGGCTTAACGCAGGGTGTATACAGTGTGAGCTCAACGGTGTAAAGCAATATGCACAGCAGGGAAGTGCTCTAAGATGTTTGCAGTGTTGTCAGTGATTTTTAACCTACTCTTTTTTTCTATGTATATTGCAAATTTCTATGGTGAGCACGTAGTATTTACTGAGCTTAAAGATAATTGCGTTTTTATGTTAAATACACTAATTCTGTGTTTATAAGGAAATATAAGCCGTCAGGCCTGACATCATTCTTTGTGGCTTTGCAATGATCATACTGCTATGCTTTCCAGAAATGATTTCTCCAGCCAAGAAGAAATCCCGTCCCAGGGCTGTCAATGCATTTACTCACATTCTGAATATTTCTGGAGTTGGTCAAATTCTTCTGGAGTGAGGGAGACCCACCGTTCTTCACCCATTTTTAAACTTTATGTGAGTGGCTAAAGGGCAGTGATGGAGTTTTGTTCACTAGGCTGAAGTGGAGGCCCAGCCCAGGGCCTGGCTCATTGCAGGTTTGCGATGTAAGCCTTTCAGGAGACTTCTGGGAGCACTCAAGTGTATACAGCAGCAGCAGGCACCTCTCAGAAGATGAGACAAGATCTCTGCTATTCCTTAGGCAACATCCTCCTGTCTGTATTCAAGGTAAATTCAGAAGTCCTGGCTCTTCCTAGATAGAAGCAGAAAAGACATTGTAAATGAGAATGTTAAAAAAAAAAGGCCCCAAATGTTCTTTGCTGAAAGATCTACAGGGGACAATTGTTCAATGGTTCTTAAGGATGGTTCTCCCCTTAGAGAGGTCTGAAGAGGGCACAACGACAGTTGTCTGGCTGGTGGTGAGAGTTGAGGGGCAAGCTGTGGCCTGTATGAATAGGTGGGCCATACTACTCAGCTCTGGGAAATGTTCCATGTGTCACATGAGAGGTGGTATTAGAGCTGCCTAAGAGCATCCTCAGGGCATAAAAATGCCTTAGGCTATTGGATGCTTCATGAGTAATTACAGGAACAGGAGCCTATGCAGCCGTTCTGTCCTGCACTGATTTCTAAATTCCACCGTGATAGCTCTGGTGAGCCATTCTGGAATAACCCCAAGGCTGGCTAACATCTAGTGACTGAAGCAGTTCTCTGTCCTCTTAGAGCCATAAAAAGGGAGTTAGAGGAATGGGCTGCTGGCCTCAATGAGGCCGGGAAATGGGGATGGATTCAAACAAACACTGAGCATCTTTTCCTTTGAGCCTCTCATACTGTGGGTCATTAAATCAGTTTTGTGGTTGTGAAATTGATGTAATGAGTCACAACAAGCATGTAAACACATGAAATGGAATAGGGTAGAATGAGATGGAGTCGAAAACACTAGAGTGCATCTACCACAGTAAGGGGATGTATTATGTCATAAGACTTTTCCTTCAGTTATACACCCATGGTTATACTGATCATATTGTGAAGTGTCTTTCTTATTCTCAGTTGAGGTTACAAGCATGGTTGGGAAGCCACCAACCTAAAAAGGTGAGAAATAAAGACCAACTGAAACACAGGCTCTACTGTTGCCAAAGAACAAGCACAGTTTTAACAAAACAGGATCCATCCTGAGGGCCAACTGCAAGGCAAGTCTGGGGTTCCTGGAGCATATGAGCAGTGCTGGATGAGACGACCAAGTTGGGAGGTATATATGGACCATTCTCTGGGGAAATGTGTAGACTGGTTGTTTTGGACCTGGAGAGTGAACTAGAGCTGAGGGAAGATGCTGGAGAGAGAGAGATTCTAGCTTTATAAAGAAAACCTTCCATTAACCAGAATGCATGGCAAGGAAATGAGAGACCCACATTCCTGGGGACATTAAGTTCTAGTCTCTCGCCCTGAGAAGTCCAACTCTCTCCTTAATCCAGCCAGCTCGACTCTGCTCCTTGGCACATGCTACTGTCAAGGTCATCAGTGACCTAGCTGCCAAATCCAGCAGGCACCTTTCAGTCCTTCCTCGGCTTGTTTCTCTCTCTGCAATCTTTCTTTGCCATGGCAGAAAACTTCCACCTAGAGACTCTCTTATGTTTCTGGGTGTTTCTTGTCAGTCTCCTTCAGCCTCTTCTTTTGCCATCTTTAAATATTGAAATGTTTCCACAGCAAAGATATAGAATCAGCCTAAATGCCTATCAGTGGAAGACTGGATAAAGCAAATGTAGTACATATACACCACGGAATACTACACAGCCATAAAAAAGAATGAGATCCTGTTCCTTGCAGCAACATGGATGGAGCTGGAGGACATTATCCTAAGTGAACTAATACAGGAACAGAAATCCAGATACAGCACATCTTCACTTATAAGTGAGAGCTGAACACTGAGAACACAGGGACACAAAGAAGGGAACAATAGGTACTGGGGCCTACTTGAAGGTGGAGGATGGGAGGAGGGAGAGAACTGAAAAACTACCTACTGGGTACTATGCTTATTACCTGAGTGACAAAATAATCTGTACAGCAAACCCCCGTGACATGTGATTTACCCATATAACAAACCTGCACAAGAACCCTTGAACCTAAAATAAAAGTTAAAGAAAAAATGGGCACTTCCAAAATCCTGTCCTCAGCCCTCTTCTCACTCTACATCCCTTCTCTGATGGACCTCATCCACCTCCAAGCTTTAATGACCCCCGGCATGCTGCGGCAGCCCTGAGCTCTCTCCTTGGTCTGAATCTGAATATTCAGATATTCAGATGCCTTAATCCAGATCTGTATATCCAACCATCTACTGTGACTCCCTTGTGTGTCCCAAACCACCCCTGATCTGCATCTTCCAGTGTCCCCAGCCGCTCGGGTTATGCCCAAGAGAAGCCAGTGCCCAGGTCAGAGGCAGGAGGCTCAGCTAAGCTCCTCCCCTTTTCTCTCCTGCCAAACCCAGGCACAGCTCCGGAGTTTGACTGTCCACTGTGTGCTCCCTCTTGTCCACCACACCAGCCCTGGCATTAACTCAGACCTTCCTTATCTCTTGCCTGGCCTTTGACAACAGCCTCCTGCTGCTCTCCCTGCCTTGCGCTTTGTTCTCCTCCCCTTGGTCTGCTCTTTAAATTGCCAACCAGATCACATCTCTCTCGGTAATAAAATTCTTCAGTAGTTTCTACTGCCTGTAGAATAAGATGTAATCTTCTTTTCATGATACACAAAGCTCTTTATGATCTGGCTCGTGATGATCAATTTAGTACGAAAGTGAGGAGTATCCTTTAGAAACCTTTGCCATCGTGCCAGGGAATCTAGCATTGCAACCACTGTCACCGCTGCTGCTGCTATCAATGAATGGACCTGTACTTTACTCTGTGCTATATGCTTTATATACATTATCTAATTTAGTCCTCTTAATAACATGTCAATTCAATATTGCTGTCCCTGTTTTGCGGATGAGAAAAAAATGAGGTTAGGTATTTAGTAAACATGGTGAGGAGAAAGAAGGAGCCACTAGTGCTTCTGTTTAAGAATGCCTCCTGCTGGGTGCGGTGGCTTATGCCTGTAATCCCATCACTTTAGGAGGCTAAGATGGGCGGATCATGAGGTCAGGAGATCGAGACCATCCTGGCCAACATGGTGAAACCTTGTCTCTACTAAAAATACAAAAATTAGCTGGGTGTGGCCAGGCGCAGTGGCTCACGCCTGTAATCCCACCACTTTGGGAGGCCGAGACGGGCGGATCACAAGGTCAGGAGATCGAGACCATCCTGGCTAACACAGTGAAACCCCGTCTCTACTAAAAACACAAAAAAATTAGCCAGGCGTGGTGGTGGGTGCCTGTAGTTCCAGCTACTCAGGAGGCTGAGGCAGAAGAATGGTTTGAACCCAGGATGCAGACCTTGCAGTGATCTGAGATTGCGCCACTGCACTCCAGCCTGGGCAACAGAGTGAGACTCCGTCTCAAAAAAAAAAAAAAAAAAAAAATTAGCTGGGTGTCGTGGTGCATGCTTGTAATCCCAGCTACTCGGGAGGCTGAGGCAGGAGAATCGCTTGAACCAGGGAGTCAGAGGTTGCAGTGAGCCAAGATCACACCACTGCACTCCAGCCTGGCGACAGAGTGAGAGTCTGTCAAAAAAAAAAAAAAAAAAAAAGAATGCCTCCATGGCCTGGGCATTCTGCACACCTTCAGAAGCACAGAGGGAGATCTAAGAGGACGCATAGGCACACTGCATGACAGAACAACACTGAACTAAAACCAGAAGGCAGAGAATTTGAATCTGGGCTCTGCCCTTCTGAGCTATTTCACCCTAGACATATTTTTCATCCCTTGAACTTTGGTTTCTTCATCTAAAACATGAAGATATTAATGAAAAAGCTTACTGGGTTGGTGTTAGGATTAAGTGGGTTAATATATGCAACAAACATAAAAACAAAATCCCCACCTGGTGCAATGCCTGCACATAGCAAACACTCAATAAATGATTGTTATTATCATCCAGTTGCAAATACAACATGTAGCAATGTGGCTTAAACGATCAGCTGAAAAAAAAAAAAAACCCAAAATAACCCCATTAAAAAGTGGGCAAAGGGCACAAACACACTCTTCTCAAAAGAAGACAATACAAGTGGCCAACAAACATGAAAAAATGCTCAACATTGCTAATCATCAGATACATGTACATCAAAACCATGACTATTATTAAAAAGACAAAAACAGATACTGGTGAGGCTTTGGAGAAAAGGGAATGCCTATACACTGCTGGTGGGAATGTAAATTAGTTCAGTCACTATGGAAAGCAGGTTGGAGATTTCTCGAAGAACTTAAAACAGACCTCCCATGCAATGCAGCAATCCCATTACTGGGTATACATCCAAAGGAAAATAAGTAGTTCCACAAAAAAGACACGTGCACTCATATGTTCATCACAGCACTATTCACAGTAGCAAAGGCATGGAATCAACCTGGATTTATCCAATTTATCCATTTATCCAATGATGGACTGGATGGATAAAGAAAATGTAATGCACATATACCATACAATACTACACAGCCGTAAAAAAGAATGAAATCATGTCCTTTGCAGCAACATGGATGCAGCTTGAGGCCATTATCCAAAATGAATTAACACAGGAATAGAAAATACCAAATACCAAATAGAAAATATGTGAAAACCAAATACTACATGTTCTTACTTATAAGTGGGAGCTAAACATTGGGAACATATGGACATAAATATGGAAGTAAAAGACACTGGGGATTACTAGAGGGGGCAGGGGGAAGGGGCAAAGGCTGAAAAACTGAAAAACTGAAAAATTGGGTACTATGCTCACTACCTGGGTGATGGGATCATTCATACTCCAAAGTCAACATCATGCAATATACTCAGGTAACAAACTTGCCCCTGTACCCCCTGAATAATAGTTGAAATTTTAAAAAATCAGCTGGCAGTAGTCAAGTAGAAAGTTTCTAGTATTGTGCCACAGGTTTCTGAACTTGATCTGATACTGCTCCAGGTTGTTGTAATTTTGTAATTGCTCATCAACCCTTATCCACTAGTTTTAGCGTCCACTAATGATTATTGCCTGGATTAATTATTACAATGATACTGATTTTCTAATTCCATCATTCCCTTTATATTTGTTAGTTAGGAGTCTATTGTAAGTAAGAGCTTTCCCTTCTGTTATTTATATCAATTTATATGTCTACTATAAATAAAGATAAATTATAAATATATAAAGAATATATATGTGTGTATAAAAACTGCATTTATATATAATATATATTTATTTTCACAGATTCTTATTTTATTCTGTGGGTTACAAATCTGTTGCTATCTTCGACTCTCAGATTATTCCAGATTTGATCAGTGGAAGCTCAGTCAAGGTGGCGATCTGTTCTTTAGATATATCTCAGTCATTTTTTCAGCACATCCTTATTTTCTAGCACTACAAAATGTTTCAGGCTCATCTCGTACTTCCTCAGCTCAAGTGCTAAAATCAGTCATTTCTCTAAGGAGTTCCTTTGGTGAAGAATGGCATTTGAAGCCAAAGCTTGGGTACCACGTATGCTCACTGCTGCTGGGGTGTCATTGCTTCTAGGCCCTATCAAGGACAGAGCTAGAAAATAGATGCGTGTGCTGGGCGTGGTGGCTCATGCCTGTGATCCCAGCACTTTTGGAGGCCGAGGCGGAAGGATCACTTGAGCCCAGGAGTTTGAGACCAGCCTGGCCAACATGGCGAAGCTCTGTCTCTATTAAAAATACAAAAATTAGCTGGGTGTGGTGGTACATGCCTGTAGTCCCAGCTACTCAGGAGGCTGAGGTAGGAGAATTGCTCGAACCTGGGAGGTGGGGGTTGGATGTTGCAGCGAGCCGAGATCCTGCCACTGCACTCCAGCCTGGGTGACAGAGTGAGACACTGTCTTAAAAAAAAAATAGATGTATGTACACAGATACACACACACACACCCCTCATCTCTCTCTCTCTCTCTCTCTCTCTCTGTTAAATACCTTGAGTTCATACTTACACCTCCAACTCCAGTCCGACATTGCAAAGTCAATTGTAGCCTTCCCTTCCTTCCATATTTTTTAACTATCTTCTCTAACAAGCTTTGTTTCCATCATCTACAACATACTTATTTGCTTAATACACAGAAAGTAGTTTCAGAATTGCCAGTCCACACCTCTGTGAAAAACAAAATAGACTTCAAGATTTGTTTACAGTTCTATTGTTTTCAGGCAACGGCAAATCCTCAAAATGCTACTCTCAAAAGTTACGTAGGTTAGTTCTTTCTCACTCCCATCAGTTTCTGTTTGTATTTCATTTTAGGATGTTTTCTTCATATCCACTGATTCTTTTTCAGTATGGTTCCAAAGTCAAAACTATATAGAAAGATATATTCAGCCAGGCGTTGGTGGCTCACACCTGTAATCCCAGCACTTTGGGAGGCTGAGCCAGGCAGATGCTTGAGCCCAGGAGTTCTAGACCAGCCTGAGCAATATGGCAAAACCCCGTCTTTACAAAAAATACAAACAAAAAAATTCACCAGGCATGGTGGTGTGCATCTGTGGTCCCAGATACCCAGGAGGCTGAGGTGGGAAGATCACCTGAGCCTGAGGGATCAAGGCTGCACTGAACTATAATTGCACCATTGCACTCCAGCCTGAGCAGCAGAGTGGGATCCCGTCTCAAAACAAAAACAAAAAGAAAAAGATATACTCAGAGAAGTATCCCTCATTCCTCTTACTCTTTTCCCATCTCCTCTTTTCTATCTTATTCTCACTTACCCTTATAGTATCTAGTTTATACTTCCTGTGTTTAGTTTTGCACATGTGAGAAGATATGTGAATATCTTATTTCCCCCTTTCCTCCTCCTTCTCCTCCTCCTCCTCCTCCTCCTTATTCTTTTTCTTCTTCTTTTTTTTTTTTTTGAGGCGTGGTTTCTCTCTGTCACCCATGCTGGAGAGCAGTAGTGGAATCACAGCCCACAGCAGCCTTGAACTCCTGGGTTAAGCAATCCTCCCACTTCAGCAGCCCCCTCCCAGCCCTCCCAGTAGAGTAGCTGGGACTAGAGGTGTATGCCACTATGACCTGCTAATTTTTTTTTTTTTTAACTTTTTGTAGAGACAGTGTCTCACTATGTTGCCCAGGCTGATCTCGAACTCCTGGGCTCAAGTGATCCACCTGCCTCGGTCTCCCAAAGTGCTGAGATTATATGTGAGCCTCTGTGCCTGGCTTCCCTTTCTTTCTAATACAAAAGGTAGCACATTATAGATCATCATCTGCATATTGTTTTTTCACCAATCAATACATCCTATGAATCACACCATACCTGTTCATAGAGATCTTTCTCATTTAGAATTAAATAGGACTCTGACACTTATCTCCTTAAAATCCTTCAGAAGCCTCCCTTGGCCTCCAGGAAAAAAAGAGCTGTCTCCTTAGCTAGTTCCACAAGGTTCTTTACCTGTGGTAATAACTCACCTCCCCATTCTCACCCCCATTACCTCCTGCCCCACACACTCCACCTTCCAGCCAAATCTACCTTCTGTCTACTCTTAGCACTAGCAAAGTGCCTGGATGTGGGAGGACCCCATAAGCATTATGGCCTGACAAACACACCATGCCTTTGATCTACTTGAAATGCCCTTTACTCCTTCCTTCCTAAAACAAATCTCTACTCATCTCTTTAGATCCAGATTAAAAGGTCACTTCTTTTCTATAGCTTTTTGGAACTCTTTGAGCAAATTTGCCTGTTCTCCCAGCTGTGTTCCACAGAATCCTATGTATTTCTCTATTGCGGTGGTTGATGATTCCCTGTGGGGGACAGACACCCAAACAGCTATTAATAATTAACATACAAGCTGGCAAGAGAAGTGGTGCAGATATGTCCAGAGATTTATGGGGTCATCTAATGTGTCTGAAGCAGGCACAAATAATCAGGAAAAGCTTCCTGAAGGAGCTGATGCTCCTGCTGAGGAGGGGTGACGAGGTGATGTGGTATACATTGCTATAACTCAACAAATATTCATATTATCATTATCATGGTTGTTCCATTGTAGCTCAGTGCTTGAATTCACAGTGGAAAAGGCTACACCATTCTTTTTTTTTTTTTTTCTTGAGATGGAGTTTTGCTCTGCCGCCCAGACTGGAGTGTTGTGGCATGATCTCAGCTCACTGCAACCTCCACCTCCTGGGTTCAAGTGATTCTCCTGCCTCAGCCTCCCGAGTAGCTGGGACTACAGGCACCTGCCACCACGCCCGGCTAATTTTTGTATTTTTTGTAGAGACAAGGTTTCACCACCATGTTGGCCAGGCTGGTCTCGAACTCCTGACCTCAGGTGATCTGCCTGCCTCAGCCTCCCACAGTGCTGAGATTACAGGTGTGAGCCACTGCGCCCGGCCTTACACCATTCTTTATTTCCTTCAAGAAAAGTTAGGGGCCTAAAACATTGCCTGACTCTCCAGATGGTATCCCACGTGACAGCCCGCCTCTGCCTTCTGCCCTTTGATGAAGGTGACAGCTGACAGCCAGGAGGGCTTTCTCTAGCTCACGAAGCTCGGCACTTCCCTCAGCAGCCTGCTCCATCACTCCCCTCTCAGAGGCTCTTTGTAGTATGAACAATCTTCTTATTACCACCCCAAGCATCTTTTCTGACAGAAAAAATTGAATAGGATTTTCTAAATAAAACTCAGATTGGATATTGTCTGACTTGGGTAGGAGAAGAGTATTTTATGTCTCTACAGCTATGTCACTCTGAGCAATTGCTTCAGCTCCTTTGGCCTCAGTTTCCTTGTCTATGAAATGAGGGGGTGGGAATAATGGTTTCTAATGCATTTTCTAGCTCTGCAATTTTATATACTGGATCAAATTCTATTTGTTCTGTACGGATGTCAGCATGGAAATCACAAGTCAGGAGGAAGAAGGCAAATTCAATGAGTATTGAATTGCACCCTGGGTCTCTCTATTCATTTGAATGAATCAGCCATACCCAATTATCCAGGAACAAACACCTCCTCATCTCCTCTTTGCTCTCCTAAAAACATTAATTCATGAATATGACATCAGATTGGAGAAGCCTATTTATGTGCATTTGAAGGTTTATTACAAAGCCATAATGAGTACATGTTCATAAGGGAAGAAAGACTAAAAGCTACAAAGATAAAAACCTCTTTCTCTTCTCAGACTTGTGGAAAGTCGCAACTTGACAAGTGCCCCATCTCTGGCTTTAACTCCTACTGTTCCTTCTTCAACTCTATAACTCTTATGCAGGCTTTGGAGTTTAGTTCAAATTGCACCTGAAGATGCCCTCTTTAATTGCCCAGACCTGGCTGGGCATATCTTGTCTGCTCTCCAGTAGCACTTTGGGTTTTTCTCCATTATGACATTTACTGCAGTGCATGTACTTACCAACTGTCTTCCCTACAGGACTTTGAACTCCTTCAGGGCAGAAAGAGTGTCCTGTCTGCTTTGCACCTCTAGCTACTACAAGATTTCTAAGAGTTCATTTTTTGACACTAGAAAAATGATTCTCAACCTTTTATTGACCAAGATCATTTTCATGGAGTCAAAGTTCCTACCACATCTATTTACATGTCCCTATAGAGGAGGAACTGGGTGATAAAAAGAATTCAAGAAGAACAGAAGATGCAAGTTGCAGTACAATTGTTGATAGTATCACTTACAAGTCACTTAATTTACCATAAAATATACATCAACACTCACATTTTATATTAAAATAATGACCTACACAAGTATAGGCTATCAGGGTTATAAAGTTATAACAGATATAGACTTATAATCAAGTTACTTTATTATGCTTAATCTGATAGTATTTTGTAAGTTACATAAGTTGCTTGAATTTATCAATGAACTGTCACTATTGTGGTCGTCATTTACATTGGTGGTCCCCCAAACCATGCTTCCTGATATTTATGCCCTTTCTAGTTTCTTCCCTTGAGTCCGGGCTGCACCTGTAACTTGCCCTAACCAAGAGAGTGCATTAGAAGTGGTGCTGTGCCTGTGTCAAGCATAAGCCTTGAGAAGGCCCACTTCTGAGTTCCTAAGGGCACTGAACTGCCATGTAAGAAGTTCAGCCATTTTGCTGGAGAGATCACATAGAGACCACATGGAGAGGCCACGTGGATGAAGGGAGATCTAACATTACAGAGAGGAGAACTGAGCAACCCATCTGATGACAAGAACTGAAGCCCAAGATGTAAGACCCCAGTCAAGCCATTCCAGCCAGCACCCAGTCATCTAAGTCATCCTAGCTGTGTTGTGAGACAAGAAGCCATTTGGGATTTCACAGCCTTGGCAGACATCACACGTGGAGCAGAGATAACCCATCCCCGCTCAGCCTGGTCTGGATTCCCAATGCACAGAAACACATAGACGAATAACATAATTGTGGAGCAACAAGATTTTGGGGCAGTTAGTTATGTAATCGTAGATAACCAAGACAACTACACAAGCACTTTTAGGGGCAGGTTATGCATGTGTCTATTTGGCAACAGAATCTGCATGATTCATGCTTGAACTGCAACTTATTCATGTCTTAAAATCTAGTAGTTGGAAAATTATAGGCTAAAAATACCTTCGATGCAAATATGTATCACTGCCTGCTGTAGGGTTAGCCAAATATCCTTCACAAACTAATATGATAATTATGAAGTCAAGTGAACTATAATTTCTAATTAATAAGCAAGAATAGCAGTAGCTGAAAACCACAACCAACTCAAAGCAAGACTGACATGCAATGACAACAACGGGGCCTTCCCCAGGTCACAGGATTCTAACCATCTACTTGAGTGTGGGGGCTGTAGCTGCTGAGCATTTAGAAGCAGCCTGATTTCACAGATAACTGAATTAAAGCCCTTGGGGAACTTTGCAATGATCTAATTTAAGTTTATGAGTGGTAAATATGAGTAATACCTAATAACTCATTTAGCATATTACTGGCATGTAGTCCTTAAATAAACATAAACACAAAAGTCTTGGGATTGCATTCTATCCATAAGAATTCAGAGAGGATTTTCATTTGAGAGGTACTTTGTACACCATTAGTGGCCTCAGAGTGAATGTGAGAATCTCTGCCGCAAGATAGTCATGAAAATGTCAGGCTGAACCAAATGCCCAGGTGGGGGAGCTGGGAGTGGCTGGTACCCAGAAAAAGCTTTTGGGCTCCAAGGAGAAGTTGAGGACTGCTACTTTGGGGGTCTGTCTTTGGCACAGGCAGGCAGTGTTGGTCTAAGAAGAGTGTTTGTAGCTCAGGGGCATCACAATCTGAGGATTGGTCATTCATTCATTTGTTCACTTGCTCAACAAATCACTGTAATAACAAGCAATAGCAGCAACCTCCATTTATAGATTGCAACACATCTTGCGCTTTGCAAACTTCATCTGTAATAGTCACCAAACCCTGTGAGGAACGTATGTTTTATGCCCATTTAACATCTGTAGAAGCAGGCCCAGAGTAATTCTCCCAAGTTATCCTACTAGTAAATGATGAGACTGTATAGGAATCTAAGTCTGTGTTGTTCAAAGCTCATGGTAACATCTTTGGATGAATGAGTGCTGAGTACCTAAGTGTTGAGCCTGTGCAGGTACAGATGCCATTAATAAGCCACCTGTGGAGATGCCACGCCCTGGTCCTCAACATGGAAGGGGAATGGAAGCCAGAATAAAAACCATGGCCTGTTCCTGAAAAGCCAACATTATTTGAGGGAGGAAAAGCTATATTATATTAAACATGAGCACAGAATGGAATAGAATGCAAAATATCCAGGAAATTTGTAGGCAAAACATGGGACTTCGAAAGAAAACCTTGCTCTTGCCCTGGGGCCACCTCTGTGAATCCTGGGAGAGTTCACTCAGCTTCACCACTTGGGGCCCTTAACAGTGGAAATTTAAGGAAGCAGGGTTGTGAATAGCAATGGAAAAGTCTGATTCTGAACTCCAGTGCTGAGGGGCTGATGTAGGGAAGGGATTGTGAGTAGAGGTCTCCTTTATGAAATTACTACCTGGGGAAGCGTCTGCCCTAGACTCATGCCCTGTGTCAGGGAGACTTCTGCCCAGAGCACCAAGCACAAGTCTGACTTTGGAATTAGAGACCAGAATTCAGATCTTGGCTCTATCCTATATAACTGTGTGACATTAGCAAGTTCTTCTTCATCTCTAAATGGGAATGGTGAAAATATTAACACATGCTTCCCAAGGTTATTATGAGATTATTTGTATAATGTTTATTATGGTTTGAATGTTTGTCCTCTCCAAAATTCATGTTGAAATTTAATCTCCAAAGTGGCAGTATTGAGAGGTGAGGCCTTTAAGAGGTAATTGGGTCCTGAGGACACTGCCCTAGTGAATGGATTAATCCATTCATGGATTAATGGTCTATCATGGGAGGGGAACTGGTGGCTTTATAAGAAGAGGAAGCGAGATCTGAACTAACACGTTCAGCCCCCTCACCATATGATGCCCTGTACCACCTTGGGACTCTATGTAGAATCACCACCAGTAAGAAGGGCCTCACCAGATGCAGTCCCTCAACCTTGGACTTCTCACCCTCCATAACCGTAAGAAATAAGTTCCTTTTCTCTGTAAGTTACCCAGCTTCAGGTATCCCGTTATAAGCAGCAGAAAATGGACTAAGTGTTTATGAGAGCATCACTAGTAAAACTTTCTGTCAGTGGCTTTGAAAGCGTGGTCCTCATCCCAGCAGCATCAGCACCACCGGGGGAACGTGTTAGGAAGGCAAATTCTTGGAACCCGCACCAGAGCTAGAGAAATTCAGGGAGGGTCAGCAACCTGCCTGTGTTTTGTAATCACTGCTTTACATTAATGTAAGGAACAGGACTAAGAAGAGAAACTTGGAGTATCTGGAGCTATTTCTTTTTCTTAATGGGGACCTTAAGCAGACAGATTTTGGGTCTGTCAAATCAGTTCCACTTTCCTGAGGCAGTAAAACATTATAGGGAAGCTGGAGGCCCATGACTGCCAGAAAACTGTCATCATGCCACACTCCTAAAATTGTCATGTTATGACTTATATTCCCTGCAGAATTTTCCTTTCTTTCCAATCTGGATGTGTTTTTCATACTCCTTCTATAACATTTTGTGCAAAATATTCATCTAGAGAAGGCATAGAACAGGTAAGATTTTCCATCATGAAGCAAATGGACAAGAAACAAACCAAAAATCCAAGAAGGTAAGAAAATGACAGCTCCATTAAGGCTAGCAGCTCATTCCCACACCAGAAATGGACCTGTCAGCGAAGAGACATTGCAGAGCCCTGGGCATGAGTATGGGGCTTGGGCAGGTCTAGAAAGACAGCTCTGTAAAAATGCCTAGGTATTGTGGTGATAGCGGCGTGGTATGTACGTGTGTGTGTGTTTTAACAGTAACCGCAACAAAACCCCACTAAAGAGAAAACACTCAAGTTTGGAACGGTGTGTAAAACCACGCTCAGCTTGGTAAGTTCCCATGGAGTAGAAGGAACTTGAGGTCAGCCATCCAGTCATCATTCTCCACTTCATGAAGCGCTTGTGTTCTCCCTCCCCTCTCTCTTCTGCCAACGCCTGATCTCCTATTCTCTAATTCTCCTTTCCTTTTCCTCATCCCCTTTTTGTTTCCCATAACAACATAAACAGCAGCAGCCGCTTACTGAGGGTCTACTATCTGTTCTATATTAATGCAATCCTTAAAATAATCTCTCAAGGTAAGTAATATTACACCTGGGACCAGGTTCCTTGCAGGAAACTGAGCAATCATTCAAACCCATGTCTGTCTGAATGCAAAGCCCATATTCCCCCACCCCACCCTGCATCTGTACTGCTTCTCAGACCTACAGAGATTATTAGTACCATCTCTAGATTGTAAACTGATGGAGGGTGGATTTACTGGTTCATTCCAGAAACCTAGGGCTGAGTTTATGGAAGGCTCTGGGTAGCCAGGTGCCTCTTCCTCCACCAACCAGCAGTGTCCTAATGGGCGATTATGTAGTAATGATTCGGCACTGTGGACAACAGCATCTAGAGGTGCATACACCTCATGCCTAGCCCAGACAATATGTCCCTGGATGGCCTCCTCTACCCCAGAGGTGTCTAGAACCCAGTTTGAAATAAATACTTCATTAATATTCAGTAACCTTTACAATGTGACAGATGGTCCTAAACAACTTGCACAAATTAGCTGGTTGACTCTTCATAACAACTCTGTTAGGTGGATACAAATATTATGCTCATTTTAAAGCTGAGGAAACTGAAACACGGAGGTTAAGTAACTTGTCCTAGGTCACAGAGCTATTAATTAATGAATCCAGGATTCCAATCCTGGATTGGAATTATGTTATATGACACAAAGTTAACGGGCATTGGCTTGTGGCAGTACTTGGCATAAGAAAGTCATCGAGAAAATGCAAATATATCTGTAATAATTTTAAACATTGTCATTTGAATAAAGTACAACATTGAAATCATTTCACAGGGCACTCATAAACCCCGGTTACAGAAACACCACAGCTTGATGGGGTTTGGAAACCAGAAAGGAAGAACAAATTAATTTTCTAAAGCAAATAAAAGGTGTTGTAAGACCTGGAGCCCTTGGGTCTAACCCAAGTCCTGGTATTTATTAGCTTGCCCAGGCTGGAGTGCAGTGGCGCGATCTCAGCTCACTGCAACCTTCGCCTCCTGGATTCAAGCGATTCTCCTGCCTCAGCCTCCCAAGTAACTGGGACAACAGGCGCCTACTACTGCACCTGGCTAATTTTTTTTTAATGTTTTTAGTAGAAATGGGGTTTCACCATATTGGTTAGGCTGGTCTCGAACTACTAACCTTGTGATCTGCCTGCCTTGGCCTAAGCAGTCAGTTCTACTCTCTATGCTTCAAGTTTCTCATTTGATAATTGTGGTGAGTGAAATAAGTAATATTTAAGCTCTTTTTAAACAGTAATTTCATTTTCCTTCCAGAAATGTTAGACATAAACCCTTTACTCTTGCCACATGGTATCTCGTGCCACCATTTTAGGCTGGGGAATGCCTTTTGTTTTCATATTCATTTAAAGTATACTCCATTGGATGGAAACAACAGTAAGATACTTTTGCCACCTACCAAATTGTTAACAACTTAAAAATAGTTAATATCCTTGTTGGTAGAAAGGAAGGAAACAGAAACTGTCCAATGCTGCTGGTGTGGAAGTAAATTAGCCAAGGTAACGCTATATGCCAATAGCCTTAAAATGTACATTTCCATGACATTTTAGTTCTATAAGTTTATCTTAAGAAAGCAACTATGGACAGTAATAACAGTATCACTTTCGCAACTACTACTATTATTTCCACAAGATTTCACCTCCCAGGACATTTGTGGCAGCACTGTTTAAAATAGCAAAAAATCGAAACGATTTAAATGCCACACAATATAGGATTAAATAGCTTTTAGTATGTACATCTAAAATATTAAACTATACATATTTGTAGTAGGTGCTGAACTGTGCCAATCAGATCTCCCAGATACTTGGGAGTGGTGCTGGCAGACAGCTCTCACCTGTCAATTCTTTTCAGGAATTGCCTTAACTCTAAAAAGCTGCCTTGTCCAAGGTCATGTCCCCTTCTTGGGCAGCCCACACCCAGTGACTGGATGATACACAGTGGTACGGTATAAAAGCCTGGTCATCTCACCCCAACTGGGAGCAACTCTGCAGGACCATCTCAGTCCAACTTCTCCCTTCACCAAGTTCCATTTCTGTCCTTTCCCTTCCACGAAGGGTGATCCCAAGCGTACTCCCTAATAAAACTCATTAACACTTCTGCATGACAATCTCCATCTCAGAATCTGTATCCCAGGAAATTTCATTGGCAGCAATATGAAAATTAAGAAAAAGATCCATGCATTCTTAAGTAACTCCATGTTTAAAAAAAATGTAAATATGAAGATTTTAAATATCAATGTAGTAGATTACAATTTGGTTAGAGCAATGCTTAAAGGACACTTTGCAGCCTTAAATAAATTTCTTAGAAAACAAGGTAGATGAAAACAAAAATGAATGAAGCCTCCAACTCAAGAAGCTAAAAAAGGGACACAAACGAAATCTAAGTGAAGCCAGAGAGGGCAGTAATAAAGATAAGGGCAGAGATTATCAACTAGCACTCAAAACAAAACAAAAAACTGGACAGTTTTGGTTAAAAGCAAAAGTCCTTTTGGTTGTTAATATTGTTGAAAAATCTAATAAAATAGGCAATCCTTTGGCAGAGTATGAGACAGAGAGAGAGAGAAGGGGAAGGAGGAGGAGGGAGAGGAAGAAGAAGAACCAGTAGCAATATTTGGAATGAAAAAGAAGACATAACTATAACGTAAGAGATTTTATTAAATTATGAGACACTACTATATTCAACTTTATAGCACCACTTTCAAGAACCTAGATAAAATGGGAAAATTCTGCAAAAGTATAAGTGATCAAAAGTGACTCAAGAATTAGAAAAGCCTGACTAGTTCAATAATAGATAAAACTGAACCAATATTAAAAGGTCTACTTGCCCCACCCTCCTGGCCCAGACAATATTACAGGCAGTTCTAAGAGTCATCAAAAAACAGATAATTCTTCTCTTACATAAACCATTCCAGAGCATAGAAAAATATGTTAAGTTACAATTTATTCTATGAGGCTAGCATAACCCGGTAACAAACTGAACAAGGAAAATACAAAAACAAATTATAGACCAACCTCATCTAAATAGAGTAAAACCCCACATAAAATAGTAAAATTCAGTATAGCATTAAAAGAACAATAAACAGTTTATTTCAGTAAGGCAAGACTGGGTCAATGTTATAAAACCTATCAATATACTATATTAATAGAATATAAGAGAAATTCATATGACCATCTCAATATATGTAGAAAAAAATTAACAAAATTCAACACTGAAATATAATAAAAAAACAAACAAAAAAACAAACAAAACCTTTAAGCACATCAGAAGGTAAATGAAACCTCCTTTAACTTCATGATGGCTATCCTCCAAAATCCCACAGCAAACTTCATATTTAAATGGTGAAATACTAGAAGCATTACCATTAAAATCAAGGACATGATAAGGATGCATGTTAGAAACTCTACTATTCAGCAGTCTCAGTCTATGAGAGATCCCAGTTAATGCAATTAAATAAGACAAAATTAGAGGTATATAAATTGGAATAGAAAAGGCAAATCTGTCATTATTTTTAAGTGATATGATAGCAAACCTAGAAAAACCAAGAGATCACATAAATATAAATTATTAAGGGATCTCAGCAAAGTGACTGACACAAAATCAATATTAAAAAATTGCTGCTTTCCTTTACACTAGCAACAGCCAATTAGGAAATATAGCATAATAGAAAAAGATCTTTTTCAAAATTTTAATAAAAAGTAGAATGGGCTGGGCACAGTGGCTCATGCCTGTAATCTCAGCACTTAGGGAGGCCGAGGTGAGCAGATTGCCTGAGCCCAGGAGTTCAAGACAAGCTGGGAAACAGGGCAAAACCCTGTCTCTACAAAAAATTTTAAAAATGAGCTGGGTGTGATGGTGTGTACCTGTAGTCCCAGCTACTCGGGAGACTGAGGTGGGAGGATCCCTTGAGCCCAGGAGACAGAGGTTGTAGTGAGCCAAGAACGAGCCACTGCACTCTAGCCCAGGCAACAGAGTGAGACCCTATCTCAAAAAAAAAAAAAAAAAAAGAAAGAAGGAAAAGTAGAATGTACATTGGAGTGAATCTAACAATTAATGTGCAAGACCTTCATGGAGAAAAATGGAGAAACCTATAGGCATTTGTAGCAGGACAATAGGGAAATCTAAATAAATGGATACATATTTTATTCACGGATAGGAAGGCTTACTTTAGTTCTGGTACTTACTAGCTACGTGACTGGTAAAATTTTTGAAATCTTTGTCTATCTAAGCCCTAGTTTATTCATGTGAGTGATAATGGAATCTCCCTTGTGGAGTTTTTTGTGACTATTAGAACTAGTAAACGTCATTTTAAAAACCTCTCAAAATTACATGCAATATTTGTAGTGGTACAAATATTCTTATGTAACTGAAAAAAGAGAGATGTGAAAGGATGTACATGAAATGTAATCATGGTTACTTCCAAGAAATACATAAAGTTTAGAAGTTGAGGTTTTGTTATCTGTAACTTTTTAATTCTTTTTTAAAAAGGGAATGTATTAATGTATTATTTATACTTTTTAAAAATTTGAAGGAAAGTCCTTATTTCTACTATCTAGGTCTGCTTCTTTCTATTTTTTTCTGGCACAACTCAATCTTTTCAAAGTTTACGTACATTGGTTAGAGATGGAGGCTTACGGAACATTGACTTGAAGGCAGATACCCAAGCAGTTACTGCATGGAACATATCAATGTATACTATGTATGAACATGTGTAATGTATGTGGGCTTATAGGATAAACAATATGTATTATGTCTTTTCATTCTTTATGAGTATTATTTATATACATGAGAATTTTAGTATCTGTGAACGATGCATGAATGTATACCATTGTTAAATAAATGAATCACCTTCACCTAAAGTTCCCCTACACCAGAAATTATAGAGGACTTATTCTACCTTGAAATCCTGTTCTATCTTCTAGTTAGTTTATCCTTTCCTATAAAGTTGGTTAAAATAATGATGTTCAATGGGCAATTATGCTTGTGCATTTATCAAGCTTTTAGTATGTTTAAAATACTCTGCTAGGAGCTATGGGGGAGGCAAAGATGAATTAGGATTACCTTAGCCATCAGTGAACTTAAAGCCCATTGGGGATATCACAGAGCTTCCATAAAAGCTATAGTACTGAGCTGTGTGTGCTAAGGGCTGTGGAGCTCAGAGAAAGAAGAGCTCAGACAGCGATGATGTTGACATGGTTGACTGAGAAGAAAGAGCAGAAAAGACTCCTGTTTACTAACTGTGTCTTACATGCCTCCACCGGAGAGAGGAACTACTAAAATCAAAACCTCAAGACTCCTAAATTGGATGTAACTTTAAAAGAGGTTTTTTCATGCTATGAGATTATGTTTTTGTATTTTCAATTTCAATAAAAAATACAGCTAATGGGTTCCTCAGTTCAAACTAATTAGGAATGTGCTATTTCATTTCCCCCAAATCTTCCAAAATAATGAGCCCAGCTTACTGAAGCATGTGTGTGGGTTGTGGGGGTGGGTGGTATGCCAAGAGGCCTGTACGCTGGGGCCTGTGAGATATTGAAGGTTTCTCTGCTGCTCCTTTGTACCACTGGCTTCTGATGTGGAGCACAAAGTGTCAGCAGTACCCGGAAATCTATATCTGCCAGGAAACAGAAAAGAGTATCACCCCAAGCTCCAACAAACCTGAGTCAGCATGTCCTCCATGACATTTCCTATATTTGTGGTCTTGAGCATACTATTTATTCTACCTAATCTCTTGAGCCCAAGTTTCCTCATCTGGAAAATGGGAATAGTGGTATCACCTTACACAGTAGGATTAAAGATAATGAATATAGGTTTCCCAGGGCCGTGCCTGGCACAGGTCTCCACAGATGTTAATTCCCTTCCCTTCCTCTTTATCAGACACAGGTAAATGTGCCAAGATTCCCTGACCCCTTGAGTGTCCTCATAAAATGGAGAAGTGGTTTAAAATGAGAGAAAGTATGAATTTAGAGATGAAAAATCTTCGAGGAAGAGGATGGGAGGGAAAGAAGATGCTTTTCAGTACCAGCTGTAGAAGACAAAACATTGTAAATTTTCACCTTCATCTCTAGAAGCTGTTAATGAATAAGTAAATTTAAAAAACTATAAACTTTATGGAAACATCTGCTTGCAGGGGTTAGGAGTGGCTGGATGTGTGGGCCAGACTAATAACACTGGAGGGGTTGGGAGAAGAGCACAGAGTTAGTCATTTGGCTGAATGTGTTTAATAAATTACAACCCAATTGGAGGGACTGGCTCCCTGGGTGAGTCACTTTGAACTAGGCAAAAATAGCCAACAGAAACCAGCCCCAACTAAAGAAAAATAAATCATTTTATTTGATTGACTGACATTGTTTTGATCAGAGTGTGAAATCACATGCTGAGTTTAGTTTGGTCAGAAAGCCACCCTGTTGCTGATGGAATCACATGCACATATTCATTCCTCTAACCACTTGCTAGATGTAACTTTTAAATATATAAATACTCTACTCTCAAACTTACCTTCCTCCCACGTCTATCTCCAAAACTAAACAACTAACTTTTTCAATGAAGAAGTCATTCTCCACATTTCCTGGGCTTGATACATTGGCTTTATTTACCTTTAGTCTCCTTCCCCTCTCTGAAATCTCAATACCAAATCAGACATCAATTCGCCAAGTTTTGTCTTTTATCTTTCAGCTCTGCCCCTTTCTCTCCATTAAATTCCTTGTAACAGCACCTCCAGTTTCTGGGTAGGGGCTTCTTAATGGCCCTAGCAGGTCTCTGGTCTCATAACTATCTTCTCACTCATTTTAGTCTGTTCTGCACATGAGACTACCGAAAACCACAAGCTTCAATTATTTTCCAGGTCAAGAACTAAACTATCAGTTTGTGTTCAGTGCCTTTTCCAAGTATTCAAGGTACTTTATCTCCTAGGCTAACTGGATCTCCCACTAGTTTGAGGGGCGAGACTGTGAAGGACTTGGGAATAGGGATAATGTTGTCATTGTTCTTTCTGCTGATCATTGGGATTCTGGGATAACAAAGAAGCAGATATCACTAAGTGGCTGTAGATTTCTGGACCATGATTTATCATATGCTGGAAGGGTAAGTTCATGTCTGGTCATGAAGGACTTGCATCTACTAAGCATGGGGGACATGTATTTAGTACAGGGTGATGAGTAAGAGGATCAAAGAGCTGGGATAGAGCCAGATGCAGTGGTACACAACTGTAGTCCTAGCTACTTGGGAGGCTGAGGAAGGAAGATGGCTTGAGCCAAGAAGTTCAAGACCAACCTGGGCAATATAGTGAAACCACCAACTCAGAAATAAAATAAAATATAAAAGAGTTGGGATGATACCATGATACCATGAATCTATCCAGGAACTGCTGGTAAAACAAAGACAAGAGAGGGAAGGTACCTGGTGACACGTACACATATGTATACATAATTATAAAGAATACTAGAGAAGTGTCTGTTCATGTCCTTCGCCCACTTTTTGATGGGGTTGTTTGTTTTTTTCTTGTAAATTTGTTTGATATAAAGACACATGCACACGTATGTTTACTGCAGCATTATTCACAATAGCAAAGACTTGGAACCAACCCAAATGTCCAACAATGATAGACTGGATTAAGAAAATGTGGCACATATACACCATGGAATACTATGCAGCCATAAAAAATGATGAGTTCATGTCCTTTGTAGGGACATGGATGAAATTGGAAAACATCATTCTCAGTAAACTATCGCAAGAACAAAAAACCAAACACCCCATATTCTCACTCATAGGTGGGAATTGAACAATGAGGACACATGGACACAGGAAGGGTAATATCACACTCTGGGGACTGTTGTGGGGTGGGAGGAGTGAGGAGGGATAGCACTGGGAGATATACCTAATGCTAGATGACGAGTTAGTGGGTGCAGTGCACCAGCATGGCACATGTATACGTATGTAACTAACCTGCACAATGTGCACATGTACCCTAAAACTTAAAGTATAATAAAAAAAAATACTAGAAACTACATTAATGGGCTGAATAGTCTAGACAGCAAGAGATTGATTTGTTACGGAAATTCACGACCCTAAGGATAGAGCACCTAGAGATATCATGAGTGAGCAGAATATGGTAAAGAACACATGTGAGTTCATTATGAGCATTTTCTACAGGCCGCTTGGCCACAGGAAGAAATGGAGGGTGGATTCTTAGCCACTGTTATTCTGTCATAAGGGAAGTTACAGCAGTGAAAGTGGTCTTGTGCTGACTGAACACTTGCAAAACGCCCTTTTCAGCTAAAAATAGCGCATCAGACAAGTCTCTTCATTTCCCTTGTTGACATGGAATAAAGAAGCTTAACTAGATACACTCCTCTGTCTCTCATTCTTTATTTTTTTATTTGATTTTTTGTTTTGTTTTATTTCTGTTTTTTTTCTCTCGGTCCCTCATTCTGACCAACAGAAAGACCCTGCTTGGTGAAGCAAGCAGAAGAGACATATTAGGAGAAACAAGCCACTCCAGCTCAGAAGACATGATTGTCAATGAGGAGAAGGCTGGCTGTAATAAGTAGCCAAGAAGTCTAGATTTAGGCAGTCTAAAAAGTTAAAAAGAAGATAGTTATGATTAGATGAGATTCTGGAATAGAGGCAGCCTGAAGTTTTCCAAAATGGGGAAGCGTTCAAAAATCATTCCAATAAAAAGGGAAAAGAAATGGTCCTTTTAAAAAATGTGCCTGCAGGCTCACCCACAGATTCCCATCTGAAAAAGACACTTAGAAAAAAAGGAAAAGAAAGGCACACAACCAAGGAACATATAGGAAGATGGCACAAACTTAAACGGAAAAATTATAATGTGAAAAAAATAGCTGAAAGTGATCTGAAATACTAAATGACAATAACAACAAAAAACCCCACTATGGGCCAAAAAAAGTTGGAGGAATTCTGGGAACTGGGCCAGTTCATTTTAGACCCATAAGAGCAAAGAACAGCTTAGTCTATCGCTTGTGAACGAGGATTACCAGAACCTCCATGGAGGCTACTGAACCACTTTCGTTGATCTTTGAAGAATTTTGGAGAAAAACAACAACAAGAAGCCAGAGGACCAGAAACAAGCAAATCTAATCTTCTTTCTTTCTTTTCTTTTTTTTTGGAGACAAAGTCTCACTCTGTCATCCAGGCTGGAGTGCAGTAGCGCAGTCTTGGCTCACTGCAACTTCTGCCTCACGGGGTGAAGTGATCCTCCCACCTCAGCCTCCTGAGTAGCCAGGACCACAGATGCGCACCACCATGCCTTGCTAATTTTTTTGTATTTTTGGTAGAGACGGGATTTCACCATGTTGCCCAGGCTGGTCTCAATTTCCTGACCTCAAGCAATCTGCCTGCCTCCCAAAGTGCTGGGATTATGTGTGAGCCACTGCACCTGGACTATCTTATTTTTATTATCAAAAAAGTGGAAGAAAATATATTCCACAAACTATCAACAGCGTGAGCATGATACTAGTCTTAGCTAAGAATCCAAATCATATTTTTAAATGATTTTAAAATAAAAATCACATATCATCTCATTATCCAACTATAATGACAATTAACATTTTGCTGTAAATTCTTTCTAGAATGTATCCATATATATGTAGGCATCTCTTTAAAAAAAAATTTCAAATTTGTTTTAGCTCTTTTTGTCTTTTTTTCACTTAGCAGTATATGGTGAGCATTATTTGGTGTTACTAAACATTCCTCAATACCAGCAAAACAATACTGTTTTCCCTGGTTACCTAGTATTTTATTGTGTAAATAGACATAATTTATTGACAGTTCCCTCTGCTGTTGTTTATCTTTAAAATCCATCTCTTGCAACTCAAAACCACAATGAGATGCCATCTCACACCAGTCAGAATGGTTATTATTAAAAAGTTCAAAAAAACCAAAACAGATGCTAGTAAGGTTGTGGAGAAAAGGGAATACTTAAACACTGTTGTTGGGAGTGTAAATTAGTTCAACCATTGTGGAAAGCAGTATGCAGATTCTTCAAAGAGCTAAAAGCAGAACTACCATTGGACCCAGCAATCCCATTACTGGGTATGTACCCAGAGGAATAGAATTCATTTGACCATAAAGACACATGTGTGCAAATGTTCACTGCAGCACTATTCACAATAGCAAAGACATGGAATGAGCATAAATGCTCATCAGTGACAGATTGGATAAAGAAAATGTGGTACATATACACCATGGAATATATACAGTGATAAAAAGAACGCGATATGTCTTTTGCAGGAACATGGATGCAGGAACATGGATGGATACTTAGCAAAGTAACGCAGGAACAGAAAACCAAATGCTACATGTTCTCACTTACAAGTGGGAGCTAAATGATAAGAACTTAAAGAACTTATGAACACAAAGAAGGAAACAACAGACACGGATTCTACTTGAGTGGGGAGGGTGGGAGGAAGGAGATGAGCAGGAAAGATAACTATTGGGTACTGGGCTTAATACCTGGGTGATGAAATAATCTGTACAACAACCCCCCATGACACAAGTTTACCTACCTAACAAACCTGCACATATATCCCTGAACCTAAAATAAAAGTTAAAAAATAAATAAGTCAATAAAATTCATTTCTAACAGAAACTATGACTTTTACTATTTTTGCTTTGAGGAACCTGCTGAGGTTTTATGTATAACCTGATGCAAAATTAATTTTTATAAATGTTCTACGAGCCCTAGAAAATAAATTTTATTATGTGCTTTGGATATTACGCAGCATATAATTTTTTCAGTAGTATTCATTATATTACACAATTCCTGTATTTATATTATGTTTTGTTTGTTTACTTGATATGTGAAAGCCTGAGAGTGGTGTTTTGATATCTTCCACCTCTACCGTGTTTCCATCAGTTTGGGGTGCAATATTAATTGATGTACATATTTCCATGGCCATTATATCTTCACTGTGAATTTGATTCTTCACTTATAGAAAACAATCCTCATTGTATTATTTAATGATATTTGTCATGAATTGCATTGTCTTATATCAATAAAATGACTTCTGCTTTAGTTTTTGTGGCATCTCCCTGCTATACCTTTTCTCAGTGTTTTAATTTTTGCACAACACTTTGTTTTAAGGGTTCCTATGGTAAACAACATAGAGCTGAATTTTCATTTTTGATCCAATATGAAGACTTTTATTAAAAATGAGTGATTTAGCTTACTTATGTTAATTGTTATAACTGAGTTGTTTGGTGTCTTCATTTTCATGCTCTATTTTATTATCATTTTAATGCTTCCTTACTGTCTCCTTTGTTTAATTAATATTTAGTTTGCTGCATAGAGTTTGTTTTCTTAGACCCCCTTGATTCAGAAGGTGGGTTATTGAAAACTCTGTAACTATTGTCTTCTAAATTTAAGTGTCAGGAATGAAATGACAGTCTCATAATTGAACCAAGGAATTCAGAATATTTTATTTTCACTGTCTTATCCTTTCAGACAAACACCAGTCTTTTCAGGCTTTGAAAATTATTATCTGGGGTTTTAGGCCCAAATTTTTCTCAGGATTTTTTGTATCAATGCATATCTACTGTTTGAATATATTTTACTTTTGCATATAGTTTTGTTTTGTTTTGTTTTTGAGACCGAGTCTCGCTCTGTCGCCCAGGCTGGAGTGCAGTGGCGCGATCTCAGCTCACTGCAACCTCCGCCTCATGAGTTCAAGCAATTCTCTGCCTCAGCCTCCTGAGTAGCTGGGATTACAGGTGCCCGCCACCACGCCTGGCTAATTTTTGTATTTTTAATAGCGATGGGGTTTCACCATCTTGGCCAGGCTAGTCTTGAACTCCTGACCTCATGATCCACCTGCCTCGGCCTCCCAAAGTGCTGGGATTACAGGCTGAGCCACTGCCCCTCACCTTGTATACAGTTTTAAAACTTGATGTACAAATTATTAGTTAGATGTCTTTTTTAATTTGCTTCAGTACTAGTTGCCTATCTTTTACACTGTCACTTCCTTCACATGCTTGGTTTGACTTTTGATAGAATACTCTGCTCATTAATTGCAGCTAGTGAATTTTAATTCTGCTGTTGTGCTTCAATTTCCTTGCAGTCCGTCCATATTTCATTCACATCTTTGAATACCATTTTTCATTTTCATCTCAGCTTTATTCTTATTGTCTTTTGATTTGTAAAGACCATGCCCTCTAGTGCCCTCTTATGAGGATTCTAGTCTACTAAAATATTCTTTTAGGCCCAGCTGGAGTAACTCATTTTCATTTCATATGCTATTATTTACTCCCTTATTTTACATTTCCTTTAATTCCTATATGTTTTACTCTTTATTCATTCTTAAAGAAGGAAGCATTCTATAAACTTGGTGCTTGTCAAACAACAGGTCTTTTTGGTCTTGTTCTCACTGAATGCTGAAATCAATAATGGTGAGTGGATGTACACAGGTCTTAGACCTACATCAAATTTCAAGAATAGATTATCCTAGAGTAACTATGCTATACTATACTATACTATACTATACTCAGTTTTATTTGCCTCTTACTGCCAGAACAAGTTCTACATTTTTTGAAATGTATCATAATTTTTTTACGATGGGATCAAAATATCTCAATATTTCATAAACATTTTAATAGATTTTTTCATTTCTTAAATGTAAAGTCCCATATATGTCCATTCCATCAAGCTCCTTATAGCCTTAAAACTTTTATACACTAATTTGTTTTTGGCACTCAATTTGTTGCAGATTGACAGATGTATGTTAGATTTTCCCTCTGCAATTGTGTTTTGACAATTTTATTGTATCATTTAATGATTTTTGTATTAAATTTTACTTTTAGCTATAGTTTAATACTAATATCACCCTCCTTTCTTTTTGTTTGCATTTTCCTGATATATCTATGTCCCTTCATTTTTTATCCCTTTCTCTCCCATTTTGTTTAAAACAGCATATATTTAGAATTGGGTTTTGACCAATGCGTGGTTCTTTGTCTTTTAATAGAAATGATTGGCCAGGCGGGGCGGCTCACCCCCGTAATCCTAGCACTTTGGGAGGCCGAGGCGGGCGGATCACGAGGTCAGGAGATCGAGACCACTCTGGCTAACACGGTGAAACCCTGTCTCTACTAAAAATACAAAAAATTAGCCAGGCATGGTGGCACGCGCCTGCAGTCCTAGCTACTTGGGAGGCTGAGGCAGGAGAATTGCTTGAACCCGGGAGGCAGAGGTTGCAGTGAGCCGAGACCACAGCCGCTGCACTCCAGCCTGGGCGACAGAGTGAGACTCAGTCTCAAAAAAAAAAAAAAAAAAAAAAGGAAATGATTAAACCATTCACACTTAATGTGGTATGTTTGACCTGGCTTCTATCATCTTATTTTATACTTTTTATATTAATGTTTCCTTGCTATTTCCTTTTTTACGTATTTTTTTTCTTTTCTTTTTTTGAGGCAGAGTCTCACCGTGTTGCTCAAGCTGGAAGTGCAGTGGCACAATCTTGGCTCACTGCAACATCTGCCTCCTGGGTTCAAGTGTTCTCCTGCCTCAGCCTCCTGAGTAGCTGGGATTATAGATGCCCACCACCACGCTAGGCTAATTTTTGTATTTTTAGTAGAGACCAGGTTTCACCATGTCAGCCAGGCTGGTCTCAAACTCCTGACCTCAAGTGATCCACCCACCTTGGCCTCCTGAAGCGCTGGGATTACAGGCATGAGCCTCCGCACCCAGCCCTTTTTTAGTTTTCATTCTTGGCTATAATGTTCCAAATCTTCCTCCTAATTTTGAAGTTAAGCATGGTATTTCTAGTTTTATATTCATCTACTGTCTTCTTATTTAAAAATGTATTTAAACCTGTATTTTTCTGTGTTCAGCAATGAAACAATATTCAATGTTTCCCACAGCACAAAATGAGACATTCAGCACATCAAGGTTTTTTGCCTTGAGTAATCTGAGTTTTTAGCCCCACATTATTATCATTAAGTTTCTTATGTATCTTCTTTGTTGAGAGTAATTTTGGCAGTTGCATTGTTTCCTGACTATATTAATAACATGTAAATACTAAGTCTATGTTTGTGTGGGTTTATTATTCACGCCACAGCTTTGATATCACATCTTTTCCATTCCCAAGCTTTAATGTTAATTTCTCTGTTGACCAGAATAGTTTGAGTAAATACATTTTTTAATAAAGGATTTTAGTGGCCTACTTGCTGGGTGCTTTTTTTTTTTTTTTTTTCCTTGTCTGAGAATAGCTTTTTTTTTTCTGTACAAATTACTGAATAGAGAATTCTGGCTCATAATCTTTTTTTTTTTTTTTTTTTTGAGATAGGGTCTCACTGTTGTTCAGGCTGGAGTGCAGTGCTGTGATCACGGCTCACTGCAGTCTGCACCTCTTGGGCTCAGGTGATCCTTCCACCTCAGCCTCCCAAGTAGCTGGGACTCCAGGTGAACATCACCATTCCTGGCTAATTTTTGTATTTTTAGTAGAGGTGGGGTTTTGCCATGTTGGCCAGGCTGGTCTCAAACTCCTGGGCTCAAGTGACTGCCTGCCTTGGCCTCCCCAAGTGCTTGATTTATAGGCATGAGCCACGGCACCGGTTGGTTCATTATCTTACTACCCCCAAATTCCACAGTCATACCTCAACTTATTTCTGATATTTAGTGTTGCACAATGTCTGACACTTGCTTATTTTTTCTCTGAAAATAAAACATTGTTTTTCTGTTTTCATACCAACAGATTTTTTCTTATAATTAATAATTTTCACCAGAATATACTTTTAATTTTTCCTGGTACACATTAACTATTTTGAAGTAATGTCAGGAAATTTTTTTTTATTTAAAAATTATTTAAATTTAAGTTCTGGGATACATGTGGAGAATAGGCAGGTTTGTTACATAGGTACACATGTGTCACGGTAAATTAAATTAAAAAAAAAAATTAGAGACAGGTCTCGCTCTGTCACTCAGGCTGGAGTGCCATGTCACGATCTTGGCTCACTACAGCCTTGACCTTCTGGGCTTAAGCAATCCTCCTGCCTCAGCTACCTATATTTTTATTATAACATCTTCTATTTTTTCTTTTCCTGAAAAATTCTGTATTTATATGTTTAATGTATTGAATAATAGCCTCCGTTTTCCCCTCATTATTTCACTTTCATGTTTTTTGTCAGAATTGTGAGAATTCATGCTCATCTTTAGCTTTCTGCATTGTTCCAATGTTTGTGCTTCCACTGCATGATTTTAATTCTGCAAAATATTTTTCATTTCAAAGCAGGCAAAGTTTCACAATCTCAGATTGCTCTCTTTCAGATTGCTCCATGTTGATAGTTCCTGCTATATCCTCTTAAATCTCTATAAATATAACTTGGAGATTTTTAAGTTTATGTTCTCTCTTTTTTTTAGCATCTATTTTAAAGAGTGACATTAGCTTTGCATTCTTAGATGTCTCCCTTCTTTGGAACTGCTAGATATTGTTTTCATGAGCTTCACAAAGAGTGAGTCCCATGGCCCCAGCACAAGGCACATCTGAGGGGCCATTGGATACGTTTGATTGAGATGTGTTTCCCATTGCCTGCCTACCTAGCATTCCTGTAGCTCTTGCCACTTTTTAAAGTTTTTTTACATGGTAAAATATGCATAACATAAAAGTTACCATTTAACCACTTTTAAGCGTACAGTTCAGTGTCATTAAGTACAGTTACATTGTTGTGCAACCATTGCCACCATCCATCCACAGAACCTTTTTTTTTTTTTGAGATAGGGTCTCACTCTCTTGCCCAGGCTAGAGTGCAGTGGCATAATCATGGCTCACTGCAACCTCTGTCATCCAGGTTCAAGCGATTCTCATGCCTCAGCCTCCCGAGTAGCTGGGATACCGATGTGTGCCACCATGCCTGGCTAATTTTTGTGTAGTTTTTTTAAGTAGAGATGGGACTTCATCATGTTGGCCAGGCTGGTCTCGAACTCCTGACCTCTGGTGATCCATCTGCATCGGCCTCCAAAAGTGCTGGGATTATAGGCATGAGCCACCATGCTCAGCCTTCCACAGAACTTTTTCATCTTGCAAAATGAACTGTGGCATTAAATGATAACTACCCATCTTTCCCACCACCACACCCTGGCAGCTATCATTTTACTTTCTATCTCAATGAATTTAACTACTATAAGTACCTCATATGAGTGGAATGTGCAGTATTTTTTCTTTTGTGACTGGATTATTTCATTTAGTGTAATGTTTTCAAGGTTGCATGTTGCAGTATGTGTCAGAATTTCATTCACATTTAAGGCTGAGTAATATTTCATTGTATACATTTACCACATTTTGTTTATCCAGTCATCCATAAGGGAACATTTGGGTTGCTTTTATCTCTTAGCTATTGTGAAGAATGCTGTTATAAACATGGATGTACAAGTACCTCTTCATGTTCCTGCTTTCAATTTTGGGGAGTATATACCCAGATGTGTGATTACTGGATCATACAGTGATTCTATTTTCAAGTTTTTGAGGACCCACTGTGCTGTTTTCCATAGTGGCTGTACCACTTCACATTCCCATCAGCAGTGTACAAGAGTTCCAATTGCTCTACATCCTTGCCAACACTTGTTATTTTCTGTTCTTTTAAAAAATATACATAATAGCTATCCTAATGGGTATGAAGTGGCATCTCATTGTGTTTTTGACTTACAGTTCCCTGATGATTCATGATGCTGAGCTTTTCATGTGCTTATTGCTATTCACATATCCTTTTTTGAGAAATGTCTTTCAAGTTCTTTATCAATTTTTGAATTGGGTTTTTTTGTTGCTGTTGTTTAGTTTTGGGAGTTCTCTATATATTCTGGACTTTAATTCTTTTTCAGATATGCGGTTTTCAAACATTTATTCCATTCTGTGCAGTCTCTGATGCTTTACCTTTGGAGATGTTAGTGGAATTCTTCTAGGAGTCCTTTTCATTTAATCTCCAGGCCAACTTTTCCTTCCATTCTGATGACTTACAGTTGGTTGGTCTTTCCCTCAATCACTGTTGTGAACACTCTTTATTATGGAATGTTTTCAGAACGTCTGACATGTGGATTATATTGGTGTCCTTTGCTAGTTGTCAGTACTATAACAAATATTCCCAAATATTTTTATATTAATTTGGTTATTTCAGTAAAAATCATGGAAGGTAAGAGTTAAATGTGTAGGCTTCATTTTCCATTTTTAAGGCCTTATTTTTTGAAAGTGGTATCCCTGCACCATAATTACCCTAACTACTGGTTAAAAATACTGGTTCGAGGCCCCCTTCCCACACCTCTGGCTCAGAGTCTCTGAGGAGAGAGCCTTAGGATCCACGTTTCATTACAAAAGAAATCTCTAGGAAGTTCTAATGCAAATGAAAATTAGAGAACTACTGGGTTCAGTGGTGACTCGTGAGCAGTTAAAAGAGAAGGGAATGATCCCTTGGAACTAACCAAGGTTCACCAAGAAGTCATGGCAGGTGATTCTTACATCTTCTTGACAGGTACATTAGTTATATAACTCAGGGAAATGTGGTAGACAGTGGATGTAAGTGCAGGAGACTTGACAAAGTTTTCATGAGCCTTGCAGGCATGATGGAGAAATACCCATTGAATACAAAAACAGGGACAACACGCAAGCAAGACCATGACTGGTGCAGATCCAGTTTCGGTTCTGACACCTTAAAGTAGTTTTAGAGAAACTGTAATGCACATGTAGGAGATTTACCAGAGGAGCTAAGGAATTAAAAGCTCTGTAATTTGAGAAATCGCTGAATGTTTTGTTTAGCAATGGTTCTTAACTCTTCTGAACATTGGCATAGTTGGTAGCACTGGGAGACGTAAAAAAGTACTGAGGCCCAAGCTTTGACCCCAGACCAATTAAGTAAGCATCTCTGGGAGTGGGACCCACAACTGGTGCTTTTTCAAGGCCCCTCCCCACTCCCCCCAGGCAATGTTAATGTTAAACAGACTTGAGAACCACTAGCTTAGAGAGAAAGACCATGCTTACAAATTTGTGAGCTCTAATATGGAAGATGGGCATAAGTGTTTCTGTAAGCCACCCCCCTGCTTGACCATTCACCTGGCAGAAGTGGACATTGGTCTGAGTCAATAGACGGCTACTGGGACAGCTCAGTTGCCAAGCCCAGACTCTCAATGCTGTGAGATGTTTCTTTCCCTTATTAGATAGGCATGGACCTCCTTGACATGGATCTTTCAGGTACTGGCAATACATTGATCTAGATACATGGAAATAGACTCTCCCCTGATCTCATGAGTTTTCACGTTTCACCCACCACTTGCACTGAGGACTTCGTTATCTGGGCCTCCAGCCACGGAGCTCATCTATCCAATTACATCTCCATCTGGATCTCTCACTGAAACCTCAAAGTTAACGTGCCCTGAACTGAACTTGTTACCTAACCCCACACCTGCTCCTGTTCCTCAATTCTCTTGGTCAATGAAACCACTATCTTCCCAGGTGTAGGAGCCTGGTGGCCACCTTTGGCTTCTCTGCCTCCCTCAGCCCCCTCACATACACTCAGTTACAAGTTCTTTCCTGGTTCTGTCCCTGACTCCACCTGTACTGCCATTGGTTTAGCCCTCATCTCCCTGGAACTCCCTCAAAAGCCTCTCAGGGGCAGCCTCACTTTCCATCTTCTCTCCTTCTAAGACAGCAGCCTGAGGGGTTGCTCTAATGTTAAAATGTGGCCACGTCAGTCCCCACTTATGAGTTCTCAGTGCCCCTCCCCTCATCACTAGCTACAAGAAAAAAAATGCACACTTTAATGTGACAAACGAGACCCTCCATGGCCCAGCTCCTGTCCACATTTCCAGACTCATCTCCCATAACTTTCTGACTCACAGTTTTTGCTCCAGCAACACTGAAGTGTAGACAACAAAAACTGGCTTTGCATACATGGTTCCCTTTACCTAGAATTTATTACCCTCATTCCTTCACTTAACTTCACGCATCCTTTAAATTTCAGTTCAAGCTCATCTACTCCAGAGCGTATTACCTGATTTCCTAGGTCCAATACCTTCCCAGGCCGAGGACGTGACCCTTTCCTGACTCTCATCTAAAGATTGACTCTGGCTGGGCATGGTGGCTCATTCCTGTAATCCCAGCCCTTTGAGAGGTTAGGAGGGTGGATCATCTGAGGTCAGGAGTTCGAGACCAGCCTGAACATGGTGAAACCCCATCTCTATTAAAAACACAAAAATTAGCCAGATGTGGTGGCATGCATCTGTAATCCCAGCTACTCGAGAGGTTGAGGCAGGAGAATTCCTTGAACCTGGGACGCAGAGGTTACAGTGAGCCAAGATCACAGCACTGCACTTCAGCCTGGGTGACAGAGTGAGATCCCATCTCAAAAAAAAAAGTATATATACACACTTTTATATATACTTTTATGTATGTATATATATATATATATATATATATACACACACACACATACACATATATATAGACTCTCTATCTATATCTATATCTATATCTATGTCTATGTCTATATCTATATCTATATCTATATCTATATCTATATCTATATCTATATAACAGTGGACTCTGTTCCACTCAGCTCCTGGAAACCCAGTTGATCCTATCCCAAGAAATGAGTCCTATGACTAGCATGAAGTGGGTGCTCAGCACATATTTACTGATTGAATATTGGTTAAACGATGGAGCATCCTCAGGAGAGCATTGCTATGGTTTGCATCATTTAGGGATTAAAGAATGGTGTGGTCTTTGGGGCACCATGGGACTTTTTCCCCTATAGGAACATATGGCTACTAGCTTCCTAATAGTTGAGAAAGATCACTTTGTGATCATCCAGGCCTGCTGGACATGCCGGCATGAGAAAAGGGAAGAGACTGACTTCCACCAGTGAATATCTTTATGTCAGGTTCTGGGGATCAGGAACATCCTTGTTGATGAGACTTTTGGATGGGGAGTTTGGGGGGCTAGATGAGAGTAACCATTTTGTGTGGCTTCCAAGGAAGGGACACCCTGGCCTTCTGGGAGCTGGAAAGAGCTTTCTCTAGCTTATTTACTTTAACTGCAAGTCAGGGGCACGACGGAGCTGGTGAAGTACTATGAGCCACTGTTCCCAGAGCAGAGGGGTGGAGAAATGCAGCAGGAAATGGAAACATTTAGGCCAAAAACATTTCAAGTATTTCAGCATCTAAGGATCAAAGTGGCCTCACTGACCTTTGGCTACTTGGAACTTTCACACCAGATCAGCCATCAGCAAAGTGAAAACTTGGTTTCTCTGCAGACGACACTGTTTATTCCCAAGGCGAGAAGAAAACTTCCAACGCAAAACACACAGAAAGGAGTGATGGACCCAAATGATTAACTGGGCAGGCAAGTCTGGGTTTTGTCAGCTGCTGTCTGGCCATTGAGTTTTTCTCTTCCATCCCTTTTCTTGCCACAGCAGACTTTTCTAGATGCCTCCATTTTTCACTTGGAAAATGAGAGCTCTTAAGCTCTTTCCTTCTTTTCTCTTACACATCATGATTCCAGGAAAGAATCTTTAACTTTCACTGAAGCATCAATGACTTAAGAAGCGAATTCCAAGAGGAGAAATAGATATTTTTGCAGGAAATAAAGCCTTAAGCTTCTTCAGAAAAGGAAGTGAAAAGAGGAGTTATGCCCTGGAGAAGGCACTGGTCAGAGTGGTGAGACCCTGGCTCCTATTCTGGCTGGGTAACCCCAGGCAGGGCACTTATTATGTTGGGGGTTTCCTTATTTCTCAGGATGAAGGCTTAGAACCAGATGTTCTCTTGGCTCCTTCTCTGATCTCATTTTCTATGACGCCAGAAATTCTTAGATCTGCCCCAAATTAATATATATCTCTAATCCTAATTGAATAACATCCCAGGGTGCTGAGACAGTGTGCAATTGAGGTAATTAGACCATGCTCCTTAATTTGTTCAGAATCATAGAGTTAAGGAAGCCACTACTATCTCCATCATCACCCTGCCCCCAACCACCATTATCATTATCACCACCATCACCCCCACAACTATCACCACCACCATCAATACCACCACCAACACCACTATCGTCAACTCCCCACACAACTACCATCACCGCTACCACCAACACCAACACCACTACCACCAGCACGATCATCATCACCACCATTATTGTCACCCCCCACCACCACTACCATCACCACTATCACCACCACCAACAACACTACTCCTACCACCATGATCATCACCACCACCACCACTACCATCACCACTATCACCACCACCACCACCACCATGAACACTACTCCCACCACTATGATCATCACCACCATTATCATAACCCCCACAACCACTACCATCACCACTATCACCACCACCACCATCACCTCCACTGCCACTACCACCATCACCACTATCACCACCACCACCACCTTACCACCATTACCCCCACCACCATCACCCCACCACTACCACCACCACAATAATCACCCCTACTACTGCCACCACTATCACCAGCACCACCACCAGCATCACTGTCCTACCACTACCATCATTACCCCATTATCACCATCACCAGCACCAGCACCAGCACCAGCATCACTGTCCTACCACCAGCATCACCACCACCATTACCACCATCATCACCACCACTACCATCACCTTCATGAGAAATAAAGTTCTACTTTTTAAAATGGGAAAATTTATAAAAATGTCTTAATTTGAGGGACTGATGTTAATTCCAGGGAACATTCTGGAATGGGATGTGGAATGAGCTTTTAGGATTGAAGCTGTGATTTCAAGGAACCAGCATGGAATCACTGAAATTAGTTTATGTCAGACCAACAAAATTGCTTCTTTGACAAGATTATTGGACGGAAGATCAAGGAAATACCAGTGATGAAGAATATTTGGAGTTTATCAGAGACCTTTGATAAGATTCTTCTAATAATGTTGAAAAAGATGAAGAAATATGGGCTCAGTTATAGTACAGAAAGCTGAATAAATTTTCTAAGTAAGTGCTGTTTAATTATTGAATTAATATCTATGTTTAGGGAACATACAGTGGAATGCCTCAGAATCCCATAGTGTTCATTATTTTTATTGATGACTTAGATGAAGAGGTCGTGCTCATCAGATTCAGAGATGGCAGGAAGCTGGCTGAGAGGGCCGGTAAATACACTGGATGCTAGAATCACAGCCAGAAATATCTGGGCAAGTTGGCGAGGCAGACTGAACTGAACAAGATAAAATGAGAAACAATGCACAGTCTCTAGAGTGGCTGTGAGGGGGTGTGGGCAAGTATCGGGTGAAGGCGAGCAGGTGGGCAATGCAGTTCAAGAGCAAGTTTAAAAGAGAATTGGGTTACTTCAGTTGATATTAAGCTCAACAGGTGTCAATGGTATAGATTCTTAATTAGACCTTAAAGAGTTTTAATAGAAATAGGAAATAGAATGAGGAGGTGGTAATTTCAGTCTTCTCCATGCTGATTAGGACTCCCTTGAAATTTTGCACTTTATTCTTTAAGAATAAAGAAATTAGAGAAAACTAGGACAAGAGTGATGATAATAATAGTGAGGGCACTGGAGCAAATGGCCCATGAGGTAGGGTGGAGCAGTGAAAAGGGCGTTGGCCAGGGATTTGAGAGCCAAGTTACCCCATTAATAGGTTGCGAGATCTTAAGAGCTGGTTCAGGACTCCCTGAGGAGAAGCACAGACTATGGTGGTTGACTGGTCTGCTCTTGTAGGTTTTTGGTTCCCCGCCCTTTTCCCCCTTCTCTTCCAGGGGAGGAGATGGGGCCAGCATCCACCAACTCCCATCAGTAGGAGAGGGGAGAGTTGCTGGCTTCTGGGTTCTTTCCTCGCAGAGGCTCATGCATGCACAGCCTGGGCCTCTGGGAGTGTCCAGGTTGGAGGGATCCTCGCCATCTGTTGATGGTGTTGTGTGGGGAGTTGGAGCAGTTGGGGGAGCTGGAACAGATGATCTTAGTAGTTACTCCCATCTCTGAGAGTCTAGATTTCAAGACACGCTGAAATCAGGTCAGGCCACACTATGGATGGGTTCCTTTCTCCCTCCTTCACCCATCCAGGGACAGGTTCTCTTAAGACCCTGAGCAAAATTTTGCACTCTTGATATGTGATTCAGAGTCATAAATTATACCCATTGTTTCTCTTGGAAAGCTTTCAAAAGTCCCCTTTCTGTGATTTCCCAGGAAGCCAAGATGGTGGCAATCCTAATCCACATCACAACACACAGCAGTTATTGAGGCAGTAAAGCAAAAGGTCCAAGAAAAAAAGAGAAGATAAATAAAGAGAAAAGGCTTTGAAATCATATAGACCTGAGTTTCAATCTCAGTCTCTCCTATCAGCTTTGTGACCATAGGCAAATTACTGAAACTTTCTGAGACTCAGTTTCCTTATCTGTGAGATGGGGTTAATACCAGGAGTGTAGTGATGTGAATATCAGGTGAAGCTATGCGTGCACAGAACATAGCCCAATGTGGGACTCAGAGTCGGTGCCCAGTAAGTGCTATTGCTAATATTACCACAACATTTACTACCACCATCCCTCCTTTATCTTTCTCTCCCTCATCTCTTCGGGGCTAGGCACTGTGCTAGTGCAGAGGATACAGTGGAAAACGAGACAGACATAGACACACACTTTGCTTGCACCAAGCTTACACTGTAGCACAGTCCAGTTAAACTTTTTGCAATGATGGAAATCTTTTAAATGTGCATTCTCCAATATGATAGCCAGAAATCACATGCTGCATGTAAGCACTAGCAATGTGACTGGTGTGACCGAGGAACTGAATTTTAAATTTCATTTAATTTTAATGAACTAAAGTTAAACAGGAAATAGTCACATGTGAAAACAGACAGCACAGCTCTAGACACCTTTCAGGTATATTTCTGGGACTGACTAGCCTGAGCAGAATAAAGGTATGCTGAAAGAGAAATGCACGTAAAGCATCCAGTACAGGACCTGGAAAATTCTCTTATTCGTTCATTCGTCACATTTAATTGTTGACTATGGATTGGCACTATCTCAGGTGCTGGGGATACAGAAAAGGATTAGACATGGTCTCTGCCTTCAGGGGGCTCATAGTTCAGTGGGAGATATGCAAATAGTGACTTCGCCATAGCGAGGTAAGCTTACGCACAGGTGCTGTGGATTCAGGACATCTCTAGGGTGGGCTTCCCTGAAGGATGTTTCCGGACCTGAGCTGAATCTTGCATAAATTGATCTCAGAGTGGGAGCAACAACAGATTATATTCCAGGGCTACTAAACCCACTGCTGGTGGCAGAGGTGGCTTGGAGATCAACGAGGCTCTAGGAACAACTCATAGCTAGGGCCAGTTTGTTTTCTTCTAACCCTTTGTGTGTGTGTGTGTGTGTTTTGTATTGCCTAATTCAATCTCTCTTCTGCCAGCCACATTTTGTTTCCACCTGAGGACATTTTTTTTAAATGATGGGTATAACTTTATTTTTAAATTGTTTTATTACTATTAATAGTTACTAGCCTTGATTTCTTTTTTTTTTTTAGTCAGACAAACTCTGTTACTTATAAAGTGACATCAGCTCTCACTATGGTTGGGTGTGGAATTCTGATACTTGGTACAAATAAACAACTCTTTGAATATGGCCAGTATGTGAGGAAGCTGTTGCTGATGGGTTAAGCTTGCTGAACCTGGCTGTGATCATGATGCACGTTCACAAGAGTGAATGTTGTTATAATGACTTGTATGGAGAAGTGGGACATTATACACATTTGTATATTTTACATGATGGTTTGATTTGTTCAAAGTTAGTATGTGACATTTAGCTAGAGAATTCTGCAGCTGATACTTGCTCACATAAAAATAGGTATAGCTTTATGTTGTATGGTTTCCATAATCCCTCCCGAGTGTATAAAGCAAGGTGATATGTGTGATTCCTTCTTCCATGAGACTGAAGAATGCTCGTGTGATGTGGCTTGGTCGTGTGAGGCCTTGGCCTATTTGGATTCCTAAAGGTCATCTGCTTGAACTATGGCCGAGTTGTTTCTGGTGAATGGAATCCTAAATTAGTGTACCCTTTTTGAAAAGTGGCTTCTCATATATACTGTGAGCCTTAAAACATTCATGCCCTTTGGCCTGGTGATCTATTTCTAGGCATCTATCCAAAGGAAGTAATGGGAAGTGTGTGCAGTAAAGACTTTGCCCAGAGTTATTTGTAGTTGCTAAAGACAGGAAGCAACTTAAATAACTAACAGTGTAATAATATGCAGCCAGGAAAACAATGTTCATGAAGGTCTTTTGCTACAACACTAATTCAGAAAAAAGCAGAGAACCAATAGCTACAGGGGCTCAGCAACCATACTTTTGAGTCAGACAGCCTGGGTTTGAATCTTGATTCTGCCACATACTAGCTATGTAACTTGGGCAAGTCACCTGAAGTCTTAGAACCCTAGAAAAATGCAACCCTAGAAAAATGGGATTGATAGTAATAACACCTCAGAGGGACTCCTGAGGATTAAAGGATATAATGAATATAAAATTTAACACCATGCAAAGTATACTTATTAGGCACCCAATAAATGCTGGCTCTCTATGGATTGTATAATTTCGAGGCATAAAAACAGATGGAAAGGAAATATGCCAGTATATTAACAGTGTGGGATGGGAGTGGTAGGATCATGGGTGATTGATTTGTTCTTTGCATACTTTTCAACTTCCCAATTTTTAGGCAATGAACATGAATTACTTTTATACTAAAAGAGTACATTATAATGATGTAATACAATAAGATATACATTTTAAAAGTTTTAAAGTTTTACCACAAAGAAAAGGTACTTCCCCGCCCTTTTCCCCCTTCTCTTCCAGGGGAGGAGATGGGGCCAGCATCCACCAACTCCCATCAGTAGGAGAGGGGAGAGTTGCTGGCTTCTGGGTTCTTTCCTCGCAGAGGCTCACACATGCACAGCCTGGGCCTCTGGGAGTGTCCGGGTTGGAGGGATCCTCACCATCTGTTGATGGTGTTGTGTGGGGAGTTGGAGCAGTTGGGGGAGCTGGAACAGATGATCTTAGTAGTTACTCCCATCTCTGAGAGTCTAGATTTCAAGACACGCTGATGTTTGTCGTTTTCTCCCCATGTCTCGGTTGATCTGAACCAACCACTCCATAAAATTCTAAGGTAGGAAAGACTCATCTACTAGCTTCCCACCCTAAAGCCCCTCCCAGAAAAATACCTGTAGTAATGCCTATAGTGCTGGGTGTAAACGTTAAGGGTGATTGGCAAAAAAGACATAGATCAGGAGTACGACCGGGAAGTTGGCTTAGTTGCAGCCGTTTTATTTAAGGAGTATAATTCATATTCGGAATGGAATCTCCAGCAAATGTAGTCTTTTAATATGACAAACAGTTAAGTACCTTCCCATGTTAGACACATGCCTGGAATGAGAGTGAGAGGGACATAAAATATAAAGGGGTGTGTGTCTGTGCCTGGGTTCATGACCAAACCTCGACATTTGCCCTCTATGATCTAATTTCCTTCATTGACAACCAGGGTGCCCTGTGTGCCAGCAAGTGGCTCTGCCAGCTGTATTTTACAGACAGAGAATCCCAAGCACCAAAATAACAAAGTTGATTCCCCCATCCAGACCAGAGGGGTCGTTTCCAGTCCTGTGTCCTGACCACTGTCTCTCATCATGACCCCTGGTGTTCACCTCCAGATCCAAAGTGTCGTCGCCAAGCCCCCAAAATAAAGGAATGACAAACAGCCCTCCCAGGCCCTCCTCCCCACAGAGAGGTCATCGTATGCTAATGAAGTCCGAGGAGGCAGCGGCGCAGCGCGGGAGAGCGCGCCCACGGGTTCACAGCGCTCCCGGGCACCACTGCGGCGCAGCCACAGATCGCTTCGCGCTGCAGCAGACGCTCCCGCCGCGGGGGGCGACTGGGGGAGGGGTCTCGACCGCCACCCTGAGTTCCGCAGCTCATCCCTCCCATCTGGGAGGTGGTTCTAGCTCTAGTCCCAAGCTTTCCACTGCAGTGATGGTGGGGATGGGGGCAGCACGTCAAATCACCTGTAGGGCTTTTTAGAACTCCACAGCCCCCTCCCCTAATTCTATTCCACTAGTTCAAACGAAGAAAATCTCAGACTAGGCAAGGGGAGGTGGACCGGTGGAGTCTGCGAAAGCACCACAGGTGACTCCGGGTACGCACTCCTCAGGACACAAGCACACACACGGACACATCTTGTGACTCTGAGACTACACAGATCAACCTCAGATTCGACCCTTCCCTCCTTTATTCTCTGAGGTGTCCGTGTTCGCTTCAGCTTCCCTTTAAGTCGCCCTGCGCAGGGGCTTTGTGGAGTGCCCCCAAAGTCCTAGAACCCCGCGGGACGGTCGGAGGCTTTGGCGGCCAGACATTAGGAAAAGCATCTCCTGCTTCTCGGACTGCCTGGAGCGCGAACTGGATATCAAGGAGCCAAGGTTAAGTCCAGAAGAAGAAGGAAATCCGACCAGTTGCTTTAGCAAACTGCCTGGAGCAAGGCCGCCTCCCACCCGCACAGCTTTGAGGCTTGAGGGGGCCTCTCAGTCGCAGAGAGAGCCGAGCCCCACCCTGTGCGTTCCCCAAGCCTGCACCCCTCGAGCGGGGCATCCCTTCCTGCAGGGCTTTGTGGCAGGTGGAACTGTCGGGGTGGGCGCCGTGGCTTTGGCTGCAGCCCCTTCCCTGGCCGCGGGACCGGCTCCCGCTTTGCCCTCCTTTACCAAGTTGCTGCACCGGGTGCTCCCTGAGCCGGGGACCCCCTCCGCCGCGCCGGCCGCCGTCTTACCTCACCAGGCAACACTTGGTTGCGCGGTGGCCCGGGGCGCTCCTTCTTCGCGGTTTATTCCCTTACTTGGGAGGAAAGAGGAACCGAGAGACAGAAGGGGGACCGAAGCTGGCCTCTGGGCGTCTTCCCGCCTGCGCAGCCCTCTCGGGGGAGGGGGATGCAGCCCCAGTGGGTGCCGCGGAGACCAGGCTGCCAGGCTGTGGTTGGTAGCGCCGGGGTCTTCACCCTGTGCTCGGAGTTCAGCAGCTCCAAAGCTGTCTATCTCCGTGGCCCGCTACTACGGCACTGCGGCTCTGTGCCCTGCCCCTCGCAGCCTGGCAAGTCCAGCTGCCACTCTCACTGCGGAGCCCTGCCCCCGGGCGCAGAGCCCGCCCCCGCCACACACACCGGCGCGCGCGCGTACACACACGGCACACACAGACACGCGCTTCCACACATGCACACGCGTGCGCACACACGAATGTGGATCCGCTCGATGGGAACCTGACCCCCTTTGGTGCAACTAGGGCGCGGGCATCATTAGGACGCTTTTTACTGACAGGGCTTCGGTTTGGGAGGAGGAGTTACAGGCTTAGGAGTGTGGAGAGGATGCAACAGTGGTGGGTACCAGAGGGCCCCTGACCCCGGAGGCAAAGGACAACTGTTTGACAAATAAATACCGACTGGGCGTTTCCTTTTCTCAACTCTGGTCAAGGCTACCGTAATATCCCGACCAAATCGAAGAAAAAATAAAAATACAAAATCAACAAGTTCTCTTTGTTTCCCAGGAACTCAGTATCTCTAGGATCCAAATCACTAGCCCTGTCCAGAGGGTCATTTCTGACAACCTTGACTTCGGTGGCAGTGGATTGGTGGCAGTTCAACTCGAAAAGGTTTTCCCCTCGTAGCCTGGTGGAGACTGGCACAGCCTGCCTGAGCTGGACTCTGTTGGATGGGTCGGGTCTCTGGGTGTGTTTAATTCCCATTCTCCTTTGCTTTTAGGTGACCTTGGACTGTATTCCTGCAGAATAAATAGATCTCTTCTTTTTTTAAAATGTAGAAGAGCACAGAAAAGACGCTGGGGTGAGGGGTCGGGGGGAATAGGGGAGCTACATTAGCCAAGGCACTATGACTTGTTGCTTCTCTTTCCATGACGTGCATGTCCACGTGAGGGGGTGATGGTGGTGGTGACACTATTTCAGGCATGTCACACAGCAAGATGACTGCTGTCCATTTCACACCACATTTAGAGTCATTAGGAGTTTAGACTGTCATCTTTAAAATATGTGGAGTTTACTCATTTCCACAGCCGAGAATTCTTTTCTGCCAGTGGGCAGTGAAGGTCCCCGGGCCAGCACTGCAGCCAAGAAAAGCTTTCCGCAGAGTGTGGAGGCGCCGAGGGGCTCTGGGTGTCTGTGCATTTGGGGAAGAAGCCTCAAACACGAATGTCAAACAGCCCTGAGGACCCTGTTGGGTGGTGTCCATACTAGGCTATCTGCAGGCAGGCTGGTGAGACAGATGAGAAACAGAGCTGAGAGATCTCCTTAAGATTCCACACAGTGATGAAGACAGAGCTGATACCAGAACCCCGTGTTTGCGACTCCTCTTATCCTCTGGGTCTTATCCATTCTATCACCCTGGGTGGCTTCTCAAAGTTTCCTTCAGCTAGGCTGAAATAATCTTGGTGAGGGTGCCTTCAAAGTTCTTCCTTGTCCTTTCTTTTTTTCCTCTTCAGTCACTGACTCATTCATTTTACAGCTATTTATTAAACTCCTACTCTGTCTTCAGGTGCTTCCCCGTAACTCCAGTCCTGGGCCTTACTTGGGAGGAAAGAAGAACTGAGAGACAGAAAGGGCTTAGAACTGTCCTCATCCCTGGAAGAGAGGAGCCCTGAGCACAGGTTTCTGGTATATATTTTCACTCTGCTAGGTTGCATGGATGTGGAAGACACAATCCTTGCTTTTTTTGACTGCATGCTCAATGGAGGAAAATGCACATACATGTCACAAGAAAAACATTCTGGCTGTCTATTCTTGACTCCTTCTAAAGAAGGCTAAACTGAAGGAGACCCTGTGTTTGGCTGAGCATCATAATGGACTTGGGGTACATGTTTGCAAATAGGTGTTAGGACAACATTGAGTTGCTCTGCCTATTAGGACAGGAAGGAAATAAATTGAATGGAACAAATGAAGAAGACATGCAGAGACTGAGTGTGGAGCCTTAGCTTCGTTGAGAGCACATTGGGGAAGGGTAACGAGAGGGGAGGAGCTCTGAGGACAGGGTTGCCAAGCAACTTGCCTGAGAACAGGCAACAGGGTTGCCAAGTTGTCCAGGGATTTGGACAGGGGAGATGCTTGCAAAGATTGGTAAGTAGTTTGCTGTGGGGTGGGCTATGAAAGCCCCCGGTCCTATGAAAGAAATCATTTGTAAAGTCAATATTGTTCATCGGTTTGCTTGCAAATGGATTCCTTTAGGATCAGGATGGAGCCAAATGATGCATCTGAGTTGCTGCAGAAGGAGTTCAGAGAAGGCTGTGTGGACTGAGTTACATGCTAATAACATGGAGGAAAAGGGTGGTAGTAGAGGCTGAAGCAATGTGGAAGGCAAAGAGGGATGGGGCGGGAAGAAGCACCAAGAACAATTAGTGCTAATGGAGGCATCATGGAGGAGGTAGGGTTTGCGATCGGATTTTAAAGGGGAATAGAGATCTCACTTAAAGATCAACAGGACAAGGGCAATCTAGGCTGGGAGAAAGCAAAAGCAGAGACGTAGGACAATTCATGGTGAGTTCTGGGTCTTCCCAGCACAAGAAAAGAAGGCTGGGACAGTATTGTGGGAGTCTCCAAATGCTCTTCTGGGAGCATAGACTTGGGTTCCACAGTGAGGAGCTATGGCAGGTGTGGATTTTTTGTTGTTTGTTTTTGATGGGAAATGAGCTGGGAAGCAAGCTGGGAAGTATCTGATGCCAGCTTTCCCAAGGTAGGCCTTCCCCATCAGAATGGAGCACTGTGGGGAGGGAGTCCTTGTTGCTGCTCTCACGAAGAGCCAGAGCCCAGGTGGCTTATGTGGCTTGCTGCAGAGGGCACCCAGCTAAGGGGCTGAAATCCAACTCATGCCCCACTTGCCCAGCCACACAACCTGTTAGGGTTATGTCTGCCTGGAGGGAGGGATGCCTTTTCTCTAATTTGCATGGGCTGACAGAGGCCCTGCAACTGAGCTCTTTATTTGAAAAGGCTGAAGCTACGGTGAAACAAGTGAGGATTTATTGGGCATTTGCTGTATGTGCAAACATAAGGTAAAGCAGAAAGAGTCTTGAGGTCAGGACTATCTGTGAGTCTGAGCATGTCTCTGCTCTGTGGTGACACCCTGAGACTTACTGTAGGGTACAGAGGAGGAAGCTTAGTGCCTCTCCTCAAAGATTTTGCAATCCATGTCAGTTATAAAACAAACGCTCCACTGGTTAAGAAACAGTGAACGACAGTATGGAATCAAGTGCCAAATTGCACAGGGCAGATTCTCAGGGCTTGAGAAAGGAGACCTCCTCTGGGCTGAAAGAGTCAAGGCAGGCTTCATGGAGGAGGAGGGCTGGGTTTGGCAGTGGAGCATGTGTATGTTGGTTCTCAGCCAGAGAAAAGACCTGCGAACAAAAAGCCAGAGGAAACGAAGCTGGGGGCTTCTAAGCATGGATTTTTAGCCGCCACAGCCACCCTAATGCCATTCCCAATTGTAGCCCAAGCGCTGTGATGAGTCACCCTTGTTTCTGAGAGACGGGGCATTTTTGGATGTTTAACTGGTTCAACACTTTACATTCCCTGAGACTTCAATGTTGGCAGCTCACACTCACCATGTTGCTCTGGGAACACATCATCCAAGCCAGCAGCTGATGCCTGATCTCCACTGCCAAGGCAAAGCGAGGGCTGAGTCAGGTACCTGTGTCTGGAAATTTTTAGTCCCACTGTCTCTGACAAGCTGAGCGAACAGCACTTGACAGTTGGAGCACAGCTGAGTTCAGGGTCACCAACCGCAAGGTGGGCCGGGGGGGTTCTGCTCGCCTTCTTAGGCCTCACTTTTCCCATGTACAGAACACAAAGGATTATACCAGATTATCTCCAAGCTGTCTTCCACCTAATATTTTATGATCTCATAATTAATGGAATCTTTCCATGTTATCAAGCAATGACAGGATGGGAACAGATACTAGCCAAGTCCGAACCTTAACTTTCCTCTTGGTTTTGACTGTGAAGGCTGTGGTGGAGTGAGACTGTGGGTTGGAAACAGGAGAACCAGGAGCTCCTGGTCACAGTTTTGCCATGAATGGGATTTGGGATCCAGCCCTGGGAATGTAGGCAGGAGATTCCCTCATTTTAGTTTTCTTAGAAAATAAGGAGGCTGGAAATGGTCCCTACAACCCTTTCTGGCACTGATACTCTGTTAAGTACTAGCAACTGAACAACTTTTAAGTACCGCCCCCTTGCCTGGGTGGGGCCCTCCACAAGGCAAGCTGGGAAAATTCTCACAATATCAACTGATAAGCTTGAAGGAAAGCACAAAGGAGAAGCCATGGGGTTCAGAATAATAAATAGATAATTTAGAATTAGATGGAGTCAAAAGAGCTAATCTGAGTCTCTAAGCTCCAATTTCCTCTTCTGCAAAGTGGGGATAGTAATACATGCATCTCAAGGTAATGATTAAATGAAGAAGCTTATTTGAAAGTGTTTTAGAAGTGCTATGCAAAAATGTAAAATACAGTTATTGAAGATAGTCTGTTCCCTTAAGGTAGTCTATTTTTTAAAGCCTAGTTATTATACTACTTGCTAATGTGTCTGCTTCCTAAGAAACAGCAATTCAGGTCAGCAACTCTTTATACACCACATTAAAATATAGTAATATTTTAACATGAAAGATGCTGGTGGACTTCAGGACTACCAGAGTGCACATCTGCCCCCTGCCTGGAATTCTACAGTGTCACTGGAGTTGCCCACAGTGGATTTCCCAGGAACTTTGATTGTGTTTACTTGACAGTGAAGGAGACACCTACCCATCCAAGATCCTGCTTTGATGCTTGCCTATCCGGAGACAGATGGTGGAAAGAGGGGAAGGAGGCGTGAGTGAGTAGGGAGAAAAAAGGAGGCTTTCTTCTTTCTGTTATATTTTGGGCAAAGGATGTTAAACTTTATGCTTTAATGAGCTTGTAAAAAGGCTAATTTGGGTTCACTACATTACTCCAGGTCTGTTTTCTGCTATGTCTGGTCAAGAGACACCGCCGTGGAACTCTTCACTGTTGTCCCTGGAGGGGAAGCTTTTCACAGGAAACGCTGGGAAGAGCCACAGAGGGGAAAAGGTTCTAACTCCCTAAATGACCATTTGCTTCAAAGCCTGCCCAGCCCGCAAAACTTTTGAAAAGATCAGTCTAGTTTTAGAAATCCTGGTCACTTCTTTATCTCCTGTTAACCAATTTGGGGGGACAAAATGTCACAACATGTTAGCAATTGAGGGAGCCCCAAGTGCCAGCACTTCTCTCATCTGTTCTTCTCATTTGCTGCTGCCAGAGTAACTTCTGAGAGTTTAGACCCCAAAGCCCCCTCTCTTTGTTCAAAAGCCTTCAAAGCCTCAGATCCCTCATCCTTAAAAGGGACATAATAATACTTAGGCATAGGCTTTTATGGAAGATAGAAGAAATATTTATGAACAGTCTACAATAGGATTGGTCACATAGTAGGTTCTGGATGAATGGAATTATTGTTATTACTGCCTTAAATAGAGAGAAATAGAGAGTCCCTAAAATGGCATTCAGGGCCCTCCACGAAGTGGTCCCAGGTCACTCATCCACTTGCACGTCCGGTAAGCTTTTCGAGGACATGGTGTGCACGCTGCCCGGCTTTGTCTTCCCAACACACCTTGCACCTGCCCCTCCCTGTCCTGCTCAGGCTACTCCCACGGCTGGGAGAACTGCCTTTTTTCTCTCTCTTGCTCCTTCTATAGTGCCTTTTAAATCCACTCAGCTGAAGTTAATTATTCTCTCTCCCGTACTTCCATTGAAACTTGTTTATAATTTATTCCAGTACTTACAACAGACTGCCTTGTATTATGATTACTTGTATATGCTTCATACCCGTTGTCCATCCCCAATCCATGGAACAGCAATTTATCCTCCTTAGACTACATCTTAATTGTTTTTCTATCACCCACAGAGTATTGCACATAGTAGGCGATCAATCATATGAAACTGAATATAAAGAAGACAACTACATGTCCCTGTTGTCTCTGAGATTCTACAATTACAGGAAGGCTTATTCTCATTTTCAAATCTTGCTAAAGAGCTTCCTCTCACTGAGCACCTATCATGAGCCAGGCACTATGCAGACTTGGAGGTTAACCCTCCCAAAAGCCCTGTGAGGAGAGAATCGTCATCCTCACTTTACACAGAGGCGGATGGCTGGGATCTCCCAGCCTGTACGTGGTGGAGGCAGCATTAGAAACCAGAAGCCACAGTGTGCTGTGAGCTTCCTCTAAGAGAGCTTCTCTCACAGTGAACTTGCCTTAATTTTCATTCTACAGCACTTGTCAACCAACTGAACTGTATTCTATAAAACTGGCTTATTGTTGCTTGGCTATATATTTTTTGTCTTTGTCTTGATTCTCCAAGTATATTTTAATATAGTTGTAGGGAAACATGATAATAGAAATAAATAAACATGTATTAAGCATTTATAATGTTTTTAGCACTTTATACACACACATCCTATGAAGACGTTATTAACCCCATCCCATGGGGAGTTTCACTGGGGTAGCTGCTGCTAGCAGGAAGTTACTACCTGGGAGAGCAGTACTCACGGAAGAGACTATTTTTCCACCCTACAAAAATTTTTCTTTCAACCACCAGCATGCCAGCTGCATCTCAGCTCAGCCCTCAATGTTTGCTGAATGAGTGATGGGATCTCTTTTATCTCTCACCTATGCTGTTTACCCTGAATCCCTGACTCTATACATAGCCTGTGGAGTGACAGGTCCTTACTTGCCCTCTCCTCCCACTGGAGAAGGAATCGGGAGAATGAGAGAGGAGGCATGGTTCTGTACCAAACAGACAGAGGCAGTCTCAGGAGATGAGCCTTCAGCCCACGTAGAAGTGATGTGGCATCTCTTCTGGGCTAGCAGTTCTCTAGACGTGGTCCTCTCATCAGTTGGGTCAGACTTTCCCAAGTGCTTGTTAAAATGCATATTCCTGGGCTCTACCCTGACCCACCGAATGTGCCTCCCTAGAGGGAGAGACTAGAAATCTACATTTTGAACAAGGCCTGCAGGTGATTCCTCCAGGCCCTGGAGTCTGAGCAGGACAGCCTGGTCTAAGCATCTCCTCAGCAGCTGCTGCAAAGACAACGTGCATTTTTTCTCAGGTATCAGCATTCATATAAATAAAAAAGAAACCATTTAAAATTTCATTTTATTGCTTCCAAGGATTGCCCGTTGTCCAAAGGTTACAGGGTAGTTTGACACATTCCATATGTCTATTTTATGATGTGTAAAAGAAAAGAGTGGTTCCATAGCATAGCTTTAGTGCTTCCTATTATTTTCCTTTGCAAATCTCTCGAGTTGGAGCTGTGTTGTCAGTTACTCTTCTGAACACAGTTCTATGAGAAAGTGTATTCTGAATTTCAAACAACAATTTCATAAATAGATTTTCAGAATACAGCATGTTCCTACGTAGGGAACTGCCTGTATTTTAAAGTTTTTGTGGTTATTTGTTCCTGAGAAAAAGATTTTTACAATTGGCCCTAGAAGGATGTAGACTGGGGGGGCTCTGAACTTTTCCAAATCACCGTCTCACAGATCTCTGGCTAGCGTCATCGCTTACTTTATTCCGTAAATAATTTCTAGGTGTTTCTGGGAGGTTTGCCAATTGGGGATATATAAATTAGAGGTATAGAAAGTACTCTTTTTTCCCCTCTCATTTGTGAATTTGTTCATTAACAAATGCTTCTTGGGCACTTCCAGGGAGTAGATGCTGTGCTAGACACGAGATTCAGACAGGGGTGTTGCTTTCTGTCTCTGAGAGGTTCATGGTGGAGCAAAAATTATAGACCACACAGGGGAGAAGTTGGTGGTAAGAAGATGCAGTGGGATTAAAGGCCTAAAGAAGAGAGAGTTGAACAGTCTGTGGAGGGAGAATAAAAGAGGAGTCTCAAACATCTACCAGGAATTCTGTTGATTAATTGTTTGAGATGGGGGTCTGGCTCTGTCTGCCAGGCTGGAGTGCAGTGGTGTGATCATAGTTCACTGCAGCCTTGACTGCCTCCAGCATCAGCCTTCCGAGTGGCTGGGACCACAGGTGTGCACCACCATGCCTGGTTATTATTTTTGTTTGTTTATTTTTATTTTTGTAGAGATGAGGTCTCGTTGTGTTGCCCAGGCTGGTCTTGAACTCTCGGGCTCAAGTGATCCTCCCGCCTTGGCCTTTCAAAGTGCTGAGATTACAGGCATGAACTATCGCACCTGGCTTTGCTTTGTATAATGAGAGAAAACAATGTGGACTGTAACCTCTACTACTTTGAATGTTCCCAACCTCTGCTGGGCTAGGGATTGCACAAGTGGAGTTCCCTCAATATTTGTGGCAGTAGCAAAAATTCCTTTCCCTGTGTTAGGGTGTAGAGGCAGGGGAAATAGACTAGGGTGATGTTTCAAGTGGGTGATGGGCAGAGGATGCTAACTGAAAAGTAGCAGACAGAGACGACCCTGATTTCTATAGACTTGTAGGAGGTAGGAACTCTATTTCTTCAGAGACTCTAAACCTACTTCCTTGCCACTTCCTCCTTTTGGTCCTGGTTTTGTCCACTGATATCCAGAAGAATAAATCCTATTCTTAAAAAATTTTTTTAGAGACAGGGTCTCATTCTGTCACCCAGGCTGGAGTGCAATGGTATGATCATAGCTCACTGGAACCTCAACTCCTGGGCTCTAGCAATCCTCCCACCTCAGCCTCCTGAGCAGCTGAGACTAGAGACGTGTGACACCACGCCTGGCTGATTAGAAAAACAAACAAACAATTTTTCTTTTTGTAGAGATGGAGTCTCATTATGATGCCAAGGCTGGTCCCGAACTCCTGGCCTCAAGTGTCAACTCTTTTTTTTGCAGGGGGTCTTTGCAGATGTGTGATGGCAGCTTCCGTGCTTCCCCCGCCCTCCCCTCCCACTGAACATTCACTCATTCATTCCAACATCCAGTCAATAAACATTTATTTATTTACATGCCTGCTTTTCCAGGAACTGCGTCAGGTGTGGGAGAATGGAAATGAAAACGGGGCCCTGTGTTTATATGGGAGGACTGGCATGTGGACACATGGTGACACCATGGCCTCACAAGTGATCTACAAGAGAGGAGCACAAGGGGTCCAAAAAGGTGGGTAGGGGGACTTCTCAGGGACAGATGATGGTGCCCCATCTGTGTCCTGAAGTCTATTCAAGGCCTTCCATCTGCCCTTGTGTGACATGGCGGCACCCACTGACAACCGCAGGCAGTGGAGGTCCCAGGGGCCTACCAAGTAGTGGGCTGGAGGCAGAGGTGCTCATCTCTTCCCAATTCTGCATCCAGTGACATCTGGTGCTAGTTTCAAGCCAGCCATGGTGGGAGTATTTAAGCCATAGCAATCTGCAAATGCTATAAATCAGGACTCTCTTTCTCCCACCCCCATCATACCTGATTGTCAAATATTTACTAGTACAGCATAGATCCTACCATACCATTCTACCCCAATGCCCTGTAGAAACTAACATAGGGATGAGAAAGAGATGCAACCTACCTTCTGGTTCTAACATGAATGGTCTGCCTGCTGTTCCTACCCCTACCTCCACCAAGGTTATGGTTGAACATTCCCTGGGGACTCTCAGAGTGACTCCTTTCCTTCACTGCATACCTCAATAGAAGCCCTAATGAGTTTCTGGGAGTGATGGTTTGTGGCACCATGTTGAGAATCACAGTAAGCTTGTTTCAGATGGTGGGTTTTCCTAAGGCTGATGCAGGTACAGAAACTAGAGACTACTGGCCACATGGCTCTTTTCAAATGTTTCCCACAGAAATATCACTGTCAGTGGAGGATAAACTTGTGTCTTCCTCCTCAGGTCTTGAGGCAAAACTTGAAGCACATCCCTGCATGCTTTAGTTTTGTTTGTTTGTTTGTTTGTTTTTTACTGGCATCATGTTTGTTCATTACAATTTATAGAAATGTGGGCTGCAACTCCATGATCTTTTCATGATTGCTTAATATAGAAATAAACAGTAGACAAAAAAAGAAAAAGAAAAAAATAAAAAAGGAATAAACAGTAGAAACATGCTGTTTATCCTTTTGTGTTTGGGTGGTGAATGGAGACGGAGAAGAGTCCCGAGTTGAACTCCCAAAGCTGAGTTGTGGATGAGCTCAAATTATCGTTGGGCTACTTTGTTCTAGATGACAGTCTGCCTTTCATAGTCGAAATGGATTAAACTAGAAAAACAAATACATTGAGACATTTGCTTTTGCGGCCTGGGTGTTGGTGTTACCTCATCTCTGCAGCATTAAAAAAAAAGGGAGGAATAGGAACTCAGCCAATTTGCCATCAGTCCACAGAGTGAGATTCAGCTCGTTTTGTTGGATTCTGGATGCATGTTTTTCGGCTCTCTTCTGCTGACAATTATATTTAATGGTAATTTAAGAAATTGATTGATGCCATTGAGTCCTATGCAGTTTTACAATTGATTTCTAATCTTCTCTGGAAACTTGAAGATACAGAGAAGAAAAGAAACGAAAGAATGAAGACACTCATCATGTGCCTACTGTGTGCCAGACACTCTCTCTTATGCCATTTCAGTCTCACAATCACCCTGTAAGGGAGAGAAGACCCTGAAGTCTGGGAAGTGAGATGGGCTGCCTAAGGTCACACACCTGGGGTAGCAGGAAGTAGACTCAGTCCTGTTGGGCGTCAGGACCCAGGCTCCTTCCACCTTGCTGCTTCTCCTCATAATCACCAGATGTTTTCAAAATCCAGAGAAGCTGGTGCCAAACTCAATTTTTCACAAACCAAGCAGAGACTAGAGCTCCTTGTGTGGGGAGATATGTCCAGGGGATGTCCTGCCATCAGTGTCCTCCTAGAGCTGGGGGCATTTGGCCAGAGTGCCCCAAAGGGGTGCAGGATCATTCCTGTGGTGGTGAAGCAGGGGGGACCAACCCATGAGCAGCTGCAAGAGGAGAAATGGAGGCAAAAAGAGCAGTAACAACTACTGAAATTAATCTATCCCCTCCTCTGCACTGGTCACCTTGCTGGGCCAGTTCTCATCCTGACCCTACAAGGAAGGTATCATTATAAGCATTTTACAGATGAAGAAGAAACTGAGCCTCAGAGAGTTGACACAACTTGGCCAAAGTCACACAACAAAGTTTTCTCCTGGAATTTGAACCAAAGACTATAGGGCTCTAAACTCTGTGCTTTTTTTTTTTTTTTTTTTTTTTTTTTGAGACTGAGTCTCGCTCTGTCACCAGGCAGGAGTGTAGTGGCGCAATCTCGGCTCACTGTGGCCTCTGCCTCCTGGGTTCAAGCGATTCTCCTGCCTCAGCCTGCAGAGTAGCTGGGACTATAGGTGCATGCCACCATGCCCAGCTATTTTTTTTGTATTTTTAGTAGAGATAGGGCTTGACCACATTGGCCAGGAAGGTCTCGATCTCTTGACCTCATGATCTGCCTGCCTCCGCCTCCCAAAGTACTGGCATTACAGGTGTGAGCTACCACACCCGGCCAGTTTGTGCTGTTTCTACTGTGCCAAGCCATCCTCTGGAGGTAACTTTGAGGTCCATTTTCTTTTTCTCTCCCATTGCAGACCACTTTGGGGACTGCTTTTTATGTAGGTTGCTTGTCATGTTTTCTTTTTCTATTTCATTGTCCCTGCATATTATTTACCCCTTTGCTTTTCCCTGACATTCTCCTCATCATTGTGGTTTTTCCTCCCCAAGTAGCAACCGTCATCTGGGGTCATCTTTGGCCTCTTTCTGCAGGTACACAAACCTGCTGCTGTTCCCTTCTGTTGGAGCTGCTGCACTCCCCCTTCCATACCCGAAACCAGTACAGAAAAAGCATATCTGCAACAGACATACCTGGAGGGTGAGGGCCAAATAAAAGAAATGGTAGGTTTTGGTGTTCTGTACAGTCAGTGAGATTTCTTGGTAGGAAACCTAGAAGGATTTCTAAACCCAGCCATCACTGCTATAGCCTCCAAAAGGACTTCCCAGGAAAAAAATGTCAAACTGGAGGGATAAACAAATATTGGTCTTGGCTACTTTGGCTGTTCATCTTTCCAGAAATAGGACCTGGGGAGGTGGTCTTCTCAGACAGGGTCTGTCCAGTTTTTCCCATCATATTGGGTTCCACTTTATTAAATGGAAAATTTGAAAATAGCACCTCAAACTCAACACGTCCCACATTCAACTTGTATCCTAGTACCCCACACATTTGCATCTTCCCTGTGTTTCTTTCCTTAGAGAATGGCTCCCACTCTCTGCAAATTCAGTCAAGCTAGGAACCTCAGGGTTAGCTGAGACTTCCCCTCTCCTGGACCCCCTTCCACCTTCAGTCCCTGAGCGATGACAATTCATTTTGCTTTCTTGTTGATTTCCAAATCTGCTGCGAAAGAGGAAGATTCCTCATTGCTGCACTTCCTGCCTGCGTTTAGGCTTGCATCCTCTCTCCCTGGACAGCTGTGCTGGCCTCCTGGTCATTTTCCCTGCCACAAGCATTGTTGTGCCAGTCCAATCTCCTAATCTATACCTTCTGTCCTGCAGCCAGAATGAGCTTCCCAAAGTACAGATCTAATCATGTCACTCTCCCGTGATTTCATCTTGTCACAGTCTCCCTGATACTTCCAATATAAAATCTTAAACTACTTTGGCCAGCCTGTAAGACCCTTTGTGATTTGGCCCCCTCTTACCTTGTTCTGAGTCATTTTTCACCTCTTCCCACTCCTTCCTGTGCTCCGCACATTTTGAACCACTTCATTTGGAAGTTTAAGTAGTTATCACTCCTTGTGGCTCCCTGAAACATATGTTTCCGTTTTGTTTTGCTTTTTAGACAGGGTCTTGCTCTGTCACCCAGGCTGAAGTGCAGTGGTGTGATCATGGCTCACTGCAGCCTCAACCTCACAGGCTCAAGTGATCCTCCTGCCTCAGCCTCCCACGTAGCTGAGATTACAGGCATGCACCACCATGCCCTGCTAATTTTTGCATTTTTTTGTAGAGATGGGGTTTCACCATGTTGCCCAGGCTGGTCTCGAACTCCTGGGCTCAAGCGATCCACCTGCCTTGGCCTCCCAAAGTGCTGAGATTACAGGCGTGAGCTACTGTGTCTGGCCAAAGTATGTGTTTTTATCCCCACTTTTAAGTGAAGAATCTGAGCCTCAAATCACAGAGCTGCTAAGTGGCAAAAGCTGATTTTAAAGACAAGCCTCGCTGACTCTGAAGATCAGGGTCTTTAAGACAGAATAGGGGAGCCTGGTGTACTTCGTGGAGTCCTCCAGGTCTGCAATGAGGAAGAGGAGGAGGTGGAAACATTGCGACTCAGAAAGCCCTGACATCATCTCACTGTAGCCCTATCCTTTTTCTCTGACCCAGATGGTGTTGCAGATGTGAGGGGTGACTGAGCCCCAAGATTAATAATCTTTGCAAAACTCACTGGGGCCAAGGAGAAAGCAAACCATTCATCATGTGAACTGTGCTCAGATTCCATTGCTTGAGTTTAATCAGACTAATGAACCAGCTGGCTTCCTTTCTAAAATGATTTCTGCTGTTTCCATAACTGAATAACAGCACAGCAGGATTTGAAAGGAAGAGAGAAGAAAATTCGACTGGGGAGAAAAGACATCCTCCAAGTTAGCCAGCTGACAAGTTGGCTGTGCTGGTAAATGCCGGGCAGAGTGGCTGGGGTATGAGGAGGAACTGTGTGGGACCTTGCTGATGTCCAGTCCAGGCCTATTATCTCCAAGCAAATGTTCTCAAGGAAGAGAGGAGACTTTTTAAAGGGTGGATAAGGACAGCTCCAGGGGACTTACAGGCCAGTGTGCTCAAAGAACAGCCAGGGTATTGAAGGAAGCTGAACCCAATGAATACATTCATTTATCTAACATTTATTGATTCTGCCGTGTGCTGCAATATTTTAAACACTGAAAATACAATGATGGGCTCTGCCTCAAATAGTTTAAAATCAAGGCAATTATTTTCAAATATCTTTAAACCACAAAATCATTTGTTCAAACAAAGCCTTTAAGATAAACCCAACAGTGAAACAAAGGCAAAGCTCTATGTGGCCCCAATGAGCCCCTTCTGAACACTACACAGAGTTAAGTGGACCATGCTGAGGAGCAGGACTCGTGGGCAGAGGACACAGAACTGTCTTCTAACATTTGATGGTGATCCTGGGGAAGAAGGGTCTGATGTATCCATTGTGGTTCCATGTTAGTCAAAACTCTATTAAGAAGAAACAACAGAAAGTGAACCCAAACCGCTGAATTATCAAGCTGCAGGAAGAACAGGGAAATGAATGGATCTCATGAACAACTGGAATCAGGGATGGAATGTCATCAGTTCTGTATCTTCCCCTCCCCTTTCCTCCTAAGCCCAATCTTATCTCTGCTTCTTTCTGAACTTCAGCCTCATCCTCTCACACTCCAGACCAACTTTCTCTAGATGGCAGAAAACAATGATATCTTGTCTTGGTTCTAACTTTTAAAATCCCAGGGAAGGAATTTGATTGACATGAGTGAAGTGCTCACTCTTGGACCAACCATCTGTGGCCTATGTGGAGGAGAAGATGATAGAAGCTCCAGCTGATTTCGTGGGGCTGGAAGGAAGTTCCACGGAACTCTCTTAAAGGACCCAAGGGATAGAATCAGAGACAACAAGCCAAAAGTTAGAGGGAAATACATCTTGGCTCAAGAAAAGAAAAAAGTCCTAATGGTCAGAGATGAGAAAGAGTTTCTCCTGCTGCTTCTAGCAGAATAGAATACATTTTTCATGTGATTCCCTCATGTGCTTTACTCAGAGTCAGCCAGGCTGCCTATTTATTTAGGAAAAGTTTTTTGCAGGTTTTGTTTTAGAGCGCACAGGATGTGATTGATAGGCTCTTCTTACAGAATGCCTAAGTATGTCATGTTGGGCTGAACCTCTCCTTGTTCAGTAGTAATAATAGTAATGATGGCTACTGAATGTCATGGCATTAATTTCACACTTTATCTTACTTAATCTTTGAATAAGTCCCTTAGGATGAGTTTTATCTCATTTTTCTTATAAGGAAACCAAGAGTGAGAAAAGTTAGGCAACTTGCTCAAAGTTACTCAGTGACTAAGTGGTGGAGCTGGGATTTGAACTGCAAAGTCTTGCTATTAATCGCTGCCCTATATTGCCTTCAAGACCCATCCTCCAACGCTAACCCCGTCTGTGTCTTTTTTGGCCAGGATAAGTGCCTGCTTGACATTCAATTGGCTCTGGGGCTTTTGAAATTATCATTTTAGCATGAAAAATGTCAGTGCTAGAGACAGAATGAGTGACCAGGAGAGATATTGAGGTAGGGATGGGAATGATTTAAAAGCAGAAGATTGGCTGGGTGCGGTGGCTCATGCTTGTAGTCCCAACACTTTGAGAGGCCAACGTGGGCTGATCACCTGAGGTCAGGAGTTCGAGACCAGCGTGACCAAAATGGAGAAACTCTGTCTCTACTAAAAATATAAAAATTGGCCAGCTATGGTGGTGCATGCCTGTAATCCCAGCTACTTGGGAGGCTGAGGCAGGAGAATTACTTGAACCCAGGAGGTGGAGGGCGCAGTGAACCAAAATCACACCACTGCACTCCAGCCTCGGTGACAGAGTGAGACTCCTTTAAAAAAAAAAAAGCAGAAGATTAAAATTCATTCATCCACTCATTCCACAGACATTTGCTGAATTCATAATACTCTAGAGATAACTCAAAGTACCTTCTAGTCTACTCCATACTCTACATTCTAAGGGAGTCCCCACCCAGAGGCCTTGCCTCAGTGAGTGGCCATGAACATTTGAGTACCCATGTCCTATGCCATATGGTAGCCCACACACTGACACCCTGACTGGGCCATTTGATCACCTGACATAAGGATGGCCAACTAACCTAGAGGTTGGCCAGTGGTTATAACTTGGGCTTGCCTTGAAAAGATGAGCTGGGACAAAAGGATCCTCCTGCTCTGAAAACCTAAGCCAAGAGACACAAAGAGAAATTGCCAGTTAGCTCTGGGAAGAGAGGGACAAACTTATGGGTTTGGGTGCTGGTATGGCCATATGGATTGGATGACCAAACATCCCAGTTTGCCATGGAGAATCTCAGTTTATCCCAGCATAATTATGACTAGGATCCCTTTCTCTCTCATAAGTATCCTAATTTGGAGGAAAAAACTATTCAATCACCCTAATTATGGACCATGATGGGATGCGGAGTGGGAAAGGAGAGGGAGGAGAGACGAGACTGGGGTCAGGCCTTGAAAAGCCCTGTGGGTTAGGTTAAGGAGTCTTGATTTTTGTGCTGAAGACAATGGGGATTTTAAGCATGAAAAGTATGAGTTCAGATTTTTTTTTGCTTTTAGAAAGAGTACTCTGATAAAGCGTGAACAGCAGATCAGAGATAGGTGGAAGTGGAGGCAAGGAGATCATCTGGGAGGCTCATTGAACAATCCAGAGAAAGGCTGGCTGGAACTAGACTAAGTGACTGCAGAGATGAGAAGGCAGATGTGCTCAAGGAATATCCAGGAGAAAGAGTTGAAAGAATTTTGGAGACTGATTAAATTTTGGGGGGATGAGGGAGAGAAAGGTGTTAGGAGGGAGAGCAAACTTCTTGTTTGGGCAGCTGGTGAACAATGCCACCTTTCACCTAGAAGGTGTTGCTGGTGGCCGGAAGATGGAGAGTATAGCTTTGAACATGTTGGTTTTGAAGGCCATTGCGTTAGTCAGAGTTCTCCAGAGAAACAGAGCCGACAGAAGGATGGATGGATAGATAGATTGATTGATATATTAAAGGAATTGGCTCACACCATTGTGGAGGTTGAGAAGTCCCACAATCTGCCATCCACAAGCTGGCAAACCAGGAAATCCATTGATACCTGCAGTTGGAGTCTGAAGGCTCAAGAGCTAGGAGCTTCAGTGTCAGGGGCAGGAGAAAATGGATATCCCAGGTTTTCTTCTAGGGTTTTTATGGTTTTAGGTAACATAAAAACCTTAGAAGAAAACCTAGGCATTACCATTCAGGACATAGGCATGGGCAAGGACTTCATGTCTAAAACACCAAAAGCAACGGCAACAAAAGCCAAAATTGACAAATGGGATCTAATTAAACTAAAGAGCTTCTGCACAGCAAAAGAAACTACCATCAGAGTGAACAGGCAACCTACAAAATGGGAGAAAATTTTCGCAACCTACTCATCTGACAAAGGGCTAATATCCAGAATCTACAATGAACTCAAACAAATTTACAAGAAAAAAACAAACAACCCTATCAAAAAGTGGGCAAAGGGTATGAACAGACACTTCTCAAAAGAAGACATTTATGCAGCCAAAAGACACATGAAAAAATGCTCATCATCACTGGCCATCAGAGAAATGCAAATCAAAACCACAATGAGATACCATCTCACACCAGTTAGAATGGCAATCATTAAAAAGTCAGGAAACAGGTGCTGGAGAGGATGTGGAGAAATAGGAACACTTTTACACTGTTGGTGGGACTGTAAACTAGTTCAATCATTGTGGAAGTCAGTGTGGTGATTCCTCAGGGATCTAGAACTAGAAATACCATTTGACCCAGCCATCCCATTACTGGGTATATACCCAAAGGACTATAAATCATGCTGCTATAAAGACACATGCACACGTATGTTTATTGTGGCACTATTCACAATAGCAAAGACTTGGAACCAACCCAAATGTCCAACAATGATAGACTGGATTAAGAAAATGTGGCACATATACACCATGGAATACTATGCAGCCATAAAAAATGATGAGTTCACGTCCTTTGTAGGGACATGGATGAAATTGGAAATCATCATTCTCAGTAAACTATCGCAAGGACAAAAAACCAAACACCACATGTTCTCACTCATAGATGGGAATTGAACAATGAGAACACATGGACACAGGAAGGGGAACATCACACTCTGGGGACTGTTGTGGGGTGGGGGGAGGGGGGAGGGATAGCATTAGGAGATATACGTAATGCTAAATGACGAGTTAATGGGTGCGGCACACCAGCATGGCACATGTATACATATGTAACTAACCTGCACATTGTGCACATGTACCCTAAAACTTAAAGTATAATAATAATAATAAAAAATAAAAAATTAAAAAAAAAAAGAAAATGGATATCCCAGCTCAGGAAAAGAGAGAGAGAATTTTCTCTTCCTCCTCCTGTTTGTTCTATACAGGCTGTCAACAAATTAGATGGCACCCACCCACATTGGTGAGGGTGATCTTCCATACTCAGTCTACTGATTCCAGTGCTAATCTCTTTGAGAAACACCCTCTCAGACACACCCAGAAGTAATGTTTTCCCTGCTATCTGGGCATCCCTCAGCCCTGTCAAGCTGACATGTGCAATTAACCTTTGCAGTTATCAAAGTGGCAGCTAAATGATTAGAACTCAATTAAGGAAGAGGGGTCTTGGCTGAAGATGCTAAATGGTGTGTGGTTGTCAGGGAGGTAGTTTCATTCATGGGAACGGAAACAGCACCCAGAAAAGATGAGTAGGGTGAGGAGAAGGCGGGTGAGAGAGATGAGTCGTGAGGACAACCCTCACAGCTGACTGTACTTCTGTGTTTCTTACTCTCCTTTGTATTCTAGTTATATTTTTTTCTTGCCATTCTCCGCCGTAGACTGCAATCTTTTTGAGGTCTGGCACCCTTGTAATCCGTGAGTCACTCAGCATAGTGCATTTACATAGCACATTGTTAGTATGTATTTGGCTGAATGATGGAAGTGTTTTAAAGGCCCATGAGATTGACCACCAAGAGGTCACTGATAACCTTGGGTGGGTATTTTTTCATGATGTGCTGGGGCAGATGCCAGGGTGCAATGTTACATGGAACAGAGGGTGATGGGAACACAAACCAGTAACTCAAGCTATAATCTGGGCTGCCTCCCTTTCCTCTAGCCCATTCTCTTGTTACAGTAGGTAGCTAGTCAGACATGAGCAGGGCAGGAGAGTGCCAAACCCCACCAGGAATGTCAGGCAACCATCAAGTGTGGTCAGGTGGCGTTAAGCTGTCTCTCTAAAATAATAATTGGTCACAGCCAGTGCCAGAGAAAAGCAGTCTCCCGATAGATGGAAAAAAACCTGAAACTGGTGATCAGCATCTTCCCAATAAGATTTCAAGATTTGGTTGAGTGGGCTCAAGCATGTACACTAAGAGGCAAAATGGTGGAGTTTAACTGGTGTGCGACCTTCTAGGAACATTGAACTGGTAAGGGAAGAACGCCTCAAGTGAGCATGCGTGCAACTCCAGTAAACACGCTGCACATGCAGCTCCTTCCAAGGGCTGGCAGGCCACTGTGCATGCAGAGAGCCCACCCTAAGGGAAGAATCAGGAGAGGAGAGATGCAAACTCTGGAAGCATGCCAACATTTAAAGCCCCAAGTCAAAGGTCAAACTGCGCACTTGATCTCTCAAGTCGCCTGCTTGGCTCTCTTCCAAGTGTACTTTACTCCCTTTTGTTCCTGCTCTAAAGCTTTTTAATAAACTTTCACTCCTGCTCTAAAACTTGCCTTGGTCTCTCACTCTGCCCTGTGCCCCTCGGTTGAATTCTTTCTTGTGAGGAAGCAAGAACTGAGGTTGCTGCAGACCCGTATGGATTCGCCGCTGCTAACATAATTTGGTACCTCATGACTCAGATATGTTCCCTAGTGGTAACTCTCTCACACCTCACATTTTGAAGGAGGTATTTTTAATTATTCTTGAATAAAGGAATTGAGTCATTTGGGAGGGACAATAGCAAAGGGAGGAGTCAGAATGTCTATTGACCTGTTTTGTTTTTCCCTTTAAGGGTAATGCCACTAGAAAACCAACAGTACCACAATGTAATAGGAAGCATTATACTACGTGAAACTCCAGCTCTGTACTTGGGAAGGGCACCATTCAGATAGCCCAGAATCATAGGAAGAACTTTGGAATTTGAAATCAGATCAACCTGGGGCCAGTATCCAGGTCTATGCTTTACTTACCTAATAGCTTTGTAAACTTTGTAAAGTTTCAATATCTCTGAATATTAAGTCACTTATCAGAAAAATGGGCATAATAGTGAGTACCTTTCAGTTTGCATAGCTAATCCATGGGTAACAGAAACTGAAACTTACAGAGGTTTTATTTACATACTCAAGGCACTTGGCTAGTAAGTGATAGAGCTGGGATTTCGACCCAGCTGTCCTCAGTTTTGGTGCTTTTGTACTTTCTAGGGCACACCGCTGCTTGGCACACCGATGACTTGTACATGCCCTCAACTCCTCTTTGGGAATGAAACAAGGCATAAATAACTAGAGAAATGCTCAGATCAAGAGTATATCAAATCCTCTTCCTTATCCTCATTTTCCTTGGGACCTTAGGAAAACCTCTATTATCACTGAGGTTTCTCATCTCAGGTTGGGAAATTATACGGCCCACTACACAGGCTAATTTTGAGGCTTAGAAGAGTTAATGTCAACAAAGGCACCCAGCAGTGTTTACACAGTAGGTGCTAATGAAATGGTAGCTAAGGGTGATTCTAACTTTGGGGTGTGGGGTTAGCTCTTCTAACAAGCTTTGCTGATAATGACAGTGATTGTTGCTGTGGTGGAGGTAGTTGTAGTAAGAAAAGCATTAGCTAACATTTGTAGAACACTGGAAAATCTTCACGTGCCAGGAAGTAAGTCTCATTTAAATTCACGACAACCCTGTTAAACAGGTGTCATTATTTATTCCCATCTTACAGATAAAGATAGCAAGGCATGAAGAAAGAGAATAAGTAACATGCCCAAAGTCATCTAGTTAGTAAGCAGTAGAACAGGGATCATATCCAGGGCTCAGTGTATCAGTGATGTTTCCACCTCCAGTGGATTCCAACACATGAACCCCAGGGTTTGGTCATAATTTATTCCCTTTGTGGGGTCTTTTGTGCTAAAAAGGAAATAGGAAGGCTCCTCACAAGCAGACCCGGCTGGTTTCCTTACCGTAATTCTGGGAGCTGATTCTGGGCTTTCGAGGACAGTGCTAACAGCTAGGCTAGAGGGGAGGCCATTGTCATGAAGTCATTGTCTCTAAATGGCTCCTTAACCCCAGCCTGTACTTCTGTGGCCCTGTGGCCTGCCAGTTCCCACTGAGAGACCCTGCCAGCCTTGCTGAGGCCACCGGGAGGGAGAGACGCGTGGGCTAAAGGCTGGAGAGACCCTCACATAGAGACTGGGAGAGAAGCAGAGTGAGAAAACCTGCTGAGTGAACTGAGTGGATGGGCAGCAGGGAGTCTGCCAGTCCGCTCATCTGTATGCTCTGAGGCTGAGAGCTGTGCGGAAGCCACTGCCCGGGCAGCGTCATTCGAATGTGGGTCATGAACCAATCGAGGCTCAGAGGCACCGTTCTGAGCTTCTGGGGGTTCTGATCCCATTCCCTGCTTGCCCCTGTCCTCTGTCCAACAATGAGATCGGCCTGTGGGTGTGGTATGTACATTCCCATACCAGAGAAGCAGAAAAAAACGAAAGTCCTGGGATCCATCCCCATCCCAGAATCCAGTCCCAGGACTGTGTCCTCTCACTCTCCCTGAAGCCGCTCTGGAGTCCTCTCCCCCAGATTGTTGGCAAAGCTGCAGAGCTTCTGATTCAGTGACATTTTACAGGATCACTGTGTTCTTTCTTTAGAGCCATTTCAGATAGAACTGAGAACAGGAAGCCCACTGTCTCAGAGGATTAGATCGAGAATGGTGTTCCCCCAGCAGCTGAAGGCTGCAGGGTCTCAGAGCAGTGGGAGAGAAGAGGGAAGGAACCAACACCCCTTGTGTTCCAAGACTTGCATCACGTATTTTCACATATTGTCTTTTCTTTTAATCCTCTCAGGAATACTAGAAAGCGGGCAAAACTGTCCCCATTTACAGGTAGAGAACTGAGGCTGAGAGGGATAAAAGTGGCTTGCCTAAGATAATTCAGCAAAGTAAGTAGCCTGAAAGGCTTTAACACCAGTTTTCTCTAATTCTCCATGATGACTGTTCCTGCATGTCATGCATCCCCCAAGTTTTGCCACAAGCCAGGATTCCTGGGACACATTGCTGGGTTATAAGTCAATGCTGAATGTTGTGAGTTGGAGGTGCTTGCTTGTGCAGAGGGGGTCATTGTGCCTTATCCCCTTCTACAGAGTCTTAATCTAAGTCTGTCAGAAATTCTCATGGAAAGGCCAAAAATTCTGGAGCAGGAGGAAAATGTGTGGGTCATTTAATTCAAATTCCCAATTCATGAATTAAAGTTACAGTACCTAAAATAAACAGTTTGCTAGTTTGTGCTTGGAGATTTATAGATTGTAAAGGACTTTTATAAAGGGAGGAATTTTTATAAGAAATAGTAACAAGTGGCCGGGCGCGGCGCGTCATGCCTGTAATCCCAGCACTTTGGGAGGCCGAGGCGGGCAGATCACCTGAGGTCAAGAGTTCGAGACCAGCCTGGCTAACATGGTGAAACCCCGTCTCTACCAAAAATACAAAAAATTAGCTGGGCATGGTGGCAGGTACCAGTAATCTCAGCTAGTGGGTAGGCTGAGGCAGGAGAATTGCTTGAACTAGGAGGCGGAGGTTGCAGTGAGCTGAGATCGCGCCATTGCACTCCAGCCTGGGCAACAAGAGAGAAACTCTGTCTCAAAAAATCAAAAAAAAAAAAAAAAAAAAAGAAAGAAACAAGCGAGATTTGACCCCCACAAAGCACAGACTTACACATCAAACACCCAGAATTATGTGGTGGCAGTGGTCATGATGAAGGTGGTGTGGGATTGGTAACAGTAGTGATGGTGGCAGTGATGATGGTCATGATGGAGGTGGAGGTGATGATGGAGATGAGAATGACAATAATTACAACAATGAGGGGAGAGTGGCCATGATGGTGTTGGTGGTTATAGTGGTAGAACTGGCAGTGATGGTGGTAAGGGAGGACAATGGGGGGTGGTAGTGGAGGTAGAGGTGGCAATGATGGTGGCAGTGTAAGTAGTAAGGCCAGTGGTGGAAGCAATGTTGGCAGAGGAGGTGATGGTGGCCAATGATGAAGGTAGTGGTGATAATGGTGGTTGGAGATGAAGGTAGAGATGAAGGAGGAGGTGCAAGGGTGGTAATGGTGGTTAGAGATGGAGAGGGAGGAAATACTAGAGGAGGAGGAAAGGATAAAGGTGGAAATGGGGGTAGGGGTGATCTTGGGGAAGAAAGCGTGTCTCACTCTCTAAGATTTCTTGCGAGTTGGAGTCCCCAAAGCCTGAGGCACCAGTGCACATGCGGAAAGCCCCAGGCCCAGTAATGACAGAGCGTGATTTCCTTCCCAGGTGCTACAGTTGGGTTTGTTTGTCCCCTGCAAATCTCATGCTGAAATCTGATTCCCAATGCTGAGGTGGACTTCATGGGAGGCATTTGGGTCATGAGGTGGTTGGGTCATGGATGGACCCCTCATGAATAGCTAATGCCCTCCCTGAGTCAGAGGGTGGGGAGGTTGTTGGCTGAGTTCTCACTGTATTAGCTCCCATGAGAGCTGGTTGTTAAAAAGAACCTGGCACCACATCCCCTCTTGCTTCCTGTCTTACCACTCTATCTCTGCATATGCCAGCTCTACTTTGCCTTGTGCCATGAATGAAAGCAGCCTGAGGCCCCCACCGGAAGTAGATGCTGGTGCCATGCTCCTTGTATGGCCTGTAGAACCATGAGCCAAATAAATCTCTTTTCTTTATAAATTATGCAGCCTCAGGTTTTCCTTTATATCAATAGCAACATAAATGGACTAAGACACCAGGACACTAAACAATTGTCCAGATTGCCCCAGGGTAACTCATCCCTGTGAGGAGAATGAATAAATCCATGGATGTCTCCTGGCCTGTATCGCTAAGGGTGCTGCTTTGTTCTGGTGTCTGCCTAGGCTGGAATCCTGCATGCCAAAGCCATTGGCCTTCATTCCCATGTGGCCAGGGGATAGGGCCCTCAGGCTTGATAGAGTTATCTAAGCTGCGTGGGAATGCTTATGATGGAAACAATCAGGTCCACACACTCTAACACATTTCCTCTGATAGGCACATATATACTCACACACTCTGACACATCCACACACACATATCTGCACACACAGAGAGAGTTTCTGCAGAAGCTCATGCTCTTTGTCTTTAGAGCCAGTAGACAGAGGATGGAGTGTGTGCTCAATATGCAACATGTCCACCTCCACCATCCTGATCTGGAGTGGTTATGTAGTGCTGGCAGCTTTGCCACTGACTCAGCCACTGAGACACCACCAGTGAAGAAAAATGAGGTTGTTTGCCTCTCTGAAGTGAGAGCACACCAGATGAAGACTCACAAAGGGTGGCCTTGACAGCAGCTATTGATGGCCCCACGCTTGCCTCCAGGTTTGCCTTCTATTTCATTCTAGCGACCCTCTCATCTGTCAGGAGTAATATACGGGATATTTGATGAAAACATCCTCCATTCTGTGTTATCTGTATTGATTTGTATGGCTCATTGGCTTCCCTTCAGAAGTGGCTAGTTGCAAGGCTGGCTTAGTACAGCCTTGACCCGTAAGACTCCTGCTGTTTATTATGCTCCACAGTACTCCTTCCCCACAAAAACACGTGTGGTTCATACTCCATGCAACCCTCTATCCACCACCTCAAGCACTCCTAGTGGTACCACCCAAATCATAGATTCACTGAAGTGCCTTCCTTTAATACGATTTCTTAATTCCTTACATGGAGTAAGTAATAATCTCTAGAGCAAGAAGGCAGAAGAGCATGTGAATGTCATTCCTTCTTTGGTGCCTGGTGCTTAGGCGGCATTTAGAACATGTGTGTTCCAGGAAAGGCATGGGGGCTGGGGGATACAGGTGTAGAAGCTCTGCGTGTTTTCAAGGCCACATTAACCATGGTGCAGGGAAAGAGTCAACCCAAAACTTGGACGGTCTCCAGGAACAGAGGCCCCAGCTCAACACAACCACACCATATATATGGTTTCCTAGGTCTACAGGCTGTAAAGACAGCCACCAGGCAGTCCCTGCCTGGATGGCTTTGCACAAGACAATGGCACATGTTGGTACCTAGCAGTTCTCCAGAGACCCAATTTTAATGGTTTCTTTTATATCATAATTGCCTCCATGAAGACAAGTTGGCCCATGACAACTATAGCCTTTTGAAATTCTGGACAGTGACTCAGAGATTAGCCAGAAACCACACCGTGTCATCTGCAGGCACAAGACTTAGGCACTGTATGTACCTGGCAAGAATGTCTTTGCCATCCTGCCTAAATTCCACCCTAGATACAAGGAGAGGCCCTCAAATTCCAGTGAACAAAAGAAGAAAAGGCCAGTTTTAAGGAAATTGCCATTTACTTGAAAAAATAATACCCAGACTCTCTGTAGCAAATTCTGCTGGTTGCCAAGTGAATTTACCAACTGAATCCTCATTTTATTCAAGGATCCATCCATTACCAACTTGGGGCATTGCACTGGCATCTGTTTCTGATCCAGATGTGGGAATATGTATTTGATGCCTTCATTGATACCCAGATTGCATCATGCCTGGGCCTCCAGTTATGTCAGATAATACATTTCCTTATTGTTTCCGTCAGTTCGGTTCCATATGTTCTGTTCCTTACAGCCACAAAGATACTAAGTGAGATGCTTTGCAACACTAGCTGGAGAGGAAGATTCTCCATGTCTCCATGTGAAGAGAGGCAGAGAACAACACAGCCCCGCTCTTCTTTCCAGAAGGTCATCTCCCATGGTGACCTCAGAGGGCACTGCTCCTCTTTAATTCCCCAACCACAATCCTTTTATAAGCTCCACCCATAGAGCAGAGGGCAGGCTGGAGTATTTAAACAACCCTATCCCAGTGCTCTGGGATATCAATAGGAAAATAAGCATGGAGAACAATTTGTAATGAGATAATCTGGTTTTCAACATGTGATTTGGTTTTCTTCAGATTGTGGCATTGGTTTTCATTCAGTCTTTATATGATGGGCTCCACCTAGCATCATAGAGTCATGCCTTAGAGATCTATGCTCTTTGACATCTAGTCTGTGAGTGTGTGTGTGAGAAAGAGAGATACAGGGAATTCTCTCTCCCACTTCTCCGTTTCCTGTCTCAGGTCCTGCCTCTTCCTACACGATGATTGACTCAGGAAAGTCCACATTTCCCAGTCATAGGAAGAAGTCCTACTTAAGGCCACAACAGTTGCCTACCTGCAATGAATATTTATTGAATAATGAATGAGAAGAAAACTCCATCCCAGTTCAAGACATGACTCCAGCACTGATACAAGAGCCAGAAATAGGCTATAAGGGGGATAAGAGGATTAGTATAAGACATCTAGTGAGCCACACCTTTCCACCTACTGTGGATCCCCAGATCAGCTGGGCCCATGCCTGTACAGCCCCTGTTGAGCACAACATGAAGAGGCATTACAGCACATCTCCTCCAACCCATATTGGCAGTGGAGTGTGGTAGGAGTGGAATATGGGCCCATTGCCTGGCCTTGATCCCTTTTCTGCCATCTGCTTGTTGTGTGAACTTAAGCAAGTTATTTAGTTCTGTGGGCCTCAGTTTCTTCTTGTTCAAGCCTACTATATATGTAGCCATGATGATTAAAAAGATAAAATATATACCTGTGCCTGGTGCACTAGCAGTTTCCTAGTATGTGGTAGTTTTAGTTATTAGTAACCACTTAGCCAGTTTCCCACTTCTTCCCTTGACCTATTTCAGACACTCCTAGCTATCTCTTTGTAGCTCATTCTTCTGTTGATCTTCAATGTTATCTTCAGATTTGGCATACAAATTATTCCTTCCCAAGTTCCAATATTGGTGTTGACAATGTCCGACAGACATTCTTGGAGAATGACCACTGGCACTTCCAGACCCTAGAACTCTTCTTGTTTAGATGTGATCCCGGGTGCACTTCTACCCATCACATCTAGACAGGACTCTGGTGGCAGCCAGAAAAGACTGTCCCCAGGTTGAAAAAAGAGCCCAGAAGGCAGCCCCCGTGGAAATGTTGGAGAGGCGCATGGATCTCACTTGAGCTTTTGTCATCTCAACAATACGACTGCATCGAATGGCGTACCCCCATGCCAGCTTGGAGAGGAAGCAATCTGGGCATGGCCAGCTTGCTAAAGGGTTTGACCTCTCTCAATAAGGCCTGTCTGCCTGGGGTGGACCAGAGCCAACAGAATCTTCTGGGGCTACTACAGCCAGATACCTTTCAATGGGTTTTGCCGTTGATCTTAATCAATATAAGGAGGCAGAAACTGGATTGATAAATAAAAAGCAATCCTGGCCTGAAAGGCTTATGTTCAGAAATTCTCACCATTTCAAATAAATTTACCCAGTATTTGCGGGACATCTCCCATGAACCAGTCACTAACTATACTTGGCCATGTGATTACAAAGATGAGTAAAAGGCACTTCTCTTCTGGAGAGGCTCAGAGCCTCTAGAGAGAGGCAGGGGTGTGAGCAGATGGGGGTAGAGTAGGGTAATAATGATTATAGATTCCAAGACAGGGGCATAAATGAGGTGCAAAGGGTGCACTAAGGAAACAGAGGTCAGTTCGCCTGGGAGTAGGAGGTCAGAAATGGCTTCACAGAAAAAGTGACTCACGTATCATGAGTTCCATGATATTTATTAACTGACAAAACAGCACTAATTTCTGTGCTAAGGCATTTCACAGGCATTATCCCGTTTATACTTCACAAAAATCATGTGAAGTAGATATTATTCCTGATTTTCAAAGATGTGAAAAGGTAAGTCCAAAAGTTGCATGGCTAATCACGATGTTGGAGCTTTGACAGGATTTTAACTCTCAGTCTGACCACTCAAGTGCCCTAACTTTGGGGCCTTGTTTTGCCCATGCACACAAGCCTTAGTTATATAAGGGGATGCCTAGATGTCTACTCGTCATTCTGGTGACAGTAAAATACATGCAAATAAAACTCACAGACAGAGTAGCTAAGGTAAGCCTCCCTCCCTCATATCCCTATACTCTCTCAGTTTTGAAGGCATTGAACTTGACAAAACAAACAAACAAACAGACAAAAACTCTTCGCCCTCCAAAGCCACTATTCTTCTCTGTTCCATTACATTGGCCTTGAAATTGACAAAGGAAGGCCTATTGCCAAGGAAGTCAGAATAGAATGCTGGGGAGGGAGTGGGAGAGGAAGGGAGAGTAGGGAGAGGAGAGAGTCCTACTTGGGCTGTGAGGACTGAGGGCTGGGGGAAGTAAGGAGAGAGTGAGAGTGGAGGCAGTGGCACAATCAAAGGGAGAGAGTGAAGAGAAGATAGACCAGAGAATCAGGGAGAATGAGCAGAAAGAGCCATAGCCAGGCTCAAAAAGGATACGCAAGGAGGGACCACACAGCTGGGTTCTCTCTCCTGAGATAATTTCTATAGATTCAGTCAATCCTGGTTACTCCTGCCTTGATCTTTGTGTCCCAGACCTGAAGGCCTCATTAGGGGATGCTGTGCTGGTTCTTTAAAAATACAGACTCAAGTAATGGAAGTACTGGTTTCTGGGGGAAGGGGACTCAGTAAACCTAATTTCACTAAGCCCCAGTCTCTTCATCAGTGGAGGAGGGGATAGACCAAGTTGATCTCTAGGGACCTTTTCAACTTTGGTTTTCCAGGATTGTTCAGCCTGCACATTTTCCCTGGACTTGGTTGGAAAGAAAGGAGACTAAGAGCCTGGGAACTTGAGCCAACTCTGCAGGTGCATAGGAAGAAGCATCAGATTTAAGACAGAATCAATACATTGGCTTGGGGCTACAATTACCAAACATGTTATTTAAGGAAGCCTGTCTTAGTCTTACTCTCATTTACGTGGCTTTCCCAAAATTCTTTTGTCACTATATTTCCTTTTCCTCAAATATAGTAATCTCTAACTGAACATTTATCCAGAGGCAGAAGAAGCTGCTGTAGTGTGCAAGCCCCTAGCCCAGCAGTACAGGCTGAGTAGTGTCCCTCAAAGTGATCAGATCCAAATCGTGGTACCCATAAAGGCCACCTTACTTGGAAAAAGAGTTTTTGCAGATGTGATTAAGTGAAATTTTTAAATTCAATTTTCTTGTATTATTTTATTTTTTAGTAGAGATGGAGTCTCGCTATTGCCCAGGCTGATCTTGAAATTCTGGCTTCAAGTGATCCACCCACCTCAGCCTCTCAAAGTGCTGGGATTACAGACATGAACCACTGTGCCTGGTGATGGAGTTAAACATTCTGAGATGAGGAGATTATTCTGGATTGTCCAGGTGGGCCCTAAATGCAATCACATCTGTCCTTATAAGTGGGAGACAGATGGAGATTTGACACACACGGAGGAGAAGGCCATTTGTGGATGCTGGCCTTGAAGGCTGGAATGAGTGATGCAGGCACAAGCCAAGGAATTCCAGCAGCCACCAGAAGCTGGAAGGGGCAAGGAATAAATGCTCTCCTAGAGCCTTCAGCGGGATTGTGGCCCTGTGGATACTTTGATTTCCACACAGTAATACTGATTTTGGACTTCTGGTCTCCACCACTATGAGACAATAAACTTGTTTTTAGGACACTAAGTTTGTTACAATTTGTTACAGCAGCCATAGGAAACTAATACACTCAGCCTCATCCCACCCCCACCACCTATGTGTTCTTCTGCATCCATACCCTGCATTCTGAACACGCCATGGGCCTGCCATTTCCCTTGGAGGTGTGGGGTATCATCTTGACCCTCTGGATGAGCTGTAATTAAAAAAAAAAAAAAGCCATAGACCTGGAGGTAGAATGAAGACCTGAATTGGAAATCCAGTTTGTCACTTATTGGTGACGGGCAGAGGACTTAACCTCTCCAAGCCTGTCTTCTCATCTGTAAAACAGGAATGACAATCCCTGACTAGCTTGTTGTTGTCATGTTAGGAATACATGATATAATGGACTTAAAGACTGTTTGTGACCTTTAAAGCTCGACATATTCATGCCAGGAATCATTTACTGATTTCATTAAATTGTGTTTCCTGGACATAATCCTGGGCAGATTCCTACTGATATCAGCACACAATCCTGAGGAAATGCAATTCAGGGTCAGGTTGGGAAAAACTTTTGTGGCCCTTGCTAGGCTTGACATTTCCCAATGCTTGTTTTCTCTAATTCTGTGTGACACGAAGCCGTGGGACAAGGTGTGAATGATCTAAAGGAGGGTTGATGGATGTAAACCCTTTCCCAGGCCCCATACACAGGAGGCATTGAACTTGACAAAAATGACAAGTAACTGACACTACACTGGAGTAACTGACATGCTTTATCCACAAACTTGGTCAGACCATAAAAATCCTCAGTGTACTCTACTCATGACCTTAGCACCACCAAGGTGAAAGGATGTGGCATAAATCCAATAACTTGTGGACAATCTCTTATTTGCTTTGTATCTCTAGTATCTAGGTTGGAGGGCCCAATAAATGTTTGTTGGATGAATGAAGGAATAGGTAGATGCATCAATAAATTATTAAAGAAAGGGAATGAGTCCCGAATATCCACATAATCTCCAAACCACAACCTTCTCATATCCTCCGATGTTTCTTTTGACTATATGTTGAGGTTTTAGCCTCTGTTCCCCTGTCTTGCACTGTCTCCCTGGATCTCTGTTCTGAGCTTGGCTGAGACAAACTTTCACGAGTCTCCATCAAGAGTCACTGCCAGATCAAAGACACAATGAGAAAAGAAAACTACAGGCCAGTAGTCCTGATGAATATAGATGCAAACTCCTCAACAAAATACTAGCAGACCAAATCTAGCAACACATCAAAAAGTTAATTCACCATGGTTAAGTAGGTTCTATTCATGGGATGCAAGGTTGGTTCAACATAAGCAAATCAATAAATGTGATTCACCACATAAAAAGAATTAAAAACAAAAACCATATGATCATCTCAGTAGCTGTGGAAGAAGTTTTGTATAAAATCCAAAATTCCTTCATGATAAAAACCCTCAACAAACTAGGCATCGAAGGGACATACCTCAAAATAATAAGAGCCCTCTATGACAAACCCACAGCCAACACCATACTGAACAGGCAAAAGCTGAAAGCATTCCTCTTAAGAACAGGAACAAGACAAGGATGCCCACTCTCACCCCTCCTATTCAACATAGTACTGGAATTCCAAGCCAGAGCAATCAGGCAAGAGAAAGAAATAAAAGCATCCAAATAGGAAAAGAAGAAGTTGAATTATCTCTCCTCACTGATGATATAATTCTATACCTAGAAAACCCTAAAGACTCCATCTAACGGCTTGTAAAACTAGTAAACGACTTCAGTAAAGTTTCAGGATACAACAACAATGTACAGAAAATTAGTAGCATTTTTTCAGGAATGCTCTGGGGGATTTTAAAAAAATACAAATCAGTAGCATTTCTATACACAAATAATGTTCAAGCTGAGAGCCAAATCAAGAACACATTTCCATTTTCAAAAACTATAAAAAGAGAAAAAGACCTAGGAATACATCTAACCAAGGAGGTGAAAGATTTCTACAAGCAGAACTACAAAGCTGAAAGAAATCATACACAATACGAACAAATGGAAAAATATTCCATGCTCATAAGCTGGAAGAATCAATATTGTTAAAATGGCCATACTGCCCAAAGCAATCTACAGATTCAATACTATTCCTATCAAACTACCAATGTCATTTTTTACAGAACAAGAAAATACTATTCTAAAATTCATGTGGAACCAAAGAAGAGCCTGAATACCCAAAGCAATCCTAAGCAAAAAGAACAAAGCGGGAAGTATCACATTACCCAACTTCAGACTACAGTATAAGACCACAGTAACCAAAATATCATGGTACTGGTACAAAAGCAGACCCATAGACCAATGGAACAGAATAGAGAACCCAGAAATAAAGCTGCTCACCTACAGCCATCTGATCTTTGACAGAGTCAACAAAAATAAGCAATGCTGAAAGATATCCCTATTCGATAAATAATGCTGGGATAACTAGTTAGGCATATGCAGAAGATTAACACTGAACCCCTTCCTTATAAGTTATACAAAAATTAACTCAAGATGTATTAAAGATTTAAATGTAAGACTTTGAACTGTAAGAATCTTAGAAGAAAACCTAGGAAATAGCATTTTGGACATAGGCCTTGGGAAAGAATTTATGACTAAGTTCTCAGGAGCTATTATAACAAAAACAAAAATTGACAAGTGTGACCTAGTTAAACTAAAGAGCTCCTGCACAGCAAAGGAAACTCTCAACAGAGTTAACAGACAACCTACAGAATGGGAGAAAATATTTGCAAACATGCATCCAATAAAGGTCTAATATCCAGAATCTGTAAGGAACTTAAACAATTGAACAAGCAAAAGACAACCCTATTAAAAAGTGAGCAAAAGACATGAACAGACACTTCTCAAAAGAAGACATATAGGTGGCCAACAAACATGAAAAACTGTTCCACATTATTAATCATCGGAGAAATGCAAATCAAAACCACAATGAGATACCATTCCACAACAGTCAGGATGTCTATTATTCAAAAGTCAAAAAATAAAAGATGCTGGCAAAGCTTCAGAGAAAAGGGAATGGTTATACACTATTGATGGAAATATAAATTAGTTCAGCCACTGTGGAAAACAGTTTGAAGATTTCTCAAAGAACTGAAACAGAACTACCATTCAACACAGGAATCTCATTACTGGGTGTATATCCAGAAGAACATAAATCATTCTACCAAAATGACACATACACTCATATGTTCATCACAGTACTATTCACAATTGCAAAGATATGGAATCCACCTACATGTCCATGAATGGTGGACTGAATAAAGAAAATGTGCTACATATACACCACAGAATATTATGCAGCCATGAAAAAGAACCAAATCATGTCCTTTGAAGCAACATGGATGAGCTGGACGCCATTATCCGATGTAAATTAACCCAGGAACAAAAAGCCAAATACTGCATATTATCACTTGTAAGCGGGAGCTAAACATTGAGTACATATGGACATAAAGATGGGAAAAATAGACTCTAGGGACTACTAGAGGGGATGAGAGGGAGGGGATAAGGGCTAAAAAACTAACTCTTGGCCAAGATGCGGGGGCTTATGTCTGTAATCACAGCACTTTGGGAGGCTGAGGTGGGCAGATCACTTGAGTTCAGGAGTTTGAGACCAGCCTGGCCAACATGGTGAAACCCCGTCTCTAACAAAAATACAAAAATCAGCTGGGTATGGTGTCATCTGCCTGTAATCCCAGCTACTCAGGAGGCTGAGGCAGGAAAATCAGCTTGAACTCAGGAGGCGGAGGTTGCAGTGAGCTGAGATTGCGCCACTGCACTCCGGCCTGGGTGACAGAGCAAGACTCTGTCTCAAAAAAACCCGAAAAAACAAAAAACAAAAACCCCCAAAAATTAACTCTTGGGTACTATACTCACTAGCTGGAATCAATTATACCTCAAACCTGAGCATCACTCAATATAACTATGTAGCAAGCCTGCAGATGTGCCACCTGAATCTAAAATAAAAGTTGAAATTATACCAAATAAAATTACTTTTTCAAATGGGGAAGAAAACCGTCACTGCTAAGACCTATAAGCACTGTCCATGGTCTTACCCTGCATCTACTGGTTACCTGTAATCACCATCCTTGTGAGTTTCCAACCACTCACTGTACTGGGTCCCACAGGTGCACAGCCAGCCCTAGTTATCTGAGGGCAGTACCCTCTCTGTCTTATATGAACAGTCCATTTGCACCTTAGAACCATCAGCTCCAGCAGAATTAGGGTTTCTCAACCTCTGTCTCACCCTTTCTTTCCCCCCGGGCCACTGTGGTTCCCTCAGATTTCATTAGAGACACGATTGAGAGTGAAAATAGGACCAAACATTTCTATAGATCAAATGGGATTTTTGAGAAACCTGATTTTCAAGTAAGATATGTTCGTTGTATAGAGCTTGGAAAGTACATAAAAGCATAAAGCATTAGAAAAAGGTAATCGTAATTCCACCATCTTGAGTCAATCACTGTGAACATTCTTGTACATTTCTTTCTAGTTGTTTCTCTAATTTTTACATAATTAAAATCATAGAATATGTACAATTTAAACCTTGTTCTTTAAATTTATTTCGTACAAATCATTTCTCATGTTGTTAAAAATTCTCCAAAAATGTAATTTTTAACAGCTGCATAAAATTCCTCAACCTCATATTGATTGCAATTTATAGGTATAATCCACATGCTGACTTTCCCTTATTCCTCTGGCTCTGTCCTATTTTCTTTGTTCCCTGTAGAATCCATTTGCAGAATTCAGCATTTCTTGGTGTCCCGTAAGAAGAAATAGTTCATTCCAAAGTACTGAGAGTAATACAGACTTGTACTGAAGATCCCACAGGGAAGATGTAAGAAAGATTTTACATGGTATATCTTACGCAAACAACTTTAGTAAATACATCTCTTAACCACTTCTGATTTGTATTAAATCAGAAGCCTCTATGTGGCTGGAGGAGTTTTTCCTCCGGGTTCTTCTTTCCTTCTTCCTAGATACCACCTTCACCCCATCATATTTTTTACGTACTCTTATAAGGAAGAGCTCCTAGTTTCACACACTTACCTTCATCTTGAGACTAAGGAAAACAGATAAAATCTGACCACCTAGACCCACCCACCTTTCTAAAAAGGAAATAGAGGCCGGGTGCAGTGGCTCACGCCTGTAATCCCAGCACTTTGGGAGGCCGAGGCGGGCGGATCACGAGGTCAGGACATCGAGACCATTCTGGCTAACACGGTGAAACCCCATCTCTACTAAAAATACAAAAAAATTATCCAGGCGTGGTGGTGGGCGCCTGTAATCCCAGCTACTTGGGAGGCTGAGGCAGGAGAATGGTGTGAACCTGGGAGCGGAGCTTGCAGTGAGCCGAGATCGCACCACTGCACTCCACCCTGGGCAACAGCATGAGACTCTGTCTCAAAAAAAAAAAAAAAAAAAAAGGCACTAGAGTGACAGTCATCTGATATTTGAATAGGCCTTCCAACCCCCCGCCCCCGTTCCAACTGACCTCACTTATCATCATCAAAATATTTCTTCCAGACACATAAAATGCTTTCCTAAGAGTAAATGGCTTTCTCAATTTTATTAAATTGGTGTGTAATAAAATCTCCTTGATTTGTTTTTCATGGAATCAATTCTTTTTAATTTAGGTCTGAATAGAAAATTTTTGTTTTAAGAAGGAAACAGAAAACTGTTCGTGAAATTTGGAACCTGTGTATATGAATTCCATGGATACCCCAACGACAGTTGTATGCATCGACTCTAACCCAAGGAATTTGATTGGAAGTGGGGGAACAGAGATTACTTACATAAAACAACTCCAGTCCATAGACACTTGGTGAAAGAAGGAGTTGTACCTCACTGGCTGGTAGTCTAGAGAAATTCAGGTTACATTAAGCAAATACAATCACATTTCAAAATATCCTAACGTGATATTTTGAGAGTGCATTATACAAATTGCTTTCATGTACATATTTTGCAAACCTCACAACTCTACAAGGTAGGCAGGATCTCTATGTTTCAGGAAGTGAAGGTTGTGAAGGGAAGAAAATAGGCATCAAATGGCATGGCCAAGGCCATATGACCAGAAAACAGCAGAGCCAGTATTCAAACCCAAGTCTTTAAAAAAAAAAATTTAACTTTTTAAGTTTAGTGGTACATGTGCAGGTTTGTTATATAGGTAAACTCATGTCTTGGCGGTTTGTGGTACAGATTATTTTATCACCCAGGCATTAAGCCTAGTACCCACTAGTCTAGTTATTTTTTCTGATCCTTTCCCTCCTCCTACCCTTCACCCTCCAATAGGCCCAAGTATATGTCATTCCCCATGTGTTCTCATCATTTATCTCCCACTTATAAGTGAGAACATACAATATTTGTTTTTCTGTTCCTGAGTTTGTTTGCGAAGGATAATGGCCTCCAGCTCCATCCATGTTCTTGCAAATGACATGATCTTGTTCTTTTTTATGGCTCCATAGTATTCCATGGTGTATATGTATCACATTTTCTTTATCCGGTCTACCATTAATGGGCATTTAGGTTGATTCCATGTCTTTGCTATTGTCAATAGTGCTGCAATAAATGCATGTGCCTTTATAATAGAATGATTTCTATTCCTTTGGTTATATACCCAGTAATGGGATTGCTGTGTTGAATGGTGTTTCTGTTTTTAGGTCTTTGAGGAGTCACCATATTGTCTTCCTCAATGGTTGAAATAATTTACATCCCCACCAATAGTGTATAAGCATTCTTTTTTCTTTGCAACCTGGCCAGCGTCTGTTATTATTTGACTTTTTAATCACAGCCATAATGACTGTTGTGAGTTGGTATCTTATTATGGTTTTGATTTGCATTTCTCTAATGATCAGTGATGTTGAACTTTTTTCATGTGATTGTTGGCCACATGTATGTCTTCTTTTACGAAGTGTCTGTTTATGTTCTTTGCCCACTTTTTAATGGGGTTGTTTGGTTTTTCTCTTGTAAATTTGTTTAAGTTCCTTATAGATGCTGGATATTAGACCTTTGTCAGATGCATAGTTTGCAAAAGTTTTCTTCCATTCTATTCACTCTATTGATAATTTCCTTTGCTGTGCAAAAGCTCTTCAGTTTAATTAGATCCCATTTGTCAATGTTTGCTTTCATTGCGATTGCTTTTGGTGTCTTCGTCATGAAATCTTTGCCAGTTCCCATGTCCAGAATGGTGTTGCCTAGGTTGTCTCCCAGAGTTTTTATAGTTTTTGTTTTTACATTTAAGTCTTTAATCTATCCTGAGTTAATTTTTTGTATGGTGTAAGGAAAGGGTCCAGTTTCAATCTTCTGCATATGGCTAGCCAGTTATCCCAGCCTCATTTCTTGAATAGAAAGTCCTTTCCTCGTTGCTTGTTTTTGTTAGTTGTGTTGAAGATCAGATAGTTGTAGGTGTGTGACCTTATTTCTGTGTTCTCTATTCTGTTCCATTGGTCTATGTGTCTGTTTTTATACCAGTACCATGCTGTTTTGCTTACCGTAGCCCTGTAGTATAGCTTGAAGTCAGGTAGCATGATGCCTTCAGTTTTGTTCTTTTTGCTTAAGATTGTCTTGGCTATTCGCAAGCCCAAGTCTTCAGACTGCTTTATTCTGTTCTTTCTACCATGCAGGTTCCCATGGCAACCCCATTAAATTGCCCAAACGCAGTGGTGAGCAGGAGGCAAGTAAAACCAAGATGGAGCAAGGTGAGCATCAATCCCTCCAACCCTCTGCTGTCCCCCAGAAGCCTCATGGTCTTTGGGCAGTGAGTCATCAAGCATTGCTCTCCCACTTCTTAAACCCCTGCTTGGTGCCCTACAATCCCTCTTCAAAACGGATTGCAGAAGCTGGAATTTGTGGGTGCCTCCCCTGGGGGCTGGGAGGGTGGGATGAAGAAGGTTGCTGGTAGCTGTCCTCCCTCATCGCCCCTTCCTGAGATCATCCACCCAGCAGTTGACTTTAGGCACTAGATCCTCCAAAACACAACTCAGAGGGCAGCTTCCATGACTCCACTTCCCTTTGAAAGGCTGATGGCACCCAAGAAAAACTGCTCTCAGGCTGCTAGAGAGAATAGGGATAAAAACTGCAATGTCTTCACCACTTAGGTGCTAGGCATCGTGTTGGCACTTTATATGCATTCTCATATTTGATGCATTTTCATGCCATTTCTACTAAGTGAGCATGACTATCTTATTTTACAGATGAGGAAGTTAACTTGCCCACTGTTGCACAGATTGTAAGAAGCAAAGCCCAAACCAGGGCCAGAGGTCTTGTCTCTCCATCTGGGCACCTTTCAACCACACCATATTGCTTTAGAGGCTCATTTTGCTTACTCTGGATGAAAAGGGCATGGGCGTGTGGGAAATGAAGCAATGATAACTGCTCAATAGAATTCCTGCAGATGAACAAACTCACCTGTTCCCACCTGGTGTGCAGCAGATACACACTGAGGCTGAACTGACTGCTAAAATGTTGTCTGATTGGTAAATTGCCACCCAAGTGCTTCCTCAGCACCCCATTCTTCCTGGCCAGTACCCCAGGACCTCCTCACTATCCAGCAACTAAAGGGCTATCACTTGGGCACTGAGGTTGCAGGGTCCTGCCCAGTGCTATGGTCATTGTTTCCTCTGACTGGTTCCTTGCTGTACCAGTATTATATGTGTTGGCATCATTCCTACCTGACTGAATGAAAGCTGTGTAATGGGGACTGTTGGAAGTTAAGTAATATCTGGCATAAAAAAATCCTGCTTTCAGAGGTAACTTGTGGGTGACGAGGTGCGTCCCCAGAAGGAGGGAGAGTGAGCACCAGTGAAGGTTTGCTCAAGAGGATCTCATGGGAGAGAAAGGATGTGTGCCTGCAAAAGTGGCCATAGGGTGAAATTCTTCAAATAAACCCTGTTGTCTTATTGATTCTTATGATAAAAATCAGAATTACACTGGAATGGTCAGTTTATTATTGAAGAATAGGGGGACACATTTCTGATCAGGCAGGGAATGAGGTGGCATGTGCCTGAAGCATGCTGGCTTTTGCAATATAGAATTGCTTTTGCAGAACTTTGCAGACTTGAAACACTTTATTAACCTTAGAGTCTCCTGACTGCTGCAACCTCTCAGCCCTTTTCAGGACATAGGAAGCTCACTAATTTCTGAGAGTATGACTCAGAGCTTCTGGAACTGGGCTCCCTTCTGTCCATTTCTCCTGAGAAATGGTCATAATAACTCTTATTTAATGAACAGCTCAGATCTGCCAGGCACTATGCTAGATGGTTAACATATTTTATCTCATTTACTACTTATTGCAATTTAGTCATATAAATTTTATTATATTATATAAAATTTATAATTTTATTTGTTCACTTTATAGACAAGGAAACTGAGGGAGACATTTTTAAAAGTTAGCTATGGTAACTCAGCTGGTAAAAAAGCAAATTGTCTAACTCAAGTACAGCAGACTTCAAATCCCACGTTCCCCCCTCTCTAGTACACCACTTGGTGGTCTGGGTAGTCAGGGCACCTCGCCGAGCTCTAAGGCCCTGACATGGTCGGGCTGCTGCCTCCCACTGTGACCTCGTCCTGGACTCTACTCTCCCCTTCACTATGCTCCAGCCACACAGACCTTCTTTCTGCTTCTCAAATGCACTCAGTTTGTTTCTGTCACTGTGCTTTCACTCTTGTGACCTGCAATGCCAGGAATCTAGAAACTTTTCAAGTTCTGAGGGTGTAAAGACATATGAGACAAAGTTCTTGCCTTCAAGAAATGTATAATCTAGTGAGGGGAGGCAGATCCACAGATCAATAATTACAATGCAATTTACTAAATTTGAGAGTAGAGTTTTGTATTAGTCTGTTCTCACACTGCTAATAAAGACACACCTGAGACTAGATAATTTATAAAGGAAAGAGTTTTAATGGACTCACAGTTCCACATGGCTCAGGAGACCTCATAATCATGGTGGAAAGCAAAGGCACGTCTCACATGGCAGCAGGCAAGAGTGCGTGTGCAGGGGAACTCCCATTTATAAAACCGTCAGACCTCATGGGACTTATTCACTATCATGAGAACAGCACAGGAAAGGCCCGCCCCCATGATTCAATTATCTCCCACCCAGTCTCTCCCATGACACGTGGGAATTACAGGAGCTATAGATTCAAGATGAGATTTGGGTGCTGACACAGCCAAACATATCGAGTTTGCTAAATACATAACAGAAATGTAGAGATGGGAAACTACCTAAAGAACAGTCTGGAAGACTCTCTGGAAGAGTGAAGCTGAGCTGAATCTTAAAGGGCAAGATGGAGTGTAAGTGAACAAGGCACAGTGTGAGGGAGGGGGAAGGTCCTCTCACATCCAGGCAGAGGAGACAATCAGAGGAAAAGTGCAATGATTAGAAACCATGGCATATATGGAAGTGGCATATCCGCAATCTGGCATTCTGGAACACCAAGTGTTAGGAGATAAAGCTGTAGAAGCAGGCAACGGTCAAATTGTGGAAGACCCTAGGGCTAGGGAGACCAAATAATTTGCTGTCCAAATCAGGATACTTTGATGTGAGAGAGGATGCTAGTTAGTGGGACCTCAAGACAACAGGGATAAACTGGAACTGTCCTGGGGTCACTGGGATGCACAGTCGCTCTCACCTAGAGTCCACACTAAGGAACTTGGACCTCGCCTATGCACAATGAGGAGACATTATAAGGTTGCAATTGAGAGGTGGCAAAATTAGACTTATTTTTTAAGGGTCATTTGGGATGAACTAGAGGGATGGGCTTGACAGGCTGGGGACAGGAAGACCACTTAGGAAGCCCTTATAATAGCACGAGAGAGGTGGAAAGGGATGGAGGTGATGGTGGTTATAATAGGATAAAAAAGAAGAAGAAGGGAATTTATCAATATGTAAAGGAATACTAAGGAGGTAAGATTTTGGGGATATTGTGATTGATGGGGAGAGGGAAGAAAGAAGAATAATTGGCATGCCCTCCAGCTTCCTAAGTAGGGAACTGGGTAGATGGCAGTGCCACCTAAAGTAATGGAGAGCAGGCTTTGGAGAAGTGTGCTGAGTTTAGCTTTAGACAGGTTGAGTTTGAGGGGCCTGAGAGATATCTGGGGAGAGATGTCCAGTAGACTGTTATGAGTCTGAAATATGGAGAAAGGGCTGGAGACTTACCTGGAACTCATCAGAATGTAGAAGAATTCCAAGAAGGTTAAAAAAAAAATTCTCATAGAGAATATGTTCACTGAGAAGAATGGTGGGCTAACACTATTTCTTATTCTCTCTTGGCAATTTTCTTTCAAAAAATAAAATTTATTTCATTAACAGGATATTTAATTAACACTCTAATCACTTGTGAAAATTAATGAGCTTATGATTTTCTCTTGCAAAAACTTGCCTCAGGTTCTCCAAATTTTTAATTATGTTATTATTTTCTGCAAACTTAACTTATCTCTGTTAGTTACGTATGGCATGGTTCAGCATCCATTGTTGGTAAAGGTCAGCATTGTGTTCACTAGGTTGCCACTGGAGCCTGGCAGTGATGACCAGGTTGCGAGAATAAAGCTGGGCTGGGCCTTCTGTTCTTTTTGACTTTTTTTTTTTTTGAAATGGAGTTTCACTCTTGTCTCCAAGGCTGGAGTGCAATGGTGCGATCTCGGCTCACTGCAATCTCTGCTCCTTGATTCAAGTGGTTCTCCTGTCTCCTGCCTCAGCCTCCCAAGTAGCTGGGATTACAGGCATGCGCCACCACACCCAGCTAATTTTTGTATTTTTAGTAGAGAGAGAGATTTGCCATGTTGGCCAGGCTGGTCTCCAACTTCTGACCTTAGGTGAACCACATGCCTTGGCCTCCCAAAATGCTGGGATTACAGGCATGGGCCACCGCGCCTGACCCGACTTCATTTACTTCTTTTTTTCCTTTTATTTATGAGTATGTAATGTAGGCACATGGTTTATAAATTTAATGTATTTACATATATGTAGCAAAAAGTCTCCCTCCCACCCCTAGTCCTCATTCACACAATCTCATCCCTGCCTCAGGTAACCATTGTTATCAATTTCTTGTATAGTCTTCCAGAATTTCCTTAACATATATGAGAACATATAAACATATATTCTATTTCTCCTGTCCCATTTTTACGCAAAAGGTTTTAGAGTATACTTACAGTTCTGACCTTATTGTTTTCACCTAACATATCTTGAGTACTTTTCCAGGTTAAAACATAGAGACTCACCATTCTCTGTAAATCACAAATTATTTAGCTAGCCCTCTATTAATGGACATTTGGGTTATTTCCGTATACTTAACAATTACAAACACCAGTGCCATGAACCTTGTGCATGTGTTATTTTACATTTGTGCAAATGTGTTCTTTTACATTTGTGTAAATGTGTCCATAAGGTATATTCCTAGATGTGGAATTGCTGGGTTCAACATTGTATCTTGATAGATAGTGCCAAATTGCCCTTCATAGTGGTCCTACCAACTTCCGTTTCTATCATCAATGCGTGAGAGTTACTCTTTCTCTGCAGCCTTAGCTACAGTAGTACCAAACAGATTATGTGAAAAATGGTATCTCACGGTAGTTTTCGTTTGCATTTCACTTAGCTTGAGTAAATTTGAGCATGTTTTTATTTCCTCGTTTTATGTAACGATTTGTTAAGAATTTTTTACAGTCTGAATGCTTGCGTCCCTCCACATTGCATATATTTGAACTTAGTCACCCATGTGATGGTATTAGGTGGTGGGGCCTTTGGGAAGTGATGAAGTCCTTAGGGTTGAATGGGTTCGTGCCCGTATGAAGGGGACCCCAGAAACATCCCTTGCCCTTTCACCATGTGAGGACATAGGGAGAAGGCTCCATCTTTGAACCAAGAAGTGGCCCTTACCAGACACCAAATCTGCTGGTGTCTTCGTCTTGGACTTCTGATCCAATTGATAATCTCATCCAGAAACACCCTCACAGACACACCAGACACAATGTTTAATCTGGGCATCCCATTCCCTCCTTAAATTGACACAGAAAATTAACCGTCACAAACCATACTGTTTGTCACTGCTGAGGCAGCTAGAATAACACAGTGATTAGGGGCTTGGGCTCTGGAGTCGTGTGGATGTGGACTTGGGGTTACTTCTCCCCCAGCTGTGTGACTTTGGGTAAGGCATTTAACCTTTCTGGGCCTTAGTTTCTTAGCTGTAAAATGAGGATAATACAACCTCATAGGATTGTTATGAGCACTAAATGAGATACTGTAAAAGTAAAGTAAGTAGTTAACAAATGTTAACTATTATCATTATTGGATAACCCAAGGTCAGAGGATGGCTCAGAGAAATAAACACCAGGCCCTTGAGAGAGCACAGTTCTGCCTGCAGTCCTTTCCCACTCCATTGCTAGGGGCACTAGAGTAAGTGGTAAAGCAGGGTCTTTAAATCATGGCCACTGCGGTCCCCGGGTGCATTAGCTTTGAAGCCGCTGGTCCCCTCCCGGCCAGTTCCGGAGTGGCATCCATCTTGCAGCATCTGAGTAAGGGAGAGGGTCCTAGCCACCACTGGAAAAGGTTAAATACAAGTACCCCCTGCCACCCAGTTCAAGAGCAGGGTCTCATCTGATGCAGAACTAAGGGAGGCCTGAATCGGGATCAGTGTGTTTCCAAAAGAAAGCAGCTCCCTCTAGATAAACAGGCCACTTTCCCCATGATTGCACCGTGATAGACGGTGTTAAGGAAAACAAATTTGTCCCCCTGCCCCTTGCTGGCAATCTAGGCCTCTCTATCTATCTTATTTAGTTGAAGCAGATAGTAGTTTTCCCACAATAAAAGCACAGCCATCCCCGAAGAATTCTGTGAACCTGTTTAGGGACAGTTGTAGACGTGTGTATCTAAGCGCATGTCTCGATGTTCCTCCCCACAACAGTAACTGTGATTATTTTTGGGTGGTGAGGTTTGGGATGACTTACACTCTCTTCACAATGCGCGTAAATTATTTTTATACTCAGAGCAAAAAGCCATTTCCATTTTATTTATTTAGTTTTTGAAACAGGGTCTTGCTCTTTCACCCAGGCTGGTGCAGTGGTGTAATTATAGCTCACTGCAGCCTCAAACTCCTGGGCTCAAGCAATGCTCCTGCCTCAGCCTCCTGAGTAGTGGGGACTACAGGCGCATGCCACCATATCTGGCTTTTTTGTTTTATTTATTTTGTCTTGTTTAGATACGGGGTGAGTCTTGCTATGTTGCCTAGGCTGGTCTTGAGCTCCTGGCCTCAAGTGATCATCCTGCCTCAGCCTCCCAAAGTGCTGGGATTACAGGCATAAGCCACCAGGCCCAGCCTACTTCCATTTTAGAAAAGAAAAACTGCCCGTGTATCCCAAGAAATATTGCCCTCTTTAGTCAAATATTCAGCATTTCTGAGTACTCTATCTGCTACCCCTCAAATTGATGAGCAAGATCTGATTCTCAGAAATCTCATCTAACTCTGTTGGCTTCTAAACTAAATATTGGGAAGCAGCACTTCATCATTCTTGATGGCTCTTTCTGGGAGTAAGTGGGACCAGCAGATATCGGGTCTGTCCATGGTCCATTTTGTCAGGACCCTGTGTCATTCCTGACTGCCCCCCAACACCAAATCTCACCCCTGCCAGTGCTGGGCCTCCCTGACCTGAACTCAGCTCTCCTCAGTCCGGTTCTTGGCCTGGATTTCAATTCCATTGATTTACGTTTGTTTTTCCCCCCAATTTTCATGGTGACACATCTCAAAGCCAAAGTTGCCTCTTCTGGTTGAATGAAAAAATGTGCATGACTTTCTGGGTTCGTATGTGGGACCAAGGATCCCGGATCAGGCGACATTTCACATGATTTTAGTTCTGAGGTTAACCAGGATTCTTAGGATAGCGAACAATGAACGATGCTTTCTAACAACATGTGACCTGGGTACAAACTCATTAATTTACTAAAAGTTGCTCTTTCTGATGTGTCTGAAGCCTGTAGAGGCAGGACAGTCGTTCCGACTGCAAAGTGCTTTGCAAAGTATGAAAGATACTGAGTTGCCGGAGGCCTGCAAGCAGGAAGCCAGAACTGACGGCAGGCTGTCACTAACTGCTCTCCAAAAAAACAGTGAGGAGGACCAGGAGCCTTTGCCATACGCCAGGGGATTACTCTCTGGAAAAAACACAAGGTTGGCTGCCCACCAAGACACAAGGTTCCCAAATAGAGCCTGAGTCCTTGAGGGAGAGGAGATCTAGCTAAAAATAGCTATGACGTCCCAAAGTTGATTTTCTTCTCCCCCTCGCCTTTTCATTTTTTCAGTGAGTTCACCTAAAATAGCCTGGCAAAAGATTTTTTGCCCTTTAAGTGGAAAAAGAAAACAGCTAGAGAGGTCAAGAGCTGAAGTTAAGGTTCTAAGAAGCCTGAAGTTTCCGCCCAAAAGACAAGGGGGTGATGGCCCTGTCCCGGGTGAAGGTCGCCTCCCTGAAGAGAAGGGCCGAGGCCTGAGGCTTTTCAGGGAATGACATGAGCTCCTGTGGCCCAGTGGACACATACAGGGGGTGACCAGAGCCTGGACAGGCATCCAGGTCACTGAAGGGCAAATTGGCCTTCAGCTTGAGGGAGGATGCCAGGCTCTGAGGTCCAGCCCCAAGGCTGGCATTTCAGGAAACCTAAGGATAATTTGTGTTTGGGAGGCAGCATCCCAGGCCGTCTTACTCAGCCGGGAACCCCAGTGGGCGGGTCAGAGGCAAGATGTTTCATTATCACCTGCAGAAAGAGCTCCAACATGAGGAAGTAGGGTTTACCTAGAGATAGGGCCAGGTAAGGGAGATGCTCCCCATCCCAGGGGCAGTCAACTACTTACAAATACCTAGGGGATTCCCTTCTCTGGGAGGGTTTTCCATTTTTCCACCCTTGCCTCAGAAGTGGAATGAATGCCTCCTTCCTCTTTGCCTCCCTGTCTCTGGCCTGCGGTCCTCACCTCCTTGGGGTAGCCTGACTCGGACTCCTCCTGGAGTCCTCGTTGAGACAGAGCCACTACCTTAGGGACTCCTTTGAAAGAAAAATCCCAAGTCAGGGCTCAGCGCAGAAGGAAAAAGAGGCAGTGCTGTTCTCTTAAAACCAAAGCAATCACAATAGCAACTTGAGGCTGTATAATTATAATCCCTCAAATACAAGCAATGTTTTGTATTATGCAAAGTGTTGCCATCTACACTATCTGATTTCTTTAACAACTGCAAAAGGGATGAGGTAGAGGATTCACTCATTCATTGAGCAAATATTGCCACCTCTATTTTACAACTAAATAAACTGAGGCTCAAAAAGCTGACTGACTTGTTGCTCAAAGCTGTACAACTAGTAAAGCTACACAGTCAACAAATTTTAGACAGAAAAGTCAAATCCAGGTGCTTGTCTCCCAGTCCAGGGCTTCTTCACTACCTTGCAAAAGATTTTAGTGGGGGAGGCACATACTCCAGAGGGGGTGTCCCCAGGTGAAATTCACTACAGACAGTGAGGAGAAGCATGACTGATGTTTGAAGGTCCAGGTGTGTCCCACGGCCAGTGTTCAAATGCTACCACTTAAGAGCACGTGAACTTAGGCAAGAACTTCACCCCTCTGATGGTGTCACTGCACACGATGGTCAGGATTAAGTCAGAGAGTATATGTTAGAAGTCTGTAATACAATGACTGGCATAGAATAAACACTCAATAATTTTAGCAGTTTTATTAGCATTATTTTCATAATGTTCATGTTACAGAGCCTAGTATCAATTTGGCAGACTCAGAAGCCTAGTTTTGCCAAAGTACTGAGAATGAATTAGTCTCCAAGACTGATATTTCAAGCTGGAAAAGAGATGTGCACTTTCCAAGGTGCTATGTTCCCTGCAGAGTGAAATCTGTGTTCTGCCCAATGCAGGCTTCTCTCCTTAGACAGGTGGATCGAAAGGGTCTTGAGAGCTTGGCAGCTGACCAGATGCTTGTCAGAATCCAAAGGTTAATGACATTGGGCTAAGCCTGACTCTGCCATCTTCACCATATGGGTAACGGCCACCTTTTGCCCACCCACTGAGGCACTCATTCATTCAACAAGTGTCTTTTGAGCTCCTGCTGTGTGTTAAGCACTGTGCTGGCACAGGAGAGATGGTGGGAAATAGAACAGCTCCTGTCCTCATGGACATTCTAGGACCAAACAAGTTAGGTCCTTCTCCCTGTCCCCCATCGATGGTGCTGGGAGTGGGCAGGGCTGACATTTGCTTCCCTGCTCCTTGTACTCTCTTTTGTCTACACTCAGCAGCCCTCCTTCTGATGATACAGATGTTTCTTGGGATATGCTAATGTCATACGTCCCTAAGGATGAAATGCAGCCCCCAACATATCCTCTCTCTCCCTGGCTGCTGGCAGTACCACCTCGCTCCGGGCCAGACCCAGGAAGACAAGCCCCACAGCCCAGTGTTGTGGGAGCACACATCCTGCATCTGCTCCCCAACTCTCTTCACCTGCCCACACTGCCCTGCTGTGGCCCCTCCTCAGCGCCCAGCCTGTGCTTTTTCTGGCCTTGGCTGTCCTGCAGCTCTCTCCCGGCTCCCCATACTTGCAGCCCACACTCTCAGCGCCCAGGGCTCTCTCCCCAGACAGGCCTTTAGGACCCCTTTTTGTCTTCCTCTGCACCCTCCCAGCTGGCTTTCCCTCCTGGTGAGAGTTCTTCCTTTCTCTCCAGGCTGCCCCCCTGCCCCTTACCTGTTCTCTCTCCTCCACCTGCTGCAGGCCCTCCAAACTTCTGGTCTTTTTGACCCCTGCCCTCTCACTCTTGGCGGCATCACTTTCTTTCTGAGTCCGGGATCTTTCCTAATTTTCATACACATATTTTCCGTCTTGTACAAGAGCTTCCTTTTCAATATTAAAAAAATTAAAAAGTATGTGTGTAGGGGGGTGTCCATTTAATGGGAAATGTTAAGCCAATAATGGTATAGGGGGAAGGCAGATATTTCAAGATTTGAGAAGATGGGACAAAGACGGAAGCTTGGGCAGCAGAGAACTCATACACCCAACTGGGTTCTGGTCAAGTCTGCCAGACCCAAGTCCTGGGCTGCCTCTTTGAGGTGGATTTTCCTGCCACTCCTGAGATCATCTATCATGAGCTGCTTTTAGGGTGACCACTCAGAGGACCCTCTTATTTGCCTTATTTCAGGTTCTTGAGACACACCTCACATTGCATCCAGGTACCAACATATATACCTTCTCTGCCTGTGTGGATAATTTCTCCTTAAGACTGACTTTAATCTCCAGGTGAGCTTGTAATTAAACTGGAGCTCATTTTCCTATAGAAACACATGAACACGTGGTAATTAAATTCCAGACCAGTACATACACTGGATACCATATCACTCATAAAGTCGTTGCCGAGAATCCGAATGGTTGTCTAAAGGGCCCCATGAGCTCTGCCTGTGGGTTCTGACTGCCACCCCAGGCTTGCTGGCAAGACACAGAGAACTTAGGCTCAGAGGTGGCATTAGAGAGGAGTTTGTCCAAGTGTCTGATCTGTGTGTGAGCCATGTTCCTCAAGATCATGGAAAAGGCTTATTTAAAACATAGGTATCTGGACCTCACACACAACTTGATCAGTTAGAACATGGGGAAAGGGGAGCCCTGGAAATCTGTTGTATAACAGGGTCCTCAGGTAATTTTTATGTATGTTGAGGATGAGAGAATGTTTTTCAAAATTGATGAATATGTAAATCAACCATTATGCAGCATTTGAACAAAAGGTTAGTTAAGGTGACACCAGCTCCAGTAAGAAGTAAACAGATAGGCTGGGTGCGGTGGCTCAAGCCTGTCATCCCAGCACTTTGGGAGGCCAAGGCGGGCGGATCACGAGGTCAGGAGATCGAGACGATCCTGGCCAACATGGTGAAATCCTGTGTCTACAAAAATACAAAAAATTAGCCAGGCGTGGTGGCGTGTGCCTGTGGTCCCAGCTACTTGGGAGGCTGAGGCAGGGGAATTGCTTGAACCCGGGAGGTGAAGGTTGCAGTGAGCCGAGATCTCACAACTGCACTCCAGCCTGGTGACAGAGCAAGACTCCATCAAAAATAAACAAATAAAACAAACAAACAAATAAATAAAACAAACAAACAAACAGATAAATTCAGAGGCTTAACACAATAAAATTTTACTTCTCTCTCACATAACAATTCGATATTGGGTGGGGTGGGAGGAGTCTGTTCCACACAATCATCTGTGACCCAGGCTGCCAGGGGCTCTGCTGTCTTCGACATGTGGCCCCAAGGTTGCTTTGGACAAGCTGATGTGGAAAGAGTGCACACGGGAGGTTTTTATGAGCAGGCCTGGGGGTGATCCTTACCACTTCACTCATTCTAATTTTCCATTAGCGAGAACTCAGTCATATGATCACACCTAACTGCGAGGGATGTTGGGAAATGTTCTTTAGCTGTATGCACAAGTAAAAGTCATAACAGTCTGGTTAGGAGCAACTTGGAGTTTTCCCATAGATTCTTAGTTCAAAGTTGGGGGAGAAATCTGAGGAGGCTTCTTGGAGGAGGTGACCCTGGCATGAGACAGTCTGGCATACTGGTTCAGAACAGCAGCTCTCCAGTTAAATAGAGCTGGGTTTTGCTAGCTGTGTGACTGTGAATAAATTACTTAACCTCTTGGAACCTTGATTTCTCATCTGTAAAATGGGTATCAATAGGATATTATAGGCTGTTGTGAGAATTAATAGATGTAATGAGGTAAAATGGAGTTACGTAGATAATCTGGCTCATAGTAGGTTCTCAATAAATGTTAGATAAATGTGAACTCAAGTTGGACAAAGAAGAGGGAAAAGTGAGTTCTAGGCCAAGAGAATAGCAAGGAGGGGAGGAGTGGCTCTGAGATGTTGAGGATGAGGAAGCCAAAAGGCCAGACCATGGGGGTGGGCTAGGGGAAGGGCTCTGGGGTTGAGCTGACGACCATGTCTATGTCCTCCCTCTGCAGAACTTCCATCAGACCCGTGACCACATTTCCCCAGACTTGGAGGAATCTGGGGAATGGTGCACCTGGGAGACTCCTGGCCTCTGTAATAACCCTCATGTAGCACAGAAGGCAGAGAAACAGCAACCCCACCAGGCTTCCCAGGCCTGAGGAACAAAGAGGGCCTGGACAGGGAGCATCTCAGCAGGAACTGAGACGAACGGTGGCTTGAAGGGTTGGGGACGCCTTCCTGCATCTTTTTCTCTGGTGGAGAAGACAGAGAGGCCTTTGCTCTCTTTCCTGGAGCTGAGGTTTGGACAGTGAGGAGAAGCTCCAAAAGAAACTGAGAGTGAATTACTGTACCCATCAGAATCAAGTCTCCAAGTAAGATTTAACTTAATTTAGAAGAAAGGTAACCTTACTTTCCCATTGTTATGGACTAAGCTTCGTACCGTGTACATATGTATAGAAAAATACTAGGTACTTGTATTAATCATGGCTTTTACTTTCTGTATTCTGATGCTTTGGCACCTGGGGCCTTGCTGACTCTGGAGGGACTGCCCCTCCCTGGATGAGTCAATTCCTAGAGACAGCGAACAACTTGTCCATGAGTATGTCTTGGAAATGCAAACCAATCAATCCAGAGCCCAAGCTCCAGCCACCTCCATGATAAGGCTCTGGGTCACTACTCACCTGCCCTAATCATCCCAGGGCCAGGACCAGACAACAGAGACAGCCCCTATGCACCAGAGCCACTGGAATTATTTAAACCAGTCAATCTGAAGCCCCCTTACCCTGCCTGACCTGTTCCTTCCCATGAAACCACAATAAGAGCTCTTGCCCACAGTTTACCCCTCCTTCCGCCTCCTGATGTTTCCCTGTGGCCCTCTCCCCCCATGGCATGGCATACACCCTCCTTTTGGGAACTGTAATAAACTATCTCTTAATGGCAATTGTCAACTGGTCTGTTTGCCTTACTGTACCTCAAGTGTTCTATTAATACTATATATATATATATTATATTTTTGAGACGCAATCTTTCTTTGTCGCCCAGGCTGGAGTGCAGTGGAGCAATCTCGGTTCACTGCAACCTCCGCCTCCTGGGTTCCAGTGATTCTCCTGCTTCAGCCTCCCAAACAGCTGGGATTACAGACAAGCACCACCACACCTGGCTAATTTTTTGTATTTTTAGTAGAGGCAGGGTTTCACCACACTGGCCGGGCTGGTCTCGAACTCCTGACCTCTGGTGATCCCCCCGCCTTGGCCTCCCAAAGTGCTGGGATTACAAGCATAAGCCACCGTGCCCAGCCAATACACTATATTTTAAAATAATGCCATTTATTGTTTACCCTGTGCCAGGCAAGAGAACAAGTGATTTAGACACACAGTCTCATTGCATCCTCACAATCACCTTATCAGGAAGGTTCTATCATTAACCCTGTTTTAAAGATGAAGAAACGTACTCCTAGAGAAGTTGGGTCACCTGCAAGCGGCATAAGGCAGGCTGTGAACCCAGGTCTGCCTGATTCCAAAAACCACGTGCTCTTAACCACTGTACTCCATTACCATGTGTGGAGTGCCTACTGGGTGCCAAAATATAGCATAAGACAGAAGCAGCCAAGGCCATTCCCGGGGACCCCAGACCCCAAGGGAAATGCCTTCCTTCCCCCCAGCCCCTGGAGATGTCCTTGGCTGCCTCCTTCTCACTGTGCTCTTGACCTTGGCTACTCTTGGGCAGTACCCAAAAGACCCAGGGAACACACTTCCCCTATTCCATGTCTCTCAGGACAAATGAGGAATTACAAATAAACCGTATTAATTCATCTGTGAACTCCAAGCCTCTGGCACAGTACCCGGCAATATTTTACATGGTATATAGCACCTAACAGGCTATATTCAAAAAATATCAGAAGATAGACGGGAGGAGACGGTCACCATGCCAGGCAGGGAATGTTTCCAGGGAGAACTGTAGCTGCAGGGAGTGGGACTTATCCTGACTGCCCTGGGAGATCGCTAATTTAGAGCACACCAGTGTGACAGTACATTTCTTTTGAAATGCAACTCAAAATCCGCTTCCTCCAGGAGGAATGCCAAGTGGCGTCCCGGAACAGGACAAGTTGTACTTCACAGGAGATGGGAAGCTAGAGGGGGGAAATGCCATCATTAATCCACCAAGCAGCAGGGGGTGGGGGCGCTTGCCTCCAACAGGCATGGCTGGAAAAATAAGCAGCTCTGGCTTGTGCTCCTCCCTGTGTCCCTGCCACGACTGTGAAGGGCTAAGAACACAGCAGAAAAGGTTCCAGTTCATTTACAAGCCTCGGCTATTTTTAGTTCATCGATCCCTGGGCGCGGTGTGTGTGTGTTGAGGGGGGCCGGGGGACGGGGCTTGCAGAGCTCACGGTTTGAGGTGGAAGCTGGGGAAAGCTTTAGAATTCTTTTCATAGAACAGGTACTCTGTTCACTACGCACCATCCAGCCTCTGGAGACCTAACCGCTTTTCTTGGGGCAGGAAGAAGGAGCAGTGTCAGGGGAGGGAGGAGACTGAAATGAGAAAGGGAACGAGGCAAGAGGCGGTGACGCCCTTGTGCCAATGACCAAATTGGGTCAGAAAGAACAACCTTTTGAATGCAAGTCAGGAAATGTGAATCGCTGCCTCAGCAGGGCCAGGTGCATGCCTAGTGGGTGCCGGCCCAGCCTGACCAGGGAACTGTGACTGTACCTCCTGCCGCTCTAGAGAACCAGACCGATGACCATCTAGAAGTGCACTGATCTTTATTCCTTGCCTGGTGCCCTGTGGCCAGTTCAATTCCTATTATCAACCCCTCCTTAAAGCTGTCAGGGAAAAGGAAGGAGAAGTTCACATTTAAAGATGGATCTAAATGGTGAAAGAGGTGAAAATCATTGCCTTAAAAGAGATCACCTGTGGATTTTGTGAGTTATTAATTCTATGATCCCTACCGTGTCTGATTCTGATTGGCTATATATAAATTAAAAAACGGCTCTTTTTTCATATCACCTCTACAGCCCCTGCAAGTTAAAAATATCATTACCCGGCTTTTCTCCTTCTAAGTGTAGGCTGCTTGATTTAAGACATTTTGCAAACTTGTCTTTGTTCCAAGGATTTTTAAGCAAAAAAGGTGAGTCATAGTAGCAACTCAATAGATGTTGAGCTGATTTGTGTTACTAAGAAGTTGTGGGTAAATTGCAGTTTTGAATTTTTGGAAACGGAATCATATTGTAAATGTCCTGGACAGTTCAACAGTTGTGGGACTCCTCTGGCGAGTCCTATGCAGAAACCTCCTCTTACTTGAGTCACTCAGCAGCATTCGATGCAATCACCCATGGCTTCCTTCTTGAAACGGGTGTGATTCCTTGACCCTCACACTCACTTGGCTTGTCCCCAGGTTGCTGACTGTTCCTTCTCAGGCTCCTCTGCTGTCCTCCCTGCCTCTACCACACCTCAGTGTACTGGAAGGACCTGCATTCTACCTTTGTTCCTCCTGGCTTCATTTCCTCCTTCCTAGAGAAAACTGGAGGATGCCCATCCTGGCACTCTGATGACTCTCAAATTTCTGCCTGCCTTTTCTTTTCTTTTCTTTTCTTTTCTTTTCTTTTCTTTTCTTTTCTTTTCTTTTCTTTTCTTTCTTCCTTCCTTCCTTCCTTCCTTCCTTCCTTCCTTCCTTCCTTCCTTCCCTTGTTTCTTTCTTTCTCTCTCTCCTTTTTTTTTGTCTTGCTCTATCACTCAGGCTGGAGTGCAGTGTCATGATCTCAACTCACTGCAGCCTCTGCCTCCCGGGTTCAAGCAATTCTAGTGCCTCAGCCTCCTGAGTAGCTGGGATTACAGGCGCCAGCCACCACTCCTGGATAATTGTTTTGTATTTTTAGTAGAGATGGGGTTTCACTATGTTGGCCAGCCTTGTCTTAAACCTCTGACCTCAGGTGATCTGCCCACCTCGGCCTCCCAAAGTGCTGGGATTAGAGGCTTGAGCCACCGCACCTGGTCGACTGCCAAATTTCTATCTCTAGCTGGATCTCTCGCTGAGTTCTAGATGTGCAAACACCACTGCCTGCTGGCCATCATCACCTGCCTGTCCGTTAGGCAGCTCGAACTTAGCAAGGACAAAATTGATAGATTGCTTTTTATCCCTTAAAATATACCTCTCCCCTAGTGTTCCCCATTTCAGTATATGTGGCATCATCAACCCAGCTGCTAGAGCCAAAAAACCAGCAATCATTCTTGATTCCTCTCTTTCGTTCATCCCCTACACTCAATTCATTTGTAATCCTGCTGGTTCTAATGCAGTGTATAATCAGGATCTGGTCACTTCTCAGCACCTCTGCTGTTCTGCCATCCCTCCCTGGACTATTTCACCAGCCTCTTTCCCAGGTCCCTGCTTCCTCCCTTGCCTTCCAGTCCATCCTCCATAGAACAGAGCAATCCTTTTAAAAATATAAATCAGACTCTATCACTCCTCTGCTTAAAACCCACACTGATAATAACATCCAGCTTCCTCATCGAGGCCTTCACCAGTCTAAATCAAGGGTTAACAAATTATGGCCCTTTGTTTCTCTCTCCCACCACTTTTTGTAAATAAAGTTTTATTGGAGCATGCACACCCCCATCACCCCCATCTATAGATGACTTATCTATGGCTGCATCTAAAGATGAATTATCTATGGCTGCTTTGGTACCACAAGGGCAGAGTTGAGTAGCTGTGACAGAGTCGGTGTGACAAAGCCTAAAATACGAGCTATCTGGCCCTTTACAGAGAGTGTTTGCCATCCTCTGTCCTACATAGTCTGGCTCCTGCCTCTTCAGTCATGGCTGTCTTTATTCCCATCCTGGCTCATAAGGTTCTAATCACATCACTGCTTTCTTTCATATATATATATATTTATTATACTTTAAGTTCTAGGGTACATGTGCACAACGTGCAGGTTTGTTACATATGTATACATGTGCCATGTTGGTGCACTGCACCCATTAACTCGTCATTTACATTAGGTCTATCACCTAATACTATCCCTCCCCCCTCCCCCCACTCCACAACAGGCCCTGGTGTGTGATGTTCCCCTTCCTGTGTCCAAGTGTTCTCCTTGTTCAGTTCCCACCTATGAGTGAGAACATGCGGTGTTTGTTTTTTTTGTCCTTGCGATAGTTTGCTGAGAATGATGGTTTCCAGCTTCATCCATGTCCCTACAAAGGACAAGAACTCATCCTTTTTATGGCTGCATAGTATTTCATGACACACCACTGCTTTCTCCTCCTCACCTATGCTAAGCTTGTTCTAGCTGGCGCATCTTTGCACTTGGAGTTCTTGCTCGCTTTGTCCTCCCCACGGATCTCCACACAGCTGCTTTCTCACCACTTAGGTCTGAGCTCAGACGTTACCCCCACAATTACTGTTCTGGCTAAAACATCCCACGCCAGTTATTCTCTATCAGAGTATCCTGCTTCATCTTCTTCACAGTGCCTATCGCCAAGGAAAAAAATGTCCATGTCTATGTCTGCAACTATGCCTGTGTCTTCATGTCTCAATACGTGTAACTGCAAATATGAAAGTATGAGTTAATTATCTGTCTTCCCCACTAAAAAATGAGGTGCTTGAGAGCAGAGACTGCTTTACACACCTCTAAGTACCCAAGATCTTCTACTGTGCCTGGCACATAGTAGAAACTCGTGTATATTTGTTTACTGACTGACTGCATCTTTGTAAAGCAAATTATTCTAGATGGCATGACCAATCAGACCTTACTTTGTTATGCAAATTCAGATATTCGTATATCAAATTTTCTTGATGTGGTTTGTACCTACGTATTTCACTGCTGGCCAAATATGAATTTCAAAAGGTATGTGTTGTTATTTTTATTGTTTTAGACTTAATATCTACCACTTATTGAGTGCTCAGCACTGACTAGATGCTTTACCTATAGAATCTTGTTTTAGTTCTTATGACAACCCTGTGAGGGAGGTGTTACTATCTCCATTTACAGGTGAGGAAACTAGGGCATGAAGCTGCTAAGCAACTTGCCCTGGGTCACACAGCTAGAAATTGACAGAGCCAGAATTTTAACCCACGGCTGTGTGACTCCGAATCCCATGTTGTTACTGTTACTCCAGGCTGTGGGTGAGTCCTTCCTCAATGCTTCCCCCCATAATCAACAAATCTTTCATGCATTTGTGGATTCACTTATACCATCCTGTCAGGCTCTAGGGAACATTCAGACATCTCTGCATCACACACCAAAGGCCCAGGGTGTTCCCGTTTTCTTCAGATTCCTACTTCACCAGAGAGTTGACAGAGTAGAAACGTCTCTCCACTCTCATATTCTGCCATTAGTCACCAATGACTAATTTGGGGAGTATGAAGATGATCTGCTTTTAAGAGTTTCTTGCAAAAGGCAAACAGCCTTGGAAAGGGTAGCACTTTATCAGAGATGAGTTGGCAGCTGTCTGAGCCTGGAGTCCTGGGGAGGAGGACCCTGACAGACAGAGAAGAGAGGAAGAGCTGAAGGCAACATTCATTCATTTTGTCCATTTAATGACAGAGAAAGATGTTCTCTCTATAATTAGGCAAATAACAGTGGGTTATAGCATGGTGTGTACAGTATCATCCATTTTCCATATACATAGGAAGAAGACCAGAAGATTCCATACCTATTAACAATGTTAAGTCTGAGCAGTAGAGTTATGGCTGATTTTTTTCTTCCATTTTTGCTTTTGTTCTTTTCTTCCACTGGAAAAGACATCTCTCTCAGTAGTGCTCTCTTTTCCTCCCCAGGCCACCACTGTGGTCATTCTAGAACCAGACTGTTCTGGTGCCTGCCAAAGGGTCTCCTCCCTCAAAGCCCTCTTGGCTCCAAGATGTCCTGCACACAGCTGCCAGGTTAAAACATAGCTCAGACTATGGAAATGCTCAAGACAGCCCCTTCCCAAGCAGTCACTCTCAAGGGTCACAAGTCTAGGCACACTTCTCAGGTGGGAGAGGTCAGGAATTGCAAAGAGCAGGAGCAGGTGTGTGAGTGCCGGCTGGTTTCCATGGTCACTGAGTTGTAGCCGGGACAGAGCGAGCTGGCTCTTAGGACTCAGGGAATCTGTAGCCTGGGTTATCTTTCCCAGGTGGCAGCTTTATGAATTGCTCCTTTTGGCCTGCAGTCAACTGAGCCAAGCAGATTATCTCAAGGCCCCAGAAGTGAGTTATGGGTCTAGGTGAGAACAGCCTTCTGAGCAAGTAATGACAGTGAGCTTCCCCAGGTGGTTCCCAAATGCCTTGAACCCTTTCAGCACCTCGGTTTCCACAGAAGCAAAACAGCAACAGCAGAGGTAAGGCAGAGGCTGCAGAGAGGAAAGACCACCCCCCACCCCCACGACCGCATGCCTATAAACAAGCCTCTGGGGACTTGGATGGCACTCTGGGAAAACACCAGGGGCATTTATCTCAATTACACATTTTTCCTGCATTAGCCTAGAAAACTTTCACTGGAAAAAGACAGTCTGCTTAACTTGCAGGCTACTTATCAAATCAGGCTGCAGCAGTAAACATTAGTCTCTCACAGCTGGGTTCATTTCAGGGGGTGCAGACTGAGAGGAATCTGGGATAATGAAATATCATTAAATGGAAACAGCTTGTTATGAAGTAGGATGAGTCCAGGTTTGTAAAAGAATGTGAAAAATATGGATATACATTCATTTAAAAAAAGAGTGGGACTCATGCAGCAAATAAAGATATATTTATTTGTGTATGTTTACATGAACTTTTCAGTATTTTCAAATTTTTTTTATGACCAGGGTATATTATTTTTGAAAATATATGAGAATATTTATGCTTTTAGAAATTAAGAGTAATACAAGGCACCAAAACAGCCAGGCGTCATGGTGGTGGCATGTGGCTGTAGTCTCAGCTACTCAGGAGGCTAAGGTAGGAGGATCACTTGAGCCCAGGAGTTTAAGGCCAGCCTGGGCAATAGAGCAAGACTCCAACTCTTAAAAAAAAAGGGGTGGGGGAATCCCAAAACCTGTGATCTTGCAGTGTTAATGAATTCATTATATAATTTTCTTTTCATGTAAACATTATTAACATTTAAATATTGCTTATTTTCCTACCCCTATATTGACATCAATTCATACTATATTCAAAAAGCTTCCTAGGCAAATATGGGATATCTTTATCTTTGCTACACTTTTTGTTCACAACCAGTAGCAGTAGCTTTAATGGGTTTGTCTTTGTAAGCCAAGTATGATATTTGGCATGAAATTGTTTTAGGGTCTTGTACACTCAAAGTATACACGTTTTTTAAAATTGTATATTCTTGGTAAAGATTATATTACCTGGCCTTATCCAAACCATAGACATGCTCCAGGTGTTAATTATTTAACAGCTATTTGAATAATCATAAATGTGGAACGCAATGAAGGTTCTTGCCAAGGTCTGAGGATACGTGGTCAGGTGCGGTGTGGAGGGGCATCCAGTCAGTTCTGGTGTTCCGATTTTAATAACACCTAAATGAATTTCTCAAAATTTAGGAACCTAGAAACACCAAAAACACTTTAAAAAACGATCCAGAACACTTTATTTTAGAAAGATTGGTATTCAAATTTTTTTAATCAATCAAAGGAGAAAAAACACTATTTTAAAAAGTCAGGTTTATTGAATATAATTATATGGAGTAAAATTTACCTTTCTAGTGTACAGTACTGTAGATTTTGACAAATGCATACAGTTATATAACTGCTACAACAATCGAGACACATAATACTTTTATCACCCCCGAAAATACCTTTGTGTCTCTTTGTGGTAAGCCCTTATTCAATTCTCAGTCCTTGTCAACTCCCGATCAGTTTTCTCTGTTATGTTTTGCCTTTTCCTTAATGCCATATATTACCCACTGTGTAGCCTTTTGGATCTGCCTGCTTTCGCTTACCATAATTCAACTCGAGATTCGTCTACTTTGTTGTGTGTGTCAATACTTTTTTAAAAGTTTCTGATTAGTATTGTATTGTGTGGATGAACTAGAGTTTGTTTATCCATTCACTGGTTGAAGAACATTGTTTCCAGTTTTTGATGATTGTGAATAAAGCTACTATAAACATCCTATTCCAGGTTACTGTATAAACATAAAGTTTCCTTCTCTTTCTTGACGCTTATGAGTAGGATTGCTGCATTGTGTGGTAAGTGTCTGTTGAACTTTGTAAAACTGTCAAATGGTTTTCAAAAGTGGCTATACCATTTTGCATTCCCACCAGGAATGGATGAGAGTCACAGTTGCTCAACATCTTTGCCAGCATTTATTGTTGTTTTTAGTCATTCTAATAGACCTACACACCCGGCTCATGGTTTTTCAAATGCATTTCACTTGCATTTCCCTCATAACTAATGATGTTGACATATTTTCATGTACTTACTTCCCACCAACATATCTTCTTTTCTGAAGAGTCTCCTGAAATTGGCCAATTTGAAAAATTGGATTGTTTGCTTTATTATTATTGTTTGGAGAGTTCTTTGTATTAAGGACTTATCAGATATGTGTTTTATAAATATTTTCCTCTGTTGTGTGCTTGTCTTTTCTTGTTGTTTTGTCATTTTGTGTGTGTGTGTGTGTGTGTGTGTGTGTGTTTGAGATGAAGTCTCACTCTGTTACCCAGTCTGGAGTGCAGTGGCCCCATCTTGGCTCACTGCAACAACCTCTGCTTCCCAGGTTCAAGCAATTCTCCTGCCTTAGTCTCCTGAGTAGCTGGGACTACAGGTGCCCACCACCATGCCTGGCTAATTCTTGTATTTTTAGTAGAGATGGGGTTTCACCACATTGGCCAGGCTTGTCTCAAACTCCTGACCTCAGATGATCTGCCTGTCTCAGCCTCCCAAAGTGCTGGGATTACAGGCATGAGCCACCATGCCCGACCTTGTTTTTTCATTCTCTTGACAGTATCTTTTGAAGAGCAGATGTTTCAACTTTGAAAAGGTTTAATTTATTATTTTTTCTATACTTTTGGTGTTATAGCTAAGAAATCTTCATCTCACCTATAGCCATAAAGATTTTCTCCTATGTTTTCTTTTAAAAATTTTGTTGTTTTAAGTTTTACACTTAGATCTGATTCATTTTGAGTTGAGTTTTGTATATAATACCAGGCATGGATCACATTTCTCTTTTTTACATTTGGATGTCAGTTGCCAAAACCATTTGAATGACCTGTACTTGGGTTTACTGGACAGTTAAATGTACATATAGTTCATTACAATGTGGTTACCAATGTGTCCCTGGTGGGTCTTTCATTCATTCAGTTATTCAAAGATTTCTCAAGTACCTGCTACAATCTAAGATACTAATCATGAAGAATCACTGCCTTAAGGTGTTTACTGTCTAGTGTAGGAGAAATACATGTCAATAGTATATAACTATACTATGATGCAGAGAGTAACAAGCTGCATATGTTCTGCCCAAGAATAGAATCTGAATCATTTCATGATTCATGTCAAGAACCTACTAGACTATTTAGGAAGAAGCTATATGGTAGGCTAAAAATGGAGGTAACTGAGTAACTGGCCCAACCCTTTGGACAACTGGCCTCTGAGGGATTTGGCAGAAATGCCAAGTCAGAATGTTTGAATGCTTACTTATAAATGACAGGCACCTGAAAATCTAAATGGTCATATTGAAATGCTGGAGAGTTGGTGAGAAACTTGGTCTTGGAGACAACTCAGTCTGCAGCTTCAATCAAGTCACTTCAGCATTCTGGGCCTCAGTTATCACATCTATAAAGTGAAAAACTTGGACCAGGTAATCTATGTGTTTCTTTCAGGAATAAAAAATGCAAGAATGTGGAAGTTTGGTGCTATGCTACTGAAACATAGGAAGCTACAGTCATATTAGGTGAGTTGATGGATGCTAGACAGAAAGATATAATTATTGAGTGCTTAGGCAAATCTATGGGTGTTAAAGGAATGAAAGGATATTGCTCATAAGTTAAAATTAAAACCAGACTTACACACTATATACATATATATATATATATATATATATATATATATATATATATACATGTATGTGTGTATATATATATATATACACACATACATACATACATACATATACTTGAAACAGGGTCTTGCTCTGTCACCCAGGCTGGAGTGCAATGGTGCGTTCACAGCTCACTGCAGCCTTGACCTCCTGGGCTCAATTAATCCTCCCACCTTAGCCTCCCGGGTAGCTAGGACCACAGATGCACCACCACACCTGGCAAACTTTTTGTATTTTTTTTGTAGAGAAAAAGTTTCACCATGTTGTCCAGGCTGGTCACGAACTCCTGAGCTCAAGTGATCCACCTGCCTTGGCTTCCCAAAGTACTGGGATTATAGGCGTGAGCCACCATTCCTGGCCACACACCATATTTTTTTGAGGGGTAAGGAGCACTCATGAGAAAATGAATTATTAGACATTACTGATATTTTCAAAACCCTGTAACAAGATCTGTGAAAAGTCTGTCACAGTGTTTCCCTTATATTAATGATAACTCAGTTTTCCTCCATTATGGCCAGGGACATGCCTAAGAAACAGGAAATAAAAGGCATGAAAATAAAAGGGTAATTTTTCTGAATGAGGAGGTAAAAAGAACAGAGATTGGCCTCAGAATATTTTGTCATGCAGAAACAAATAAAACTGATACTAAATATCTCTAGTTTGTGAATGTCAATTCAGTGGGAACAAGCTCTTGTATAATCTTATAAAGCTGAGTGTTTTAGGTAAACCAAATTATGTTTATAGGGTGATAGGCAACTAAAGGACCAGTTAAGACAAAGGGCAGTGACTTGAGAGTCACCATATTCACAAAAGATGTTGCCTCTAGACTCTAGAGAGTGTGATAGCCAAAAACAGTAAAACAGGCTGGGCAACATCAATTACCCCTAATGGGATGTGGGTTACTTTGAATGAAATATGAATCAGAAACACTATCCTCTCATTATAAAAACCATGGGGGCCTCCAGACTAGGAAGCTGTGAGCCAAATCCTGGCTGCTGAATGTTAAGGAAGACACAATTGAGTTAAAGGATTTATGTCAGAGGGTAGAAATGCTGCCACATGATTCCAGGGTTTAAAAAAATGGGCCCAGTCTAGAAATTGAAAGGCTTGACATGGAATATGATCAGCTATAAAAGTGTTAACCTTCAGAAGAGAACAAACTGATGTTTGCAAAATGCCAGAAAATAAAGAAAGACCAGTGAAGCTTAAAAACACAATACTTTCTACAGCTATGAATTTCATTACCTCAAGAAGAGACCAAGAATGATAACTTGAACAATTTTCTATAAGAATTAGCTAATAACCTTTTGGGTTCGATTATCCACTGACTGAAAGGAATCAAATGTTTTCAGGGTAATATCATGGGAGGGCTGTTTGTCATCTTGGTCTCGAAACCAATAGCCAAACAAATTTTCTTTCACATTCAACAGATCATAAAAGGTAGTAAGTTTTATGCTGAGTTCTGGGGAATCTCATACTGTTGGAGCAGCTATCTAATGTCAAGTTTAGAATTTACATTAGGAGGAAACAGCTTTCTGCAGATTTACTTTTCCCAGGCCAACCATCTGACAAAAAGAACAATCAGCTCCCAAGGTGGTGCCTCCCCTTCCAACAGTGGTTCTGACTGTCTGTCCAGAGAAAGGAAATCCTAAATGACCTGTTCATCAGCTGGACATTCCTGTGCCAATCAGCCTTTTTACTCCACTGAAATATTTAGATAGTTACAACAAGCATATAAGTGAACGTTACAATCTCACGCAGAATCTAAAATAACGTCCTACGTCAGGCAACTAACAATAAAAGTAAAATTAGACTGATATGACCACACGAACAACAGAAGACACTGGATGCAAAGTTTGGTGGCATGATCACTTGAAACGTACAACAGAGGTAACCCAGTGCATATTTAGGTTCTTGTGAAGTAACTGTGATTAGCGGAATTAGGCTTAAGGAATGAGTGGCCAAAAACCAAGTGTTAAAATGAGTTATTTTGGGAATCCCTTTGAGAAAGCTCTGAGGGTCCCAGACGGGCATAAATATCCGGTGGTTGGGCCGGGCGTGGTGGCTCATGCCTGTAATCCCAGCACTCTGGGAGGCCGAGGTGGGTGGATCACCTGAGGTCAGGAGTTCAAGACAAGCCTGGCCAACATGGTGAAACCTCGCCTCTACTAAAAATACAAAAAAAAAAAAAAAAAAAAAAAATTAGCCGGGTGTGGTGGCACGAGCCTGTAGTCCCAACTATTCGGGAGGCTGAGGCAGGGGAATCGCTTGAACCCAGGATGCGGTGAGCCGAGATCGCGCCACTGCACTCCAGCCTGGGCAACAAGAGCGAAACTCCATCTCAAAACAAACAAAGATCAGGTGTTGGGCAGTGCTCGGTCAGTGGTGGCCATGGCTGCGCAGGAGGAGGCAGAGCTCAGTCTTTGGTGGGTCACGCCTCTGTGGTTCTGCTTGGCTGGTTTTCTGTAGTGCTATACCTGCATATACAGCTACAGCTGTCTTGAGAGCTGACTCCGTCTACTTTTTTTTCTCTGAAAAATGAAGTTACTGAAAGCAAAGTGTGTTTCTTGAGTGTGTTTTTATCCTTGACAAGTGTTAAGGATACGGAGTACATACAAAATAACAAACTGAGAGCTGCTATTACTGTCTATTTTAAGCCTCGGTAAGCTGCTTGAACTCCTAGAAAAGAGAAGGAAGAGACAGGGGGTTGGGGGAGGGGGGCATGATACAACCAGGTGCAACCTGGGGTCAACTAAAGAAGACACAAGGAGAATAGGCATGACTTTTAGGGCGAACTTCAGAGAGAAGAGAAAGGCTGCTCTCAACCTCTTTGAAGGAAAATTTATGCAAGACTCCCAACTTGCTCACAATCTGCATAAAGGCAGCAAACGAATTGAGTAAATTACCTTTGTCCTCACTCAAGGGATATCTAATAATAATCCCAAGCTTTATTCTTTGGTAGGGCAATACACACAGCCAAAACTGCCCCAGTTGTTAAAAATGATTAAGTATTTCTGTATTCCTTGGAAAAGAACTGCTATCTGAACCACCGGAATGCTACCAGCTATCCCATTTGCCCCAGCTCCTCAACTGGGACTCCCCAGACCTCTGCCCACTCCCGCCAGGGTGAATGCCTGGCCCCGAAGGTCACTGCTGCAGCTCTAGAATGTTCATTCTGACTGATTGGTGCCTGGACTACACTGATTGTGAAAGTATCCTATCTGTTCTCAGGCAATGGTCGTAAGCGACACTGCTGACTAAGCCAGAGAGTTATTAAAGTAACTTAGTGCAGGATGGCAAGGAAGTTGGGTAGAGATGGAAGAAGAGACTAGCTCAAGGTTGCCTGGGGATGGGGAGTGAGGGGCTGTTAGTGCTGAAGCCTCCTGGACTCACTACATGAAGAAGGATCCTCCTTGGTCCTGAATGGCATGGCAATACCCATTTACTGCCTCTAGGAGAAGCTGGGAGGAACAGATCACAGCTAAGAAGCAACAGGAACCCCAGAGGGGAAAAGTCTTACGTAAATATGCAAGAGGATTAAAAACAGAAAAAGAGAATATTAATCCAAACCACAAGTGTATTTTCAGACTGCCAAGGTCCTGAACTCCTGCGTCTTACGCACCTCAGTGTGAATGGTGCTTTTACCAAAGTAAGAGAGAATTTAACTCAACTGAGGGACTTATAAGGGAGGTTAAGGGAAAAGTTCCAGATGGGGTAGTATAAAAATGCAGAAAGAGCAAATAATTCCTTTAAAGAGTAAATGCCACCAAAGGCCCCAATTTAGCAAATGCCTGTGTATCCTCGGAACTCACTGCACTTACAAAATATCCCTTCGGGGCATGGCATGAAATTTGACCATGCAATAAGATTTCCTTCATTTGGCATATGTTTATTGTGTTTACATATTTGGTCTCAGAGCCAAAAATACGCACAGATAGGTCCCAGGCCAAACTTGTAAGCAAATGAAAATTTTTTGTGACTACTTCTTCCATCTTCCTTTCACCTCCCTTTGCCCTCCAGTGGTCAATCTAACCCCCTCTGAGGGATGAGTGCTTTTGGCTCAAGTGGTAATTCCTTTTGGAGAGGAATTATGAAGGACACATTCCATTCAGGACCTGGAGGAGTGAATCTCTGTGAGTAGGCTTATCACGAGGGGTGGGAGAAGGCCTTTTGGGGGCCAGTTCACAGTAATTCACTTTTTTCTGGGCTTGGAAGGAAGAGTTCCTCAAACAGTAGACACTTTGCATTTCAGGTGCATGGTTGCAATTGTCCATGCAGCCAGGGAGGTCTCTGTTTCTAATAGTCAAGCTCCAGCACAAAGGACTGGATAGAAGTGATTGAGCTGAGGAATGTCTTAGCTTCCCAGCAGGATAGCCACCAAAGCAGCAGGCACACAGGGAGGGGACCATAGAGGAGTATTGATCACTGACAAAGGAACTGCTGCCCCATGATGTAGGAAAGAGTAAGTCCGCTTTAAGTCAGTTTCATTATTGATTTTAAACTCTCTAGGCCAGGCGTGGTGGCTCACGCCTGTAATCCCAGCATTTTGGGAGGCTGAAGTGGACAGATCACTTGAGGTCAGAAGTTCGAGACCAGCCTGGCCAACATGGTGAAACCCCGTCTCTACTAAAAATACAACAATTAACTCGGCATGGTGGCGGGCGCCTGTAGTCCCAACTACTCTGGAGGCTGAGGCAGGAGAATCGCTTGATCCAGGGAGGCAGAGGTTGCAGTGAGCCGAGATGGCACCACTGCCCTCCAGCCTGGGCATTAGGGTGAGACTCCATCTAAAACAAAACAAAACAAAAAATTCTCTAGAGACTATGTATGCTTTTATTTACTGCACTGGGGGTGGGCCACTTCTACCACCAGCCCTGCCTGCAACCTGCCCAGCACAGAAGTACCTCAGAGGTTTCTCAGCCCACACAGTTTTCCCTGGGAGCTAAAGTCTGAGAAGTCATCTCAGTACAAACTGACAATGGCAAGGTTAGGAACAAAGGCAGAGGTGAGGTGAGGAACTTGGGTCTGTATGTACTATGAGGACGCCTTTCTGCCAGGCGAAAGAGAAGCAGACTGCGGTTCCTGGCAGGGCAGCCACACTCTCCCAGCACCCTCCTGCTCAGTCTCTGGTGACTGAAGCATCACAGGAGGCCTCGCCTGTGTCCTCCAGTTGCTAGGGTGATTTAAAAATAGCTTCTGCAGCTGGGGAAGGGGGCAGGGGAAGAATGAAGATAAGTGGCCTTTTGCAGGAAAACCAAAGTCAGTGAATCCTCAAAGGCAATGACCCTCCCTTGCAGGAAGGTGTCCTGTGTTTACTGTGCTTCTTACCTGAAAGACAATCTTTTTGTCCTGGGTCTGCTGTGGACTCTTTCTGGTAAGGACCCGGCTGCCTCTGGAGAAGGCCCTGTTCACTCTGTGGACCTGCAGCCAGGAGGACACCGGCAGTCTCTACACAGAAACAAACAGTCGGTGTTCAGGATCAGGTTCAGAATGATTGTTCTGCCAATATCAAGATGAGGCTTTGCAAAGCACGCCTGTCGACAGGAGTTCTATTGGGAGAGGCCGTGTGCAAGGGAAGAGTGGCACAGGGCCAGCAACATCCTCTTCAACTTTTTGCATTAGGAATTCCCATTTTTTAGTGTCAGTGTCAATGGGTTGGTGTGCTGTGTTGGGTAATGGCAGCCAGAGTCCCAGCCACGTCACCCTAACTTTAGGCTATTTTCTCGGTTCAGTGTGAGTGTTTCAGGCCAAGTATCCCAGTGAGGGGACCAACCGATTTTTGAAAATTACTTAGTGAGTATCCCAGGAAGGTGTTGTGGTTTAAATCTGTGTCCATCTCTCCTCTCTCCACTTAAGAGACTCTACCTCACTATTACCAGGCTTTGGGAGATAGCAAAAGCAGTTATTTTATTTATTTTTTTTTTCAGGAAAAGATTCAGGACTCTGGCATTAAATTTTATGAGAAACTTCCTAGTTAAGCAGTCTTTGATCCCCTCAAAGGAACCACCAAAATAAAGTCTGATATTCAATGTTTTGGGATGTTGTAAAGCTATAAAAAAAGAATAATAATTAAAATGTATAAAAATACTCACAATAAAGTAGAAAACAGTTTACCAAACAGTATAAATAAAATCTTAATGTTTAAAATTATAAAGTATATGTATATAAATATTACATCTTGCCACATGTTACATGTATATAATTGTATATGTACATCCAATATAAATATGGACCAAGTGTGCTGGCTCACACTGTAATCTCAGCACTTTGGGAGGCCGAGGCAAGAGGATCACCTGAGGTCAGGAGTTTGAGACCAGCCTGGCCAACATGGTGAAACCTCGTCTCTACTAAAAATAAAAAAATTAGCCAGGCATGGTGGTGGGTGCCTGTAATCCCCAGCTACTCAGGAGCCTGAGGCAGGAGAATTGCTTGGACCAGGAGGCAGAGGTTGCAGTGAGCAGAGATTGTGCCGTTGGACTTCAGCCTGGACGACAAGAGTGAGACTCCATCTCAAAAAATAAAAATAAATAAATAAATATGATACCAGATTGTTTCTGGATTGTTCAATTATAGTTATTTTTCCTTCTATATGCTTTTATTTATATTTCAGATTTTTCTACATGGAGTATTTCATTACTTTACAACTTCCTAATGCAATTTAAAAAATATATCCACATTACGAAGCTGAAAGTTGTTCTTCTCTTAGGCATGGCCAAACAAAGGCAGACTAGTGGTCTGGTGGCAGAAGTGGCCTTTTCTTGCCTTCAGAAACTCCCAGGGGATGGAAAGTAAAGACAAGTCTCCTTGGAGGTAGAGGGAGACCTCCCTAGCTCTTAAATCACTGTTGAATGCTAATTTGCTCAAAAACCTGGAGGGAGCTATTCAGACCCTTTATAACCCCCTCTCTGGACTGGTCTCATTTTGTCATGAATCAAAATGTTATCCTCACATTTAACCCAACCCCGCCCCCCAACCCCACCGACCCCCCCCACCCCACCGACCCCCCCAACCCACCGACACCCCCAACCCCACTGTCCCCGACAGGGCTGTAAAACATTTCTAGTGGGCTCAGGGGCAAACAAGGTTCTCAGGCCCAGGGCACCCACCTAGAAACAGCCTAGGCACAAAAGCTGCATTCCAGGAGCCTGAGGCGTGGCCTCACTAGCATGTGGCAAGAAAGAGGGTGGCCAGTTAAATGCCTTTACTGCCTCACTTGTTTTCCAAATATATATGGTGGCTCTCAGCAGGCTGACAAAAACCTCGCCTTGAGCAGGGCCTTAATTACCTTTTTTACTGCCTCTGGACTTCAGTTTCCACTTTTGTAAAATGAGAAACTTAAACTTAAAAGTTAAACTTGAACTCTAAGTTTCCTCCTGGCTCTGGGAGTTGTTTGGAGGTAAACAGTTGCTCTTCAATTTTATGGATGTTCCAAAACCCAATTTGCCCCCTGAAATCTTTGGAGTAGTGTGAACTACAAGTCTAGGATCCAGGTGCATGCCGGAAGCCGGAAGCCCAAGGACTGAGTCCAGCCCACAGAGATGTCTTTTTTGGCTCACAGAGTTAGAAGGGCACAGAATTTGGAAAAAATAGTCACTTACCAATCTTTAAAAATAGGGCCTTTTTGGCCAGGTGTGGTGGCTCACACCTGTAATCCCAGCACTTTGGGAGGCCAAGGCGGGAGGATCACTTGAAGCCAGTAGTTCGAGACGAGCCTGGCTAACATGGTGAAACCCCGTCTCTACTAAAAATACAAAAAATTAGCCAGGCGTGGTGGCATGCGCCTGTAGTCCCAGCTACTCAGGAGGCCGAGGCAGGAGAATTGCTTGAACCTGGGAGGCGGAGGTTGCAGTGAGCCGAGATGACACCACTGCACTCCAGCCTGGGTGACAGAGTGAGACTCTGTGACAAAAAAAAAAAAAAAGGGCCATTTTGAATAAAAACCTACATTTCTGGATTTTCTTCACAAATCGTAACATCTGGCAATACTGGGCCTTCATGGAAATAACCTTCTGGATCTGAGTGGTGGCTGCACCTTTTGAAAGAGACGTGGGGTCTCCAGGTGCCCAGCTGCTTCAGTTGCTGCTGTCTCCTGGACTCTGAGGCTGAATGGCAGTGGCCATTCTCAGGTTTCTTATAACGGATCTGGTCTCTTCACTCAGTCATGTTACCTCTCTGACTCTTGCAAGCATCTGAGTTTGCGATGTCTGATTTCTTGGGAACAGAGGTCACCTTTGTATCTTCCACAAAGCTTTGCTCGGTAAGAATGCATAAAGGTACTCAATTTATACTGTTCCTAGCCACCCAAAATGAAGGGTTTGGTAGACAAAGTGAATCAATCCTTGTGTTCAGAGTTTTACAGTGTTTTTAGGTGAATCGCTTTCCTTCCCCACGAAGGCAAAGGATTTGCTCCTGAGTAAGCCCCTGGCTCCTGCAGGTCCTCCTCTCGGGCAGCCTTAATTCTGGCCCTGGTATTTCCTTGGAGTGTGCCTAGGGAGGTTTGGCTTAAGTTTGGCTTCTCACTTAGGAGAGGACTTGCCACATACCTCCATGGAGACAGAAAAGGGACTCCGGGCTCCCCTCGTATATCACTTTTGACACTCACTTTAAAACACAAGAGCATATTTTTCATTTGCCAGCCATCCAAAGACGGAATCCTCATCCTGTTTATTGACACTGGGGATTTGGATAAGCTGCTAGTAATACAGAGATGGCAGTTTCTAGAGATATGCTGAGGAATAAGAAACTGGTTTCTACTTCTCTCCTTATCTCTGCTCTCAGCAGTACCTATTTTATTGTTGAGACTTCTGTGACCTTAATATGTCTATTCCCCTAATGATTTTATTTTTGGTCAAAGTGAAAACATGCTGTAGAGTAAAATAGGTGGTTCAAATGGTAAGTGAAGAGCAGTCAATTAGCTTAAACAACTTGAGGAAGATAATATACATATTTTATTTTAAAATAAAGTAGCCATATAACTTATTAATTTATGTTTTTTGAGGCAGGATCTCACTATGTTGCCCAGGCTTGTCTCAGACTCCTGGCCTCAAATGATCCTCCCACCACAGTCTCCTGAATAGCTGCGGTTATAGGCATGAGGCACCACACCGAGCAGCAAAAGCTGTTGTAGTGGGGAAAAAGGTGGCAGGCTGTGAGCAGAAATTTCCAAGTGACTACAGGAAGTCCCTAAATTTTATTGTTGTACATTTATCTGTTCATTTGAAGCTTTGTAAAAATTGTCTCTATCTTGGCTCTCACATTTTTTGTGCCCTCATTTTGAACTCTCTGTCCCTAAGTAATATCAAACAGGTTTAAGCAGTCAAAGTATCTGAGATGCTGGTACTTGGCAGTATCTTAAACAGAAGGAGGCAGCAGGTTGGAGAGAAGGAGGAGCTCTCCTGAAAACTGTAATCACAATTATGTGAGCACCTACTATGTGCTAGACCCTATTCAAAGGCAGAGGAAACTGACCCATGGGATGGATACGCTGTAAAGAATTCCAACACCAGCCCTGCAAGGTAAGTTAATAGTTATGCTAACTGCTGTAACAAATCCAAAGTCTCAGTGACTTCACAAAACTTAATTCTAGTTCATGTCACAGTCCACTGAGTCAAGCAGCTCTCCCGAGCAGCTGTCTTCCAGGCAGTAGCCCAGAGATCCAGGCTCCTTCTATCACGTGGCTCTGCCATCTCAGAAGCTTTCACTTCCAGCCATGGCCTCGGGGAGAGAAAGAACATGATTAGTCAAACTGGGGTTTTATGACCAAGTCTGAAATTGGTATTTGTCACATCACTTGATTACATTAGCCGGAATTAATCATATGGCCCCAAACTAACTGTAAGAGAGACTGGGAAATGTGGCTTTCCTTGATGCCAGGAAGAGATCAGTGAGCCTCTGGCCAGAATCTGCCAGTATTGCTGTAGTCACTCCTTTACTGATAAAGAAATGGAGGCTCAGAAGACAGCAACTTACCCAAGGGTCAAGCAGCTGAAGTGGCAGCATTGGGACTCAGCTTAGGTATGCTTGGCCCTAAAGCCCATGTTCTTTCCATTATACATCTACCTCTGCAATCAGCTCATAGGCATCCCCCATAAGCCACACAGAAGGGAAGAACATGTCAGCCTAAGCTCACTGCCCAAGCCTTTGTCTGCATACTTCTTCTGATTTATAACTGACGGACTGTAGTTCAGATCTGACCATCTGAGCAAGCCCCATTGAGGCTGGGACACTCTACCAAAGAACCAGACTCCCCTCCTCCTGTGGGGGTTCTCTCATTTATGCAGGTTTTCTTTAATGTCTCCCAATAGTGTTTTGTGGCTTTCTGGGTATGGATCCTGCACATCTTTCGTCAAATCTACTCCTAAGTGCTTCAAATATTTTGAGACATTGTAAACAGTATTTTTAAATTTTAATTTCTATAATATAGAAATAAAGTAGATTTGTGTATATTAATTGTGTATTGTGCAACACTGTTAAACTCATGTATTAGTTATAGCAGCTGTTTGTAGATTGCATTCTTTCTACATGAATGATCATGTCGCCTGCAAATAAGAACAGTTTTATTTCTCCTTTTCCAATATGGATAACCTTATTTCTCTGTCTTGCCTGATGGCCCCAGATAAAACCTCCCATATGTTGTTGAATAGGGATGGGGAGAGCCAACATCCTTGTTTTGTTCCTGGTACTAGGGAAAAAGCATTTAATACGATGTTAGTTTTAGGTATTTTGTACACAGCCTCTATCAGGTGGAGGGAGTTCCTTTCTATTCCTAGTTTTCTAAGAGGTTTTTTTTTTAAAATCAGGAATGTGTTTAGATTTTGTCAAATGGCTTTTCTGCATCCATTGAGATGATCACACGTCGCTGTTGTTGTAATCTGTTACTATGGCAAATTACATTGTTGATTCTTGAGTGTTCAACCAACCCAGTACTATTCAACTTGCGTAAATCCCACTTGGTCATAATGTATTGTCCTTTTTATATATTGTTGGTTATTTGGTAAAATTTTGTTTCAAATTGTTGCATCAATTTTCATGAAGGATATTGGTCTATAGTTTTCTTACAGTGTCTTTGTCTAGTTTTGGTTTCAGGGCGATGCTGGCTTTAATGAGAATGAGTGGGGGACTATTTTCCTCTCCACAATATTGTAGAAGAATTAATGTAGAATTGGCATTATTTCTACATTAAATGTTTAGTACAGTCCTATCTTGAATGCTCTTCTATATATTCTGTGGGCTCTGAAACTTGGGGCAACACACGCCTGCTGGGGTTTTGCCTGTCTTTCTCTTTGAAGGCAGAATACTGTTTCCATCCTTCAGCCCTGGAAGGATAAAGGAAATGTGGAAATGGTTAAAGATGAGGGACAGGAGTGGGGGCATGATATCTCAATGCATCCTTTAAAAACAAAAGGTGAAATTCATGTAACATACAATTAACCGTTTTAAAGTGTTTCATTCAGTGGCATTTATTACATTCACAATGCTATACAACCACTACCACTAGCTAGTTGTAAACATTTTCATTATCCCAGAAGAAAATCTCATACTCGCTACGCAGCCACTCCCTATTCTCTCCTCCCGCTAGCTCCTGGCAACTCCTAATCTGCTTTCTGACTCTGTGGCTTTACCCATTCTGGATATTTCGTATCACTGGAATCACACAATATGTGACCTTTTGTGTCTGGCTTTTTTCACTTAGCATGATATTTTAAAATTTCACATATAGTGTAGCATGTATCAGTACTTCATTCCTTTCTATGGCTGAGTAATAATCCATGGTACTTAGATACCACGTTTTGCTTGTTCATTCATCACTTGATGAACATTTGCATTGTGTCCACCTTTTGGCTATCAAGAAGGGTGCTGCTATGAACACTCATGTGTAAGTATGTGTTTCAGCACCTGTTTGCAGCTCTTTGGGGTACACATCTAGGAGTGGAATTGCTGGATTGCATGGCAATTCTGTTTAGCTTTTTGAGGAATCACCAAATTGTCTTCCACAGTGGATGCACCATTTGATATTCCCATCAGTAATGTGTGAGGGTTCCAATTTCTCCATATTCTTGCCAACACATTTTTTAAATTAGAAATTTTTTTATTGTGACTATCCTAGTGGGTGTTTTTTTGTTGTTGTTTTTTGTTTTTTTTTTTAGGATAATAAGTCCTTTATTCTTTTCTTTTTCTTTCTTTTTTTTAAAATTTTTTTAGTATTTATTGATCATTCTTGGGTGTTTCTCGGAGAGGGGGATTTGGCAGGGTCATAGGACAATAGTGGAGGGAAGGTCAGCAGATAAACATGTGAACAAACGTCTCTGGTTTTCCTAGGCAGAGGACCCTGCCGCCTTCCGCAGTGTTTGTGTCCCTGGGTACTTGAGATTAGGGAGTGGTGCCTTCAAGCATCTGTTTAACAAAGCACATCTTGCACCACTCTTAATCCATTTAACCCTTAGTGGACACAGCACATGTTTCAGAGAGCACGGGGTTGGGGGTAAGGTTATAGATTAACAGCATCCCAAGGCAGAAGAATTTTTCTTAGTACAGAACAAAATGGAGTCTCCTATGTCTACTTCTTTCTACACAGACACAGTAACAATCTGATCTCTCCTTCTTTTCCCCACATTTCCCCCTTTTCTATTCGACAAAACCGCCATCGTCATCATGGCCCGTTCTCAATGAGCTGTTGGGTACACATCACAGACGGGGTGGCGGTGGGGCAGAGGCGCCCCCCACCTCCCAGACGGGGCGGCCGCCGGGCGGGGGCTGCCCCCTACCTCCCGGATGGGGCGGTTGCCGGGCGGAGGGGCTCCTCACTTCTCAGACGGGGCAGCCGGTCAGAGATGCTCCTCACCTCCCAGACGGGGTGGCGGCGGGGCAGAGACACTCCTCAGTTCCCAGACGGGGTTGCGGCCGGGCAGAGGCGCTCCTCACATCTCAGAAGGGGCAGCGGGGCAGAGGCGCTCCCCACATCCCAGACGATGGGCAGCCAGGCAGAGACGATCCTCACTTCCTAGACGGGATGGCGGCCGGGAAGAGGCGCTCCTCACTTCCCAGACTGGGCCGCCAGGCAGAGGGGCTCCTCACATCCCAGACGATGGGCGGCCAGGCAGAGACGCTCCTCACTTCCTAGACGGGCCGGCAGCCGGGCAGAGTCTGCAATCTCGGCACTTTGGGAGGCCAAGGCAGGCGGCTGGGAGGTGGAGGTTGTAGCGAGCTGAGATCACGCCACTGCACTCCAGCCTGGGCAGCATTGAGCACTGAGTGAGCAAGACTCCGTCTGCCATTCCAGCACCTCGGGAGGCCGAGGCGAGCAGATCACTCGAGGTCAGGAGCTGGAGACCAGCCCGGCCAACACGGCGAAACCCCGTCTCCACCAAAAAAATATGAAAACCAGTCAGGCGTGGCGGCGCGCGCCTGCAATCCCAGGCACTCGGCAGGCTGAGGCAGGAGAATCAGGCAGGGAGGTTGCAGTGAGTGGAGATGGCAGCAGTCCAGTCCAGCCTCTGCTGGGCATCAGAGGGAGACGGTGCAAAGAGGGAGAGGGAGGTGGAGGGGGAGAGGGAGAGGCAGAGGCCTAGTGGGTGTTAAGTGGTATCTCATTGTGGTTTTGATTTGCATTTCCCTATGGATTAATGATGTTGAGCATCTTTTCATGTGCATGTTGGCCATTGGTATATCTTCTTGGAGGAAATGTCAATTTAAGTCATTTTCCCATTTTCAAAACCGGATTTTTAAAAATCTTTTTGCTGTTGACTTTTATGCATTCCTTGTATATTCTAGATATTAGGCCCTTATCAGATATATAATTTGCAAGTATTTTCTCCCATTCTATAGGTTGACTTTTCACTTTCATTTTTAACTTTCAGCATGACTTTATTTTTTTAATCAACAAATTTTAAAAATAGTATATATTTATGGTGTACAACATGCTTTTAACATATGTATACATTGTGAAATGGCTAAATCCAGCTGTTTAACATATGCATTACCTTCCCTACTTATCATTTTTGTGATGAAAACACTTAAAATGTACGCTCTTAGCAATTTTCAGATATATAATATATTGTTATTAACTGTAGTCACCAGGATGTGGAATAAATCTCTTGAATTTATTCCTCCTGTTTAATTGAAATTTTCTTCTTTCACCAATATCTTTTCACTTTCTCCATAATGTTTGTGATATATAAAAGTTTAATTTTTTTTTTTGAGATGGAGTCTCACTCTGTAGCCCAGGCTGGAGTGCAGTGGTTCCATCTCGGCTCACTGCAACCTCCGCCTCCTGGGTTCAAGCAATTCTCTCACCTTAGCCTCCTGAGTAGCTGGGATTACAGGTGGATGCCACCACACCCGGCTAGTTTTTTTATTTTTAGTAGAGATGGGGTTTCACCACGTTGGCCAGGCTGGTCTTGAACTCCTGACTTCAAGTGATCCTCCCACCTTGGCCTCCCAAAGTTCAATTTATCTATGCTTTTTATTGTTGTTGCTCACACTTTGGATGGCATATCTAATAATCCATTGCCAAATCCAAGGTGATGAAGATTGGCCCATGTTTTCTTCTAAGAACTTTACAGTTTGAACTCTTACATTTAGTTTGTTAATCCATTTGGAGTTTTGTATACGGTATGAGGTGGGGGTGTCCAATTTTATTCCTTTGCATGTGTCTCAGCACTTAATGCATATTTTTATATCATTTTGCTTTTTGTTTAAACTATAGGAATATATTAACTATCAAAATTTAAAAATATATTTTTAAATGGGAAAAAAATAATCTTTGTTAAAAGAGGAGCAAATTGATAGTGAGGCTAAGATGATGATCTGTAGAGCAGGACTGCCTGGACTGGAAGCTTGGCTTCTCCACAAGCAAGCTGATTGATCTTGGGCATGTTATTTAATCTTTCTGTGCCTCAGTTTACTCACATATGAAATTAAATAACAATAGTGCATACTTCACAAAGTTATTATGGGAATTAAGTGAATTAACACATTTAAAGTATATAGTTGTTAGTAAGCCCTATACAAATGTTTTTTAAATAATTAAATAAATAAATTTTGAAATTTCAGATACTCCAACCATTGTGTCCATTGCTTAGGCACCAAGTTTTCTGGAGAAGCAGGGCCTGAGTGTAAGGAACCAGAAGAAAAAGTACTGAAAGTTGTCAGTAGCATACTGTGAGATGAAAAACCCAGTTTTCTTTTTTTTTTTTTTTTTGAGATGGAGTCTCGCTTTGTCACCCAGGCTGGAGTGCAGTGGCACAGTCTCAGCCCACTGCAAGCTCCGCCTCTGGGATTCACCCCATTCTCCTGCCTCAGCCTCCCGAGTAGCTGGGACTATAGGCATCCGCCACCATGTCTGGCTATTTTTTTTTTTTGTATTTTTAGTAGAGATGGGGTTTCGCCATGTTAGCCAGGATGGTCTCGATCTCCTGACTTCGTGATCCACCCACCTCGGCCTCCCAAAGTGCTGGTATTACAGGCGTGAGCCACTGCGCCCGGCCTGAAAAACCCAGTCTTCTATCCCAATTCCCTGACACAGAGATGCCATTGGTCCTCGCAAGAAGGGCTTCCACCCTGGGCCTGTGCTTTAGTGGGCTCCACGTAAACACAAACACACAACAAAACATATTTACAAAGAAACACATGGCTGCCTCTGTTACTGGCGCAGTGTAACCCATAACCTTAACATCCACCGCACAACTCACGTAGGGAAGCGTGTCTTCACAACCCTTGCCCTATGTTCTTGAAACAAAGGACACAGTGTTCAGATGATGGGACAAAAGGACACCGTGTTCAGATGATGGGAAGGTGTGTGGGCTGTGCTGCTGCTACCACTGAGTCTTATCAAAAGATATGTGGGGAACATTTTTAATGACAGAAGTGCCCATATAAGAGAAAAGACACGTTGATTAACTTGTGAAATCTCTCTGTTTCAGCATTTTGTATAATGAAGTATCGATTTCCAGTAGTGCTAAATATCCATTTTCTTTCTTCTTTTTGTGTGCCAATTCATGGTTTCAAAGATTCTCACAAATTAGTGCACTATTCAAAACAATTGCACAAGATGCCTGGGGAACATTTTGCAATATTAAACATTTCACATCACTTTTAAATGTGTGTGTGTATTTATGGAAGTTTGATAATGATTCTTTACATTGGCAACTAGATGGACATTGAACATGAAAATTGCAAATAGTTTTAATTGTATAAAAATTAATAATATTTAATTAAAACTTAAAAATTAAATAAAAGGTTTTTCAGCTTTATTTAAATATTTTATTAAAACACTGGTATTCATTCACTATCATTTAGATTGTATCACTAAACAATCATTTTGAAAATTTTAGAAAAACTTATGGAAAATATATATAAAAATAATTTTAGTTTTTTATCTTTCATATTTACCGCAATTATATTTTTATTAAGTATACTCAATTTGGTATAATTTCAATGCAATTATATCTTAATTTTTAATACTTTAGATCAGTGCAACTTAATACAGTTATATGTCGCTTTGTGACAGATATGTCCTAAGAAATGCATTGTGAGGCAATTCCATCATTGCACAAACATTATGGAGTGTACTTACATAAACCTTGAGTGTAGTCTACTGCACACCTGGGCAATATGGTATAGCGTATTGCTCCTAGGCTGCCAACCTGCACAGCATGTTATTGTACTGAACAATGTAGGCAATGTAACGCAATGATATTTGTGTATCTAAACATACCTAAATGCAGAAATGCTGCAGTAGATATACAACATAAAAGATTGTTTTTAAGTCCACCTGTAGAAGGCACTTACCATGAATTGAACTTGCAGGCTTGGAAATATCTCTGGGTGAGTCAGTGAGTGAGTGGTGAGTGAGTGTGAAGGTCTAGGACATTACTGTATTCTACTCTATGCTTTATAAATACTGTCCATTAGAAGACACTAAATTTATTTTAAAATACTTTTATTTCTTCAGTAACAAATTAACCTTACCTTACTCTCTTTTACTTTATAAACTTTTAAATTTTTTTAAAACGTTTTGACTATTTAGTAATGACACTTGGCTTAAAACACAAACATTGTAGAGCGGAACAAAAATATTTTATTTCTTTATATCCTTACTTTATAAGCTTTTCTCTATTTTTGAAATTTTTAATTTTTACTTCTTAAACTTTTTTGTTAAAAACGAAGACACAAATACACACATTAGCCTAGGCCTACACGGGGTCAGAATCATCAGGATCACTGTCTTCCGCCTCCCCTCCTGTCCCACTGGAAGGTCTTCAGGGGCAATAACAAGCGTGGAGCTTCATTTCCTCTGATAACAATGCCTTCTTCTCGAATCCTTCCTGGAGGACCTGTCTGAGGATGTTTTCCAGCTAGCTTTTTTTTCATAAGTAGAAAGAGTACACTAAAATAACAGCAAAAAGTATAGTAGATACATAAACCAGTACCATAGTCATTTATTATCAAGTATTATGTACTATACATAACTGGATGTGCTATACTTTTATTATACAACTGGCAGAGCAGTCAATTTGTTTACCCCAGCATAACCACATACATGTAAGTAATGCATTACACTATGATGTTACCATGGCTACACTATCACTAGGTAATAGGAATTTTTCAGCTCTATTAGAATCCGATGGGACCACCATTGTATATGTGGTCTGCCATTGGCTGAAGCATCATTATTTGGTGCATGACTGTAGAACTTTAAGCAATGATGAAAATGCTCTATATCCACACTATCCAATATGGTAACCACTAGCCACTTGTGACTACTGAGTGTCTGAAAGGTGACTGGTACAACTGGGGAACTGAATTTTAAATTTTCTATAATTTAAATTAAAACAGCCACATTTATTTTATGGCTATTATATTGTATCCTATATCATATCATATTTATATATCATATCATATGTTACATGGTATATCATATTACAAATGCAGCTTTAGATCATTACTTTCCCTAGAACACAAATTACATGAAAATCTTGAGTACAATGACATAGTTACTGATTTTGCCAGGATAAAGGAAAAAGTAAATGTTATTTAAAAAGCATATAATTTATGAATTATTAATATCTTCATTGATTATTCATCCAAACACCACAGGCCCATCAACAGAATTCCCAGTATATGCGATAATAATTATGTTCAGTCATCGTTGACGTTTTGCCAGCTTTCAGTCAATTAGAAACTTTGAACTTTACTCGTATTTTTCTATCTAATCATTATGAAGATATATTTGTCAAGGAAGGAGAATAGAAAGCATGTTGTTCAACTCTTTGTGATTTAGAACTGTTAAATATAGTCATATGATATGCAGGTTCTGCTTGAATTCTTGCCCTGGCTCTTGGTGAAGGATCGGCCTGCTGGATCTGAGTCATCCACCTATAAGAGGGACAACACCACACATTGGTCGCTGCTCTCAAGCCCCTGGAATACCACCCCACTTGGCTTCTCCTGGTAACAGTGGCTGCCTTTGCTTGCCTGTCTCCAACTCCTCCCAAGAGCATTGCTGACTGTGAGCTGTACCTTTGAATCTGCAGGGGCCCTTCCCATCTGTCTAATATTTGCTATCAGTGAAACAGAAAAACCCTTGGGACACTGTCAGGGAGCATTCTGGCCCGCAAAATGCCTACCAACCACCATGCCGTTCTCATTCTTGCCATTAGCAACCTTCTCTTTCTCTACATCATCAGCGTCCTATGTGCACTCATTCTAGAGGGCCAATAATTCTCACAGATTACCAGTGTAGACTTAAATTATTTTTATTATAATATCACAGTACAAGTAAAAAGTATATGGCTGTGGTTTTTGTTCAGTTATAAAGTTCAAATAAACTTTCTAGATTAAATACAAACAAACTACAACACTGATCAAAATAAAAGCAGCAACATTAATTTAATGTGGCAATGTCTTGTGGAAAGCAAATTGCCAGTGTTGAAACAGTAGAAAGTTCTTAATGTTGGTTTTTTACTGGTTGTATTTCCGCATTTTAAATTTAGTAACACTTAACACAGAGAATGCTGTATATAAAATCATATATATATATATACATACAAAATCATGGTCCACTGCAGCCTTGAACTCCTGAGCTCAAGTGATCCTCCTGCCTCAGCCTTTGGAGTAGCTGGGACTACAGGCACATGCCACCACACTCAGCTAATTTTTAAAATTTTTTTGTAGAGATGGGCTCTCACTATAGCCCTGTTCTGGAACTCCTGGGCTCAAGCCATCCTCCCACTTTGGCCTCCCCAAAATGCTGGGATTACAGGCGTGAACCACCGCATCTAGCCTAAAATTATATTGTTAAAAGACTTTGTTTCTCAGTTTGGGATAATCAGAATTCATAGTTCTGATCTCGACTACCAGTTTTAATGAGGTACTTCTTTCTAACTCCATCAGCTGTGTGGCTATCTGCAGGTAAGGACTATGTTACAACATTATCTAAATTGGGCATCTAATTATCTAAATTATCTAAATATCTAAAATGGGCATATAAAATGGGCATTTAATTCCATTAGATATCTGGACTTAGAAATGGAAAAATTTTTAATTGAATATTTTTAAATATCCCTACTGCTAATAAGTTGGGAGCCATGAAATAAGCTCCTCCTCTTCCATGAATGTGGTCTTGGCCACAGCCCAGTTTTTTATCAGTTCAGTCTCCTTGTACTTCCATGCACTTTCCTATTTGCACTGCTTCCAAATGTGATACCCACAGAGCCAGACACCATGTCACGTGGGCCTTTAGGCATGTGGCACTGTTCAAACTGGGAGGTGACCTGCAGTGTGTTTGTACACACGTATTTTAGTTTATCATAAAGATGATTACACAAAATTTATAAATTCTCAGGAAACCTCAAAGTATCCTTAGATAAGTGGTTCTCAAAGTGTGGTCTGTGGATCCCTTGGGGTTCCTGAGTCCTGCTACTGGGGTCTACGTGGTTTGCAATAAAACCAAGATGTTATTTGCCTTTTTCATCCTGTTGACATTTGCACTGAAGGTGCAAAAGCAATAGTGGGTGTTTTAGTTTTTTCAGGTTGCTATAACAAAATACCTTAGATCAAGTAATTTATAAACAACAAAAATGTATGGCTCACAGTTGCTTTGCAGTTAATCTGAAGTACAAGATGAAGGCTCTGGCAGAGTCCATGTCTGCTGAGAGCCCATTCCCCAAGGACGGAAACTTTGAGCTGTGCCCTCCCATGGCAGAAGGGGCAAAGCAGCTCTCTTCAACCTCTTTTATAAGGGTGGTGAATATGAATTCTATTCATGAAGTGGGCAGTTCTTATGGCTTACTGATTTCCTGAAGTACCCAACTCTTAATACTATCACATGGAATATTAGGTTTCAACATATGAATTTTGGGGGGACACCAATGTTCAGACCATAGCAATGGGTGAAACTGCTGGAATCTGAACACAGCACCAAACTGTTACAGAAGGCATTATGTTCTTCGTCATCATGCATTTTCTGCAAAGAAAAAAAAAAGCCATCTCAGCACTTTGGGAGGCTGAGGCGGAAGGATCACGAGGTCAGGAGTTGGAGAGCAGCCTGACCAACATGGTGAAACCCCGCCTCTATTAAAAATACAAAAATTAGCCGGGCTTAGTGGCACCTGCCTGTAATCCCAGCTACTAGGGAGGCTGAGGCAAGAGAATCGCTTGAACCTGGAAGGCGGAGGTTGCAGTGAGCCGAGATCGCCCCACTGCACTCCAGCCTGGGCGACAGGTCAAGACTCAATCTTAAAAAAAAAAAAAAAAAAAAAAAAAAAAAAGCCAATTTTATTTAATGTCCATGATGAAGCAGAAAAAAAATACACAACTTTATAATATTCTAAGCGACAAAATGGGAATTACATGCAAAGCACTTCTGCTGCATACTAAAGTAAGATATTGTCTTGAGGACAATCACTTATGAGATTGAGTTACAGAGCTAAACCAGCTGCTTTTTTCCATTGAATACCATATTTACTCTTAAGAACGATTAGCACACACGATGGTTGCTCAGACTTAGGGGTTTGGCGCACAGTTTTCCCAGAGATGCGTTAGTGAGCCCAATAGTTTAGGGAAAACAACTCGCAATATTTTTAGCAAATGATAAAATGCAGGTTTTCAAGTAAAAATTAGAAAACCTATATCCATAAGTTTAATAGTTTCTAAATATTTAAAAACTTTTCTGATAAGATGTTAGGGATATTAATGAATTTATCTTTTTTATATACTGTAATGAAATGTGTCACTATTTGGAAGATTTATGTAACGCAGTAAACCAATATTTTCCTGTTGACCAATGCATATTGTTACAAAACCATGCATAGTAAAAGATCTATTCAAAGTTCAGGAGAGACAAATGGATTTTAATGTAACAGAGTATGAGAAGTTTATTGGCATGGTTTCAGACTCTGTTGTAATTAACTTTAAAGAAACTATCATTTGTCAAATTTTGAAGAAGTGTTAAGAAATATCCACAATTACCTGAAAAGGCTTTTAAAATACTCTTATTTTTAACCTACTACATATCTACGTGAGGCCAGATTTTCCTTGTATATTTCAACTAACCAACATATTTCACAGATTGAATGCAGAGGCAGATATAAGAATCCAGGTGTCTTTGATTCAAGCCACACATTAATGAGATTTGTAAAAATATAAAACACTGTCATTCTTATGAAGTTTTTGATTTAGTAAAAATTCAGGGTTTTTTTGGTAAAATATGTTATTTATTATAAAATATAATGGGCTTTTATTATGACTAAATTCATCCATTATTTGATAACCTCAACAGATATCAAATAATATTATGTATTTAATAAATCAATTAATAAATTAAATAAATTACTAAATGTTAATTAATTTAATTAATAAATATTTTAGTTTCCCTTAGTTTTAATTGCTAATATGAGAATATCAATAGATACAGCTTAAGTGGAAGCTGAATTCCTAGACACACCAAATGTCTACAGTCAATGTCATGGCCCTAATTGGCATAAACAAAGATTGTGCAAACTAGAGTGATATCTGGGAAGGGCTGGATGAGCCTATGATTAGAAGATCCCCAACATAGCTGGAGTTACTTCAGATAAATCCTCGCCATAATATTATTATTATTTGATAGCTGCAGAAGATATCAAATTAATTTATTAAATACATAATATTATTATTTGATATCTGCTGAGGGCCCTTTCCCCAAGGACTATTATCATTTACTAAATGAATTAATAAATATTTTAATTTTTTCTAGATACCACCCACATAAACAAAAACTTTTTGGGAGTCCTCCAGAATTTTTAAGAGTTATCTAAACTATTGCCTTTAATGACCAGGAACTCCAATTTGAGAAGTTACCCTACGTTAAGCCAACAGCAGCCTGGCTCCTTCATCCTGTGCAGTATGGGACAGAGCTGGGTCCTTGTTGTCATCAGCCAGACAAGCACACATTAAAGCCCACCTTAGCCATTGGCATTACAGCTTTAAAAGCAGCTCCATCCTACCATGCTGTCACTCTACTCAATCACGTGATCTTAACGACCAGCTCTACATATCCTCTCTCCATGCCCCCACCACCATCCCCCACCAACAAATCCGGTAATCTATCTCTGTCAATAGTCCTGCAGTGAATTCCGAATAAGTTTTTCTCTTCCCTGGCCTGCCGTTTACGTAGTACCCTGGATGAATCTATACTTACTCCATAGTAAGTAGTACCTTGGATGAATCTATACTTGCATCCAATGGAAATGAGAGTGATGGTGCAGAGTTATCCGAAGTAACTCCAGCTATGTTGTGGATCTTCTAATCATGGGCTCATCTAAGCCTTCCCAGATATCACTCTAGTTTTTACAATCTTTGTTTATGACAATTAGGGCTGTAACATTGGCTGTAGACATTTGTTGCATCAAGGAACTCAGCTTCCACTGAAGTTCTGAAGTTAATCAGTTTCTGATCTTGTTCTGCAACTCTCTGCAAGAAGAAAAATCACCAGGAAATAGTGCATCCTGAAAGGAGTCAAAGTTTCCTTATCCAGCTGGAGCAGTGTGATCTCGGACCAGAGTCAATTCCTTGCCCAACAGACTTCACATTGAGCCATGAGAAGCAGCCTACTTACCCTTACCTGGACACTTCTCCAAAACCTGTGAAATGGCCTCTGTCACTGCCTCAAAGCCTCATCCTTGGTGGGCAACTCACCTGGATCCTGAGACCAAAATATAGAGCTTAATGAACTGCTCCTCTGCTGTAAACCTACTATCTTTTCACACTAAGATGTAGATATTCTCGCCTTGCTCTACCCAGTGGTGAGCAAGGATGTTAATCTAGTTCTTACTTCCCCTGAGAGCCTCTTGCAACTTCACTGTTAATAGAAATCACTCTTTTATGCTTGCAAAGCATATCCTTATCCTTTGGTATAAGGAATTTATACAAAGATGCACAGGACTGGTGGGGTAACAAGAAAAGCCATTTCCCTAACTGCCTGCTTAATCTGGATCCAAGTGCTGCTAAGACAAAGAAGTACAACAAATTTAATAGGAAACCAGAACAAAACCCTAAAACGAACGCTCAAGGTTGTTTGGGTTACAACCTCAGCTTGAGAGATCTGCTCTGGCATTTATACTTCCTAAAATAGAGAATTTGAGTGAATGAGGTGGCCACCATCCAAATGAAGTGCCTCAACTGGGAAGAGATTCATGCCAACCTGCTAGGGCATGGTGTTTAGCCTTTCTTATATTTAGTCAATTCATGGGCTCATCATTTGGGGTGAGGTCATCAGGATGGTGCCACTCAATTCACTTGGCAAGAGCCACAGCAACTGATGTAGGAAGAAGCCTGTTGGAGTTTCTTTTACTAAAGGGCACCTGGGGGCCAAGGATACATGGAGTCTTCATGAATTAATGAATGAAGCCCCTCAACTGGCTCAGTATAATTATTCTCAGGGGACATCTTTATATTCTCTTACAGTTAAAGTCCTGGTGGGGCTAGCTTTTCAAAATAATGACTCCAATTTTGAGGCAGTTCAGAGAATTTAGTGGATTGATTTTTCAATATCTCTGTCTGTTACTGATTAATTTGTTGAGAGTGAATGTAGGCATCAGCTCTAATTTCCTTGAACAGCTTTTATAAGTGACTTACATGTATAAAGGGCATCCTCCAAAACCATTTTAATTTTTAAAGATGCCAAACAATTTGATAATTAAGTTCTATAAATGTGGACTAGTATTTCCCAAACTGTGCCCTCTAGGAAATGCTTCTAGGAGATGTTAATAGGTACACAACAAAAATAAGTGAATGAAAGAAAAATTTTCAATCCATTGTCAGAAAACTTTGGAAAGAATTTGTTTACTATAGGGGACTCTTCTTGGAGATTTACTCTCCAATTAGTATATTTAAAGACCTGAGAAGTTCCATTGTAAAGAAATTTGCTTTTAATTAACCAAGCATTTCCCAAATTTACCTTAACACAGACAATTTTTAAATTTTTCCTTATGCTTCCCCAGATCCTAATTTTAGGACATATTGATCTATGTAAATTTTAAGTCAAATGTATAATTTTGAAACATGTGTAGAACTTAAATGGAACAGGATAGGGAATAAGACTTACTTTAAATCAAGTCCTCAGGAAAAACAATTCGAGATAAAAAACTTGTGTGGGGAAGTTTACTGGGTGGTGTTCTCAGGTTCAATTCCTGCAAGGAAGTAAAGACATAGCACTGGGCCGAGGGAGAATTTGAACTGTGTTCTAGCCACAACAAAGTTCTCATTCTGTCATAGGGGATCACCGAAGCCGGAATGGGCTTTTACATTTGTCCTGCCTTGAGGCAGCGGGGCTGGGCATTCATAACCCTCCTTACCAGGTTGCTTCCAGGAAGAGGTCATGATCCTGGGGTGGATCAAGAACTGCTATCTTGGGTTGAGGGTAATTCTTGAAGAAGGATTCAGCCAGAGTCCCCATGTCTTAGAGAGGCCATCAACAATTCGGAGATTTAGTGCCTCATCCCTAAAGAGGGCACTGGAGGGGCTCCATGGCAGCCTCTACTTTGTGCCACTTGGATCCATTTGCTTTGTAGATTAAGTTCTGAGAACATTTCCTCCAGGATCTCGGTTGGTCATTTCTCTTGGAGAAACTTACAAGAAAAAGGAAATGGAGGAACTACAGCCTCACCACATGCAGCTCATATAGAGGTTGCAAATGACATTCATCAGCTCCTCCTCAAGTACCATTCCAGATCCCCTTGTCCACGGGTGGTAACTTTGTTGGTCCATGTGGCTGGCCTGATGTAGTGACCAGACTTTGATCTCTGAGGGGCCTGAGCTTCATAGCCACGACTGCTGCACTTCCATTCATTACCAAAATTGCTCCCATTGGGTAACGGCAGCTCTATCTCCTCCTTATAATAGAGCCGGGAGGCTGGCTCCTCTCCTTGCTTACTGTTGGCACAAGGAGTCAAACGTGACCACTGACAGCCATAGCTAACATTTAATGGGAGCCCTCCTGGGTTTCCTGGTGGAAGCATTTTTTTTTGGTCTGAAAACCAGAACCTCTAAACCCATAAAGTTGGGAGTTATAGAAATGGGAAACACAAATTTCACAAGTGTGTCAGTAGTACTGATGGGAAGTGGGGCAACTCCTAATCGTCTCCCTTGGTTTCTGGATTTACCTATTGAGAACACAGAACCATGAAAAGGCAGTTGATTTAGAGCAGTAGCTTTCAAACTTTTGGTCTCAGGACCCCTTTACACTGTTAAAATTATTTTAAACAGAAGCCCAAAGCTCATTGAGGGTGATAACTACCAATACTTACTGAATTAGAAATTAAAACTGAGGAAACTTTAAAATACTTCAACTCATTTGAAGATAGGGTGGAACACACTGCATGTTAACAGATATAACACCTTCATATAATTATTATGAAGTTAGTTTTGACCTCATGGAACCCTGGAATCTCTCCTAAAGTGTCAGATTGTCCCAGAATAGGAAGGAGCATAGTGAAGGACACTTGGCAGGTGAATTTTACTTGCCTTGGTTTGTAATACCTGATTCTTAAAAGAAGCTATGAAATGTGTTGACGTTGTAGTGAAGTCTGGTCTACTTTAGTGGAAGTGCTTCCTTGATTTACTCATTAATTCCTTTGCCAACAAAATGAAATGTTATTCCTCACTTTCTGTGTAATCTGCCTAATAGCAAAGCTTCTTTATGTTAGCTTTGTTACATCCTTGATTATTCAAGAAAAAAGTATCAAGTTATAAAAGAACTTACATATTCTTTACAATCATGTTACTATCTACATTTAAAAAAATGCTATTTTGATTAAATAGATAACTAAATATCATTTTCAGGCACCCACAATCATATGTTAATCAAATGTCCAAATCTCCTCTGACAACTTTTTGATTTTTGCCTTCTCAAAATCAAATCCAAATATAGAAACATATAAGTAAAAAAAGAATATTTCAAGATATCTTTTACATCAAAATCCATTTTGAGATTCCCAGAGGGTCCCTGGAAAATTGCAAAGATTTGTTTTTTCACTTTATAAGAAGAGAGGTACTAGAGATAATTAGCGTTTTTGATATGTTACTATTATAAAGTTTCATGGGAAAAGTTGTCAAATCAGAAGAGACATTCAGTTAAATTTGGGTATTTAAAATATTTTATTAATGTAATGATTTCAGAAATTATATGATTTTGGAAAGTCCCTGGAGATTTGTCAGTGACCTCGCATTCTATGTTTTAACTTCTGAGGGAACGTTGACCTAAACTCTGTGGATTTTTTCCATATTCACCAGAATCTTTGTGTTGCTTTGCCTGATGATACTAGACAACAACTGTATGTTATTAGTCATAATTTCCATTATTATTTAAAATATGAACTTCATCACAGACTTAATTCTTTAATTTGACTTTAATATATTCTATGCCACTGATTTTCTTTTTTTCTTTTTTTTTGAGACAGTCTCACTCTGTCGCCCAGGCTGGAGTGCAGTGGGGTGATCTTGGCTCACTGCAAGCTCCGCCTCCCAGGTTCAAGCGATTCTCCTAACTCAGCCTCCCTAGTAGCTGGGATTACAGCCTGGTGCCACCACGGCCGGCTAATTTTTGTATTTTTAATAGAGACAGGGTTTCACCATGTTGGCCAGGCTGGTCTCAAACTCCTGACCTCAAGTGATCTGCCCACCTCAGCCTCCCAAAGTGCTGGGATTACAAGCGTGAGCCACTGCACCCGGCCTGATTTTCAATTGGGGATGCACCTCAAACTTACTTACGGAGTTATATAAAAATACAGATGTCTAGGACCGATGCCAGATTTACTGAATCTCTTTTTATTCTTGATATTTTCTTAGTATATGTTTGCTGTAATCTTAGTATATTATTATATTATGTCTCGGTTATTATATCTCAAGGCTTTTCCTCTCTAAAATTATGTTCTCCTATTTTACAAATCAGATGTAACATTCACTGACTCCTCTGAAAATAGGCCTAATCATTCTTCTTAGAGACATATTGTCTGAAAGTTTATCTCAGAATGGCTTTATCATCTTGTTAGGTGTGCCACAGAAGCACTCAAATGTCTCTGTGGGTTACATTATTCTTATTATTAACTCTCATTAGACCTTTACGTTGGAAAATTATTTTAATAAATTAACCACAGACATTTTCCATTTTCTCTATCATTTAAGATACATTTGTTTTTTGTTGTTGTTGTTTTTGTTTCTGTTTGTTGTTTTTACTATTTACTCTGATGCTTGCCTGAAGATTCTGCTATCAGCTACAGGTCTGGGTTTGTGTCTCCGACAAAGAACCACCTCAAAGCCCCACAGAAAAGGACTGTACCGTATACTTCAAACTATTGACACCTCAAAGAACAGAGCTTGGGTTCAGGCTTCTGATGCATTCTGAGACACTCTCAGACCATACCAGTGGGCTGGGTCAGGATTTACAGAACTATTTTCATTTCAAGAGCATACGGGCTCATGAGATTGCTAACTCAAGATCCGGTGGAACAGAAATACTTATATCGGACTGAATAAACTGATGAGGAAAATCTTATTGCATTTATTGGTAGAGAATACTATTGATGTTTAAATGTTCTCTTTTCCATATTTAAAAGCAAACAAGCACTTTCTTTTTCTTCTTAAACTCTCTGTAATCCGTAATGATTTAGTAGACTCTGCTCTTTCTTTTTGTTTTTGTTTTGCTTTGTTTTTTGAGACGTAGTCTCACTTTGTTGCCCATCTGGGGTGCAGTGGTGGGCTCTTGGCTCACTGCAACCTCTGCCTCCCGGGTTCAAGCAATTCTGCCTCAGCCTCCCGAGCAGCTGGGACTACAGGCACCTGCCACCATGCTCGGCTAATTTTTGTATTTTTAGTAGAGACGGGGTTTCACTCTGTTGGTCAGGCTGGTCTCGAACTCCTGACCTCAAGCAATCCACCCGCCTCGGCCTCCCAAAGTGCTGGGATTACAAGCGTGAGCCACAGCACCTGACCTGACTCTGCTCTTTTATACTGAAATGTAACATTTTAAAATGATATCTGATTCTCCCCGATTCCTCTGAAATCAGAAATTCTTAAGTGTCCTCACTTTTCACATCAATATGCTTGTTTGTATATGTTCAGTAAAAATCTGTCTTTTAAAAAAATCAGAATATAATTAGGAAAATCAAATATACAAGCAAGGCCTTTCCTGCAATGTCACATTTGTGAATAATCTCATTTAATGGAACTTAATGGGGCCAATACTTATAAGGTCTTCCCCCAAAAAATGGCCTGGTGCCTCATTCACAGAGTCCCAGCCTTACAGGAGTAAAGGCTTGACTGAGGCTGAAAGCTTCACGGCAGGACGGCTCACTTCTGCCTGTTGGCCAGAGACCACAGGGCCTCTTCATGGGCAGCCTGGGTGTCCTCATGACGTGGCAGCTGGAATCGCCTACATCCACTCATCAAGGAAGAGAAGGCAAGGAGGAAGTTGCCATCCTTTTTATGAGCTAGTCTAAAAGTCACACTGTCACTTCTGCCTTATTCTATTTGTTAGAAATGAATCACTAAGGCCGGGCACTTGGTAGCTCATGCCTATAATCCTAGCACTTTGGAAGGCCGAGGCAGGTGGATCACCTGAGGTCAGGAGTTTGAGACCAGCCTGGCCAACATGGGGAAACCCCGTCTCTACTAAAAGTGCAAAAATTAGCCGGGCATGGTGGTGGGTGCCTGTAATCCCAGCTACTCGGGAGGCTGAGGCAGGAGAATCGCTTAAACCCAGGAGGCGGAGGTTGCAGTGAGCCGAGATCACACCACTGCACTCCAGTCTGGGCAAAAGAGAAAGATTCTGTCTCAAAAACAAACGAACAAACAAAAGTGAGTCACTAAGTCCAGTGCACACTCAAATGGGCATAGGAGAGAATTAAGCTCTACGTCTTGAAGGAAGGCATATCAAAGAATTTGTGAAGACATTTTTAAACCCACCACAACCACCTTCCAAAGCTCTAGCCCTTTCCATCATTCTAGGCTCCATCCTCACCCTTGGGTAATTTTATGATTTACTGGATGAAGCAGCCTTATAAACAAATAGCAATAAAATGAAGCAGATTATAATTGTGTACTATCGTAGAGGTACAAAAAGCGCTGGAAAGGACGTTAAATCCAACTGGAATAATCCAGGGGAACTTCATGAAGGAAGTGGCATTTGACATGAAAAAATGAGAGGATTTCGAGGGTCTAAGATTAGAAGCAAGAAGGAGCAACTGGCCAGGTGATAGGGCAAGGTGGATGTTGGTACAGAGGCAGGAGAAAGCGTATGTCGGGGCTGGGGAGCTGAGGACAATATAGTGGCACTGAGAACACTGAAAATAAAACTGTGGAAGTTTAAAGAGGAGAACAGTGTGGGAAGCCTCATATGTCAGGACCAGGACATGAGAAATCCAGGAAAGGTTTCTGAATAGGAGACTGGCATGATTAGACCCATGCTTTAGAAAGAACAGCCTGGTGATCCTGTGAAGACTGAGTCAGAGGGGGACAGGCATTTAATGTATTACATTATCTTAATAAACTAACCACAGGCATTTGGCAGTAGCGAGGCCCAGTGGGAAGCCGTCCTAGTTGGTTCAGCAAGTGCCCTTTGACTCCATGGGACAGCTCAGAGGCGCGCCATTGTGGCTGCACGTTGGAGTCACCTGGGTGTTTCCAAAACACACCGACACTCAGTCTCCCCACCAGGTTTCTGATTTCACCGTGCAGGGTGGGTTTAGGCACCCCGGCTGATTCTCATTTGCAGCCCAGTTTGAAAAGAGCATGACCGAGAAAGGGAAGTCAGGCTGATGTCTTCTCAGCTCCAGGCAAATTTGAGGACTACTACTCACTCACTCTTGCCTCATTTTCTGAATTTCTCTTCTACCTTCTTCCTTGGGTCCTTGTCCTTCACTTCTGGGTATTTTTATGATTTTTAGGTTTTCCATGGTAGCACCGCTATTTTGCCTGACTATTCTAACCCCGAAAGTGTTTCAAGATCTCATTAAAATGGAAGGAATCTGATCAGACTAATTCGCAGTAAGATATAAATGATCGATGACCCAAAACCCCACCTAAGGGTATTTGATTTTAAATTTTTTTTCTAACCTTAAAAAAAGAATAATTTCACACTTATGGAAAAGTTACAAAAGAGATTTTCTAGATACTCTGTTTTAAAACATATCAGTGTTATTCTGTCTCTTCACACATACACACTCATATGTATACACGCATATTTATTTTTCGGAACCACTCAGAACTAAGTTGCAAGCATATCCCCAAATACTTCTGTGTGCATCTCTGCTATGGTTTGAATGTGCCTCCCGCCCCCCAATTCATGTGTTGAAATTTAGTTGTCATTGTGATGGTATTAAGAGGTTAGGAAATCCAATTAAAATTCCTATGTTGATTGGACGTGGAGTCTAGGTAATTAGGATTAGATAAAGTCATCAGGGCAGGGCCCCCGTGATGGGACTGGTAGCTTTATAAAGAGAGGAAGACACACTTGTGCTGACACTTGCATGCACTTGCCTCCATGCCATGTGATGCCCTGCACACTTCCGGACTCTGCAGACAGTCACCACCAGCAAGAAGGCCCTCACCACATGTGGCCCCTACACCTTGGAATTCCCAACCTCCAGGACTATGAGAAATACATTTCTTTTCTTTGTGAATTACCCAGTCTCTGGCATTCAGTGATAGCAACTGAAAATGGACTGAGACAAGCTACTAAGAACAAGAGCACTCTCTTGCATAGCCTCAATACGCTTGGCCAAAATCAGTACCTTAATGTTTACACAACACACTTCTCTAATCTACAGCCTCCACTCAACTTTTGCTGATTATCCCAATATTTTTTATAGAAATACAACAACAAGAAGACTGGGCTCGGTGGTTCACACCTGTAATCCCAGCACTTTGGGAGGCCGAGGCAGGTGGATCACCTGAGGTCAGGAGTTTGAGACCAGCCTAGCCAACATGGTAAAACCCCTGTCTCTACTAGAAATACAAAAATTAGCCGGGCGTGGTGGTGCATGCCTGTAGTCCCAGCTACTTGGGAAGCTGAGGCAGGAGAATCACTTGAACCTGGGAGGTGGAGGTGGCAGTGAGCCAAGTTCGCACCACTGCACTCCAGCCTGGGTGACAGAGCAAGACTCCGTCTCTCTCAAAAGAAAATAAAGAAAGAAAGAAATAACAACAACAATGCCATCTTTCCTTTACCCCCTTTCCTTTCTGGTTTGGGATGCAATACACAACCACACACTGCATTCATTTGTTACGTCTCCTGTCTTGGTCCTGAGACTGGGCACTTCACATGTGTTTGGCAGGAATGCCACGGAAGCAGTGCCGTGTCCTCGGTCCATCCTATCAGGTGGCACACAGTGCCCACTTGACCCAAGCAGTGCTGTTAGCTTCTGTTACCAGGTGAAGATGGTTTCTGCCAGGTTTCTCATAAAGTTAGTAAGAATTTTGTCAGTAATTATTAAGAATTGTATAAGGATACACTGTGAGGCCATATAAATATTCTGACCCTCATTAAACTTTCACTCATTTGTTCCAGCATCCATTGATGATTTTTAGCTGAATCCATGATTACTACAATGGTGGCCAAATGGTGATTTTCTAACTTTATCATTTTCTTCTACACCTATTAGATGGATTTCTACTATAAAAGAGAGCTTTCCCTTCTCCTCAGTTTTACTTATTTATATGAACATAGACTCATGACTTGCTATTCTATTCAATAGGGTGCAATAAATTGGTAGCATTATTTATTTTGATGCCCAAATTGATGCAGGTTTGACCAAAAACAATCCCTTCAAGCTGGCTCAGAATTTTGACTTTGAAAAGAGGCCAATTTTTTATTCAAATGTGTCTCCACATAGTAGGAGTAAGGTCTTGGGAGTAAACAGAGTGGAAATTTTCGGCAGCACGCCTGGTGATGATGAGCAAAGTGGCCTTTACCGTGTCAGCGCTCCCTCAACTGTTCCAGCCTCTCGAAGCTTCTTCCTCCTTCCCTGTCCTAAAATGGAATTAAGTGCTGGATCTTGGAGGCACCTTAGAGATGATCAGGTCCCTGGTTCCCAGACACTGATTGGCAAGGGCTGTGTGACTGCAACCCCTGGAGAGGTAGTTTCTCAGAATAGGTGCCCCCACCGTCACGCCAAACATTTCGGGTTCAAAAGCCCGACCTGGTGGGATGAGCCCTTTATCTGTGTATGAAGCCACCCAGATGACTCCTGTGCTTAGCCAAAACCCACCCTACTCCCATAAATACACGCACCCCGCTTTCTTTTGCAGGTGAGAAACCAGTGACTCAGAGAGGGGAATCCGCATGCTCTAGGTCATGCTGTGAATGTCAGAACTGGGAAGTTTCTTGCTCCGTTAACACTGGCTTTTTGCCTGCATTGTGCTATCTCATTACAGTTCTTTGAAAGCTCTGAAGTTTTTGGCTCCTAACAATTGTTCTCACAGCAGTAAGAATGAGGAATTTACCTGTAGGATGGACGATGCTTAAGTCAGGTGTTTGTAAACCAGGGGCTGTCTCTGCTCATTTACTTGATACTTACATGCAGTATGTTGGTTTACTTTACGCTGATCCCCAGAGTTTCATCATTTAAACTGAAAAGAATAATAATACTTATTTATATGGCCGCTATGAGCATTAATTTTAGAGATACTGTAAGCCTGGCACTTTCGCTAACTAAATATGCATTTACCACTCCCCCACCCCAAAGACACACACACACACACACACACACACACACACACACATACACACTCCCCTAATTTCACTTAAGGAAGCACTTTCTGTTACCATTTCTCTCTCTCTTACCTACTGACCCCTCACTGACAATAACAGCAGTATGCCCTTTTGCCATTGAGAAAGACAGCTGTAAGATAAACAGATGCCATTGCATTATACATACATGTCCCCCTGAGACCATTCTGCACTGTAGCCACCACCTCGTCCCCTGGGCTATAGAAATCTGACTATTAAACAAAACTAACCTTTAAACATGTAAACTGTATCCACCCGATAACAATTCAGCCATACTTCCTTACAAATCTAGACCGGACCCAATATGTTAAAGGCTTTCTGGCACTACAGTGAAGGAAGGGAACATCTTTCAAACATGTTTATAAATACTAATAACAGTACAGGGTGCTCAAGATCTCAAGCAATCCACTGCTGACTTTTTCATTAGGTGGTCATTTGTTGAACTTCAGCTCCCTTCCAATACCTTCCATTCATTCTCTTCATCAAGGACATCTGCAGTGCACGGCAGCATCAGGGGGCAGGCCTCCTGAGCCCCCAGCAGGATTCCATTTCTCCACCTTCCACTGCCATCCGACTTGCTGATGCCCAGGCCCCCAGAGGAGGAAGGGCTATCCTGTTGTTATGAGAACAAATGAAGCTAAGAAGTGGTTTGAGGTGGGAACAGCCAGGCCCTACAGACAGAGAGAGTGGTTAATAAATCTGTATTGTACTGAATTAAATAGAGCATCTTAAGCTACCTACTGGGGATGGAACAATGCAGAGACTCCTGTGTTTTTTAGTAGCATTAGCAAAAGAGCTTAGCATCGCTGCTAATTAAAATCACATCCACGTTTGGCTTCGGAATGCATAAGGCATCACAATAACTCAGCACTGAAGGGGCTTATAGTGGTTTTAAAATAAATCCACACATTCTTTGCAGTGTGCTCCCTTCAATGCAGCCTCATTCCTCTCCTCTTGAATGTAGGCTATTCTGAGTGACTCACTTATCAATAGAATGTAGTGAAAACGGTGGAATATGACTTTCAAAGATATGCTGTTGAAGACACTGCGCTTCTGTCTTGCTCTCTCTTTCGGATCACGTGCTCTTCAGGGAGCCAGCTGCCATGTCATGCAGACACTCAAGCAGCCCTATGGAGAAGCCACATGGAGAGGGGCTGAGGCCTGTTTCCCACAGCCATGTGAGTGGGCCATTCCGGAAGCAGATCATCCAGCCCTCGCCAAGCTGACAGACGACTGCATCCCCAGCCAACATCTAGACTGGAGCCTCACGAGAGACCAACCCGGAGACCCCACCCAGCTAAGCCACTCCAGAATCCCTGACCCCAAACATTGTGACATGATAAAAATGTGTTGTTTAAGCTTTTAAGTTGTGTGGTATTCTGTTATGTAGCAATAGATAGTTAATACCGGGCTCTTAATCTTTTCCATAGCAACCGTGACAAAAGGTAGTGCAGGCTCAGCTTGCACCTCCCATTGACAGAGAGCTTGCTTCTTCACAGGGCAGCCCCTTCTGTTGCTTGGCCAGTCTGTTACCAGTCCTGCTCACACCGAGCTGGTTTTGGCCTCTCTGTAATTTCCATCCCTGGTTCAAGATGTGCCTTGTGAAGCAAAGGTGAAGCTTCTCCTCTTTTATGTGACTGCCCTTCAGACAGCTGCAATTCGTGATTATGCCGGCCTCCTGTGTGCTCTTGTGCTGGCTAAAGAGAGAAGAAGGGGAGGCAGCACCTTTTGAGGGGCCCGGGAGAAGAGACATAGTCTGTCTATAGGAAAACAAAACAAAACAAAACAAAACAACAAAACAAAAAACTGCTTTATGCTCTCTTTTGTACTCTCACAACATTTTTGGTCACCAAAATGTGTGGGGTTTTCCCCCACATCAAGCAATTCTCTAATTCTCTGTAGATTTAATTGTAATTGAATTACAATTTAATTCAATTCTGACAGTAGCTAGAGTTAGTGCAGACCCCACAGGTTAAGATCCCAGTCCCACAAGACCAATTCTCACTTCAGACATCAATCGCGAGTAGTAGGTCCCCAGGTTACCCGCAACTTCTCTCTGACCTGGCTACACGGAAGGTTCTCGCAGCTGCCTCATTGGGTTTAATCGTTTGCTAGAATGGCTCACAGAACTCAGGGAAACACTCTACTTACATGTTTGGAAGATGTTCTTGCCTGTTTCACTGTAGTGCCACAAAGCCTTTACAATTTTGGATGGATTCTAGATGTGTGAAGCAGTGTGGCTGAATTGTTGTTGGGTGGAAATCCCACTTATTACAAAGTATACAACTCGGGAACAGCCAAATGGAAGAGATGCAAAGAGCAAGGTATGGGGAAGGGGTCAGCTTCCATGCCTTCTCTGGGTGTGGACCCTCCCAGAACCTCCACGTGCTCAACAACCTGGAAGCTCTCAGAAACCAGTCCAGTCCTTTTGGGGTTTTATGGAGGCTTATTGTTTACATCTTTAGCTATTAGTTATTAACTCAAACTTCTGCCCCCTTTCCCCTCCCTGGAGGTTGGTTGCTGAGGCGGTGGGCGGGGGAGGGTGTAGTGGGACTGAAAGTTCCAACTCTCTAACCACATGGTGAGTTCCCCTGGTAACCAGTCCTCACCCCAAGGCTGTCCAGGAGCCTCCAGCCCTTGGTCATCTCACTCGCATGCAGAATGACACTTATCACTTGTCACAAGGGGTTTATGAGCTATGTGCCAGAAAACGGGGAGGGGTGGGAAGAGGAAAAATATATTTTTTTTATTAAATCCCAATGTCATAGCCTGGAATTAGGCCACAGTCCTGCATGCACCAATCCAAGAGGGGCTGGATTCTGGGAGATTTTGAGAAATGGATGGCACCAGTCCTGAGCCACTAGATAACAATCGTAGCAGTAACAGTAATAATTAGTGCTGACATAGCACTTAAACAGGCTGCCAGATCCTCTTCCATGTGTTTTGTATGTGCTAAGTCATTTAATCCCCACAAAAGCTCAGAATTATTGCCCCTATTCACAGAGGAGGAAACTATAGTGCAAATAGGTTATAACTTGCCCAAGGAAACATAGCCAGTAAGCAGCAGAGCAGGATTTAAAGGGAGGCAGCCCAGCTTCAGAATACTCCTCACTGCAACTCAGTAGTGCCTTCCCTTCTGGATCTAGCTCATCTTAGAGCTGCATTGAAAGCTGTTATAGAAACAAAAACTGCTACCATTTACTGAGCATCTGCTATGTCTCAGTCCCTGGGCTGAGTGCTTTGTACACACTAGAAAAATTAAGGCTCACGGTCAATGGAACCAATCATTTAACATTTATTTATCAAGCACAGACACTGTGCTGATCCCAGTGGGGACACAGTGGTGACTCAGGCTTGGGTCCTGACCTTAAAAATTTTTCAGTCCTGAAGCGATAAATTAGGTACAAAAATAGCTAAGTTTGAGGCATAGAGCAAGAGTTGCCCTTTTGTAGAGGAATAGAGAGCAATGTTATGGTCTAAATGATCATGTTCTCTCAAAATTCATGTTAAAATCCTAGCTCCCAAGGTGATGGGATTAGGAGGTTAGATCTTTTGGGGAGGTAATTAGGTCATGAGACTGGAGAGCTCCTGAATGGGATTAGTGCCCTTAGAAAGAGGCCCAAGGGAGCCCATTTGCCCAGTTCACCATGTGAGAATGCAGCAAAAAAAGGTGCCATCTATGAACGAGAAAGTGGGTCTCACCAGACTCTAAATTTGCTGGTGCCTTGATCTTTGATGTTCCAGCCTCCAGAACTGTGAAAAATAAATGTGAAACTGTGAAAAATCTATGGTATTTCATGATAGTGGCCTAAAAAGACAAAGACAAGCATGACACACGGAGAGAGCTGGGGCTATAGGGGTGTTACCTGAGTAGGCTTTATCTGAACCGGTTCTTGAAGGAGGTTATGGTTGGGGAAGGTAGAGGTGGGAGAAGGGCACTCTAGGAAAGGAAACAGGACAGGAGTTAAGATGAGAAAAATGAGGCTTCACTCTAACCAAAGACAGAATGATGAGCTAGAAAGATGGAAACACCATACTGGGGTGGTTTTTGTTTAATCCTGTGTATTACATGTGATTTTATAGGAACCCATGGTCTTGAGACTGCTGTGGGTTTGTGATTTCAGCAAATCTATCCCAGGCTGGAAAAGCAGAGGCCCTGTGAGGACTTCATCTGGAGCAAATGAAAACTGTCAGACCCTCAGAGCCCCCAGGACACTCATTTATCATGGTGAGAAATATTGATATTAATAAGCCCTTCTGCTTGATACAATTTCTTGTCATCACCCTCTTCTCTCACCCCCGGCTGCCACCACCACCAGTTTCCATTTGGAGAATCAAACTGGCAGCAGAGAGTCACACTTCTTGCAGATCTGTTGGACACACACACATAAATACGGCAATCATTTTATGTCTAATGAATGGGAAGTGAGGGGTAGAGGTCCTGACTGTACAGTGGGAGATTTGCAAGCTGTTTTGCTGGGATTTCCTCTCACCTGTGGGAAAGAGGGAAAGACATGACCCTACCAGCTTCCTGCATGTGATGTGCCTGCATGCACTGGAGGCACAGTCATGACTCTGATCCCCAGGTCGGGGGAAGCCCTTTCCAAAGGGTGGGGCATGCTTTTGGGAACTTGTGCTTTCTGAGATCTCAAGGAAGAGGCAAATTCTGATTTCATGAGGGCTGAAAGTTGTACAATTTGGGGACCTTTTTAAAGAAAAAGAATATCAAATTATGAATACAAAGTGAGGCTTACAAAATTTTTTTTACAGTGGAGGTCTCGCTCTGTCACCCAGAGTGGACTGCAATGGTATGATCATAGCTTACTGCAACCTTGAGTTCCTGGACCCAAGCAATCCTCCCGCCTCAGCCTCCCAAGTAGCTGGGACTAACAGGTGCACGTCACCACACCTAGCTCAAAGTGAGATTTGAAAGTCACCATTTATTTAGAATGATTAAAGAAATCACAACAAATTTTAAATCTTAAAAATGCTGATAAGTACCATGAATATCACAAAATTCAGAAAAATGTTTTATTAACTGCCTGACATATGACTAAAATATATTTTTCTGCTTTTCTGGGTCACACACTCTCTAGATCACTTCTTCAAATGGCAACAGTTTTGTAATAGTTCTGCAGAGAGAAGACAATTCAGTCTGACGTCTAGCATGTTTGGTTCAAATTATTAATATTTTCTCATTGATTTTTTCAAAAGTTTCTTTTAGCTTCACAACTCATTATTAAACATGCCATTTAAATGTTTAGGATTGTTGTAAATTTGGGGAAAACTTAACAGAATATCTTTCCTGTATGACTGCAAGCCTTCTGCAGCTATCTCCTTAAACACTCTTTGACTTGAGAATGACTCATTGATTCATTGACCAGTTAGTCATCCCCGTTCTCATTGTGGAGATACATGAGGAGTTGTGTGTTATCCTCAGAAGAGCCAGTTTCATATTGAGACAGTAGGAAATGTAAATCTTTCTCCAGTGTGTTCATATGATTCACTTCTCTTCATTAACTGGACTATTAAATGATCTGGGAGTCTATTCACTATTATTCTATTGGAAAGTTATCTCTTCCTTTTACTGAATTACTGCTTTTGATGCGATTAAACAGTATTTTATTGTAATTCTATCCTTGATGTCTGAATAATTTCTATGTATCTCATTTCTTTTCTTTTTTGCTCCATTAACTTTTTCTCTGAAATTTCTCTGAGTTTCTGAATAAATACACTTAAAGATGACAAAAGATTATACCCATCGTAAATGCCAAAATTGGGAGTCTGTACTCTTATTTCTTTTCTTGAAATGTTCCAAAAATGTCATTCCAAATTGAATTCAAATGGCTTGTTGAGCTTTATAAACTTGTAAGTAAACACCTTGCTACTTATTTGTCTTTGAATTTCTCTTCTGAATCTTCAAAAATACATTTTTAAAATTTATTTTTATTTTATTTTATTTTTTATTTTTTGAGATGGAGTCTCGCTCTGCCACCCAGGCTGGAGTGCAGTGGTGTGGCTTCAGCTCACTCCAACCTCTGCCTCCTGGGTTCAAGTGATTCTCCTGCTTCAGCCTTTCGAGTAGCTGGGACTACAGGTACGTGCCACCACACCTGGCTAATCACACCGGCTAATTTTTGTATTTTTAGTACAGACGGGGTTTCACTATGTTGGCCAGGCTGGTCTTGAACTCCTGACCTCATGATCGACCCACCTTGGCCTCCCAAAGTGCTGGGATTACAGGCGTGAGCCACCGCGCCCGGCCTACGTTTTCTCAAAGATTGTTGTATCTATGTGTCAGGGCTTGAACAGATTTATAATGGTAGACCAAATGTTACCTGCAAATATTACCTGGGTGCCATAAGACACATTCATGTTAAAATGAAATTTGGGTCCTACACGTTTTGAACAGAAGTATTCCTGGAAGCCATTCCTATACCAGACAGCCAGCGGAGCACGTTGGCTCACACCTATAATCCCAGCACTTTGGGAGGCCAAAGTGGGCAGATCACCTGAGTTCAGGAGTTCGAGATCAGCCTGGCCAACATAGTAAAACCCCATCTCTACTAAAAATACAAAACTTAGCTGGGCGCAGTGGCTTACGCCTGTAATCCCAGCTAGTAGGGAGGCTGAGACAGGAGAATCACTTCAACCCAGGAGTCAGAGGTTGCAGTGAGCTGAGATTGTGCCACTGCACTCCAGCCTGGGCAAGAGAATGAGACTCCATCTCAGAATAACAATAACAACAACAACAAACCAAAACCTATACCAGACAGCCAATAACAATTCCTTTATACGTGAAAGTGACAGTGATTTCCAAACACATAATTATATCCCAATGGATGTAAATTAATATGTGCCAATTCAACCTCCCCTTAACCAATATACCCAAAATGTCCATGGACACTACAACACTACCTGGCATCAGCAAGACTATGATGGAGAAGTTGCAATGGAAAGAAACAGTGGTCTTAACCAATTGCAATAAGTGGTGTTTACTTTTAGAGAAGTGCTCAAAAAATGATGGGAGCACCATGAAAAAGCTCCCAGTGGCCAAATCTGGGATCGTTTGAGCAATGATGGTAATGAATTGTATTCATTCACTTCTGTTTAGTGATATAAATAAAATAATTGATTAAATAAAGAAATGGGGGAGAAGGAACAGTTCTTCCTTATAGAAGATTTCAATTAATACACATGGAAAGGTGGAAATGGAAAAATCATCATCTGGCAAATACCATGGTAGTAATTTTTATTGGCAACAATCACCAATGAATACGAAAATCAGTGGGTAAAGTAGGATGATAAAGGGCATATTTGTACCAGTATCAATGCACCTCTTCATCTGATACTTATTAATTACTGGGGGAAACCTCAAACTTCACAGAAGAGAAACCTGAAGATACTGTCTCTACCAAGTGGTCAGAGTTAACATCTCTAGTAATGACACATGTCAACATCATGTGCCACCTGATGTAATGCCTGAAAAAGATGTATCACAGTCATATAAGTAAAATATTTAGGGATCCAGAGGTTTTGGACATGCAGCAACATCCCCCAGAGATAAACGACAAGTTACTGCATCTCACCTCTTACCATTAAGAAAGAAGCCCCATGCCTGGGAGGCCTCTTCAAGTTCTAGAGGCAGTACTTAGTGATATTGCTCTGACCAATTTACCAGGTAACATGGAAGGCTGTCAGCTCTGAGTCACAGCAGGTGTAAGATGAAATGCCATACTGCTTGGGCCAAATGATTGAGGAGACCCTATTGATATTAGTTATCTGTGGTGGAAGAATTCACCACGTGGAGCTTATGGCAAGCTCCAACAAGAGAATCATAATGTAGACCCCAGAGTCCCGGAGCAAGGCCATGCCATCTGCAGAGGAGACCTTAACACTGTTTGAAAAGAGCTCCTGGCACGCCACTTCCCTAATAGAGACAGAGCATCTGACAAGTGACATGTGGCCAAAGCTACCCAGCACGAGCTAAGTAGCATCTAACCTACCAAGCCATAAAGTTGGCAAGCTGGGAACAGTACATCTGGGATTAGGTGTGAGCAGGGCCAGAGGGTGAATGTAAGCTATGCTAATAGATGGCCCAGACCCCAGGGCATCCATCACTGTTGTACCAATGTCTCTCCCTTAGACAAAACTTGTGGCCATGTGGAGTATGCCTTACAGCCAAGCTGATGGAGGGGGAAAAAAAAGGACTGAGACCGGTTCAAGGAAGTATAAGCTTGGTTTGGGGGTGCTAGCCAAAAATGAACTGCTAGACACCATTCCTCTAGTCTATCTTGTAAGTGGTGAAGAAACCAACCAGAATTCCAGAAGAGCTGTTCCCAGGTGGATTGGACTTATACAAAGCCAGTAGATTTGATCAGTGCAAGATATGGACTGTAGAGGATGTGCTGGTGTATTACTGTAGTCCCATTCAGGGTGGTCCCAAAAAACAATGGTAAAGAGGAATCCTCTCATTAGACTGAGCACAAGGTCATTCACTTTCTGTGGGAAGAGAAGTGGCCTGAAGTAGGAATATATAACTCAGGGCTATGAAAAATGACTAGGCTGGTTGGCCAGGGGCCTGAAAAGGGAAAGAATGTAAGACTGGGGACTGGGGACAAAGCATGTAGATGGACCTATGGGAGCGGGCATAGGGAGTCAAGACCTTTGCAATGCATGTTAGTGCCCACTAGGGAGCACCTACCATGGAAGAAGCACTTCACTCTGTGAAGATAGGGTCCCTTCCTTTAGGATGTGGTTAACACCCTAAATCACAGACTTTTATCTGAGTTGGTGTCCCCAGTAGGTAGAATACATGGGCCCAGGAACCAAGGAGTAAGATTGGGAAAGGTCCTGCATACCAGCATTCCTAGTGTCACACTTGGCAATTAATGCTTGTCATTGCTGCAACATCAGGCTCTGTGGGTCCAGAGGTCCTGGTTCCCAGAGGGAAACGCTTGCACCAGGGGCCATGGTAAGTGTCCCATTAGAATTTAAGTCTTGGCTGCTGCCTAGGCACTTTGGGCTCCTCGTGCCAAAAGATGAGAAGGCAAGGCCCCCATGCTAGCTGGGGTGATTGACCCTGACTGTCAGGGGAGTAGGGCTGCTGTTCCACAGTGAAGGCAGGGTGGAATAAGGCTGACACTCTGGTGATCTGTTAGGGGCTTTTCTTGGTGCTCTCCTGCCTACTTTTGGTGGTAAATTGGTGAGTGTAGCTGCCATGGCTTGAGAACAGCAAAATGACCAGAAACTTGGGGATGATGGTTTGGGTCATCCTACCAGGTTAGGCACCTTGACTAGCAAAGGCAACAGTAAGAAGAGTATAAAATGAGTGACCTTGAGGCCAACTGCAGTCACTCAGGGAATATATCATCTCTCTAGTCTTTTTCTCGTAAGTGGTGAAGAAACCAACCAGAATTCCAGAAGAGCTGTTCCCAGGTGGATTGGACTTATACAAAGCCAGTAGATTTGATCAGTGCAAGATACAGACTGTAGAGGATGTGCTGGTGTATCACCCAGATCTCTCCTTTTAGGGCCAAAGCCCCCGTTTCCTTGGCTGCCATGAATGTTGGCTGCTGACTGTTCACATCTGAGCCTTCTAGGAACTACCCCTCACTGAAGGGAGCTTCTGGCCCAAAAGGCTGAGGACCCTTGCCTCAATTTGGGACAATTCAGAAGGCCCATCTCAGCTCCAGAGCACCCTGGTAGAATTGGCTGAGGCCTCTGTTGCTTCTGCATTGCAGCTCAACTCTTCTCTCTGCTCATTCCGGCTCCCTCACTCCCTTACAGGTGTTGTTCCCAAGAGCAGGCAAACAAATTTCCCACACACAAACACCTGTCGCAGAATCTGTTTCATGGGGAGCTTGACCCCAGGAGTCCAGAATTTTCTTCATGCTCTTGACATGAGTTAGGAGTGTTTGCCTCTACATGCAATGGTTCAACTACTGTAGACAAGGGAGGATGATATAAAGCAGAGCTCCTACTAACCCTGCATGAGCATATAGGGGAGCAAGACATCAACCTTAGCGGTTTAAGTCACCTGAGATCTGATGGTTGTTTGTTACCACAGTACAGTCTAACTCTCCTGACTGATACAGAATCAACACAATGATTCTGCCTTTAAAAATATATAGATTCTGGTCTCCATTCAGAAGTGGCCAATCTTAATGCATAAAGCAAATGTAGGTCTGCACTTATGGCTGACAAACTAGAGTCAAGCTAGAAAGAGTCAAATAGAGTCAAAGAGGCTAAGTGTCATCATTGGGGCCTTTTTAAAAAATTTAATTTTAATTTTATTTTGAGACAGTCTCGCTGTGTTGCCCAGGCTGGAGTGCAGTGGCATGATCTCGGCTCACTGCAGCCTTCGCTTCCTGGGTTCAAGCGATTCAACTGCCTCAGCCTCCCGAGTAGCTGGGATTACAGTCATGTGTCACCATGCCCAGATAAAATTGGGGCTTTTCTTGAGCCTGACTGAGAGTTGCAGGATGGAACTCAAAGTTGCTTGGGTGCTTGTTGGACAAGTCTAGAACATGGGGATGAATTGCCAGACAGCAGGTCCTGGTTAGAATTGGTTGGGTAATTTACATATGTTTTCAGGTCACTGCCGAGACCTTTTTGCAGGCAATCCAGATGGGTCTGGACTCAAGTGAGAAGTGAGTCATCAATGCCTGTATCAATGAGAAAAATAAAGATTAGTAATTCAGTGTTGGGTTCCATGTGTTTTTTTAGTGGGAGGCATGAATCCAAGACAAAGTCCTTGGCACCACACAGTACATTCTTTGACAACAGCTATTGTTAAGGACCTTTCCGAGGAGTTTTAAGCAGTGATTGTTGCTGATGAAAGTTGACCAGGCAGGGAGCCTTACATTATGGTCCTATCTGTGCGGGTGGGTGGATGAAATGTCTTGAGCCTGTGAATGATTTCTGACACCCTTGTTAGTGTCCTGCAATATAACACAATGTTATCTGGCTTAGGAATGTGCTACTGGCCTTAGCTGCTGAGGAAGAAACCAGAGTCTCATCTGCTAATATTTCATAAGAGTTAAGTTTTGGGAATTTGTTTGTTGTCTAATCAGAGCCATGGGCAGTACATCTGTCCTCTTCAATCCATTTTCTGCACAAACCTTGGCCAGCTTATTATTTTTAATCCCATTTTGATATTTTATTACCTCTGTTGACTGCAGACAATGTGGGCATTGACAACACTAAATATTCTGTAGGCTTTACAACTTTAAGAACCAATCTAGCAAATACATGTTCAAATACATGTCCCTGTGATTGTAGAGTATTTTAAACCTAGTAATGAGATTTTCTGGAGGTCTTTTGCTGGTCACCCTTGTGTCAGCCTTGGAACATAGATATGTTTCTACCCATTTTGAAGAGACATATAAATTACTAAAACGTGTCCATACCAATAGCATTTTCTTTAACTGTATAGATTTAGCTTGAATATTAATTTTAAGTAGCCCCCAAGGAACAGAATGAACTGCTTTCTTTTTCTTGACAGTTCTCTCCTTGCTCCCTTCTTGGATGTGAGCCTGATAAGTAGGTCCACTCTTATGATACTGTTTGTCCAGACTAGAACATTTTGGAACACACCAGTCAAGTCTCATGTTTCCTAACATCCCCTCTCTTTTCATGTGGATTATGTCATGGGCTACATAAGCAAGGTGGAGAAGGCAATTAATTCCTTTCATGCCAATCAAGATATGGATGTAAAAGACACTGCCACCTCCAAAGGTTCTGCTCTGAGTCTGAGACCTTATCCAAAATCTTCTCAGCTGATGTAGGAAGAAGACAAATGCAGTCTGAGAATAACCGAAGACCTTAGCTGTTATCCAAAGCAAACATCTTTTTAGGTAACACGTCCCCAGAAATCTTCATTCCTCCAGAAATTCCTCCATTGTGATAAACTGCCCATGGACACAATATGGGTCAGACTCTGAAGAACTAAGTATACCCAGCTCAGGTAAGGGCAGCAAATTTGCTCCCCCAGGAGGCCCAGTACTGGTGCAACCTCCTGTGCAAAACAGATTGCAACCCAGAGATCAGTCCCGTTCTTTTTCTCTCTTACACCAACACTTCCACAAAGTGTTAGGCACTGTGCTAAGCCTTTTACAACAACCCTGAAGGTAGTATTATCTCCATGGCACAGATAAGAGAGATCACAGAGGCCAAGAGGCTAAGTGAGTTGCATTGGCTGAGCCTGGATTTAGGCCCCAGTCCATCTGCTTCCAAAGCCTTTGGACCTCACCTCTCTGCTACAGCCCTTCCTTTCTATGCACAATGGCCCCCTTTTTGCAGCACTAGTATGAGCAGGCGACAGGTTTCCTATTGACCTGTGTGTCTAGGGATTACAGCAGCAGAAAAAGAAATATTTTAATTCATCTAATTGTTTACTCATTCCCCAATCCATTCATTTGACAAATATTTGTTGAATTGTTACTATGTCCAACACTGAGCTAGATGCTGAGGTAGAGAGGTAAACACTGAGGAAGTGAGACACTCAAAAAACAAACACACAAATAAATACATAATGACAAACTGTGATAAATTTGGGTAAAGAAAATTTTCTTCCCAATGCATTACCATCTGCAGCAGCGATGTTGGAAAAGCAATTTCAGTTGTACAGTTTGTGAATCGGAATTGAAAGAAGCTCTGGTGCAGCACTATTCAAAATAAATATAATGCAAACAACATATATAAGGGTAAATTTTCTAGAAGCCACATTAGAAGCAGTGAAAACAAGGAGGTGAAATGAATAATATAACTTATTTAACCCAATATATCAAAATATCATTTTAACAAGTATCTCATTATTAATGAGGTATTTTGGGGTTATTTATTCAGACTAGGTCTTCAAAATTCAGTGTGTGTTTTAGGCTTACAGCACATTTCAATTCCAACTAGCCTCATCTGAAATGCTCAGTAGCCACATATCGGCAGTGGTTGCCGTATTGCATAGCACACCTTTTACGGATACAGATAGTGCAGCTTTTGCCTGTAAGTCAGTGGTTTGCAACCTTTGCTGGCATGGAATTATCTCAATGCCAGTATTGTAGATTTTCATCTAATTGATGTGGGGGTAGAAGAAGGGGATTTCCTAGGTATCAGTATATTTTATGTCTTCCCAGGTGATTCTAATGTATAATGAGGGCTGAGAACCACTGCTCTAAGCAGTAGCAGTTTTGTACTCAAAGTCTTCAAATTATGCAAGGTAACAAGCCTGAAGCCCCTTTAACCCAGGTTGATAATCTGCCCACCATCTTCCCTCCCTGCTGCAAGCTCAGCTCTGGTCCCAGACTCTAGGCCAACAACCTCAGTCTGGGAAGCTGGGTTGAGGAGCTCCAGGGCAGCCATGCTGTCCCATCATTTACACTTTGGCTGCCGGTCTCACTCTGACCTTTTTGCTCTGGCTCTGACAAATCTTCTGATTCTACCATTATTTTTAAAAATTTTATCAGCAAGAATGAGCTTGAGTGATTCTGGCTTCATCGTTGCATTGTGCCCTGTGTCTAAGCCTCTCTTGCCTGCCTTCTGGGAAACTGCTCAGTGTCGCTAGCCTGGTCAATTCTCTCTCTGGTCCTCTGCTGTCCTATCCATTTGCCTTCTCTAAGACCTACTGTGGGACTCTACCCTTTCTGTCACCTATTGGGACACTTATCACTGCTTACCAGGTCCTTCTGATGCAGCAAACTCACTGCTCCTCCTTTCCCCATCTTGCCGGGCCCCATTTCTCTGGATACCAGGTCCCACCAGCCTGACTGTTCTCTTCACCCCCTCCTGCCTTCTCCGAGCACCTGCCCCAGCTTCCCTCCATCGCTAAATAACCCTGCCCTGTCCAGTCCACATCAGAGCATCTTCAGCCCAGGCCCCTTTAGCATCCTGTCATAATGGCTCATTAATCTGTATCTAGGCACTTCGACCTGCCCAGGAAGCAGGCAGCTCTGCTTGCTTATTTCTATTTTTATCCCTCTCTCTTTTACTTTATTCTTTATTTTACTTTCTTTTTTTAGTCTCCTCTCCAGTTGCTTCTTCTGCTCTGGGTCTGCCACCCCCAGAGCAGGGAATAGAAAGTCTAATAAATAGTGGAGCAAACACGTTTCCCACACCAATCACAAGAGGTGTTTGTCTCTGAGCTAACTCACTGCTTGTGGCTGCTTCGGGGTGTGAATAGGGCTACAAAGCCAGCTGAGAAAATCCCTCCAGGAAATTTGATTTCAAGCTCATAGTTTTCCCTCACAGCCTCTTGCACAGGAGTCACACAAATTTTTTTCCAAAAGTCCTGAGTATTGCTACCATCAGCTCTGGCGGTTCTGCTATGAGGGTATAAGAGCCCTTGGCTGAAAAGTTAATAATTTCCATGCTATTTTGCAAAAGCTTACAGCTGGTGTCCCCAGAGTCAAACTTGTCAGATAAATAAAATTAAGGCTGTAAGGCTGTTATCTAAAACCTACCACAATTCTATTCCCAACAGAGATTTAGGGGAAGATGAAGATAAAGAGAAGAATAATTTCTAAATCAGTTCATCACACACACAAAGGCCAGGACTTAGGAGGCTCTTTTGTGTGAGGGAGGGCAGGAGGGATGACTTTCCCAGCTGTGGTGAATTCCCGCTGCTCCAGGCCACAAGGTGCAATTTCTGGAGCAGCTGGCCACTGTGGCTCTGTCCTTGGCCCTCTCCTAGAACTATTGTACCATAAATTGGCCTGGCCATTGGACAAATGTGAGGTTTGTCTCTGGATCACTCAATCATGTCCATTGACTTGAAATGCTAGAACTTAGCAGCAGCAGCAATGGATGGGGTGAGCATTGCAGAACAGCAACATGAGGCCTGTGGAGTCCTGGAAGATGGACGGACGGATGGATGGATGGATGGATAGATGGGGGCATACTATGCTGACCATGAATAGAATTTGTTCTTCCTTCTTATGTATAGCCAGAGATAATATTTTGAAACATCAATTGATATACTTTTTGTCCCTGATGATATGTTTTTATTTTTTGGCTTTTCCACCGTTAAAAAGTAAGACATAATAATAGTATCTTCTTCACAGGATTGCCATGAGAATTAAATGAGATAATCTGGGAAAAGCTGTTTAGCTTCGGTATTAATTTACAGTAAGGGATCAGTATATGGCAGCTATTGTCATTATCCTCCCCATTTGACGCTAATAAGTTGGTAGAACCTGGATAAGTCCTGCCCCACTAGAAAGCAGCTGCTGGCTTGAATTTCTGCAGACCCTCCCTCTTCCCTTTTAGAGGGAGAACAGCACCATTGAGGCTTCCCAGCACCAGTGTAGACCAGCTCTTCCCTCCCTTAGTATGACCTGAAGTGGTCACACTGTCTGAGCTGGAAGGAAAATAGAGCTGTGTATATGCTGGGGTTAGGGGTTATAGAAGAGGTCTGCTCTTTGGTTTTGAAAATTATAACCTATGGGAGAATTCCGCTGTGGTTTCTCAAAAAATCTAGGAACGGAAGCTCTCACTGTTCGTTTTAGGAGTCCAAGCCCTGTGGCTCTGATGGTCCTTCAGACAGGAAAGAAATGCAGAACCAGGTGGGTACAGAAGAAGAGATGCAGTTTATCCTCCCTCAGCAACTTTCCTGGAATTCTTCAAATAAACAGACCTGCAGTGATTCTCTGCAAATGGAGGGCATCCCTTGCTCCCACCACCCCTGTACTCACTCCAAAGATCACTGTTTGCCCTGAATGTCAAATATAGTTCAAAAGGAAGCAGATCATAACTGGAATCTGGCTCTGTCTGGCACTAGCTGTGTCTCTTGGGCAAATTAATTCTCCCCTCCAAGCCCCTGAGCTAAGGGAGAAGAAAGAGAAAGGGCCATCTTTGAGAAGTGGTGTTATTTGAGTTAAGTGGAAAGACGCTGGGGAAATAATCCTTTTTGGCTAGAGGTACAGTCTGTGACTCCTCCAGGGGTCTTCTAAGTCCAAAGCCCCCAAAGAGGGCAGGGCTGAGAGCAGACAGAGCCCTCTGTGGCTGCGCAGATGGAGACAGCTTGATGAGAGCCAAGCCCCCTCCTCCCCATGTGCCACCTGCTGCTGATAGAGACAGCAAAGGCTGGAGCTTGGCAGAAAGGTGATTGTCAAATAGGCGGCCTCCATGCATGCTTAAGACCTAGATTTTTTTTTCAAAAAGTACATATACTAACTCCAAGAGGACCGTTCTTGAAAGCAGAACAGCTGCTGCGTTTTCTCTGTGAAGATGTCACCTGTAACTCTCACAACTTCTATTTTTCTGATGCCAGGCGACAATCATAACAAACCATTTTCACCAGTAAAAGCTTGCATCTGCAATCACAGTTAATCTGCATGTTTTTAAAAACTGTATTTCAGAAAGGGTCTCCAGTCCTCCAACATAACATCCAAAACACCGGTTCTCTTGTGAGAGATGTAAACATGTAAGTGAGATAGATAAGGCATGCAGCTGGGATGAGATCCATTTATAATGAACACGCAGAGCAGTGGTGGGAGCAGTGAGATGGCAGAGAAGCCACGTGCCCCTTAAAGAACACCCCAAACATGGAAACTCAGCTTTGGGGAGCAATTAAATTAGTAAAAGTAAGATTTTATATTTTGTAAGATTTTTCTCAGGATTCCCTTTGATAAAGGGTTGTTCCGGATCACTTACAATATAGCATGATTTACAAAAAGCCCATCTGTTCGCAACGTGCAATGTTTGCAAAAGCACAGTGGTTGGTTTGGCTACAAGAAAGGAGGATCTACTGTTTATGTGAAAATGGCAAAGGCAACGTCCAGATGACTTGCAGAAGCTCTTTTCCTGGAATTCTCAAAAGAGTCTATTTTCTAAGGGATTGTCCCAGTGAATCATTACGATGACTAGTACAACCGAGATAATTGTCAGTTTGTGAGTAAAGTGATGAGGAAGGAACAGGGGATATTTTGTCATACCACCATCAAAGATGATGGAGGATGTTAGAGATGGACAAGGACTAGTGAAGCAAGCTTGTGTTAGAATGAGACGGGGCTTCGGCCTGGACAGGGGTCATGGGCCAGGAACCAGACAGGCAGTTAAGAACCAAGAAATTCATGGAAGCCAAAGGATAAGGCAAAGTTGTGGTTCTGAATTCAGTAAAGAACCAGGGGCTCAAATGTCCTGAGACTTCATGCAGGCAGGAAGCAGAGCTATAGGTAGTATGAAGGCTGGAGGGTTCCTTAGCTCCAGCCAAGGAACCTCAGGCCCTGTAGGCACGAAACAGATGAACCACATTTTAGAAGTATAGGATCACTTGCCTGGAAGGGAGAGTCAGAGGTTGGGCTGGAAACAAGGACTCACATGTAATGGTTTATCTTTGGAAGCAGTGATGCCATAATGTCCAAAGAACAGGAAATTAAATTTTATTCTCTGCTGCCTCCGGGTCTATTTATACTCCCAAGATCTAATCTTTCTGTAACTCTTGTTACCTGAGTAAGGTACATAGCCAACTTGTCAGGTATCCAATAAGAGAGATAAGATGCTCTTTCCAAAGCCACGTCTACTGCATATTATTGGACTGAAGGGAGTTCCTCCAGGAAGGAAATTAAATCTTGAGGGCCTCAGCATTTGACTTGCCTTTTTCCTTCCTGCTGCTGCCAAGCTGCCAGTGTGGTTAACTGGTACCCTAGCTCGGAGAAGACCCAGGTGGGTCTCCACCAAGGAGGCACAGGAGATGTCAACAGTCTCTTCTGCCTGCCCTATGACCTTGGGATGTTGAAAACAAGTAAGGAAGCAGGAAGAGAGAGAGTGGCCCAAAGCGATCTCTGCCTGCATCAAGCATTTTACCCAGAGTTATTCCTGAATACAGGTATCCTGAGCAGAATGCCTAATAGGGAGAAGACGATTGAAGATCAAGCTTCTAAGAGGAATTGTGCATATCTGGGTTGATGAAAGTGGGAAAGGGGGAGAGAGAAAGGAGAAGAAGCAAAAGGCCCCAGCCGTGGCAAACTACTGCAGATACTTTGTTCTTCTGCATCAGGTAGCACTGATATTATGTTTTTTTACTTATAAAACATAATAGGAGTAATAAATAGCAATATGTGAATAGCAACATAAATGTACAGATTACAAAATAACTTTTAGTGTCATAATTGTATTATTTATTTATTTGTTTATATTTACATTTTTTGAGACAGAGTCTGGCTTTGTCTCCCAGGCTGGAGTGCAGTGGCATGATCTTGGTTCATTGCAACCTCCACCTCCTGGGTTCAAGTGATTCTCCTGCTTCAGCCTCCGGAGTAGCTGGGATTACAGACGTGCGCCACCATGCCCAGCTAATTTTTGTATTTTTAGTAGAGGCAGGGTTTCACCATGTTGCCCAGGCTGGTCTTGAACTCCTAATCTCAGGTGATCCACCCACCTCAGCCTCTCAAAGTGCTGGGATTACGGGCGTGCACCACCGCGCCTGGCCTAGTATCATAATTTTATATAAAACAATAAATAATAATATTTTATTAATATATGACTGATGACTGTAAGATTTTTCTGGCTCATTTTTCTGCAAACTCATTTATACTTTTAGCAATTTATTTTCCATTAATATTATTGAAGGCAATGTGAGTTGCTCTTGGCAAATGCAAGACTGGAAGTTGATAATTGATTCTTTTTAATTTTGAGAAGAGTCTGATGATGCAACTGTTACTGAGCTATTAAGAGTTTCTACAGACTATGGCAACAGATACGTTTATCAGATAAATTTCTGGTAAATTATTTTGAAATATATAAATTTTAGCATCTCTAGAGCTGGTGATTCTCATGAAACAATTTTTCTAGAAAGATTTCACTCTTCATATAAATCAGTTTCATATAGTCTGAATTTAATTTTAAAGTAATTTTATACAATGGCATTTAAAATTTTCATCTAATATTTTCTGTAACTTGTGAAAGTCATATAAGAAACCAAAAGTGGCTTCATGGTTTTATATAATGCAGAGCTTCTGCTTATGCATTCTATTACCGCATCTTCAATTACAAAGGAAATGAGTTATAAAATTGTCCTCGTTATGTTAAAAATTGGTTCACCTAACACTTTGTATGAAAATTGTGTTCTTTTCCATTGAATGCAATAATATTTAAATTTAATTTCTATTCCAAGGCTGTGGGTATTTTCTTTGCACTGTTGCAGCAGTTTTCAAAACCAGAGTCTAATCTCATTGAAGAATAACTTCTGGCCGGGCGCAGTGGCTCACGCCTGTAATCCCAACACTTTGGGAGGACGAGGTCAAGAGATTGAGACTAGCCTGGCCAACACGGTGAAACCCCATCTCTACTAAAAGTACAAAAATTATCTGGGTGTGGTGGCACGTGCCTGTAATCCCAGCTACTCAGGAGGCTGAGGCAGAAGAATTGCTTGAACCCAGGAGGCGGAGGTTGCAGTGAGCCGAGATTGCGCCACTGCACTCCAGCCTGGCAACAGAGTGAGACTCCATCTCAAGGAAAAAAAAAAAAAAAAAGGAATAACTCTTTGGGATGCTTTATTGCAATATATATGCTTTTATTTTGTAATAATTTACAGACAAAGTTTACTGTCTGAGCTCTGGCATCAACTGGGATGGCATTCAGGCCACATTAATATTTGTGCTGATGGTGCAGGGATGGTGCTAGGGTTTGAATATTTGTGTCCCCTTCAAAATGTATGTTAAAACTTAACCCCCAATGCAATAGTATTTAGATGTGGGGCCTTTAGGAGGTGATTAAGGCGTGAGGGCAGATCTCTTGTGAATGGAATTACCAACATTATAAAAGAGGTTCCAGGGAGCTGTTCGGCCCTTTTGCTCTTCCTCTCTTTCTCCCCATGAGGACACAGTGTTCCTCCCTTTTGTCCTTTTAACCCATCTGCCATGTGTGAGAACAAAGCAAGAAGGTCCTCACTAGACACCAAATGCTAGCGTTTTGATCTTGAACATCCCAGCCTCTGGAACTGTAAGAAATAAATTTCTGTCCTTCATGATTTACCCAGTCTCACCTATTTTGCTGGAACAGCACTAATGAACTAAGATAGAAGGTTTCTGGGGACAGGTAGGCAATCTGGCTGCCACCAGTGGTCCTGCCACCACTCTCACGCAGAGTCCCCCCTCTCTCTCAGTGGCCGTGTGGGCCACCACTGTTGCTCTGCTACTACTGGACTGTCATTGTTTTCGATCTTGGCCTGGGTCCTGCTGCAGGCTGCCAGGCCAACCACTTGGCATGCATGTGCCCCTGCTCACTGTGGCAGTGGACTCAGCCTATCTCACTGCCATCTGGCATCTCCTCTGCCCCCACACACCGTCCTATCTGACTTCATTTACAAAACACAAGAGTCAGATAAAAACGATAAGATAAGCAAATTCACAGCAGTGACAGCAGAGTGTTAAAACAAGCACAGGGCCTCTTGTGAGGGTGGGCCTAAGTGATGGCACAGGCTACATTCCCATGAAGCCACCCCTGCTTGTGGGACTAGGTCAGGCATGTGATGGGGCCCCATGCTGGACTTAACATGTCTGGGCATGCATAACTGAGTAATAGGGTAAATCCCCTACATCAATTTTCTGGTTTTCCTATACAAAAAAGCACAAAGTATGTGCTTCACAAGGGACTGGGTTGGGAGAATAAGAAGTGCCAATTCCTGGACCCTGGCCCAGCCCTGAGGATGGGCATCTGACTGAGCCCTTTGCAGAGTGAGGCTGCAAGCAGAAGCTGAAGGAGCCGTTTTTCTCAAGGGCCCTGTGGATGTGGAGAAGCCTGCAGGGATGCTTGGGGGTTCAGATGACTGCATGGCACAGAGCCTCCCACAGCTCTGAAGAGCAGTAAGCCAGGTACTGGACAACTAAGCACTGCAGAAAGACCCAGTTGGTCTGGTCCCTCAGGGCAGCAGCTCTGGGGGGCACCGCCACAGCTTTTCACTGTGGAGATCAGCAGCAGCAGCTATGGCAGCATCCTGACCTCACAGGCCTTCCTGCCTTGCATGGAGGAGCCAGGCAGGAGAGGAGCAAGACCTGTAGAAGCCTGGGTGATAGAAGACTACTTGTGAGCTGGTGTGAGTCACGCTCAGCAAAGGGGGAAGAAGCAGTAAAATGGGGTTAGAATCATTCCTGGGACTCTGTTTGTAACCAAGGGTTCTAGGGAAGACTGGTTACAGAAGTGATCTTGGTGTTGAGCACTTAAAGGCCCAAGATGGACCGGTTCTATGAAGGTCGGCAGCATGAGTAAGTAGTGGGGAGATACCTTTTAACCTTGTGGGAAGAGGAGAAGAGACACTCTAACCGTAAAAGCTGCCCACGGAAGGCATGGGCTGCCTTGAACCAGTTCCAACACAGATTGTGGGACTCTGGGTTATGAATCGTGGAGAGAAGATGTAGGAAGAGGGTGGGAGTAAGGAGAGGGAGTGTTTTTCAAAGTGCTGCTGGAGGGACTACTTGCATTGGCAACATTTTGACGGGAGGGTGTTGAAACGCAGACTCCTGGTCTCCACAGAAATTCTAATTCGGTGGGTCTGAATATGGCCTGGGAATTTGCATCTTTGACACACACCCCTGACATTTCTAATGTGCACTGAAGTTTGAGAACCACTGTACTAAGGTCTTTGCAGCTGTTAAGACTTGATGCCTCTATATCTCAGCACTTTTCTTTGACACATGCCCCTAGCATTTCTATGTACATTAAAGTTTGAGAACCACTATACTAAGATCTTTGCAGCTATAAGACTTGATACCTCTACATCTCAGCACTGTTCTCCCTGCCCTTGCAATAACGATGGCAGAGAGAATCCCTGAGTCTATAACCCACTCAGGTCCCCCATGCCTACACATGAGATACTATAAAAGTGAGCAGGAGACAGAGTGAGTCTCCTACTAATTTTTTTTTGGCATAAATTAAATTTTCTTTTCACGAAAACACTTCAGCAGTTGTTCAGAATCTGGCTTTGCAATCCAAACCACCCAAGCACTAAAAGGCACAGGCACCGACAAAGACTATCTCCTTGACAAAGGTTTAGTTGGGCTCCTCTGAGCCTTCTTCTCGACTGGGCTCAACTTTCTGTGTGCTTCTTTCCTGAGTCCCTCCTACTGCTACACACCTATTGGAATAGTCTTGAATACAGTCTTCTTTGCAGGACTGTATTCAAGTCTGAACAAGCATCAGAATAATTTTTTCCTTAACAGGTATGGTGTCACGACTCAGACAGGATGAGAGTCATCATTGGATCCCTGGGCCTCTCACCCAGGACCCCAGGTGCCTACCTTTGAAGCTTTCATCTTCACTCCTGACTGACTGATTGGGGCTCCATTGGTGAGCCCGACTCCTGATCCAATCCAGGCCTCCAGATGACAGTCTGTTGAAGAATGGGCAGCACAGATTGTGATTCTTGAGATTCTGAGTATACTCTTGAAGCTGGGTTAGTGTCCTAGGCTTCTCTGCTTGTAAGAACTGGGCTATAATCCCAGGCAAACAAAAGGCTGGGTTGGAATCTCAGGTTTCTCTGTAAGAAAGAGGCTGAGTTAGATTCCCAGGCTTTCCTGTTTTAAGACATAGAGTTGGGATTAGAGTGCCAGGCTCCATTGTTTGTGAGGTATCATGAGTTATGAACATGGCAGCTTCTCAGTTGACTGAACCTCACCCCAACCTCCTTCTGAAACCCCTGCTGACTATGTGCTCCACCACCTAGGCACTAACTCTGTCTGCTTCCCTTCTTGTTGATATGATCTTACAAAGGATAATTTGGGACTTCCCTAAAGTGGCATCTCTAAGATCTCTCTCTTCCTTTTGCCTCCATTCCTCCTTCCATTTTTGATATGCCCTCCTTTAAACCCCCACCTCCTCCACATTTTTGTTCAGCCCTGCCAGACTTTTCCCTTCCCACTCCAGGCTCTCAACTACCTACACTCACTGGAGCCCCGTTGGAGACTCTATGGGACTCAAGAGCCTCCAAAAGCAACTACAATATCTTAAAAATGTCCTCCATAATATTGGTAAAAAATATTTTTGCTCTCACATTGGTCAGGTAGCAACTTGTTCCATTCACCAAAAACACAATTTGGATAAAAAAATTAAAGTGCAGTAAAGACGAGAGCCAACCATTTCATATAAACCAGAGTTCTGTATTACTGTGTTTACCTGACTCATGGCTACAATTTTAAAATGGAAGCTATAAGGTCTCCATTTGCATCTATCTGTATGTTTATGTATGTACATATGTATGTTATGTATATGTGATACTTTCCTATCTTCTGATGGTATTACCCAATTAATTTATAAAACCCTATAAAGAAGCTCTATTCTGACAGGCTTAGGGACAAATTGCTTATATCAATTAAATATTTATAAAGCTCTCAGAAATATAGGAATTAACCCCAATTTTTTTTAAGTTCATGTGACTTTGGGAAATATTTGTTAGATAAAACCAGTTTAAAATTGTTGATTGAATAAAACAGCTGTCTTCTGAGTTATCACATGTATTAAATTCATGTGAGTGGAATCAAAATTTTATAAATGAACTTTTTGACAATAATTATGTTTTATAATATCTGCCTAAAAATGCTTTCCACAATCTTTTTGGTAACTTGCAATCTTAAAATTATGCTAAGTAATACATATTCATTAACTATCTAGATTATTTCTAAGTCAGATAAACCACTGAAAATTTATTTTTAAGCATAAGTTTAATTTTATATACTTTTGGCTTCTTATTTTTATATCATATAGAGAGGCTACATATATTTAGGTCTGTTACTAAACATTCTTTTTGCCACATTAAAACAATTGTATTACGAGGAAGCACATACCTATAAAAATTGTGAGATGGTATATTCATAAAATTTGCTGATCTGCTACAGAATGTTGGTACTTGACAGACAACTCACAATTGTCTATAACCTAGTTTTTTCTGTTACCAAAAAAAGAGGTTACTTATGGTTAAAAATTTTAATCAACATATGTAAATAAAGCTACTAGAACTAATAAAGATAAAGGGAAATGACTTGCAAGCACAATTTGCAAAGCAGGAAGAATGTGTTTTTGTATGGGAAAAATAAAAATAACTGTCTTAAAGTGAAATGACTGGCTGTTCCAGAATAAGAAAGAGGAAAACATAGAACAAAATGAAATAGATATAAAAAATTGTAAAAGGAATATTGGGCCAGAGCAATTAGGCAAGACAAACAAACAAAGGGCATCCAAATTGGAAAGAAAGAAGTCAAATTAGCCTTGTTTGCAGATGACGTAACCTTGGACCTAGAAAAATTGAAAGACTCCACTAAAACACTGATAAAACTAATAAACAAATTCAGTAAAGTTTCAGGATACAAAATCAACATACAAACTGAGCGTAGTGGCTCACGTTTGTAATTCCAGCACTTTGAGAGTACAAGGTGAGTGGATTGCTTGAGCCCAGGAGTTTGATGCCAGCCTGGGCAATATGGCAAAACCCAGTCTCAACCAAAAAATTTAAAAATTAACCATGTGTGGTGGCGTGCACCTATAGTCCCACCTAACTTGTGAGGCTGAGGTTGGGAGGGTTGCTTGAGCCCAGGAGCTCAAGACTGCGGTGAGCCATGATTGTGCCACTACACTCTAGCCTGGGTGACAGAACGAGACAGTGTCTAAAAAAAAAAAAAAAAAAAGAAGACCAAACAAAAAAATACAAATACATACAAAAATCAGTAGCATTTATATACCCAATAGCAAACAATTTGAAAAAGAACTCAAGAAAGCCATCCCATTTACAATAGCTACAAAAAATATAAAATATCTAGGAATCCTTTTAACCAAAGAAGCGAAAGATCTGTATAAGGAAAACTATAAAACTCTGATGAAAGAAATGGCAGAAGACACCAAAAAATGAAAGATATTTTATACTCATGGATCAGAAAAATTAATATTGTTAGAATGACAATACTCAAAGCAATTTACAGATTTAATGCAATCCCTATCAAAATACTAATGTTATATGCCTACTATGTACCCATAAAAATGTTTTCAATTTTTTTTAAAGATAAAATAAAATAGGTCGGGCGTGGTGGCTCATGCCTGTAATCCTAGCACTTTGGGAGGCCGAGGCGGGTGGATCATGAGGTCAGGAGATCGAGACCATCCTGGCTAACACGGTGAAACCCCGTCTCTACTGAAAATACAATAAAAATTAGCCAGGTGTGGTGGCAGGCGCCTGTAGTCTCAGCTACTGGGGAGGCTGAGGCAGGAGAATGGCGTGAACCTGGGAGGTGGAGCTTGCAGTGAGCCGAGATAGCGCCACTGCACTCCAGCCTGGGCGGCAGAGCAAGACTCTGTCTCAATAAATAAATAAATAAATAAATAAATAAATAAATAAATAAATAAATAAAATAAAACAAAATAAAACAATGACATATTCACAGAAATAGAAAAAAAAATCCTAAAATTTATATGAAACTACAAAAGACCTCAAATAGCCAAAGCAATTCTGAGCAAAAAGAACGAAGCTGGAGGTGCCACACTATCTGACTTCAAATTTTACTACAAAGCCATAGTAACCAAAATAGACTGGCATAAAAATAGACACACAGACCAATGGAACAGAATAGAGAAACCTGATATAAATCCACACATTTAAAACCAAGTCATCTTTGACAAAGTCACCAAGAACATACAGTAGGGAAAGGACAGTCTTTTCAATAAATGGTACTGGGAAAACTGGATAATTATATGCAGAAACATGACTATAAACTCCTGTCCCTCACGTGAGCAAATCAAAATGAATTAAAGACTTAAATCTAAGACCTGAAACTATGAAACTACTAGAAGAAAACATAGGGGAAATGCTCCAGGACCTCGGTCAGGGCAAAGATTTCCTGTGTAAGACCTCAAAAGCGAAGGGAACTAAAACAAAAATAGACAACTGCGATTATATCAAGCTAATAAGCTTCTGCACAACAAAGGAAACAATCAACAAAGAAAAAGGAACACACAAAATGGGAGAAAATATTTGCAAACTATCCATCTGCAAGGGATTAGTAACCAGAATATATAAGGAGCTCAAACAACTCAATAGCAAAACACAAAGTATCTGATTAAAGAATGGGCAAAAGATCTGAACAAACATTTTCTTTTTGCAGGGGAGGTGGTGAGACAGAGTTGTGCTCTGTTCCCCAAAGTGGAGTGTAGTGGTGTGATTTCAGGTCATGCAACCTTTGCTTTGCAGTGAACAGACATTTTTCAAAAGAAGACATACAAGTAGCCAACAGCTATATGAAAAGAAATGCTCAATTCAACATCACTAATCATCAGAGAAATGCAAATAAAAATAACAACAAGATATCATCTCATTCCACTTGAAATGGCTTGTATCAAAAAGACAGGAAATTAACAGATGCCAGTGAGGATACTATGAGGAGATGCTCATAATTCCATGGAAAAGGGAAACCCTCATACATTGTTAGTAGGAATACAAATTCCTAGTACAACCACAATGGAGAACAGTATAAAGGCTCCTAAAAAAACTAAAAATAGAATTACTATATGACCCAGCCATCCCACTATCGGGTATATAACCAAAAGCAAGGGAATCGTCCAAGAGATATATGTGTACTCTCATGTTTATTGCAGCACTATTCACAATAGCCAGAATATATAATCAGTCAAAGTGCCCATCAGTGGATGAATGAACAAAGAAAATGTGGTATATATACACAGTGGAATATTATTCAGCCATAAAAAAATAAGATCCTGTCATTTGCAGCAACACAGATGGAACTATAAACCATTATGTTAGGTGAAATAAGCTAAGCACAGAAAGATAAATATTTCATGTTCTCATTCATATGTAGGAGCTGAAAACATGTATTTCATGAAGATAGAGAGTAGACTGGTAGTTATCAAAGGCTGGGAAGGGGAGGGGGAGGAGGAGGTGAAAGGCAAAAAAATTATATATATATTAAAAAATATATAAATGTACTTATTACCACTGAACTGTACATTTAAGATGGTAAATATAGTAAGTAATATATGTATATTTTCCCTCAATAAAAGTAAATTTTAGAAAGGGATATTGGAAAAGAAATCTTATCTTGTGCAATCAAAACTGGGTAAGAGTAAACAGATTTATAAAGTGTTTAAAAAATGGGCTTCAGTAAAAGTGCTAAGCCTTTTTTTTTTTAGCAATTTTGTTTCTACATATATTTACTTTTGAATTCTTTTACTATCACTTTGGTTAAGCTGGTAACTAAGTATTGTTTCACAGTGGCCTAGAGTTCTATTTAGTTAACTGTTCAAACCTCTTGATATTTTTGACAATTTGGCCTTTCCAAAATAAAATCCTAAATGAAATCTTGATCTTGAACTGACCTTGAGATTTCTCAGGGAGCCCCTGCAAAATCTCAAAAAATTTGTTCTTTCACTTTCTAAAAACAGCAAAGTTAAAAAACAATTAGGTTTATTTGGTATGTTGAATTGCATGAAAAGCATTGTTACATAAAGAGATGCTTAACCTTCCCTGTGTTATATTTGTATGGGTCAATGTTATTAATATAAATATTTCAGAAATTGTATGAAGTTTGTAGAAATCTGTCATTGTCCTTGCTGCTCATAACATGTACTGGTAAAGTGTTATCAATCATAATTCCATCATTTTAATATTTAAAATGTTGCATGCCACAGAGACAACCGAATTTCCTTGTCATTTGCGTATTTTTTATTATGAACTCTTAGCAGATCTTTAGCCATGGTCATTTTAAGGCTTTTGTCATTCACTGATAATTTTTGTTTTACTCTGATTCTTCTCTGAAAGCATTCGCAACCTGCTACAGGCAAGCATGCTTCATTTTCAGCAAAAAGGAATTGTCTCAGAGACTCATAGAAAGGACTGTCAAGTACTCTGGGCTACAGGATTCTGATAGCATTGTTCACATAACTTTGAGACCATAGCACTGGACTGAGTAAGAATTTCCATAACTCTAGTGGAGAAGCTTACGGGTTCATAAAACTGCTAATCTAAGTGCTATGGACTGATGTTTGTATCATATCCAAAGCTCGTATGTTGAAGTCCTAATCCCCAAGGTGGCTGTATTTGGAGATGGGGCCTCTAAGAAAGTAATTCAAGTTAAATGGGTCATAGGATGGGGCCCTGATCTAATAGGATTCGTGTTCTTATAAAAAAGAAACACTAGAGAATTCATGCTCGCTCTCCCTCTCTCTCTCTCTCTCTCTCCACATTTACACAAAGAAGAGGTCATGTGAGCACACAGTGAGAAAGTGGCCATCTGCAACCCAAGGGGAGAGCCCTCACCAGACACCAATCATGTTGGCACCTCGATCTTGGCTTTTCAGTCTCCAAACTGTGAGAAGTTTCGTTGCTTATACTGCCCAGCCTATGGCATTTTGTTATGGTAGCCTGAGCAGACTAATACAACTAAGATCAAGCAGAACAAGAATTAATTAGATGAAACGGAATGAACTGATGAAGAATAGTTATGGCTTTTGTTTGAAATATTGTTGCTGGATTTAAGGAACCCCTTTCTCTTTCCTCTGAAGCTATCTGTAACTCATTAATAGAGTATGCTTTTGTAAACAGAATGAAACATTTACCCTTTATCCTTGCCTAGACTTTCCAGAATTTGGAAAGTCATATTGAGTATTCTTATTTTCACGGTAATATAATTATTTGCAGAGATGCAGTCAGAGTCTGTTCTCCTTGAACAGTTCAGAGGTTCCTCAGAAAACTCAAAATAGAGCTACCATATGATCCAGCAATCCTACTACTGGGTATAAGCCCAAAAGAAAGGAAATCGGTCTATCAAAGAGATATCTGCACCCCCATGTTTGTTGCAGCACTATTCACAATAGCCAAAATTTAGAAGTAACCTAAGTATCCATCAACAGATGAATGGATAAAGAAACTGTGGTACATATACACAATGGAGTATTATTTATCCATTAAAAAGAATGAGACCCTGTCATTTGCAACAACATGGATGGAACTAGAGATCATTATTATAAGTGAAATATGCCAGGCACAGAAAGACAAACGTCACATGTTCTTACTTATTTGTGGGATCTAAAAATCAAAACAGGCTGGGCACAGTGGCTCACACCAGCACTTTGGGAGGCTGATGCGGGCAGATTAGTCGAGGTCAGGAGTTCAAGACCAGCCTGACCAACATGGTGAAACCCCATCTCTACTAAAATACAAAAATTAGCCAGGCGTGGTGGCAGGCACCTGTAATCTCAGCTACTTAGGAGTCTGAGGCAGGAGAATCACTTGAACGCAGGAGGCAGAGGTTGCGGTTAGCCAAGATCATGCCACTGCATTCCAGCCTGGGCAACAGAGGGAGACTCCCTCTCAAAAAATAAATAAATAAATACATAAAAATAAAAACAATTGAACACATGGAGATAGTAGAAGGATGGTTATCAGAGGCTGGGAAGGGTAGCAGGAGAATGATGGGGGGAGGTGGGGATGGTTAATGGGTGCAAAAAAAAAGAATGAATGAATGAGTAAGACCTGGTATTGAAGAGCACAACAGGGTGACTATAGGCAATAATAATTTGATTGTACATTTGAAAATAACTAAAAGAGCATACCCAGCACTTTGGGAGGCCGAGGCGGGCGGATCACGAGGTCAGGAGATCGAGACCATCCCGGCTAAAACGGTGAAACCCCGTCTCTACTAAAAATACAAAAAATTAGCCGGGCGTAGTGGCGGGCGCCTGTAGTCCCAGCTACTTGGGAGGCTGAGGCAGGAGAATGGCGTGAACCCGGGAGGCGGAGCTTGCAGTGAGCCGAGATCCCGCCACTGCACTCCAGCCTGGGCGACAGAGCGAGACTCCGTCTCAAAAAAAAAAAAAAAAAAAAAAGAGCATAATTGGATTGTCTGTAACACAAAGGATAAATGCTTGAGGGGATGGACACTCTATTTTATATGATGTGATTATTATGCATTTCATGCCTGTATCAAAACATCTCATGTACCCCCATATATATATATATGTATGTATATATATATACACACTATGGACCCATGAAATAAAAATAAAAAGAATATGTTCTTTTTATTAAAGATGTAATTGGAAACATTGGTTACATAGCCAAGGCTTTGACTATAATGTTATATTTGAAAATGATACATAGATTCAGATATGACTAGACAGTTTTAAGAAATCAAGGCTGACTATATGGAGCCTACAAAAACTCTCTTAGGAAAACCTGGCTTGGGCCAGGTGCAGTGGCTTGTGCCTGTAATCCCAGCACTTTGGGAGGCCAAAGCAGGCAGATAACCTGAGGTCCAGAGTTTGAGACCAGCCTGACCAACATGGTGAAACCCTGTCTCTACTAAAAATACAAAATTAGCTGGGCGTGGTGGTGCATGCCTGTAATTCCCAGCTACTTGGGAGGCTGAAGCAGGAGAATCGCTTGAACCCAGGAGGTGGAAGTTGCAGTGAACAGAGATCACACCCATTGCACTCCAGCCTGGGCAACAAAAGCGAAACTCTGTCTCAAAAAAAAAAAGAAAGAAAGAGAGAGAGAGAGAGAAAGAGGGAGAGAAGAAAGAAAGAAAGAAAGAAAGAAAGAAAGAAAGAAAGAAAGAAAGAAAGAAAGAAAGAAAGAAAGAAAGAAAGGAAAGAAGGAAAAGGAAGGAAAGAAGGAAAAGGAAGGAAGGGAAGGAAGGAAGGAAGGAAGGAAGGACAGACTACTTGTCTCAGTACCTGGCTTACAGTGTTTCCAGCCATACAATTGAGCAAGGAAGGCCACTTCCCAGCAGACCCAGGAAATTTTGGGGACCTCAAGAAGAGGAATTAACCCAAATCTATAGGTATTGCCAGTAAAATCTGGTGGTGAGTTCCTGGCTTGGCTGTCTGGTCTTGAGAAGCATTTTAAAAGTCTTATCTGAGATTCGTCATGGAGATGTCCAGCAAAGAAAACTTCAAAAGGTCTGTGTGATCAGTTACCATTCTCATTGCACTTATCTAAATAATCAGGCCAAATCTAATAAGATTTGACTTATTTCACAAGCAAGAATAATCTTAGTTTGGTTATCTTTAATCAGAAATGGGGCTGATCATAGAGAACGTTTTGTGTTGCAGTGAAAAACTATAGCACACCCTTGTGGGTTATCAGATTCTGGTCTTGTTTATTGCCTTGGAGGTTTTGTTATTCACCTGTAACTGGATTCTGCTGTCATGCATATTTGACATTCTTTCATCCACATCTTCTACCATCTACACTGAGAAATAACCATGACTGTGGCCCTCATGTCTATGCCATCACCAAAGACATTCACACTGCAAACCAGGAAACCTGTCAGCTTGCCACTGCCGTCCTCACTCCACCGTCTAAAGATGTCTCGAGTCTAACGTGTAGCAATCTTGGCTGCCCTCTGGACTCAGAAACTGGGTTTATTGTCTGCTCCAACCACTCATCTTTGTACTGCTTTTTATTTTCATAGAAATTTCCCTCATTAAATATTCTCTCCTATCTAATCTCTACACATGCTTCAGATAGTCCTTAATGAATAAAGGCAACTGAACAAGCAACAGACTTATATTGTTCAGAGGAAAGAAAGATGTTCTTTCCTTGCACAAGAGGAAGGATGGACAAAAACTCTCAAAACTCTCTCCTTATTCAGACCTCAGTGAAGTGCCTCTGAGCTCTCTTCTCAACTAGGCCTCAACCTTGGGCCTCAGTTTCTGCAAGAATCCTGGTAAAGTGGTTTAGCTATAATCCCCCACTCTTTTCTCTGGACCCAACACGTCAGGCTGGAGGGGCACTCTTTGCCACTGGCCTCTGGAGATGCCAAGGCAGCAGGTCATTGGAATGAGAGGTAGCCCAGCTCATTGAAGCCTGAGTTTCCCTTGAGATTCCATCCCCTGCAGGAGGAGCCAGAATAGGGTGGATAAAATCAGATTAACGCAGATCACAGGGCTGTGCCTGCTTTGTGGAATTAAATACTTTCTCCAGATCTGTCACTCCCATTTGCGGGGTTAGGAGGAAGAGCCGTGGGGAGCCCTGGGACTCCTCTTTTCCCAGACTTTGTACTAACTGGTTGTATGACTTACAGGCAGGCCCTTTAGGCACAGAGTGTTGGGAAATATGATCTCTTAGATTCCTCCAAATCATTCTCCCTGGGGCTTTGTCGCCCCCCTGCTGCCTTCCTCACCAGCCTCATCAAAGGTTTGTACCATTTGTTGTTCCTCAGACTCATTCCCTGTGGCTCTCTCACCTACTGCTCCAGCTGGGCCCTTGCATGATGTGAAACCACATTTTATAAGGTGCAAAGTTTCTATAGTCAACCAGTTGGCAGGAGGGAGGCAGTTATTACATTTGTTTCCTCCTTCTCCTGCACTTTGCTCAAAATGCCTCTTTTAATTTTTTTTCTTCCCAGTTTTTCAGATTTTACTTAAAATTTGTTTGATTGTGGCTAAGCATGATGGCTCACGCCTGTAATCCCAGCACTTTGGGAGGCCGAGGCAGGTGGATCACTTGAGGTCAGGAATTTGAGACTAGCCTGGCTAACACTGTGAAACCCCGTCTCTACTAAAAATACAAAAAAATTAGCCGGGCATGGTGGCGGGCACCTGTAGTCCCAACTACTCGGGAGGCTGAGGCAGGAGAATGGCGTGAACCTGGGAGGTGGAGCTTGCAGTGAGCTGAGATCGTGCCACTGCACTCCAGCCTGGGTGACAGAGTGAGACTCCGTCTCAAAACAAAAAACAAAAAGAAAAGAAAAAAGAAATAAGTCTGCAAGTTTCTGTAGGTGGCAAGGAGATTTCTAGAAGAAAGGAATCGAGACTCTACTTCCTTTCTTTTGGGAGGCTCAATGTTTTAGAACTCATATAATAGGTTTCAGTTTTAAAAAGCTGATTGACTACAGTTGTTCTTTCTCTGCCCTACCAAAACCTTGCCAAAATGATAGTAAAGAATAAAAATGGGCACAAGGACAAGAAGAACAGGAGAGCAACAGCAGACAAGACATTTAGATGAGTTTTTGGAGGACAAATAGCAAACGAAGAAGTGGTTGCTGACTCAGTGGACAGGAGCAAAGTATAACTTAAGGGTCTGTCATAAAAAATTTGGCATGAAGAGGAACCCAGAGAAATCATGAGAGGTTTGGGATTTGGAGGCTCTGCTGAGAAAAGGGATGAGGCGTTGGTCTGAAAACAAGAGTCACTGGTTGAAAGTCTGCATAGAGTGTGTTGGGATCCCAGGTCCCCTCCTCATCCCACATAGCCAGGAAGCTGATACTTGAGTTTGTCCCTGTGAAAATGATGGCTCAGGGTTTGAAAACCCTAAAGAAAAGCCAATCAGCTAACAGCTCTATGCACACACTGCAGAGCTTCCTACAAGACTTTTAGTGCCTCACTCTTAACATGAATAGATAGCCAAGGATATGACATATGAGGAAAGCTTCCAACATAGGAGAGACAAAATATCCAGAAAAGAAAAAGGAATGTGGGGGGAAACAGACAATATAGGGAACATTAGAAATGATATTGCGGCCGGGCACAGTGGCTCATGCCTGTAATCCCAGCACTTTGGGAGGACGAGGTGGGCAGATCACAGGGTCAGGAGTTCAAGACCAGCCTGGCCAATATGGTGAAACCCTGTCTCTACTAAAAATACAAAAAAATTAGCCGGGTGTGGTGGCATGCTACTCGGGAGGCTGAGGCAGGAGAATCACTTGAACCCAGAAGGCAGAGGTTGCAGTGAGGCGAGATCATGCCACTGCACTCCAGCCTGGGCAACAGAACAAGACTCTCTCAAGAAAAAAAAAATAAAAAGGAAAAAAGAAATGATATTGCATCATAAAACAAGAACATGATACTATGAGAAAGAACTTTAAACCAGAAACAGTCTCTGGGGAAAAAATACATGAAAGTGATGTGGTAAAGCTTAGAGAAAATTCAGTAGATTGGAATAAGTTAGGGATGATGGAACATTTGGGGGGAAATAACACTGCAGAAAAGCACGCAAATGTGAAACATAAATTACAAGCCCTGGAAAAACTAAGGGCCATATAAGAATTAAAGCATAATATAGCCCACTTCTTGATTCAACCATGAAAAATATTTGTATAGCCAGAATGAAATATGGACTGTCAATTTAACCAAACATTGTGAAATAACTATATTTGGAAGATGCAAGAGACAAAATGAGAAGGAGCATTAGTATATGAAAACTAAGTCCTTATCTACCATGGTGGGAGGTTAGTAGAAAATGGCTAAAAATGATAGGTTAAACATTAGAAAGAAAAATAGAAGCAAATACTAGAAGAGCTAGCTAAAAGTTTTGTGGATAGTTGCCCCAGGCAACAGAACTGGAGAATGGGATGGTGGAAGGCGTGGGTAAAGGCTTTGGGGTTTTCAATATGGGCCCTGTAGCGCCATTTGACTTTCAAGTTATGAACATCTGCTACTTGGATGAAAAATTAATTATTGACAAAAAGAACACTGCTAAGGATTAAGACAGGTTGCTTGAAATCAATGAGTAGCAATAAAAGATTCCATAGGCTTCCTACGGCATACAGTAAGAACTCAAAAAGTGTGAACAGCTATTATTGTCATTTAACAATTAGTGGAGAAGCCAGCAGACTTTGCAAGATCATTGCCCGTCCATGACTGGCCTTTGTCTATAAATGGCAGGATTTCTCATGTGTCAGCTGCAGTATTTAGATTTGGTTGGAGAGCTGGGCAGTGTGGCTCAGCTGAAGTCAAGAGAAACCCCGAACTTGGGGAAAATAACTTTGCGGTGAAGAACATTAGCCAAGTGATCAAAGTTAGTGACCCCCGTGATATCATGTGGCTATCTTCTGAAAGTTTAAGATTATTCTAAATTAAAAAGTAAAAAAAGTGATAGAGAAAAAAAGGCAAAAGCTTTGAACAGACAATTTACAGAAATACAAAGTGGCCAATAAATATATAAAAATATGCCCAGCACCCCCAATAATTAGAGGAATGCAGCCCTTAAAAATTATGAAGTATTGGCCAGGTGCGGTGGCTCATGCCTGTAATCCCAGCACTTTGGGAGGCCAAGGCAGGCGGATCACCTGAGGTCAGGAGTTCAAGACCAGCCTGACCAACAGAGTGAAGCCCTGTCTCTACTAAAAATACAAAAATTAGCTGGGCATGGTGGCACCTGCCTGTAATCCCAGCTACTTGGGAGGCTGAGGCAGGAGAATTGCTTGAACCCGGGAGGCGGAGGTTGCAGTGAGCCGAGATCACGCCATTGCACTCCAGCCTGGGCAACAAGAGTGAAACTCCATCTTAAAAAAAGAAAAAGAAAAAGAAAAAAATTATGAGGTATCACTTTAGCCCCACCTGAATAGCAAAAAGTTGAAGAGAATGAAAACAGCTACTAGTTAATGGGAATATTGGGGTGAAGTTTCCCCCCAGATACTGTCTTTCTTCATAAGTAGAAATGTGATAGTGCCTCTTTTGGAGATCAACTTTGCTCTACCTTTTAAAATGAAAAAATCTACGTACTCTTCCCTTCATGAGTCCCTCTCCTTGGAATCTATCTGATAGAAGCAAGAGTCCATGGGCGTTTAATGACCATAGATTCAATATTATTCATGGCACCCGTGTTCCAAGTAGCCACCCAAACCCCCAACTAAAATCCAAACAAAAGGAAAACAAGTACACAAACAAAAACCAGAAAACGACCGGGAACTAAGCTAATAAAAGGGTTAGATCTGTTTCAGAAGACTTGAAGAGATTTCTAGAATATGCTTCTTATTTCTTCCCTGCCTCCCTGGTTTCTAGACAAGGTGGCTTACACCAGGTGGTTTTCAGGGGTTACCTGGAATGGGAAGGAGAGTTGGTGCAGATAAAGAGACATGCAGAAGGGAAGCAGGAAGGTAAGACAGCAAAAGACTGATTTGGGAGATATAAAAATATCTCCCAAAATAAAAATATCTCATTTATGTTAAATATGTGTATGTCTAAAACTTATGTATATGCAAAATATTGTCAACAAGTGGCTGATGGGATCATCTCAGGGTGGTGGGATTTTAAATGGTTTTTTATTTTAATTAATTAATTATTTCATAAAATTCAGCTCCTGTGGGAAGATGAACTTTTAAGTTATTTCCTACACTTTTATACACTGTTCAAATTGTTCCAAAGAGCAAGTGTTAATTATATAAACTGAAACAGCAATAAAGCTGTTTACACAGTGAGGAGGAAAAAAAAAAACAACTTATCAAGGATCCCTTATCCATGCACCCACCTGGTGATTTCTTTAAAACAAAATTGTAACCAGCCATGTCCTGGAGCAGACACGGTCCTTTATTTTACTATGTGATAAAGGAGGTAGTGCTTCTTTTGTAAATTCGAGCTCTTGCTCTGAGGAGGGATCCTTGACATTCTGAGAACTGTTAAATACGTATACATGCCTCGTTTCTAAACCTGAAATCATTTAACAGATTTGGTTATTGTCTGCTCCATTAATTGTGCTATTCTCCCATTGCAGACCAGTAAGCCAGGGCTGAGGGGATCTAAAGCTCCTCCCAGCATCACACAACTGAGAGCTCTCCCAGACACATCCCCTGGGAGCTAGTAGATAGACTGGAATAAAAATTTTGAGCCTTCACAGTCTCCCAAGCCAATCTTTTCATCCTACTATAGTGTAAGCTTCCATGCAAAGCCACCCTCCCCTCCACTGTTCTCTGGAGCAGAGCAGGTCTACAGGGTCAGGCTGCCTGGCTAGGCCCCTCTGTGAATGCCCCTTGATTAGAGAACCACTATTATTCTCCTCCTCATAGTCCATGGAAAATAAATACAGGAAAGTCAGCAAACTTTCAAGAATGATGATGCTGGCTGTTTTCAGGTCCCAGTCATCCCTGCAGCCTGGCCGTGCCTTCTGTAAGCCTGTTTCTTCATAAGCTCTCTGCCAGCAAAACTCCTGCAATAGAAAACCATCTGGAGAAGAGCCAGGCAAAGGCCTTGATATCGGTGTTCTGGGCGCTGGGATTGATCATGCAGAGACCAGTGCAGCACCTAAACAGGGACCATTTCCTCCAGCCTGCCCACAGCTGCTGCCCTCGGGGCTTGCTCTGACACCCAATTTTTAAAAGCAGGCTCTTAGAATAATAAAACCAGAGAATCTTTGAATACAGAACCATTGACTGTTAGAATCATAAACTATTGAGAGAAGAACCATGAAATTCTAGAATCTTGGCGTTGGAAGTTACCTCCCAGGTAAATGGGTTCTGTCTCCCCACCTAAGCAACAGGTATTTCTTCTGAGGAAACTGGGTGCAGCAATGATGTGGCCACAACACCTTGTAGATGTGGGAAGATGTCCACGGTGGCCACAGTAAGAAGCCTTTTTGTGGTCTCTACCTTCTGAAATAGTACATGACGCAAGAAAATGTCCATGCTTGTCACGACAAAAACTACTATTCCCTGGAAGTCTGTGGTACTTTTGAACTCTCTTAAAACTTTACCCTCCTTGAAGAAGGTTTCAGGAGAAAGAGGAGGCCCTGGAAACTCTTGATAATGCCCTCAGCACTGCTTCCAAGGAGCGCCAGTCATATAGACCATCCCTGAGAGAAACAAGAGAAAACGGGAAATTCTGACTTCTCTCTACTTCAGAACTATGAGCTATTTTAGTTGGCATTTTTGCCCCCATCCAACTTTTTTTGGCTTCGCTATCTAAAACAAATAAATAAAACAGCTGATGCTGTGAACTGTAAAGAATCTGAGCTAATTTGGTCCTCCCCTTTCTCCCATCCATTGCAGACTTCGGCCATAGCGCGTGAGCATTAGAAAACAACTTGTCGCCCACTCAACTCTCTTTCTCATTCCTAAAGGAAAATATTTATATTACGCCACAGAACGGGTTTCCATGACAGTGACGACTGTAACACTGTTGCCTTAGCAACCACTTGAGTCCATCTTGAATGATCTGAATCCCCTTCACAGACAAATAAGGAAAATCTGTCAAAAGTGCCATTCCGCTGGTGGGAAGTCCTGGAAGACGGTTTTCTCGCGCCCTCGTTCTCCCTCCAGGTCCGTCCCCCCGGTCCCCCAGTACATCTCCCCTAACGCTCACTCGGGAACTTTCCATATTTGCTACTCTTTCAAGAGCTTGCCCTCGCCCTTCTCCTAGTGATTAGACCCTAATCCACCATGGAGACGCTGCCCAGAGCTCTGCAAAGGGTTAAGGACTGGCAGGCAGAGCCGTGCCAAAGACAACAAGAGACAGAATAAATACACAGATCATCCTTTTTATAGGGCCTTGCTCTTGCCCCTGGAGACTGGGTGCACGTTTTTCTCTATCAGTCCAGAGCAACTCTGAGGGGAGAGTTTTATAGGAAAGACCAGTCCTCCTTGAGGTTCAGCTCTCAGTCACAACAAGTGGGCAGGTTGCCTCTCGGGCCTCAGTTTCCTCATCTGTACGATAAAGGGGTTGAGTGGAGGGTCCTTCTGGCTCTTACACTCTAGGAATTTGGGGGAATCAAGAATGTATCATCTGGCCGGGCGCGGTGGCTCACGCCTGTAATTCCAGCCCTTTGGGAGGCCGAGGTGGATGGATCACTTGAGATCAGGAATTCCAGACTAGCCTGGCCAACATGGTGAAACCCCGACTCTACTAAAAATACAAAAATTAGCAAGGCATGGTGGTGGATGCCTGTAATCCCAGCTATGTGGGCAGCTGAGGCAGGAGGATCGCTTGAACCCGGGAGGCAGAAGTTGAGAGGTTGCAGTGAGCTGAGATTGAGCCACTGCACTCCAGCCTGGGCAACAAAGCAAGATTCTGTCTCAAAAAAAAAAAAAAAAAAGAATGTATCATCTTCTTTCTCCCAAAGTCATCAGATTTCTTGTAGCATGCCTACAGAGAACTCAGATAGGACATCAGGACAAGTGACATCCTGGAGTGACATGGAGCACGCCAGCATTCACAGGGAGGTGCATCTTCCCCCATCACACGTGTGGGCACAGGTGAAAAGCACCGTCGGCATCAGCGGCAGTGGTGCTATCAGCACCGTAAGCACACACTGCAGACCAGGCCACTCCAACTCAACATCTTTTACTGGAGAAGGTGCTCCTGCAGGCTGATTAAATCAATAAATGAGCCCTCTCAGGGAAGCAGCGACTTTTCTCCTGGAGGAAATGTTTTCAATGCAATTCATATCCATCTCTGGAGTTTTCTTTGCCTCTTTCCTTATTGAAAAACAGCTTGAAAAGCTAGAAATGCTGACCTGTTTTCTTTCATTCATCTTCCTGCTTCTTACTGACAGGGAGAAAGCTGTTTTAAGAGAGAAAAAGAGCAGTTTAAATCGTTTTTATAATTTTACTAGCCGGCAAGAAAATCACTTTGCTGGATTTGTATGGAGACTAGGAGAAATGGAACAAAACATGGGTGGAGGGCCGGGGAGAAAAGAAAAAGAAGAAGCTGGTGCCACTTTAGGAGGAAGCTGAAATACCTCTTCACCAAAGCCCTTCTTGGAAAGTGTAATATCTACAAAAGTCACTTCAGACCTTTTCAGACTTCTGACCTAACTGAGAGGCAGGATGGAGTGCAGGAGTTTAGAGTGGGCTTTGGAGTCATACGAAAGTGGGAATGCACTTTGCTCCCACATCCCGTCTTGCCTGCTGGCCACAGCTGATTAGAGTAGGCAGGAGTAGATCCCTGACCTTAAGACAAACTAAACACGGCCTGACCTGATCTGACCCAAAAGGATTGGCTGGGTCAGCTGGTTTTCTTTCCTTAGGAGCCTGAATAGGAAGTAAAGAAAGAATTCAGCCTGGCGCGGTGGCTCATGCCTGTAATCCCAGCACTTTGGGAGGCTGAGTTGGGTGGATCACTTGAGCTCAGAGGTTCAAGACCAGCCTGGGCAACATGGTGAAACCCTGTCTCTACAAAAAATACAAAAAATTAGGTGAGCATGGTGGTGTGTGCCTGTAGTCCCAGCTACTTGGGAGGCTGAGGTGGGAGTATTCCTTGAGCCTGTGAGGTCGAAGCTGCAGTGAGCCAAGAACGTGCCACTGCACTCCAGCCTGGGTGACAATGTGAGACCCTGTCTAAACAAAACAAAACGAAAATAAAGCAAAGGAATTCCCCAGTCATTGGAGGACAGGTCAGGTCAATAGTGAAAGAACTGAAAAAGCACAACACTGGTAGTCATGGAATAAGATTCATCTCATCCAGACCATATCGTGTTCTGCATTTTTGTGAATCTGTTACCAATCTTTAAACTTTGGGATATTTTGCATAAAAACCCAGCTCTTTGGCTTCTCTTAAAAAGCCAGAAGCTCTGTAACACAGAGTCAGCATGTCCTGGCTGCAATCAGCTGGAGCTAGGGCCTGCAGCTGCCCGCTTTTCCTGGGCCATATGTTCTCCCATCCACCAGCCTCCACCCTGCCTTGTTACGCTCACACTCAGCTTACCTGCCTGCCCCATGTAGGCACTGGTGCATGCCTGTGTAGGTATTGGTGTGTGCAACCCCTAAATTAGAGGGAAGGCCCCTAGCAACTGCTTCCTGGAAACTACAATTGCCTTGAATACACAGCTGGAATTACTGAGGCAAACTTTAATATAGTTTCTGGTCCCAGATTTCCCAGAGGCTCCCCTTAATCTTATATGTGGAGCCTTACAATAAATCCTCTCTACCAAGCTAGCTTGAATGGGTCTTTATCCCTTGCAATAGAACAAGCCCCATGTATACAGGGGTAATTATTAAATTACCTCCCCTTCTTTTCCCAGCTCTCTCAGAGGCTGCAGTTTTTACAAGGGGCTGCTGTCTGAGAAGTCTAGGGGAGACTGGCTGATGATTGGGAGATGCATTCCTAAGGATTAGCTGGGCACCAGGAACCAAGGTCAGGCTCACTTTGCCAGGGGAGATACAGGAATGAGAGCTGACTCAGAGGCCAACAGCTTGTGAAAAATACCAAAGTAACTCCATAGGTACCTACCTGGGATTCTTTGGAGCCAGGTGTATGCAAGGCACAGACTGGTCCTCTGGACATAGTAAGCCAAGGGTGGTGTCCAGTAGGACTTTGGGGAAGCTTACCCACATGAGCAATCAGAACCAACCTCAGCCCTAGCCTTTGGAGGCCTCCAGCTGGACTGTAGGAGGAGCCCAAGGCAGCTGGAGTTCTCCAAAGGACTTGAGGGGCTCTGGACAGAGGTTATTCATCAACTAGTATGAAAGTATATAAATGTGAGCCACTGGTATGGTCCCACCTGTGACTGCGGGGCTTTAACTCAAAGAATAATCATTCTTTAAGTAGTCATGATGGATACCGGGCCTCGTGGTCACCAGGTTGCTGTGAGTGCAGCATTGGTACCTTAATGGGTTAATGCCAGCACAGCCCTGGAAATCTTCCTTTGTTATGTGCACAGGGATCTCCAGAAGCCTGGCTTTGCAAGGATTTGGGTTCAGAGATGTGTGTGAGCTCCAGGATATTGCAGTTTCTTATCACTGACTCTCAGGTACTCTGGACATGAGCCATACATCTCAGTAGACAGTGAGGTCTTTATCTTGTCTACTAGATTCAGACTGGGGTTATTGTGTGGATCAACACATAAGCAAGATGGAGGAATAGGGTTTTCCAGTGCCCATCTACCCACAGAAACATCAATTTGAACAACTCTCCATGCGTAAAAATGCCCTCAAAGGGTTAAGGAAACCAAGTGAGAGATTATAGCAAGTGGGTTGTAGCACAGAAGTAAGAGGTGTTTAAGAGGGTAGGGAGGAGAGTTTTACATCATCCAAATTGCCCCTCCCCCCAGTCCAGGCAGCAGAGGGCAGAGAGATACCCTCTATGTCGGGGAGGGAGAGGGAAGTGAACACCTGACTTTGCCTTGGGGCCTAACACTGGGCCCTCTCAGTAAAACTCAGTACCAGGCAGGACTCCACAGCCCAGCCTCCAGGCCAATACCCATGGACTAAGCCTCCAAACCAGCCCTGGTGCCAGGAGGGATCCTGAAGCCCCAGGCTCCGGGCCTGCATAGTGGAATGTCTCTAGGCCCGTCCCACTGCCAGGCTGACCCCAGTGGCCCCAGACTTTGGGACTACCTAGCACCAGGCCAACCACCACAGACTCAATATCCAGACGCAGTGGCCCTGGACTCTGGACCACCCTCAGCACTAGGCTGCCTCCCACAGCCCCAGGCTTCAGGCCTGCCCCAGCACCAGGTTGACCCCAGAGCCCTAGTCATCAGGTCTTCACCTATAGACCCAGTCTCAAGGCTGGCCTTTGTGTTCATAAGTTCTTATCATTTAGCTCTCACAAGTGAGAAAATTTAGTATTTAGTTTTCTGTTCCTGTGTTACTTTGCTAAGGATAATAGCCTCCAGCTCCATCCATGTTCCTGCAAAAGATAGGATCTCATTCTTTTTTATGGCTGCATAGTATTCCATGGTGTATGTATACCACATTTTCTTTATCCAATCTGATATTGATGGGCATTTAGATTGATTCCATGTCTTTGCCGTTGTGAATAGTGCTGCAGTGAACATTTGCATGCATGTGTCTTTATGGTCGAATGATATATATTCCTCTGGGTATATACCCAGTAATGGGATTGCTGGGAGGAATGGTAGTTTTACTTTTAGCTCTTTGAGGAATCACCATACTAGTTTCCACAATAGTTGAACTAAATTACACTGTCACCAATAATATATAAATGTTCCCTTTTCTCTACAACCTCACCAGCATCTGTTATTTTTTGACTTTTTAATGATACCCATTCTGACTGGTATAAGATGGTATCTCATTGTGGGCTTGATTTGTGTTGTTCTAGTGATTAGTTATATTGAGCTTTTTTCATATGATTTTTGGCTACATGTATGTATTCTTTTGAGAAGTGTCTGTTTATGTCCTTTGCCCACTTTTTAGTGGGGTTGGTTGTTTTCCTCTGGTAAATTTGTTTAAATTCCTTATAGATGCTGGATATTAGACCTTTGTCAGATGCATAGTTTGCAAATTTTTCTCCCATTCTGTAGGTTGTCTGTTTACTCTGTTGATATTTTCATTTGCTGTGCAGAAGCTTTTAAGTTTAATTAGATCCCACTTGTCAATTTTTGCTTTTGTTGTGATTGCTTTTGGTGTCTTTGTTATGAAATCTTTGCCTATTCCTATGTTGAGGATGGTATTGCCTAGGTTGTCTTCCAGGGTTTTTATAGTTTTGGGTTTTACACTTAAGTCTTTAATCCATCTTGAGTTGATTTTTCTGTATGGTATGAGGAAGGGGTCCAGGTTCAGTCTTCTGCATATAGCTAGCCAGTTATCTCAGCACCACTTATTGAATAGGGAGTCTTTTCCCCATTGTTTGTTTTTGTCAGCTTTGTCAAAGATCAGATAGTCGTAGATGTGGGGCCTTATTTCTGAGCTTTCTATTCTGTTCCATGGGTCTGTGTGCCTGTTTTTGTGCCAGTACCATGCTGTTTTGGTTACTGTAGCCTTGTAGTATAGTTTGAAGTTGGGTAACATGATGCCACCAGCTTTGTTCTTTTTGCTTAGGATTGCCTTGGGTATTTGGGCTCTTTTTTGGTTCCATATGAATTTTTAAATAGATTTTTCTAGTTATGTGAATCATGTCATTGGTAGTCTGATAGGAATAATATGGAATCTATAAATTGCTTTGGGCAGTATAATCATTTTAATGATATTGATTCTTCCTATCCATGAGCAGGGGGTGTTTTTCCATTTGTTTGTGTCTTTTCTGATTTCTTTGAGCAGTGTTTTGTAATTCTCTTTTTTTTTTTTTTTTTTTTTTTTTGGGACAGAGTCTTGCTCTGTCACCCAGGTTGGAGTACAGTGGCACGATCTCGGCTCACTGCAACCTCTGCCTCCTGGGTTCAAGCAGTTCTGCCTCAGCCTCCTGAGTAGCTGGGACTACAGGAGTGTGGCACCATGCCCGGCTAACTTTTGTATTTTTAGTAGAGATGAGATTTCACCATGTTAGCCAGGCTGATGTCAAACTCCTGACCTCAGGTAATCCGCCTGCCTTGGCCTCCCAAAGTGCTGGGATTACAGGCATGAGCCACCACACCTGGTCTGTAATTCTCATTGTAAAGATCTTTCACCTCCCTGGTTATCTGTATTCCCAGATATTTTATTCTTTTTGTGACAATTGTGAATGGGATTGCCTTTCTGATTTGGCTCTCGGTTTGGCTGTTGTTGGTGTATAGGAATGCTAGTGATTTTTGTACATTGATTTTGTATCCTACAATTTTGCTGAAGTTGTTTATCAGCTGAAGGAGCTTTTGGGCCGAGACTATGGGGTTTTTTAGTTACAGAATCACGTCATCTGCAAACAAAGATAATTTGGCTTCCTCTTTTCTATTTGGATGTGATTTATTTCTTTCTCTTGCCTAATTGCTCTGGCTAGGACTTCCAATACTATGTTGAATAGAAGTGGTGAGACAGGGCATCCTTGTCTTGTGCTGGTTTTCAAGGGGAATGCTTCCAGCTTTTGTCCATTAAGTATAATGTTGGCTGTGGGTTTGTCATAGATGGCTCTTATTATTTTGAGGTATGTTCCTTTAATACCTAGTTTATTGAGAGTTTTTTTAACTTGAAGCAGTGTTGAATTTTATCAAAAGACTTTTCTGTGTCACTGAAATAATCATGTGGTTTTTGTCTTTAGTTCTGTTTATATGATGAATCACATTTATGTTGAACCAACCTTGCATCCTGGGGATGAAGCCTACTTGATCACGGTGGATTAGCTTTTTGATGTGCTGCTGAATTCAGTTTGCAAGTATTTTGTTGAGGATTTTTGCATCTATGTTCATCAAGGATATTGGCCTGAAGATTTCTTTTTTTGTTGTGTCTCTGCCAGGTTTTGGTATCAAGATGATGCTGGCCTCATAGAATGAATTGAGGAGTCCCTCCTCATCTATTTTTTGGAATAGTTTCTGTAGGAATGGTACTAGCTCTTCTTTGTACATCTGGTAGAATTTTCTTGTGAATCTATCAAGTCCCTGGCTTTCTTGGGTTGGTAGCCTATTTATTACTGATTCAATTTTAGAGCTCATCATTGATCTGTTTAGGGAATGAGTTTCCTCCTGGCTTAGTCTTGGGAGGGTATACGTGTCCAGGAATTTATCCATCTCTGCTAGGTTTTCTAGTTTGTGTGCATAGTAGTTTCTGATGGTTGTTTGTATTTCTGTGGGGTCAGTAGTAACGTTCCCTTTGTCATTTCTAATAGTGTTTATTTCAATCTTTTCTCTTCTTAATTAGCCTAGCTAGTGGCCTATTTATTTTATTATTTTTTTCAAAAAAACAACTCCTGGGTTCATTGATCTTTTGAATGGCTTTTCGTATCTCAATTTCCTTCAGTCCAGCTCTGATTTTTGTTATTTCTCATCTTCTGCTAGCTTTGGGGTTGATTTGTTCTTGCTTCTCTAATTCTTTCAGTTGTGAAGTTAGGTTGCTAATTTGAGATCTTTCTAACTTTTTGATGTGGGCAACTTTTAATGGGCATAGGGATTACCTTGGGGCCATTTTAAAATGTGGATTCCTGAACACTCCCCTGGAGATTCTAAGCTGAAACCGACATGACCCCTAGGCCAGTGAAAAGCACGAGGAAGAGGACAGAGTACCGGGAGAGTCCCTGAAAGACTTGGAATCTGGAGCTTGCTGGGTGAACAAATTGTGTGATTTGGACAAATTCCTTCACTTCCCTCTTGTTATATAAGGAAGTTGGATGGGATAACCCCAGCGAACCCTCCAGTTCTGACATCCCAGGGTTGTGCCATTTGACAAGTTCCAAATACTCAGAACCCTTGGTTTGGCTGAGAATACAGATGCAAAGTGTCTGAGGGCATTGGCCACATTTACACCCCCTAGCACAGGGTTCACTAGACAATATTCTCTCCTGCAGAAGGGCATGGAGATGAGTCCCTGGCCCAGTCAGAACACCTCATGCCAACTGGTGCTTTTCCAACATGTATGCCCTTCCCAGAGGCTCTGAGAACAGAGTGCAGTCTAGGGGCCTGTCTAAATGGGTTGGGCTCTTCAGACTGAAGTGCCATATTTCTTCTTTCTCCCATTGGCATGCCTTATTTCTGAGGATGCTCATTTATACACCTGGGAGAGGATCAGCCCATAGATATAAAATACAGGATTTTTCAAGGGATGAGAAAAGACAGGGTCCTGAGGAAATCAGCTCTGGGCTGGAGAGGTGGAGCATTTCTCTCTTTCCCCTCTGAGCCTCAAGGCACCATGGAGAGGAGAAAGGCTTTGGGGTCAGATTGAATTCCAATCCTGACTCTGCCACTTACTACTGGGGGTAATCCAAGTAACTTAACTGCTCTGAGTCTCTGTGTTTTCACATCTGAAAAAAATGAAGTGGCAATAATCAAGTTTATCTGCAGGGTTGCAGTGAGAATTAAATCTGATTACATACATAAAGGTGGCTGGCACTTAGAAGGGACTCAGTAATCCTCACCCCTCACTTCACCGCCTCGAGCTCTTTCTTGCTGCCATCCTTTGCCTGGGGGAGGGTGTCTGTACCTAGTCCCTGCAGGCTTAGGAGTCATCAAGATAGAACAGGGGTTGGGGGAGGACTCCTTCCTTCTTTAGTATTATTGAAGGATATTCAAAAGAAACATTTACACCAAAAGTGACTCTGAGGAAACAAAGGGAAATGAACAAAGCAAATATAAATCCATAAAATGAAATGCAGATTACAGCTTCTACAAGAGCCTCTGATAAACTCCCCACAGTGGCCAGAAACAATGGGGCCAACTGGAGCTGGGAGCCTGTTCCCAGCTGAAAATTGAAGCCCTGTCTCTGCAGTGGAGCCTCCTCTGCCTCTGGATTGTTTTCTCAGCCTAAGGAAGGTGGGAGGTGCCGAGAGTTGGAGGCACAGAGAGCACTCCAACTTGTCCGTCAGCTTTGCAGCTCCTCTGTGGCTCCTGCCCAATGCACATTCCCCCCTTCAGTCATCTCTACCCCACTGAGGTCCTCTACAAAGAATAAAACCACAGCCCTGCCTTTGCAGAGCTGCACGAGGCTGCACAGAGCCTGTCACCACTCTGGGCTCAGAGGAGACTTGCTCCTACTTGGGTGGGTGTTGGACAAATAGCAGGAGTTAAGAGGCTACCACTGCTGTCTTTTCTGCATCTGAGCCAGGTCCTACAGCATGGGCTTCTGGGGATGTCAAAGTGTTATCAGAAAGGGATCCTGATCCAGACCCCAAGAAATAGTTCTTGGATCTTTCTTGTACAAGAAAGAATTCGGGGGAAGTCTACAGAGTAAAGTGAAAGCAAGGTTATTAGACAAGTAAAGAAACAAAAGAATGGCTACTCCATAGTCAGAGCAGCCTTGAGGACTGCTGAGTGGCTCTTTCTATGGTTATTTCTTGATCGTATGCTAAGTAAGGGGTGGATCATTCATGAGTTTCCCGGCGAAAGGGGAAAGGAGTTCCCAGAACTGAGGATTCCTCTTCCTTTTAGATCATATAAAGTAATTGCTGGACATTGCCGTGGCATTTATAAACTGTCATGGCACAGGTGGGAGTGAATCTTAGTATGCTGATGCATTATAATTAGTGTATAATGAGCAGTGAGGATGATCAGAGGTCACTTTTGTCACTATCTTGGTTTTGGTAGCTTTTGGCTGGCTTCTTTACTGTATCCTGCTTTATCAGCAGGGTGTTTGTGACCTGCAGCTTGTGCCAACCTCTTGTCTCATCTGTGACTAAGGATGCTTACCCTCCTGGGGCTGCAGCCCAGCAGGTCCCAGCCTTATTTTACCCAGCACTTATTCAAGATGAGTTGCTCTGGTTCGAATGTCTTTGACAAAGGGACAGAGAACAAAATTAGTGGGATCCAATCCTGGAATCTCACAGCTCACAGCCTACCACCCATACTCAGCCCTGGGAGAAGTGGGGGGCTTGGAAGGAAAGCACTGAACAGCTGGTATGTCAAGGGAGGGCCAAATCAAACAATAGCCATTGCCTGAGCTTGGGACAACCAAACTGAGCCCTGACCCTTAGCTCCCTAGGACTGGAGGAAGAGTGAGACCCTCAATATCTAAAAACTTCCAGAGCAGACAAGCAGGAGTAACACCACAATGCAGGCTGCCTTTACTGACACAGTAAAGGTTAATAAACCCTCCTGGGCTGAGGCCTGAGGAGGGTGGCCAGGATCTGCTCAAGGATCTGGAAAAATTGCCAGTTAATGATTTAAGAAGCTGAGGGTGCTTAGTAGGGAAAGAAAAGCTTTAAGGACACCTGGATTTATAGATGTGAGGGTTCATCTGCGGAAAAGGAATTTGCCATAATTAGGGGATGCGTTTAGGCAGAACTAGAGTCAGAGGGTAGAAGTCACAGGAAGAATTTCCATCACTGGGAGTGGCCAGCCATGGAGCAAGCACGGGATTGAGGTCTTTAGAAGGATGACCTGTTTGGATTTGAAACAACAATGCCCCAAGTGAGATATGTTGGTGGATGTTTTACCGGTTATGGAGCCAACAAGGGACCCAGTGAGCCCTCTTCAATATTTTGAGCAGGCTAATGATGCATAGGGATGGTTTAAACACATATGTGTAGGCTTTCCAAACAGAACACAAAAACCATCGGCTCAGCGAGTCACCATGCAGATCCCTCCCCCATGAACAGCGCCAACTCTGGGTTTTCAGAGCTTGCCAAAATGGCTGTAGCTCTCAGCTTATAGGTATCTCTGGTCAATGCCTGATAATCTGATGCACTGCCTGGACACTCCCTGGGCCTGGGAACATGCTACCGGATCACAAGAAGTGCAATCATGCCCCAGTCAATGGGGACACAGCCTGACTCGACCAGAAGGAACGGATGGTGGGTCCTAACACCATGGCAGATCTTCCTTCTTTTTTTTTTTTTTTTTTGAGATGGAGTCTTGCTCTGTCACCAGGCTGGAGTGCAGTGGCACAATCTCAGCTCACTGCAACCTCCACCTCCCAGGTTCAAGTGATTCTTCTGCCTCAGCCTCCCGAGTAGCTGGGACTACAGGTGCCTGCCACCATGCCTGGCTAATTTTTGTATTTTTAGTAGCTATGGGGTTTCACCATATTGGCCAGGCTTGTCTCGAACTCCAGACCTCGTGATCCACCCGCCTCGGCCTCCCAAAGTGCTGGGATTACAGGTGTGAGCCACTGCGCCCAGCCTCCTTCCTTTTTTGAGTCAGGCTCTAGTTCAGTGGGCCCAGCTGCTTGTGCAACCCACCCTCATCCTGTCTGGATTCATACTGTTTATTGTCCCCTGTTGGAAAGCCTAATAATGTACAAATAGAAGGGAGTCCCACAAAGCAACCAGTCTAAATGGCTGCTACTGCCCGCTTCCTCATCATTGCTTTCTCTTGGCTCTTGGCTGGGGCTTGCTCTCTTATCCTTCAGAAAATTAGCCCTGAACTCAACCCCCAGAACTGTTGTATCTTTCCATAATCCCAAACGAAAACGTCTCCTATCAGGTTGGATTTTAGACCAGATATAGGGAGAAAGACGCTGTTTCTACATCAGAAACAACAACTAATAGGAAGAACTAACCATTTATCATACTCAGAGGTCTACATCCTTATCTCATTCATCCCTCGCAACAATGCTTTTATGGGAAATATTCCTCTGGCCCTTTGTAGCAGGATATGAAACTTCCATTTGTTTTGTAAGACACCTCAATTTGTGTGCACCTTTTCTTTGCTCCATTGAACGTTATCATCTGGCTTTCCCCAGGATGAGATCAAACATTTTCTGAACCCTCCAGAGAGGAGAGATAAGATAGCTATCCTCTGTGAATACTAACTCTTTGTGCCTTCAAAGATGAAAGATTCTGATGTTTTTCTTTTATTAAATAATTACGAATTATTTGAGCTCCAGTTTTTATGGACGGGGTTTTGTGTGTGTGTGTGTGTGTGTGTGTGTGTGTGTGTGTGTATTTTCACTTTGGCTATCCAGCATTCTTTTCTTAATTGAAAATATCCTAGGGCCGGACATGGTGGCTCACAACTGTAATCCCAGCACTCTGGGAGGCCGAGGTGGGCGGATCACCTGAGGTCAGGAGTTCGAGACCAGCCTGGCCAACATGGTGAAACCCCATCTCTACTAAAAATACAAAAAAAATTAGCTGGGCATGGTGGCACATGCCTGTAATTCCAGCTATGGGGGGAGGCTGAGGCAGGAGAATCACTTGAACCTGGGAGGCAGAGGTTGCAGTGAGCTGAAATTGCACCACTGCACTCCAGCCTGGGCGACAGAGCAAGACTCCATCTCAAAAAAATAAAAATAAAAATAAGTAAATAACATCCTAGTTTCCTTTTAGGAAATCCTCTCCCCCATTGTTTTCAGACTGGTGTATGACAGATTGGTGTGTCTTGCCCCCAAATAACAGAAGCAGAAGGGTTACTGTGGGCTCCTTTCATCGGATTCCTTCTCTCTCATCCCAGTACAGCCATGTGGGCATGTGACCTAAGCCCAACTAATAATATTCTCCCCTGGGACTTTGAATGTTGAGCAGAGTAACACAAAGATGCCAAGAGGGGAGAAGCAACACCCTGTCAAGTACATCCTGTCCTGATTTCTTCCTGTTTCCAAGCAGTCTTCCAGACTTCCCAGCACTTCCATGAACTCTCTGATAACTTTCTAATAAATTTCCTCTTCTGCATAGATCATGTTTTAGGACTTGGCCAAAACCAAGGACGACTTCCTTCCCTGGCATTCTTTGAATTATTTAGAAATAAGCAACAAGATAGAAGAGTCAAGTCACCAAGAGATCAAAAAGTCAAAGGACTTTTCTGCTATCTCCCTTATTCTCCCTCAAGACATGGCTGCTTAATGACGGGCTAAGAGAAGAACTTCCTCTATGTATTCAAGTAAGTGCTGAGGAATCAGATCAGACAGCTTGCAATCCATCCTCATTATTCCCATGAGTGGTACCTTCATATTGCTTGCAATAGCCCTAAGTATGTTTCCTATGCAGCCTTGAGGTGAGACAGAGTTTCACTCCACATGCCCATGATCCACAACCCGGGGTCATGCTGTGAATCAGTGCTCTGCTCTGCTCTCACTCAGCCTCATCTATGAGGATACCCTTATGGGGCTCTCAGAACAACAGGAAGACCAGAAAAGGCATGTACCCCAAGGGGTGGTGTAGAAGCTCTTGTGCTGAGGCTCAGTTGCTGAACTGAACCCTCTGGAGAGGCAAGAGCAGAGCCAGTGGGACCGTGGAGCCCCCTGACTCATAGCTAAGTGCATAAGCACAGGTTGAGGGTCGCATGACTCACCATGTTCAACAGAAAATGAGGTTTTAGACAACTCAAGACCCATGGGGTGATATGACTCCCAATAAGCTCAGTCAATCTGGAGAGTCATTTTGATGATGTTTGGAATACTGGGGCCAGCTCTGTGCCCCCACCAAGGCACTTCAACACCAGGAGATAGAGGGAAATCAGAAACAAAGAAAGAGAAGATTCAGATGGAGAGGAAGAGTCAAGTGGGCAGCTAGCTGAAGCACTAACACATCTAAGAGGGACTAGAATCTTTCTGCATCATAGGGCAAAACTGAAACCGATGGGTAGAAGTTCTAGGGCAGCAGATTTGGATCAGACTAAGGAAAATCTTTTTTTTTTTTTTTTTGAGATGGAGTCTCGCTCTTTTGCCCAGGCTGGACTACAGTGGCGCTATCTCGGCTCACTGCAAGCTCTGCCTCCCGGGTTCATGCCATTCTCCTGCCTCAGCCTCCCAAGTAGCTGGGACTACAGGTGCCCGCCACCACGCCCGGCTAATTTTTTTTTGTATTTTTAGTAGAGACAGGGTTTCACCGTGTTAACCAGGATGGTCTCGATCTTCTGACCTCGTGATCCACCCGCCTCAGCCTCCCAAAGTGCTGGGATTACAGGCGTGAGCCACCGCGCCTGGCCAGGAAAATCTTTTAAACCAAGCAGTATAGCAGCGACGTAGGCTACTTCTCGGAGGCTGACAGAATAGTGGACAAGAGTCTTGCGTTAGGAGGCAGCAACCATGGACAAGTCCCAGCCCTACTGTATAACAGTCACATGACCTTTGTAAGTTACCGAGTCTTTCTGTTCTCATTTGTAAAGGGAAGGAAATAATAGTACCCACCTCTGAGGGTATTTGTGAGGGTTAATATTGCTGTACTATGGCACTGACCAATTGCCATAGAAGTGTGGAGAAAAAACATTTTCCAACTGGAAGCGGTCCTAGAAAGGCTCAATATAGCTTCATTGAATAGTGCCTGATATATACATATACTGATCATCAAAGTGCTAGATATTAAGGAGGATTATGCTTGTGAAGTGATCAGCACCTCATTGCTGGAAAAGGTTAAACCATGGCTGCAAGACAAATGTCAGGGATGTTAGAGGCCATTCCCACACTGAGTGGGAGATGGGACCACACCATGGCTCAGAGAACAAAGCAAGAGCTTTGGTGGTAGACAGCTCTGGTCACATCGTGCAGCTACCACTGGCACACTGGGCAAACCACAAGATCTCTAGGTCTCAGTTTTCATATCCATAAATAAGGCTGATATGTCTCACTCCACAGCACAGCCACAAGGATGAAATAATTATGTATACAGATGTGTTATATTATTTGCACTTGTTTTGTATTTTTAAAACCCCCAAATACAATAATAAAAGGCAATTATAGAATGATCACCTATGTTTGGTCCCTGGCACCTAAAGGGGTAGCATGTGTATGATGATCATTCTCTGCCCTTCGCCCTGAATGCCCTGCAGTTCCCCGGACACCGGAGCTGGTCCTAGGCTGCCTTCTGGTGGGACTTTTTGTCCTTTCACAGTGGCTGCCCTCTCCTTCCAGGCCGCTTTGTGTGACTCACCGTTCTTTGCAATTAACTGTGATGTTCTGCTGGAGGCTTCCATTAGAAACGACGAGAACAGCTACTTTGGCCTAAACAGAGTGTGGTGGGCTTGATTGTTTCACCTCACGATTTATTGCTAAAGAGACAGAAGATGGGCCCCTGGGCAGGTCATGGCTGGCCTGAGTCCTTCCCGCTGCACAAGTTTGTCCTGTGATCTGGGTCCCCATGGCATATTCAGTCCTGAGGGCCAGGCCTGCACACTCACACAGGCTCAGTGGCACCTGGCTAGACAGCAGGAGCCAGGAAGCGAGGCTGGTTCGAGGAGGTTGGCAAGGAGAGAAATATGGTTTCTTCTCTGGGAGTTTGAATCCCATTTAATTCAGGAAGCTTTAATTGAACACCTACTCTGTGCCAGGCACACTGGGGGATCAGATGTGAATTAAAGCAATCCTCACTCCCTAGAAACTTAGAATTTAACAGAGATGAAGGCAAATCTATGACCAGTCCTGAGCCTCTAGTATGCCACTGAGCAATTATCATAGAAATATAGAGAAGGATGAGATTTTGCAACCAGAGGGGGCCCTAGAAAGGCTTCACACAGCTGCCATTTGTTGAGTACCTACTATGTGTAGGATACTCCCCTTGTTTAATCTATACAACTCTGTGAGGAATGGGATTATTGTCACCCCTATGTTGCAAATGAAGAAACTGAGGTTCTGAAAGGTTAAATAACTTGCTCAGAAGTCACATAGCCAGTAAGAGGTACAACCAGGACAAGATTCTGAGTCTGAAACATGTGCTTTTTCAAGAAGGCCAGGCTACCTACTTCTTAGAGGAGGCTGAATTTGTCCTGGGCCTGAAATAAGGCTGATATTTTGTCACACAGCTCTGAGTGGGGAGGGCCTTCCTTCTGCTTCTGCTTCTAGGCAGGTACAAACCGCCTGTTCTGAGACACAGCTAATGTCCTTTCATCTTCTTCCCACAGGGGACCAATAAAGCCTGAGAGTAGGCTTGGGAGGGGCCACATTCCTCCCAGGAGGGGCTAGTTCCTCTCTCCAGCCTCTGTCTGTGATTCAGCCCTAAATACATAACCTAAATACGTAACTGTCAATTCAAATAATACCTGCCCACTGGAACCAACAACCTGGATTCATTTCACACCTGCTGGGAGCCATTAGTGGCACAAACACATTCTTTACATCACCCAAGGCAAGTTTGTTCGCAGTCATAGCAGTTTAGACTACAGCGCTGGAAGGCAATGGAGTGCTTAGAGACAACCAGGTTCGAGTACCTCTTCTCACAGATCCACACTGAGGTACAGAGAAGGGAAGGGGCTGGCCTGAAGGCTTCGAGGAGAGACATAAGAAAGGACACCATCTTCTCCGTGCTCCACACCTGTTGGGAGGAGCAGGATGAAGATTCACTGAGCACTATTTCTGAGTCTGCAGGTATTTGCCCTTAGTGTTGTGCTATCTCATTCATCCTCATCATAGCTCTGATTCGAGGTCCCTGCACACCCTTTCCAGATGGGAAGCCTGATAAGCTGAGGGGTCCTGGGAGGTGTCCCAGGTCACATGAGAAGAAGCACAGCCAAGGTGGGAGCACACACCTGCTGGCTCCAAAATCCCACCATGGAATGAAAGGAGGCAGTTGTTCCCCTCTCTCTTTGAACTTGCAAAATGGGGTTGGGTTGAGTTTGGACCCAGGGGGTCTATGACACAGTTTCTCCAGCTCGGAGGGGCCCAGCCCTGGCCTTTCCCATGGTGTGTCTTCTGAGCTGCGTGAAATAATGTCCAGCCCTGGGCAGGCATGAAGTGACATGCAGAGGCTGTGGAAAGTGTATCTACATTTCGTGCTTTGTTCCTAAATGACTCATGCAGCCCACAGAACAAAATTAATGTCTTGTCCAGCACCAGCAAATTGCATTTCTTTCTTTGAAAAATCAGTCAGGCTGCAAAGGGCCCTGGTTTATTCTGGGGACATGGAGCCATCCTGTGGCTGCTTCCACTGGACAGGCTGGAAACAGCAATCAGGCCCCTCGGAAGGGCCCCTTCCAGAGGTGGTCTAAGCCTTGTGCTCTGCTCCGGCCAGACCCTCTGCTCCTGCCAGTGACAGGTTGTTACACCCTTGTCTCCTCTGAACCGATGTTCCACATATGATCAAGTGCTTTCCAAGCCCCCGTACCACTCCCCTCACACGGCCCCTCTCCCCTGCAGGTGGCAGACTTACTCATTCTCATGCTTCAGCTCCAGGGGTTCCCCTGTATGAGTCTTCTCTGCCCGCTCCCACACCCCAGGTAGCATTGCCCCTGCTTGCTTTGTGCCCTCACTGTCTCCACATATATACACATCTCTTACAATAATATTAAATACCAGCCAACATTTATATAGTACTTCTTATGTACCAAGTACTGTTGTCTATCTATCTATCATCTATCTATCTATCTATGTACACACACACTCATATTATCTTCACAATGCTATGAAATAGGTATTATTGCTGTCCATTTTACAGATGGGGAAACCAATCTATAATTGGTTTAGTGAGATTTACTGAGCATATCTACAGGTATTTGTCCTTGGTTATAGGAAACCAATCTGTCACTGGTTTCCCCTTCTGTAAAATAAGTTAAATAATTTGCTTAAGCTCACTCAGATAGTGTGTGGTTGAGTCATAATCTGAGCTACTCTCTGGCCCAAACTGCTTATTGTAACCACCACATCATATGGCCACTTCAGCACCAGTCACACCTCATTTTACTTGTTGATGTCTCAGTTTTCCCCTCTATTCTGCGGGCTACTTGAGAAGACTTCTGTCTTCTTCCTCTAGGTATCTCTGTGCTTGACTCAGTATCGAGACCATAGGTGTGTGGGTGGGGTTAATCCACACTTGCTGAACACATGTGTCCGTGCCCAATGTCCCTGTGCATAGTGGCTACTTCCCATGGTTCACACGCATCTTCATGGCTCTTGTTTCTTCCATTCACCCATCCCATGTCCCTGGCCCTGTTCTCAGTGCTGAGGATGGAACCTCATTGCTGCTGCTTCCAGCCCTGGCCCTGCCCCTGTTTGGGGCTCAGTGCTTCATCCCGTGGAGCTCAAGGGGTGCTGTGGGTACTGACAAACTTGTACCCCATTCCTAGTTCAAATTTTTCTTTGCCTTTCAAAGGCACTTGGTGTGTGTTCATACATTCAACTAATAATGTTTGGATATCCACCACACATCAGGCACTGTTCTAGGTGCTGAAAACACAGTGCGGGGACAAGAACAAGGTCCCACCATCGTGGTGTCACATTCTGCTTGGGGAGACAGACAGTAAGCCATCAGCAGCTGAGTAGTAATACAGTGCCACGTGGTGGTCAGCACCGTGAAGAAGAAAGCCAGATAATGGCAGAGAGTAAGGGGGTGGTCAGGGAGGGTTGTCTCTGAGGATGTGATATTTCAGCAGAGACCAGATGAAGAGAGGGAGAGAGGGAGGCTGATATCTGGGGGAAGAGTGTTCCCTGGCAGAGGGAACAGCAAGAGCCAAGGCTCTACAGTGGCTCATATGGGGAGAGATTGAGAAAGCGTGAAGCCCACTAATGCAGGCGCAGAGTGAGACAGGACAATACAGTAGCAGAGCCTGGAAGTCCTCAGGGGGCATGGAGAGCCTTTGCAATTTTATTCCCAATGTGTTAGAAACATCTCAGAGGGGCTTGTGCAAGGGGCCGGCACAATCTGTGCCATGTTTTAAAAACTTGAAAGCATGAGTTTATGTATGTGCTGTCCCCCTCAGTTACGAGATCAATAGTGGCGTTTTTAGTGATGTTTTCTTAGGAGTTCTTTCTGTTGCCACTGCTATTTCTCAACACCCCCCTCTCTCCAAAGCCCACATTGTTTCTCTCATGGACTCAACTGGCTTCAACTAGAACTTACAGTCTAATAAGAGACACAACCAAGTAAACATTGGACTGCTGGTGATATGAACTGTGATAGGGCGGCTTTGGGGACTGTGGAAGCACAGAAAAGGAGCTGCTCAGACACAGAAAGCCAGGGATGGCTTCTGGAGGCCAGGGCATCTGACATGAGTCCTGAAGGGTGAGGTCAGCCGCATGAGAATGCTCTAGGCAGGGGAAACCACGCATGTGAACTGAGAAACCGTGACGCTGCTGTCACAGTGGCCTTGCCTGGGTCCTTAGTTCCCTCACCCCCATATCCTTCAGTCCCCACCTAGGCAACTCCAGTGCTAGCCAGGCTGGGTAAATCCTCTTCCACTGCTGAACACTGCTGTAGAAATTTGCCATCCCTGGTTCCAACACAAACTCACACTCTAATCCCAGCTGGATCTTTGGCCATTCGGTACTCCTTCTTTCCATGATAATTAACTGCCTGCCACATTCCCAGCAGCACGTATTCCAGGCTTCTATTTTCTTCCCACCTACCCCACTCACTGAGGGTGACCTGACCTCCTATTATGATGTGCCTCCCACTCCTCCTCCCACTGTGATCTCCACCTCAAAGAATGTTTGTCTTCAACCCCATCTCCTTCAAACGATCTCAGAAAGAGATACGATTATTCTTTTTGAGATTAACCCCTTGGAAAAAAAATTGAGCATTTATTTTGCCTTGCCTGGATTGTATTGCAGGGTAAGCAAAAAGCCCAGGTTGATAAGGGAAAGTTCTTTTTCATAAAAGCTTAAAAATTTGAATAGAGTGCAGAAGTAGAAAGTCATCTTTTTGCAATCCCATTTGGTTTAGGCAAAAATCATAAGCAGATGAAACAATCAGACGGTTTATTAATGGGGGACTTTCCATGGAGAGATAAAGCTGCCACAAGCTGATCCTGCTGCTCAGTTTTATCACGATCGCTAACAATGGCATCAACAATGCTATGGGTTTGCCGATGAGATGAAATATACAATGGGTGGCACTTTGCCTGCACATTGGAATTGTCTGGGGAGCTTTAACTACTGATGTCTGGGATCCATTTCCACTGATTATGATTTTAAATGCCTGGGATGTAGCCTGGGCATAGAGATGGTTAAAAACTGCCTCCAGCTGATTCCAATGAGATGCCAAGGTTGAGACCACTGCCAAATGAAGTACAAGGCTTCAGTGTGAACTGTGCTAGCTCCCGCAAGAGTTGAGTCTCATCAAGCCTTTCAAGTTCATCTGTAGCTGAAAATATTTTGGGGCATAGGGAAACAAGTTAAGGGACAATGTGAGGAAGACAAATCCAGAGTGTAGCTCGTTCTGTCCAGCAATGGACTCACTGTATTTTTTCAATAATCCAATACCTTTAAAAAGGGGAGGAGGGACAGTTACAAATTAAGAGATTCAAAGATATAAGAACCAAATGCAGGATTTTGGATCTCGAATGGAACCAATCATTTTTATACAACTGGGGAACCTTGATTATGAACTGGATATTAGATGCTACCAAAGAGTTAATGCTAATTTATTAGGTATGTAATGACATAGTGTTTATGTAAGAAGTGTTTTTTAAATCCATGGTTTTTTAGGTGTAAAGGGGCAGAATAATAGGGGGGCTAGGATTTACTTTAAAACATTTCAACAACAACAAAATGAAGCAAGTGTGACAAAATTTTAGGAATTACTAAATCTGAATGATGAGCATATGCGTGTTCATTATTTGAGTTTTTCATTTTTATAATAAAATAAAACAAGTGAAGCCCTCTGCATTTCTAGTGTGAGATATCATTAGTACTAGTATTATTACATCTGTTCCCTCACTTCATGATTGCCGCCGTAATCAGCAGCAGCAATAGCACCAGTCAGGTGTGATTGGGACTGTGCTGGTGCTGTAATTCCCCTGCAATCCAGTAGGGTGGATGTTGTTATCCTTGCTGTACAGATGAGAAAACTGAAGTTCAGAGGGATTAGGTCACTTGTTCAACATTGCCTGGCTAGTAAGGGGCAATCAGGATTAGAAGGCAGATGTAAGAGCCTCTGATCTTCATCACTATGCTCTGCTATTGTCTTCCCTCTTTCTCCTTGGCTCATCTCCTGTCTCTCCCTCTCCACCATCTCCTTCCTCTAGGCTCCTTCCTCCTGCAAGAACATTCCCTTCCACCCACCCCTTCTGTGGCACAGTCATTTCTTTCTTCTCTTCCCTCCCCCACACTGCTGGGAACAGTCATCTACACTTACCTGCCTTCTCATCCTCACACCCATTCATTTCTTAGTTTCCCATACTCTGACTTCTACTACCCCAAGTTCATAAAGACCTCATGAACACAACCTGGAGAACGCCCTCAGCCTCATCTCACCTCCCTGCAACACATGGCTCACTTGTCTGCTTCTTCCTTCTTAGAGTCCTCTCTCTGGTTGACCTGTCAAAGATGGGATTCTCCTGTTAACGACCCTGACTCCTTTGTCTCCTTCTACAAAGATAATGCACTGACTTTCCAAATGTACTAACTAGTATGATCATCACTGTCTACTGTTGCATCGAACCACTACTAACCTCAATAGGGAAGGCACCAGGTTCAAGAGGCCAAAGAAGAGACCCAGAGCCAGCAAATGAGACATGGGGTTTTATGAGGGGCTCACATAGAGGGGAGAGAGTCCAGTGGCAGTGGGCTGGGCAGGAGAACCACCTTACACGTGGTCCAGTGGTGGGAGGCTGGAAAAGAGATCTGTCTTGCCTACAGTTCAGTGGTGGCGGGTTGGGCAGGAAAACCACAACTGCCTGCAAACATCATGCAGTTTACATAACATTGTCACTTAGCAGCCTCCCCTAACGACCTCCACCTGGCAATCTTCATTTAACCCAAAACTCAAGGCCTCAATCCCCTGTATGGACCATGTTTCATGGGACAGGCCAGGGGCTCAGAAGTTTATCATAGATAAGGAATGAATCTCCGGGTTGGCCACTCCTGGATTCCCTAGCTTGGAACACACATTCAAGTGTATCTGCCATTCTGAGTGTATTCTTCAATTATTGCTGTCAGGTGTGTTGACCCTCTATCTACATAAGTATTTCTCAAACCAGGGCCCTACGATCAGCATCAGCATCACCTGGGGTATATGTGAAAAATGCAGCTCCTGGACCCACTCCTAACCTTTTGAATCAGACTCTCAAAGTTAGGTATGCATTTTTAATAAATTCTCCAGGAGATTCTTCTGTTCCTAGAGTAACAGTGCTTTCCCGGTAGCCCAGCCTTTCCAAGGCCTCCACCTGCCACTGGCAGGCTGATGACTCTGAATGCTGCAGATTCATTACAGTCTTCAGGCTTCTCTCTTGAAACCCAGTCTCCTGTTCTACTCCGTCCTCCTCATTCCCCACATATGATCCATTGCTCCACCCTGTTAACTTTGTTTCTGGGCCATTCCTTGTATCCACCATCTCTCATTGTCCCATTGGGCCCCACTGCCCTGCCCTTGGTGAAATTCTCACCCTCCCTCACCTGGTCTGTTGTCTTAGTTTTCTGAGAGGTCCCTTTGTCCCCAGACTCCCCCATCTACCAACTGTCCTCCATATCCCTGCAAGCATGTGCTACAGCGCTTGTCTAATTATATGGATTTCCCAACCCTGCAACATGCAGTGGTCCCCTACGGCCTGTTGAGGAAAATCCACATTCCTCCATGGCCCCACCCCCACCTACCTGCACAATCTTATCTTCCCTTTAGATTTAAAATGATCAAGACTAATACTGCTTTTTATTCTCCACACACATCAGTGCTTTGCTCATGAGGTCTCTCTTTTTTTTCTTTTTCTTTTTTAGATAGAGTCTTGCTCTATTGCCCAAGCTGGAGTGCAGTGGCATGATCTCGGCTTACTGCAACCTCTGCCTCCTGGGTTCAAGTGATTCTCCTGCCTCAGCCTCCCAAGTAGCTGAGATTACAGGCACCTGCCACCATGCCTGGCTAATTTTTTTTTTATTTTTAGTAGAGAGAGGGTTTTGTGATTTTGGCCAGGCTGGTATCAAACTCCTGACCTCAAATGATCCACACTCCTTGCCCTTCCAAAGTGCTGGGATTACAGGCGTGAGCCACTGTGTCCAGCCAAGGTCTCTTCTGCCAAGTATGTTTTTCTCCTCCTACCTTAGATGTGAAAATATTTTCCATTGGTGGCAGCTAGGCTCCAGCAAGCCTCCCCAGAGAACCCTGTTTTGTGGTCATGGTGCCATCATGGAATCCCCTCCCATTTGAATCTAGCTCCACCAATAGCATGCAGTGGAAGTGATATTGCGTAACTGCCCAGGATGGATCATAAAAAGACTCACAGCTTCTCCCTTGGCCTCTCAGAGTGCATGCTCTGAGGGAAGTTAACTACTATGCAAGAAGCTTGACTACCCTGAATTTGTCATGCTGTGAGGAAGCCCAGTTAGCCAAGTGGAGGGGGGCTATGTAGCGAGAGATACTCTGCCAGCCAACACTGCTCCAGCCATCCCAGAGGAAGTGCCAGACATGGCAGTGGCAAAGCCATTTTGGATGCCCAGCCCAGCTGAGCGTTTGGATGACTCCAGCCCCAGCTGTAACCTGACTGCAACTCGGTGGGAAACCTGGAATGAGAATCACCAGTTATCCCACAGAACTATGAGAGGGTATAATGAATCACTGTTTTAAGCCACCATGTTTGGGAGTGGTTTGTGACACAAGGATAGATTTCTGGAACAGCTTCCTTCTAAGGACAGGTCAAATACTCCCTCCACAGTGAAGGGATCCCCGAGCCCTTGGGTGGAATGAATTGCTGTCTTCCCTGTAGCCTTCACAGCTCTTGATGCCTGGCAGAGACTCACTGGGCTGACTCACAACAGTTGGGAAGGGCGAGGATTTTTGTCTTGCTCATCTATGTAGCTCTGGTGCCAATCACGGTTTGTGGCACGGAGTAGATGCTCAGACAATGTGTACTAAATTTAATTGATTTTCTTTCCTTTCTCTAGTCTCTCAAGGCAGATAGGCAGCCACAAGACCCAACAGAGATAATCAAGGAAACCTCAGAGTGCCTAGAATTGACTAGTGAGGCTGAATGTGCCAAATCAGTGCTGGAAAAGCTTTCCATAAGAGAGGAAAGAAAAACCTTTGAGCCAATGTTAAAAAAGCTGAACCAAAGAGGGATGGAGGAGGTTGGAAGTGACCATCACTCTTTGCTCATCAATAGCAGTTCAGTGTTTGTGGACCTGGTGCCTCCTGGCGAGGAGCATACTTCCCAACTCCCTGGACAGCTCCCATAGGTCCTGGGCTGGAGGATTCTAGTCCATCAGGGTGGCCCAGAGATATCCGCCACAGGCTGCCTTAGATGGATGCTACAAACACTTAGTTTACCAGATAGTGCCAGCCCAAGTCTTTTAATTATTGCTGAGTCTCAGCATCAGAAAGCCACCACAAGTGCCTCTTGTGGACCAGAAATAAATCTTCCATGTCATTATCCCCTCTTTTAAAGCACTCTCCAGGTCTCGCTCTAATCACCTCCATTCCCTTCTCATTAAACAACCCTCCCATCATTCTCATATTCTGCCAAATAATTTTAAGTGTGTTTTATGCAACTGCAGCTGTCACACTATACAGATGACAAAAGTCTCTACTTTGTTATAGGAGAAGAGTCTAATCAATGTGCCTTTATCCTAAGTGTGACTGTGGTGAGGCTCTTTCTAAGGAGTTGGCCTGTGAGACAAGTCGTTCTCCATCCTGGATGCATAATAGGATCCTGCAAAGCTTTGAAAATAAAACCTATGTCTGTTCTTAGCCCACATGATTAAATCAGAATCCCTGGGCACAGGGTCTAGACATCAATAGCTTTTCAAAAGCTCCCCAGGTGATTCCCATGTGCACCAGAGCTGAGAACCATTGTTCCGCAGAACATGAACGTTAGTGATGTCTGTGGTTCCAGGCAAACCCAAACAGTTTCCTGCCCTGTCCCGTTTCTTATCCATTTTTCTTACAAAAAGCTACAAATTAGCTTTTTGTAAAACATGCCTGGCCTTCCAGGACGGGAGGGACACGAGACAGACATGAAGCTGTTGCCAGCCAAGTCTTAACTAAATTCAGGTTCAGTCATATTACACGGGTTCAGTTCTGTTTCTTTAAACATTGCAACAATGGGATATAGTGTTTTGTGACAACTCTGAAAACCATAGCATGAAAAAATATCAAACTATTAAATGAAATAGCAGAATTTCCTCTCCTCTGTGATTGCAGCTGCATAAAAATATACATTTAAAAAGCCTAAAAATGAAAGCACAAAATGATCCTAATTTGGGTATTGGATGATTTTTTTTCTTCTTTCAAAACGTCTTTTGTGTTGATCGTTATACTTTTAAAACAAACAAACAAACAAAAAAACAAAAAAAGCAAATTAATGTCTGAATACTTGAATTTATACAGAGAATGACTTTCACACAGACCAAGAGGAAAACAGGTTACTGTGCAACCTATACAAACGCTTTCCCCTCTCTGGGCCTCAGTTTCCTGGCCTGCAGTTTGCACCAGAAGAGCTGCAAGGCCTCTTGCAGCCCCACACTCTGATTCCTGGCTCACATGACACCACTTTTATGAGACTAGTTATGCAAATGTTATCCAGTACGTTTCTCTTGGTGAGGAGTCAGGGCCAAGCAAGCTCTGAGACAAGCTGTCTCACCTCCTCATCTCCTGAGCACAACTCACCCACAGCTCTGCCCTCGCCTCCACCTACATCATGCCTTCCTGCATGCCAACTTCCCTCTGAGGTTCCCTTCACCCACTTACAACCACAGCCTCCTTCCGGACCTCCCCTACACGATGAACAGTCTGCCAGTTAATATACATCAAGCTGCCACCATGAAACAGCTCGGAAAGCCCCATTTGTTCTCAATAGCATTCCAGCTAGAAAGACCATCCACCACCCATGGCCACTGAAGAAGGTCCTCCCCTGAGTGCCAGGCAGTGGGGCTCCTAACTCTGGGCCCCAATTAGCTTAGCTTGGGGGAGCAAAGGACAGGAGCACTGTTCACCCAGTTGGACTAACAGCTCCACACTGTGCCTAATAGGAACCTCCTTCTCACAGGTGGCACCTTTGTGAATCAGGGTCTGTCCTGAGCCACCCTCCCTTGGAGAGATCTGAGCACTGAGAACCACAGAGCCTGGGACACCAGCACAGGGTTTGAAAAACTCCACTCCCAGTCAGCTGCGGTGGCTCATGCCTGTAATCCCAGCACTTTGGGAGGCTGAGGTGGGTGGATCACAAGGTCAGGAGTTCGAGACAGCTTGACCAGCATGGTAAAACCCCATCTCTACTAAAAGTACAAAAATTAGCCAGGCATGGTGTTGGGCACCTATAATCCCAGCTACTCGGGAGGCTGAGGCAGGGGAATTGTTTGAACCTGGGAGCTGGAGGTTGCAGTGAGCCGAGATCGCACCACTGCACTCCAGCCTGGGCGGCTGAGCGAGATTCTGTCTCAAAAAAATGGGAAAAACATCATTCCCATGTGTGTCCTGGTTGCTTGTCTCTTTCAAAGTACTGCATACTAAATGCTACCACCCACTGCTCCTTGTGTGCTGGGAGCTGCTTCAGACTTACTATCCCATTGAATGTTTTCAACAACCAAAATGGTAGGTACTATTATTTATAACCATGTTTTCAGATAAGGAAATTGAAGCTTAGACAAGTTAAATAATTTCCCCCAAACACACAGCTAAGTGGTAGGACAATTGGTTCTGAATTCAACCTGCTTGGATTTGAAGTCTGGCTCTGTCACTTACAAAGTGTGTGATTTTGAATGAATTATTAATCTCTCTGAACATTAGCTTGCTCTTCTATTAAATGAAGGTATTTATTTCTATTTATCAGGATGGAAGTGTAAGGATTAAATGACATAATCCATGTGAAATGCTTGGTACAATGTTTGGCACAGAATGTGAGTCCAATAAATGCAAACTATGGTTTTAGCCAGATGCATATCCCTCTTCCAGGCACTCAGAAATGACTTTCTGTAAGTGTTGACTTCATCTGGATGTGCCCCTTCACATGGGCTTCTGGCGTGCTGGGCTCCAGCTGTCACCATTTGTCTTCAAAAGTCCAGGCTTGAAGAAAGGAAATGACCAAACGCATGCACCAAATGCATCTCATTTTAAAGCCCACCAGCCCCGTGGACTTCGACTTCCAGATATATTACCTCCTTTTGTATTATTAGAAACTTGGTTGCCCCACACCAGTGGGGTGAGGTGGAATGCGGAGAGCAGACAGAATATTTATAAGAGATGAAATGAGATCACCTACCTAGAGACACACCCCAGAGGAAAGTAGGATAGTTCTAGAGCTTTGTGGATCAAACAGGCACTCTTTAATCCCTTCTGACACCTCCTTCTCCCCATGCTACCCAGTCCCTTGCTCCAGTCAGACAGAGACGGGAAACATTTTTTGCACAGCCAAAACAAAGCCACTCGGGATGTAAATAAAATAGTCTGAACACCCAGTTGATCCCTCTGCCTTTGAGACCGGAATCATCTGGAGGGTGGATAAACACTTTCCCTGCTCCAGCACTCGGAGAAATAAGGGAGCAATAGATTGCAGCAATGGCTGCTGGGAGTGTTCCGAACTCTGTGAACAATATGGAGACTGCTCAGTAGATTATGGAGGGGTAAGAGCTGAAGTGTGTGTGTGTGTGTGTGTGTGTGTGTGTATGTCTGTGTGTGTGTGAGAGAGTGTTTGTGTGTGTGATGTTAGTGATGTTAGTGATTTCAGAATCCAGGCCACTGATAAACCAATTGAGGTGTGGGTGACATGCAGAAGGGCCCCAGAGGTGTACTGCCCATCACATCCTTCTCCAGGGCACTGCTTGCTGAGTTCATGTCTTTGTCACTCAGCACTGCTGTGCCCACAATCTGTGGCTTCTTGGAGATTCTCTTTGTCTGTGTGGTCCTTGTCTGTGTGGGCAGCCCTGGGGGACCGCTGAGGTAACTCTTACCAGTAACTTTGACTCCAGAGTCCCCGGGGCCTGGGCTTCTGGGAAAACAAGGCTGTGTGAGTGTGAAACTCAAACTGAAAGGACTTTCTTCTTTTTTGGTTGCATTGCACTCTGAACAAAACTCACTGGCTTGTGACGAGCAGGTGCTGTGCAAAGGGAGGCATACCTCCTGCTACTATTCCTTCTCCTGGTGAAAGGCCACGCCCCCTCACTTGGCTCTCTGGGACATTTCTTCTGTCAGGAGGCCTCTGCAGCTGGAATGTTCGTCACTCTTTGAGGTTAGGCATCTTTTCCTTTCCTTTTCCTTTGGAAATCTGTGGTCCTCCCTTTGCTGTGACAAATTGCACGGTGTGGCCAGTCAACTCCATTCTGCCTCCTGGGAAGGCTCACGTGGCCCGGCCTCCATGAGGGCCCAGGGCCAGTGCAGGAGTCCTCGACTTGCAATTCTGCCCTTTTCCATCCAGGCTTTGTCCAGCTCTCCGTTCTGTTCTCCCATTCGGTGTCCCCTCCAGCCCCTTAGCCCCTTTCCAGCACATCATGCTCCTGCTTGAGGACTGAAGAGGAAAGAAAGCCCATCTGGGGAGGCAATTAGGGAAAGAGAAACAGAGGCAGAGAGAAGTAGAGACAAAAGATGAAGAGAAGGCTTCTGCCTGGGTACTGTTGCTCCTCAAGGGCCTGATTCTGGAATTTCCCAAATCCAGCTGTAATCCCATTAGTTAAAGTTAACTAACTTTTTTTTTTTTTTTTTTTTTTTTGACTGAGCCTCGCTCTGTCTCCAGGCTGGAGTGCAGTGGCGCGATCTTGGCTCACTGCAACCTCCACCTCCTAGGTTCAAGCGATTCTCCTGCCTCCACCTCCTGAGTAGCTGGGACTACAGGTGTGCGCCACCATGCACAGCTAATTTTTTGTATTTTTAGTAGAGATGGGGTTTCACCATGTTGGCCAGGATGGTCTCAATCTCTTGACCTCGTGATCCGCCGTCCTCAGCCTCCCAAAGTGTTGGGATTACAGGCATGAGCCACCACGACCGGCGAGTTAACTAATTAAATTTGCTTGCTATTTGTCATCCTCCAAAGAGTCCTAATAAATATCTCAGGCCCCTTCGCCCACCTTGCTAAGATTCTGTTGTGTGCACCTCCCCATTCTGAATGAAGTCTTCTCCAGGCAGAGTGAGCTGCTGCTGCCTCTCTTCCCACTGTGTTTTGTGCACAGTTCTGCTGTACATTATCCCATGTGTGGCTATGATCTAAGGAGCCATTTGCCCATTGATTTTCCCCATGACTTTGTGGCAAGGACTGAGTTTCTTTCCTGACTAGGAGCCAGGTATCTTCAGCGCAGCCTAGCACAGTGCTTGGCATATCATAGGTGCTTTATTAGTGTTCGATGAATCCATGAGCCAATGAACCAACAAAAGAATAACATGTTAGCGCAGCAAAATGCAAACAAGTTGTATGAAGCTGTCAAAAGTGCTTCTGGAAATTTTAATGTAATTTAAGTTTTAAGCATGCTATTTTGTGCAAGATACATTAGACTAATAGGAATACAGCCCAGAAACACATTAAACAGGGCTTTAATCATTGTCGCTGTCTATTGAGAGGACTTTCCCATCTTCTTTCTCCTAGTAACAGACTCCATCCCACTGGACAAAAAGGTGAGCACGTGACCCTGTCCTGGCCAATAGGAGTGGTTGCCTGATGTGAAGGGCCAATTCCCCACAAAATGAAAAGATCAGCTTGTTGGGGGACAGAGCAGCACCCTGCCCACTGAAGCAGAGACAAGCAGAGACGCGAGACAGATGGAGAGTTGGGGGGAACCTTGTGTCCTCAAGCCGGTTCCTTTGGCTCCTCTGTCTACCCTAGGGCTGCCCTTGTGTCCGCATTGGCTTGGAGAGCCCATGTATTCTCTTTCTTGCTTAAGCCAGTTTAAGCTGGGTTTCAAAAAGAATCCTAACTAATTCAGCATTAAATCTCCTGCTGGAATCTGGACCTGATTACCAAAGCTGTCCCAAAAAGAGATGGCTTTGTAATGCCAGCCCTTTGTTCCCACCTCTGTCTGATCAAGAGTTATTTGTGGACTTTGCCTTCCTTCTGGCTGCCGCTGATGTCTGTGACCCCAGTGACCCCAAAAAAAAAACCTCCGGGCTAGGTTTAAACATGGCCTTTATTAATCTCCTAGATGTGTGAGAAAATGAAAAAAGCAAGGTACAGTGTATAATCAGTAATGATTGATGTGCTGAAATAGGGTAGACATGGCCATAAAATGCATATACAAGCATGTAAGAATGGCAGCACCACTTGAGTGCTTGAATGTAACTCCTGTAGGGCAGCATTCTCAACTTTTCCACTTACTGCTCTATCCCCAGTGCCTCGAACAGGCACTCAATAAGTATTTATTGAATGAGTCCATGGAACCGAATGAAAGGAATATCCTTGAAGAAACACATGAGAAAATGGCATTCCTGAGCACCTGTTAGGGGGCAGGCAGGATGAGGGGTAGAAGAGGGATGAGAAGGAGACTGAGTACCATTCTATATTGTGTGCACTTTTAAAATTTTTTTTTTTTGAGATGGAGTCTCACTCTGTCACCTGGCATGCAGTGGCATGATTTCTGCTCACTGCAACCTCCGCCTCCCAGGTTCCAGTGGTTTTTGTGCCTCAGCCTCCCAAGTAGCTGGGTTTATAGGTGCGCGCCACCACACCCAGCTAATTTTTGTATCTTTAGTAGAGACAGGGGTTTCACCATATTGCCCAGGCTGGTCTTGAACTCCTGACCCCAGGTGATCCACCCGCCTTGGCCTTCTAAAGTGCTGGGATTACAGGCATGAGCCACCGTGCCTGGCCTTGTGTGCATTTTCTATACAGGTATCCTACCTTAAAAAAAAGAAAATAAAGCCAGGCGCGGTGGCTCATGACTGTAATCCCAGCACCTTGGGAGGCTGAGGCAGGTAGATCATGAGGTCAGGAGTTCGAGACCAGCCTGGCCAACATCGTGAAACCCCGTCTCTACTAAAAATACAAAAATTAGCCAGGCGTGGTGGTGCATGCCTGTAATCTCAGCAACTCGGGAGGCTGAGGCAGGAGAATCACTTGAACCCAGGAGGCGGAGGTTGCAGTGAGCCGAGATCATGCCACCGCACTCCAGCTTGGGTGACAGAGCGAGACTGTCAAAAGAAAAAGAAAGAAAAGAAAGAAAGAAAGAAAGAAGGAAAGGAAAAGAAAGAAAGAAAGAAGGAAGGAAAGAGAGAGAGAGAGAGAAAGAAAGAAAGAAAAGAAAGAAAAGAAAAGAAAAGAAAGGAAGGGAAAGAAAGGGAAAGAAAGCAGGACCCCTTGAGTCTAAAAATGGGTTGGAAAGAATCTGAAATCTGGTCAAGAGTATCTTCCTGGTACCGCACTCTTACAACAGAAGGGGAAGGGCTGGACACAGGACTAGTAGTACCTGCTCCCTCACCTTCGAAGAAGTGAAGTGAAGCCTTCCCTTTACACAGCATCCCTGCCAAGCTAATCTGCTTCTGGTTGTAAATATGGCAAACCTGGAGTATTTTCTTTCCATAAATAAATAAGGCTCCCACAAACAGCACAGCTCATTTGCTTTAAACACTGGAGCAACAGGTTTTCCTTCTGATAGCCTCTTGATACCCTGTCAACCTCATGGGATGTCGTTTCTGCTTTTTATGTTTGCTGATTTCACTGACACCTTTTGAAAAAGGTAGGCAGGCTTAGAAAAGAAAAGACCCTATGCATTTCATTTGGGCCAATTCTTTTACAATAAACATTCTTCTATTTCCAGAAGTACTACCAAATGTCCAATTTCAGTGCCGTCTTCAAAATAATGGGTAGCATATGAAAAAGAGAGATTTTGTACTTTTTGCCAGGAATTTTACATAACATATCTCATTTATATCCCGTAATAACTTCAGGCAGGAGATGGGACCACCCCATTTTGTAGAAACGGGGGCTCAGAGAGGCAGGTGGACAGCAGGGATTCCCACCAGACCTGTCTCTAAAAAGCACACTCCTTCCGCTCTGCCCCACCACCTCCCTCCATTTGCATAGCACTTGCAGTTTACAAGGCAGCTCATCTAAACTATCTAATTTAATCCTCACAACTCTAAAATCTAGGAATTATTTTAATTCTCATTTTACAGAAGGGGAAAATTGAGGCTCTGAGATCGGAGCACAGAGTCAGCATGACATAAGAGAGAAAGAGAACTGGTCTGTGCAGTGTTTGGGGGGCAAGGGTGGAGGGGGGTAGAGCCTGTGTCCTACTCCTGGCTTTGCACTTTGAACTTTGTGGTCAGTCATGCATTCTCTCTAGCCGTTTCCTATCTCCAAGGCAGGTCGATGGACGAGATGGTCTCATGTGCCCAGCAGCTCAAATAGTCAATGATCCTAGCAAATCTCTTGGTGTTCCTTGTAACCAGATTAGAACTTTAGTTACAAGGGGGAGCCCATGGAAACTTATGTATATAACCAGTTCCGGTGGGATATTTGCATTTGTTCCTACACTGAAGTTCACATTTCTAAGTTTCTACAGTTACAGTGTCTTAATCATAATGACACTGCTTCTAGAGTGCTAGTAAGATTCCTGTTGGAGCCAAATTGCTAATAGCACCCTGGGGATTTTGCAACTCTTGCTGTCATCCGCCTTTGGTGATTTTTTGAAAATCACATTTAAGTGTATTAAAATATCAGCTTTTTATTTAAAAAGAGGGAGCTCGATGCCAGTATCTGTACAAATGCAGAAAATGAAACTCTGTCCACCAGAAATAAGCCAGCCACATGGGTACCAACTCTACCGAGCTGACGGATACATCTGAAGAACCCAGCTCTGCCTGGCTGCCCGCAGCGGTGGGGGGGTTCCCTTTGCTAGTGGGAGTTGCCAGCAGCGTTGGCAGGCAAGTGTTGAATTAAAGCAGCAGCTGGAACCAGATATAGGTGGAAGCACATGACCCCCATCTGTGGCACAAAACTGGAGAGAAAAGCAAAAGAGTCACACAGGGTAAGGCAGTGGGGGCAAAATGGGCAGAACTTGTTTGAATCTGGGCTCTGTCACTTGTGACTTGTGATACTGGGCCATTACTTCATCTCTCTGAGCTTACAGGATGTGTTAGGCTGTGTTCCACTAAAACCAAAAACAAGGATTTGAGTAGAGGTAAGGTATTTGGGAGGTGACCCCAGGAAGCCCTGGTCAGAGAGTGGGAAAGTGAGACAGGAATGAGAAGAAAACCAGTGAAAGTTTGTCACGGAGCAGGTGACAAGTCTGTGGAGCTCAGCTCCACTGTGGATCTCTGGGAGACAGTGTGGAACATGCCTCAGGGTTGCCCCACCTGAGGGGTGAAGAAATGGGCATATTATCTTCCAACTTCCACCCATCATTGGTCAGGAATGATCCCAGAAGCATTAACTTCCCAGCATTTCTGGCCATCCCCATGCATTGGCTGAGAATTGCTGCAAAAATTGAATGGGCTTATGAGTCTTGACAAAAGGAAACAATCAAGAAAGTAAAGAGACAACCCACAGAATGGGAGAATATATTTGCAAACTACCCATCTGACAAGGGATTAATAACCAGAATATATAAGGAACTCAACTCAATAGGAAAAAAAAAATCTAATAATCTGAATTTAAAGTGGGCAAATGATCTGAGTTCACATTTCAAAAGGCTCACCTAGCCTTGAGTCCAGAAACCAGCTTCGGTCAGCACAGTGAAGATGGGTGGGTGCATCCAAGTTTGTAACTTACAAAGAGGAATAACTATCATAGGAAATGAACCCTTATGACTAATAGCAGTCACATTACTTGAAAGCCAAGTCAGAATCAGAGGTTTGCCTGAGAAACATGGAGCAGGATGAGGGATATTAGAGGACTCAAGTGTCTGACAGCTAGAAGCTTGAGTCCATCAGCAGTAGGTGAGTGTCCTGCTTGCTCCTGCCCAAGGGACAGCGACATCTAAAGGCACTAGCCAAGGCTTCCTCTTTCAGGAACAACACCTGGACATACCCACCTACTCATCCAACCTTGGTCCCCAGGACTCAACTTTTCTTATATTCTGTGGCTGGCCATGCCCCTTCTGTTTTTTGACTTGTTTCTGCATATAAGACATTTTTTGCTTCCAATCAGGATACAGTAAAACTGGAAGGATGGGGAGCCTATCTGTCTTATTAAGATGACTTTGAGGATCTCTGCTATATCCTTGATAAGGATACTTGATAACTTTAGGTCTTCAAGAGGACTCTTGTTTCTTTAAATTCCTAATGTATCAGTACTGGCAACAGTACACAAATAACCTGACACATAGTAAGTGCATGATAAATGCCCATTTAACAACAAACATTTACCCCGGTGATATGTGGGCAAAAGACACAGTCCTTGACCTCAAGGAGCTCACAATCTAAAGGAGATGAGAAACAACTACTCTGGATACTATGGACTGAGAAGCGGTGAAGCTGGAGTGTCACAGGAGCACTGAAGAGAGGTATGTTGTCAGAGAAGCCCCTGAGGGGACATCTAAGCTGTTAAAAATGATAAGGAGAAGACTCACAGAAAAAAAAAAAATGTAGGGAGGGTTATTCCCAGTGGAAAACAGCATGACACCCTTGGAAAATTATGTGATTCACTGCAAGTATATTCGATCGGAGGTGGGAGTCAGGGTACTGGGGGAGTGGAGAGCTATGAACCTTTGTGCCAGGTGGAATTAAGGGGCCCCTCTGCAGGCCTTAGGCTTTCCCAAGCCCCTTCCTCCAGCGGCGCTGCAGCCCCTTGCATTAGTCTGTTTTCATGCTGCTGATAATGACATACCCTAGACTGGGCAATTTACAAAAGAAAGAGGTTTAACTGGAATTACAGTTCCATGTGGCTGGGGAAGCCTCACAATCATGGCAGAAGGCAAGGAGGAGCAAGTCATGCCTTACATGGATGGCACCAAGCAAAGAAAGAGAGCTTGTGCAGGAAAACTCTCCCTTATAATAACCATCAGATCTCACAAGACTTACTATCACGAGAACAGCCTGGGAAAGACCCACCCCCATGATTCAATTAACCTCCCACCGGGTCCCTCCCACAACACATGGGAATTCAAGATGAGATTTGGGTGGGGACACAGCCAAACCATATCACCCCTCATGCCTGCTGGATGCCTCTGTGTACTGTGTCATGAAGTACATATGTCATGGTCCAGGAAGTTGGGATTTTGTTTGGCAAACACTTGGAACCCAGAGGATTAGAAGGGTTTAAATTAAGGATTTGACACACTCATGACTGTGTTGTAGAAAGAATGCTCTGAAGGCAGTGAGGTTCTTGATTTTTGAGGAGTGACAGAGAAGGCTGTGAGACCTGTGGGAGGACACACCAAGTACGTGTGCAGAGGCACAAGGCAGAGAGGCAGAGGATGGAGGATGGCTTTGAGAAATCCACAGAGGGTGGATTGGACAGGATTTTCTAACCAGCTGGATATGAGAGAAGAGAGGATAAGGACAGGATGATGGCTGGATCTTGAAGCTAAGAGAGAATGAGTCAGGAGAGGTAGATTTGGAAGTCATATGTAGGAAGAGAGGAAAGCTAAATCCATGAGAGAGTCAAGCGTGAAGAGGACCAAGAACAAAATGTCAGGGAACCCTGATATATTCAAGACAGGAAGAAATGTGCTGCAGTGGGGAGGAAGCTGAACAAACGTCTTTCTTTTCTCTACTAAGTAGAAGGTGGAGGTATCTGTGGAGGCCAGGCCATGTGATGGGGGGGACTTGGGGAGAGTGAGGAGGAAGCAGCTGCTGCTGAGAGTGGGTGAGGAAGCTGACTGGGGACATAGAGGAGGACTGCCAAGCACGGGTTGTTTTCTCCTGCCCTGACAGCTGCTGTCAGTCAGGGGACCAGATGGAATAATGAGGTAAGATTCTCCCAGCACAGAAGCTACACCCTGGGAGCAAAGCAGGTACTTCTAGTAAAGAATTTATTCCTCTGAACCACCAGAGGGCCACTGGTGCCTGATGGAGTAATTTGGTTACAGGAGTGTAGGAAGAAACTGTGAGATGTCCTCCCCAGTTACGGCCAGGAACAGGTCCTCCCTAACATTTGCAGACCTGGAGCAAGAATACAAACGGACGCCCACATACGCGACGTCTAAACATTTAGAATCTGTAAATTAAGCTATTCCTAGTGCCAGTCTGCATTCCTAGCTTGCAACCCAGAGGCAAAAGGAGCCAAGCCCTCCCCTAGGCCACCCCTGCTAACTGTGAACCTGGGAGTAGCTCAGATCTGCTGGGACAAGATGGCGCTAAAGCCGGACGTGGATTCCAGGACTCCCAGCTGATGACCTTCTGAACCCAGGATAGAAACTAACACAATCAAGATCCCCAGGAAGCCAAGGCAAATAGGTTTCACTTGTCATTTTCTCAACTCAGGATTTCCAGGTATTTCTAAGGACCTGCCAAAACTCCATCACTGGAGCAGAGAGAGGGGAAAGAGCACAGTTATCTTGGGGAAACTAGCCTGGCTATACACCCACTTTGGGTGGTTTGAAGCAACTATAAACCATAGTAGCCTTTCTGGAAACAACTCAATGTCCTTTAACTAGTGAATGGTAAAACATAATGGAACCAGCCTGACCAACATGGAGAAACCCCATCTCTACTAAAAATACAAAATTAGCCGGGCATGGTGATGCATGCCTGTAGTCTCAGCTACTCGGGAGGCTGAGGCAGGAGAATTGCTTGAACCCAGGAGGTGGAGGTTGCGGTGAGCCAAGATCACGCCATCACATTCCAGCCTGGGCAACAAGGGCGAAACTCCGCCTCAAAAAAAAAAAAAAAAAAAAAAAAAGAAAGAAAAGAAAAGAAAAAACAATGGGATACATCCATACGTACAGTAGAATGTCTACATACAGTAGAATAATACTCTAATAAAAAAGAACAAACCACTGTGCATGCAACAACATAGATGTATCTAAAGAGCATTATTCTAAATGAAAGAAGTTAGACACAGAAGTCTACATACTGCATGATTCCATTTACATGACATTAAAGGCAAGCTATGGGGAGAGGAAACAGATCAGTGATTCCACAGCAGGAAGTGAGGGGGCAGGGACAGAGATTAACTGCAAAGGGACATAGGGAGTTTAATTGGGTGATGAAAATGTCCTATGTTTTGATTGTGTTGGTAGTTAGCCAATTGTATGCATTTGTCAAAAGTCAGCAAACCAAACACTTAAAAAGGGTGAATTTTATAGTTTGCAAATGATACCTTAATAAAGCAAACCCCTCAAATAAGTAATTAGTAAGCAATTGATCAATCAATCAGACCCTCTTTCTCTAGTTTCCCAGAGAAGAGGCTGTGATTTTCTCCTTTCACCCACCTCCCTACTTGAGCATTCAGATCCGTATCCCCTAGTCTACAGAGTGTATTCCAGCCCATTGCCCTCTCCCATAATTTCCCTTCGCCCAACTGGTTACCAAACCAGACAGAGAGAGACAGAAAGATTTAGACAGGAAAGACAGAAAGTGTTTTTTTATTGTAGATTTTGAGATATGTAGGAACCTCCCCAAGGCAGAGAAGGGCTCCTCTTCCCAGGGCCTAAGGACAGTGTGAGAATGTCACTGCCTGAGAGAATCTGCTTTGATAAATCTAGGCATAGGTCAACTTTTAACATCCTATGGATTTTTCTCTCATTTAACACACAACTATTTGATAACAGACATTCTATGAACACTGAATTTTTGTTGAAATTTTGAGTGTACATTTTAAAAACAGTCCCATGGTCATTTAAAAGTGAATATTTTCCCCTAATCTACTGGTTGTGCAAATTTGAAATTTTTCCTGATTAGATTTGCTTAAAAGGAAAGGTGCCTGAAGAGTATGCCCCGAACCTCCATTGTGCTCTGCAGATCTGCCAAATTCATCCTTCCACTATGGCAGGACCCAGACAGAAACCAGAGAAATGGAGGGCAGGAGGGCAAAAGATCAGCAAAACCATGGATAAATACATTTATTATTTTTTTAATCTAACTTTAAGTTCTGGGATACATATGCAGAACATGCAGATTTGTTACATAGGTATACATGTGCCATGGTGGTTTGCTGCACCCATCAACCTGTCATCTAGGTTTTAGGCCTCATATGCATTAGGTATTTATCCTAATGCTCTCCCTCTGCTTGCCCCCCACTCCACGACAGGCCCCAGTGTGTGATGTTCCCCTCCATGTGTTCATGTGTTCTCATTGTTCAACTCCCACTTATGAGTGAGAACAGGTGGTGTTTGGTTTTCTGTTTCTGTGTTAGTTTGCTGAGAATGATGGCTTCCGGCTGCATCCGTGTCCCTGCAAAGGACATGAACTCATTCTTTTTTATGGCTGCATAGTATTCCATGGAGTATATGTGGCACATTTTCTGGATAAATACATTTCTATTTGTCTTCCAGGTGCATACTCATAGACATTCACACTTTCCCCCAACTCTAGCACTCCACTTCCCACTTGTATTTCACTAACATTACTTGAAACCATAGGGTCCACTGAAAGCATGCCTTAAACTTGTGTGAGGAAAATGGCTTTCTTGAAATTGTCACATCACAGAGAAGACTTTTGGCATGAACCCCCATCACACCAACAGGCTGGTCTTAAATATGGGGGTCTAGAAAGTCTGTAATCCACCTGAAAGTCACAGAGCCTTTTCTGTGATTCAATTTATTCATGAGTAAGATGGGAATAATGATAATTATCTCCTGTTTCTCACATAATCATGGTGAGGGTCAAATGAGGTATCGTATGTCAAAGAGCCTTACAAACTCTGAAATAGTATGTGCAAATATGAGCTGCTGCTAAGTGGCTGCAAGACACAGTGAGTGTGGCAGGTAAATGTGACTCCCTCACAACTGCTAGCACCTCTGGCCTTTAGGGAGGCCCCAAAAGCTTATGAGTGGTTCTAATTTATAACTAACTTGCAGGTAACCCTCTTCCCCCTTCTTTCATCCTTTCCTCTCCCCCTGCTCACAGAAACAGTCTAAAGATTCATCTTTCTGTCCTGAGTGCTGGATCCTGGAGTACTAGCCTAGCCAGGGTCACCAGGTTCACTGTGAGCTCAAGCAAACCATCCAGTGTGTACCCAGAAATTGTGGAGGTCAGCACTACAGCCAGGCCCCACCATTGTTCTGGCCCCACGGTTCAATGGACAGGCTAATGTGGCCTGTTCAGGGGGGTGGGGGCATGAACAATAGGAATAAATCTCTGCCTGCTGTGTCCCAGAAGGCAAAGTGCTGGCAGTATTTCCCCTGAAAGCTAATCAATTCCAGAACCACTCAACCAGGGTCCTGAGACTCACAAAGGGGCACACTGGTGCTGGGGAAACAGGACCAAAGTGAAAGGAAATGAGATCATTTAGGTGAGATAAGACCAAGTGGGCAGCACAGGCCTGGCAGAAATAGAGTGAGGAGATTAACTTCCCCTTTCTGTGCAATCAGCTACCCCCCTCAGCTGCACAGAGCTCTCTGGCTCTCCTGTACTCCCTACCACTACCTCCCCTCCCCTCCCCTCCCCAACCTCCTCCCCTCCACTTACTCCCAGAAATGATCTCATAAAATCATTGATTATTAACGCAGAGAGGGGTTGGAGAAACAAACAGCCCTCTAGTTCCCAATCTGTTTACCACAAGGGACTCCTCTTAGGTCTCCTCCTTCCAGAGATTCCATATTTTAAAACAGCTGCCTTTATTCAGGACCTGCTCCTTTGGGTCATTCACCGGGCTAAGGACTTTTCTCTTATTATCTCATCTAACGCTGCAAAGTAGTTATAACTACCTCTATTTTACATATGAGAAATCTAAGACTAAGAGAAGTATGTTTGCCCAAATCCTGCAACTAGAAAGTGGGAGAGGTAGAATTCGACCTAGGTCTGTATTGTCTTTAAGGCCCTGCAGGCTTCCAGCATTTAATAAATAGCTCAGGTGCCCAGCAATTATACTTCTAGGTATATACCCAAGATAAATGAAAATACATCTCCACATAAAAACTTATACACAGTCCGGGCACAGTGGCTCATACCTGTAATCCCAGCACTTTGGGAGGCCAAGGCAGGAGGATTGCTTGAGGCCAGGATTTCAAGGCTGCAGGGTGCCATGATCATGCCACTGCACTCCAGCCTGGGCAAAAGAGTGGGACCCTGTCTCTGTTTAAAAAAAAAAAAAAACAAAATAGCCAAAAGGTGAAAACAGCACAAATGTCTATCTACTGATAAATGGATAAACAAAATGTGGAATTTCCATACAATGGAATATTATTTGGTCACAAAAAGAAATGAAGCAACAACATAGGCCACAATATCTGTGAACCTTGAAAACATTTTGCTAAGTGAAAGCAGCCAGTCACAAAAGACCACGTGTTTTATCATTTCATTGACATAAAAGGTCCAGAATAGGCAAATACATACATACAGAAAATAGACTCGGACATCTACAGAAAGTAGTTCTTCAGGACTGAGGGGCTGGGGAGATAGATAAGGCAGTGATCCCTAAAGGGTACTGGGTTTCTTTTTGAGGTGAGGAATATGTTTTAAAATTGCCTGTGGTCATGATTGCATACAGACAACGGTAAGGATACTAAAAACCACTGTATTGTATGCTTTAAACAGGTGGATTTACGACATGTGAATTACATCTCAATAAAGTTATTTAAAAAGAAATAGCTCATTCTATGATAGACAAGTTACCATGGTTCCGTCTTGAAAGTTGAGAAGCAGAAGTTGCACGGTACAGTGGAAAGAATGAGAGCTTTGGAACCAATGACCTCAGACAAGTTGTTTAGCCTCGTTGAGCCCCAGTTCCTCATCTGTAAACTGGGGTTAGTAAGCCCCAATCTCACTGTTTTTACAGTATATGGGGAAGCCCCAGCCTCTCCTGTTCTAAAATTGCCTGACTTTGAAGTTTGAGGCTTGAAGGAAGAGGTAAAGGTGTGAGGTGTCTGTGGACAGAAAAGTTTCCCTTGCTCTGAAGTCACGCCCATGAGGGATTCTCCTCTCCTGTGTGTGCCAGAAGCTGGTCACCCAAAGCTCAGTGATTAGCTGCCCTCTGTCTCCTGAGGAACCTCAGAGAAGAGAGACAAAAATAAGGGAGACTTGCGTGAACTCTAGGGACAATTCTGCTGGCTGTGGAAATTGCTGGGAGCTAGAACCAAGGGAGCTAGAACCAAGGGAGAAGCTTATGGGAGAGCTAAGAAAAGGCTGAACTCCCGTGATAACAAAAATATGGCTCTTTTTCAAGGTAGTAGGATGGGTTGGACCATTCTGATATATTTCTTCCCAATTATGAGGCATCTGCCAAAAATGCAGAAATGCTTTTCTGAAAACAACTAGGGGGTAGAAACAGGGATTTAAAAAGCTAGACAAGTTAAAACACACACACACACACACACACACACACACACACACACACAAAACTGATAATAGCAGTACTTTACTACTCAGAAACAGTACTAATATGACAACCATGGTGGTAAAGAACTGGTGACCCTCATTATAACATAGATTTCATACTTGCAAATTCACCCACTCCCTCCAATTTCATTGTAATCGCAAAATCACTAATCGTGGTGCTCTTGTGATCATTTATGGATATGAGCAGAGCAGTGAAAAATTTGAGTCATCCAATGAGTATATTCCCAGCTAAGGTCGAACAAATGCTCCCCCTTCTTGTTTCAGCTCCCATACTGTAAACAAGTCTCCTTTCAACCCATTTAGTGTCATGCTTTCCGCATTGCACTGTTCTTCGTTGGTAATTTCACTGTTGAAAACATCCCCAAATGTAGTGCTGAAGGGCTGTCTAGTGTTCCTAAGCATGAGAAGGCTGCGACGTGCCTTACTGAGATACCTGTTAGATCATCTTTCTTCAGGCAGCAGTTAGAGTGCTGCTGGTCCTGAGCTCCATGTTAATGAATCCACAACATATATTCAAGAGTCTTTAAAGAGAAACACATATGAAAAAAGTTTATGCATTGATCAGTTGACAAAAATGTGACCAGAGGCTTACAGGAACTTAACCTAGTATTTTATCTAAGAGCAATAATTCAATATTTGCAATTCAGTGTTTGAGGTATTTTTATGGAGTATAATTACAGAAAATAATGAGAATTAACTGTATATGCTACATATTTTTCACATATTATCTCATTTTAATGCCCACAGATTAGGTGTTATGTTAGTTTCACAGAAAATTGAGGATATACATGTTAGATTATGTGACTTAGAGCTAACATATGGAAGTGGCAGAATTTGAATCCATTTCTGTCTAACTACCCAAAGAGGAAGAGAACTCTTTAGCCCTTTGACTGGAGAGTTGGCTCTTAGGGAAAGGTAGCCAGTCATCCATATCAGGGCTGGGCCACAGGGAGAGCTGAGCTTAGTTAAGAACAGCATAGATCAGAGAAAAAAGATGAAAGAACTGAACATAATCCTCCAGCTGTAGTCTGCACTGGTCAGACTACATACAGCTATGACAGTGGGGAGAGAGAAATGACCATTAGCTCGAAGAGAGGCACCAGGATGGTGAGGAGTCTGGGAGCCCACACATGAGGAGAGAAAGGATGAAAGAAACAGGCATTGCTCAGTGTAGAAATGCCAGCATGGAAGCAAACTGGAGGCATCTTTAAATACCTAAAGAGCTATATCCTATGGATGAAAACTAGGATTGCAGGTTGAAAGCTTCAGGGATCAGATTTTGGCTCAATCTAAAAAACAATTTCTGATATTCAGAGCTGTCCTACAGCCAAGATTGGAAACTGGTGGTCCACAAGCCACATTCAGATGCAGATGTATTTTGTTGGTGTGTAGTGATTTAAAAAAAAAAAAAAGTATTTAAATGCCCTTCTATTGGGGAATGTGCTCATTTTCACAGCTTGCACCACTCTCTGCTCTTAGCCCCATGTCACTCCTGTGTAACTTGCCTTGTCCTTGAAGTAGGGTTGTCAGATTTAGCAAATAAAAATATAGGATACAGTTAAATTTGAATTTCAGACAAATGACAATTTCTTAGTGTAAGTATGTCCCATGTAACATTTGGGACATACTTATGTTTATTTTTCTATCCCAATAGACAGTGAGCTCCATATATGGGAATATTCAGAGACTTGTCTTAGAGAAATTCTTGTGATGGAAATAGGGTTAAAATGGTTTAAGGGTGCCCTTGCTTTATTTTATTGAGATCCCCCATTTCAGAGCGATAAAACAATAAAAGGTAGGGGGAGATAACTGAATTATCAGGTGCTGTTCTGGGTGTGGGTGACAGGTAAGACACCAGCTTCTTGTCCTAACAGCTGAATGTTCTACCAAAAGAGCTGGGACTGACTGATAGATAAGGATATAAAGTGTTTTTGACCTCTAATATCAATTGTTAGTCAAATTCCTTTTAAGCAGAAAGTTGATTGGTGTGTCTGCAACTGGAGAAAATGATAGCAATCTCTTTCTGGACCAAGGCATGAACCAGGAGGCATGCAACACTCCAAAATAATAATCCTGCTTTTATCTGTCAAAAGCCATCTTCTACTTCTCTGAAACTGTGGTTAGTCATCCTGACACTTCTTGTTTTCCTACCCTGCTGCCAGAACTGCTTTTCTAGTTGAACAGACTGTGACCAACTCACCAAAGAACATGGCAAGCAGTTGATATGAGAAAAGAGACTGATACTAACTTACTTATCACAGCCTATTTCTTTGGCAAAAAATCAGTGGATTTCTGAGGTCACTTCCAGAAATTATGCCTCTAAAAGTAAGTGTCAGTAGTCCTTGGTCATCAGCTAGTTTTTTAATGTCCTCCTGCTGGTGTCTGGGGAATTAGAATGTTTGTGTTGGATGAGACTCCAGAGAGCATTTGGCTCAACTCCCTTGTTTTGGAGATAAGGAAAGGTAGCTTCATGGTATGGTGGCAAGATCCAGAGCTGATGGCTGCAGTCAGCTCACAGGCCAGAGCTCTTTGCAGCTCAGCAAATGGCCTCCCATTCCTTCTCCATTTGTCAGGTTTCCCTCCCTTACTTACACCCACTTTTTTCAGTCTCTCACTTGAAACAGACAAAATGACAAAAGGGAGGGGAAGATAACAACATGAATAAACATATTTTGGGGTGAGTATGCACTGTGCACTATAGAGTATACACAAGGGAAATTTAGCAATTCTAATTTGTCCTTTTGGGGAAGGCTCCTAGATGACAGGGGCTTTGCTATCTCATTTACAGATGGGTGCATTCTGCATATCCCCAGGTTCACTTGTATGTTCACTAAATACTCCTGGCCATACTGTTTCCTTCTTCATTCTTCTCTTCAAGATTAAATAAAATCTCAGGGGTTACTCAAAGCAAGTAAAACTTGATAAAACTCCATTTCAACTATTATAATGTAGGGACACTTTTAATATGTCCTTTCTTTACACAAAAAATCTAAACTTAGGATTGAGAAGTAACTAACATAGCAGGCTTTAGATCTTAAACAAGGACTTCAGATGGCTTATGGCTCCACCATTTTCAAATAATAACCCTATTTTCACTGGCTGTTCTTGATAGACACTCTGTCCCCTCAACTGGAACATCAGAGGACCCCGTCTTTTCTACCTTTAAAAATTTTCAGGGGCTTCTACAGACACTATATGCACAGATCTCCAGCCAATGTGTTGAATGTATGTGTTAGAAAGCAGAACAATGACTTTGGGAGCAGAAGTAGCCTGGACTGAATCCTGGCTCCTCCATCCACCAACTGGTGAATTTGGGCACATTTTAAATTTCTCTCAGTTTCCTTATTTATAAAATACCGAAAAACTACCTCTCACAGGGTTGTAAGGAGAAAATGAAATAATGTAGGCACTCAATAAATGGTAGCAATTATTACTGTGCCTGTTGAATTAATGCAAAACATAAGCTAAAGGAACCACCACATGTCAGTATGACTTTCTAACCTTTTAATGAGATCTCATTTTGTTTGGCACAAAGATCTAGATTGGTGATCTGGCAGATGGGTAGCTTTGTGTGACTGCCCACTGTGGCGAGCACTGTATTGCTGGTCCCTAGAAGCATTTAAGGAGAGGCATTATAGTCAGCAGTGGGATGCATGCCAACTGTTTTATTGATGATGCCTATTTGGACCACAAGGCCAGCCAGCATTTGGGCCCCAGGAAGAATATGGCCCCATTCATGTCATTACTCCACAATGCGGCGGAAAGACTGGACAGCTGGGGAGGCTGCACCCCAATCGATGGGCTTCCGGTACTCCTTCTTGTCCAGGAGGTACTGCCTGCCACGGTAGTTGGGTAGCTCATAGAAAATCCAGACACCCTCCAGCACCTTACAGGAGTGGATCTCTCGCATGTGAAATTGCTCCATGATGGAAGGGCAATCTTCGGTGGTTTCATACATCTGACCACTAAAATCCCCTTTCTCAAAGATCTGAATCTTATACTGGCCTCCACTAGGCTGAAAAGACACAGGAGAAAATGAACAGAAACCATTATGGAAATCACCAGCAGGTCAAGAACTTAGAGAACAGTATTGCTCAGAACTTATCACCTTGAAAGCTAGATGATCTGAACTCCCATCTCACCATGTACTGACTAAAACAGCTAACTTTCAATAAGAAAAAATTAATTCTTCAAAACACTCAAGAGGCAGAGACAGCACCCTGGAAATTAGTGTAGTCATTCTAGTGATGAGCTGCTCTAAGATGTTACTCAAGCCTCAGCAGCCAACAAGCAGCTACTCATTAAGAGGTAGAGAAGACTCAAGAAAATGTTCACCTAAAAGCAAGAGAAAGCGGACAGAGGGCGTGGGAAACAGAGGGAGTACACAGTCCCCAGACTCACCAGATGAACAGCTCTGCAGGAGCTGAGGCGGTCGTTGAGGCCCATCCAACGCTGGTATTCAGGGTACTCTCCCTGTGGTAAGATGTACATGTACCCAGCAAAGTTGGGCCTTTCATAAACAGCCCAGGTGCCTCCTTCCACTTTAATGGAGTTGCAGCGACTTAGGTATGTGTGGAAATCTGCACAGTCGCAATCACAGTCATAGCGACGGCCTTGAAAATTTTTGTCTTCATAGAAAGTAATCTGAAGTAGAGGGCCAACAGAGAAAGAGCTGAGGAGCTGGGTGGCTTAATTCACAGATAAAAATTAAGAACATAATGCCTACTTTAGAAATTCCTTTCACCTCAATTTTGAGGAAAAATATGTAGCTGTACGTCACCTTACAACATTGCTTTCTGACAGACAACTTCAGTTGTCAACAACAGAAATGAGTTCTTCCTGAAGGCTGAACATGAAGCAAAACAGAAGAGGGCTCTAATAGAAGTGAGCAGTCTCAGACTCAAGTTCATTTTCCTTCCTTTATGTTCCCACAGCTCTCTGTACTTACATCATATTATAAATTATCCATTTATATGTCTACCCCTCCCACCAGAATCCTAGCATACTTTTTCCAAGGGCAAGTACCAAGCCTTATTTGAGCTATCAATCCTCTGTGCCCATCACTTGACTTCAATAATTGTTTCATGAAGATGACTCCTAGGTGATATGGAGGATACATAGAGAAAAATAAAGCATGAACCTTAGCTTTACAGAGCTTATTTTAGATAGATGTAGAGCTTTCATACATGAAAATGTATCATATCATGTTCTTTATTATTAGTTTATTGCCAACAGAGTAGTTGCAAAGTAACAAAATGATAAGAATCCTCTTTGCCTCCAACGCTTATCAAGTTTCTACCACAATGCCTGGGGTAAGTCTCTGATGGCACTGAAAAATATGCAGCCCTGTGAAAGCAGAAACAGTAAGTCTGGACTACAGAGCTCCCTCTCTACAATTAGCCTTACTATCTTCATCCAGCCACCTCTCTGAGCTTCAGCTTCCTATTTGAAGACTACAGCAGACTGGAAGTTCTGGCTTTAAAACAACTCTCAGAGCTTTTCTGGCTGAAACAGGAGACAGAGTTCCTAGGAACTCCCAAGGATTCACCAAGCAGTTCCTGAAAACCACGATGAAAACTACAAATGAGCTACAGAGCTTGTCCCTTGTTATTCAATAATTCCACAATCTTTTCATCTTTTTTTTTTTTAAGATGGAATTTCAGATCAATGCTAGGTTATAAACTGAAACCACAGGTGTCATGCTTCGAACCGTTAATTACCTGGCATTATGCCGCCACCTTGTGGCTGATTTACTTTATGGATTTCACGGGCGAAAACTATGTGAGTCATTTCAGATGAAAGGAGCAGAGCCGGATACTGTCTTGAGAGGATCTTTGAGCTGAGCATTGAAGGATAAGTAGGTGTTTTCCAGAGGCAAATGAAAAGGAACAAACATGTTTAAAAGAATAAAGTGAAAGAACATGGCCCATTATAGGGACAATAAGTAGTTCATTAAGTCCAGTACATATTGAATATGTGGTGAAGTACTAGAAAATAAAGCCAGAAAAATGACACCAGAATCATGCTGGAATCCCTTTGGTGATTATGAGTGAGTTGGACTTAGTAGTGTGTGCCTAGAAACGGATGGCTGCTGTGGGCCAGGTGAGAGATGATGAGGGCCAACCAAAAGGCAACTCCAATGTGAATGATGATGAGAAAACAGTAAAGAACTTCAGGATTTGGTGACTAATTAGATGGAGGGAATGAGAGGAAGAAACGAAGAATGACTCATAAAAAGCTATAAAATCTCATTCTCCTCTATCCTGGGTAGTTCTTTCTATCTAGATACTAATATACTAATAATTGTTTCCCTCCACCTTAATCTTTCCCTTCCCTTCCCATTTATCTCAATTATTCTCTTTCCTGTTCCCTAAAAGGGTCCCTTTTCCTTCCCACCCCTAAATCATCTACTTCCTCTCCTTTATCCCCTGCCCAAATTTCTTTATGTGTTTCAGTTCCCTTCCCATCTTAGCACAGTACAGATTTAGATATATGGTACCTCAGTTTACGGATGAAGAAAAAAAAGAAAAGTCTCAATACTACTGCTTTCTTGCTACGTGACCTTGGACAGGGCAATGAACCTTTCTCTACAGCTCTTCATTGGCAAAACAGGATGATAGTGTCTCTTGCAGACGGTATGCTCTGAGGGTCCAAGGGGATGTTGATAAAGTACTTAGTTGAATAGCTGACTCATGATTAGCAATAAGCTTTTGCTACAGTTTTTACAGATGAAGAAGTTAAGTGATTGGCCTAATGTCACTACCTAGTTACAAGTTAGTTGCAGACAAGCTGGTGGGCTGCAGTGCAAAACTCCTGGTGAGTAAACTATTGTTCACTTTATTTTCCTTTGCTGTCTTTCTGCCTGCCCAGTTAGCTTCGTTTAACATGGCAGCACTTACTCTCTTGGACAATGACCAAGGCTGGGCCTAAGCCTCAGGGGCTCTTCCTCATGACCTGTGGAGAGATCTTTAGGAAAGTCAAATAACTTCTCTAAGAATGGATAGATTCTAAACTCCTTAATTCATATGTTCTATTTGCCTTTGGTTTTTGACCAAACAAGTCACTAAAAAGAGCCTTTGCAAAAGATATCCTATGGGAAATGAAGTTAATAATACCATCTATTTCACTTCATAGTTTCTCACATTTACTGCCTTCTGCACATTTGCGTGACTAATTATCAATATCTGCTAAGTAAAAAGATACATGATGCCTGATACGGTCACCTGATGTCCACCCTCCCAGGAGACCAGCCAACCATCCAAAAGTTGAAACAAAGCCCTCATCCTGTTGCTATGGAATCATTACTGAGCTCCAAGACTAAGCTCTCCTTTCAGTGGGAGACCTTCTATATCTCAGAGCCAGAGAATGTTGCACCTAGCTGTGCTCAATTTCTTTTTGTAGAATAACCATGAAATCCATGCTATTGTCAGCCTAGAGGTTTTGACCTTTGGGCAAAATATTTTGTAGAGAAGGCTAAAGAAATGTGCAGAAAGTTTTCCTAGAAATTATTACAAAATTCCTATCATTATCAGGTTTATTTTTGGAAAAATGGCCTACTAATCCAATGCAGCAGAGAGAAAAATATCTTGAGTATCCCAGAAGTAATGAAAACATACTTAGTAAAATCTATTCCTTTTGCCAAGCCCATAACTCCTCTGATTAAACTGCTATCAAGATAGTGGGAAAGGAAGAAGCAATGAGAAAAAGTAAGAAATAATTTACTATCTCCTTTACCCTAGCAAGCAAAAGTTATTTAACTAAATGAACGACTCATCTATAAATAAAAAAGAGTACACTATTACTACTCTGCAAATCTTTAAAAGCAGATGTTTTCATCTAAGATGGTTGTAGAACAGCTTTACCTCAAGATACATGGATATCCCTCCTCTAAGGACCAAAAATTCTTTTTTAGTGGGATTTGCATGGTATATTTTCAAGAACCTCAGAGCACTGAAGACACTAATTTTTCTCCCCAAACCTCCTGAATGACAAGCATGATTATTAGTTCTATTTTCCAATGAAAAAAAAATCAAGCACTAATAAATTACAGAACAAGTTAACAGGTACCTTCTGACCTGATGCAACAGGAAGTACACAACATTGCCTATGTAGCTTTCTTGCCAAATATATTTATTCTGAATCTAAACATGAGGAAACAATTAGACAAATCTAGATTGCAAGACTTTCTAAAAGACATCTAACCTAGGCTTTGAAAAATGTCTCAAGAACAACAACAAAAAGGGTAGAGGGACATTTTTAGAGAGGCTAAAAAAAACTAAAGAGAATAAAGAGACATGACAACCAATTACAATACATGTTTTTCACTGGATCCTGTATTAGGGGAAAAGTCCACCATGAAGCACTTTTCTGGGGACAATCAGGGGAGATTTGAATATGGTCTCAATATTAGCTATTATATTTATGATAACTCTTGGGGACATGCTAGTGATACAGTGTTTATACAGGGAAATGCCCTTGTTTTTAGGAGATACATGCCTAAATACTTAAGGCAAAAGTATAATAAAATCTGCTACTAATTTTCAAATGGTTTAATAAAGAGAGATGGAAATAGGAGAGACCAAATATGGCAAAATGTCAACAACTGGAGAATATAAGTGAAAGATATACAAATATTCATTCAACATTTCTTTGCCATTCTTTGAGGATTCAATGGGTTTGAAAATTTTCAAATAGCTGGGGGTAAAAATCAGGCAGCAGTTTTGTCTCATCAGTGGAAGCGCAAAAAAGAAAATGAAAGCATATTCCCTCATTCCCAAAGCCCTACCTGAAAGAATAATTTCCAATCCAGTAATTGTGAGTTAAATATTTTAGAGGCAATTTTCTGACTGTAAGGGAGCACTTTATTTGAGGAACGAGTAAAAATAATTGCTTGAATGGAAGAGAGATGTAGGACTTTATTCACCTGATTGGCCCATCCACTTTGGCCTTTTAGAACACAAATGGTTGAGGCTAAATTTCAGAAAACAAAATTTTAATTGATTATTAAAAGTTTTCTGCTCAATATAATCCCCATTAGCATGCCTTATTCCTATGGAGAATATCAGTTGCATAGAATATTAGTTGCTAGAAGGCAGAAATAATAATGATATTTATAAATTACCTGTATAGTATTTAACATAGCACCATACATAAAGATAAACCCTTAATAAAGTGTTCGGTAATTCTGTTAAGGGTGGAAAATATAATAAGCATTTCTTAATCTTCTCTCTCAATCCCAGTTCTCTAACCACTATCATACTCACCTCTAGGCAAAGAAGCAAAAGCTTTTCTGTGTGTTGAATGCATCATTAGGTGAAAAGCGGGTAGGCTAAAAATCAATATGACTACTTACCTTGGTTCCAGTTTTAGACATTTTTGGTGCATAGACTGGTTTTCCCAGTGCTGAAAGAAATTCAGGAATGGCTACAGAGAGTTAGAGGCACAGTGACATTTATATGGGCTGGTTTCAGTCAAACATTTGCTTAGTCATGAGAATAGGATCCAAAAATTGAGTCAGTCATTTAGACGCTATTGATGGTTTCTAGAAAAAACAACTGGGATTATAAAATAAAGGAAAGCTTCAGTACCGCCTTTAATGCTTACCAAGCAGGGCTGCATTACAGACTTTGCTGAGTCAAGAAACCAAAACCCAGACAAAGTTGTAAAAATTAAGAACAAAAGAGTCTCTCTTTTTTTTTTTAAGCAGCCTCTTTGAAATTCCTAATGTCCTTTTTCTTCAACAAAGCTTGTGAGAGGTAAGAGTCAGAAGACTACCTCTATTTCTGGACAGAAGTGACATGTTCTAAACGCAACAAAACTTACATGACAACTAAATGCAATGCATGATCTTGTGTTTGGGGAAAAAAGTCACTATAAAGACACTGCTGGGACAATCAGAAAACATTTTAATATGGACTGTAAATTAGATAATACTATTGTACCAAAGTTTAACTTCTTGAATTTGATCATTGTACTATGACTAGGTAAGAGTATGTCTGTTTCCAGGACATGTATGCTACCATTTAGAAGAAAGGTTCAAGATGTCTGCAACCTATTCTCAAATTGTTGAGCAAAAATAAAACAATACTATCATGTTGAGTGGTAAAGAGAATGTAGCAAAATGTTAACAACTGGTGAATGGAATCTAGATAAAGGGTATGTTAAAGTTCACTGACTTATTCTTGCAACTATTATTTAATTTTTTTCAAAACACAATTTTTTTTAAAAAAAGAGCTCTAATCCATAAGAAGGGTGCCACCGTATGTAGAAAAGTGACTGTGGGACTCCTGAATTTGCCAAGGGTTAGCTAACTAAACACAACAAGCTACTGGCTAGGTGGTCTTCTTTGCCCACAATACAACATTGGAACATGATCGGAGAACATTTTTTGGCCCTAATACACCTCTGACTTTAGGAATGAGATTGCATCTTATGTAAATACAAAAAAACCCAATAAATTAACTTTTCTCCATTTTTAACTTTAACTGATCAAGTATATTCTCAAAATCAAGTATATTCTCAAAAGTCAAACTTCCTCATCTTTCTGTTAACAAAACTAACAAATATTTTAATAAATGGGATGTATTATGGTCAATTCAGAAAATGGCAAATGTGCCTTAATATAAAGATTATTGAGAAAATATTAAGCTATATGCTTGGTTTTCTGAATTTTATAAAATTTTATAAAACTTTAAAACTTTAAAAAAAGTATCTGAGTACCATTTATTTCATTAACAAATAGCAATATCTAAAATATATTTCTATTACTCCAGTGTTTATTTGGTAATGGTCTGCTCCTTGAATTTCATCTTAAAATAAAAACCATGTAAACTTCAATTAGAATTAAACATTCTGAGGGTTAATTTTTACTTTAGAAATACAAAAGAGTTTTTTGATAGAAATACTAATTAAATGGCCAGAGAGCATATGAACCAATGTTTATCAGCAATCTGATTCATTTCACTCATTTGGTAATTTGGTAATTTCACTCATTTATCTGAAAGAAGGTTTTCCCAAGTAAATGTAAACTTTACTAGTTATTTTGAGAAATGACACTGGAAACCTTTTCTAAAATTAAAACTAAAGATTTATCTTTTACAAAAAAAGGAAATTATTCTTTAGAGTTTGTTTATTGAAAATTTGAAGCAGGAAGTGAAAAATAAAGATTTTTTTAAACAATTTCATTAAGTTCCATACTTTAAGGACTAAAATATAGTATAAAACTATTTCTATGTCTATATACCAACAAATCATACTTCCTTTCCAATTATTTTTTAAAAGGAGTAGCAATTTCCTTTTAAATAGTTACAAAGAACTATAAAACTCTTATTTAACTCTAGAAAGAATAAAACTCTTTCATCACACAAATGAAGATACACACTATAGTTGCAAATCTACACTCAGTTGCTTTAATATTAACATACATACAATGGTACTACCTTCACCAACTTTTTCATTTGGGCATCACAAAGACGAGTCTTCTGATGTTCTATAAGCAATATGTTTATATGAAAGTCAGAAGTTTAGCGAAAATTCGGCCTAAACAGTAATAAATGAAAATGGAATGGAAATCAAAGTTCTTAAATAGAACAGAAGGCTGGGCACGGTGGCTCACGCCTGTAATCCCAGCACTTTGGGAGGCCGAGATGGGCGGATCACGAGGTCAGGAAATCGAGACCATCCTGACTAACACGGTGAAACCCCGTCTCTACTAAAAATACAAAAAAAATTGGCCGGGCGTGGTGGCGGGCGCCTGTAGTCCCAGCTACTCAGGAGGCTGAGGCAGGAGAATGGCGTGAACCCGGGAGGCAGAGCTTGCAGTGAGCCGAGATCGCGCCACTGCACTCCAGCCTGGGCGACAGAACAAGACTCTGCCTCAAAAAAAAAAAAAAAAAAAGACAGAAAAGTCCCAATGTCTCTTAAGCAGCAATAGCACCTTCCCAATTTAGTTTCAAGTTTCAAGATGAGCACCATCCTCCATTTATCCTTGTATTTCCAGGGCCCTGAAGATCAAAGAAAAAATAATATTAATCACTTAATTTTCTATTGCTTCATGTAAATAATTTTAAAACTCTACGTTTAAAAAATCACATAAATTATCAAGGTCAAATGATAGATTAGAGTGATAAGATACACAAAGTTTAAAGTTAATAATATTCCTTTTTGCTAGGTGTAATGTTAGATCATAATAAAAGAGAAATTCATACATGAATGTAAAAAATTGTTAAGCAGTGAAGATTAAACAAAATTATTTACCCGCTTATAGTTCACATTTCCTTTGCATAATCTCCATCAGATTTGTAATTTTTTTTTTTTTTTTTAAGAGATAGGGTCTCGCTCTGTTGCCCAGGCTGGAATACAGCAGTGCAATCATAGCTCACTGCAGCCTTGAACTTCTGGGCTCAAGAGATCCTCCAGTCTGTGTCCAGAGTAGCTGGGATTACAGGCATGTGCCACCATGCTCAGCTAATTTTTAATTTTTTTGTAGAGACAGGGTCTCATTATATTGCCCAGGCTGGTCTCAAACTCCTGGCCTCAAGTGATCCTCTCACCTCAGCCTCCCAAAGTGCTGGGATTAGAGACATAGGCCACTGCGCTCAGCCAAATTGCTAATTCTTAATTCTCAGCATTTATTAATAAATATTGCTAAATTCTTTTTTTTTTTTTTTTTTAAGACGGAGTCTCGCTCTGTCGCCCAGGCTGGAGTGCAGTGGGGTGCTCTCGGCTCACTGCAAGCTTCGCCTCCAAGGTTCACGCCATTCTCCTGCCTCAGCCTCCTGAGTAGCTGGGACTACAGGCACCTGCCACCACGCCCGGCTAATTTTTTGTATTTTTTAGTAGAGACAGGGTTTCACTGTATTAGCCAGGATGGTCTTGATCTCCTGACCTCGTGATCCACCCGTCTCGGCCTCCCGAAGTGCTGGGATTACAGGCATGCTAAATTCTTTAAAAAAAAATACACCCTTAAGAAATGTAAATATTTAAAGCAAAAAATACACTTTTACAGCTTTGGAAAACTGCAATTCCTTTAAAAGTTAAATATATTCCTCACAATTCCGCTTCTAGGTATATATCCATGAGAAATAAAAACAAATGTCTACACAAAAACTTGTACACAAATGTACACAGCAGCATTACTCACAACAGCTGAAAAGTAGACACAAGCCAAATGTCCATCAACTGATCAACAGATAAACAAAATGGTAGATCCACACGATGGAATATTATCTGGCCATGAAAAAGAATGCAGTACTGATACATGGCTACATGGATGAATCTTGAAAACACTACACTAACTGAAAGAACCCAGACACAAGAAGCCACATGTTATATGATTCCATTTACATAAAATGTCCAAAATGGACAAAGTAGATTAGTGGTGCCAAGGACTAAGGGGAAGAGGAAATGTAGGGGTTGGAGGAATAAGGAGTGGCCTACAATGTGTACGAGCTTTATTTTGAAGGTGATGAAAATGTTCTAGATTTTTTAGTGGTGATAGTTGCACAAACTTCTGAATATACTTAAAAGCTACTGAATTCTTTACTTTAAAAAGGTGAATTTACTTCCCATAATGTTATGTGGTAATATTTTATCTCAATAAAATTTTTAAGAAGTTTTCTCCCACCCTAGACACCCAATCTCATTCCTCAAAGACAAACACTGTTTATAATTTCTTTATATTCTTTCAAAGATTGTTAGGCATATAATTAGCATATAAATACACTGCATTTGGGGTGTTTCTAGTCCACAGTTTTTTTAAACAATGCCACATCAAACATCTTCAGTTACAAAATTTCGGTTAGCTAAGAGGAATACATTGAAGAGATCTAATGTACAACATGGTGACTGTTGTTAATAACAATACTGTGTGATCTTGAAAAAAACAAAGAGAGTAGATTTTAAGTGTTCTCACTGCAAAAATGACAACTATGTGAGGTTCTAATGTTAACTAGCTTGATTTGGCCATTCCACATGCATATATATTTCAAAACATCATGCTGGAAATGATAAATATATACAATTCATCTGTCAATTTAAAAATTAAATAAATAGGCCAGAAGCAGTCGCTCATGCCTGTAATCCCAGCACTTTGGGAGGCCAAGGTGGGCAGATCACCTGAGGTCAGGAGTTCAAGACCAGCCTGGGCCATCATGGTGAAACCTCGTCTCTACTAAAAATACAAAAATTAGCCGGGTGCGGTGGCCGGTTCCTGTAATCTCAGCTACTCAGGAGGCTGAGACAGGAGAATCACTTGAACCTGGGAAGTGACGGTTGCAGTGAGCCGAGACCGCACCACTGCACTCCAGTTTGGGGGACAGAGTGAGACTCCATCTCAAAAATAAATAAATAAATTAATTAATTAATTAATTGATCCCTACATACATGAGTTTATCTGTAAGATAAATTCTATTAATAATAAGTGAAACTGCTAAATCAGGGCAGGTGCAGTAGCTCATGCCTGTAATCCCAGCACTTTGGGAGGCCGAGGCAGGAGGAACGCTTTAAGCCAGGAGTTTAAGACCAGCCTGGACAACAAAGTGAGACCCTGTCTCTAAAGAAAAATAAAAAGATCAATTGGGTGTGATAGCATGCACCTGCAGTCCCAGCTGAGACAGGATTGCTTGAGCGCAGGAGTTGGAGGCTGCAGTGAGCTATGATTGTGCCACTGCACTTTAGCCTGTAAGAGAATTAGACCTCATCTCTAGAAAAAGAAAAAAGAAATCGCTGAGTCAGAGAAAATTTGTATTTTTAATTTTGATTTTGTCAAACTGCCCCCCACAGAGGTTACATATACACTTTCCTAGTGGTAAACGAAATGTTTTGCCAGTATTGTGTACTACCAGCTTTTGCTCTTTGCCAGTCTAATAAAAAATAGTATTTTACATTTCTTTAATTTTAAGTAAGCATTTTTGTGTCTCTAAGTATTTTTCTGTGAACTATCTATTATTGTCCTTTGTCTGTTTTCTATTGCTAGCATTTAAAAATACTTTAGGCCAGTTCCGGTGGCTCACGTCTGTAATCCCAACACTTTGGGAAGCCGAGGTGGGCGATGTTCAGGAGTTTAGGAGTTCAAGATCAGCCCAGCCAACATGGTGAAACTAAGTCTCTACTAAACATACAAAAATTAGCTGGGCACGGTGGTGCGTGCCTGTAATCTCAGCTACTTGGTAGGCTGAGGCAGGAGAATTGCTTGAACCGGGGGAGCGGAGCTTGCAGTGAACTGAGATTGTGCCACTGCAACTCCAGCCTAGGTGACAGAGGGAGACTCTGCCTCAAAAAAAAAAAAAAAAAAAACTTTAAACTAACACAGTATACTAATCTCTATTAAAAAAGAATACCATACGTTTGGGGCTGGGCGCAGTGGTTTATGCCTGTACTCCCATCACTTTGGGAAGCCAAGGCAAGTGGATCACCTGAGGTCAGGAGTTTTGAGACCAGCCTGGCCAACATGGTGAAACCCAGCCTCTACTACAAATACAAAAATTAGCCAGCTGTGGTGGTGCATGCCTGTTTTCCCAGCTACTCCGGAGACTGAGGTGCGAGAATCACTTGAACCCAGGAGGCGGAAGCTGCAGTGAGCTGAGATGGCGCCACTGCACTCCAGCCTGGGCGAGAGACAGAGACTCAGTCTCAAAAAAAAAAAAAAGAATACCATATGTCTGGATTAAATTTACTTCCAGTAAATTTGTTTGTATGCATATTCTCTTCTATTTAATCCATGATCTTCTAGTGTTCAGTAATCAAATCTTCATTTGGATTAATTCTGGTAATTTATTACTGCTAATATGTGTAATTAGCAAAGATCAGCTAATTTGTAAATTGGTTTTTGTGAGGGGAATGGATAAGAGGAAAGGTTTAGAAAAGGAGAATAAAACTTAGAACTATGTATGGGGGAATGTGGTATCTTTGGACAGTACAACTTGTCCCAGGCAAAAAGCAAAATAAGACAAAATTTGGCCATTATATTGGCCCCAAATTCTATAGGCTCCATCTGAATATTTTGGTTGGTTTTCTCACTATAAAATATGGTAAATATGGGTACATAAAGGTCCGTGTATGCTGGTAGGAGCGGTAGAAAAAATTTGGGCATGTTTAGTATATAATATTCTGTGCCTTTTTTTTATGCTTGAAAGATTTCCCCAAAAGAATCTGTTTTAAGTGGTATAAATGCCTACCAGTGTCTGCATGTAAGATCCTTATCCAGCTGCTTGTTTGGAGCCTGCTGCAGGGGGTACAAGGCTGTCCAGCTGTTGGCGATGTCCTGTATTAATCAACCATTCATAAAACTTGTTCTCTACCAGTACCTGGAACTGCTTCCTTTGATCCCTAAAATTGCGATTATGAGTAAAAAGAATATAAGAACATGAATTCATATAAATTGTACTCTAAGCAATTATACAATATTTTAATAGGATAATGTTAAATGATTAATTATTTCTTGTTATCCTTTTGTTCTCACTGTTCAGAGTACACTGGACACCCCCACCCCACAAAGGATTGATCAGATACAATGTCCTCTTTCTACTTTTTCATTGTCAGATATTTACCAAGGACCAAGTGAACACTGGGTACTGTTCTGACTGATGGGGATAAATGTATAGAGAAGAGACAAGGCCCCTGTTGAAGCAGGATGACACTTCACGACTCCAGAGGGCACCATTCACATTGTGATCTGTGTAATCCATGCTCCTGAAGACTATATATTCTAGTAGGAAAGATAGGTAAAAATAAAATAAATAGGCCGGGCATGGTGACTAACGCCTGTAATCCCAGCACTTTGGGAGGCCAACGCGGGTGGATCGCTTGAGGCCAGGAGTTCAAGACCAGCCTGGCTAACATGGTGAAACCCTGTCTCTACAAAAAATATAAAAATTAGCCAGGCATGGTAGCACATGTTTGTTAAGTCCCAGCTACTCGGGAGGCTGAGGCAGGAAAATCGCTTGAACCCAGGAGGTGGAGGCTGCAGTAAGCTAAGATCACACCACTGCACTCCAGCCTGGGCAACAAAGCGAGATGCTGTCTCAAAATAAATACAGTACAATACAATACAATACAATAAAAATATAATATAAAGTTAAGTAGTTCTAGGTGCCATGGAGAAAAATAGAGCAGGGTGAAGGAATAGCAATTCTGGAAATGTTATTTCAGAGAAAGAATGGAGAGAGATGGCCTCCCTAAGATAATATTTGAGCTTAGGTCTAAATGAAATGATGGAATAAGCAGAATGAGTATTTGGAGAGGAATATACCAGGCAGAAGAGACCAAAAAAGTACAAAGGTTCCAAAGTGAGAGCGTATTTCACATGTTCATGATAAGAAAGAGAAGAGTAGCTCCTGACAGCCAGGAGCTAGCCTAGCACTGTCAGCTAGGCCTTGGTGTAGGATCTGGACTTGCTATTGTATTCTTTTGTTGAACATAAACAATACCTTAAACCACCACCATTAGACAAAGCCACTCTGGGATGATGATAGACCAAAGAAAGAACAAGATCACTCCGTAATCGTATCTCAGTTCAGAAACCCCCACACCAACCTCCAAAAAAATGTTGTGACCCAAACCATAAAATCACTAAACATTCCTTTCCTGGAGGAGTGGCTACTTCTTTACAATTATAGTTTTAGCTCTTCCTTCCTTCCTCCTGCCTTAGATATAAAAGTTATTAAACTGTCAAATCACACATTACTCTCACTTCCAGATAGTCCTGCTTCCTAGAACTCTCCCCCAAATCATTAACACAAGCCAAAATCCAACGATAAGTTCCTTTTAACACCTGTTTACTGAGTTGAAACACAGTTTTCCATGTTCCCCAACCTTTTACTGAGATGAAACACACTTCTCTCCCTCCTTGCCATGAGTCAACACAATCCACCTTTGTTCTATAGATGTGTTCCTGGTGGTCTTTGGTCAGAGGGCAGTGATTAAGTAATAGTAAGATGACTGCTGTATGCCGGGAAGGAGGAAATGAGGAAAAGAACGGCAGAAATTGAGGAAGAGAGAGCCTGGTAAGTATGGTAAAGGCTTTGGATTTTATTTGAAGTATGATGGGAGGCCATTAGAGGGGTCAGAGCAGGGAAATGACATGATGTAATCACTGTTAAAAGGGTCACACTGGCAATTTGTTTCAAACTGATTTCTGTCTTCCTATATTCCCAAAGTTAAACTGACTACTTTCATTGTTTCTGGGATCACTGTGGATCTCACCACTTGAAAACACTGACTCAGAGTCAGCATTTATTAAGTGCTTACATCCCACAGTCTGCACATGTATATGCAGGAGCTTTTCACATGTAAGAGAATCTAAGCACTTCATCGTTTCTTGGCCTTTTGGCTGAGATCAAGTGTAGAGAATCTAACCATTTAAATACTAGAACCATTCAAACAACAGAACTGCTTTAAAAGAATGTTTTTTCATGATCATCCATTTTTACAACACATTATTATAATGTTATTATTGTACAGTATGATATGGTATGACAATATTTGAAAGAAAACAATGAAGACATTAGAGGCATTTAAGAACCTCTGGTTACTGAGAAGTCAGAACAGAGAAAAAAAAAGAACCTCTGGAACCAGGTTGATTAGGTGTGAATCCTGGCTCCTGTGTGACTTTGGGTAAAGTACTTAATTCCTCAGTTCTTCGGTTTCCTCACCTGTAATAAGGTGTTATTACAAAGAATAAATGAGTTAGCACATAGAAGGTGCCTAGAATGGTATTGGATTATGTGGCATACTCTATGTATGATTTTTTAAATTCATGTAAGTCTTATATTTGCCAACTAAACTTTAGCTTCTTAAGAAAAGGGAGTCTAATACTGGATATTTACCCACTCCCATCCCCAACCTAACAGTGTTTGAAATACTAATTTGAAATCCAAACCTTAATTTAAAAACACATTACTTTTTTTTTTTTTGAGACACAGTTTCACTCTTGTTGCCCAGGCCGGAGTGCAATGGCACGATCTTGGCTCACTGCAACCTCCGCCTCCTGGGTTCAAGCAATTCTCCTGCCTCAGCCTCCCACGTAGATGGAATTACAGGCACACGCCACCACACCCAGCTAATTTTTGTATTTTTAGTAGAGACGGGGTTTCACCATGTTGGCTAGGCTGGTCTCAAACTCCTGACCTCAGGTGATCCACCCACCTCGGCCTCCCAAAGTGCTGGGATTATAGGCGTGAGCCACCGCGCCCAGCCTTACATTTTTTATTACTTTAGCACAGCTGTAAAAATGTGCAGACTAATTTGTTTCTCCATGGAGTTTCACAAAAAACACAAACTGTTACTTGTAAAAAATACTCACTTTGTCAAATGAGCCTCCTTCACAGTTTTCTGCCAGATCTGTATCTTCTGTTCTCTTTGACCCAGTGCTTTCTGATATACAGATGGAAGACCCCCGGGTATCTCTGTTGTGTCCCCTTCCATTTCAAAGGGAATAATAAATACATAGAATTCACAAGGTGGTAAAAGCTGGAAGACTCTTGTGTCGCTGTTCTCTCTGCACACAACCATTGGATTATCCCAATAGTTAGGCACTGTAGCAAGGCCAGTCCTGGCCATATGGTCCTCTAGCATTGGGTAATGTGTATGAAAAGGGGCAAAAGTTACTGTCTGGTTCCCAGAGAGAATAAGTGGGCGTGTAGGCGTAAGAACGTGAAAGATGCAACCTGTTGTAGAAGAGATGGACAAACGATGGCAAACAGCAATGACTTTAACATTGTCACAACTGTGGAGGTGAAGTGTAGTCCCTACAGGGCCCAAGACAAAGATGCTATTCCTGCACTTCTCAATTGTCACAGATCTGAAAAAAGGAAAAAATGAGGTAAAGTCCTCTGAATAAGATTTTAAAAATTTGACTAAAATATTATTATCTGATGGCAAAAAAAGAATCAGTCACAGTCCAAAGAAAATGTCAGAACATCAGAACACCATGAAAACTGTGCTTACCGTAAGGGAGAGAGCAGATATATAAAAGATTCGTTGCAACGATGAATCTTTACATGTGCCCCCGCCAGAGTGTCTGAGCTCTTAGCCAGTGTCTGCTTGTAAACCTGGCTCATCACTACCAGTCGGTGCATCCTAGGGGCCACATGAGTATTACAAGCAATCTTAGCTCTTTTGGTGGTCCCTTCAACTATTTAAGAAAACATATAAATAGATGAGGCAGTATCAAATCAAAGAAAAACAAACAAACATATGAGGTTACACGTCTACATGTATATATGTCTCAAATTAGATACCACATGTAGGGACAAAAACGTTAGATCTGGGCTTTGGATAGAGGTATTTGCTATACTATTCTCTATTCCTTTCTGTATGTTTGGAATTTTCATTTTTGTTATAAAAAAAATTTTAAAACCTATAATGAATTTAAGATTGCCTATAAGTCTAAGATACTTTTTCGTGTCTACGCTTCAAGTTAAGGTCTATGCCTAAGGTCATATGGCTAGTAAGTGGCAAAGCTGTCCTAACTCAAATATCTTCTCCTCCAAGATGCTTTACTTTATCATCCCAAACGTAATTCACCTCTCTAAATTACCATAATATTAATTCTGTACCCTTCCTAACTTACCACATTATCCCATTAATCCTATTTGAGTTCATGCCTTTTTTTCTTCTTTTTTGTGAGACGGAGTCTCACTCTGTCACTCAGGCTGGAGTGCAGTGGTGCAATCTCAGTTCACTGTAACCTCCACCTCCCAGGTTCAAGAGATTCTCCTGCCTCAGCGTCCTGAGGAGCTGAGATTACCAGTGCATGCCACCACGCCTGGCTAATTTTTGTATTTTTAGTAGAGCTGAGGTTTCTCCATGTTGGCCAGGCTGGTCTCGAACTCCTCACCTTCCGCCAACCTCAGCCTCCCAAATTGCTGGGATTACAGGTGTGAGCCACCGCACCCAGCCTGAGTTCATGTCTTTACTCCTAAGATCATTACTACCTGAGAGCACATCTTCCTATCCCACACAGTGTGTTGCACAAACTGACACTCAAAAAATACGCGCAGGTTCTCCTAACACAGTCACACCGTTACGTGACTGCCTTCTCAGACTGTACCTCCCTGCAAGCCACCGGGACACCCTTGTAAACAACACCGCTGAAATACTGGGAGGTCACATGAGTATGCTATTATTCTTCTTCTTTTAAAACATTTCTTGTTTATTTTTATTACATACGTTTACTTTTATTACACATGTACCAGGTACATAATATATGGTTATTTAGAAAAATAACAGTAAAAGAAGATAAAAATAATTTGTAATCCTACTATCATTTTTAATATTTTAGTATAATCCTTGAGAGAAAAAGTCATGCACAAAAGACAGATGTTCCTTTTTCTCTTTTATAGGAGCAGTATTTTTTAGGTCTTCTAGAGAAGACACGAGATCACTAATATATTAGAAAACACTAGGTTCCTTAAGTTGTCATTCAATTTAATGTAGATTAAAATATTAAAAAATACCTTGATGAGCCCAAGCCAATTTCTTTCCAGACTTGAGGCAAGCTGATGTACCAAATGGATTCCCAGTCAAACAGGACCTCAACCAGGTTTCCAGTTTGTAGAAAGAGAAAGTCTTAGAGATCTTTGAGAAGCCACTATCTGCATGCAGTGGTTGCCACAGTGCAAGTTCATGAAGTGGATAGATCTTCCTGGCTCTACTTATTGTACCTTCAATAAGGAAGCTGAGCGCCACAACAGCTTCTCGAGACACTAGACTACTATGGGTTGAATGAAATGATGCAGTGAGTTGTTTTGGATCTAAAAGCAGCTCGAGGAGATCAGACAGATGATCATAGACAAAAGCTTGGTGACTGTAATCATTCCAGTTCTAAAAAAAAGTTAAAAGAAAGCACTCTTAATAAAGAGATTCCACAAGATCTAAAATTTCTATATTTTAATTATTTTGTATTTATACTCTGCCTCATCCCCCAAAAGGAATTAGGTAGTTATATAAACCTTATAAAGGTGATCCGCCCGGCTTGGCCTCAGAATTTCTAATCCCTTAGAATTCCAGTTCATTAACAAGCATGATGGCTATTCCAGTCCCAATGTCAAATGCGTTTTTAGTTCAAACACCTATCACCAATGCATAATTTCTTCCTGGGGGAACTGACTGGCCCAGGTCGTCACTTTAAATCTGGCCAATTTCAAATGTATAGCAATAAATGGGCTACTCAAGTGTCCACCCCGGTCCAATCAGTTACTCAGAGAGGTCGTGCTGTAGTATAAACCAAAGTCACCATTTATTGGTGCTTACTATGCAATAAGTCCCATGCTAATATATTACTGAAGTCTCATAGTCATTCAGAAACATGCATTATTATCCTCACTTACAGAAGGGAAGCCAAGGCCTAGAGAAGTTAACTGACTTGCCTAAAATCGTATGACTAAATGATAATAAATGATAGAGGCAGAAATGAATGGAGGCTACCTTGGCTCAAAACACCATCTCCTAACAGTGCCCATTCTGCAGGAACTACATGTGGAGAGAGAGGTAGTGACTGGTATCTCTCATACATCTGGGCTTGAACATTCTGAATTTAAGCTATAGCTAGGGCATCTATATAAAGCGGTAACTATAAAGCAAGAGCTCTGGGAAGGACACAAAGTTGGGAGTCACTGAGATATATGAAGTCGTAGGAATATAAAGAATTACATTGAATGAATAAGTTAAGAGAGAAGGGAAAATTGACCCAGACAGAATAGCTGCTTGTAAGGGCCAGGGGAGAGAAATTTATGAAAGAAAGTGAGAAGAGAGAGTTAGAAGCAAAACCAAGAGTAATAGCATCATGGAATATAAAGGAGGAGAGACTTATTAAAAAGGAGATTAGAAAAGTTCCAAATAGCAAAGAGATATTTTTTCTTAGCTTTAGAACATTTTTAAAGAGCTTGTACATGGCATTAATACTGAGGCCTACATTTTACTTAAAGTTTTTCAATATACTTACACAAGAACAAGTAAAAATATTTTGGTTTTCTTTACAAAAACAGAAAGAAAAAAGCAATAAGACATCCTCTAAAATTCACAATGTGAGGCAGTTAAATTTAGCTTCTGGGTTGTCACGTATGTAATTACTTAAACAACATGAGAAGATATTTTTATAATTTTTTTCAGTAGATTTCAAAAGATTTTGCAAGCACTCCATCTTCTTGATGCTCCTTAGTCACATAAGTTGATTCGCATTGATTGACATGTTGAAAACGGCAGTGCTAATTGAACATAGTGATGATCTGCCCACAAATCAGCAAGTGGTTTTCCTACCAGTGAAGGCACTGCAACCAGTTCTCTATTGTGATTAAGACTGTACACACTGATTTTGTTTTATAATTTAAAAAAAAAGTGAAAAACAAAACAAGCCATCAAATCACTGGCTTATGTAAGAAATCTCATCATAATTTTTAATGCAAGTGAACCATCTCCCACACAAATTGTCCCTTTTAGAGAATGAGATCAAGATATAAGGAGTACCTTATTATGACAATTAGATTTTTCAGTCAGGTCAGGAGACTGAGATTTGTTTCTGGGACTGGGCCACTCTTCGCCAATCAAAGATGTCCTTAGGGAGACCTTGTTCAACTGTTGAATGTATAAGAAGAGCAGAAACTGTAGCGTGTCCACTGAAAGCTGTCCAAGAAGAAAATAAAAGATGAATAGACGTTTTAAAACATCAACCACTAGTCTAACAACTAAGTAGACATAGTAAATTCACAAGTTGGCTGATCCTAAAAAAACCAACTTAGAAACATTGCCAGTTTTGATATGTATGTCTCTGGTACCCAGATGTAAGAGTTTCTTTTTCTTTTTTTTTTGAGACAGAGTTTCACTCTTGTCGCCCAGGCTGGAGTGCAATGATGCGATCTCAGCTCACTGCAACCTCCGCCTTCCTGGTTCAAGCGAGATTCTCCTGCCTCTGCCTCCTGAGTAGCTGGGATTACAAGCATGTGCCACCACGCCCAACTAATTTTTTTGTATTTTTAGTAGAGATAGGGTTTCACCATGTTGGCCAGGCTGGTCTTGAACTCCTGACCTCAGGTGATCTGCCCGCCTTGGCTTCCCAAAGTGCTGGGATTACAGGCGTGAACCCCTGTGCCTGGCCAAGAGTTCCTAAAACTAATTAAAGTGGAATAATTTACCTTCACAGAAAGCTGTATAACATCTATGGCTATAGAAATTATCTCTCAAAACTGATGAAAGGATGTAGTACATACTTTAAGTACATTATTTCAGAAGTTTAAACTTACAATTTAAAAAAAACCAACCTTAGTAATTTGAATAAATAAGTAGATGGAAGTAAGAAAGAAGAAAATTCAGTTAAGACAGAGGTCTAACTTAAGACTCACAAACCTGTCAAGAAAGTTTAGGATACCAGTGCAATACCTGAAATTGTATGTAATTTTTTGGTATATGTGCATTTTTCAAGGGAGTAGGCCTCAGGTTTTCAGCAAATTCTTAAAGGGGTGTTTCACTTAAAGACAAAAACACTGTTGGTCTGATAGATGTATAGTCATTTCTTATTCAAGGAAGGGTGTGGTTGAAGCTCACGACTTGAAGCCCCTGATTACCCTCATCTACCCACCCCCATACAGGAGAGGCAAAAAAGTAAAGTAATACATCTGGGTCTACAGCTATATTCACCCTGATTCCCAACCTGGCTAAAAACACTATCATCTGAGAAACTTAAAAGTACAGATTCTCAGGATCACCCAGACCTATTTAATCAACTAACAATGTGAAGCCCCATGAATTTGTATATTTTATAAATTTTTACTTTCTTAATTGAACTTCTGAGATAACTGTAGATTGAGATATAGTTGTGAGAATTCACACAGAAAGATCCCATGTACCCTTTACCCGCCTTGCCAAACTATAGGACAATATCACAATCAGGATATTGACACCGATACAGTCAAGATACGAGAACATTTCCATCAACAGAACAATCTCTCATGTTGCCCTTCTACAGCCATATGCACTTCTCTGTCCCACTCACCCCTTCTTAGGCCCTTAGCAACCACTTACTTGTTCTCCATCTCTATAATTTTATTATTTCAAGAACATTAGGTAAATAGAATCATATAGTATGTAACCTCTTGGGATTGGCTTTTTTCACTAAGTGTAATTCCCTGATTTTATATATACTTCCATTTTAAACAATTATTTGTTACATTATCATTATTTCTTCATGGAGACTATAGGATCCTTGCCTTTTCCATTTTTATACTCCTAGTAACTAGCAAAGCATCTGGTACATAAAAAGCACTCAAAAAATCTGGAACTTCCTGAAGGTTTTATTCATCTCTATATGCCCAGCATCCACTACTATACCGAGTACATAGTAGATAATAAATATTTGATTAATGAATAAATGTACTGCCCTTTCCCTCTTCATTGCTTGATAAACTTTTCAATTTCCAAAACGTTGTTTAGATATGACCCTATAAGGCAGAGACTGCTAGATGCTTACTACTTTTTTTCTTCTTCCTGGGTATGTAATTAGATGGCATTTCCCATCTTCCTTTGGAGTTAGATATGGCATAAATGAATTACAGCAACTGAATGTGAATGAATTTATCTTTATCACTTTCAAGCCTAATAATAAAACTCTCAAAAGAAATGAAAGCAAAAGGACTCTGAGGCCCCAGTGGGCATGGCTGTGGCAAATTGTATTATTATTTACTATTGCTCACTTTCAAATTCTCTAAGAGGCTTATACAGCCCTACCCATGGCCATGGGATTTTCCTTATCTCCTGAAAGGTGGTTTACCTTCCCATCTTCATGGGAATAATGCCTTAGCCAATGGAATAAAAGTAGTCTTAGTTTATGTCAAATCTGAGCAAAAGTTTTAAGAGGCATCATGAGTCCAGAAACAAACTCACACATATATGGTCAACTAATTTTCCACAAGGGTGTCAAGAATACAAAACGCAGAATAGTCTCTTCAATAAATGATGCTGAGAAAACTGGATCTACAAATGCAAAAGAATGAAATTGGGACCATAGCTTATACCATACACAATCAACTCAAAATGGAGGAAAGACTTAAATGTAAGGGGTGAAATGGTAAAACTCCTAGAGAAAAATAAGGAAAAAGCTCCTTGACATTGGTCTTGGTAATGATTGTTTGGATATGACACCAAAAGCACAGGCAACCAATGCAAAAATAAGTTGAATTATATCAAACTAAAAAGCTTCTGCACAACTAAGGAAACAATCAACAGAAGAAAAGGTAAACCATGTATCTGGTAAGGGGTTAATATCGAAAATATATAATGAACTCCTGCAGCTCAATAGCAAGAAAAACCAAATAACCTAATTAAAAAATGGACTATGGACCTGAATAGACATTTCTCCAATGAAGACATACAAATGGCCAACAGGTATACGAAAAGGTGCTCAACATCACTACTCATTAGAGAAATATAAAGCAAAACCACAATGAGATATCACCTCACACTTGTTAACAAAAGATTAACAAGTATTAGTAAGGATGTGAAGAAAAGGGAACCCTGGTACACTGTCAGTGAGAATGTAAACTGGTACAGCCATTATAAAAAATAGGGCCGGGCGCGGTGGCTCACGCCTGTAATCCCAGCACTTTGGGAGGCCGAGGCAGGCGGATCATGAGGTCAGGAGATTGAGACCATCCTGGCTAACATGGTGAACCCCATCTCTATTAAAAAATACACAAAACTAGCCGGGCATGGTGGTGGGTGCCTGTAGTCCCAGCTACTCAGGAGGCTGAGGCAGGAGAATGGTGTGAACCTGGGAGGTGGAGCTTGCAATGAGCTGAGATCGCGCCACCGCGCTCCAGCCTGGGCGACAGAGCGAGACTCCGTCTCAAAAAAAAAATAAATAAATAGTATAGTGGTTTCTCAAAAAATAAAAAAGAGAACTACCATACGATCTAGCAATCCCACTTCTGGGTATTTATCCAAAGGAATTGAAATCAGGATCCTGCAAATACCTGCACTCCCATGTTCATTGCAGCATTATTGATAATGGCCAAGATATGGAAGCAGCCTAAATGTCCACAGATGGATGACTAGATAAAGAAAACTTGGCATGCATATATAATGGAGTACCATTTGGCCTTAAAAAAGAAAGAAATCATGTTGGGTACAGTGGCTTATGCCTGTAATCCCAACACTTTGGGAGGCTGAGGTGGGAGGATCACTTGAGGCCAAGAGTTCAAGACCAGCCTGGGCAACACAGTGAGATCCTGACCTCTATGAAAAAAATACAAAAATTTGCCAGGCATGATAGCACACACCTGTAGTCCTAACCACTCAGGAGGCTGAGGTGGAAGGATTGCTTGTGCCCAGAAATTCCAGGCTATAGTGAGCTATGATTACATCCCTGTACTCCAGCTTGGGCAACAGAGTGAGATCCTGTCTCTTAAAAACAGAAAGAGAGAGAAATCCTGCCATTTTCAACAACATGGATGGACCTGGAGGACATTATGCTAAGTAAAACACGCCAGACACAGAAAGACAAAGCTATGTAATCTCACTTATATGTGGAATCTAAAATAGTCAAACTCATAAAAACAGACAGAAGGGTGACTGACAAGGGCTAGGAGGAGGGGGAAATGGGGAGGTTGATGGTCAAAGGCTACAAAGTTTCCGTTATGCAAGAAAATTAAGTTCTGAAGATCTACTCTACAGCATACCGCCTAGAGATAACAATTACATGTTGTATACTTAAAATTCTCTAAGACAGTAGATCTTATGTTAAGTGTTCTTAACAGATACACACACAAAATAACAAGCATAAAAGAGGAGGGGGAACCTATGGGGGGTGATGGGTATGTCTATGTCCTTGACGGTCATGATGGTTTCACAGCATATACTTATCCCCAAACTGATTGAGCTGTATACATAAAATAAGAATTTAAAAAGAGACATCATGAGTTTCCTCCATTCTGTTGATCTTCCCTTCTGTTATAAGAATGGGAATGATCTACACAGAAGCTATTTCTTTAGCCTGTGTCCCTAAATGGGGAAACACGGAGCCTGGACAAATGCCATAGCAAAAATGAAGCCCACATGTAAAATGGGCAAGAAATAAACCTTTTCCCCTGTAAGCCACTGGAATTTCATTTGTTTGTTCTTAATGAATGAAATCAGCTTTTAACAAAGCTGATTAACAGTGACTCCAAGTGATAGAAGCATGGATCCCTGGTCATCGCTTGGATGACAGCAGCCCAGAGATTTGTCCAACCAGGAGCAACTGTGTTAGATTGCTGCCTGAATGAGAAATAAACTGTTACTGTTCTAAGCCACTGAAATACTGGGTTGTCTATTACTATAATCAGCCTACTTGATTAATATACTTTCTCTGTGAAGTCTTTCCTTATCACTGAAATAAATCATTCTTTATTCAATTTCTGTACTTTGTGTATTCTTTTATTATACATATCACACTATTAAATAGCATCTTTTTTTAATACCAGCTTCCTCTACTAGTCCATAAGCTCCATGAGGGTTGAGATGCTATCCTAATCATCTTTGAATCCCATCATGTAGCAGATGTTCATTTTAAAATAGTCAGGTGCTCTGACTGTAACATATCAGTTGTTCATAACACTCATTCACCCCAAAATCTTTTTAAAGTCAGTAAAATATTTCCCTTTTTCAATAACAGGGTCTCTGTAACATTACTGCTTTGGGAGTAGGTGAGTAAGGTCTGGTAAGTAAGGACTAATTCATTGAATACATGAAATACTGCCAAACTGGAACTACTAAAACTCAAATGATAACTTGAGATTACAATGGCCATTAGCCTAAAACCTAAAATTTTACAGCTAATACAAAAATTAAGAATGGTTTATTGGGCCAGACATGGTGGCTCATGCCTGTAATCCTAACATTTTGGGAGGCCGAGGCAGGAAGACTGCTTGAAGCCGGGAGTTCAAGACCAGCCTGGGCAACAAAGTGAAACTCTGTTTCTATCTAAAAATTGTAATAAGCAAAAACATTTTTTAATTTAAAAAAGAATGGTTTCTTTCCAAAAGTAATTAAGTATACACACATATCAATCCGTACCTGATTTCTCTGCTTTTCAACTTCCTCCTCAGACATGCAGTTGGACAGAACCTCAGACCATTCCAGGCGCTCCTCAGGTGTCTTCATTGAAAGACTATCAAATATTTCGAAGTAAAGCCACGCCAGGTCCTTGGCCAACTGCAGCTTCCCACAAGCGATGTGCCTCCATGTAGACCAGTAGAGGCGCGGGTAAGCTCCTTCTGTGGCCCGGATTTGCACATAGGTGGATATCTTCCTGAGATAGTGAAGACTAAACTTGGATGGAGGGGGGACCTGCAAGGCACCCACTATAAAGGGTTCTGCTTTCACCCAGAGGAGAACTCTGGACTGATCCATATTATCTCTAAGGACATCAGGGTGAAAAGGCTTCTTTGCATACCTAGGAAACAAAGTTTCTTCATAAACTGATTTGAAACAAGTCTCATTTATGCATTTTTTCTTGGAAGGTGACCCCTCTCTCTCAACTGTGTCATATGTACTACATCATCATCTTAAAAGGCAGCTCTAGTTCACCAACCAAGAGCAGAACAGTTTTTTTAATCAGATCTCATTATAATCTGAGAAAAAAATTGTGATAAAACAAAATTATCTTACTTGAATTGTTAGAAATCCTTGTTTTAGGAAGTGTGTGTAGATGCATGAAGTCTGAGTGAGATCCCAGGAAGAAAATGAATGAGGGGAAAAAAGTCATCCTATCACAGGAAACCTTTTTCTACTCTGAGGGGGAACACTGTTCAAAATAAGGGAAATACATTTCACAGAGTTAAATCACTTACACAGAAGACAGTTGGTTAAAGATCTGGACATGTTAGCTGAGCATATAAATTCAATATGAAGTGCTAATGTGAGGCAGCAGGCAAGAATGCTAATGTAAATGTAGACTGCAAGAATAGATCAGGAGAAGTTACAGCATCTTTATTCTCTATAACAGTGAACCCACTCTAGCATATTTGATCCTGCTCAGTTCAGGTGTGATTTTTTAGATTTTTTTTTGTTGTAACAATGATACATGATTTTTATGGAATATTTATAAAATACAAAAACAGGGAACCATCCACAATCCCACAAGTAAAGGGCAACAAATTAATATTTTATTGTATTTCCTTCTTCTTCTTCTTTTTTTTTTTTTTTTTTTGAGATGGAGTTTCCCTCTGTTGCCCAGGCTAGAGTGCAGTGGCATGATCTCAGCTCACTGCAACCTCCACCTCCCAGGTTCAAGCGATTCTCATGCCTCAGCCTCCCCAGTAGCTGGGACTACAGGCGTCCACCACCACACCTGGCTAATTTTTGTATTTTTAGTAGAGATGGGGTTTAACTATGTTGGCCAGGCTGATCTCAAATTCCTGACCTCAAGTGATCCCTCGCCTCAGCTTCCCAAAGTGCTAGGATTACAGGCTTGAGCCACTATGCCTGGCCTCTTTGTCTTTTTTCTACACATAAATTAGATGTTAGTTTTTGAATTTTCACAGTTGTGATGTTACATACACAATTCTGTACTGTTTCAAAAGCTTTATAGTATTCTAAATAAATGTATCCCATTTTATTCAACTCTTCTCCCATTTTTAGACACCTTACTAGGTTTCAGATTTTTCACAAAAACAACATAGGCAAAATACTGATCATTATTGAAGTGGGGTAATGGGTACGTGGGGGGCTCACTGATTCTATTTTTGTGTATGTTAAAAAATTTCATTACAAAAGTTCAAATGTTGTCACAAGTGTAAATAATGCTATCACTACCATCTTTCTTCATATTTTCTGCATTACGAATTATTTCTGTGTGAAAATTTTCAGATGTACTTTTGTGAAATTAAGTAATTGACATTTCTAAAGCTTGTGAAATATATCCTTGTTGCTTCCAAATGATTTTATCAAATTGTACCATCCTTTGACTCTGGTACCTACTTCACTGTGCACTCCTCAACATTAGCAACATCATTTTTTTAAAAATATAAAAACTAATTTAAAAAATCAATTATATGACTGATGAAAATTTTATTGCTATTATTATATTTTGCATTTGATTCTAAGAAAACTGTGCTTCTCTCTTTTTTTTTTTTTTGAGACGGAGTCTCGCTCTGTTGCCCAGGCTGGAGTGCAATAGCTCGATCTCGGCTCATTGCAACCTCCACCTCCCAGGTTCAAACGATTCTCCTGCCTCAGCCTCTCAAGTAGCTGGGATTACAGGCTCCCGCCACCACGCCAGGCTAATTTTTGTATTTTTTTAGTACAGACAGGGTTTCACCATGTTGGCCAGGCTGGTCTTGAACTCCCTGACCTCAGGTGATCCGCCTGCCTTGGCCTTCCAAAGTGCTGGGATTACAGGCGTGACCCACCGCACCCGGCCTGCCAACTGTGCCTCTCTCGAGAATCATCTGTTCGGAAAAATAACTGACATCAATCGAGTGCTTACTATGTACCAGGTATCATGCTCATGATTTTGCATACTTCACCTCCTTTCATCCTCACAACCACCTGGAGATACAGTACTTAAGACTGTACACATTTTCGATGAAAAAAAAATGAGGCTTAGCGAAGTTAAGGGATTTCCCTAAGGACACCTACTTAGCTGGCACAGCTCTAGATTAGGATTCAGGTCTGACTTGAGAACTGCATTACTATAAATGTACTCTAGGAATCCAGTTTTGGGAGAATCTCTTAAAAACGGGAGTGGATCCAGAAGAGAATTTCCAGAATAAAGAGTCTTAGACAGGAAGCCAGGTGAAAGAACCAGGGAGAGTAAACTCAAAAGAAGGGCGTGGAAGGGCAAAAGGCAGCTGTCTTCCAATGTGGAGAGACTGGAGTCGTTTTGAGTAAAACCAGACGATAAAAGTTAGGCGAGGAAGACCTCGGTTCTCTCCAAAATGTAAAGAGGCTGCTCTGTGAGGTACTGAGCCCCTGTCAACAGCCAGATCCCAGAGATGAGCCCTCCATTCTAACTCCGAGAATCGAGAGGGCTCAATCCGTAAACAAACATAAACTGGGGCTCTGACCCTGGCGGTGCCCTGAGGTTAAGGTTTTTCAGGTCGGGAGATCGGCGTGGGTCCAAGGCGGCTGTCCTGGGGCTTCGCCGCCACCTTGGACGCGATCCGGGGTGGGACTCTGCGTGGGCCGCCCCAGCGTCGCGACCGGACTTCAGGAACACAGACGCTCACGCTGACAGGGTCGGTAGCTGACCCGAGACGCGGTAAGCGCGAAGGCAGCCTCCTCGACCCAAGCCTGAAGCCTGACTAACCCACACCGCCCTCCCCGGCGCACCCAGTGCGCGGTTACCTGCTAATGCAGGCGCCGCTCCGCCGCACTTCTCCGCGCGCCGCCGCGCCCGGCGTCCGCTCGCTGGGCCCGCCCCTCACCCTCCTCCGCGCGCCGCTGCCGTGCCCACTGCGCAAGCGCGAGGCCCCGCACCACCGAGACCTGGCGGACCCCGTTGCTAGAGCGGCAGATTGCGGCTCAAGCGTCTGAGAAAATCTAGGCTGGGGTCGAGAGTCCGCAACAGTGGCACCTGGAGCCAGACCCACCGCTTTCTGGTGTCGCGCCTTTCAACCCGGGGGGGTAGGAAGCTTTCTGTTGCTCCGCATAACTGTGGTCAGCTAATAGCTGCTGGTAAGATCAGCACGCTTTCATCAGAAATGCTACTAATACTAATGGCAGTTTGCATTTATAGAGCACTTACTATGGTCTCAGCACTGTGTAAAGCAACTTTATGTGTATTTCCTAAGTCTTGTCAAGAGCCCTTTAAGTACATTCGTTTTACTGATGAAGAAACTAGGGCCTAGAAAGGTGAAAATAACACAACCCTAAGGTCACACAAGAGATGGAGCCAAGATTCAAGCCCAGGGCGTCTGAAGCAAGACTGGCACTCCCTGCCGCCCCTCGGTGTCAGCTCCTTAACTCTGTTAGCTTTCCTGCCGTGTTTCCACCTTCATGAAGCTTTTTCAGATTACCGGGCAGAAGCCATCACTCCTTCCTTTAAACTTCCATTTCAGAATTTCTGGACATTTCCTGCTTTTTTTAGTTCCTTTATGGCCTCTCTAGGTGTGATAGATACAAAGGTAAATTAGACCGTAAAATGCAATTTAGTTCCTCTTTTGTGTGGCCATTGTCCCTACTGGGTATCTTCCTGAAAGCAGGGGCTTCAAATTTACACATACCTGGGTTAGGATCCAGGCTGCACCACTTATTAGCTCAGTGACCCTGCTGTTACTTGTTGAGTACCACTGTGTGTCTGGCACAGTGGTACGCACTAGAATGACAGAAGTGAACAAAACAGACAAGGTCCTTGCTTTCTTGGAGTGTATAACAGGGAGAATAGACAATACATATTAAGGAATAAAATAAGATAATTTCAAATAGTGAAAAATGCTATGAAAATTGGGGCGGGGGGTCAGGGAAGGCCACTTTGTGGTGCCAAATTTGAGCTGAGGCCTGAAGAGTAAGAAGCCAGCCATACAATGATCACCATCCCAGTAACTTTGACTCAAAAGTACTTCAGCACCTACTCCATGCCAGGCACTGTTCTAAGGTGCTCTTTTATACAGCTGTGAACAGAACAATATAGATTCATGCTCTCATGAAACTGGCATTTCAGTGTGTAAGTCTAGGGACCAGGGATGAAAAAAATAGGAGGCCGGGCGTGGTGGCTCATGCCTATAATCCCAGCAGTTTGGGAGGCTGAGGCGGGTGGATCACTTGAGGTCAGGAGTTCGAGACCAGCCTGGCCAACATGGTTAAACCCAGTCTCTACTAAAAATACAAAAAAATTAGACGGACATGGTGGTGTGCGCCTGTAGTCCCAGCTACTCGGGAGGCTGAGGCAGGAGAATCGCTTGAACCCAGGAGGCGGAGGTTGCAGTGAGCCAAGATCACGCTACTGCTCTCCAGCCTGGGCGACAGAGCGAGACTCTGTCTCAGGAAAAAAAAAGAAATAAAGAAAAGAAAACAGGGTGGTGTAAGAGTAAGGAACTCAGTAGGGGCTAATTTTGATTAATTGGTCAGGGAAAGTCCTCCCTGAGGTGGCGACCTTTAAGCTGATATATGAGTTAAAGAAGGAATCACCCATGCTAGCACATGAGGGAGAGTACAGTGTTTCAGGCAAAGGCAATAGCTAGCACAAAGGCCCTCGGCAGGAATGAGCTCGGTGTATACAAAAAAAAGAAAGGAAGCAAGTTTTGCTGGAGCATGGTTAGGAGTATAATAGGTTTACAAAGCATAAACGGCTTTGTAAACTAGCATGGAGTTGGGATTTTATTCTAAGTGCAAATGAAGAGCCATTCCAGGCTTTTAAACAGGGGAGTGACATGATTTGACTTTTATTTTTTATTTATTTATTTATTTATTTATTTTGAAACGGTGTGTCACTCTGTCGCCCAGGCTGGAGTGCAGTGGCAGGAACTCGGCTCACTGCAACCTCCACCTCCCAGGTTCAAGCAATTCTCCTGCCTCAGGCTCCCGAGCAGCTGGGGTTACAGGCGCTCGCCACCACACCTGGCTAATTTTTGTAGTTTTAGTAGAGACAGGGTTTCATCATGTTGGCCAGCCTGGTCTCAAGCTCCTGACCTCAGGTGCTCCGCCCGTCTCGGCCTCGCAAAGTGCTGATTACACTTTGGGTGGGTGAGCCACCGCGCCCGGGCTTTTTTTTTTTTTTTTTAAATCATGGAGTGAGGGACAGGGATGAGCAACATATATTAAGATATTAAGGAAGATATTAAGAGTGGGGGCAAGGAGGCCAGTTAGGAGGCCCTGGCCAGGTGAGAGATACACTGTGACCCAGAATCCTGGTAATGGAGATGTAGTGAACAGATTGAAGTATAGTTCAGAGGTAAAGAGTTGGATAGCTTATGCATGAAAGGAATAAAAACACCTAGAGCTTTGTCCTGATCAACTAGGTGTTGTGTAACTGCGATGAGCAAAATCGGGGGGAAGATGGGGAATCAAAGAGTTCTGCTTGAACCGTAATAATGGTTTTTACTCGTTGCCTGCTTACTATACGCCCGATGATTTACCGATTTTTTTCCCTGTTAAAATTCACAGAACTGCCAATAAGTGCTTTGCCTCAGTTTTGTTGATAAACTTAGGCTCAGACTTGGGAGGAGGGGAGGGGTGGGGGGTCTCACCACTAAGAAGCGGTGGAAGCCGAATCCGAACTTAAGTCGGTCTGTCATCACTGTAGCCTTTCCGAGACAGTTGTCTTATGGAGTTGCTTGGAGAACGTAAAATAAGAGGCCTAAGCAATGCGTCTGATGTACACCTGTCGTGGAATAACTGTTCCCGCTCATTCGGCCGCTGTACCTCTGCTCCCTCATTCGGAGCGTAGCTGGGTATGAATGAAATTCCGGGCTTGTAGCACAGAGAAAACTTCTCTCCCACAATTGGTTGGTGCTGGGGAGGAAGCTCCTGATTGGTGGAAAGTCCGAGGAAGTGGGCAAGCCGGAGGGATTTCGTGTACCTCAGGTGCCCTCACTCTGACCGGCCCCCTATCATTACGTAATTTTCTACGACTCGCGGTAGCTCAGGCAGAGCGGGTTCCTGCAGCGGCGCGACCCTCTGACGTCTCCGCTTCTAATTGGTCAAGAGCTGCGACTGCAGTTCTGAAGCCTAACTGGTTGCCCGTGCCGCCTCGGAGGTGAAGTGTACTGCGCTGATTGGCTTCCAGGCGCCGGCCGCGTGTGATGTCCCGGGCAACGATTGGCTCTCGCCTACCGGGGGCTTCTCTCACCGGGACTCGGGACTCCCGGGAAGTGGACCGGCAGAAGAGGGGGCTAGCTAGCTGTCTCTGCGGACCAAGGAGACCCCCGCGCCCCCCCGGTGTGAGGCGGCCTCACAGGGCCGGGTGGGCTGGCGAGCCGACGCGGCGGCGGAGGAGGCTGTGAGGAGTGTGTGGAACAGGACCCGGGACAGAGGAACCATGGCTCCGCAGAACCTGAGCACCTTTTGCCTGTTGCTGCTATACCTCATCGGGGCGGTGATTGCCGGGTGAGGAACAGACACTCGCAGACAACGGGGCCTGTGGGTCAGCCTTTGCTGGGGGGTGGGAGGGGGTGGGGGAAGTGGCATTGCCAGACTGACGGAGTGGAGAGGGGCATCGCTGTGGGTTGGCGGGGTGGCGGAGGAAGGGGTAGTATGGGCCAGGCTAGTGGGGTGAGAGGAGAACCGTGGGTGACACCAGTGAGAGGGCCTTAGGTCCAGAGAGGGTCTTAGGTAGAGCTAGATTTGCCCAGAGGAGTGGGAGTTGGATGCATTGCCAAACGGCATTTGGGGGATGAGGGAAAGAAGGTGGTTGCGAGCTGAAGCAGTGTCACGTAGAGCTGGGGAAGAAAGAGGGATGCCTGACTGTAAGGAAAGATAGTGACAGTGCCAGGCTGAGGTTGAGGGGATGGACGTTTGTTTGATCAAAGAGGTGAGTTGCTGTGCCCCGCTGAGGTGGAGAAGCGGACGATGCTCTATGCCAAGCCTTCGAAGAGCCATTCTGGGGCTGACATTAAAGTGGGTGGATGATGCCAGCCCGAGTTGGGACTGAACGAAATTGGATGCGGGATGGGAACAAGAAGATCTTTAGACAGCCCTTGTACTTCCCAGCTTCTTGAGCTATTTATTATCTTAAGTTGCTTCATCTTTAACATTCTGGCAGTGCTACTGTTAGGACATTTATGTGGCATAATCTTTTTAAAGAAGGAAAATCATCCTTTGAGAGTGTTATTTGACTTTTAGAAAAGTCAAAATCATTTGGAGCCAGTATAGGGAAAGGGGGGAAGAGTTAATTTGATTATATGGTTATTGCCTAAAGATAACATGAGACCATAAAATAAGGAAGTGGTTTTCTTGACCGAAGGTGGTTCTGAAAGAAAAGTGCCACAGATGTTTTGAATAATCCGAAAAGAAGTATATAGCCTCTTACTGTGATTACTTCAATATATAAGATTCATTACAAATTCTGGTGTTCTCTCTTTAGTCATTCTTTGTGTGTGTATGTGTCACATAAACCTTCATTTTTATACCTCTTTGCTCAGATACAAACCTAAATGTAGAGGAAAAATAAATCTTTTACTTTGAAAAATGTAACATGTAACTCTTTAATGAAGTATTCTCTCCCTCTACTTCCCAGACGAGATTTCTATAAGATCTTGGGGGTGCCTCGAAGTGCCTCTATAAAGGATATTAAAAAGGCCTATAGGAAACTAGCCCTGCAGCTTCATCCCGACCGGAACCCTGATGATCCACAAGCCCAGGAGAAATTCCAGGATCTGGGTGCTGCTTATGAGGTGAGTTGGGAAAAGTGATAAAGTACGAATAAAATCTGTAGCTCTAGAAAAAACATACAATACAGAGAAACACTCCTTTCAGCTCACATTTATTTATTTATTTATTTATTTTGAGACTGAGTCTCTATTGCCTAGGCTGGAGTGCAGTGGTGCAATCTCCGCTCACTGCAACGTCCACCTCCTGGGTTCAAGCAGTTCTCCCGCCTCAGCCTCCCAAGTAGCTGGGATTACAGGTGCATGCCACCACACCTGGCTAATTTTTGTATTTTTAGTAGAGACAGGGTTTCACCCTGTTGGCCAGGCTAGTCTTGAACTTATTATAGATTAATAAGTAGATCAACTGATTGGTCTGTCGTTCAATCAGTTTGGGAGCTAGAACCAAAAATAAAAAGAAAGCCTTCATGAGAGTTGCAAACCTGCATGTTCATATGAACTAGACAAATAACATGCAGGGCAGGTATAAGTTAAAACATGGCAGCAGATATTCTGCCTCCATATTGGGAAGCAATAAGGATTGTTGAGGACTTTGACAAACTGAAGCCTTCTGGCCCCATTTCAAGGGAGCAGCTGTTACTCAACCCCAGCCAGTTTTTGTCATACAAATGCAAACAGTATGTTCCTGGATGATTTAATTTTTCAAGAAAAGTTGAAAATCTAGATTTTTTATATGAGTTCTGCTTGTAAAAGTGTTGGTAACTAATTCAGTTAAATTTCTTTTTTACATAAATCAAACAGAGCACAGTTTTAATTTGATTTTGCAACCTCTAATCTGGGGATCAAAACACTCTCATGTGTATCATCTCATTTAATCTTCACTAGGACACCAGGAAATATATTAGAGCTAGGCATATTTTTATTCTCATTTTCTAAATGGACACAGAAAAAAATTAATTGAACTAAAAGTCATAGAGCTAAAACTCCTGAATTTAAGTTTAAATTCTTGTATATTGAGAAGGCTAAAAACAAATTGAAAAATATTTTAGGAAGACACAAACCTTGAAAGGAAGGAATCCCAAGATCTCTAGATTAAAGAAGCAATGGAATTGAAACAGTGAGTTATACCCAGGTGAACCCAAGAGCTGTTGGGGTCCTTTCATCTTTCAACACCTTCAGGGATCCTATGGGGCAGAAATTCTTTTTTATTTTTTTTTGAGACAGAGTCTCGCTCTGTCTGCCAAGCTGGAGTAGAGTGGCACGATCTCGGCTCACTGCAAGCTCCGCCTCCTGGGTTTTACGCCATTCTCCTGCCTCAGCCTCCTGAGTAGCTGGGACTACAGCTGTGCACCACCATGCCCAGCTAATTTTTTGTATTTTTAGTAGAGACAGGGTTTCACTGTGTTACCCAGGATGGTCTCGATCTCCTGACCTCATGATCCACCCGCCTCGGCTTCCCAAAGTGCTGGGATTACAGGCATGAGCCACCGTGCCTGGCCAAGGGACAGAAATTCTTAACCTGAGGCACATCAATAAACTTGGGAAGGTTAATGGCCCATCCTAAATTATATGTAATATTTTGTTTCTTGTTGATAATATGCATTCTATATTTTGCACTGTATTTTCCATGAATAGTCCCCTTGTTTGCTAGGAACCTAATACTCAAAAACATTTTCTAGGGAAGCTGAATTTACCATGCTCTCTAAAGAATCTTCACGTTCTTTATCAATGACCTAGGCAGGCTATACAAAGGTCAGTCATGAAATCGTGGCTTATTTAACTATAACAATCCTTTTAGCCACTAGTTCAAATTTCTGTTTTCTTTTTATCATTCAAGCTTGATTGCCTTTAGTCTTAGGTAAATTAGTGTTCACAAATTAGAATCCGAGTACAGTTATGAAGAATCTTTTGTGAATACAAATTTGTTTTCTCTACAGAGCTAGGATCACTGCTGGCATTTTAATTACTTGAGAATCTGTGTATTGGTTGGCCAATCAACTAAAAACCTTTTTTCTTTTAAAATAGTTTCCAAGACCATAGAATAAAATTGCATTCCTTGATGGAAGAAAAGTGAGGAGGAAGTAAATGATAATGACTTCAAGAGTAGTTTTTAGGGGGTTATTACAGAAGCCTCTGATGTCTAAAAAGAAACTGACTTAAAACTAGTCTTTGGGGGTTTTGAAATGGTGTTTTTTATAGTCTCAAATGCAGGGTTCATTTATTTGTGAAGATCAGATCAGAGAAGTAGACTAAAAGTGAAAATATTGGAGATCCAGTTAATAATAAGGGTTTTTTTTTTTTTCAAGTTAATTGTGCCCATTTCTGCTTCCCCAAAGTACCTATTTTCTAAAGATACTTGTGAAAACATGCTTTCCTCTCCCTTTTTCTTTCATAGTGGCTGTAATCAAGTACTGTGGTCACTTCTGGAATAACCCATTTGCCTTTGCTTTTAAGAATGTTCACTCTCTTGTATACTCAATTTCTATTTATCCTTTCAAGGATATCTTAAATGTTAATACATTTTTGCCATGACTCCTTACACCTCATTTGGGCCCTAAGCCAAAAATGTGTCCTGTGTGAATATGCCTTTCTTTTAAGTCAACAAGCCCCGTCTACTTTGAACCTCTCTTTTTCTGGGCCACCATGAGTGTGGTTTTGAAATAACTCTCTCCTTCAGACTCTTGTCTAAGTAGGAGTTTATAAATATCAAAGGAAGATTTTAAAGCCATTTAATTTTCACAAGTATATATGTGCATATATATCAGATTGCTCTAAATAAAAGAGAAAGTTTTTTTTTGCATGTTGAAGGCAAATTTTGAAAAGGATGGAAGCTTATTTTGTTGTTACATTCTTTAATATACAGAGAGAAAGCATATAGTCATGATTGTGTATGTAGTTCTCTGAAACTTAAAACTTCAAGAATTATTTCAAGCAATGAAATTGACCTTGAATAACCTTCATAGAGTATTTTTACTTACTACTCTTTCTGCATTTCAAACTCAGGACATTACAAACTTAAACATATATATATATGGCAGGCAAAATTCTTCCACAAATGGATTTCTGCATATACCAAAAAATGAAAAAAGGAGGATGAAAAGATATCAGTGTAGGCCTCTCTGGAGGGCCTGTCATTTGATTTCCTTGACTTGACAATCTCCTAATACATGCGCGCGCGCGCGCGTGTGTGTGTGTGTGTGTGTGTGTCTGTGTGTGTGTGTTTTGGGTAGGGGGTGTTATAGACCTGTGGGGCCAAGTTGTTCTGAAGGCAGTATAGTGGTTAACAGCATAAGCACCAAAGTCAAACTGCATGGGAAGTAAACCTGAGGAATCCGTCTTAACTCTTTCCTGTCACCACCCTGACCTTCACAGCTGCATTGCTAATCTCAGGTATTATTTTTTAGTGACTACACGAGTTTTGAGAACTTTAAATTAAAAACATGAATGGAGCAATGTGGAATGAACAGTGCATCAAAGAATTTAGTCTTAGAGAAAATAACTTTGTAAATATGCCTTAATACAGTACATAATGGAAACTGCATTCTATTAAAATTTTAGACCCACTGTCAAAGTAAAAACAAACATAAATATGACTGTGCCTTAACTGGATATTACCAACTCATGATCTTTTCCTCCACTGGCTTTTATCCCCAGGTTCTGTCAGATAGTGAGAAACGGAAACAGTACGATACTTATGGTGAAGAAGGATTAAAAGATGGTCATCAGAGCTCCCATGGAGACATTTTTTCACAGTGAGTAATTTACCCATCTGCAAAGTGTTAGTGTCTGAGAGAGGGTCACTTAGCGATTAAAGAATTATTCTCATTCCCTAGTTCAGAAACTTTTGATGAACAGTACAATTTAGCTGATCCAAAGATCAATTATTGTCCTCCCTGTGGGAAGATAGTCTTCTATTTTCACAAAGCTTCAGGAAAGACTGATGGCACTGAAAGGACATTCCATCTAGCCAACCATATCAGTTAAATCAGTGCAGACAATTCACGGGGACATGTGTTGGAAATCAGTTCATCCTTGCCTACTTGCTACCTTGCAATCTGCAAACCACTTAATGAGCAAAATTATTGTTAGCAGAGATAGAAAAATTCCTGCTCCCATACCCAGAGCTGCCTCTCTTTCGTGCTATCAACAAGTGAGGGTGATTATAATAACCAGCATTAGGGGAAGGAATTAGGGTAGAGGACCTTTATCTCTTGCTTTCTGGGAGTGCTGGGTGGTTGGAATAATAAACACTTTCTTCCTCACTCTTTGAACCTCTCTTTATTGAGCATTTGAATTTCCACATTCCCTGATGATTACATATACTAAGAGACTTTAATCTGGGGTTTCAGGTCTGAAATTATAAACAAAAAGATGTTCGAATCTGCATTTTTATGGGGAGAGTTCATTGTTTTCTTCAGATTCTCAAAGGGTTCTGTGAACCCTTCCCCAAAAGAAGTAAGAATCACTGTTGCATATAGTAGTTACCACCATTTAGTGCTTGGTTGAGGGGCCTGGGGTGGGGGAGTAGATTTTTAGGGTCTGTAAAGATGTGTGAGTAACATGATTAGGACATCTTTTCCCCCCGCCAGGATCAATTTGGCTGGCTGAAGTGATCCCTAGGGAATACCAGAAAGAGAAACAGCTTCCCCAGCCCCCACCCTGTTCTTTCCCCTTGCCTTTATTTAAGATTCAGGGAATTCATTCACCTGAGTTGGTTGGTGGGAGAGGGAGTTATATAGTTATCATCTTCGCTATGCTAATATACAAGGCTTCTTAATAACACCAAAAATTAACATTAGATTAAACCACCTGTAGGATTGAAGGTCACCTTTTTTGTTAATCTCAAGTTACTCTTGTTACTTACAAAAATTAGTTTGGGTCTTATAGAGGCTAGAACTTCCTTCTCCTTAAGCACTAGGATTTTACTAAGGCTGATGCTTTTTTAGCTTATTTAATTACATACTCAAGATTTTTGTGTAGAGCAGTAGCTTCTTTCAACAAGTTAGCTTCTAAAAAGCATGTAAAGAGAACACTACATATGTTAAAATTACCGATAAAAATTTCTTAAATTAACCATTACATTTAGCATTACACAAGTTTATGTATACTATACTCTTTCTCAATAAGTCCACCATATTCAGATTTTTCCCAATATTGAAAGATTATTATTTCATTGGTTGGGTCCAACATTGAATTCATTGGCATACTGTGTGTGTATGTACTGTACTATATGTATGGGCTATATTTTGTTAAAAAGTGGATTTTTTTGTAGTAAGGGACCGTATAGTTACAACATGGTTGATAGTATATAAATTTAAAATTATGTATGATAGTTGACTCCATTGTATTAAAAAATACCTTGTAGTTTTGCACAATGCATTGATAGAAACAATAGTTTATCAACGTAAAGAAAATGAGTTAATTGTGAAACATAGAGTCTTGATTTTTTTTTTTTTCCTGATGATTTTGCACTTATCTTTAGCTTCTTTGGGGATTTTGGTTTCATGTTTGGAGGAACCCCTCGTCAGCAAGACAGAAATATTCCAAGAGGAAGTGATATTATTGTAGATCTAGAAGTCACTTTGGAAGAAGTATATGCAGGAAATTTTGTGGAAGTAAGTTCAAACAATATAGCTGTTCATATTGACTCCCAGAACTTGCACTTTTGACTAAAAATAAGAGGTTTATATGTACCTTCTCTGTCTTTTTGAGGGTAAGAGAGAGTGATCAAATGCACAAAATTGAATTAATTATAATGCTTGGTTCATGATACACTGATGTCATTGTTTTATCACCCAGCTTAAGAACTAAGTAAAACATTACCATGACTTAATCTACCTACATGCTACTTCCCTGTTCCATTACCCTGCCTCCCTTCAAAGGTAACTACTGTATTGAGTTATGTCTTTATTGTTCTTTTGCCATTCTTACTTTATCATGTATATATGAATACCTGAATAATATATTGTTTATTATATTGTTTTTGATTTTTTAGAAATGGTATTTTATTCATTATTTTCTGGGACTGGTTATTTTCACTCACTATTATGTTACTAGGATTCACCCTTGTTGCTTATTGCTATATTGTGACCATAATTTATTAATAGGCATTTTTGTTTCTTCCAGTTTTATTCAATTCCAAACAGCGCTTTTATGAACATTTTAATCCATATTTCCAGGTTCAGATGAACAAGAATATCTCTTGGGTGGATATGCTTGAGAGTAGAATTGCTGGGTAATATGAACCAATGTTCATTTTTACAAGTTAATACTGTATTGCTTTTGAAATTGATTGTACTGATGCTTCTACATGCAATTTATGAGATCCTATAGATTCACTGCCTCACTAATACTTGGAATTATTAGACTTCTTAATTTTTGCTCATCAAATGGGTATAAAATATCTCATTATGGTCTTGTTTTACATTTTTTAAATTACCAATTAGGATCAGCATCTCTTCCTGTGTTTATTGGCCATATTTGTTTCCTCTCTTGTGAAATGCCTGTTCTTTCTTTTGCCTCTTGCTTATTGATTTCTAAGAGTACTTCACTCTTGCTGCTAATTCTTTGTTGGCTGTATGTAATGCAGATATAGGCTATCTGTTTGTAACTTGTCTTTTCATTATGTTTAAGATTTATTTCAATTTTCAGCAAACAGAACTAATTAATGTAATTAAATCTATCAGTCTTTAATGGTTAGTTTTTGTGTCTTTTTAAAGAAATTCGTTTTTGTTCTAAAATAAGAAAGCAGCCATGTGCAGTGGAGCACACTTGTAATCTCAGCTACTCAGGAGGCTGAGGTAGGAGGATTGCTTGAGGCCAGGAGTTTGAGGCTATCATGTCCTGTGATTGCATCTGTGAATAGCCACTGCACTCTAGCCTGGACAACATAACTGAAACTCATCTCTGGAAAAAAATTTTAAAATAAAATAAGAAAGCTGTTCACCTATATTTTCTGCTAAAACTCTGGGATCTTTTAATATGAGGTTATTCATCTTTTTTAAATTCTGGAAAATATGTCTCATTATTTTTTACAATTCTATCACTCCTACTTCTGTCTGCTCTTAACTTTCTTTTAAATACAAAAAATAAATTTTCTTTATCCTTCACTGCTTCCTTCTGGGAGGTACCTCATTTTGATCTCCCAGCTTACTACTTCAGTCTTCAGCTATATCCATTCTAATAATAACCCATCTGCTGTGTTTTAATTTCAACTCATATTTTTATGCATAATATTTCTACTTGATTCTTGCATTATTTCTTACTCTATATCATTTTACTAATGCCTTCCCTCCTTAAGTATTATCATGCTTGTTTTAAGTTCCTGGTCTGTCTAATCTTTTTTTAAGCAAAGTACAGTTGCTTAAAATATATGTGTTATTCAGTTTGTTGTCTTTTGTGGGGCAGATGATAGACCTTCTCAGGTATCTAGCTGTCTTGGCCTTTGAGCTGATATTCCCTTACAGGTACCAGCAACTACCTTTCCCTGCAGAGCATCATGGGCTGAGCCCTGGCCCACTGGTTTTAACTGTGTTTTGTTTGGTGTCTTGGGGTGTTTTTTGTTTTGTTTGCTGTCTGGAGTCTTTTGTTTTCTGCAGTCATGGGAAACAGTTCAAAACAGCCCTCTATCTGTGGGATTTTCTCATATATTCTGTGCTGTAGTTACTGTTTCCTGGAATCCATGTTTTCTTGTAGTTTTTCCAGGATACTGGAGGAGACAGCCGGTAGCCTGTGCATATGTGCCATCTTGACAAGAAGCGTATTCTTCTTAGTTGTAGCTGCTTCTCTGAATAATTGAAAGAAGAGATATAGACAATCACAGAAGATGCAACTGACTTGTAATACTGTTGAGGCTGCAGGAGAAAAGGGCATTAAAAATATTCATAAACCAGTGAGGTTGTTTAGATGGGAGGAAAGAGGTGAGCCTAATTAGCGCCCATGTTCCCTTCCAAGCCTGTTCTGCAGTTGTCACTAATACACAGTAGACATCACTTTTTGCTGTTAGTGTGTTCCCGAACAAACTCTTTTTTAATCCAACTATTGTAAAGGCTGTAAATGGCTTTGCTGGTTCAGTAACCCCATGCTAAATTCTTTTTTTCCTTGTTTTCAATCCTGCTCCTTCTGTATGTAAATTATTTTTTAAAGAAAAAAAAATACCTTGAGAAATAGGATAGCACAATGGTTAAGGAGCATGGACTTTGCAGCTAGACTGCCTAGTTTAGAATCCTGGCTCTGCCATGTATTAGTCATGTGGCCTTGGTCATGTTACTTAACCTTTCTATACTTCTGTTACCTCACCTGTAAAATGGGGATAATAACAGTACCTGTCTCATAGAGTTGTGAGGGTTAAATGAATATGTAAAAGTGTTTGGCACATGGCTTGGCATGTAGTAAGTGCTATAAAATGTTTGCTCTGATTACTGTTATTGTTGCTATAATTTACTCTGTTGACCTGGGCCTTTCATATGTTGGTAGGCTTTAAAGGATTTTTCTCCAAGCATTCGTCATTCTGCTGCGTGAGCACATACCTTGTGATTAGATGTTTGACTATTTAAACAGGCAAAACTAGGAATACATTTCTGCATATATATCAATTTTACATTCTTAGAGGGATCAGAATGTTTGATTGCAGTCAACTACAAAGAGATGGTCATTGTTTCTCTTCCTACATGTTAAAGTATCTGAATGGAGATAGCTCCAGAAAATAGTCCTGGATTGCATTTCCTGAAATAAGGAGACATTTTCAGTAGGTTAACCAGAGGATTGGATAGTAGCCACATACCAGGTTTTGAAGGTAGTGATTGTTCCTCAGGGGTTATGCTTTACACAGCTCGGATTTCCTAAAAGATAATCATTACATGAAGTACTTTAACTCAGTAGCATTTAGTTGTGGCTTAGAAATGCTGATATCATACACTTTATTTTTCGGTTCTCTTGTTTCTTACTCCCGTCTCTACTTCTCCAGCTTTAGAATTTGAGTCATTTAAGTATGTGTTTGCTTCATTCCTGTTTGGGGGCTGATTTGTACTCTTCAAAGAGTTTTGTCAGCTTTAGATCTCTGAGGGATAGATTGCCAGAGAAGGGGAAGTTTCAGTCCAGGCATATGTGCAGAGCCTTGATCAATTGAGGAAAGGAAAGGCTGTTTTACACAAGAGAGAAGCTGATGTTGTTTATGCACTTCCTAGGTAGTTAGAAACAAACCTGTGGCAAGGCAGGCTCCTGGCAAACGGAAGTGCAATTGTCGGCAAGAGATGCGGACCACCCAGCTGGGCCCTGGGCGCTTCCAAATGACCCAGGAGGTGGTCTGCGACGAATGCCCTAATGTCAAGTAAGTGAAAGCACCTTCTTTGTTCTACCAAGAAACACTTGTTAATTTCGTTCATCTAGTCAAACACTAATGGTCCATACTAGATCTTTCTCTGTCCCCTCCCCACTGCCATGTTCTGCAAAAGGATAGAGCAAAACAATGTACATTTTTTTCTGAAGTATTTGTAAATATCTCCTTTTATGTTTCTGAACTAACAAGCAGTGCCCTTTATTTCTGATACATTTTCAACAAGTATTAATGCTTCATTTTCTTCCTTCTTGTACTATTAGAGCAGCCTTATATGTTTATAAATGTATAGTAGCTTCACCCTGGATTTTAGCATATAGAAGATGTAAATGATTATCAGATAGTTTTGTCAAGTAGAGGCACACTACAGTCTTCCAAGAAAAAGCTCTGATAAAATAGGTATAACTTTATCTATATCTGATGTTTTGTTTATATTTTCATTATTTTTCTCCTCTTTTAATTCTCTTTACCTCAGACTAGTGAATGAAGAACGAACGCTGGAAGTAGAAATAGAGCCTGGGGTGAGAGACGGCATGGAGTACCCCTTTATTGGAGAAGGTGAAATATTGATATTTGATTTTTTGATTGTGATAACTTTTTGCTCTCTGCTTGTTTGTGAATACCTTTCACCCCTGCCTTACTCCATCTTAATGTTCACATAGTAAACGCATATATAATTTCCAACACTCTTCGGCCAATTTTAGGATATACAAAGCCTTTTGTTTACCTGAAGCAGTAGCATTACCGTTTATCCTTTGAATGTCATGGCCAAAAGTTATTATGAGGTAGCCTAAGTTTCATCAAAATTTAGGGTGTTCAGACCTTAATGAGTTTTAATTCAGCAATGAAAGAAGATATGTAACTCTAGTTGGCATTAATAAGATGCTCTCAGGACCTCACCTTTAGACTTAAGTTTAAAACTCTAAAAATAAAAAAAGCTTTAAGACTTAGGTTCAGGAGACCAGTGTATCATTCTTTGTTTAGGAAATGGGTCAAGTTATGTACTGCTGTATCTGAGGCAAAGGTGATGATTTCTAATAATCTGAAACTTGATACAACCAGGCAGAGACACTGCCGTCACAGATTTGACAGGTCAATGCCCAAAGTAGTGGATTAAAAAAATGTATCAGTTGCCAAATAGATTTGTGGTATTCAACTTGTATGATTTACAATATGCTGTAATCTGCTCTGACTAGGTGAGCCTCACGTGGATGGGGAGCCTGGAGATTTACGGTTCCGAATCAAAGTTGTCAAGTAAGTAATCTAATTTTAGAGGTCTTCTCAGATGAGTCAAATTATAGAGACGTAGGTGGCCACCAGAGCAGTTAGACTTTTTTCTCTGTTTCTTACCCTTATTACCCTAAACGATGATTTGTAACTCCTCTACAAGGCTGAAAACTTGGGGTTGGGCCCTAGGATTGAGCCCCAGTTATTTATTTACTTAGGACTTAAAAATGCAAAAGATGTTGAAAGGAAATAATTGATAAGTAAGGAGTTATAAAAGAGAAACAAACAAGATAGGGAGTCAAAGCTGAGATTTTAGCTGAAGAAGTATGGCACCATACAAGAATAGGAGACTTTTCCATAGACAGAACCTTCTACATAATATGCAGCTTCTGTAAAGAGAGCTTTTCTTTTGTGAGCTTCTCTTCAGCATGAAGTGCTGCTTAGACAGTTTTGCCTGGGACTCCAGCTTTCTTGATTACTGTTGCTCTCTTGTTACCACTTTGGAAACCAGTAATATCTCTGCCTTTGTAAGGAGTCATCAAAACAGGGTTCCCACCAGAATATGGAGAAATGGCCCCCCACTGTCTGGGACTTTGCCTTCCTGCACTCTTTAATCTCAGTGTTGTTTTCCCCAGCTTCTTTACCTACCTTGTCTTTATCATCACTTCTTAGAGAAACTGGAACATGTGTTGTTTCCTGAATAAACCTGACACCTTCCTTGTCTTTGCCAGAATTCCTTCTCACTCTATTTCCCCTTCCCTCCACCCATTTTATCTGCATTTCTACAGCCAACTTAGTCTTGTGAGCCCAGCTCAGGAAAACTTCTGTAGACCTATTTCTGAAGATGATCTCCCCAGAAGCTGCCTTTCTCTCTTTTCCATAATCTAATGATTATAGTTTTACTTATACTCTGGCTTTTGCTGATTGTGTGTTCCTTAACAGTAGCATTTAATAAGACTTAAACAACTTTATATTCTCGATTAATACTACACACAAAAGTATGTCTAAGAAATGTTTATTGTTTGAAAGAGTGGTGTTCACCTTTTTCCAAGAATTTTCTAACAACTGTTTGAACTTAAAGTTGGAAATTAATGATTTTTACCTTATTCTGTTTTTAGGCACCCAATATTTGAAAGGAGAGGAGATGATTTGTACACAAATGTGACAATCTCATTAGTTGAGTCACTGGTTGGCTTTGAGATGGATATTACTCACTTGGATGGTCACAAGGTAAACAAACCAATTTACTCGTTCTGCATCCTTTTGAAGCCTTTATGTGGGTAGTTTTGAGATGTATCAGCTGTTTCAGTCATTGAGAACCAGATGGACTCCTTTCTTGGTCGTATTCTGCCGTCTGTACTTACTCTGCTGCTGAGCATACTGCAATAACAGTGCCAGACCTTTCAGCTACTCAGAATGGATTGCACGGCCTTTGACAATCTTGTCCTTATAGTTTCTATTGACGAAAACCTTTCTTTGTTTACTTGTTTTTGTGTTTGATTTTTCTTCTTTAAAATCCTTTGTTCTTGACTCACATTGTCTTAATGGTATTTCCTTTGCTCCTTCATTCTTTCTTTTTGCTGAGCTGTGACATTAGCTTTGTGTACCAGTGCTCACTAGAAGCTGTGTGATGTACTTCAGATGTACCGCTCCTGCTGCAGTACATTCCCTTTGGTTTTCTAGGTACATATTTCCCGGGATAAGATCACCAGGCCAGGAGCGAAGCTATGGAAGAAAGGGGAAGGGCTCCCCAACTTTGACAACAACAATATCAAGGGCTCTTTGATAATCACTTTTGATGTGGATTTTCCAAAAGAACAGTTAACAGAGGAAGCGAGAGAAGGTATGGCATATTAGTGTGTGTGTGTGTGTGTGTTTGTGTGTGTGTATGTGTGTGTGTGTGAGATGAGAAAAGGATGGCAATAGAAGAACTCTCCAGTGACATGAGACATCAATCATTAATGCTAGTAGAACACTAAGGAATGAACTCATCTTTCTCTGTAAAGGCGATATATTAAAAATCCTGCATCTTTGTGTTACAAAAGTCTATGTAAGCTGTGCTTCAAAACCTAGGGAGTGATAGAGTATATGGGAGTGAAACAGAATCACTTAAAACAAATGAACTGGACCACACTGTAAAAGGGAAGATGAGGTAGACTGTAGAAAGATTAGAAGCTTATGGGTGCATGTCTAGGATGACTGGTTGAGAAGAGGGCCCCACTGGGGGTCCTAAATAGTAAGAGAAAGGAGAGCAATGAAGGAGGTAAAAACTGAAAAGAGGATACAGAAGAAGGAATGGAAGACTGAGCTGAAGAGTTTTCTTTCCCTTTTGATTGCCTCTTCTCATTCCTCATTTCATAGAGCTTTGTGGGACATGTATGTGGTATGTGGGCCTAAAAGACAAGGGATCATCCTGGACACACATGTGCATGTGTGGGGTTACCTACATGCAATTACGTTGGAGATTGGTAGTTATTTAATTCACATCCATGTTTGTCATAAGGCCTTTTATGAGCTTTTTCTTGAAATATGCTCTTTAAACGCTAGGAAAGTAACATTTTTTTGTTAATGGAGTCATTTGTTCATTCTTTCTTCAGGTATCAAACAGCTACTGAAACAAGGGTCAGTGCAGAAGGTATACAATGGACTGCAAGGATATTGAGAGTGAATAAAATTGGACTTTGTTTAAAATAAGTGAATAAGCGATATTTATTATCTGCAAGGTTTTTTTGTGTGTGTTTTTGTTTTTATTTTCAATATGCAAGTTAGGCTTAATTTTTTTATCTAATGATCATCATGAAATGAATAAGAGGGCTTAAGAATTTGTCCATTTGCATTCGGAAAAGAATGACCAGCAAAAGGTTTACTAATACCTCTCCCTTTGGGGATTTAATGTCTGGTGCTGCCGCCTGAGTTTCAAGAATTAAAGCTGCAAGAGGACTCCAGGAGCAAAAGAAACACAATATAGAGGGTTGGAGTTGTTAGCAATTTCATTCAAAATGCCAACTGGAGAAGTCTGTTTTTAAATACATTTTGTTGTTATTTTTTTCATGACTCCTGTTTCTTCTGTGAGCTATTTGGGTTGTCCTCCCATCAAGCAAGATGGATGCACACGCATGCAAAAGAGTGATATAGATCCAGTCCCCATGCCCAATTACACATACGGCATCTGCTAGAAAGGAGCTTGGAAGAAACTGAATGGTTGATTGGGGTCCATGAATGAAGGTTACACAAAGATCTAATTGTCCTTGAAGTATATTTTCTCTCATTTAATTTGGGAATAATAATCTGATATGGACACTTTACTGTTTAGAAAGCACCTTTCATGTATATAATTTCAGTTGACCTCATGGTTAGAAAGCCTTTGGTTTGTTTAGGAACAAGGACTACCACTGGTTCTAGAAAAGGAATTTAGAGTTGCAAATTATGTTTGCTCATCTCATGGCACCCAATTCAGATGCTATGTGACGAGTACATTTGACTTTTGAATCTCCCTCATTTTCACATATATAGTCACATCACACTCTACTTTTCATGTACTTTGGACTTTTTGTCTCTGCTAGTGAGTATTTCAATTCTGTTTAACAACTGATGTTGCGTATTGTGTGTGGAGCTGCCTTCTAGCCATCAGCATAGTTCTAGCAGCATCCCTGCCTTTGGGCTATACATACCTTAGAAATCACCAGGCGTGGTGGCTCACACCTATAATCCCAGCACTTTGGGAGGCCGAGGCGGGTAGATCACGAGGTCAGGAATTCAGGATCAGCCTGGCCAACAGGGTGAAACCCCGTCTCTACTAAAAATGCAAAAATTAGCCGGCCACGGTGGTGGGCGCCTGCAATTCCAGCTACTCAGGAGGCTGAGGCAGGAGAATTGCTTGAACCTGGGAGGTGGAGGTTGCAGTGAGGGGAGATCGTGCCACTGCACTCCAGCCTGGGTGACAGAGCAAGACTCCATCTCTAAAAAAACAAAAAATCAAGTGAAACCACACAAATACGTATGTAAGTTTAGTGGACTTTTTGTACCTGTAAGATTCATTATGTACTGAATTGCCTCTAGTTGAGCATTTCTCAGGAGTGATCATCATTTCCTTTATATATCAGCCCCGGAGAAGTCTTGATCATTATTTGCACTTACTAATCCCCATTTTTCCAAGATGTATGCAAGGGTCAGTCATGATACTAAGAGCTAGAGCTGCTAGTCTTGGTGAGAAAGACCCCATAGGGATAATGTGTTTCCTACAAAGAAGAATGTTAATGGGGCTTTGTCACTCCTGGGCTTTGTCACTCCTTTTTATCCATTGTCTAGATTGTCGTGATTTAATAAGTTAAAGAATATTCTTTCATTATTGGACTCTGAGCTTCAGGTAGCTTTAAGTGCTTTATCTGAGGCACATTGTAATTTGGAAAGATTTATATTAAAATTCCATAGATTTTCTTAAGAAGGGAAGATAAACACCATAGAGGAAGGATGCTAGGTAATTAATGTGGAAGAACAGATAATAGTGTCTTCAGTTCTGCAAGGAAAAAAGCCATTCCAGGGAGCTATGCAATGAGGCTGAAAGGATGCTTGGCCTGGAATCAGATTTAATTTCTATGACTGAGGAAGCTTGTTAGCCTCAGTTTTCTCATCTGCAAAATGGAGATAATGAAGGGGGATATTTTTGTGCTTGGTCTTTTATGCATCTTAAACATCTTTTTGGGCTACTCAGAGATTTATTCACTTACATATACTCCTGCCCCTTAGCTGCATTCACTATTGGTTAGGTGCTGGATTGCCAAATCCTAGATGGATGTTAGTGCTCAGAAATCACTGAAAAGGGAACAGGATTTGGAAACTTAAAACCTGTTTGAAAAGGTCCAATGGGTGTTACTAGAAATGGGAATGGAAAGATAATTTTATTCTATTCCTTGAAAAAAAGCTGCTGTTGGCTCCAGTAGCAACCTTTACCATGAACAAAAGATATCCAAGGGCTCTGAAAGATAAGCAAGAGAAGAAGACACCACTTGGTAAGTGTTCACTTTTTAAAATTCTAGTATTTTAGTCACTGAAATTGCTCCAGGACTCACAGTGAAGGGTTGGACACAGGTCACAGGCAGTGGGCACCAGTACAGCTTCCGTCATGAGTTTAGATGTCAAAGAGCCCCGACCCTTTCTTATTCCATTAACAGAAATGAAATATTTCTGAGTGGTATAACTTTAAGCACAGTTCCTCCAACAATGCAGCCAGCCTGAGAATGACATAATTTGGGGGCAGTCTCATCACACTGAGTGTCAGTGAAAACCCTCTAGAGCTGCATAGTCCAATCTGGTAGCCACATGTGGCAATTGAGCACTTGAAATGTGGCTCATCCAAACAGAGGTGCTATGAAGCATAAAATACACACTGGATTTTGAAGACTTAGTATAAAAAAAAAGTAAAATGTCTCAATTTTATATTGACTACATGTTTAAATGATAGCATTTTGAATATAACTGGTGAAATAAAATAGATTATTAAAAACAATATATTACTAAAATTCACCTGAGTTTTTTTCACTTTTTAGAATTTGGCTAATAGGAAATTTTAATTACGTATGTAGTTCACATTATATTTCTGTGGATTGCACTGCTCTAAGAGTCTCGCCCAGGCTGTGCCAGGTCACTCAACAGAAGTTGACTAGTACTTTGGGATAAAGGGCCTCATATTTACTCCTATTCAGTTACCTCCCCCTCACTCAGTTGGCCCAGTGGTCCAGTCTGTTACCATGTTTTGGGATCCTCCAATTCAGGCATTCAGTATGAGCCTCTCCACCTGATGTTATCTGTGCACTGTATTGACTGAGACATAAGATTTTCATCTAAACAGTGAATAAAAGCACTAGCCAAAGAATTGAAGTCAACTCTTAGTTAGATTTTGCCACTGAAAGCTTGCTCCAGGTTGACAATCATCTGAACATCAGGGTAAAGTCGTATCAACCTCCATAAGAATAATTGATTTTGCATCTAGCCATATTTCTTTATCTTGTCCACACAGGTATGCTGAGAGATCTTGTTGAAATCCAGTTAGACAACAGCCTGTTAGGAAATGAGGTGTGTCTGTTATGACACTCTTCGTGAGCCCATACTGGGGCCTAGGGATCTTCACTTTCACATTTAGGTGATTTTCTCAGTATTCTGGAATTGTCTCCAGTCCAGAAGACAGGATTTCCTTCAAAGAAAGTGTTTCTTATCATCAATCACCTCTTCCCTCTTGGACTTCCATTTCCTCTTACTGATGTTCACTTTACCCTTTTATATTGAAAACATCATTTTTTGACAGAATATAGAAACAAAACGGGAGGTTTTATGTACCATAGTGTTACCATGTGCATGCTCTAGAATCACACTGATCAGATTCAAATTCCAGTTCTACCATTTACTAGTTGTGCCTTAATTTCTCCCTCTGTAAAATGGTGATAATAACAGTACATGTTTCATAGAGTTGTTGGTTGATTTGACATTTACAACTGGAATGCCTCTCTTGGGATAGGCAGTTCAAAAAGAACAAGTTAATAATATATGTTGCACAACTGAGGTTTGGGAGGCTTATGATTTTTTAAAATTTTCCTTCCCTCTGCAATGCATGATGTTTGTGTGAAGGTGGCGCTAAAATAATGCCGTGAGAGCTATCGGCTCTGGAGCCCCAGACCTGTTTTTTTTTTTTTTTTTTTAAGCCATTTTCTAGCTCTTGCCACTAAAAATCAGGATATTAAGTAAAACAATAATAATTATAATTTTCAATGCAAACTCAAATAATAATGCATTTAACTACCCTCCTCTTTTAGTCTCCCTTAATCTTAACGTAGACAAGGCAGATGCCATACAGGCTGGATTTTGATTTGGAGCCTGATTCTGCCAAATAATAATAATAATAAATTAAAGGATGGTTTCCGAGAATTAGTAACAGTTATGGAAGCCACTGCAAGGGGCCAAATTAGGTGATTAAGAACAAGGCCGAGCACGGTGGCTCATGCCTGTAATCCCAACACTTTGGAAGGCCGAGGCAGGCGGATCCCCTGAGGTCAGGAGTTCGAGACCCGCCTGGCCAACATGATGAAACCCCATCTCTACTAAAGATACAAAAATTAGCCAGGTGTGGTGGCACATGCCTGTAATCTCAGATACTTGAGAGGCTGAGGCAGGAGAATCACTTGAACGTGGGAGGCAGAGGTTGCAGTGAGCCAAGATTGCGCCACCACTGCATTCCAGCCTGGGTAACACACCGAGACTCCATCTCAAAAAAAAAAAAAAAAAAGCAATCATGTAATTAAGTCTTCTGTGTTTTCTACCAGTTAGGTAACATTAAACCAGAACAGGAAATGTGATAATGTTTTCAGCAAGGTGTTTGATGATTCATCTTGTGATATCCCCTGGAGATAAAATAGAGGCACATAGTTGGATTCATAACTCACTAGTTACTGTTGAACATACTGTTGATTAATGGCTCAATGTCAACCTGTAAAGGAGAGAAGAGAGTCTTTGCTGGCACAAAACAAAGCTATGTTTTCAGTCCTGATCTGTTCAATAGTTTTATTGTCAGTGAGCATTTCAGGAAGAGCACTTAAAACACCAGGTGCCTACTGTGTGTAAGTCACAGAGTTTTCACAGCTCTTATATGTTTGTCATTGCAATAAGTCCTAGGAAGGGGCAGGACGCATTAAAACTGACCAGATAAGCTTTTGGCTGTTGTACAATGTTTCAAGTGGGAAAAAGCAACTTAACCTGTAAGAACAGGGTTGGGGTACACCAGCTTCATCAACAGCATTGAGAGGGAAGCATGATTTGACAGTAATGCTATCACGGTGTCATTTGAATTGATGTCCCCCAACATAATCACAAAGGGTCTTGCACTTTGTGGGCAGAGTAACTGTAACAAAATAGAGTCAGTAGAACAAAAAGTATAACCACCAGGGCCATTATAAGAAGCTGTAAGTCTTCGAAATATGAGTTAAATGCCTCTGTGTTTTCTGGTAAAGAAATGTTGACATTGGTGGGAGCAAAGGTCTTCCTCTAATTCTCAGCAACTGGTAGAGAAGAAAAGCAAGGGCATCACAAGAAGCAAGGGGAGAACGTAATGATAACACAAGGGTGGTGTCCTGGTTACTCTTGTCATTGTCATATAACAAATTATCCTAGCATTTACTGGCTTAACGCAGCAACATTTGTTTTTTTCTCACAAATCTGCAATATGAGCTAGACTGATGGAGACAACTCCTTTGCTCTACTTGGTGTCAGCTGGGACAACAGCTTGAAGGCTGGGTCTGGAGTCATTTCTACTCACATGTCTGACAGTTCATTCTGGGAGGTGGGAGGACTCAAGCAGCTGGGAACTGGAAATGGGGAGACTCCTCACGAATCTTTATCTCTGTGTGGTTTCTGCAGCATGGTGGCTATACATAGCTGGACTTCTTACATATTGGCTCAGGGCTCCCAAGACACGTTTCCCAAAAGGAAGTGGAAATGGGTAGAAGCTTTAGTTCTTCTTATGACTTAGCCTCATAAGTCGTGCAGCATCCTTTCCATCGCATTTTCATTTATGGAGGCAGCCACAAAGGCTCATCCCTCTTCCTGGGGAGGGGAATTAGACTGGACCTTTCAAGAAAAGAATCTTTAAGGTTCTGAAGGATATGTAGACCTGCAAATATTGTTGTGGCCATTTTTTGGAAAATACAGTTTGCCCCAGGTGATCAAATGAGACAGCCATACAATTAGCAGCTGAGACTGTGGAACATCAGAACAGCCATGGAGGGGCCACATAGTGCTCACAAAAGGCAAGTGAATTCAGAAAGAATGAGGTGACCATTTGCAAGTCCATGAGTACCAACCCCTATCCCTGCCATCAAGGAAGGAAAGCATTCTCGCAGCTGGAGTTTCAGGGATGAGATCTGAGCAAATGTCACACCATTCTGGCCCCTAGGATTATCCCTTTCTCTGCTGGGGTGCCTGGGAAATGTGGATTACACATCGGTGATATTAATGAGAACATGAGAGATGCTGATCTATGGACACTCGAAACTGAGAGGAATGTCAAATGACAGATCTGGTTTCTCACTATAGCTGCCAACACCTCTCAGATCCCAGTTCCAGAAAAAGAGGACAACTATCTGTTTTTTTAAACCTAATAGTATGAGAAAAGTCTCTTCAAGTAAATTGTATCTTCTACTACTCTACAGGACTCAACATAATCATCACTGAATTTATTTCTTCTGATTGCCAGGCACTGTGCTAGGTGCTGGGATATATAAGAGAGCTTTTTAACATAAAACGCACACACCTAATTAGCCAGCAAGCAAGACAAACAAAGGCTGAATCACTGGCCAGTAAGAAATCTTAAATATGTTAGTTAAACATGGAAAGTTGAGTTCATTTACCACAGAAAGAACACTTACAATTAAATTATGACAATGGCCGGGCGCGGTGGCTCATGCCTGTAATCTCAGCACTTTGGGAGGCCAAGGCGGGCGGATCATGAGGTCAGGAGTTTGAGACCAGCCCGACCAACATGGTGAAACCCCATCTCTACTAAAGATACAAAAATTAGCTGGGCACGGTGGTGCATGCCTGTAATCCCAGCTACTCAGGAGGCTGAGGCAGGGGAATCACTTGAACCCGGGAGGCGGAGGTTGCAGTGAGCCGAGATCACGAGATCACGCCACTGCACTCCAGCCTGGGCAAGAGACCGGGACTCTGTCTCAAAAACAAACAAACAAAAAAATGACAGTAAAACATGTTTCAACAGTCTATGCAATAAACAGAGAAGGAGGCCACACTCTGCATTGCCTGCATTATCCATCACAGGATTTTTGCCCTGGGCCTCACAAGCCCAGTCTGTTGATGAGCAAGTGGTTAAAGCTATGTCCCCTTCATGTGTGGCCATTGCCTTTGTAGGGGGCATTTTGAAGACATTGAAGAAGAACGTAAAGGATTCCTCGATTTTTGATCCACTTAGATGGTAAAACTGTAGATAATGAAAGAGATTTTAGAACTCAGAACAAGACCTTTGAGAAATTCTCTGTGAAGCCCATAAGAACAACCTAAAAATAGGCATTTCTACTTGCTATGGTTTGAATTTTAGCCCCCTCCAAAACTCATGTTGAAAATCCCCGATGTGGCAGTATTGAGAGGGGGAGCTTTTAAGAGGCGATTGGATCATGAGGTGATTGCCTTTGTGAATGGATTAATCTACTCATGGACCAGTGAATCAATAGGGTTGTTGGCTTTTATGAAGAGAAAGAGAGGCCTGAACTAGCATGCTCAGCCCCCTCACCATGTGATGCCCTGCACCATCTGGGGAGTCTGCAGTGTCCTCACCAACAGGAAGGCCCTCGCCAGATCTGGCCTCTTGAACTTGCACTTCTCAGCCTCCATAACTGTAAGAAATACATTTTTTTATTTATAAATTATTCAGTTCCAGATATTCTGTTACAAGCAACAGAAAACAGACCAAGACACTTTTTTTTTTCTCAGCTCATTGCAACCTCTGCCTCCTAAGTTCAAGGGATTCTCCTGCCTCAGGCTCCTGAGTAGCTGGGATTACAGGCACCCACCACCATGCCCGCCTAATTTTTATATTTTTAGTAGAGACAGGGTTTTGCTATGTTGGCCAGGCTGGTCTTGAACTCCTGACCTCAGGTGATCTGCCTGCCTTGGCCTCCCAAAGTGCTGGGATTACAGGTGTGAGCCACCTTGCCCAGCCCCAAGACACTATTGATGTGATATTTGAAGGCACTGAACTTGAAACTCTAGGGAAGAACTCAAACCAGCTCATCTGAGCATGTATGTGCATACAGAGAATTTGATCAAGGAAGGTAATGCAAAACTGAGCTGTCACAAACTATCACAGTACGTGGTTTCTAAAATTTATTTCTATGGTGGCCTTTGAAGCACAAACCTTAGGAATTTTCAAGCCCAGACTTTTATCAGCATGGCTCACTTCTGAGAGGAACTGGCTGAGCTGAGAAGTAGCCATAGGCTACCAGCCCTGAGTGTGGTGTCTCTGGAATTCTGGTGATATGAATCCCACATGAATATGAATCCCAGAATGATAATAAAATTTTGGACACTGTGGCCAAACCGTGGATAATTCCTGGATCCACTCAGTGCACAGATATCATGTTGTCTTTTATTTAACTCTTGCTATAGAAACTGAGAGCCCCCTCAATTACATAGACCTAGGTCCAGGAAGGAAACACACTTAATTGACACACCGCACAGTTGTCCAGAAAGCAGTATGTGAAACTGCAGTCTTCTCATTGGTTTGCTCAAACATGATTGTGCTTAGCTCCGAGTCTACAGTTCTAAGTCCAAGTGCTGGCTCTGCGGTGAGACTGGATTTAAATCCCTTCTCTTCCAATTATTAGCTCCATGACCTTGAACAAGTATGACAACCTCTCTGAGCCTCCTCACCCAACTCATATTGTGAAGATTGAACAATATGATATATTTAAAGTACCTGGTATGTAACAAGCACTCATTAAATATTAGGTATTATTACTGTTATATAATAAATGTGACTAAACTTTTTGAACCAATTTGCATCTCTGTTAAGACATATTTTTGAAACACTAACAAATTTCCCCAATGTCAAACAGTGTAAAACATTCATTGACCTGCACAGGTGTGGATTTCTGACCCCGTGACACCCTTTCCTTGGGAAAAAACCAAGAATGTCTCCGCTGAAGAATATCTGCAGAGAATACATGGAAACCAATCCTACATTCTCAGCCTGCTCTAGGCCCAGAAAAACAGAAACTGCTATGAGGGCTATTACTAAACATGGAAAGAGGGAAAGATAAAACAGCCACAGAGCCTCGGGAGAAATGAGAGCAGACATCTCAGGAGCTGGCCTGAGACACGCCACCTGGCAGAGTGTTTGTATAGCAGGAAGCCTCAGACCTCTGACCTTCACTGCTAGAGATCTGGCAGTCCAGAGTTACAGCGCTTGGTGTGACCCATTGCCTTTCCCCACCAGCACTAGGGTAACCAGATCATCTCTGTTTGCCTGGGACTTTTTCTGTTTTAGCACTGAAAGTCCCATGTCCCAGAAACTTCTCAGTCCCAGACAAACCTGGACAGTTGATCCTTCTAAGCCCCAGCATGAAAGGTGCTGCTTGCATGGAAGCCCATGCAGCTCACGTCATTCAGAACTGTTATGAGCAAGTGCAGAGTGATGGCTGAAGGCACAGGAGGGGCTAGAGCTAGGCTGAGTTCTGAGACTGTCTCATGAAGGAGGAACTCATGAGAGCTGTGCATGGAGACCAGGTCGGGCTGCACCATAGCACAACTGTCACCCGGGTGAACACGTGCCAGGGGAGGGCCAGACCAAGGCAGAGCCTTCCCAAGCTGGTTCACAGATTGGCACACACTGAAAACAACATTCTACATTGCACATTTACGCAGGGGACAGGGAGAAAATAATTTTGTTTGGTACAAGTTGTATATGCACCCTCTTCCTTTATATTAAAGATAAATTATTGCATGTGCTGACTATATGATAAAAACATAAGCATAACTATAATTGGCTTTCATTTCCATTTTCTGTTTATTTTAATGAATAATGTTAAACACTTATACATACTAAGAAGATAGGCTACTTACATGGTTATGGGCTTAAAGGCCTCTGGGGAAAAATATATATAATATATTTATAAATAAATATATATTATATATAAAATATAAATATGTAATATAAAATTTATATATAAATATATATAATATAAACATTGTATATTATATAAAATATATATCATATAAACATTGTATATAATATATATAATATAAACATCATATGTTATATATAAATATATATATTATATATACATTTTGACAGAGTCTCACTCTGTCACCCAGGCTGGACTGCAGTGGCACAGTCATGGCTCACTGCAGCCTTGACCTCCCAAGCTCAAGCCATCCACCCATCTCAGCCTCCCAAGTAGCTGGGACCACAGGTGCATGCCACCATGCCTGACTAATTTTCATATTTTTTGTAGAGACGAGGTTGTAAATATCTTTAAATTTTTTTTTTCTAATCGTATGTTGGCAAAATTCTCCCACTTTTGTTTGCTGTATTCCTTTAAAAATTTATTATTATTTTTAAAATACTGTTTATTAATGTTTTTATATAGAGATGTGGATCTCACTATGTTGCCCAGGCTGGTATTGAACTCCTGGGCTGAAGCGATCCTCCCGCCTCGGCCTTCCAAAGGGCTGCGATTACAGGCAGGAGCCACCGTGCTCAGCCTGTTTGCTCTATTATTTTTTAAATTTTTGTTTGTCTCTTTTTGTTTGTTGTGTAGTTATTAATTTTATGAATCTCCTTAAGGTAAATATTAAGGGATTTTTACAATTTAGATAATAAAATATATTAGTTGTTTGCTATAAACAGTGATATTTCAGATTTTTGGCTGACTTGGACTCCTGACAGCTGGCAACAGCCCACTGGCTGGTCTGAGAGTCCCTGTCACAGTCTGAGCTTGAAGGCACAGTTTGCAAAAACCCTCAAGAAGGAAAGCCCAGAACCAGCAAAAAACATCTTTTTTTTTTTTTTTTTTTGAGACGGAGTCTCGCTCTGTGGCCCAGGCTGGAGTGCAGTGGCGTGATCTCGGCTCACTGCAAGCTCCACCTCCCGGGTTCATGCCATTCTCCTGCCTCAGCCTCCCGTGTAGCTGGGACTACAGGTGCCCGCCACCACGCCTGGCTAATTTTTTTTTGTATTTTTTAGTAGCGACGGGGTTTCACTGTGTTAGCTAGGATGGTCTCGATCTCCTGACCTCCTGATCCGCCCGCCTCGGCCTCCCAAAGTGCTGGGATTACAGGCGTGAGCCACCGCACCCTGCCACAAAGAACATTTTTTAAAATGTTCCTCTATTTGCATGAAAGGGCACTGCCTGCTGTGGAAAGGATGGATCCGGTGCACATTCTATCAACTATGGAGAGTCATGCAGGGAAACAGATTGGTTGCTGTCCAGCTTCCAGGTCATTCTAGTGTCATATTAACTCCCCTTTCCGAGTGCTGCCCGGGGCCTATTCATGCCTACCCCTCCCCATATGACTCAGGGAGGGGCTCTCTGTACTCTTGGCAGCCAGAGAAAAGCCCATGATCTCTGGTGTAGAGATGAAGTGGGCACAATTACATCAAAAGGAGAGAGGGAGAGCTCACTCGTGAAAGCTTTCATTTGGTATAAAGAAACAATCAGGGGGAGAAACGAGATGGGGGTGAAGCTGGAGATATTTCGGATGATAATCTACCTCACTTTCCCTGTGGCTATGTTCTGGGTTTCCAATCAGGCCGAGTGGTTTGAGGATGATGTCATACAGCGCAAGAGGGAGCTGTGGCCACCTGAGAAGCTTCAAGAGTTAGAGGAATTCAAAGAGAGGTTACGGAAGCGGAAGCGGCGGGAGGAGAAGCTCCTTCGCGACGCCCAGCAGAACTCCTGAGGCCTCCAAGTGGGAGTCCTAGCCCCTCCCCTGATGAAATATACATATACTCAGTTCCTTGTTATTCAAAAAAAAAAAAAAAAAAGAGAAAACATCAGGAGCAATTGTAGGTTTCTTCAATGGGAAAAATAAGATTAAAACAATATACTTCATTGCTTAAACATTTATTAAACAGCCACTATGTGCATGAACTTCAGGAGGCACTGGGAAACCAGGGATACCCAGAGCCCAGCTCCTACACAGAGGAGTCCAGCCAGTGCAGGGTGGGGTGCAGGCCGTGCTCCAGCCTGTCCTCCGCAGCAGATCCCTGAGCTCAGACTCCTCCCAACACACAGCTTAAGAAGGTGCCTTCCAATCTATTAGGCATCCTCATCTGGGGTTTGCTGATGATGAGTCTGGTTTTCTTTCTTTCTTTCTTTCTTTCTTTCTTTCTTTCTTTCTTTCTTTCTTTCTTTCTTTCTTTCTTTCTCTTTCTTTCTCTTCCTTCCTTCCTTCCTTTCTTCTTTCTTTTTTCCTTCCTTCCTTCCTTCTCTCCTTCCCTCCTTTCCCTTCCTTCCTTTCTTTTTCCTTCCTTCCTTCCCTCCCTCCCTCGCTCCTTCCCTTCTTTCTTTCTCTTTCTTTCCCTCTCTCTTTCTTTCTTCTTTCTTTTTCAAAACAGAGTTTCACTCTTGTTCTCCAGGCTAAAGTGCAGTGGCGCGATCTCAGCTCACTGCAACCTCCGCCTCCCAGGTTCAAATGATTCTCTTGCCTCAGCCTCCCAAGTAGCTGGGATTACAGGCGTGCGCCACCATGCCTGGGTACTTTTTTGTATTTTTAGTAGAGACGGGGTTTCACCATGTTGGCCAGGCTGGTCTCAAACTCCTGACCTTGAGTGATCTGCCAACCTCAGCCTCCCAAGCTGCTGAGATTACAGGTGTGAGCCACTGTGCCCCAGCCTGGTTTTCTTTTTTTTTTTCTTTTGAGAAAGAGTTTCCCCTTCGTCACCCAAGCTGGAGTGCAATGGCACGATCTCGGCTCACTGCAACCTCTGCCTCCTGTAATCCCAGCTACTTAGGAGGCTGAGGCATGAGAATTGCTCAATTGCTGGGATTCCAGGCACACACCTCCACGCCTGGCTAATTTTTGTATTTTTTGTAGAGATGGGGGTTTCATCATGTTGGCCAGGCTGGTCTCGAACTCCTGACCTTGTCATCTGCCCGTCTTGGCCTCCCAAAGTGCTGGGATTATAGGCATGAGCCACAGCGCCTGCCCTGGTTCTGGTTTTCTCCACTCCTGCAGCATGGTTTTCATCACCTTCTCCCACCTCCCCTTCCTCCTCCTTCACACACATTCTTCTTTGAAAATGTCATCACCACCTCCTCTATGTATGGCACGGAACCAGACCCTGGCCACCGCTGTTTATAGCAAGAGAAGCGGACCATAGTAGAGGAGCTGTGCCAAGCAGGCCCTGTGCTCTCAGGACAGCAGTAAGTTGTAGCTGCTCCAGACCTGACACGTGTGCTCTGAAAGGTGACTTCATTCCTTGTTGATGAATGCATCTGAATGGAAAGTGTTAGAATGATAGGAACTTTAAGTCACACACTTATTTTAGTATTTAACAAAATGCCTCGGCTAAGGAAAAAACTAAACAATTGAGGCAATTGCAAAAAATCAAAGTCTGACAACCTCATGGTTATAGCCCTGTTTCCAGAGTAGTAGGCCCCCTGGCTCTGCCCTTGTGCACCCCAAAACAGCCTGGCCTGTAAGTGGAAAAGTACATGTGGCATGTGTGTGTGTGTGTGTGTGTGTGTGTGTGTGTGTTAGAGACACCATCAGAGAGTGGCAGGGCAGAGACAGAACTTAGGCTCGTAGCTGCTGGTGGGTTAGAATTTCTACTTGGGTGGAGCTCAGGTAGCCTGGCCGGTGGTGAGGTGGACTGACATGTCACAAAGTGGCGCTCACATAGCATTTTATGTTCAACTGAGAAAACACCAGTCATTCATAGCAAAGGAAGGGAAGTGCTGACGGAAATTAGGGTGCCCTAGGCCCCATCCCCATCCACTCCAGGTCACCCTGTATGCCCCGATTCCCTGCTCGGGTTCTCTGGTCAATAATTTTTCCCTGGACACTGAATAACAAAAGGACTTTGAACTTACACTTCATTACATCAGAAAGTCACTGAACCTTGACCTGTTAGTTTTGGATTTTCTACCAAGAGATAATGCTGCCGCCCCTCTTTACAATCTCCTCTTTACATGTCGTCTCTGTTGGTTTAAACTGTCCTTGGTAACCATTTCCTATCCCTTCTTAAATGTGACGTTCCCAAATTTCTTTTGGTTAAGGGTTGTATTCTCTGTTCACTTTTCAGAATATGCTGTGTTTTAGTATACAGTGAGTGGACATTGTTTTTTAGCAGTGATCAAATGACATAGGAACTATGAGAGGACCACTCCCTTCTTCAGGGCGTGACTGCCTGCCCTGGGCACTGCTGCCTTCTCCTAGACACTGCGGCCTGTTGCTGGGCACTGCTTCCTCGACCCGGGCACTGCCCGGCTACTGGACCCTGCCCTCTCCTGCCCCAGCTGAGGCCACGGAGCACCCAGGGCCATCCAGAGCTCTGTGCAGACTGTAGAGGAAGGCCTCTTTTCTCTGCTGTGTTACAAGCTGTCAACAGGCATCAAAACAGAGATACCTGAACTTCCTGGGGTCCTCTAGGGACAGTCTCTTCAGTTCTTATTTGTAACAGAACTTGGATATGAGTTCAAAGTAGGGCTGAGCCAGAAGCCAAAACTAAGCAACACTCTTGTTGTTCCCATTGATCACGGAGGCTCTGTTACCAGGCCAGGCCTGTTGGTCCTGACTCTCCAGCCCTACTGCAGGTGGTCCGTCCCACTAGTTCCCAGAGAGCAGCAGCACAGCTTGGAGGAGGCTGAGGCTCTGGGACTGCACAAAACATACTAGCTATCTATGCAACTCTGTCCTGTTTAATTCAGGAGCGGGAGCTGAAACTTTTAGAAGCTATGGGACACATATTGGAAAAGAAAAATCAAAGCTTGGCAGGGCGTGGTGGCTCACGCCTGTAATCCCACCATTTTGGGAGGAGGAGGTGGGCGGATCACTTGAGGTCAGGAGATCCAGACAAGCCTGGCCAACACGGTGAAACCCCCTCACTACTGAAAATACAAAAAATTAGCTGGGCATGCTGCCGGGCACCTGTAATCCCAGCTACTTGGGAGGCTGAGGCAGGAGAATCACTTGAACCCGGGAGGCGGAGGTTGCAGTGAGACGAGCTTGCACCACTGCACTCCAGCCTTCCACTCCAACAAGAGTGAAACTCCATCTCAAAAAAGAAAGAAAGAAAAAAGAAAAATCAAAGCTTGTTGAGCAAGTGGCAAGGTTCAATATTTATGCAAATCTAAGGAATACAACAACATGTACATTGGCACGTCATTCACAATATGCTGAGTTAATATAAGTGATGACAGTCATATGTTCATAGACATACAATTTCAAATGCAAATTTTAGGATAGTCAGTTGAGGGTAGAAATTGTGAGATTTTTAAAAGAAAAATGCCTTTTTCATTTTATGTTGTTTCTCATCTGTGTCACTATGGTATGACTCTAGGTGATTTTGTAAGAGCCAACACTTGCACTGTTTTCTGAACAACTCCAGGCTTCTGTTTGGGGAAACCCACCCTGAGGGAGTGAAGCAGGAGTTGTCGCACTGTGGGGCACACGACACAGGGCAGGATTTGGATCCTGGTCAGAATTCTGCCTCTACCTCTTGCCAGCTGTGCAAATCCCTACACAGAAGTTGTGATATAAAAGATCAAGAGAGCAAGATAGATGATGAGAATTGTATATTTTTTCTTTTCTCTTCCTTCCTTCGTTTCTCTTTCCTTCCTTCCTTCCCTCTTCCTTCCTTTCTTCCCTCCCTCACTCCCTCCCTTCCTTACTTCCTTCCTTCCCTCCCTTCCTTCCTTCCTTCCTTCCTTCCTTCCTTCCTTCCTTTCTTTTTCTTTCTTTTCTTTCTCTCTCTCCCTTCCCTTCCCTTTTCTTTTCTTTTCTTTTCTTTCCATGTTTTGCTACATTGCACAGGCTGGACTCAAACTCCTGGGCTCCTAGTAGTCTCATCAGCTACTAGATACTCCTAGAAGCTGGTGATACTATAGGCACATGCCATGACACCAAGCTTGATAGGGATTCTTAATTGATTTTTCCCTTGGTCTGTATTTGATCTATTATTTGACCTGTTTTAAGTATTTTTCTTTTATTTAAATGACAATTTTTTCCCATTTTTTCGAGTCAGGGTCTCACTCTGTCACCCAGGCTGGAGCGCAGTGGTATGATCATAGCTCACTGCAGCCTCAACCTCCTGGGCTGAAGCAATCCTTCCACCTTAGCCTTCAGTGTAGCTGGGAATGCAGGTGCACGCCACCATAACAGTTATTTTTTTTGTTTTTCCTAGAGACAGCATCTCACCATATTGCTGGGCTGTTCTCAAACTCCTAGGCTTAAGTGGTCCTCCCAACTTGGCTTCTCAAAGTGCTGGGATTATAGGTATGAGCCACCACGCCCAGCCTCAATTCCATATTTTTCTTTTTTTTTTTTTTTGAGATGGAGTCTCACTTTGTCACCTAGGCCGGAGTGCAGTGGCACAATCTCGGCTCACCACAACCTCCACCTACCAGGTTCAAGTGATTCTCCTGCCTCAGCCTCCCGAGTAGCTGGGATTACAGGCGCCCATCACCACTCCCAGCTAATTTTTGTTTTTAGTAGAGACTGAGTTTCACCAGGTTGGCCAGGCTGGTCTCAAACTCCTGACCTCAGGTGATCCGCCTGCCTTGGCCTCCCAAAGTGCTGGGATTACAGGCTTGAGCCACCGCGCCCGGCAGTGACCATATTTTCAATTTAAAATTTCTGATTCTTTAAAAAATCTGCTTTTCTCCAGCTGTGCCTTGAGGTTTCGATGAATAACATGGCTGGATTTAATTTATTAGTTGGGCAGGCACCTAGCAGAGTGGTAATTGGAAGAAAGGATTTTAAAGACCTTGAAAAAGGCTCCCTATAGAAAGGCCACCTGAGCATGGCATTCCTGTGGAAGGGCCTAGATGTGAGCAGCTCAAGAGCAGACTCCAGGTTCACAAGGATTTCTACCATTCCCTAAGCAAAGTCCATACTCCTACACCTCGACTTTGCCAACATATTCCTTCCAACCGATAGCCGTACTCCCATTTCTATCTATCCAAATCCTGCCCATCCTTCAGGGTCAAATTCAAAGTGTCCCCTGTCCACAACACCTTCTTTCCTCTCCCCCTGTCCACCCTCAGCTGGAAATGATCCACTCCCCCCACCCCACCCCCACTCTCCTGCAAATGCCTACAGCACTTGGTTCCTCTAACGTACTAGTTATGATTAATGACTGGCTATATGATTTACATGGCCCAATGCAAGATGAAAACCCAGGGCCCTTGCTAAAAATTCAGGCTGGTCAACATGGTGAACCCCTGTCTCTACTAAAAATACAAAACTTAGCCAGGCAGGGTGGCACATGCCTGTAGTCCCAGCTACTCAGGAGGCTGAGGCGGGAGAATCGTTTGAACCTGGGAGGCGGAGGTTGCAGTGAGCCGAGATCGCACCATTGCACTCTAGCCTGGGTAAAAGACCGAGACTCTGTCTTGAATAAAAAAAGAATTTCAAGACAGCCACAGCAGAACATTCCACAGGCACAGGGTCCTTTTAAGTGCAGGGGCCTGCACAGGACACACACCTGGAAAGCCAGCCCTGGTGATTATACTTGCAGACTCCAATGGGAAGCTGAAAGTCCACTGGGCAAACACAATCTTTTAAATGCCTACGGAATCCCCTCCCAGGGAAGCTTCTGAGCTGCTCGCCTCTCCTTCCTCAGCCCTGTTTCATTGTCCCAGCACCTCTGTGCCTGCTTCTCCACCTTGCAGGAAACTTAGCTGTGTACTCGCATCCTGAGCCCCAACCAGCCACTCTGACCTATGCCTACTGCCTTCTTCTCTTTGAGTCCTGCCTCATTGGGTTCCCTGAGTTGGCCGCTGTTCCTTGTAGCACAAAGAATGGGGAAAGATTGATCGGTTACTTTCCTACAGTACCACTATCCCCCTTTTGTTCCGGTTCCTCTTGTTACAGGAAGTTGCCGACACACAACCCTCTCTTTGCCAGCCTGTTGATGGAAAAAGATGTGACCTCTAGCACTGTTTACCTGTTATATTTCTACCGTCTGAGTAAGTGGTAATATAGCCGCTTACCTGATGCCAGGAATGCTAAGCATACCGTATTACTTAATGCTCTCATTAGTCCTTTGAAGTATACATTGCTGCTATTCCTTTTACAGAAGGATAAAATGAGATGCAGTGAGTTAAGTAATTTGCCTGAGTTGTTAAAGCTAAGGAACCCTTACTCTTAGCCACCAGGATGTATCGCTTCTAGAGACAGGCCACTCGAAGGCAAAGACCGTATCTTGGTCTTTAGTGTTCCCTATATTGCCTCTTTGTGCTCTCAGTCCTAGTGTATTATTAGAGCTATAAAGAACTCTCATTTATCGGCCAGGCGCGGTGGCTCATGCTTGTAATCCCAGCACTTTGGGAGGCCAAAGCGGGTGGATCACCTGAGGTCAGGAGTTCGAGAGCAGCCTGGCCAACATGGTGAAACCCCATCTCTACTAAAAATACAAAAATTAGCTGGGTGTGGTGGGCACCTGTAATCCCAGGTTCTCGGGAGCCTGAGGCAGGAGAATCGCATGAACCCAGAAGGTGGCGGTTATAGCAAGCCGAGATCGCGCCACTGCACTCCAGCCTGGGCGACAGAGTGAAACTCCATCCCAAAAAACAACAACAAAAAAGGACTCCCATTTATTGATACCTTACCCTGTGCCAGGCCCTACGCTGAGCATTTTGCAAATGTTATCTCACTAAATTTTCAGCTCATCTCTACTAGCCAGGTTTTACTGCCCGTATTTAACAGATGAAGAAACAAAGGCAGAGCCAGATTTAATCTCTAGTTAGGTCACATAGCAAGTAAATAGTGGCACCAGGGTTTGGACTTGGGTCTATCCTGATTCTCCATGTAAGCTCCCTCATCAGGTTGCTCCCACACCTCTTCCTCCCACCCATCCAGCCTCTCTCCATCTTACCCTTACCTTCCTGCAAGTATCCATCCTCCCACGCCTCAGTCTCCATTAGAATCTGAATTCTGGCAGGGCGCGGTGGCTCACGCCTGTAATCCCAGCACTTTGGGAGGTCAAGGCAGGCAGATCACCTGACGTTAGGAGTTCGAGACCAGCCTGGCCAACATGGTGAAACCCCATCTCTACTAAAAATATCAAAAATCAGCCGAGCGTAGTGGCGGGCACCTGTACTGTAATCCCAGCTACTCGAGGCTGAGACAGGAGAATCGCTTGAACCCAGGAGGTGGCGAGATTGTGCCACTGTACTCCAGCCTGGGTGAGAAGAGCAAAACTCCGTCTCAAAACAAAACAAAACAAAACAAAAACAAAAGAATCTAAATTCTGGAGGCTCAATCTGTTGTTTAACCTACCAAATGATCTCGCTGCCTGTTGCATAATCCCAGCACAGACAGAAAACTGCCCACATTAGCTGCCCTGTCCCTGTGATCTGCACCTTCTCAATTTCAATTTGTCTCCTTTTACTATTCTAACAAGAGCATGAGAGGCAAAGACTGCCCATATCCTCAAGTGTATTCAAGAGATCAGACAACAAAGAGTGAAGAAATGCTACAGCCAAGAGCCATGCCAGATCCAAGCAGAGTAGGAGGCTTAGTCCCCTCTTATGGGTCTTCCATTAGCCTCATATATTTTCCCTCTCAACATTCAAGAAGTCTCATCAAGGTAGTCTATGGAGAAGAAGGACTTGTTTGTTGGTTTCATTGTTAATCTTTCTGAGGGTCCAGATATGCCTCTGAAAACCAAGAGAACCCCTCCTGTCCTGCCAGTAGCAGCTGGCTAATCTTCATCCTGTAATTGTTGAATTGTCCACATGTACACACATGTGCATGCACCAGATCACACCCACTCAGAGAGCTAAGAATTAATTTCACTCCTAATCACAGGATGATTCATCCTATTATTTAATCATTGGTGCTAGTCTTGCCTGGTCAATAGGATGATGATGTAGTCTCAAAACTAATTCACCTGAGAAGTATGTAAAGGAATAGGGATATTGGAGGCCAGAGAAGGAAAACAAGATACAGCACAGATGTCTCTAAATACCTGAAGCATAATATAGAGACCAGGGATTTAGTCTGTATAGTGTTTTAGTTCGGGTAACTCCCGAGGGCAGAATCTGGGTTTGTTGGTCAGGTTACAAGGCAGGCAGGGAAATCTCTTAGTAATCAGTGTGAAGCAACAATGGAATGGGCTGCAGGAGTGGGAGAGAGGCCCTCATATCTCCACATCCTCAAGCAGACACCAAACACTGGAAGGAAGCTCTGCATTGAGTGATGGGCTGGTCCAGAGCAACCCCGTCAGTGATCAGGTTTGGGGCCCAACTGTGCTGGGCAGGAGGCAGGTGCTGGAAATCAAGGGTAAATAAGGCATGGACACTGCTGTCATCTGGAGACCCTTCCACCTCAGGGACTGTGCTCCTCAGGCTGAGGGCAAGAACCACAGCTTACACTTCCCTCGTGTGTTCACAATAGTTGTATGGCATCAGACCCAACAGTGAACACCCAGAAGACAAGAATTATACCTTCCATTTGTGTTTCCTTAGCACCTAGCACAATGTCCAAGAAACAGTTTTGAAGTTAAGGAATGTGTCCAGAGAATACCCAATATGTGTCAATAAATGGATCCACAGAATCTTCAATATTGACTCATTGTTGAAAGGACCCATTTTAATCCCAATAGCCTGCATGATGGATAAAGAAGTGCCTAAATGTAATAAGGAGCAATGAATTACTTGACTCCAGTGGCCTCTGTGTAACCTTCACTGGTAAGGCCATGGCTTTTCTGAAAATCTCCGTGACCAAGGACATCAGCAAGCATAGCACAGGGCTCATTAGAAGAAGATGATTTCACCTGCCATCTTCCTTCTTGTCTGAAGAGTGCCACTCACTCGCCTTGCTTTGAAGACATCAAAGTCTGGTGACAGAAACCAGCAGGAAAGATGGATGTGACTATATGCATTGACTACCATTTTCCCTGAAAAACATCTGACTAGAAACAGTGTAATCATTTACCCTTTATTTACCTTCTAAACCTGAAATAGAGATAACTTTAAGACCGGCTGAGTCATTGCTAAAGTCAACAAGTCAAAGTGTTTTTTGGAAAAACTAAGATCCAGATATTTTCTACTGACTGAAATTATGGGCACAAACTAACTTTTAAATTATTTAATTGTTGACCAAACTCAATACATTTTTCTATTCCTTTCTTTTTTATATTTTACATTTTTATTTTCATATCAACAAGATTGAGTTTGAATCAGTTTTCTTTTCTAATATAGCAACATGCAGCCATGTTTTCTTTTTTATTATTACTATACTTTAAGTTCTAGGGTACATGTGCACAAGGTGCAGGTTAGTAACATATGTATACATGTGCCATGTCGGTGTGCTGCACCCATTAACTCATCATCTACATTATGTATTTCTCCTAATGCTATCCCTCCCCCCTCCCCCCACCCCACGACAGGCCCCGGTGCGTGATGTTCCCCACCCTGTGTCCAAGTGTCCTCATTGTTCAATTGTTCAATTCCCACCTATGAGTGAGAACATGCGGTGTTTGGTTTTCTGTCCTTGCAATAGTTTGCTCAGAATTATGGTTTCCAGCTTCATCCGTGTCCCTACAAAGGACATGAACTCATCCTTTTTTAATGCAGCCATGTTTTCTATTCTCAAGAATAATGATTTACTCAATTTAGTGTCTAGCAGGAGACTGGTGTCTAGCAGCCAACCTCCTCAGCTTTTCTTGGGTCCCTTATACTTTTGGTTTGGAGTTAATACAGAAATAAAGTGATTGGGCTAAATCCAGGCCCTTCCATTTTCTTGGCGTGTGATGTGGTCAAGTTCCAGAACCTCTCAGCCTTTTTTCCCTCTGTAAAGGAGGAAGGATAAGAATAGTTCAGCTCTCATGCCTTTTATGAATAAGTCAGTAACAGGAGCTATGATGATGCTGTTTTCCTGAGCAGGTGCTGTTCCAGGCCTGGAAAGCTCAAATCTCCCCATTTCTTTAACCGTGAAGTGATTCTCTTATAAGACAGAATGTTTAAGTGAGTGTCAAGGCCACACTAAACAGTATGTAGCAGTAAGTCTCCTTCCTATTGTACAAAAGAGAATGGAAGGTTTCCCATTGTTTCTTATGTGATGATGAAAAGTTTACTGCAAGGACTGCTGTGTTTTGGGGCCCATTGCACACATAGGATCACCAGCCCAAATGTTAAAAGAACTTCCCTTGAAAGAGAAAAAATATTTGATGAAGTAGAAACGTTTTTTCTTTTTTGGAGACGGGGTCTTACTCTGTCACCCAGGCTGGAGTGCAATGGCGCGATCTTGGCTCACTGCAACCTCCACCTCCCGGATTCAAGCGATTCTTCTACCTCAGCCTCCCGAGTAGCTGGGATTACAGGTGCGCACCACTATGCCTGGCTAATTTTTGTGTTTTTAGTAGAGATGGGGTTTCTTCATGTTGGCCAGGCTGGTCTCAAGCTCCTGACCTCAGGTGATCCACGCTCCTTGGCCTCCCAAAGTGCAGGGATTACAGGTGTGAGTCACCGCATCCAGCCAGAAACATTTTTTCTATCCTGGGTTTCGATTATGCCTCTTCCGCAGGGCAGGACAAAGGTACAGCAAGAGAGGCCTAGAGCACAACACTTAAGAAGCAGCAACCTCAAGGGAGAGGCCTCCTTGAAATTTGCACCTTTACCCACTCCCTTGCCCTACTCTAGTCCAGGCCTTACTGTTCCCTTTATATGTTCTCAAATGCAATTTCCTTTCTGGGGTTTGGATTTGCAGAGCTAGGTCCTGCTTATCAGGGCAGCGTTGGAGGAAGGCTTGCAGAGCCCTTTTTCCACCCCAAAAGATGGAGCCATTACTTATGGTCATTTTTGCCACCTGCGGTTGGGCCCACATCTCCCAACTTTGGTGCTGAGTACAAGGGGCTCTTCCTAATTATGGGTTGATGACTTCCAGGGTGCTTGGTGCTAAGTTACTTTCACAAGAAACCAGATGGGTCCTTGGACAAAGGTAATTTGCTTTCATTCACTGGTGCTTTGCATTGGCGAAGTAAATCCCAACCTGTCTCCACAGGAAAATATGATAATTTGTATAATAATATTATGATAGTTTCATATATTAACATAAAGTTCTTTGCTGATCAGGCATTGCCGGACTAAATGAGTCAAGATGAGCTCCTCCAGAGCATGTGGTTCTCATCACTCTGTGTCCAGGCATCTGATAACACAGATAGTAGGTGCTCAATAAATGTTTGTTCATTGAACATATGAATGAAGAAACACCCAGTCTTTGAGTGAAATTAATACCCAGTCTATCAGGGCCTAGGCCCTTTAAGTACCAGAAAGGGCAGAGCCATGAACCTGACCTAATGATTTAAAAACCAACCACTGCTATTTCCTCCCTACAGAAACCAGTTGTCCTTCTGGCTTTTGCTGACAGGCACTTTTTCATCTTCTGTTTTGTGAGAGGCTGGTTTCTAGCTATCACCTTAGCTCTTGCTGCCTGACGGGATATTTCATATCTTTCTATATCTATCCTCTCCCTCCTATACCCACATCCACTAATGGAACCAACCTCTGAGAAACTCTGACCCTGAGCTCTGACCCTGGTGATCTTTGTTGTTGTGGCTCCTGGCCTGCAACTATAAACACTGAATTCTGCCTTGGAATAGTTTAAATACAACACTTGCCCTAGTGGCTCCCTGGCAAAGAGTCCTTTTGACAAATTCAGGAACCCTGGTGCCATCCTTAGCTGCTGCTCTACTTTGGATGTTTGTCCCCCCACGTCTCATGTTGAAATGTAATCCCCAATGTTGGAGGTGGGGCCTAATGGGAGGTGTTTGGGTCATGGAGACAGATCCCTCATGAAGGGCTTGGTGCCATCCTGGTGGTAATGAATGAATTCCTGCTATATTATTTTCCGTGAGAGCTGGTTGTTAAAAAAAGAAAGAAAGAAAGAAAAAGCCGGGCATCTCTCCTCTCTCTCACCAAGAGCTTGCGCACGCCAGCTCTTCTTTGCCTTCCGCCATGAGTGGAAGCAGCCTATAGCCCTCACCAGAAGCAGATGCCGGTGTCATGCTTCTTGTACAGCCTGCGAACCATGAGCCAAATAAACCTCTTTTCTGTATAAATTACCCAGCCTCAGGTTTTTCTTTATAGAAACACAGATGGACTAAGACAGCTGCCATCTTGAGATTTCTGCCATCAGCCACACAAGGGTTGCACCCAGCAAGCACTGCCCGGCACCCTGCTGCCATCTCCTGGAGATTGTTGATCCTCTCCTGCTCCTTAGACTGTTGGGCCTGCTCTCCTTGACCAGTTCTAACAAGCCCTTGATATCCTCAATACACTATCAGCCATCATAGTGTGAATGGAATGAGGATTATTTTATTGCTGTGATGTGAGCCTCATAGAAAAATGCACAGAAAAGTAACTAAAATAATGCAGCAAAGGACCAGAAAATGGAGGAAATGCCTATCTCCTACTGATATGCAAAGAAGCTGGAGCCAGTTGGATCAAACTGACCCAAGATTACTCATGAGTATATGTATTCAGCACGTGAAGATCACTCATGAGTCCCATATACATTTGGCAAGTGAGAATCTTTTAAAGTTTAAAACTGGTGTCATCAGGCACAGGGAACTACCCATTGGCACTAATGCTACAGCCATCTTGGAAAACATACCAAAATATCATCTATTTTCTTCCTCATTTCCAGTAAGTAAATGGCAACATTTCTTTCTAAGGAAACTGAAAAAATCTAAGGGATCATTTTACTCAGCTTGATACCAAAGTTATTTTAGTTTATAAGTATTAGACATATGGAGTAGCTGTGATAAAAGCAAAGATATTCATAAATTACATTTTTAAAAAAGAATTCTGAGAGTGTTCACATATCTAAGTTCCCACAAAAGTCAGCATGAAAGCAGTAACAGAGGAAAAGAGAAAACAGCTGAGCTGACATCACACAACAGCTAAATGGAAGGGGGATAAATTGGCATAGCCAAATAGACTATTTGACTATAAAAATTAAGAGCTTTAAAAATGTGCAAATCATTAGAATCAATAATTTTACTTCTAAAAATCTATCCTGAAAAAAAGAATCAAAAGCCAAAGATTCCTAAATAAAAAAGTGTGTTTTTTTGTTTTTTTGTTTTTTGTTTTTTTTTTGTTTTTTTTTGTTTTTTGTTTTGAGACAGAGTCTCACTCTGTTGCCCAAGCTGGAGTGCAGTGGCACAATCTCCCCTCACTGCAACCTCTGCCTCCCAGGTTCAAGTGATTCTCCTGCCTCAGCCTCCCAAGTAGCTGAGATTACAGGCGTCCAGCACCACGCCCAGCCAATTTTTTGTATTTTTAGTAGAGATGGGGTTTCACCATGTTGGCCAGGATGCTCTCTATCTGTTGACCTCATGATCCACCTGCCTTGGCCTCCCAAAGTGCTGGGATTACAGGTGTAAGCCACCGTGCCTGGCCTGTAAACATGTTTTTAAGTCTACTTAATGACATAGGAAAATATTCAAGTTAAAGCAATAGGTGAAAAAATTTTAACAGCTGTATATGCAGTATAATCAAAATTATATTAAAATATTATTTTACATAGAAAAAAAGAAAAGATATAAATGCATCAAAACATTAACACTGTTTATCTCTGCATGATGAGATTGTGAATGATTTCTTTTTTGAGACAGAGTCTCATTCTGTTGGCTGGGCTGGAGTGCAGTGGCACTATCATAGCTCACTGCAACCATAGCCTACTCCAGGTCTTATGCTATCATCCTGCCTTCATAGTTGGGATTACAGGTGTGTGCCACCTTACCACACTTTATTCAATTTTTCTTTTTTTTGAGTCGGAGTCCCACTCCGTTGCCAGGCTGGAGTGCAGTGGCGCAATCTTGGCTCACTGCAACCTCCACCTCCTGGGTTCAAGTGATTCTCCTGTCTCGGCCTCCCGAGTAGGTGGGACTACAGGCGCGCGCCACCACGCCCAGCTAATTTTTGTATTTTTAGAAGAGACAGGGTTTCACTGTGTTGGTCAGGTTGGGCTCAATCTCTAGGCCTCGTGATCTGCCCACCTCAGCCTCCCAAAGTGCTGGAATTACAGGTGTGAACCACCGTGCCCAGCCCTTCAATATTTTTAAAGATTATATAAAGAAAAGCATAGCTTCCACACACAGTTCAGGAGTCAGGGCCCTGAGTGAAATGGAGTATAAGGTGATGGAAGATTGCCCCTGGCTTTGAGGATCATCTTGCTGGATGACCAGAGTTTGTTTTTCATCTGGAAGAATCATGGTCCCCCTCTTGGAGAGAACCTGGAGTCCTGGCCACACCTTCTGAGCTTCTGACATTAAGATTCGGTGTGGTGTGTGAGCAGCTGGGAGTAAATGTGAGAACAGTCCTGCCAACTACCTTCTCTGCCCCATCACCACTCACTTCACCTCCCTCACCCCGATTCTCACCCCAGAAAATCAATATTAAGCTTCCCTTTGGAGGGGCCCCTCTTCTTTCTTTTTTTTTTAACCAGTTTTTTTTTCTCTGAAGCAATATCAAACATTAGAACAAATTCACCCACACACAATGATGGCCTCTAAATATTTGAAGACCATGTTGGTCTCCATGAGAGGGCTTCTTTGCTTCAGACTAAACCAAACCAGGTCCTTGTGTGATATTTCCCAAGCCTCTCTTTATCCTGCCAACCCTCCTTGGATGTCACACTTGGAATTGTCAAGGGTCACTTAATAGGCAGTGCCTGGAGTCAACACTGGCCCTCTGTTCTGGCCAGAAAGACACACTGTAATTCTGCTGAGTCTGCAAAGAATGTTCAAGGGGTATTTGTGTCCGTAGCTGCTCGTGCAGCATCTCAGCCTGCGGTGTCAGACTCGAACCCAGAGCTGTGTCAAATGAGTCAGGACTCCCCTCTGCTGCCCTTGTGCACTGGCAGGGGCACTAGGTTACTAGTGCTAGGAGACTCTGGTCAGTGCCCATCTGTGCTGTCACATGCAGGGCCCTGGCAGTGAGGTCTGGAGAAGGAAGAGAAGGGGCAGGGAACCCCACACGTTTTGCTGGTCATTTCCCACCGTGGTCCTGCCACGGGAACCCCCTTCTTCCACCTCCATTCCCCACTTTAGGCAGAAACATCTCTCATCCTTTTTCTTTTCTCCAAGAATCTTCCCCCAAAATCTTGGCATCTCCTATACACATCTGTACCTTTGCTATATCTGTGGGCCTTGTTCTCCCTGTAGGACTCCTCTTGGAAAGCTAACTCCCCCTGACATTGGAGAATTTTATCAAATTGCTGAGTATCCTCCCTTCCCTCTCACAGACCCCATGGCATGCTCAGATCACAGTAGAAGACATTTCCTCTGCTGCCAAACCCATGGCACTCTGAGGCTGACTGTGTCCACCTCATTCCCTCAGCTGTCTTCTCTTTGCTGCTATTACCATGTTCCAAGCAGACTTTGGAGCATCTCCCCCACAGCAGCATGGACTTTGGCAGATTTCTTGGGGACCAGCGATGTCCTAACCTGTTTGCTTTTCCAGGGCTGATGTTTGCAGGGTGTTTTTTTTTTTCTTTTGAACCAAAGCAGAAATCATCCTGTATCCTTATGCAATTCTTCCGGCAGGCTCCAACAGATAAATAAAGCCCACCACCCTCCATGGGTCTACCTTTCCCAGCAGAGCACCTGGGTTGGTCCCGAAGCCTCCAACCACCTGCACGCCTGCCAGGGCCTCTCTGGGGCAGCCATGAAGTCCCTCGTCCTGCTCCTTTGTCTTGCTCAGCTCTGGGGCTGCCACTCAGCCCCACATGGCCCAGGGCTGATTTATAGACAACCGAACTGCGATGATCCAGAAACTGAGGAAGCAGCTCTGGTGGCTATAGACTACATCAATCAAAACCTTCCTTGGGGATACAAACACACCTTGAACCAGATTGATGAAGTAAAGGTGTGGCCTCAGGTAAGTGGACCTGCTGTCTATGAGCTGAAATAATGTGTACATGGAGCTCAATCAGGTGCCTCAAAAAATCACCATCACCCAGTGCAAATGAAACCACAGAGGAGTAAATTCTCTGATTTCTTCCCAGGAGTGAGGGAAGGGGCAGGCAGAGGGCAGGAGAGGAGACATTCTGTATGGCAGTCATGGGTGTCAGGAGGGAGCTGGGTGGGGTGTGAGGTGGTGTGCAGGAGAAAAAGTGCTTCAAATGGTAGTGTGCAGATCACAGACAGAAAGTGTAACTTGCTGGAAAAACTAGGACCCAAGAGACCAGCTCCTAGTTGCCAAGTTACCACTGGCTGAAAATCACGTATCTGTCTTTGGTTTGGTTTCTCTCTAACAAAGACTGAGAATGAATAAAACTAGCATCTGGCAGATGCCTACTATATGCCAGGCCCATTCACATAGATTATCTCATTTACTCTTTCCCGGTCCTGCCTCCTGGTGCTGTGTGGTACATATATTGTTCTTGTCTTACCCAAGAGGAGACCAAGGCTCTGTTGTGTGTGTGTGTGCAGTTTTTTTGTTTTTTGTTTTTGTCTTTTTTTTTTTGGTCCAAAATCATATAATTACTAAGTCTTCAGGCTGGGATTTGATTCCATATCTGTGTTCCTTCTTCTACACAAACTGCCTCCCAAAGAGAGTTACCCACATCCCAGAGAGAAGTCTTGGCATAAACACAATTCACCTCCTCACACACTAGACAGGAAACCAACGCAGCTTGAAGCCAGTGACAAGAAAAATCAAGCTGGAAATATGCCTCGGGGATCAGTCAAGAGATTTGGAGAGGTGGAAAGAAGCTGTCTGCCTACTGCCTGTTTTGAAATTAGATTTATTTCTGATTAAGGACAATTCTTTCAGCAAATATGTATTACAAGCCTTCCTTGGACAAGAACCAGAGATATTAGGTTGAACCATATAAAACTGCCATTTTTCTATATCAAAAGCAACCAAATATTGGCCGTTTTAATGGTTCAACCTAATACAGTGGTGAAAAAGGCACAATATGTGCCCACAAGAGCTTACAATCTAGGTTGGAAAATAAGGTCAACAACAGGAAGCCTGGACCGACTGACGACTGCCATCCGTCTCACAAAGAGACAAAATATTTGAAATCAGGATTGCTCCGGATGGATTTTAAGAGTGCTGCAGCCATATTAAAGCACAGTGGTGGTTAGGAGGAAACGCTGATCAAGTCAGGGGAAATGAACACGCAACACGCACATCTGAGGGAAAAGGTAATCATGAATGGGCATTGTGACTTTTACTAAAGGCAGAGCTTCAGAGTTGGTTCCCTTGAGAAACCCAGGTGTACCCGGTTCCTGTTCGCCAGAGCTGTGAACGCTTTCAGGCAGTCACTCTGGGCACACCTGGACATCATAAAATGCGGAGCTTCTCCCAGGGGAGGGGATGCTGAGGCTTCAGGTACTAGTGAATCAGGCAGAACCAATGAGAGGCAAACAGAGCTGGGCTGAGAGGAGAAAAGGCATACTTGTACCTTCTGGATTTTTCAGGCTTCGAAGACAAGATACAGAAACAGGTGAACTCACAAGAATATCTCCAAGGATTGTTGCAAGCTCCCTCGTGTCTACACTAGTGACATCCAGTTTCCTGTCAGAGGGAGACATGCCCTTCCCCATTATCGCCAGCAGGGGGAAGTAGAGAGCAGCATCGTTGCATGCCGGCACCTGCTGCACAAGCCAAGACAAAGGAAAAACCAAGGACAACAGCAGCAAAAACCTCTAGGAGGGAAAAGAAAACGGAGGAAGGAAGGAAAGCAAATAATGAAAAGGAAGAAAGAAAGAAGGAGAGGGAGGGATAGAGGAGATTAAAAAAAGACAGTAAGATATTACCCTACACCACCTTATTTTGCAGCTTGTCTGAGAAAAATCCAAACTTGCATTTTCCAAAGCACTGCTTGAAGAGTGAAATCTTAAAAAATTAAATAAATAATAAATACAAATAAGTGTTAACACCCATTTGTAGTTTTCAAATAGAGCTCAGAGTGAGGGCTGTGGCTCCATCGACTTGTTCAAGCCCAGGACCCCGTCTGCTTTGCGAGCATCATCTGGTGCTTCCTTAATCAACAGACGAAGACCAGACAAGCCCTGGTCATTGTCCTGCCCACAGGCCAGTTCAGAGCTAGACGGAGTTGCAGACTGACAGTAAGAATGACATTTCCCTCACCTCTCCAAAAGCGGGGTGCTCTCAAGCCCAATGAGGGCGCATACCGTGGACCGCACCACAGGATCAGGGGAATAGGTTGCTCACGGCTTCACTCTTTGTCTCCACAGCAGCCCTCCGGAGAGCTGTTTGAGATTGAAATAGACACCCTGGAAACCACCTGCCATGTGCTGGACCCCACCCCTGTGGCAAGATGCAGCGTGAGGCAGCTGAAGGAGCATGTGAGTACCCTTCTTAGGATGACTGTAGGTGGCCCTTCGGCCAGCTCCACCGATTCACCCAGCGTCTCAGCCTGCCTTCTTGGCTAGCCAGGGTGCAGTTTCTAAAATTGCCATTTGTGGCCGAGCGCAGTGGCTCATGCCTATAATCTCAGCACTTTGGGAGGCTGAGGCAAGTGGATCGCCTGAGGTCAGGAGTTCAAGACCAGCCTGGCCAGTATGGTGAAACCCCATCTCTACTAAAAATACAAAAATTAGCTGGACGTGGTGACGGGCACCTGTAAATCCCAGCTCCTCGGGAGGCTGAGGCAGGAGAATCGCTTGAACCCGGGAGGTGGAGGTTGCAGTGAGCCAAGATCCTGCCATTGCACTCCAGCCTGGGCAACAACAGTGAATCTCTATCTCGAAATAATAATAATAATAATCATCATCATAAATAAAATTGCCATTTGATGCCACTTGCCCTGGGGCTGATTTTTACAAGCGTTTAACTATATCGTTGTATCCCTGAAAGCAGAGAGTGCCATGTTTCAGTATTACCCAGCAAAGGCGATTTTGCAAGGGTCACCTTTGACAGCCGTGCCTGGAGGGAGCCTGCCCGGGGTGCGAAGGGGAAGGGCAGCCATCCTCACGTGGGTTTCTTTCTCCAGGCTGTCGAAGGAGACTGTGATTTCCAGCTGTTGAAACTAGATGGCAAGTTTTCCGTGGTATACGCAAAATGTGATTCCAGTCCAGGTACAGATGACTATTCTTATTCTCATTTTTTCCTTGTAGAGAAAGTGGGGAAGGGATCTGAATAATTTTCAACTTAAGTAGTTCTAGCAGCTTTGTCGGTGAGGAAAAGGAGAAGCCAAATTTCCTGGGTTCTGGGATTTTTAAAATTGTGTTTTAAGAAGCTACTCTTGGCCTGGTGCGGTGGCTCACGCCTGTAATCCACCCACCCGAGGCAGGTGGATCACCTGAAGTCAGAAGTTCGAGACCAGCCTGGCCAACATAGTGAAACCCCCATCTCTACTAAAAATACAAAAATGTGGTGGTGCTCGCCTGTAATCCCAGCTACTAGGGAGGCTGAGGCAGGAGAATCGCTTGAACCTGGGAGGCAGAGGTGGCAGTGGGCCGAGATCGCACCACTGCACTCCAGCCTGAGTGACACAGAGTGAGACCCTGTCTCAAAAAAATAAGAAGTTATTCTTACTGGAAGTGAAAATTGCCTCGTGATGATAAGAGCTCCTGCAGAAATGTCAGCATAGCAAAAGCCTTTTGAAGGTTTAGTAAGAAGCAGAGAAAGTGCCTGAAGCTATCTGGGGAATGCCTTAGCCCTTGCTAACGCAGCAGAGCTGGGGCCATGCCAGGGAGAATGGCTGCCCACATCCTGGTTTCCTCTCTCCGAGCAGACTCAGCCGAGGACGTGCGCAAGGTGTGCCAAGACTGCCCCCTGCTGGCCCCGCTGAACGACACCAGGGTGGTGCACGCCGCGAAAGCTGCCCTGGCCGCCTTCAACGCTCAGAACAACGGCTCCAATTTTCAGCTGGAGGAAATTTCCCGGGCTCAGCTTGTGGTAAAGACTGAGATTCTTTTGACAGGTTGGGCAGTTCGGTGGCACTTCGGGAATGTACTGTACGTGGTGGAGCGGGAGGCAGGGAAGAACAGGCGCAGGGGCAGCGATGAGAAAGCAAGGAGAGGGTTGTTTGGAAAGGGAAGAAAGCATCCTAAGGGGGTATGAGGCTCCTGAGTGTCATGAGGACCCCAACACCCTCAGCGCCTCCCCCATGCTGAGCCACTGTAACGTCCAGCAGCCACAGCTGCCGGCAGGTACATCCCCACTCCCTCCGTTCCAGCTAAAACCAAAGCTCAGTGTCAGCTGGTAGAGTTGCCCACGTCGGCCAGAAGCACTCACTGTAAATTTGCTGGGCTCCAGTACCACCCATCTCCGCTGAACATCTGCCACAGACTCGTAATTAATACTCACTTGTGCTGACAAGCTTATAATGGCAAGATCTTAAAATGCCTTTCGAGTCACTGGAGAAAACATCTCATTGTACTGTGGGTGGTTTAGCACATTGGAATTCAACAGAATTCAAATGTTTAAGAAAATGTATTCTGGATATCAGCCATGGCCATACTTGGAAATACGCTAGTATAGACGGCAATTCTATTAATCAGAATATGTGATTCTCAGAACATCCCCACCCCAGACTACACCAAATAACAGATATTTTATTGTGTCCATATGCTCCAACTACTTTAAAAAAGAAAAGCTCAAGTGATATCTTCCATACTTTCATCTAAATCTTTTCATTTGAGCCTGCTCTATGAAACAGGTGGAAGAGGTATTAATCTCTTCACTTTCCCACCCTATTTTGGAATAACCTGAACCTTGGGTATCAAGTGCAGCCCAAGAGTGAGGGCTGGGGGGAGGCAGGGTTCCCACTCCTATCAGTCTAATGCTGGCCTTCTGATTCCGGTTTCCTATCTGCAAACTCACCTCCACCCTGAAGGACCGGTGATGGATACTTGCCCCTCCTACAAGGAAGACACAACCCCTACCTCTAAAGCACAAGCACTTGAGAACACAACCCCATAGCAACTGCCCTATGTAAGCCATTGAGGGACATGTCTTCTGGGCCGACGCATGGTCTGCATGAATGGTGCTCCCCGAAGGAGGCTACTTCCCGCTCTCCTTCTCTGCCCTTTTCATTGTAAGTCATCTTTCCTCAAGAGCATTTTCATGTACTCTTCTCAGCCCCTCCCACCTTCTACCTATGTGGAGTTTACAGTGTCTGGCACTGACTGTGTTGCTAAAGAGGCCACAGAGGCAGCCAAGTGTAACCTGCTGGCAGAAAAGGTGAGTGGGCCGGGACCTTGGGGTGTTACCACTCGGACAGAGCTGTTTGTGGAACAGAACATCCTTGGATAGTTTGTATCTTGGGGCTGCAGACAGAGAATAACAGTGCAAATCCCCTCTCCCTGTGGATCACGGCAAGCCTTCTTTTAGGGTGTCACCTCATCCCTTTAAGAGCTGTCATCAAATCATCTCACCCACTGGAAGCACATGAAGTTAGGAGAAAGAGAGAGGCTATTTGCTAATGAAGCCAAGTCACGCCCACCCACTGGGAATGTGAAGTGCACATTTTCTAGACATATAACTCTGATACAAAAGCTTTCAAGTCCTTGAGCCAATAATGTACACTTCTAGGATTTTAGTCTAAAGAAGTCATCAGTGGCCAGGCATGATGGCTCATGCCTGTAATTCCAGCACTTTGGGAGGCCAAGACGGGTGGATCGGGAGGTCAGGAGATCGAGACCATCCTGGCTAACATGGTGAAACCCCGTCTCTACTAAAAATACAAAAAAATTAGCCAGGCTTGGTGGTGAGCGCCTGTAGTCCCAGCTACTCGGGAGGCTGAGGCAGGAGAATGGTGTGAACCCAGGAGGCAGATGTTGCAGTAAACTAAGATCGTGCCACTGCACTCCAGCCTGGGCAACAGAACGAGACTCTGTCTCAAGAAAAAAAGAAAAAGAAAAAGAATTCATCAGTGACATTTGACAGAATATATCTATAAAAATGATTTATTATGGATATAAAGAGACCAAAAAAGAGAGATCTGTATGTCCAACAGGAAGGTGTCATTGAATAATCCATGCACATCAGTAAATAGAAAATTGTGCAGACACTAAAAATTGTGTTTTCAAGGAATAATGAATGATATGAGAAAATGCTATTATGGCAAGTGAAAACACACAGGATACAACATCGTATAGTCACAATGATCTCAATTTTTAAATCATATTTAATAGTATTTTAAAATAAGAAAGAAATGCATCAATGTTAACAGTCCTTCTTTCTAGGCCACCACCAGAAAGGGATTATGGGTAATCTCTCTCACTCTCAAAGTATTTCTGTATTTCCATGTTATATATAGAATCATATACCTCCCACAAGCAGAAACTATAACTTTAAGAAAAATGGTTTTTCAAACTAATTTAAGGTTGGCGCGTCAATGAAATTGGGGGGGATCCATTTTTGAAATTAGTTAAAATAAATCCTCTTTCTCTGTGGGCAGCAATATGGCTTTTGTAAGGCAACACTCAGTGAGAAGCTTGGTGGGGCAGAGGTTGCAGTGACCTGCATGGTGTTCCAAACACAGGTAACAGCTCCGTGAATATTCTTGCCTACACCTTCAGAATACAATGACCCCTTCACATTTATGCAGTGCAGTAGTGATGACAGGACATTTGCTCTCCTGTGCTTCTGAATCTCACAGTATGAAATAACACTGGGGTATGCGGAATCATCAACAAATGGAAGGATATTTTAGCTATGCCTTTCCCTCCCACGAACTAGTGACTACAGGGAAGAACCATCTTACTGTGTAGTTGACAAAGCCACCTTTTTATTTGTGGGAGGTGGGAGTGGTTTTCTGAGTTGCAGAGACCAGGTGGCCAGATCTACCTGTTAGCTCCCAGTGGCTGCAGCTTCAGATGACAAAGAGGGTGGCACTGCTGGGCAAGGGTGAGCCATAGGTGGGGTGCTTTTACTCATTGGACATATGCGTGTAAGTCCACCATCACAAAGACAATCCTAGTGAGGCCGGGGCCAACATAGGCCAGTCACCCCTCCTTGTAACCTTGATGACAATCCCTTGTACTTGGGTAGGTCCTTTCTTGCTAGACTCTTTGCAAATAAAAATGTATAATGTGAGGAAATTGGGTGCCAGTGCCACCTGGGCCTGTGGGTTGTCTTGCCTGGGAGGAGGAAGCAAACTAACTGAAGGAAATGGTCCTTTTTCCAGCCCGTGAGCTCACAGCCCCAACCAGAAGGTGCCAATGAAGCAGTCCCCACACCCGTGGTGGACCCAGATGCACCTCCGTCCCCTCCACTTGGCGCACCTGGACTCCCTCCAGCTGGCTCACCCCCAGACTCCCATGTGTTACTGGCAGCTCCTCCAGGACACCAGTTGCACCGGGCGCACTACGACCTGCGCCACACCTTCATGGGTGTGGTCTCATTGGGGTCACCCTCAGGAGAAGTGTCGCACCCCCGGAAAACACGCACAGTGGTGCAGCCTAGTGTTGGTGCTGCTGCTGGGCCAGTGGTTCCTCCATGTCCGGGGAGGATCAGACACTTCAAGGTCTAGGCTAGACATGGCAGAGATGAGGAGGTTTGGCACAGAAAACATAGCCACCATTTTGTCCAAGCCTGGGCATGGGTGGGGGGCCTTGTCTGCTGGCCACGCAAGTGTCACATGCGATCTACATTAATATCAAGTCTTGACTCCCTACTTCCCGTCATTCCTCACAGGACAGAAGCAGAGTGGGTGGTGGTTATGTTTGACAGAAGGCATTAGGTTGACAACTTGTCATGATTTTGACGGTAAGCCACCATGATTGTGTTCTCTGCCTCTGGTTGACCTTACAAAAACCATTGGAACTGTGACTTTGAAAGGTGCTCTTGCTAAGCTTATATGTGCCTGTTAATGAAAGTGCCTGAAAGACCTTCCTTAATAAAGAAGGTTCTAAGCTGAATGTGGTCATGCTTATTGCGACTTCATCCCAGCTCCCCTCACATGCATAGCCTTTTACCCCAACAAACACAGTGTCCCTAATCAAAATCAAAGTGAAAAGAGAACCAAAAGAGAACAAAAACCTGCTGTATTGCCAGATACAGGAAAAAGTGAGACTAGGATCTTTCCACAACCCATAAGATGTGACCATTTCTTTTTTTTTTTTTTTCTGAGACGGAGTCTTACTCTGTCACCCAGGCTGGAGCGCAGTGGCATGATCTTGGCTCACTGCAAGCTCCACCTCCCAAATTCAAATGATTCCCCTGCCTCAGCCCCCTGAGTAGCTGGGACTACAGGTGCGTGCCACCACACCCAGCTAATTTTTTTTATTTTAGTGGAGACAGGGTTTCACCATGTTGGCCAGGATGGTCTTGATCTCCTCAACTCATGATCCACCCACCTCGGCCTCCCAAAGTGCTGGGATTACAGGCGTGAGCCACCGCACCTGGCCAAGATATGACCATTTCTTTATGAGAAAATAATTCTTCTCATTTTATAAGAGAGAGAAAATATTGCTAAAGGTGGGCCAAGCTCCTGAACTTTGTACAGAATAAACTATCCATTGATTTTCTCCAGTACCGAGGTAAGGAGGGATTGGTAATTAAAACAAGATCCTCACTTTATATCTGTTGTTAATTATGTTTAAGATATACGTTGAGTGTACTGTATACACTTCATTTTATAACACAAGATTGGTCTTCCTAGCCAATCTATTTTAAGGACCCAAGTTAAAGCTGTGACTTGTAGTATCATTAGATAAAGGATGCCTGGACAGGTGAATCCCGTGGACATTTGTAGACACCGTCCAAGTGCTCAGATAGCATATGTGAATAAACCCTCCCCATTTTAGCATGGTCCCTGGGCAATTTCAATTTTTGTCCATCAGCATTAAGTTTTTCCGATCTACCTCAGTGATGGGCCCTTTCAGATGGAATTTTAGAGGGCAGGACTGACACCCAGTTGAGTGACTTCACTTTAAACCAAGGAGAATGAATCAAGTGTTGACACTCACCTTATCACTTGTGCCTAGAGGTTTTGCCAATATTCCAGTAACCAAAAGGAAAGGCCAGAAAGGTAAGAAAACCACTAGGTGTCACGGAAGCCAGAGAAGAAGCTATGGGCAGCTGTGCTAAATGCTGTAGAAAGAGCAGTAAGGACGACTGACTCTGAGGTCATGGTGACCACTGGCAGATGCAGTTGCTCTAGGGGCATCCTGGTTGTCAAGAGTTTACTGGTGTTGTTGCTGTAGGGAGACTGGAGAGTGGGCTGTAGCTGGGCAAGAGTAGCCACAGGATAGAAAGTCACTAGAGCTTTCTAGAGAAAAGATTAACATGAGTTGGTCTAAGGTGGTGGGCAGTGGACATGATAAAAAGAGGTTATAATTTGGAGGTAGAACTCCCAAGACCTGCTGATGAATTTGATATGGGAGTGAGAAAGACGTGAAGGATGATGATTCCTGGATTTGTGGCTTTGTGAACTGGATAGATGTGTGTGTGTGTGTGGGGGGGGGGCATTTACTGAGGCAGTGAATTCTAGTTTGTTTCATTTGCATTACCTCAGTTTCCCTCCTCTCCAACTTAAAATTCGTGCAGATGATTTTTCTATGTCTATTTTTCTGTGTCTGGCTAATGCATGCCTTGATCTCATGTCTCTCAAAGAAGCAGTGAAGTCACATAGACCTGCAAAACCTGAGCCAAGCTGCTTCACCTTTCACTTCTTTCTGCCCACATTATACAACCAGACATAGATAACAGCTGATGTACTGGTGTTGGGAGGATTAAATGAGATGCTACAAATTTATGTATGACACCTTCTTGACACATTCTAGGTTCTCAGTAAGTGCCCTCCCTTTCTGCTGCTGCTCCTCATCCTCTGAATTTGGTGGCCTCAGAAGATTATGTTGTTGACCTTCTCTTAAATATGTACTCTGCTTGGCAAGTTTATCCTCTCTCATGATTTAAACTATCATTGTTACCCAGATAACTGCAACTTAATAGCTCCAGATTGGACCTCTTTATTGAATTCTAACATTGCATTTCCAAATACCTTCAGGATTTCCTCACTAGAATTACCTAAAACAGTTTCCTATGTGACTTGTTTCCTCTAAATGATGCATATCTGGAGACAGCATTATTCAAAATGTGCATTATTTTAAAATTACTTATTCCCAATAATAATAGAGAGAATGAGTTACAGAGCTGTTAAATCTACCACCCTTATAGCACATTTTTTGTATTAATGCTGCTCGGTACTTTCTTAACATTATTATTTTACAGAGTGTTCTCTCCTAAATTAATAGCATTACATATGTCTCATTTCTTTGCCTTCTTAGTGGATTTTAATCATGTCTAACACATGTTTCAAAGTTATTGGATTTCAGGTGCATTTTTCCATACTTGTGTCACTACTACCAATTAAGAATATTTGGTGGATGTTAAGATAATACAAAAATTGTCCAGGCACGGTGGCTCATGCCTGTAATCCTAGCACTTTGGGAGGCCAAGGCAGGTGGATCACCTGAGGTTAGGAGTTGGAGACCAGCTTGATCAACATGGTGAAACACCGTGTCTACTAAAAATACAAAGTTAGCCGGGCGTGGTGGTTGCGGTGAGCTGAGATCGTGCCATTGCACTCCAACCTGGGCAACAAGAGCGAAACTCCATCTCAAAAAAAAAAAAAAAAAAATTCTGTACTAGTAGGCTGGCTAGTGAAATGATGTTATCTTCACTCCATTGACTACTTTGCAGAAATTTAAAATCATGTTTATAAAAAAGTAACAATTAAATGTTATTAAAAAGTAACAATTCATATAGAAAAACATTGATAATATATTTTGAAATGAAAAAAGTGGGTTATAAAGTGGTATAATCCTGAATTTCTAAAATTAATTTATATATGTAGACATATTAATATACACATACAGACATAAAAAATTACCAAGTAACAGGAAGAAAAACTAAAATACTAACAGTGGTTATATCTGAATTATGGAATAATGGGGAGCTGCTTTTCTTTGTTGTATTAATGCTTTGTCTTATTTCCTAAACTTTCTATAATGCTCAAGTTTTACTTTCGTAGAAAGATATTTTTATTTTGTTTGTCCAGAATAGGGGTTAGAAAACGTTTTAGTGAAGGACCAGATAGTAAATATCTTTGGTGTTATGGACCATGTGGTCTCTATTTCAATGCAACTCTGCTATTTTAGGAAGAAAGCAACTATAGCCAATATATAAATGAATAGGCATGGCTGTATTCCAATAAAACTTTTATTACAAAATTAGCAGTGAGCTGAATTTGGCCTTTGGCTATAGTTTGCCAGGGTGGCCTAGAACAGTGGAAATAAGGAGAAATCGAGTTGGGGGGAAAAATGGCAGTCAAAGAGTAGATCAGTTTCACATGGAGTTAGATGCTGGTCTCTGGTATCAAGCTGGTCAAGCGAGAAAGAAGTAAGGGTGTTGTCTGTACAGAAGATGAATCCATGTGAATAACGACAAGGTGAAGGTGGAGGGCAGGAGTATAAGCCAGGAGACAAAGATGTTAGCAATACAGAGAGGCCAGTAAGTCAGAAGATGGCAGGAACAGGAAGAGGAAAGTGTCTGCAAGCTAGGTGGCATGGTCCTCAAAGAAAAAGCGTTCTTTTGTTTTGTTTTGTTTTTGTTTTTGTTGTTTTCGCTCTTGCTGCCCAAGCTGGAGTGCAATGGTGCGATCTCGGCTCACCGCAACCTCTGCCTCCCAGGTTCAAGCGATTCTCCTGCCTCCTCCCAAGTAGCTGGGATTACAGGCATGCACCACCATGCCCAGCTAATTTTGTATTTTTAGTAGAGACGGGTTTCTCCACGTTGGTTGGGCTGGTCTCGAACTCCCGACCTCAGGTGATCTGCCCACCTCGGCCTCCCAAAGTGCTAGGATTACTGGTGTGAGCCACAACACCCGGCCGAGAAAAAGGGTTTTATGCGAGCACAGAGGACTAATATCCTGGAAGTAACATTGGAAAATGGGGAGGATACCAATGTTACTAAAAATAAGCATCCATTCCAGAGTTGTTATGGAGAAGTTGTGCTTGAGCAAAAGTGAGACTCAAGTTGAGCACAGAAAATGACTCAATTAGTAGGGCAGGTAGTCTTTTATCCACTATGGAATGGAAATTTCAGAAGGCACGGTGGAAGGATTTGGGCAAAGGAGGCATATCTGATGGTACAGCAAGTCGAGGAAGAGGAAGCAGAAAGCGAAAAGAGATGATACTGCTGAGAAAGGACAGACAACAAAAAGAGTTCTGTTTGAGGCATATCAAGCTTTCAGGAGCTAGGGTCCGGAATGAGTAGGCAGCAGCCTGCCTTGATCGTAGTTTGATGATTCAGGTCAAGACCAGGCCATGGGATGAATGAACTCTCAGGCCCTCAATACAGGAAGCAATGGCAATCTCTGGAGGATGGGAGGACTTTTCCGAACTGGATAGCTGCCAGCCCCGTTCTGGAATCCCATCTCATCCATAGCCCACATATAGCTATGTTTCCTTGGGTCTCCACTGAGACAAGCCATGGCTATAACTGGATTGGGCAATAATGTTTTTATCATCTCCATCTCATCCTCTATTGCACTCTCCATAGCACCTACTCCTGACTTTCTTTTTCACTTCACTACCTCTTGGTACACTGCCTGGAGGAAGGACTCAACAAGGCTTTACAAAATCTGTTCCCTCCCCTTCTCCATCCTATTTCCTTTAAATACTATGCTCTAACCAGGTAAGATCAGCTACTAGATCTTACTCGAACAAACCTGGGATTTCCTGTCCCTCTGTGACCGCATATTACTCTCTGTGTGTACTGCCTCTTGCCCCATTTCCCAACACCATAAGTCTAAATGCTACTTCTGCACCCACCTCAAATATCCTCTTTTTCAGAAGTCTTCCCCTGAGCCCCAACTAGGAAAACGTCAGCTTTTTCTGGACCTATTTTATGGTACAGAGGTCTTTCTGATCTGTTTTGCGTTTTTTGATATACATGTGGCAGCTTGTCTGGTCCATTTTAACTCTCTCCTCCCCTGCCTCAGCCACCTTCAACGACCCTGCTGATGGCCCACCCATCCAACATCTGCATCTCCTTCCATCTTGCCTTCTCTACCTCCACAGCGTTTCTGCCACCCCCTGGTTCCCTCAGTCACACCCTCATGGATAAGTGGTCCTCTTCCTGGATGGCAGACCTTGTGTCCCCCTCACTCTGCCCTCAGCCACCTTTTGTTCACCTTTGATTCACGCCTGATCAGCTTCACTGAGAGCATCAATCCCTCTGTCCTATGTATTGTTCAAGGTGTCAGACACTTCCTGGCTTCACTTCCTTGTCTTCTGGACCCAACCCCACATGGGTCATTTCAAAGATATTCATGTAAGCACCCTCTGTGGATCTTAACCTTCTGTCCTCCAGACCACATGCCTTATCGGGGCCCAACTCCAGCTGGACTTTCTCTCTGTTCCTGTTCCCATCCTGCGGTTCTCACTGAAGGGCTCTCCGGAGCGTGGCTTTTGATGCCCTGACAAAGGTTGTGCTCCATCCTCAGGCAGGATCCCCTCAGAGCCCCACCATTATTCTTGTCTCTTCATGGCTTCATTTCCCACTCCCCACAATGACTCAGCTACATATTTTCCCCTCTCAAATCCTAATCACACCTCCACATCTCAACCCTCAACAGATGAATCTCCCAGCTTCCAAAGAAAATAAAAGCTATTAGGTAAAAATTCCCTCCAATACATCTCTGAAGTCACCCACTCTCACCTCCTTCTCTCTGGCTCAGAGGAAGTATCTTTCTCCTCTGTTACGTTGGCTACTCCTCCCACCCTCACCTTCCCTGACCACTTCACCCTTCCCAGCATCCCTTCCACCTACACCAGCGTCACCCTTTCCACTGACCACACTCTCAGATGACACCCATGCTAAATGATCACTCTCCTCTGATTCTACGTTCCTCTCAAGCCATTTCCCTATTTCCCCCTTTGTTTTACTACCAATCCTCCTTTTAAAAAACATTTATTCCATGGTGTATATGTGCCACATTTTCTTAATCCAGTCTATCATTGTTGGACATTTGGGTTGGTTCCAAGTCTTTGCTATTGTGAATAGTGCCGCAATAAACATACGTGTGCATGTGTCTTTATAGCAGCATGATTTATAATCCTTTGGGTATATACCCAACATATACACCGTGGAATACTATGCAGCCATAAAAAATGATGAGTTCATGTCCTTTGTAGGGACATGGATGAAGCTGGAAACCACCATTCTCAGCAAACTATCGCAAGGACAAAAAACCAAACACCGCATGTTCTCACTCATAGGTGGGAGTTGAACAATGAGAACACATGGACACAGGAAGGGGAACATCACACACCGGGGACTGTTGTGGGGTGGGGGGAGGGGGGAGGGATAAAAAATAAATAAATAAATCTGTATTTCTAAAAAAATAAAATAAAATAAAAAACAAAAGCCAAAAAAATTGATTTCTAAAAATTTCTAAATGCGACGTTTACTAAAAAAAATTATGGAAAACACTGAGAAGTTGAAGGAATGAAAATAAATGCCTCCCACAATCCCATATCTCAAATACAAACACCATTAACATTTTCCTATATTGCGTTACCTTCCTTCCGCCTCCCACCTGCACCACTGTGCAGGGGTGCTTTATAAAACACAGCGTTGTGTCACGGCAGTGTAGTTTCCATTGCTGTCCTGCTTTGCAAGTTAACATTACAACTTAAACATTTTCTATGTCACTAAACATCATAAACATCATTTGTGATGGCTAATTGGTATTCATCAAATGTAGCCAAATTCAAGCTGGTACCACTTGCTGCACAACAGCCAGTAAGTCAAGAGACAAGGCACTGGGGCAAGGAAAGCAACTTTATTCTTACAGCAATATTTATTCTTTCTTTAGTCTTCTCAGCAAACTGAGAAGATGGGCAGACTCATGTCCTAAAAAGCCATCTTAAGTTAATATGCATTTCAGGCTCCTTTTATGTTAGAGTAAGGGAGAATAGGGAGGCGGTTGAGGTAAAGAAATAACCAATGACAGGCACCTGGGCGGCAGCAAGGCTCTGAGGAGGTGAAACTTCCTTGTCCTTGGCCAGGTCACAGTGCTCTTATAAATCTTTAACATGACATCGTTACTTGTGTGTACCCCCTTCTTTTCTCCTTGGGAGTTAGTTTTGGGAAGAGACTATTATCATCCTTGCTTTAATGTTAAACTGTAGGCTGGGTGTGGTGGTTCACACCTGTAATCCCAGCACTTTGGGAAGTCAAGGCAGGTGGATCACTTGAGGCCGGGAGTTTGATGCCAGCCTGGCCAACATGGTGAAACCCTGTCTCTACTGAAAACACAAAAATTAGCCAGGGGTGGTGGCAGGTGCCTGTAATCCCAGCTACTTAGGAGGCTGAGGCAGGAGAATCGCTTGAACCCAGGAGGCGGAGGTTGCAGTGAACCGAGATCATGCCATTGTACTCCAGCCAGGGCGACAAGAGCGAAATTCAGTCTCAAAAAAGAAAAAAAAAAAAAAGTTAAACTGCCAACTAAATGCCTCCCATAGTTAGGTTGGCCTGTGTGCAGAGATAAGCAAAAGCAGTTAACCTAAAAGATATCATTTTGGATGGAGTTGCAGGGAGATTGGGAGAAAAATGAAGTTAGTCGTGTTAAGCCTCCTTTTCACTGTTACCTAAATGGAAGTTTACTTAACCATTCTCCTGTTGTTGGACATTTAGATGGACACTTTTTCGTGCTTGTAAATGGCATATCAATAAATATTATTATGCATAAAAGCTTTCCTATATGTGTGAATACTTTCCAAGGTAGAGTCTCAGAAATATAACTAATATTCCAAAATAATATGAATATCTTACGACTCTTGACATGTATTGTCAAAGTGCTTTACAAACAGATTTTGCCAATCTACACTTCCAAAACCTGAGTGTGCCCATCTCACTGAACCTTTGCTATCACTTGGCCTTATCATTTCTCTCCCCTCAAAATACCAACGTATAACTGTCTCAGTTATTAAGAGATAACTTATCATCTCTTCATCACATCTCAATCCATTATACCTTGGTTCATATACACACCAGTGTAGTAAGATTATTCTGGCAAAGGTCATTGTTGACCTTCTTATTGTCAAAACCTTTGACCCAGTAATTTGTTTTTCCTTCTTATGCTATTTGGTCTCTCGCCAATGTTTGATGTTATTGCCTACCTCCTACTTGGAACTCTTTCTGCCTCCATCTCTTCCAGTTACCTCTAAAATATTAGGGTTCCTGAGATTTTCACCTTTATTTTTCTCACTTTATATGCTCCCATTGATAATCTTATCCACTCTTGTAACTTCAGTTTATTCTGTCTAGACTCCATCTCAAAAAAATTTATTTTATTTTATTTTTTGAGAGTCTTGCTCTGTCGCCCAGGCTGGAGTGCAATGGTGTGATCTCGGCTCACTGCAGCCTCTACCTCCCTGGTTCAAGCAATTCTCCTGCCTTAGCCTCCCTAGTAGCTGGAATTACAGGCATGCACCACCACGCCCAGCTAGTTTTTTGTATTTTAGTAGAAATGGGGTTTCACCATGTTGCCCAGGCTGGTCTCCAACTCCTGAGCTCAGCGAATCCACCCACCTCAGCCTCCCAAAATGCTAGGATTACAGGCGTGAACCACCACACCCAGCTTATTTTTTATTTTGAGACAGAGTCTCACTCTGTCGCCCAGGCTGGAGTGCAGTGGTGCCATCTCAGCTCACTGCAACCTCTGTCTCCTGGGTTCAAGCGATTCTCCTGTCTCAGCCTCCCAAGTAGCTTGGATTACAGGTGTGCACCAGCACACCCAGCTAATTTTTGTGGGGTTTTTTGTATTTTTAGTAGAGATGGGGTTTAGCCATGTTGGCCAGGCTGGTCTTCAACTCCTGACCTCAAATGATCTGCCTGCCTTGGCCTCCCAGACTGCTGGGATTACAGGTGTGAACCACTGCTCCTGGCCTTCTATTTATTTTTTTAAAGGTCTTTCCTCAACCTTGTATTCTTCTCTTTAATGTTTGTTTTCCTTCTATTTATAAACAAGATTTTATGAACAATGGTCTATACTTGCTTGTCTCCACTTCCTGAACTCCTATTCATTTTTTTTTTCACAGTAATCTGGCTTCTATCCCCACCACTCCTCTGAAACTGCTACCAACAAAGATCACGGGGGAACTTCTGGATCAAATGGATACATGTTTAGCCCTTTTTTATTCAAGCTCTCCATGGCATCTGACCCTCTGACCACGCCTTTCCTTTTTGAATGCAATCCTTCCTGGTCTATGGAGCCTGTCTTTCTTCTCTGCAGCCTTTCAATCTCAGACTCTTTTTCTTTTAGCTCCTCTTCCTCTGCTTCCTCCTTAAATATTAGTTTTCTCAGAGCTCCACCTCATTCTCATCTCATTGCCTTACCTGCCCTCCCAGAATGAGCTCACCCTCTCCCAAGATTTTAGCCTCCACCTCTGGCTAATGATGATCTTGCTCATCCCCTTTAAACCTTGAGTCCGTATACCCAACACATATTATGAGTCTCCACTTAGAGATCGCTCAGATTCTTCAAATTTAACAGCCTCAAACTCAGGTCCCCATCCCCTCCCCCTTCCAAATCTGCTCTATTCCTGTAATGGTAGCTCAACTCTTTGACTCGGTCAAATAACCTGAAAACTCTGGAGTCATTCTTGATCCCTCACCCTTTCTTGCTGCCATATTTTATGAGTCACCAGGTCTTGATTTCCTACATCCTCATTATATCTCGGATCCAGTCCTTCCTCTCTGTTCCCACTGTCACTTCCATCTTTTCAGCAGTGTCTCCTCTGACAGGATTTTCTCATTCACAACTGTACCACTCAGGGTTCAACCAGGTTTAGCATAACCAGGGAGGTATTATAGGGAACTGGCTTATGCAATTGTGGGGGCTGGATAAACAGTCCCTGTAAGGCTGTCTCTGTATCTGATGCTGGAGCCTGAAGTCCACAGGGCTTATGCAATTGTGGGGGCTGGATAAACAGTCCCTGTAAGCCTGTCTCTGTATCTGATGCTGGAGCCTGAAGTCCGCAGGGCAGGTGTTCAGAAAGAGAAGATGGATATGACGTAGGGGGAATTGACAGCAGATTGGAACCCACAAGCATGAGCTGAGACCCTACAAGGATGGACCGTCACCCACATCTGTTTTTGTTGCCTATGGCCTTGGTGATAAGGGTATCCTGAAGAAGCTGGGGCCTTTCATCGCTGCTACCTGGAATGATCTTTCTGAGAATCTAGTTCTTAAAACCTTCAGTGATTCCCCAGTACTTTTAGTATGCTATGCAAATCATTACAGCACAGAAGACTCTCAGGCTTTTGCCTCACTACTATTCCACGCTTAATCTTGTCATTCCCTCGCCATGCCTCTTCTCACCTCTTCCCTTCCACTTTCTAGCTCTCTCTCTCACACACACACACACACACACACACACACACACACACACACGTGCACACACACATAATATCAAGCTATAAAGAATTACAGTAGAAAAAAATTTACCCATAATATTTGGGGCCTGGTTTACTCAAAATTAACTATCTTAACTCCAGAAAAAAGAACACTTGAACAATTATGTTGTTACCTGCTAAAACATATAGAAGGCAATAATTGTCACAAATTTTACATTACAAGCCAGATATCTCAAATATCATGCGAGATTTCATATCAAAGAGTGTTGCCATGTTCTCATCAGGGAGGCTGTCCTCCCTGTTGTCACTGACCAGTCCTTGGCAGCCCTGTGGTGTCTGTTATCTTACACTCGAGCAAAGGATTCTTCAATTGTTACAATGCAGAGGATTGAAAACTAGGCACTTATTTATTCATTTATTTATTTATTATCTTTTTGAGACAAGGTCTCGCTCTGTCACCAGGCTGGAGTGCAGTGGCACAATCACGGCCCACTGCAGCTTTGACATCCTGTGCTCAAGTGATACTCCTGCCTCAGCCTCCCGAGTAGCTGGGTCTACAGGTGCATGCCATCATGCCTGGCCAATTTTTAAAAATTTTTTAAGAGATGGGGTCTTGCTATTTTGCCCAGGCTGACCTAGAACTCCTGGGTTAAAACAATCCTCCCAACTCAGCCCCACAAATTGCTGGGATTACAAGCATGAGCCACTGTGCCAGCTAGCTTTTTAATTTTTTATCCCCAACAACTAGCATAGTGCCTATCACAGAGCAGTTACTTCACTCACTGGAGAAGAACTTACGACATTACTTGAATGAAGGAACTTTCTTCTTACCCCCTAAACTCCTGATCCACCAGTCCATGGAGGAGCCCAGAAAGTCAAGCTTCACAGCCTCTCTCTGCCTTTTTTTAATTTATTTTATTTTATTTTATTTTATGTTATTTTTGAGATGGACTCCCACTCTGTTGCCCAGGCTGGAAGGCAGTGGCATGATCTTGGTTCACTGCAATCTCCGCCTTGCAGGTTCAAGCTATTCTCCTGCCTCCGCCTACCAAGTAGCTGGGACTATAGGCACGCGCCACCACACACGGCTAATTTTTGTATTTTTAGTAGGGATGTGGTTTCACCATATTGGCCAGACTAGTCTCAAACTCCTGACCTCATGATCTGCCCACCTTGGCCTCCCAAAGTGCTGGGATTACAGGCGTAAGCCACCTCTCCTGGCCTCTCTACTCTTTCAAGATAAGTTTTTGTTTACTGTGCTTGGAACATTCAAATGAAGATCATTTCCTAATGCTTTATCCACTGCTGGTGTGAAGGCTATTGTTATAATATTTCTGGAGAGCAATATGGCAAATTATTATAATTATTACTTAATTTTTTTTTTGAGACACGGTCTTGCCCTGTCACCCAGGCTGGAGTGCAGTGGCACAATGATAGCTCACTAAGTGCTCAAACTCCTGGGCTCAAGTGATCCTACCACCTCAGCCTCTGAGTAGCTGGGACCATAGATACATGCCGTCAAGCTCAGCTAATTTTTAAAACATTTTTTATAGAAATGAGGTATTGCTGTGGTGCCCAGGCTGGTCTTAAACTCCTGGCCTCAAGTGACCCACCCACCTTGGGCTCCCAAAGCACCGGCATGAACCATTGTACCAGGCCTAATATGGCAAATTATATCAGAAGCTTTATCATTAATTATTGCCCTTGACCCAGTGATTCCATTTGAGGCATTTGTACTAAGCAAATTATTAAGGATATGAACAAAGATCTACTCACAAGAATGTTAATTGCAACATTGTTTATAATAGCAGAGAATTGGAAACAATCTACCTGTCTATCAAAGACAGTTGGCTTGAAGAACTGACTCACCTGTCAACAGACTATTGTGCAATAATTAAAAATTAAACTGCAGAAGTGGGTTATTTTATATGTCAAGATGGTCAGGATCTATTGTTGGATTTTAAAAGCAAGTTACTATATAGTAAGTATACTACTACAGTATTTTTGTATAAAAATGCATGTGACATATGCATACAGGAAAGTCTGGAAGGACATCCATCAACTATTAACAGTATGGTCAGATATTTTTGTCTTTTTATTTGCTTTTTAATTTTCTGTAAGGTGCATATCACTTTGGTAATATTCTTCTAATGAGAAAAAAAGTTTAAATAACTTGTATTGAGTTCTCTAAGCCCTCCACCCAGCTCCATTCATAGTCATAAATACTTTTGGACCAAAAGAAAGAAGAAAACAATGACCAATTACGAAGACTTACTGTTGGATGGGCATATATCACATACATGATCTCATTTAGTCCCATAAATATGCATGTTGTCTCCATTTTTACTGATGAGAAAACTGAGTGCCAGAGAAAATAAATGGTAGTTGTGCCTGAAGTCACACGGCTAGTAACAGATCTCATCTAGCGGATCTACCCAACTATAAGCTCCAGCCCTTTCCACTACAGCACACAGCAGAGGGCTCTCCTGAGAGCACCCACCTCTGAGGCCATGGTCAGCACTGAGAAGGGTGAAAATAAATCAGTTCCCAGGGTCATTGTCCTCTGATGTAAGCCCACCAGAGGTCAGGGACCTTTGCGTTAGCAGAAGCTGGGTCGAAGCCACGGGGGTGTATATTGGCTTGTAGTTAATGGATAACAATGTATTTGTCTGAGTATTGACCCATGATAAACAACAGCAACCAATATCATGCACTCACTGTAAACACCTGGCCAGAGAGTCTTGGGCTCAACTCCTGGCTGGATGTGTGGTCTTAGGCAGGTAATTCAATTTCTCAGGATTTTGGTTACATCATTTCAAGAAAGTAGGGTTTGGCCTACTGACTCCCTAGGGACTCTTCAACCTCTAACACTTTATGATTCTTTGATGAGTTGCAGATATCATGCACTTTTCTCTTTATCCCTAAGTATCTCAGGGTCTAACTTTCTCTTACATAATCACCATATAGCTATCAAATTCACAGAAGTTAACATGTATACATTATTACATAATTTGCATTCCATATACAAAATCTGCCAACTACCCCATGATGTTCTTTAGAGGAATTTTAACTTCTTATCTCAAGAGCCAATCCAGAATCAAACTGATCACATGTTCATTTAGTTATGTAGTCTCTTTAGTCTCCTTCAATCTAGAACATTTCTCCAGCCTTTATCTCTCATGAATTGACATTTTGGAAGAGTACAAGCTAGTTGTCTTGCAGAATGCCCTTCAATTGGGTTTGTCTTGTCTTTCCTCATAATTAGCGTAGGTTACCTGTCCCCTCTGGAATACCATAAAAGTGATGTTGTGTCCTTCTCAGTGCATCGCATCAGGAAACACATGGTATCTGTCTGGCTTGTTATTGGTGATGTTGATTTTGATTATTTGGTTAAGGTGATGTCTTCCAGGTTCCTTTGGTATATAATTATAATTTCTCCCTTTACAGTTATTAAGTAATCTGTGGGGAGATACTCAGAGACTATGTAGATAACCTCTCCCATTTCAAATATTTACTCCCTAGTTTTAACATATATTGATGATTCTTGCCTGGATTTGTTACTACAATGATGATTGCAGAATGGTGATTTTTCTAACTATCATCTCTTCTATGTTTAGCAATTGGCATTCTATCATAAGCAACAAAAGCCTATACCTCCCAACAAAGCCTCATGGGATGAAATGTACGTACCTCACATTTAGCACAGCGCCTGGCATTCAGTAGGCAGGTGGTCGTGTTAATTCCCCTTTCCTTCTTTGGTCAGGGTATGGGTAGTACTGCTTATGATGGAATTTGGCAATAAAACTACCCATTGGGAGTGACAGCCATAAGAACCAGCAGCACTGGGTGAAGCAGTCCATCTACAGGGTTGCTGCACTCTCTGAGTTGGCTTGTAAAGATGTTGATGAGGTAATCTGGGAAGAGCCCAGGTCTGTGCAAAGTGTAGGGCAGCTCCTGCGAAAAAAGACTGTACCTAATTAAAGCTTAGCCTTCTGCCTATCACCCTGCCTTCAATTCAGGATTTAGGGTGTATGCCTGGCACTGGAATCCAGCTAACCACCTGTATTGTTACCAGGTGTTCTGAAGTGACAATGCAATCTGTTCGCCAGATATAAAAGGACAATCAGAGAGGAAGAACTTGTCAGCATTTGTCCAGCCCTGCTGGAGAGCCACTAGGAGAGGCATCAGTCTCCAGTACAAATTAACAAACCGGCTGCTGGCTTATGTATCAGTTGCCTATGCATAGGGTCAGTATACTCACCCCCAGGCCTGAACAACTCTGGGTCCTCAGGAACCCTGAAGGTGTGACTGGCAAAGCTGAGGCCCTGGCTCGGGAGCTGCTTCCCTGAGAGGACTGCGCCTACAGCATCCTTGACATCTTTTCATAAACCAGCACAACTGTGAGTATGAGATATGGCTTGAAGATCCTACCTGCCCCCTTCTTATCTTTTAGAATTTCTTTGGTGAGGTACTAAGGGCAAACTGCATGCCAGGCACTTAGTGTATAAAATCTCCCCTGGTCTTCACGTCCATCCTGTGGATTAGCTGTAGCCTCAGAGAATGTGAGAAACACATCCTTGGACAGACCTGATGAGTGGCGGAGCTGGGATTTGAACCCCTGTGCTCTTAGCCATACCGCCATAGGGATTTGTGGAGGAAATCCCACTTTTGATGCTATAAGGCAGATTTGCCCTAAGAATATTTTTGATTCCGAAAAGTGTTCTCTAAACATTTTGATTTTTTTCCACACATTGTCTAAATATGGCTGATAAAAGTAAGAGGAAGAGGGAGATTCCAAACATAGGATACTTCAGGAAGGAGTCAAGGAGAAACTGCCACAAGGTAGCCCTGAGGCTAGCAGGTGGTTTGGGAGCAGCAAATACTATCCCAATGACAGAGGAGACAGCTGCGAAAGTTGCAAGGACATAGAAAGTAAACGACGTGATTTACAGTTTTCGCCTTTACAGCTCCTGCAGGAAAAGTGAACGCTCTGTTAAATACGCTCCCTGCCTTGTGCCTCAGGCATACTCTGTTCTTCCTTCAAGCTCCAGAGTGAATGTTACCCCCTCTAGGAAGCCTGTCTTGACTTCCCCAGTAGAACTAGTTTCTCCCCTTGGTGCGTTCCTAGCATCCACTCCTTGAGGGCAAGAACCATGCCTTCTTCTCTGAAGCCACATAGGTTGGATGCAAACCCTGGCTGTAAGACCTCAGGCAGGCAATGTAACCTTTCTGTTCCTCAGCCTCCTTATCTGTACAATGGGAATAATAGTGGCACCTACAGGCCTCGGTTGGTCATGGGCTTACATGAGAGAAGGAACACAGAGTGTTTAGCACAGGGCTGGGCACACACTGAGAAATATCAGTTTCATATATAGTGCCGGGCTTTGGCAGTGGTTGGAGGAGATGTTCATTCAGTGTTTGTGGAAGGAAGAAAAGATAAAGGGAGGAAAGGGAAGAGAGAGAGAAACACAGCAACTAGCTGTAGAGACCATCATGTACCAGGCAGCTCCCACCTGGTATTTTGGAGCCATGGCTGCCGTCCAGTTTTGCTAAGTACACATCCTGTCCCCTTAGGCCAAGACTTGGTACCTAGATTTCTAATTCCCCAGATGCCTAATCACGTGTGCTGTGTCTCTCTCAGCTCTGCAGCCAACAATGTCTCACCTGTCTGATCTCTCCCTGTTCTCAAATCAATAATCCTAAGTCACTGCCCTGGATCACACCTGTGTCAGGAGGTGGGCAGGCCAGGGAGCCCCCTGCCTCTCCCTCCTCACTCAGGGAAAATCAGCCTTGTTTCTCCCAACCTGGTTCACCTGGCGATGCATCCATTCAAGTGTAACCAGAAAAAGGCCACTGGCAGAGTCACATAAGAATCTGCACCGTGGGAGACAAAGTGAGGACCACAGGGTACAGTCACAGCACTGACAGCTGTCCTTGGACATTGTCTCTGGACGTCCTGTGCACCAGGGCTGTGCTAAGCACCTTTGCATACTTCCCCTGTGATAAGTCCATATTGCAACCTCAGGAGATGGAGAATCCTGCTACCTTCCTTTTACATGGGAGGAGCCTGAGGCTCCCAAGAGCTAGACCTGGGCTGTCTGATAAGGTACCCACATGCAACTCTTGAGCGTCTTAACTGTGGCTACTCCAAATTGGGGTATGCCATAGTGTGAAACAAAGAATGTAAACTGTGCCTTTCATAATTTTTATGTTAATCACATATTGAAATTATAATATTTTGGATTGACAGGTTAAGCAAAATATTGTTAAAATTAATATCATCTGTTTCTTTTTACTTTTCGAATGCAGATACCAGAAATTTTAAAATTAAATATGTAACTTGCATTGTATTTCTATTAGACACACTGGATTCAACAAAACCTAGATTGATCTATCTCCACAGCCTTGTTCTTCACTCCTGAGCAGAAATTTAACTTCCATGCTGATACTAAAGTTGTTCCCATATGTGATGGGAACCAAACACAAGTGTACCTGGGTTGGGCTTCTAGGGAAAGAGGAACTCTATTCTCTTTCTACAGGCAGGTGCAACTGTGCATGTATACATATGCTGGGAGTGCCATTGTTTTATGAATAAGGAAACAAAATGCTGTGTGGCACACCCAGTGTCACAGGCCCTCTTACCGTGCAGTGGAAGAGGTGGAATTTAAACCCAAGACTGCCTGACACCAAAGGCTGGACTCTTCCCCTGCTTCCTCTCCCAGGGCTCCCATACTCCACAGCCTAGGAGAAGGCCAGCTCAGGTTGTTTGAGACTGGGTTGAAACCCAGGTGCATAAGTGGTGGTGCACGATTTCCATGTTATTGGATCTTTTTATCTGTTTGAGTCCTGCCTTTTATTTTAGTTGCACTCATGGCCTTCACCTATATAAGTCTAATATATTCCTCAGGTCCCAGACCATTCTCCTCCTCTTTGTTCTGCATCCTCAGGCCCCAGATCCTTCTCAACCTCTTTCTGTACGTTGCTCAAGCTCAATGAATGTTTGTCTCCTCACTGGCTGAAGCTAAACCTTTGTTGTGCCCCAGAATCTGAATGTCTGGTTTCTGTACCCATTTTGCTAGTATCGTTCCTATTTGAAAACAATGCCTACAGCCCACATCCACAGAGCTGGGATCTTTAGATTTGGGTTTTTCAATCAATCCTCAAAAACTATTTCTCTCCAGAAATTAATTAGGGCTGTGCCTCAGTTAGTTTTATGTAGTTATAACAGAATATCAGAGACCAGGGAATTTATAATGAACAGAAATTACTTTGGCTCATGGTTTGGGGGGCTGGGAAGTCTAAGATCGAGGGGCTATACCTGCTGAGAGCCTTCATGCTACATCATAACATGGTGGAAGGCATCACACAGGTGAAAGGAAGAGAGAAGGGGACCAAACACATCCTTTTATCAGGAACTCACTTTCAAGATAATGGCATATTCCATTCATGAGGGTGGAGCCCTCATCAGGATAGGATAATCCTCTCAGCATTACACAATAGCCACCACTGTGTACCAGCAAGCACACAGAAGGATTCAGCAGTTCCTAAACTTATTTGAATGCAGAATCCTTGGACAGGGACAGGAAGGAAGAGAAGGGCTAGGAGTAGGGAGAGAGTTAGGGGGTGGTTACTCACCTCATGGACTAGGGCTTTATAGAATGCCCTTCATGATAACCTCTTCTAGAGGCTTCTTTCCCATTTTGTCTCTTTTCTCTCATGACAAACTACTGCTGATATGTGTTTTTTGTTGAAATACAGTTTTTAAAAGATAATTGTCTTTTGTATGGTCCCAATAAGTAGAACCTTTCTGAATCACAAATAGAAGCTAAAAAAAAAAAAAAAAAAAGAAGGCAAGAGTCCCAACCAATGTGTTGCCACCCACCTGCCCTTCAGTATCTTTCTTTTAGCAAGAGTATGGGGCTTTAGTCTCTTAATGAGCTTGCTTCCATACATATGCATAAAAGGAAGAATAGGCTTGAAATACAATGTGAGAACTTTTTATATCTCTTTGACTTTTTCCCCTTAAGTAAAGTCATTGTTTAAAAATAACTTAAATGATGATAAGTAGAACATTTTCCACCCAGATGGCCAAAGTGCTTAAGGAATCTCAACTGTGCTTCTGGCAGATGACTGTGGGGTTCAACTACCTCCCTGATCTAACAAGGGCTTTGCACACAGAGTGTCAGCCAGGAAGTCTGAATTCACCAAGCACCACTGGGACATAAGATAACTATTAGAGTGGCCAAGGAGACCTCCACAGCAAAGGTGTTAGGGGAGAGGGGGAGAATGGGACAGTCCTCCATATTCCTATTCAGGAGGGGACCTGCAAATCAGAATCTAATCATAAGAGCCTTGAACAAATGTTATGATTTCTCAGGAAACAGTTGGGAAACTTAAATTCATTTGTATGTACAGGTGGATATGAGGTTGCTCAAGGGTCTAAGGTTAGAATCATTGGGAAATGCTATCCAAAGTACTGACTTAGGAAAATCCAAGTTCAGAATTCAAGGTGAACTTGGTTAGCCCTTCCAGTTGTAACAAAACCGCTCAAGTCTGCCTTAAAGAGCCTTACAAGCCAGCCAGTCCCTGCAGCTCCACAAACTGACCCATCCTGGGCCTTGTTCTCCACAGAATGGGTCTGCTCCTTCCCCTGGCACTCTGCATCCTAGTCCTGTGCTGCGGAGCAATGTCTCCACCCCAGCTGGCCCTCAACCCCTCGGCTCTGCTCTCCCGGGGCTGCAATGACTCAGATGTGCTGGCAGTTGCAGGCTTTGCCCTGCGGGATATTAACAAAGACAGAAAGGATGGCTATGTGCTGAGACTCAACCGAGTGAACGACGCCCAGGAATACAGACGGGCAAGTAGGGACAGTTCCCACTCTGGGGCAGGGATGTGGGCAAGCTGGAGAGACTGGCCAGGGTGAGGGAACCCAGAGACACCCTGGCAGGTGTTTTCTGTATTGGAAGCCCTGCCGAGAACTCTCTGTTCTCCTCTGCCAGGGTCAGCAACAACGCACTTATTGTTAGTAAAAACAAGTGTTAACAGTGATCCTACTCTGACACTTGTGTCAGATTTAATGGTTTACGGGGAATCTTCACAAATATTCTTTGGCTTTGCCATAAAGCAGGGGTTTTTTTGTGTGGTCTTTCTAGGTTTCTACTTCCTGTGAAATGTATTGCATTTCTCTACCCCTTCCCACAGGGTGGCCTGGGATCTCTGTTCTATCTTACACTGGATGTGCTAGAGACTGACTGCCATGTGCTCAGAAAGAAGGCATGGCAAGACTGTGGAATGAGGATATTTTTTGAATCAGTGAGTGCTTGTTTTTATAAACCATTAAGGGCCCTAGGGAAAGCAAGTAGGTACACTCTTTCTACAGGGTCAAGGGTGCTCAATATCTGTCATCTTTTAAATGGCCCACTTTATAATCTCCTGGCAGGTGCCCATAAGCTTATTCTAATGCTCTAGACAGAACAAAGTTTAATTCATGAGAGGGGTTTCTGAGAAGTCCCATTGGGGTCATGCAGAACAGAATGGAAAAGTTGCCCCAAGTTGTGTTTTTACCTCCAAGACCTTCCGTTAGGCTCTGAACCAGTGTTTCAATTGTGAGAAAAAGACCTGAGGTGTGAATATTCTGGACGTGGGGTTAATGTAGACTGCAGAAGTGATGGAGGTAGAGCTTTGTCTATTTGTTTTATTTTGCTTTGTTTCAATAAACTCCGATGCCAGGTTTGAGGGGAGGAAAATGGATGACTTGCAGTATGAAAGCTCTCAAGGGCGCCGTGTAAGGATTTCCTGAAACCACAGAGCATAATAAAGGGCCTCAGAATTAATCTTCTAAAGATGATCATAGAAGAGACTTGAAAATAGATAATCCATTTCATTTCATTCTTAATTATCCTGGGATGATTTTCAGTAATTGATATAAAACTTTACAGTGTGAGTACAGAATAGTGATGTAAGTGTTTAGAAGAAAACTATTTGATCAAGATATTTTCCTAATCATGTAGCCAATTGGTCAAACTGTACCCAACTTGATTTTGAAAAGTGAATATCCTGTTGTGAATTATATTTGTTATGGTGACACTAGCTACTAAAACACAGACACAAAAACTGTATACTCACTCTAACATGATAGAAGTTCATTTCTCACGCATGTAAAGTTGAAAGTAGAAGTTCCTGATTAGATGGGTGCTTTGCTCCAGGGGTGATTTGAGACCCAAGTTTATTCCACACTCTGGCTCTAGACTCTGCAGCCTCAGCTCACGACTTCCATGGTTACCTGCTCATCTGCATCAAGCTGTGCACAGAGAAAGAGCATAGAGGACAGTGAGAACGTGGGAGACCCTTATGAGCCAGATCTGGAAATGGTTACACCTCACTTCTGCTCACCTTCCTGTGGTTAGAACTCAATTATACACAGTCACACGTGTTGGGGAGGCTTGGAAACATATTCTAGCTGTGTCCTAGGGAAAGGTTAAACAGTTTGATCATCAACTGCAGTTCCTCCCAGCCAAAACCACAGAATTTGATCTTAAGTTTCTAACTACTTTAAAAGAAAATGTCTGACTTTAATTTTGGAGGTATTTTAAAAGCTCATAGTTGCATTCGCTATGTCATAAAATGCATTTGTTGGTTTCAGGTTTATGGTCAATGCAAAGCAATATTTTATATGAACAACCCAAGTAGAGTTCTCTATTTAGCTGCTTATAACTGTACTCTTCGCCCAGGTAAGAAATCACTACGATTTTGTTAGTTTTAATAAAGGATGGAAAAGAGTACTTAACCAGGTCTTTGCCAAGAATGTATAGGGTATCTCTCATTCTTATTTTCTGTTTATTCTTAATGCCAGTTTCTTAATATTTCCAGTACTTACCTCCTTACTGAAATTCATACTATACTGCTCCTCTTCCCACAATTAATCTTACTAAACTACCTCTACATTTATATGCTGCATCAGATCTTACATTTTCAGTCTGACATAAATGGTATAATTTCTATGACTGTTCCCTCAGGCTTCCTTTCTTGCTATCTCTGCCATTATTTCCCAGACTACACCAACTCTTCACTCCATTCTACTGGATGCCACCCTGTTTTCTGAACATGCACTGCAATTTCCAGTCTCTGTGTCTTGCTTGTGCCTCTCCCTCTGCTGAGCATGCCCTCCCCTGATGACCTCTGACCTTGGGACACACCTATTCTTTAAGGACCAACACCACTTCTTCCACAGTGTTCTCTATTCTAGAAAGGAATGGTGCTTTTGTAATCTGCATTCCTATAAAATTTTGTCTAAACTACTCAGGGAACACATAATGCACTGCCTTGATTTGAGGGTCGCATATCTTACATCATGTAGAATAGTTTCTCCTTTCCTCCTCCTGCTGCACCCTTCCTCAGTTCCCACCAAGTAGAAGGTGTCAATAATGTTGTTAAGTAAATAATTGGACTAGAAATGAGGCTGAAACTTAATGACACTTGAAATATGCACATGCATTCATTTGGGACCTTCCTTTTTTCAAGGGAAGGTCTTTGGAAAGAGAGCATCCACAGTGCAGGAAAACAGAATTTGGTCCCCTGTCGAACAACTACGTGCGTGTCGCTCCCCTGGTGGATCCTGTGCAAGTGTAGATTCTGATTCCACAGGTCTTGGTCAGGACCTGAGATCCTGCATCTCTAATAAGCTCCAGGAGATAAGAATGCTGCTGGTTGCTTTGAATAACAAGGCAAGCGAGCAAACATTTTGTTAGGCACAGTTTAAGGTTCCTGGTTGTGAAGGCAAGATTCACAGAACAGCAAGTAGTAAACAGTCTCAGGACTTAAATGGAAGTCATAAGTATCAGAGCTATGGGAGGTCAGGAAGTGACAGGTGGTGATGATTCAGGAGTGACAAGCTGTAGCTGGAAGTCCCCCATTATCTCCACCAGTCCCCAAGTGCATGCAGATAAACACAAAATTTCTAAAAACAATGTGTTTGCTCTGCAAAAGCAGCTTCAAGATAAATTCTGTACCTTGACTTTCACACTAGGCTTATTGACCTCAGCTCCTCCCAAACAGAAATCTGACTGTACTTAATGTGATCATTCTACTCAGTCACACAGTGACTTGACCCATTTTGTTTTCTGGCTCACTTGCATTTTTCTTCTTAAAAAAATATTTAGTCTTATTTTTTATTGATAAATAATAGTTATACCTATTTATGGCATATATAGTGATATTTCCATATATATACTGTATTGTGATCGGATTAGGTTATTAGTATATCCATCATCTCAAACCTTTATCACTTCCTTGTGTCGGGAACATTCAATACCCTTCTAGCTATTTGAAATTTTATCTTATTGTTAACTGTAGTCATCCTACAGTGGTCCAGAACACTAGAATTTATCCCCCTATCTAGCTGTAATTTTGTATCCTTTGACAGATCTCACTTGCATTTCTAACCAAACGGGGTGCGCTTCTGCCTTCTACTATGCCATTCACTTATCCATTCATTCTACAAGCATTTACTAAGCACTGCCTATGTATCAGATATGATGTTCGGTGTTAGGAACTGAAAGGTAAATAAGATATTGCGGTAATGAAATCCCAATCTCTGAAGACAGTCTACTTTACAGGGTCAATAATGAGAAAAGATAGTGAACTAGTTGGAGGAAAAGGTCCTATTTTAATATACTATATTATGTGTCTTTGAACAAAATTCTCAGAGTAAATGTGTGTGAGGTGAAAACTTTGCTTTGTTCTGGTCTCTTTTTTAATTGTGAAAGTAATACATGGTCATTACAGAAAACACTGCTGACAGCTAACTTCTATTCCAGGGGTATATTCCAGAGGTAACTTCCTCACCCCATCCTTGCCTCTTTACAGTCATATGATTTATTGAAAATTAATAGCATTTAAAAACTTATGTTATTGGCATCAACAGTTTCAAAAAAAAAGATTTACATGACGTGCCCTGACTGCCCAAGCTCCATACCCACTGACTCTTCCAATCACCAAGTGCTGGAGGCTGCCACCGAGTCTCTTGCGAAATACAACAATGAGAACACATCCAAGCAGTATTCTCTCTTCAAAGTCACCAGGGCTTCTAGCCAGGTAAGGCTAAAACTGCCCAAGCCAGTTACACAGTGTGTCTCATAACTGTTGCTGTAGGTTCCTAAGCTGGGAGGAAAATGTCAAGGCACTCATTTTGATTAGAACCAAAATACCTTTCTCTACTTTCCCCACTTTGATAGACCTGATGCCCATTCTATCATGTTTCACTTTCTAAGTGATTCCATGGCATTTCTACAAGAGTCAGGCGGCTTGATTTTGCTTCCCTAACCTTAAGGCAAGAACAGAAATGAACTCCTAGTCTCCTTGGGGGATTATCCATACGTTCACCACTCACTGCTGTATTCTCAAATGTGACTGATCGTGGACCATTTTACAACATAACTTTTACTCTATTTTAAGACCAGAGTGGGTGTTGAATTTTATGGATTAGGGAAAATGAAGGCTCATTTGTATTTAGATTATGTTGATTTCTTTCCTTCTTTCTCTATTTCATTCTTTCTTTTTATTTTTTGAGACAGAGACACTCTGTCACCCAGGGTGGACTCAAGTAGTCCTCCTACCTCAGCCTCTCAAGTAGCTGAGACTCCAGGTGCATACCACCACACCTGGCTAATTTTATATTTTTTGTAGAGATTGGGTCTCACTATGTTGCACAGGCTGGTCTCAAACTCCTGGACTCAAAACAATCCACCCGCCTTGGCCTCCCAAAGTGCCAGGATTACAGGCATGAACCACTATACCTGGCCGATATTTCTTTCATAAGCAGAAAAATCTAAAAGACAATTCTACATGAGGAAAAATAAACAAATCAAAAGAAGGTGTTTAGGGCCCATTCAAATCTTTTTTTTTTTTTTTTTTTTTTTTGAGACGGAGTCTCACTCTATCGCTAGGATAGAGTGCTGTGGCGCGATCTTGGCTCACTGCAACCTCCAACTCCCTGGTTCAAGGGATTCTCCTGCCTCTGCCTCCCGAGTAGCTGGGATTACAGGCATGCGCCACCATGCCCAGCTAATTTTTGTATTTTTAGTAGAGATGGGGTTTCACTATGTTGGCCAGGATGGTCTTGATCTCCTGACCTCGTGATCCGCCCGCCTCGGCCTCCCAAAGTGCTGGGATTACAGGCGTAAGCCACCGTGCCCAGCCTCAAATCTTAAAGAAGAGAAGAAAGGTGTGAGATTATGTTTTCTTAATAACTAAATCATGGTACATGGTTTGATCAGTGTGGGGATTTGCGGAACAACAGATATGTGCCTTGACAATGCCTCTGGTGACATATTGTTTCTGTAGATATAACGCTGCCAAACCTGAGTCTTTTCCCTAGGCAGAAATGTTTGATTTTTATGTCTCAACTCTTGTCTCATAACAGTGGGTGGTCGGCCCTTCTTACTTTGTGGAATACTTAATTAAAGAATCACCATGTACTAAATCCCAGGCCAGCAGCTGTTCACTTCAGTCCTCCGACTCTGTGGTGAGTTTTCCTGAATGTCTTCATAATTTGAGTGTTCACAGATCATCTCTAAGTGTTTGTGGAGCATAAATTACATATGAGGTGTCATAAGGCATGAGATGCTTTTCTTCCCCTCAAGGAGCATCTGACTAGTTAGAGATTAGACAGATCCAGACTGCATTCAATTGTAAGTGCAACTTTCATCAGTAGTTGCAAAAGTGATTATATAGAGCTGTAAAATATAGACATCTCAGTGATGGGTAATGGCCCTGCTTCAGTCTAACACAATCCAATTACGTTTGTAATATAGCATGGTGTTCCATTCCTTGGACCACTCTTTAAGAAGGACAAAGTCAAATAGGCCTTCATTCAAAGAGGCATCCAAGAGGGAAAGTATGCCTTGAAGTCATCTGAAATACACCTGGTGGGAATTTAACTTGGCACAATGTGTTGGAGTGCAACTGGGCAAAATGCACCAAAATACTTTTCCTCTCATTTACTTACAGTAACAGCTTTATTAAGAAATAATTCATACGTTGTAAAATTCATCCATTTAAGGTGTACAGTTCAGTAGTTTTTAGTATGTTCACAGAGTTGTGCCACCATCACCACTTTCTTATTTTAGGATATTTTCATCAGCCTCAGAAGAAACCTCATGCCCACTAACAGTCATTCCCCATTGCCACCTTACCAAGCCCCTGGAAACCACTTACCTACTTTCTGTTTCTATGGCTTTGCCTATTCTGGACATTTCATATAAATAGAATCATACAGCATATGGTCTTTTGTATCTGGCTTCTTTCACTTAGCATAGTGTTCTCAAAGCTTCTCCATCTATAAATAAATGTAGTTTTACCTCTTTGCATAATTTATTATGCAAATAATATTTTATTGCATAGATATTGTTTATTGTTTATCCATCTATCAGTTGATAAACATTTGAGTTGTTTCCTGCTATGAACAAGTGTACAAGTTTTTATGTACACATATGTTTCCATTTCTCTCGAGTATATACCTCAGAGTGGAGTTTTTGTCATATGAAAAACAACAAAAAAATGCTCCATGTTTAACCCTTTCACTGCTATACTGTTTTCCACTGTGAATGCATCAGTTTTGCAATCCCATCAGCAATGTATGAGGGTTTCAATTTCTCCACATCTTTGCCAACACCTATTATGATCTTTCTTTTGGTTATAGCCATCCTACTGGGCATGAATTGGTACCTCATCATGATTTTTATTTGCATTTTCCTAATAACTAATGATGCTGAGCGTCTTTTAATGTGTTTATTATCCATTAGTATGTTTTCTTTGGAAAAATGTCTACATAAATCATTTGCCTACCTAAAATCCAGTTGCTTATCTTTTCATTGTTGAATAATAAGAGTCTTTACATATTCTAGATACAATGTCCTTATCAGATATATATTTTTAAGTATTTTTCTGTCATTCTCTGGGTTGTCTATTCACTTTCTTGACAACGTTCTTTGAAATACAGAAGTTTTAAATTTTGATGAAGTTCTATTTATATATATTTTTTCTTATTTTGAATATGCTTTTAATGTCATATCTAAGAAACCATTGCCTAATCCATAATCACCAAGATTTACATGTGTAAAAATGCAAGGGATCCAGAATGCCAAAATAATCTTGAACAACAACAACAACAAAAAAATAGGAAGACATACTTCCCAAACTCAAAACTTACTACAAAGGTACAGTACTTAAGACAGTGTCTTGGTGGTATAAGAATGATATGTAGATCAATAGAATAAAATTGAAAGTAAAGAAATAAGCCCCTATATGTAGGCCTATGACACATTTTGAGTTTTTGTACACGGTGTGAGGCAGGGAGTTCAACTTCATTCTTTTGCATGTGAACTTCCACTGTTTCCAGCACTATTTGTTAAAAAGACTATTCTTTCCCCCATGTAGTTGCCTTGGCATACTTCTTGAAGATCAATTGATCATAAATGTAAGAGTTTATTTCTTTAATCTCAATTTTATTCCATTGATCTACACTTCTAAGCTTATACTGGTATAACACTGTCTTGAATACTATATAACTTTGTAGTAAGTTTTGAGATTGGAACATTTAAATCCTCCTATTTTGTTCTTCTTGTTCAAGATTGCTTTGGGTATCCTGGATGCCTTGAATTCTCATGCTGATTTTAGGACCAGTTTGTCAATTTCTATTTTTAAAAAGGCAGTTGGAAATTTGATACATTTGATTGCATTGAATCTGTACATCAACGTTGAAAGTACTGTCATCTTAACAATATTAAGTTTTCAATTCCATGAATATGTGGTATCTTTCCATTTGTTTAGAACTCATTTAATTTCTTTCAACAAAGTTTTGTAGTTTTCAGTGTACAAAACTTTCATTTATTTTGGTCAATTTACTCTTCAAATATTTTGTTCTCTTTGATGCTTATGTAATGAAACTGTCTTCTTAATTTCATTTTTGGATTGTTCATTGAAAGTGTGTAGAAAGACGATTGATTTTTTATATTGATCTTATATATTATAACCTTGATGAACTCATTTATTAGTTTTAATAGTTTGCTAGTGGATTTCTTAGGATTTTCTATATGATCATGTCACCTGAAAAGAGATAGCTTTTTACTTCTCCCTTTTAAATCTGGATGCCACATGTGTTCCCAGCCTCTAGGGCTCACATGTTCAGCACACTTATAAAGTCCCTTTGTGATCCACTCCAGTGTCAGCGCCAGGTAGGCCTATGAACTTTGGTAGCTCAGCAAATCCTAGCTAGGGTGGGAGTGGCCAGATCTCCTTGGTGCAAGTACCTGCAGTTTCTCCAGAAGGTTCTCTGAGAGCCCCTCCTCTTTGTGACTTGGTGATGAAGAGAAGGAAAAGGCTGAAGCACCATTCCCCAGACACTTCATACTTTAATGGCTTTTCCCACTTTAAGGAATTTCTAGTCTTTTTTTCATATGCTCTGGAGCTGAGTGACAAAGTAATATTTAGGCAATCTGTTTAGACACTTTTTTTCTTTTTGTAGATTTAGGGATACAAGTGCAGTTTTCTTACATTAATATATTGCATAGCGGTGAAGTCTGGGCTTTTAGTGTATCCATCACCCAAATAGTGTACATTGTATTCAGGGTGGTTTTTGTTTTTTGTTTTTTTTTCTCTTTTTGAGACAGAATTTTGCTCTGTCGCCCAGGCTGGAGTACAGTGGCGCAATCTCAGCTTCCTGCAAACCTCCACCTCCTGGGTTCAAGCGATTCTCCTGCCTCAACAACCCAAGTATCTGGGACTACAGGCACCTGCCACCTCACCTGGCTAATTTTTGTATTTTTGGTAGAGACAGGGTTTCACCCTGTTGACCAGGCTGGTCTCGAACTCCTAACCTCAAGTGATCCTCCTGCCTCAGCCTCCAAAAGTGCTGGGATTACAGGCGTGAGCCACTGCGCCCAGCTCAGGATGATATTTCATCCCTCACCACCCTCTCACCTTTTGGAGTCTTCAGTGTCTGTTACTCCACTTTGTGTCCATGTATACCCTTTCTTTAGCTTCCACTTTTAAGTGAGAACATGTGGTTTTTGGCTTTCTGTTTCTGAGTCATTTCACTTAGAATAACGGCCTCCAGTTCCATCCATGTTGATGCAACGGACATGGTATTATTCTTTTTTATAGCTGAGTGGTATTCCATGGGTGTGTGTGTGTGTGCACACACACACATGCACATCACATTTTAATCTAACCATCCATTGATGGACACAACATCGGCTTCACATATTTGCTATTATGAATAGTGCTGTGATAAATATACAAGTGCAGTTGTCTTTTTCTTATAGTAGTTTCTTTGTTGGCGGGGGTGGGGGGGGGGGGTAAATCACCAGCTGTGGGATTGCTGGATCAAATGGTAGTTCTATTTTTAGTTTATTTTTAGATAAATTTAGTAAATTTTATGTGGATATACTTAAGAGCTCTTCTTTAGAAATTGAGGCAACATTTTATTATAACATTCTATTTATGCTTGAAAATGTACATACAGTATGACTCTAAAATTCCTCTTCTAGGAATTTATTCTAAGGAAGTAACTAGGAATACATGAAAAGATATAGCTTCAATGTTTAAACAACAGAAAAATTAGATTCAATCTAGCTGTCCAACAAAAGAGAGCTTGTTAAACATCACAGAGGAATACTATGTAGCCATTATTTTAAAAACCCTAGAAGATCATTCAATGCCATAAGAGGGTTTTTACAATATATTGTTAAGTGACAAAATAGAGTTATAAAGTAATATATATATAATATGACTCTATTTTGTAGAAGAAAAATGTATATGCATAGAAAAAAAGACTGGAAGGAAGGAAATCAAATCACTGCAGGTAACAAATATATTTCATGCAATTTACAGGTCTTTATTTTCTTTTGTTTATCTATATTCTAACTATTACATTTGTAATAAGGAAACAAAGCTACTTTACTTTTAAGTAAAGAGAAATTTAAGGAGCTGAGAGTGGTTTTGTCTGAGAAGAGAAATGTCAGGTGGAACGCACTTAAAGGGCTGCTATATAAAAGATGAAAACACGTTTTCTAATTGACCCAAGGGTAGAACTAAGGCCAAGAGGTAGAAGTTGTATGGACATAACTTTCCACTCAACACAAAGAATTTTTTTAACAAACAGAGTTTCATTCCTCAAGAAATACTGAGTTTCTCATTATTGGAGGCAATTTAGCCTAATTTGGATGATTTCTTGGTAGGGGTGATCTAGAAAGAATTGACTCAGAGTCTACCTGTTACATAGTAGAAGCATAAAAATGTTGATTGGCTGTGTATCTACACAAGTAGAAAGCTAGTTGATTTCCATCTGTGATCACTGGTAATACTCACATGACATTGTATTTTCTCTTTTAGCCTGTTGGTCTTTGCAAAGGTTCTCTGACTCGAACACACTGGGAAAAGTTTGTCTCTGTGACTTGTGACTTCTTTGAATCACAGGTATTTTTCAATCTAATTGCCTGTCTTTCTGTGAAGAAGAGCAGATTATCGATAGTTACCTGCCACTACCTTACCCCCTCCTTTGATTTTCCCAACCACCTTGCTCACCACTTTGCGCAGGCTAGCCTGAGTCCACATCCACAGGATAGCCAGTCAAAGACCTGTTATGCCTTGTTTCAGTCGCAATATGGTCCTGCAGAATAAGCAAGACAAATTCAGAAACAGGGAACTGCTGGCTTGGATGTGATTCAAGCCTCTGAGACATTAAATTCAGCGTCCCAAAGAAACCTTACCTCAAGCCACAGGGAGAAGTTATTTCCATGAAAATATTCAATCCCTTTCCAGAAGTGTTTATTGCGCACTTATTATAAGGTAGCCTGGTATATTTGAGAGGCAGTTTATATTTGAGGTGTATTTGTGCCTGGTATATTTGAAGCAGTTGAAACAGGACACTTGGGATCCAGTTTTGCTCTGGTACCTGTGAGCTGTGTAACAGGCACACACTTACCTGTTCGAGTTTTGGTTGCCTCATTTATAAAATGGGATTGCGACACTGCATCATTCAGATCCCTGTGAGAAGCAAGTGAAAGGACCTGAATGAAGGGTGCTGTACAAGGCCTGGTGCAGAATAAACAAGCAAGGAAAGGCACCTGCTGCTTCCACTACTGGGAACAGAAAGAGAGCTTGCTGGAGACTTCGAGTGAGTCATTGAACCTCTCTGGGCCATTATTCAGCTCTGAAATTGTGAGACTTACAGTCTCACAGTCAAGCTTCTACAGGTCCTGGTTCCCCCTGGCCCTTATCTGTTTTGTTTTTTAACCCTTTCACCAGGAGGCCCATCCCTCTACCTAGTCTCCCTTTGAAATGTTCCAACAGAAAGGCACAGATCAGCTTAGGCTGGTACTAGGCATGGGAGGACTTTCCCTGTGGAACTCTACATTCAAAAATGTTCTCATTCCAGGCTCCAGCCACTGGAAGTGAAAACTCTGCTGTTAACCAGAAACCTACAAACCTTCCCAAGGTGGAAGAATCCCAGCAGAAAAACACCCCCCCAACAGACTCCCCCTCCAAAGCTGGGCCAAGAGGATCTGTCCAATATCTTCCTGACTTGGATGATAAAAATTCCCAGGAAAAGGGCCCTCAGGAGGCCTTTCCTGTGCATCTGGACCTAACCACGAATCCCCAGGGAGAAACCCTGGATATTTCCTTCCTCTTCCTGGAGCCTATGGAGGAGAAGCTGGTGGTCCTGCCTTTCCCCAAAGAAAAAGCACGCACTGCTGAGTGCCCAGGGCCAGCCCAGAATGCCAGCCCTCTTGTCCTTCCGCCATGAGAATCACACAGAGTCTTCTGTAGGGGTATGGTGCGCCGCATGACATGGGAGGCGATGGGGACGATGGACAGAGACAGAGCGTGCACACGTAGAGTGGCTAGTGAAGGACGCCTTTTTGACTCTTCTTGGTCTCAGCATGTTGACTGGGATTGGAAATAATGAGACTGAGCCCTCGGCTTGGGCTGCACTCTACCCTGTACACTGCCTTGTACCCTGAGCTGCATCACCTCCTAAACTGAGCAGTCTCATACCATGGAGAGATGCCTCTCTTATGTCTTCAGCCACTCACTTATAAAGATACTTATCTTTTCAGCAGTATATATGTGCTGAAATCTCAGCATGAAAGCATTGCATGAGTAAAGATACTTTCCCTAACACCGGGAGGCGTGAGCAACTAATGCCCAGCACAGTTTCAGTCCCTAAATTCCCTTTAATTCCAGGACAGGTATTAGCTGCGTAGGGCCCATACCATTTCCAACCCTCTACCTCTTTTCATCTGTCTGGAAGTCTCCAGGTCTCAACAGTGGGGTAATTCACTTAGAGCTGGAGGCACATAGAAGGGAAGTGCACATGTGGCCTGTGCTAGACACTGTGGGAGCAGCAGACCGTGACAGTTCTCATCACTGTTACAATTTCTCTAGGACAGTTAGAGGAGGGCTCATCACAGCATTCAATTACAGTCTACGTTTTCCTTCTTTCAAACACTGCAGGGCCAATTTCCCCTCATTCAGTGATACCTATGTGCACACGCACACATGCACAGCAGATAAGACTTTGGACATTTTGACAGAGAATTTGCAGATGCAGCTATTGTCCTCTATCTTGGTGGCTGTTAGAAGAGGCACACAGGCCTCAGCATAATTTGCATAAGAGACGTAGACAATGTTCACACTCTGTTCCTCTTATCTGCTTCTCATAAGAAGGAAGTGATTATGTGGGGGTGTCATGTGGGGTCTTACACCGTGTTGGTCAGGGTCTGAAAGAAGCAGAATTGTACTCAGGTGGCTCAACTAAAAAGACTTCAGTTGGCTCAGCGTGCTGGCTCATGCTTGTAATCCCAGCACTTTGGGAGGCTGAGGCGGCCAGATCACCGGAGGTCAGGAGTTTGAGACCAGCCTGGCCAACATGGTGAAACCCTGTCTCTACTAAAAATACAAAAATTAGCCGGGCATGGTGGTACATATCTGTAATCCCAGTCACTCGGGAGGCTGAGGCAGGAGAATCGCTTGAACCTGGGAGGTGGAGGCTGCAGTGAGCTGAGATAATGCCACTGTTCGCCACCAGCATGGGTAACAGAGCTAGACGCCATCTCAAAAAAAGAAAAAGACTTCAGTGAAGGGACCTTTAGTGAAGGCTTGTTGCCCAGGCTAAGGGAAGGCCAAGGGATGCTGAGGCACCTGGACAGCCTTTGCCACCCGAGGCTGAGCAGGAGCAGGAGTGGCTAGCTTCCCCGCTCTGTTGGAACTATCCTGTGGAGAAGCCGCCCTGCAGAAGCCGCCCTGGTGGAGGGATGCAGCCCCTGCAGAACCCGGTGCTGGAACGAGAAGGAGCAGGGAATAAGCACCCTCCCCTCTCCCTCCCTTCCTGTTTCCTTCCAATCTCCTCCTCCCAATGGCTCTTTGAACTCAATGGTAAACTAGCCAGCAGGGAGAGCCTGGGTTATTCAATTCCCTGGAGCCAGCCTGGGAGACAAGACCAGGCAGAGAAAATCAAAGGATGGGCCTGAGGCAAACAGAGAGAAACCATTAGGAGCCTTAGCTGGGGTTTCCCAAGGGGTGTTCTATAAGGCCCTTCTCTACTGGTAAAAGGATGGGGAAGGGCCTCAGACTTTGTTTCTCCTTCTATCTACCACCTCCTTTGTCTTTCCATGGCTTAATTCGTGAAAAACTAGATTGTTCCCATGCTTGCCACTTCCCCACCACCTCTTCATTCCTTAGGTCACAGTAATGTGAATCTATCTCTTTTCCCATAACCCACTGACTTGGTGTTCCCTAACAATCTTTTATTTTAAATTAAAAAAAAAATTTCTGTTCACTTTTACTTACACTTTCAAGCATCTGGCAATGCTGACTTTGCTTGCTCTTCAGATTTTTTCAAGGAGATTGTGTCCCACAGCCTCCAGGTTTTTCTTCTAGCTTTCTGACCACTCCCCCTCATATCCCACCTTGGGCTCCTCTTCTCTGGCTCATCTCTTAGATGCTGTTTCTCTGGCTTTCAGTCCTTGATCTTTTTTTCTTACTCTGCAGACTCAGTGCAGACAAGCTAATCTGCATCCTTGTCAATAGTTGCAAAATGCTGCATTTATTACTGATCTGAGGCTGTTGTGTTCAAGTCATCAGTAGTTTGCAAATTGCTAACACTAATCTTCTACGACAAAATTTCAGGAGCTGAGTATTTCTAGTTATACAATATTAAGAGTTACCTCAGCTGAATGTTTAAAAAGAACATATTCAACAATAGGAAAATGAGCAACCCAATTTAAAAATGGGCAAAACATTTAAAAAAAATGAGATCGTGTCTTTCGCAGGAACATGGATGGAGCTGAAGGTTATTATCCTTAGCAAACTAATGCAGGAACAGAAAACCAAATATCGCATGCTCTCACTTATAAGTGGGAGCTAAATAATGAGAACACATGGACACATAGAGGGAAACAACACACACTGGGACCTACTCAAGGGTGGAGGGTGGGAGGAGGGAGAGGGTCAGAAGAAAATGACTGTTTGGTAGTAGGCTTAGTACTTGCCTGACAAATAATCTGTACTACAAACCCCTGCGACATGAGTTTACCTATATAACAAATGTGCACATGTACCCATTAACTTAAGATAGAAGTTAAAAAAAATAAAAATAAAAATGGGCAAAAGATTTAAACCTCACCAAAAAAAAAAAAAAGGTAAGTGAACATCTGAAATTCTGAACTTCAGTGAACTTCATATGTCATCAAAGAAATGCAAATTATAACAACGAGATATCACTACATATCCGTCAGAATGGCCAAAATCCAGAACACTGACAATACTAAATGGTAGCAAGGATATGGAGCAAAAGGAACTTCTCATTCATTGCTGCTGGGAATGCAAATGGTACAGCCACTTTGGAAGACAGTTTGGCAGTTACTTTCAAAACTTAACATACTCTTATCATATGCTCCAGTAGTCACACTCCTTGGTATTTACCCAAATGATCTGAAAACTTATGTCCATAGAAAAACCCACACATGAATATTCACAGCACATCTGCTCATAATTGCTAAAATTTGGAAGCAACAAACTGTCCTTCACCAGGTGAGTGGATAAGTAAATCCTGACAATGGAATATTATTTGGCACGAAAAAGGAATATGAATATCGAGCCACAAAAAGACATGGAGGAAACTTAAATACATATTACTGAGTGAAAGAAACCAATCTGAAAAGATTAACTACTGTATGGTTCCAACTATATGACATTTGGAAAAGGCAAAATTATGAAGACAGTAAAAAGATCACTGGTTGCCAGTGGTTAGCAAGGAGACAGGGATGGACTATGTGGAGCACAGAGGATTTTTAGTCAGTGAAACTATTCTGTATGCTACTACAATGGTGGATACATTTCATTATACATTTGTCAAAACCCATAGATGTACAACATCAAGGATGCATGCTGATGTAAGCCATGGACTTTAGGTTATAACTATGTGTCAGTGTAAGTTCATCGGTTGTAACAAATGTGCTGCTAGTGTTCAGAGGTTTATAGCAGGGGAGGCTGTGAGCGTGAGGGGCAGATGTAGGGACTACATAGGAACTCTATACTCGCCACTCAGCTGTACTGTCAACCTAAAACTGCTCTAAAAATTAAAGCCCATTTTTAAAGTAAATTAACAAAATGGATACATTAAGCCTGATAAAAACTGCATTTTCTTTAAAAAGTGACTCCTATTACAAAAAAATTAAATGTCATAAAATTCTGTCAACCAGTCTAGTGATTCTCAAAGACATAGTCAGAGATTTACAAAGAGGTCCACTGTAGCATTACTTATAAGAACAAATAATTGGAAACAATATACATGGCCAAAAATTGGGGAATGTTGAATACATTAACACGTACATAACATCCAATATTATGTAACCTCAAAAATAATCTTTCTGAAGAATATTTAATGATCTGAGAAAGTCCTCATGGTATAACCTTAAGGGAAAATACAATATTTAAGCCATATATAACAAGGGATTTTTAAAAGTCCTTCTCTTGGGAAAGAGTTTGGGAGGTAAAGAATGGAGGAAAGAGACTTAATTTTTATTTTACAATATTCTAAAATATTGTTTGCTTTTTTACTTTGTGCAGGGATTGTGTTTATGACTAAAAACTGTATACTTAAAATAACAAAATTTTAAAATCCTATAAAAACACAAAAACATTTATAAAGCTTATATGGTTTCTATTAATACCTGAAAAAAATAGAGGTTATAAGTAAATACATGCTCAACTACAGTGGAGGGAAAGAAACACCTGTATGTACAGAATAATTCTAATGATGCAAAACATATATATTACATATATTCAAATAGCAAAAAGTGTATGAAGCAATTATGCATTATAAATAGTTGGTTTTCCTTATGGTTGTAGAATTAGAGGTGAATTTTCTTTATGCTTTTCGTATTTTCCATATTTTTTGCAAAAAGCATGTGTTCTATTATGAGTCAAAAAGGTTTAAAGAATAAAAATTCTGTTAGCTAACTCTTTTTTCTGATACAATGGTCAGGACACACAGAAATAACCTAAATGCAGAATGAAAATGTGAAGACGGCAGGGCGCAGTGGCTCATTCCTATAATCACACCACTATGGGAGGCTGAGGCGGGTGGATCACCTGAGGTCAGGGGTTCGAGATCAGCCTGACCAATATGGTGAAACCTTGTCTCTACTAAAAGTACAAATTTTAGCCAGGCGTGGTGGTGGGCACCTGTAGTCCCAGTACTCAGGAGGATGAGACAGAAGAATTGCTTGAAACTGGGAGGTGGAGGTTACAGCAGTGAGCTGAGATGGCACCACTATACAACAACCTAGGCAACAGAGCAGGTGAGACTTTGTCTCAAAAAAAAAAAAAGAAAGAAAAGAAAAGGTAAAGATGAAGATTCTACCTGCCCAGTCTGCCCAGATAGTGTCAGGCCTCTGAGCCTAAGCTAAGCCATCATATCCCCTGAGACCTGCACATACACATCCAGATGGCCGGTTCCTGGCTTAACTGATGACATTCCACTACAAAAGAAATGAAAATGGCCTGTTCCTGCCTTAACTGATAGCATTATCTTGTGAAATTCCTTCTCCTGGCTCATCTTGGCTCAAAAGCTCCCCTACTGAGCACCTTGTGACCCCTACTCCTGCCTGCCAGAGAACAACCCCTCTTTTTCCTTTACGTACCTAAATCCTATAAAATGGCCCCACCCCATCTCCCTTCACTGACTCTTTTTGGACTCAGCCCACCTGCACCCAGGTGATTAAAAGATTTATTGCTCAGACAAAGCCTGTTTGGTGGTCTCTTCACACGGACACACATGAAATTTGCTGCCGTGACTCGGATCAGGGGAACTCCCTTGGGAGATCAATCCCTAGTCCTCCTGTTCTTTGCTCCGTGAGAAAGATCCACCTACGATCTCAGGTCCTCAGGCTGACCAGCCCAAGAAACATCTCACCAATTTCAAATCCCGTGAACAGCCTCTTTTTACACTCTTCTCCAACCTCCCTCACTATCCCTCAACCTCTTTCTCTGTTCAATCTTGGTGCCACACTTCAATCTCTCCCTTCTCTTAATTTCAATTCCTTTCATTTTCTGGTAGAGACAAAGGAGACATGTTTTATCCATGGACCCAAAACTCCAATGCCGGTCGTGGACTAAGAAAGGCAGCCTTCCCTTGGTGTTTAATCATTGTGGGGATGCCTCTCTGATTATTCACTCAGGTTTCAGAGGTGTCAGACCACGCAAGGACACCTGCCTTGGTCTTTCACCCTTAGCGGCAAGTCCCGCTTTTCTAGGGGAGGGGCAGGAACCCCGACCTCTTATCTCTGCACCCCGATCCCTTATTTCCATGCCCCAACCTCTTATTTCTGTGCCCCGATCCCTTATTTCCGTGCCCCGACCTCTTATCTCTGCGCCTCAACCCCTTATTTCCGTGCCCTGACCCCTTCTCTGCTTTTCTGGAGGGCAAGAACCCCCCAACCCTTCTCCATGTCTCTACTCTCTTTTCTCTGGGCTTGCCTCCTTCACTATGGGCAAGCTTCCACCTTCCATTCCTCCTTCTTCTTCCTTAGCCTGTGTTCTCAAGAGCTTAAAACCTCTTCAACTCTCACCTGACCTAAAATCTAAGCGTCTTATTTTCTTCTGCAATGCCGCTTGACCCCAATACAAACTCGACAGTACTTCCAAATAGCCAGAAAACAACACTTTCAATTTTTCCATCCTATAAGATCTAAATAATTCTTGTCGTAAAATAGGCAAACGGTCTGAGGTGCCTGATGTCCAGGCATTCTTTTACATATCGGTCCCTCCCTGGTCTCTGTTCCCAATGCAACTCGTCCCAAATCTTCCTTCTTTCCCTCCCGCCTGTCCCCTCAGTCCCAACCCCAAGCGTTGCTGAGTCTTTCCAGTCTTCCTTTTCTACAGACCCATCTGACCTTTCCCCTCCTCCCCAGGCTGCTTGTCACCAGGCCGAGCTAAGTCCCAATTCTTCCTCAGCCTCTGCTCCTCCACCCTATAATCCTTCTACCATCTCCCCTCCTCACAGCCGTTCCGGCATACAGTTTAGTTCTGTGACTAGTTCTTCCCCACCTGCCCAACAGTTTCCTCTTAGAGAGGTGGCTAGAGCTGAAGGCATAGTCAGGGTACATGTACCTTTTTCTCTATCACGCCTCTCTCAGATCAGTCAGTGTTTAGGCTCTTTCTCATCAGACCCCACTAAATGTATACAGGAATTCTGATATCTAACTCTGTCCTACAAGTTAACCTGGAGTGACTGAAATGTCATCCTAACTTCTACCCTCTCCCCAGATGAACGGGAAAGAGTTTTTTCTCTAGCCCAATCTCACGCTGATAACCGCCGGCTTCACGAGCCAGACCTCCAGGAAGGCATTAGAGCAGTTCCCCGAGAAGATCCCCAATGGAACTATCAGACAAATTCCCCAGGTATAGCTAGGTGAGATTACATGATTCCTGCCTACTTGAAAGGCTTAAAAAGGCAGCTTACAAAGCTGTTAATTATGACAAGCTTGAAGAGACTACCCAAGGTAGAGACGAAAACCCAGCCCAGTTCATGGCCGGCTTAGCAGCAACCTTTGGACGCTATACCGCCCTAGACCCAGAAGGGCCAGAAGGCCGCCTTATTCTTAACATGCATTTTATCATCCAATCCACTCCTGACATTAAGAAAAAACTTCAAAAATTAGAATCTAGCCCTCAAACCCCACAACAGGAATTAATCAATCTTGCCTTCAAGGTGTACAATAATAGAGAAGAAGCATCCAGACGGCAACGCGTTTCTGAGTTACAATTACTTGCCTCTGCTGTGAGACGAGACCCAGCCACACCTCCAGCATAGGAGAACTTCAAAATGCCTCAGCCGCACACGCCTAAGCCGCAGCAGTCAAGCATTCCTACAGGACTTCCTGCATCAGGATCTTGCTTCAAGTGCCAGAAATCTAGCCACTAGGCCAAGGAATGCCCACAGCCCAGGATTCCTCCTCAGCCGTATCCCATCTGTGTAGGACTCCACTGAAAATCAGACTCTTCAACTCACCTGGCAGCCACTCCCAGAGCCCCTGGAACTCCGGCCCAAGGCTCTCTGACTGACTCCTTCTCACATTTTCTCAGCTTAGCAGCTGAAGACTGACGCTGCCCGATCGCCTTGGAAGCCCCGTAGGCCATCACGGACGCCAAGCTTGAAGTAACTCTCAGAGTAGAAAGTAAGTCCGTCCCCGTCTTAATCAATACGGAGGCTACCCACTCCACATTACCTTCTTTCCAAAGGCCTGTTTCCTTTGCCTTCATAACTGTTGTAGGTATTGGCAGCCAGGCTTCTAAACCTCTTAAAACTCCCCAACTCTGGTGCCAACTTAGACAGTACTCTTTTAATCACTCCTTTTAGTTACCCCCACCTGCCCAGTTCCCTTATTAGGCCGAGACACTTTAACTAAATTATCTGCTTCCCTGACTATTCCTGGGCTACAGCCACACCTCATTGCCGCCTTTTCCCCCAGTTCAAAGCCTCCTTCACATCCTCCCCTTGTATCTCCCCACCGTAACCCATAAGTATAAGACACCTCTACTCCCTCCTTAGCGACCGATCATGCACCCCTTACCATCCCATTAAAACCTAATCACCCTTACCCCAATCAATGCCAATATCCCATCCCGCAGCATGCTTTGAAAAGATTAAAGCCTGTTATCACTCGCCTGTTACAGCAAGGCCTTTTAAAGCCTATAAACTCTTCTTACCATTCCCCCATTTTACCTGTCCTAAAACCAGACAAGGCTTACAGGTTAGTTCAGAATCTGCGCCTTATCAACCAAATTGTTTTGCCTAGCCACCCCATGGTGCTAAACCCATATACTCTCCTATCCTCAATACCTCCCTCTACAATCCATTATTCTGTTCTGGATCTCAAACATGCTTTCTTTACTATTCCTTTGCACCCTTCATCCCAGCCTCTCTTTGTTTTCACTTAGACTAACCCTGACACCCATTAGGCTCAGCAAATCACCTGGGCTGTACTGCCGCAAGGCTTCACAGACAGCCCGCATTAGTTCAATCAAGCCCAAATTTCATCCTCATCTCTTACCTATCTCGGCATAATTCTCATAAAAACACACATGCTTTCCCTGCTGATCGTGACCGATTAATCTCCCAAACCTCAATCCCTTACAAAACAACAACTCCTTTCCTTCCTAGGCATGGTTAGTTCGGTCAGAATTCTTACACAAGAGCCGGGACCGCACCCTGTAGCCTTTCTGTCCAAACAACTTGACCTTACTGTTTTAGCCTAGCCCTCCTGTCTGCATGCAGCAGCTGCCGCTGCTTTAATACTTTTAGAGGCCCTAAAAATCACAAACTATGCTCAACTCACTCTCTACATTTCTCGTAACTTCCAAAACCGATTTTCTTCCTCATACCTGACGCATATGCTTTCTGTTCCCCGGCTCCTTCAGCTGTACTCGTTCTTTGTTAAGTCCCACAATTACCATTGTTCCTGGCCCGGACGTCAATCCGGCCTCCCACATTATTCCTGATACCACACCTGACCCCCATGACTGTATCTCTCTGATCCACCTGACATTCACCCCATTTCCCCATATTTTCTCCTTTCCTGTTCCTCACCCTGATCACGCTTGATTTATTGATGGCAGTTCCACCAGGCCTAATCGCCACACACCAGCAAAGGCAGGCTATGCTATGGTACAAGCCACTAGCCCGCCTCTTAGAACCTCTCATTTCCTTTCCATCGTGGAAATGTATCCTCAAGGAAATAACTTCTCAGTGTTCCATCTGCTATTCTACTACTCCTCAGGGATTATTCAGGCCCCCTCCCTTCCCTACACATCAAGCTCAGAGATTTGCCCCCACCCAGGACTGGCAAATTAGCTTTACTCAACATGCCCCGAGTCAGATAACTAAAATACCTCTTGGTCTAGGTAGACACTTTCACTGGATAGGTAGAGGCCTTTCCCACAGGGTCTAAGAAGGCCAACACAGTCATTTCTTCCCTTCTGTCAGACACAATTACTCGGTTTGGCCTTCCCACCTCTATACAGTCCGATAGCAGACCGGCCTTTATTAGTCAAATCAGCCAAGCAGTTTTTCAGGCTCTTAGTATTCAATGAAACCTTTATATCCCTTACAGTCCTCAGTCTTCAGGAAAAGTAGAATGGACTAATTGTCTTTTAAAACCTCAGCCACCAACTTAAAAAGGGCTAGAAAAACTTTTACCTCTTTCTTTTCTCAGAAGTCAGGCCTGTCCTCAGAATGCTACAAGGTACAGCCCATTTGAGCTCCTGTATAGAGGCTCCTTTTTATTAAGCCCCAGTCTCATTCCAGACACCAGACCAACTTAGACTGTGCCCCAAAAAACTTGTCATCCCTACTATCTTCTCTCTAGTCATACTCCTATTCACTGTTCTCAACTACTCATACATGTCCTGCTCTTGTTTACACTGCCAGTTTACACTGTTTCTCCAAGCCATCACAGCTGATATCTCCTGGTGGTATCCCCAAACTGCCATTCTTGAAGTAAATAAATAATCTTTGCTGGCAGGACTACGCTGAATCTCCTTAGGCACTCTAATTAGATGTCCTAGGTCTTCCCAATTCTTAGACCTTTAATACCTGTTTTTCTCCTTCTCTTATTCCATTTAGTTTCTCAGTTCATACAAAACCATATCCAGGCAATCATCAATAATTCTAAATGACAAATGTTTCCTCTAACAGTCCCACAATATCACCCCTTACCACAAAATCTTCCTTCAGCTTAATCTCTCCCACTCTAGGTTCCCACGCCGCCCCTAATCCCACTCGAAGCAGCCCTGAGAAACATCGCCCATTATCTCTCCATACCATCCCCCAAAATTTTTGCCATCCCAACACTTTACCACTATTTCATTTTATTTTTCTTATTAATATAAGAAGACAGGAATGTCAGGCCTCTGAGCCCAAGCTAAGCCATCATATCCCCTGTGACCTGCACATGCACATCCAGATGGCCGGTTCCTGCCTTAACTGATGACATTCCACTACAAAAGAAATGAAAATGGCCTGTTCCTGCCTTAACTGATGGCATTATCTTGTGAAATTCTTTCTCCTGGCTCATCCTGGCTTAAAAGCTCCCCTACTGAGCACCTTGTGACCCCTACTCCTGCCTGCCAGAGAACAACCCCCCTTTTTCCTTTACCTACCCAAATCCGATAAAACGTCCCCACCCCATCTCCCTTCTCTGACTGTCTTTTTGGACTCAGCCCGCCGGCACCCAGGTGATTAAAAGCTTTATTGCTCACACAAAGCCTGTTTGGTGGTCTCTTCACACGGACGCGCATGAAAGATACCATCTGTGTAAAGTCAGCACTTCCATCTGAGGCCACTCTCTAGTTCCCATAATGCTAATAGGAACCATCCCCAAAGCCAAATATCACTTACTGGATCAGAGTTCTCAGGACAGAATGTCTCTCTTACTACCATTCAGCTTCCTCCCAACCATTACCATCCCAGCACCCTTAATGTGCTCTCTCCCCTGAAGCTGCTCCAGTTGCTAGAATGGCATCATTAGTACTGTATCACTCTTTAAGATTCAGTAAAGCAACAGGAAGAGGATGCATGACTCCCTGAGGTACTCTGTAGTCTCAGCAGAACAGCACTGTAGGAAAATTATATTCCTGTTCTTGATGCCTCTTCCCATCCCCTCAACATTCCCATTCCTTTCCCTACACCAGCATTTGGTTCACCCAGGACACCCCATTTAGGGTGCAGCCAATATAGCCATAATAGAAAAACTTCATTAAGGAGCTCAACTCATAATAACAAAAACTCAAAATAGTTTTTGTTTTAATCAATAGCTTTCCCCTTCCCCACTGGGTTGGAGCCTCTTAACACCTTGACCAGATTCCATACATTCCTGTCATTTTCTGTTGCACTGGACTGGTCCCATTGGGTATTTAAAAGCCAGGGTTACTGACATTAAAAGTTCAATTGCAAACATTATTCAAAACCTGTTGCACTCATTAACCCTGTGACTTGTGGAAATGAGATCTACTTTTCATACACCTCCCTTTTCTTTCTGTCTTCAAATCCTTTCCCTCTCTTCAGTTCACTCTAGAATCCCAGTAATTCTCAACCTTGACTGCACACACTGGATTACCTAGGAGTTTAAAAACTACCAATACCAAAGTCCACTCCCAGAGATTCTGATTAAATTGTCCTGGAGGAGTCCTTGACATCAGGACTTTTTAAAGCTCCTGGGGTGATTCTAACATGAAGCCGAGTCTGAGAGACATGACTGCAGACTCTCACAGACACTCACTGCGGATAGAACAGGGAGGAATGGAGATGCTGCCTAACTGGCTGTTTCTTGGCAGTGAGGACGGAACCTAGGCTGATTCCCTCTGGTCCCTTCTGATGCTGCTGGCTCTGCTGGTCTGAGGGTTGCATATAGGTATACGGGTTTCTTCTGAAGTGTGAAGGTAGGGGGTCAGCTGTATCATAGCCCAGTCCCCCCCTGCTGATCCCTTCTAACAGTGGGATGGGCATCCAACTATTTGACTCTTACTCTCACCACCATCCTCTTCCACGTGAATCAATTCTTTTTGCAGGGAATTGGGGTGGCATGAGGTGTCCCCAACTTCTTTGCAGGCACACTAATAATAAATAGCATCACTTATTCAGCATCTACTCTATGCCAAGAATTATACTGGTTGCTTTCTTTTTTTCTTTCTTTCTTTTTTAGATGGAATCTCACACTGTCGCCCGAGCTGGAGTGCAGTGGCGCGATCTCAGCTCACTGCAATCTCCGCCTCCCGGGTTCAAGTGATTCTCCTGCCTCAGCCTCCCAAGTAGCGGCGATTACAGGCATGTGCCACCATGCCCAGCTAATTTTTTGTATTTTTAGTAGAGACAGGGTTTCACCATGTTGGCCAGGCTGGTCTCAATCTCCTGACCTTGTGATCAGCCTGCCTTGGCCTCCCAAAGTGCTGGGATTACAGGCATGAGCCACCGCACCCAGCCTGATTTCTTATTTAATTATCACACAAGCCTGCCAAGAGGTATCAATCCATATTTCGTAAATGAGGGAACTATCAGAGAAGTTTTGTTGCTTACCCAGCATTACACAGTAAGAAAGTAATAGAGCCAGGTGAGAAATTCAGATTTGACTTCAAAACGACAGCCTCTTCATTGTTCTATTTTACCTGAAGTCATTCCTTTTATAATGGTACCTGTTTAACATGTTCCCCCGCTTAGATAATGCAGCTGCCTTCTACTGAGGAGTTTTAGTGCCATGATCCATCAGTCCACTGACTGATGATGGAGATTTCCAGCTGAGACAGGCAGGCAGATGGAGGAAAATTACCCCTAGCCCCACCCCCTACACCAACATAGGCACTGCTTATATTCAAAGACGTACTTTAGATCTGCTATCTACTAGAAAAATCCAGATTTGTGCAGATCACAGTTCCACCCACTCATCAGCATTTCTCAGCTTTCTGCCCCCAGGACCCACTAATCATTTACAGCTTGTTGATGGTTATTTGAACCCAGGGTCAAGGTGAACACCCTCAGTTACACAACAAAAATGTATCAAGGTTTTGTTTAATCAATTGCGTGTGTTTCAGAAAGTCTGTATAAAATTCTCTGCAGTGGCAGATCATAGCAAGGGATGGTTTAACAAAATGAAGGCACTCATTGCAGCACTGCTTTTGATCACATTGCAGTATTCGTGTGCCGTGAGTCCCACTGACTGCAGTGCTGTTGAGCCGGAGGCTGAGAAAGCTCTAGACCTGATCAATAAAAGGCGACGGGATGGCTACCTTTTCCAATTGCTGCGGATTGCTGATGCCCACTTGGACAGAGTGGTGAGGAATTGCCAATGGCAGAGCTGAGTTGGGAGATTACTCACGGGGGCAAATGTGACTCTACCCCCTAGGCTTACTGCTTTGCACAATGAATGGCTTTGGTCAGAGTTTTTTGTTTGGCTTCTGCGGCTGCTCTAAATTGTTCTTTTTTCCTTCAAACTAATATTTGTTATTAGTGTACCCGCAACTATGATTCGATTTGTGGGTACATATAAGCATTTATGCTGAGCCCAGTTACATGCTAAGGACTGCCAGAGAAACATTAGAATAAGCTATGGGCCTTGGCCTCCAGGAAATAATAATACACTGGCACATACAGGCAAACAGTGTAAGTTACTAGGATAAACTAGAGAGAAGGAAAAGTTTTCTCAACCCTCCTAAGGCTCCTAACTGAGCCTGAAATAAAACTGGTAGACAAGGCCAGGCGCGGTGGCTCACGCCTGTAATCCCAGCACTTTGGGAGGCCAAGGCGGACGGATCATGAGGTCAGGAGTTCAAGACCAGCCTGGCCAACATGGTGAAACCCTGTCTCTACTAAAAATACAAAAACTAGCTGGGCATGGTGGTGCACGCCTGTAATCCCAGCTACTCAGGGGGTTGAGGCAGAAGAATCGCTTGAACTCGGGAGGCAGAGGTTGCAGTGAGTCGAGATCATGCCACTGCACTCCAGCCTGGGCAACAAAGCTAGACTCCATCTCAAAAAAAAAAAAGAAGAAGAAGAAAACATACAAATTTATTTAATCCAAGGTTTACCTGACACTGGAGTCTTCATAAATGAAGACTCAGATATCCAAAGAAACTGGCCACTTGCATACTTAGAATTCACAAAGGCTGTGCAGAATGCAGAAGTGTGATGGGACAAAAGGCTGTAATCTAAGAGTCATAGACTGAAAGAAGGACCCAGCAAGGCCTCTCTGTTTGAGTTCTTCATGGCCTCTCTGTGTGGCATTTCTTGCTCCCAAGTATGGGACAGGATCCCTTTGGAATGCGGATCTGAGGACCTACTATCAAACAGAGTAGGTCAGAGAATGTCTTTATGGCCAGCTCCTACAAAGAAAGACACAGGGGGAAGGTTAGATTCATATTTTAGGATTTATGGATGCTTTCGGGGAGAGGGATTCTACCATCTGTGACTGTCCTGGAGAAGAGAAATTTTAGTTTCTATGGCTTGCCTTGGGGGAGAAAGCAGAGTAGGAGAACAAAGGGCAGAAGGTCAGACAGATCTGGCTTCTGAGGCCCTTCCCATTTTCTTCAGTTCAAAGGACTCAGCACGCCAAAAGTACCATACTTTGAGATACCATGTTCTGAGCCCCAACAATAGCCAAGTGACCAAAGGAGTGGTAAATGTACTGGAGCAATTTAATGAGGGGAGATCTAGTAAGACTGGATGGGAGGAGGCTTCTGCTGTGTAATGATGCATGGGTAGGATTTGAACAGGTCTGGGTAAATGTGTTCCTGGTGAATTCCTGGCACCACCACTTCTAGGTGGGTATGGAATCAGGAAGAAGGGTGTTAGGGAGCCATTGAATATAAGCAGGTGGGTTCCAGAAGTTCCATGTGGGCTCTGGAGCAGGCATCAGGTAGGAGCCAAGCCTGTGGGCTTGTCTTGAGGTGAAACAAGCTTACTGTCTTCGCTTAGATTACACGCCTACCTAAACTGGACTAGAGGAGCCGATAGACATTATAGAGAGACATGAAGCCTGCCTCTAAGCTCCCCAAATAACCTACTCTCCCTCTGATGGAAAAACTGAAATTAGGGAGGCCAGACAAGGAGTACTACAGAGGACAATTTACCCTTCTGAAAGTATCACAGAGGGAGGCACTGTGGGTTGCAGAGAACAGGTGTGCAGGAGTTTAGGATTCAACCAGTAATTCAGTGACCATTAGTCCCATGCCAGGCTCATCAACACATGTTAGGGCATAGGATGCATCAGCACAGAGCTGCCTCTGAGAGCTAGCATAGAGAGCGGGTGGATGGGGAGGGGTCCTGATGTGCCTGGGGAAACTGAGGCAAGAGACAGGGACATGAAGTAGAAAGCTATTTATGTATTCAGGAATGAAAGAACAAGGGTCAGACCTGGGTTAGTGGGAGTCAGGGCAATGAGACTGAGGAATAGACATGAGAGACGTTGCCAAGAAAGACCATTCAGGGCCTGGTACTGGATAGCAAAAGCAAGGACAAGGAAAACATCTCGTAGGTTTACATGTTTTACCCCAGAGTCTAAGGCAATATGTTGTTAGTGGTGCCACTGACAAAGACGAGGGAAGTGGAGAGGGCAGCTAGTTTGTAAGAGAAGAGAGAGGATTTAGCTTTGGGCAAAGCAACATCAAAGCAGAAAATCCCATGATCAGTAATAGAGCTGGGCAAGAGGACACAACTACAAGGACAGATTGGAGGCCCTGATGAGGTCGTCATGACTTATACTTCCAGGCATGCGTAGGTGATGATGCCTCCGCTAAACCACCACTGCCGTTTAGTGATAGCTTCTTCAAGTTTATGGGCAGAAGACAAATCAGGACCACTTAAAAAGATTTGGAAATAACTCATTGAAGCTATGTATTGGAATCAATAGATCAAATGACGCAAAGGTAGAGCATCTGCAAAGACAGTGAGAGGAACAGGAATTCTGTTTAAGTAATAAATATATAGCTTTAATACATAAAAAAAAACCCGCTAGGTTTCCATGTGCTACTCACATGTTGCTTTTGGCATTCCTCAGGAAAATACAACTGTATATTACTTAGTCTTAGATGTGCAAGAATCGGACTGTTCGGTCCTATCCAGGAAATACTGGAATGACTGTGAGCCACCTGATTCCAGACGTCCATCTGAAATAGTAAGTAAAGAGGGCACCTTCACTCTGCTCTTTTCATTCTTATTTTCCATCTACTCTGTTCACTCAGCCAATGCCTGGGCTAACACAGTAGAAGAGAAAGGGCAGCTTTTGCCTTGAGATTCATGAAGATGATGTTAACCTTGAGCAATACTCTTGAGAGTCTTTCCTGGGAACCCAGTTCAAGACAACTCAGCAGGGTGTGTGGTCCCATCAAAGAGCATAACCAGCTGTGGGTCCTTGGGTAAATCATCTAATAACATCCCTCCACTTTGGTGTTTTTTGACTGTAAAATAAGAAGTGGGTTTAGGAATTCATGGACTCTAAGGGCCTTCCACTCTTGACAGTCTACAGGTATCAGAATCTATGAACTTGTAATTGTGTCCTATGAACAATGGTCCTATTTTCAGGAATGGCCAAAGTAATTACTTGCAGTGAGGAATTGGGTCTTGCTCAGCACCTAGGATATACACTGAGGAATAAGATCTGGCTTTGCATGTGGGAGGTGGGTATTGACATGCCAGGCTCTCTGACACAGGTGGAGAACATGAAGATGAATAAGCAGAGATTCAAGATTTCATTTCCAGAAAATGAGAGGTTCACACTCCTGGAACTTTCACCACTTTTTCCCTTGAAAATGTTTGGGGTATGGCCATGATGCTTTAAATAGTTTCTCGCTGGTTCTCCTGAGGATTTTGAGTGCCAACAGGATGCAGCACACAGAAACTGACTAAGAAAATGCAGGGTTTGAGACAAGCTTTGATGAAAGAAATGCATTTTTAAATGAACAGTAGGAGGATGTTGCATCACCTTTTTGCTCTTTCATATCTGACCTGAGGAAGGCAGGATGCAATGACTCAGCAAGTCCTCAAGAGCCTCTTTCTTACAGGTGATCGGACAATGTAAGGTAATAGCTACAAGACATTCCCATGAATCTCAGGACCTCAGAGTGATTGACTTTAACTGCACCACAAGTTCTGGTATGGTAATCTGTTAAATTGCTAATTAATTCTTGATTAATACAAATTCAATCATACAGTGGTATTTGTCTCATCTATGTACATATGTATTCATATATATTCAGATGTATTCATGTATATCTATGATGTACATGAAAGAAAAGCCTTCATAGACTCCATTATTATTCATTCTCCAGAGAATAGAATTGAGACAAATTTCCCTGGTACTGGTACACCTTCTTTTAAAGAAATTCAACACATAAAAATAGAGATTTAGGAGAGGTAGGTTAGCCTCATTATAGATATAGGCTTTGGAGTCAGGCTTGCTTTAGCTTGAGTCATCATCTGCCAGTTGTATAGTCTTGGGAGGAAGTAAAGTCTTGGGACTATGAAGTAAAGGTTATGACACTTTCTATTTAAGACAAAATAATTGATGCTCAAAGAAGTTAAATGACTTGGCCTCAAGAACAAAGCCAAGATATTGTGAAGATGTGACACAATCCCAGGAGTATTAACTCTAAATTCCACAGCTTTTTTATTTATTTATTTTTATTTTTGAGACAGAGTGTCGCTCTTGCTACCCAGGCTGGAGTGCAATAGTGTGATCTCGGGTCACTGCAACCTCCACCTCCCGGGTTCAAGCAATTCTCCTGTCTCAGCCTCCCAAGTAGCTAGGATTACAGGCATATGCCACCACATCCAACAAATTTTGTATTTTTAGTAGAGATGGAGTTTCTCCATGTTGGTCAGGCTGGCCTCAAACTCTTGACCTCAGGTGATCTGCCCACCTTGACCTCCCAAAGTGCTGGGATTACAGGTGTGAGCCACCACGCCCAGCCTCCATACCCTTTTAATTTACATTTTCAAATAGAATTATCACAGGATTCCTTTTTAAAATAGCAAATCCAAATATGATATTATATACAAAAATGCAAGATACTGCCACAGGAGTTTGCATTGAAGAAAGGATGATCTGTATCTTCTCCTCTCTCTGGGCAAAACTCTATGTTAATGCTCTGTCTTCCCCCTTGGCAACAACAGGAAGAACTTATTAAAATATTAGTGGCCTGGTGCGGTGGCTCACATCTATAATCCCAGCACTTTGGGAGGTTGAGGCCAGAGGGTTGCTTGAGCCCAGGAGTTTGAGACTAGCCTGGGCAATGTGACTCAACCCCATCTCTATTATTTAATATATATGTTAATATATATATCATATTAATACCTAAATATATGATTATATAATATAAAAACATATGATATATTATATAATATATAAATATATAATAGATATTATATAATAGATAATATATATTTATATATTAACGAATGTCATAGTTGTCATATTTATATATATATGTTAGCACTTTATCAGTGGTACTGGTGAAGGCATCATGAGTAGGGGTCACAACATAGACATGGGGATCAGAAAGACTCGAAGGAAGAATCAGCAGTTTAGTTCGGTTGCCAAATGGCTGATTGATCTTGAAGCAGTTACTCAGCTCTTCCCACCCTCAATTTGCCCATCCTTAAAATGAAAGTTATTGTCATTCTTGCCACCAAGCCACCATTAACATTTCCAGCCCTTTACTGTGACACTGCTATCTTCTTTCTCCAGTCTCTTCAGCACTGGCCAATACCAAAGATAGTCCGGTCCTCATAGATTTCTTTGAGGATACTGAGCGCTACAGAAAACAAGCCAACAAAGCCCTTGAGAAGTACAAAGAGGAGAATGATGACTTTGCCTCTTTCAGAGTGGACCGAATCGAGAGAGTTGCAAGAGTGGTGAGTCTCCACTAAGGTTCGGTTGGAGTCTGAAGGCCCAGGCTCCAACCTGGCAGCAGGAACTGAATGGCATACCCTCTCCACCTGCCTCAATTGACTAGCTGCCTTTTAATTTGTCACTTTTGAGGCCATAAAAGACAGGCAGCAGGTATTTAAAAAATACAAAAAAATTGCTTTCCTCAAACACTTTTTTTTTTTTTTGAAGGATGGGTAGGGGAGTAGACATCTGACAGAGTAGGGAGAAAATCTAAAGAGGAAACAGGGAAAGACAAGAACATATGAGGGTTGTGTCATTGCAAATCATCCAATACTAACATTCTTGTACTATGATGGAAAACTGAAGTTCAGAGAAATTACCTCACCACACCCAGTAATGTGCCTATAGTTAGATGGTTCCCTGCTCTCTCTACAAGGACCCAAGTACTTTCACCCAGAGCTGTCTTGTAGAGCAACTGGTTGACATTTGCTATGCATTCAGAAAATGCAGCGTTAAATAGATTGTGTTGCATACAAGTAAGGAAATGAGTACCATGCAGTTGCTCAAAGAATGTTTGGACCCATGCGCACTGGAGTTTGAAAACATATTGGTATAGGAAAATGCAGGTTATAGAACAGTACTTAGACTATGGACCCATTTATATGAAACACTTAGATCTCCCTGTGTATGTGTAACACATCTAGGAAAACACTCGAAGAGGAAACACATCAAATAAATGAGAATGAAAACTCTGGGAAGAAGTTGGAGTGCAGGAGAGGTGATTTTTCACACTCTACTTTATCATATATTTATTATTTGAACCTTTTCAGTGAACTGGTATTCACCTTATCACTTAGGTGATACATTTTTAAAAGGCAGAAACCATTTTAAAAAATGACACATACTGGTGATTTTGAATTCTCATACTGCCTTAAAAAATATTGAATGGTAGTTATCTACTGCTTTTTTTTCCTTTTTCTTTGTCTGTTCTTGAAACTATTTTGATCCCATCTGTTCTAGAGAGGAGGGGAAGGAACTGGTTACTTCGTGGACTTCTCTGTGCGGAACTGCCCCAGACACCATTTCCCCAGACACCCCAATGTGAGTATAAGAAATGTCTGTGATCGTTGACTAGAGTCACAGAGAAAAAAGAAAGAGAAGAAGGAGAAGGAGAAGGAGAAGGAGAGGAAGGAGAAGAAGGAGAAGAGGAATGAGAAGGAGAAAATGAGGAGGAGGAGAAGGAGGAAGAAATGTCTGTGAAATACAAAGTATCATCTGGGAAGCACTTAGTACCTGCCAGGCACTCTTCTAAGTGATTTACACATCAGATAACTTATTGTTTTGTTTTGTTTTTGAGATGGAGTTTCGCTCTTGTTGCCCAGGTTGGAGTGCAATGGCACAGTGTCGGCTCACTGCAACCTCCGCCTCCCGGGTTCAGGCGATTCTCCTGCCTCAGCCTCCGGAGTAACTGGGATTACAGGCATGCACCACCACGCCCAGCTAATTTTTGTATTTTTAGTAGAGATGGGGTTTCACCATGTTGATCAGGTTGGTCTCAAACTCCTTATCTCAGGTGTCCACCCACTTCGGCTGGGATTACAAATCAAAGTGCTGGGGTTACAGGCGCAAGCCACCATGCCCAGCCTATGATAACTTATTAACCCTCACACTACCATATGAGATAGATACCATTTTTAATCCCAAATTAGCAGATAGGGGAACTGAGGCACAGAGAACATAAGCGAACCATAAGAACATGATTTTATAATATACATGATATATACCTAAACTTAAAACTAAGTTTCTAACTGATTAGGATTAAAGGCTTAGTTAGAACTATAGCAGTTCGTACTAAGACCCTACGCCAAGTGGTTTTATTAATTCCACATCATCACACTCACAGGAATCCCACTTGACAAATGAGGAGGTAACTGAAAATCAGCAAAGGAAAGGTCTTGCCGATGTTCACAACCAAGCTGAGATTAAAACTTAGTTATTCTCATACAAAGTCCAGTGGGATTTTTCCTCTAATCATTTACAAATAGATTCCCATGTACCTGCCAGAAGACATTATTAATACCACCTGGCATTTGCATGGTGACCTACAGTTAAAGAAACACCTCCACATCTGTTATTGCCAGGAGAGCCTCATGAAAATCCTGCTGACAAGGAAAAGCAAGTATCTGCCTACATTTCCTGTGACAAGGGGACCTGAAATTAAAACCACTTACCTAAAGGCACTTAGCTAGAGAGTGTTAGGAAATGGAATTTTAATTATGATGCCAAGTCCAGGATTTTTCTGAGGTTTAACAACACATTCTCCCTGGTCAAAAGGGAGAAACCATCCATTAGTACCTTTGTTAGCTCTTCTAATGTCCACACTGAACCAGGTCTAGAAACCTTCTTAGCGCCCACCAGAAAAGACACCTCCCTCCCCTACTCCTATGGCCAACAAACCCTTCATGATCTTGGTGTGGATAATGTAAACCCAGAGTTGAAGCACCAGAGCTGAAGAGGAGGCTCAGGGGTAAGTGTTTTACAGCATCCTCTTGTTTAATTAATCCCTCCCACAACCTGTGAGTACATAGTATTATCCCCATTTTACAATGGCTGACTTTCAGAAATCTTTTGTAACTTTCCCAAACTCAGACAACTAGGAAATGGAGAAGCCAGGATTAACATAGGTCTCTCTGATTCCCAAACTGTACTCAGAACCTCAATGCTTAGCAATTTCTTCTAGCAGACAGCCGTCCTCTTGTCCTAGTCGATCTTTCACAGGTGGGTTTAGGAGCATCTGGAGCACAGGAGTGGCAGCCAGTTGTAGCCCTGGCACTTGGGTGGAGTCAGCAGACACTTGCCTTGACAATGTCCATGAAAACCCATCTTTATGCTATACAGATGCCCTCCTGTCCAACACTTTCCTCCAAGGGACCAGCTGAAGTTGTAAAAATCCCTCTTTGACACCATTCCTCATTGTCCTAGGCACAGGCAACTGAGGTCTCCAGTGCAGAAGGGTTGGCCTAAAGGCAAGGCAGCAATGATGTGGTTTTCCTCATCATTTCCATCACCCATGGGGAAGCCCAGTGCTGGTGCCTGCTCATGAAAAAAACCACAGCAACTTTAGTGATACCCTTCACCACCTGCACTTTCCCCAAAGTGTTAACAAGGAAAGATTGCTGAACGACTGGTGGGAATATCTGATCATATTACCCTGATTTTTCTAAAGCACTTCTTCCTTTTCTGAATGTCTGGAAGCTAACTCTGGCTGGTCATCTTCACACCACCTGGACACACACACTAACAGCTCCTCATTCCTTTGTAGGTCTTTGGATTCTGCAGAGCAGATTTGTTCTATGATGTAGAAGCCTTGGACTTGGAAAGCCCGAAAAACCTTGTCATAAACTGTGAAGTCTTCGACCCTCAGGTGGGTTGTCTAAGCAGACTTTGTCATGGCAGTGCCAGATTAAGTGACATACGTACACAAATAGTGTTGTTGCTTCCTAAAGCTCTATGAGTGGGTGTGTGTGTGTGTGTGTGTGTGTGAGAGAGAGAGAGAGAGAGAGAGACAGAGACAGAGACAGAGAGAGGGAGACAGGGAGAGAGAGAAAGAGAGAGACAGACAGACATGCAAGAAAAAAGATACAGAGAGTATCCCACAACTGGGGAAAGGAGTGCAATTGCCAGATTACACAAAAAGTATGAAAACTTTTCCAAGAATTGAAGAGGGGTAACAATTGGCAGAAAATTAAAATCATGTCCAATTCAACCAAACTTGAAGGAATTTGAAAATGCTCTTTGTAGTCGGGACTCTAGTGCTGAGACTTAGTCATTCCTAAGCTTATATTATTGGGCATAGAATCTAAGAGGAATATATCAGCCTCAAATTTATTATGTAAATGTATATAAAATAAGATGCAAAACCATATTTTGCATCTGTCTCAGAAATCTTTGGTCTATTTTTTACATGAGTACAAAGATTTGCTTCACGAAATTTTTCATATCAGAAACAAAACTTAAAATAATCCAAACATCCAATCCCAAGTTAAAAAAAAGAAAAAGGAACAAAGGGCAGGATTGTCACCATGAACATGGCTCTGTCTTTTTTTTTTTTTTTTTTTTTGAGAAGGAGTTTTGCTCTTATTGCCCAGGCTGGAATACAATGGTGCCATCTCGGCTCACCACAACCTCTGCCTCCTGGGTTCAAGCGATTCTCCTGCCTCAGCCTCCTGAGTAGCTAGGATTACAGGCATGCGCCACCATACCTGGCTAATTTTGCATTTTTAGTAGAGAAGGGGTTTCTCCATGTTGGTCAGGTTGGTCTCAAACTCCTGACCTTAGGTGATCCACCTGCCTCAGCCTCCCAAAGTTCTGGGATTACAGACATGAGCCACCGTGCCCGGCCTCTGTAGCTATTTTTTAAAAAATTAAACTCTGAACAAGGAAGAGAGAGAAGAGGTCAAGTGTTCAGCCTTTAGGAGTAAGGGATGTTGATACCATCAAGCCTCAGTTAAGAATATCAGTTATAAGGCACTAGTTTTCCAGTGTTGGTCTACAGATGGGTGCCAGGTCATAATATTGTTTCACCACTCTGTGTAGTAAAAATGAAAAAAAAATAAGGATAATGAAGTTTTTTATATCTAACATTTATCCATCTAAAGGACAATCCTTTACTCTGATATTGTGTTTCTGGCTCTTTCTTTTTTTTTTAAATCAAAATTTCATTCCAGGCTGGGCATGGTGGCTCATGCCTGTAATCCCAGCACTTTGGGAAGCTGAGATGGGTGGATTACTTGAAACAAGGAGTTCAACATGGTGAAACCTGTCTCTACTAAAAATACAAAAATTAGGAGTCTGGGCAACAGAGTAAGACTATGTCTCAAAAAAAGAAAAAAAAAAATTAGGTGGGCATGGTGGCTTGGGCGTGTAGTCCCAGCTACTTGGGAGGCTGAGGCAGGAGAATTGCTTGAACCTGAGAGGTGGATGTTGCAATGAGCAGAGATCGCACCACTGCACTCCAGACTGGGTGACAGAGCGAGACTCAGTCTCAGAAAAAAAAAATAGTTTCTTTTGTGAAACAATGATGGTGGTAAATGATAGTTATTGTTAATATTTTAAATATCAACTGGGCTAGATAACAATTTGAGAATCTTTTTTCGTAATACTTTTTAAATTGATTTGTGGAATCTATGATCTGGGAGCCATTGGTGTAAATCAAGTCAAGTATCTAACATCTTCTTTTATGTTACATGATGATAGGCACTTTTCTGTGACCTTTTCCAGGAACATGAGAACATCAATGGTGTACCGCCTCATTTGGGACATCCCTTCCACTGGGGTGGGCATGAGCGTTCTTCTACCACCAAGCCTCCATTCAAGCCCCATGGATCTAGAGATCATCATCATCCCCACAAGCCACACGAACATGGACCCCCACCTCCTCCAGATGAAAGAGATCACTCACATGGACCCCCACTTCCACAAGGCCCTCCTCCACTATTGCCCATGTCCTGCTCAAGTTGTCAACATGCCACTTTTGGCACAAATGGGGCCCAAAGACATTCTCATAATAATAATTCCAGTGACCTCCATCCCCATAAGCATCATTCCCATGAACAGCATCCCCACGGACACCATCCCCATGCACACCATCCTCATGAACATGATACCCATAGACAGCATCCCCATGGACACCACCCCCATGGACACCATCCTCATGGACACCACCCCCATGGACACCATCCCCATGGACACCATCCCCACTGCCATGATTTCCAAGACTATGGACCTTGTGACCCACCACCCCATAACCAAGGTCACTGTTGCCATGGCCACGGCCCACCACCTGGGCACTTAAGAAGGCGAGGCCCAGGTAAAGGACCCCGTCCCTTCCATTGCAGACAAATTGGATCTGTGTACCGACTCCCTCCTCTAAGAAAAGGTGAGGTGCTGCCACTTCCTGAGGCCAATTTTCCCAGCTTCCCATTGCCGCACCACAAACATCCTCTAAAGCCAGACAATCAGCCCTTTCCTCAATCAGTCTCTGAATCATGTCCAGGGAAGTTCAAGAGTGGGTTTCCACAAGTTTCCATGTTTTTTACACATACATTTCCAAAATAAAATGTGATTCCTTTGAAGAGGAAAATGAATAATACATTGAATTAGAAACATAAATAAAATGACCAGTAATTGTGAAAATTACAGTTCTTTTCAACCTACTTTCATACTGAAGATGCAGCAAAATGTGAATGGGAAAAGAGATGGCCTGAGAAGAGAGATCAAATGGAAAGGAGAGGAAAGAACTCAGTGCTGCCTATTAGTAGTTAATTCTGTCACTCACCACTACATCACTTGAGACAAATCTATGCCACTCAGAATCTCCTTCTTTCCTGGACTTAACTCTAATTCTAGAGTCTCTGTTACTGCTTGGGCTATACCTGGGCATACTAATAAAGTATGGTATTGAAACTATTGTTATCATTTATTTCATTTTATTTTCTAAGTTCCAGGGCACATGTGCAGGGTGTGCAGGTTTGTTATATAGGTAAAAGCATGCCATGGTGCTTTGCTGCACCTATCAACCCATCACCTAGGTATTAAGCCCAGCATGCTCTAGTTCTTTTTCCGAATGCTCTCCTGCTTCCCACCCTCCCCCTATTTATTATTATTAAAGTGACCTAAATTCTCTCCTCGTGATTATTACTAGGCATCTAAATTTTCTTTTGGAAAAATAAGTTCTAAATTCAGTATTGAAGCAAACAAACCTCTGGCTATAAATTGCAAAGAAGCTTGCTAACATGAATCATGACCATAAATTCAGGTGCATAAGAAATGTCACTTTATGCTCAGAACAAATTAATTTCTATTTGAGGATGCCATCCTACTGGCTTAGTGGAAATTTAACCCCAGTCCTTCTTGGAGTCCCCTTTCCCTGCCCTGCTACTTTCCACACAAAGTTGGGCCACAGTTCTAGGATCTCACACCATGCCAAGCTGTCCAGGTGGTAGGAAGCAGGATAGTGACTATCCCTCAGCCAGGGTGACTGTTGGACCAATGATCATCATCATGAGTGATAGCCATCCTGCTCAGGGATAGTCACAACCCTGTTCACATCACTCTTTCAGTCTGATTTATCTGCTACTTCTGTAGAAAACTGGGGGTGCAGGAATGTCTGTACACTAGCCATGGACATGACTGCCAAGGTATGGCATATGGCTGCTCTCTCCCTGGGATCTTGCTGTCTTCCCAGCTGCATGCCCAGAAAGCAGGGCAGAGATCTCCTCTGCCTCAGAGACCCCTTACCTCACTCTTCTCCCTATACCTTCTCCCTCAGCTAACGACTCTCTTGCTAGTCTCAGGTAAGTTCACTTTATTTATTTTTAGGGCCAGAAGACTTTTTCCACACTATACTCCTCTTTCTTTTTCCTCCTCAAATCAGGACTCAATCATTTGAAACAAACTAAAAGAATTCAGATTCTGTCTATCTTCCAACTGCAATAGTGATACTCAAAGTATTTCATAATCAACATGACCCAAGCACTGACCAATCAGACCAGAAACAACAACCTATCAGAACAGTCACCATCCATAAACAACCAGCGTGACCACACTGGCAGGTGCAGCTGAATGTGGCCCTGCAGAATCACATTCCTCCTGGAGGCATGGACACCAGGTCAGCTGCTTGAACAGGGAGAGGAGAAAGGTGAGACCCATGGAGGGCAAAAGATACAGAGGTTAATAACTCAGAATGTATCCTCCCACAGAAGCACTGGAGTAGGATTCAATAATTTACAAAGTACTTTCATAAACTTTGCTTGAGTTAATGAAAATATTCCTTGGAATACAGAGGAGTTGAAGCTCTCAATTCACTTCAGTTAAGGGCATTCTTCCTATGCACACCCGACACTGCGAGGGAATAATGGGATAAGAAACCATTCCCACCTCGGGATGGTACGTTCTACTAGAGGTTTTAGACAATACACCATGCTTTTCTAGACTTCTTTTTGTTTGTTTGTTTGTTTGTTTTCACAGAGTCTTGCTCTGTCGCCCAGGCTGGGGTGCAGTGGCGTGATCTCAGCTCACTGTAACCTCCACCTCCTGGGTTCAAGTGATTCCCCTGCCTCAGCCTCCCGAGCAGCTGGGACTATAGGCTTGCGCCAACACACCCGGCTAATTTTTGTACTTTTAGTAGAGACAGGGTTTCACCATATTGTCCAGGCTGGTCTCGAACTCCTGACTTTATGATCCACCTGCCTCAGCCTGCCAAAGTGCTGGGATTACAGGCGTGAGCCACCGCTCCCGGCTGCTTTTCTTATGTCATCCCAGCTAAAAAGTGTATCAGTATCTGTTTACAAATATTTCATAAACTTTCAAAGGTGACATTCACAGAGGCAACATAATTAATGCCTCTTCAAATGTCTAAAGCCCAAACTCTTCATTCTTCTCCAGAAAAGCTCTCCCACTTCCTAACATCAGCCTTTCTGTCAGTGGCAATACCATTCTTAAAATCCTTCAGGCTAGAAATATTTATTGATTTTCCCTTTTTCTTCATCCCCAATTTATGCTATAACAGAAAACACTTTGTCTGCTTTGTTCATTAAAGCACTTGCCACACAATAAGGGTTTAAGAAATGTTTGTATAATAAGCAGGTACATTAAACATTTACTATGAGTCTGAAGATACGGCTGATCACAGTGGCTCACGCCTATAATCCCAGCACTTTGGGAGGCTGAAACAAGTGGATCACTGGCCAACACGGTGAAACCCCATCTCTACCAAAAAATACAAAAATTACCTGGGCATGGAGGCTGAGGTGGGAGAAATACTTGAACCCGGGAGGCGGAGGTTGCAGTGAGCCAAGATTCCATGACCGCACTTCAACTTGGGCAACAGAGAAAGACTCTGTCTCCAAATAAATAAATAAATAAATAATAAAACTTAAAATTAAGTTGTTTAATATATTTTGTAATTTAATCTTTACCAACAGCTCTCTCATGCAGAAAATGTCATTGTATCAGAATAGGCCAGTTGCTGGAACAAACTCAAGTGGCCTAATGATGGAGAATTTGATTTCTCTTTCATGTTACAGGTCAATATGGGTTATCAGCAGATGGCCATCCAAATGGTGATTCAGGGTACCAGGCTCCTTTTGTCTGGGGGCTCTGCTCTCCCCTTGACCTCAGAATTGTCTCTTGGATCCTCTGCATCCAGCCCACATGGGGAGAGAGTGGAGGATCATGAAGGTGGTTTCTGTGGCCCAGGCCTGGAAGGTGCATGCATGATTCATGCTCACATTTCACTGCCTAGAACTCAGTCATATGGCCACACCTAATGCAAGGGAGATGGGGAAATGAAGTCTGCCTGTACTCCAAGGAGGAAAGGGACCTAGGTAGGGAAAACAGGCTGTACAATCAACCATTTCTTAGGGAAAGAAGAGAACCAAAGAGGCTGAATTACTTGCTTAGGATCTCGCAGTCAGTAAATGTGGGACTGGAATTAGAACCTTGATTGGCCTCCGCCAAAGCCACATGCTGTCTTCTTTATGACACTGCCGGTGATGGTGCCCAGGCCTGTTTCTGAGTCTTCACTGGAAACGCTTGCTGGTCAGCCGCTACCATTCTGGTCTACTTCCCCCTGGACAGTGCTCCCTTATGCATTTCTTCATCCTCCCAGTGTTCAGCTTCCACATTTCTGCTTCTCCTCCTTCCTCTCAACCTAAGAACTTCACAAAATCTCTTCCATTTTTCATATTTTCCACACAACTCCCCATTAAAATCTGCCTTCTCCCATGACTATGCACTTGAACCTATTTCAGTCAGGCAGGGATTCTTAGACACCTTTCCCTAGTATTAGAGATAGCTTAAAAGAACTAATCACCAGGTCCTGCACAGGAGTGAATTATTCACAGGAGTGAATAATTACCTCATTCACTCCTCAGAAACACCCTGTTAAGATATCATGATTTTCCACCATTACAGGTGAGAAACCTAAGCCTCAGAACATTTATGTGACCCTGTCTTCCTTGGGATCACCTAGGTAAGTAGGCAGAACTACATTAGAATCCAGGTTGGACTTACTGCCAAGTTCATGTTCCTGCCCCACCCCTACAATAGCCCCACTGGCTCCTATTGCCCCTTCTTCTCCAGGGACTCCAGGGAGAATCAGTTGGCAAGTTAGATTGGCAAGAGATCCTAACAGCAACAGAACTTCAATCTTTTATGCTTGTAAGACTTGAAGATACACGTTTACTACAGGAAAACACATGTCTCTAACCTACCTTTAAAATTCCTCTCTCCGAATAGTCTAACATTATGAAAAAGGTTGCTTAGGCTTGGTGAATGCAAAACACCATATCCACTGTAGGGGCAAAAAGTGCAATGCCCTTCCTCACCCATCCTCAGGGTCACAGCTGACTTACCTACAACAAACGACAGGTGGGCAAGAGAAAGCAGAGCATATTTATTTAATCCAAGTTTCTATAACATGAGAGCCTTCAGAATGAAGGCCCAAAGACCCAAGGGACAACTGCCCATTGCTAAGCTTAGATTCCATGAAGACTGGACAGCAGCGTGATCCAACAAAAAAGAAAAGATATGATAGTAATAGACTATCGGGGAAACCCCACAAGGCCTTCAGTTGGAGTTCTCCATTGGCCTCTCTGTGGCATTTCTTGCTCCCAGTTATGGTGCAGGACCCAATTGGCATGCAGATCTTAGGACCTACTAGCAGACAGAGTAGATTAGAGAATTTATTTTATGGCCAGCTCCTACACAGAAAGGCCTGGATGAAAGGTGAGAGTCATATTTTAGGTTTCATGGCTGCTTTGAGACAGAGAGATTCCTCTTTCTCTGACCTGCCTGTTGGAAGAGGAATTCTAGTTTCTATGGCTTGCCTTGGGAGAGAAAGGGGAGTAGGAGGACAAAGAGTGGGAGCAGGTCAGACAGTTCTTGCTTCTGAGGTCCTTTTGGTTTCCTTCAGTTCAAGGGGCGCAGCATGCCAAGGCACAATACTGTGGGGTATCCTTTTTTGAGCCCTAAAATATTCAAGTGAACACAGGAGTGGTAAATGTACTGGAACCATCTAATGAAGGGAGATCTAGTCGGATTGCGTGGGAGAAGCCTTCAGCCAATGTATTAGTCTGTTTTCACACTGCTGATAAGGACAGATCTGTGACTGGGCAATTTACAGAAGGAAGAGGTTTATTGACTTACAGTTCCACGTGGCTAGAAGGACCTCACAATCATGGTGGAAGATGAAAGGCATGCCTTACATGACAGCAGACAAGAGAAGAGAGCTTGTGCAGGGAGACTCCCCTTTTTAAAATCATCATATCTCATGAGACTTATTCACTATCATGAGGATAGCACAGGAAAGACCTGCCTCCATGATTCAATCACTTCCCACTGGGTCCCTCCCACAACACATGGGAATTCAAGATGAGATGTGGGTTGAAACAGAACCAAACCATATCATTCTGCTCCTGGCTTTCCCCACATCTCATGTCCTCACATTTCAAAACCAATCACGCCTTCCCAACAGTCCCCCAAAGTCTTAACTTATTTCAGCATTAACTCAAAAGTTCAAAGTCCAAAGTCTCATCTGAGACAAGGCAAGTCCCTTCTGCCTATGAGCCTGTAAAATCAAAAGCAAGTTAGTTACTTCCTAGATACAATGGGGTTACAGGCATTGGGTAAATACACTCATTCCAAATGGGAGAGATTGGCCAAAACAAAGGGGCTACAGGCACCATGCAAGTCCAAAATCCAACAGGGCAGTCAAATCTTAAAGCTCCATGATCTTTGACTCCATATCTCACATCCAGGTCATGCTGATGCAAGAGGTGGGTTCCCATGGTCTTGGGCAGCTCTGCCCCTGTGGCTTTACAGGGTACAGCCTCCCTCCCAGCTGCTTTCATCAGCTGGCATTGAGTGTCTGTGGTTTTTCCAGCCACACGGTGCAAGCTGTCTGTGGATCTACCATTCTGGGGTCTTTAGGATGGTGGCTGTCTTCTCGCAGCTCCACTAAGTGGTGTCCCAGTAGGGACTCTGTGTGGGGGCTCTGACCCCATATTTCCCTTCGACATTGCCCTAGAAGAGGTTCTCCATGAGAGCCCTGCCCCTGCAGCAAATTTCTGCCTGGACATCCAGGCATTTCCTTACATTGTCTGAAATCTAGGTTGCAGTTCCCAAACCCCAATTCTTGACTTCTGTGTACTCACAAGCTCAACATCACATGGAAGCTGCCGAGGCTTGAGGCTTCCACCCTCTGAAACCACAGCCCAAGCTCTACATTGGCCCCCTTTCAGCAATAGCCGGAGTGGCTGGGATGCAAAGTATCAAGTCCCTAGGCTGCACACAGCATGGGGAACCTGGGCCTGGCCCAGGAAAACACTTTCTCCTCCTAGGCCTCCAGATCTGTGATGGGAGGGGCTGCTGTGAAGACCTTTGAAATGCCCTGGAGACATTTTCCCCATTGTCTTGGGGATTAACATTTGGCTCTGCAGCTGGCTTGGATTTCTCCTCAGAAAACGGAATTTTCTTTTCTATTGCATTGTCAAGCTGCAAATTTTCCAAACTTTTATGCTCTGCTTCCCTTACAGTACTAAATGCTGGCCAGGCACGGTGGCTGATGCCTGTAATCCCAGCACTTTGGGAGGCCAAGGCGGGCGGATCACCAGAGGTCAGGAGTTTGAGAGCAGCCTGGCCAACATGGTGAAACCCCGTCTCTACTAAAAATACAAAAATGATCTGGGTGCAGTGACAGGCACCTGCAATCCCAGCTACTCCAGAGGCTGAGGCTGGAAAATCATCTGAACCCAGGAGGCAGAGGTTGCAGTGAGCAGAGATCATGCCATTGCACTCCAGCCTCTTGAATGCTTTGCTGCTTAGAAATTTCTTTCGCCAGAACCCATCATTCTCAGCAAACTAACACAAGAACAGAAAACCAAACACCGCATGTTCTCACTCATAAGTGGAAGTTGAACAATGAGAACACATGGACACAGGGTGGGGAACATCACACAGTGGGTCCTGTTGGGAGGCGGGAGGCAAGAGGAGGGAGAGCATTAAGACAAATAACTAATGCATGCGGGGCTTAAAACCTAGGTGACGGGTTGATTGGTACAGCAAACCACCATGGCACATGTATACCTATGTAACAAACCTGCACATTCTGCCCATGAATCCCAGAACTTAAAGTAAAATAAAAATTTTTTAAAAAGAAATTTCTTCTACCCAATGCCCTAAATCACCTCTCTCAAGTTCAAAGTTCCACAAATCTCTAGGGCAGGGGAAAAATGCCACCAGTCTCTTTGCTAAAACATAACAACGGTCACCTTTGCTCCAGTTCCCAACAAGTTCTTCATTTCCATCTGAGACCACCTCAGCCTGGACTTTACTGTCCATATCGCTATCAGCATTTTGGGCAAAGCCATTCAACAAGTCTCTAGGAAGGTTCAAACTTTCCCACATTTTTCTGTTTTCTTCTGAGCCCTCCAAACTGTTCCAACCTCTGCCTGTTACCCAGTACTAAATTCACTTCCACATTTTTGGGTATCTTTTCAGCACTGCCCCACTCTACTGGTACCAATTTACTGTATTGATCTGTTTTCATGCTGCTGATAAAGACATACCTGAGACTAGACAACTTACAAAATTAAAGAGGCTTATTGAACTTACAGTTACACGTGGCTGGGAAGAACTCACAATGATGGTGGAAGGTGAAGGGCACATCTCACATGGTGGCAGACAAAAGAAGAGAGCTTGTGCAGGGAAACTCCCCTTTTGAAAACCATCAGATCTCATGAGATTTATTCACTATCATAAGAATAGCATGGGAAAGAGAGCCCCCATGATTCAATCACCTCCCACCTGGTCCCTCCCATAACACATAAGAATTCAAGGTGAGATTCGAGTGGGGACAGAATCAAACCATATCAGCCAGGCAGTGATGCATGGTAGGAAATGCAATAGGAAGAGGGTCTGGGTAAAGGCATTTCTGGTGAATTCATGGCACACCACTTCTAGGAGGGCAGGGAATCAGGAAGAGGGGTGTTACGAGCCATTGAATACACACCAAGGGATTGCAGAAGGTCTATGTGGGCTCTGGAGCTGCCATCACATGGGAGGAGAGACTGTGGACTTATATTCAGGCAAAGCAAGCTTACTGTCTTCACTTAGGTTATTTGCCTACCTGAAGTGGATTTGAGGGGCTGATGGACATTATGGAGAGAAGCCTCCCTCCTCCATCCTGAAATAAGCTACCCTCCCTTTGGTGGAACAATTGAAATCAGGAGGACAGACCAGGAGTACTACAGAGGGCAAGCAGAGCAATTCACCCTTCTACCCTTCTTAAAGTATCAGAGAGGGGGGCATTGAAGGTTGTAGAAAACAAGAGTGCAGGAGTTTAGGATTCATCCAGTAATTCAGTGACCATTAGTCCCATTCCAGGCTCGTTGACACATGTTAGGGCACGGGATGCACCAGCACAGAGCTGCTTCTGAGAGCTAGTGCAGAGAGTGGGTGGGTGGGGAGGCAACCCAATGTGCCTGGGGAAACTGAGTCAAGAGACAGGGAAATGAACTAGGAAGCTATTTTATGTATGCAGGTGTGAGAGAATGAGGGCCAGACACAGGCAGTGGGATTCAGAGCAATGAACATGAAGAATAGACAAGAGAGACATTGCCAAGAAGTCTATACAGGGTCTGGTACTGGATAGCAAAAGCAAGGACAAGGAAGACATATTATAGCCTTACACTTTTTAACCCAGAGTCTAAGGCAATATGTTGTTAGTGGTGCCACTGACAAAGACAAGGGAAGTGGAGAGGCAGCTGGTTTGTAAGAGAAGAGAGAGGATTTAGCTTTGGGCAAGGTGACATCAAAGCAGGAAATCCACGATCAGTGATAGATCAGGGTGAGAGGACACAACTGCAAGAACAAACTGGAGGCCCTGATGAGGCCGTCATCACTTATACTTCTCAGTGTGTCCCTTCAACACTTCCACCAAACCACCACTGCCATTTAGTGATAGCTTCTTAAAGCTCAAGGGCAGAAGAAACATCATGACCACATAAAAAGAAGATTTGGAAATAACTCATGGAAGCTATTTATTCAAATTAACACATCAAATGACACAAAGGTAGGACATCTGCAAATATGTGGAGAGCCGTGAGAATTCTGTGTAAGATATAAACATGGACATTACCTTTATTAAAAAAAAAAAAAAAAGAATTGGGAGGCCAAGGCGGGCAGATCATGAGGTCAGGAGATCAAGACCATCCTGGCCAACATGGTGAAAACCCATCTCTACTAAAAAATACAAAAATTAGCTAGGAGTGTTGGCACGTGCTTGTAATCCCAGCTACTTGGGAGGTTGAGGCACAAGAATCGCTTGAACCCAGGAGGTGGAGGTTGCAATGAGCTGAGATCGCGCCATTGCACTCCAGTCTGGCGACAAAGTGAGACTCCATCTCAAAAAAAAAAAAAAAGAAAGAAAAAGAAAAAAAAAAGAAAAGAAGAAAACTGGACTGCCACATGCTACTCACGTGTTGCTTTTTGCATTCCCCAGGAAAATGCAACTGTGTATTATTTAGCCTTAGATGTTCAAGAATCTGACTGCCGGGTCCTATCCAGGAAACACTGGAATGACTGTGAGCCTGCTGTTTCCAGGCGTTCATCTGATATGCTAAGTAAATAGGGCACCATCGCACTGTTCTATTCATTCTTACTTTCCGTCTACTCCATTCACTCGGGGCAGCCAATGCCTGGGCGAACATAGCAGAAGAGAAAGGGCAACTTTTCCCTTGAGATTCATGAAGATGATGTTGACTTTGAGTGATAACCTTGAGAGTCGTTCTTGGGAACCCAGTTCAAGATATCTCAGCAGGGCTGTGGTCCCATCAAAGAGCATGACCAGCTGTGAGTCCTCGGCCAAATCACCTAATAACATCCCTCCTCGTCAGGGTTTTTGATTGTAAAATAAGAAGAGGGGTTTGGAGTTCATGGACTCTAAGGTCTTCCGCTCCTGATCATCTATGAGTATAAGAATCTATGAACTTATAATTGTGTCCTAGGAACACTGGTCCTATTTTCAGGAATGGTCAAAGCGACATGTTGCAAATTATGAGGGGACACGTGAGGACTCGGGTCTGCTTCTGTGCTTTCCTCATACACTGAGGAAGAGCGTTTCATTGCGTGTGTGGGAGGTGGGTACTCAAATGCCAGGCTCTCTGACACAAGTGGAGAAGATGAAGATGAACAAGCAAATATTCAAGACTTCATTTCCAGAAAATGAGAGGTTCACAATCCTAGGAGTTTCACCACTTTTTCCCTTGAAAATGTTTGGGGTATGGCCATGATGCTTTAAATAGTTTCTCTCTGGTTCTCCTGAGGATTTTTGGTGCCAACAGGAAGCAGCACACAGAAACTGACTAAGAAAACGCAGGTTTTGAGACAAGCTTTGATGAAGGAAGCCCCAAATGCATTTTAAATGGACAGTAGGAGGATGTTGCTTCCTTTTGCTCTCTCATATCTGACCTGAGGAAGGCAGGATGCAATGACTCAGCAAGGCCTCAAGAGCTTCTTTCTTACAGGTGATCGGACAATGTAAGGTAATAGCTACAAGACATTCCCATGAATCTCAGGATCTCAGAATGATTGACTTTAACTGCACCACAAGTTCTGGTATGGTAATTTGTCAAATTGCTAATTAATTCTTGATTAATACAAATTCAATCATACAGTGGTATTCATCACATAATGCCATAAAGTACATGAAAGAAAGGGTCCCTGCCCTCGTGGACTCCATTACTCACTCTTCAGATGGTAGAAGGGAGACAGGTTTCCCTGGTACTGGTACACCTTCCTTTAAGAAAATTCAGTACATAAAATTAGAGATTTGGCTGGGCGCGGTGGCTCACACCTGTACTCCCAACACTTTGGGAGGCCGAGGCTGGCAGATCACCTGAGGTCGGGAGTTCAAGACCAGCCTGACCAACATGGAGAAATCCCGTCTCTACTAAAAATACAAAATTAGCCAGGCGTGGTGGCGCATGTCTGTAATCCCAGCTACTTGGGAGGCTGAGGCAAGAGAATTGCTCGAACCCGGGAGGCAGAGGTTGCAGTGAGCCAAGATTGCACCATTGCACTCCAACTTGGGCAATAAGAGTGAAACCCCATCTCAAAAAAAAAAAATAGAGATTTATGAGAGGTAGGAGAACATCATTACAGACATCATTACAGAGACATAGGCTTGGGTCAGACTTGCTTTAGTTTGAGTATGAACCTCATCACTTAGTAGCTGTGTAAGATTACACAAGAGGGCAGTTACTTAAACTTTTTAACCTTTTATCACTTGTAAAATGAGGATAGTAACAGCATTAGCTTTCAGGATTCTTGTTAGAATTGAATAAGATGCTCCATGTAGCACACTTTGCAGATTATTCTTAGCACTCAATAAATATTGACATCAATGTTTAAATGTCATGAATAGCTCTACAATTTACAAAGCAATGATACCTGTTATCTCATTTAATCTCCCAACAAGGTAATAAAATGTAGATTATGATACTGTCAACTTATGAAATAAATAATTGTGATTGGAAGAGGTTTAATGATTTGCCCTCAGGAACACAGCCAAGGTGCGATGAAGATAAGACTCTATACCAACAGTGTTGACACTAATTTCCATGCTCTTTTTTTTTTTTTAACTTTTTAAAAAAAGAATTATCACAGAATTTTTAATGGCAAATTTCACTATGATTCTATTTACAAAAATTCAATAGGCAAGCTACTGCTGAAGGAGGTTGTTTTAAAGAAAGACTGTGTATCTTCTCCTGTCTCTGGGCAAAATTTTATGTTAATGATACCTTCTCCCTTTTGACAAACACAGGAGGACTTCTTTAAAATATTAGCACTTGATGAGTGGCAGTGGTGGAGGCATCACGAGTAGGGGTAACAACTGAGACTCGGGCATCATAGGAAAGGAAGGAAGGATCAGCAGTTCAGTTCTGTTGCTGGTTGGCTGATTCATCTTGAAGAAGTCACTTACATCCCCCAACCTTCCATTTGTCTATCTGTAAAATGAAAGTTATTGTCCTTCCTTCCACTGAGCCCCCATTGCCATTTTCAAACCTTAACTGCGACACTGCCATTTTCTTTCTCTAGTCTCTTCAGCATTGGCCAATACCAAGGATAGTCCCGTCCTCTTAGATTCCCTCAAGGATACCGAGCTCTACAGAAAACAAGCCAACAAAGCCCTTGTGAAGTATAAAGGAGAGAATGATGACTTTCCCTCTTTCGGAGTGGACCAAGTGCAGAGAACTGCAAGAGTGTTGAGTCTCCACTAATATCCAGCTGGAGTCTGAGGGCCCAGGCTCCAACCTGGCAGCAGGAACTGAACGACACCCCCTCTCCACCTGCCTCACTGGACCAGCTGCCTTTTCATCTGAGGCCCCCATTGTAGCATTTGGAGGAATGAAAGCCAGGCAGCAGGTACCGCTCTCCGGGAAGAACTGCTCTCCCGCAATTTTTTACATTTTTTGGAGGATGTCGGGGCAGTGTGTATCTGTTAGAGAGGAAGGAAAACCCAAAGAGGAAATAGAGAAAGACAAGAGCATATGAGGGTTGTGTCATTAAAAATCATCCAATATTAACCTCCTTGCACTATGATAGAAAACTGAGGCTCAGAGAAACCTCACCACACCCAGTGGTGTGGCTGGAATTAGACAGTTCCCTGCTCACTCTACAAGGACTCAAGTGCTCCCACCCAGAACTGTTTTCAGAGCAGCTGGTTGATGTTTGTCATGCATTCAGAAAATGCAACAGTAAATCAATTGTGTTGCATATAAGAAATGAGGACAGTAAAGTTGCTCAAAGAAAATTTGAACTCATGTGCATTTGAAAGAGTTTCAAGACATATTTTTATAGGAAAATTTACAGAACAATATTTAGAAAAGAGTGCAAATGCTAATATCACACAAAAGTATAAAAACATTTCCAAGAATTGGGGAGAAATAAGATTTGGCACAAAAGTAAAATCATGTCCAATTCGATCAACCTGAATGAATTTGAAAATGCTCCTTGTAGTCAGGACTCCAGTGCTGAGACTTAGTCATTCCTAGCTTTTATTATTAGGCACAGAATGTAAGGGGAATAAATTAGGCTCAAATTTATTATATAAATGTATATAAAATAAGATGCAAAACTATATTTTACATCTGTCCCAGAAATCTTAGTTCTATTTTTTACATGAGTACAAAGATCTGTTTCACGGAATTTTTTATATCAGAAACAAAACTGAAAATAATTCAAATATTTATATCCCAAGTTTAAAAAAAAAAAGAAAAGAAAAGAAAGAAAGGGCAGGAAAGTCACTATGAACATGGCTCCACAGATTTTTAAACATTACACTCTGAACAAGGAGGAGATGGAAGAGGTTAAGTGTTCAGCCTTGAGGAGTAAGAAATGTTGATACCATCAACATTCTCAGACCTCTGTCGAAAATATTAACTAGAAATTACCAGTTTTCCAGTTTTCCAGTGTTGGTCTACGGATGGTTGACATTACATAATATACTTTTGCCACTCTGTATTGAAATGGAAAAACAAGGATTTTCAGACATTGCAGACAAACTGGATCTGTGTAGCGACTCCCTCCTGTAATATTTTTGTATCTAGCATTTATTCCATCTAAGGACTATTCTTTACTCTCACATGGGCTTCTGAGGTTTCTATGGTTTTCCTCACCTTTGTTATCTTTTATCACTCATTTTGTGAAACAGTGATGGTGGTAGGTGATAGTTGTTGTTTATGTTTTAAATATCAATTGGGCTAGATAACAACTTTAGAACCCTTTTTTTTATCCTACTTTTCAAATTCATGTGTGGAATCCAAAATCTGAGTGCCATTGGTCTAAATCCAATGTCTAACTTCTCTTAGAAGTTGAATGTCTAGCTTCTCATTGTGTGTTACATGATAATATTTATTTTTCTGTGTCCTTCATCAGACATGTACGATCATGAATTGCGTGCAACCCCATTTGACCTATCCGCTCCATCCTGGTGGGCGTGAACATTCTCCGATTGCCAAGCCTCCATGTAAGGATCCTTGCCAAGCCCCAAGGATCCAGAGATCATCGTCATCCTGAGAAGCCACATGAACACGATGCCCACTTCCAGTAGATGAAAAAGGTGACTCAGACATTAACCACTTCAAGGGGGGGCTCCTCCACTATTGCCCCTCAGGGTCCAGATGCAACCATGTTTCTTCTAACATGATTGGAACACAAAGTTACTCCCATAATCATAACTCCAGTGAGCTTCATCCTCATGACCATCATCCCCATGGACACCATCTCCAAGGACCCTGTTCCTATGCACACCACCACCATGGCCGTGATTGCTTTGACGATGGACCCTGTAACCCACCACCCTATAGCCAAGGTCCCCAAGGTCACCATTGCCATTGCCACGGCCCACCACCTGGGCACTCAGAAGGACGAGGTCAAGGTAAAGGACACTGTCCCTTCCATTGCAAACTGCATCTGTGTACGGACTCCCTCCCGTAAGGAAAGGTGAGAAGCTACCACTTCCTGAAGCCAATTTTCCCAGCTTCCCATTGCTGCATGATAACAACCCTCTAAAGCCAGACATTCTGCCCTCCCTCAATCTGCCTCTGAATCATGTCCAGGGAAGTTCAAGAGTGAGTTTCCAGAAGCATTCAAGGCTTTTGGACATACATTTCCCAAACAAAATGCAATTCTTTTGATGGGGAAAAATGTATAATAGTTTGAATTAGAATAATAAATTAAATGACCAACACTCATGAAAATCACTGTTCCTTTCACCTTACTTGCATACTCAGGATGAAGCAAAATATGGATGGGGGTGGTGATGGCCTGAGATAATAGATCAAATGGAAAGGAGAGGAAAGAGCTCAGTGCTGCCAATTAGTAGTCAATTCTGTCACTCGCCACTACATCACTTTAGGAAATCTATACCCCTCAGAATTTCCTTCTTTCCTGGACTGAATGCTAATTCTAGAGTCTCTGTTACCGCTTGGGCTATACCTGGGCATAGCAAGAAAATATGGTGCTTAAACTATTATTAAAGTGACCTAAATTCTCTCCTAGTGATTGTTTCTAGTCATCTAAATTTCCTTTAGGAAAAATAAGTTAAATTCAATCATGAAGCAAACAAACCTCTGGCTATAAATTGCAAAGAAGCTTGCTAGCATGAATCATGACCATAAATTCAGGTGCACAAGAAATGTCGCTTTATGTTCAGAACAAATTAATTTCTATCTCAGGTTGCCATCCTATTGGGCTAACAGGAAATTTAACCCCAGTCCTTTTTGGAATTCCCTTGCTCTGCCCTGCTACTTTCCACAGTTGGGCCACAGTTCTAGGATCTCACACAGTTGCCAAGTGGTTCAGGTAGTGGAATCAGGAGGTCAGATCCTTGATCATTGGTCCAACAGTTGTCCCTGCTGAGGGATAGTCAGGACACTGTTCACATCACTCTTTGAATCCAGTTTATCTGCTACTTCTGTAGCAAACTGTAAATGCAGGAGTGTCTGTACCCTAGCAATGGACATGACTGCCAAGCTATAGCACATGGCTACTCTCTCCCTGGGATCTTGCAGCCTTCCTGGCTGCGTGCCCAGAAAGCAGGGCAGAGGTGTCCTCTGCCTCAGAGACCCCTCAACCCACTGTTCTTCTTCTATCTTCTCCCTCAGCTAAGGACTCTCTAGTCTCAGGTAAGTTCACTTTATTTATTTATAGGGCCAGAAGACTCTTTTTTTCACTCCGTAATCTTCTTTCTTTTTCTGTCTCAAATCAGGGCTCGATCATTTGAAACAAGCTAAAAGAATTCAGATTCTCTATACCTTCCAACTGCAATGGTGATATTCAAAGTATTGCATAACCAATGTGAAACAAGCACTGACCAATCAGACCAGAAACAACAACCGATCAGAACAGCCGCCATCCATAAACAACCAGTGTCACCACACCGGCAGATGCAGCTGAATGTGGCCCTGCAGAATCACATTCCTCCTGGAGGCATGGACACCAGGTCAGCTGCTTGAATGAGGAAGAGAGAAAGGTGAGTCCTGGGGAGAAAAAGGTGAGACCCAGGGAGGACAAAAGATACAGAGGTTAATAACTCAGAATATATCTTCCCGCACAAGCACTGGAGTAGAGTTTAATAATTTACAAAGTACTTTCATAAACATTGCTTGAGTTAATGACAATATTACCTGGAATGCAGAGGAGTTGAAGCTCTCAATTCATTTCAATTAAGTGCATTCTTCCCATACACACCCAAACTTATCCGTGGATAAGAAACCATTCCCACACTAGGAGCATACGTTCTGTACTAGAGGTTTTGCACAATACACTATGGATCATTGTTTTTCTAGACATTTTATGTCATCATGGCTAAAAAGTCTATGTATCTTGTTTGCCATTATTCCATAAATTTTCACAGGTGATGTTCACAGACAGAATATAATAGGAGTGTCTCTTCAAATGTCTAAAGCCCAAACTCCTCGCTCTTCCCTGGAAAATTTTTCCCACTTCTTACCATCACCTTTGCTGTCAGTGGCACGACCATTCTTTAAATCCTACAGGCTAGAAATATTTATTGATTCTCTCTTTTTCTTTATCCCCAATAAATTCTATGACAGCACAGACTTTGCTTTGTTCACTAAAGTGACTCCCACATACTAGGGATACAATAAATGTTTGTTTAATGAGCTGGTACAGTAAACATTTATTGTGACTGTGAAGATTTTTCTGTTTTGTAATTTCATCTTTACTAAAAAGTCCCTTATACAGAAAACATCATTGTATCAGAATAGGTCAGTTGCTGGAACAAACAAACTCTGTGGCCTAATGATGGAGAATGTGATTTCTCTGTCATGTTACAGGTCAATATGGGTTATCAGCAGGCGGCCATCTACATGGTGATTCGGGATGCCAGGCTCCTTTTGTCTGTGGCTCTGCCCTCCCCTAGGCCTCAGAATTGACTCTTGGGTCCTCTGCATCCAGCCCACATGGGGAGGGAGTGGAGGATCATGAAAGTGGTTTCTGTGGGCCAGGCCTGGAAGGCGCATGCATGATTCATGCTCACATTTCACTGGCTAGAACTTAGTCATATGGTCACACCTAATGCAAGGGAGATGGGGAAATGAAATCTACCTGTATTCCAAGGAGGAAAGGGCATAGGTAGGGAAAAGGGGCTGCACGATCACCATTTCTTAGGGAAGAAAGAGGAGAACAAAAGAGGTTGAATTACTTGCTTAGGCTCTTATAGTCAGAAAATGTGGGACTGGGATTAGAACTTTGATTGGCTTCCTCCAAAGCCACATGCTGTCTTCTTGATGACACTGCCAGCCGACAATGCCCAGGCCTGTTTCTGAGTCTTCATGGGAAGCACACTTGCTGGTCAGCCTGGACCATTTCTGTCTACTTCCCCCTGGACAGTGCTCCCTCATGCATTTCCCCATCCTCCCAGTGTTCAACTTCTCCATCTCTGATTCTCTTTCTTCTTCTCTGCTCAGAACTTCATAAAATCTCTTCCACTCTACATGTTTTCCACACATCTCACCATTACAATCTACTTTCTCCCATGACTATGAACCTGAAGCTATTTCAGTCAGGCAGGGATTCTTAGACACCTTTCCCTAGTATTAGAGATGGTTTATAAGAACTAATCACCAGCTCCTGCACATATATTACCTCGTTCACTTCTAAAAAATACCCTGTTACGATATCATGATTTTCCAACATTTACAGGTGACAAACCTAAGGCTCAGAAAGGTTATGTGACCCTGTCTTGCTTGGGATCACATAGGTAAGTAGCAGAGCTAGACTGGAATCCAGGTTGGACTTACTGCCAAGTTCATGTTCCTGCCCCACCCCTACAAGGGCACCACTGACTCCCACTGACCCTTCTCCAGGGACTCTAGGGAGAATCAATTAGCAAGTTGGATATCCTAATAACAACAAAAAGTCAACCTTTATGTTTGTAAAACTTGAAGACACACATTTACTACAGGAAAACACATGTCTCTAACCTACCTTTAAAACTCCTCTCTCCATATAGTCTAACTTTATGAAAAAGTTTGCTTAGGCTTGATGAATGCAAAACACCATATCCACTGTAGAGGCAAAAGGTGCAATGCCCTTCCTCACCCATCCTCAGGGTCACAGCTGACTTACCTACAACAAATGACAGGTGAGCAAGAGAAAGCAGAGCATATTTATTTAATCCAAGTTTCCATAACATGAGAGCCTTTAGAATGAAGGCCCAAAGACCCAAGGGACAACTGTCCATTGCTAAGCTTAGATTCCATGAAGACTGGACAGCAGCGTGATCCAACAAAAAAGAAAAGATCCAATAGTAATAGACTATCAGGGAAACCCCATAGGCCTTCTGTTGCAGTTCTCCATGGCCCCTCTGTGCAGCATTTCCTGCACCCAGGTATGGAGCAGGACCCATCTGTCATGCAGATCTTAGGACCTGCTATCAGACAGAGTAGGTTAGAGGATTTATTTTATGGCCAGCTCCTACACAGAAAGGCCTGGATGAAAGGTGAGAGTCATATTTTAGGTTTTATGACCGCTTTGGGGCAGAGGGATTCCCTTTTCTGTGACTTGCCTTTGGGAAGAGGAATTCTAGTTTCTATGGTTTGCCTTGGGGGAGACAGGAGAGTAGGAGAACAAAGAGTGGGAGCAGGTCAGACAGATCTTGCCTCTGAGGCCAGATTTGGCTTCCTTTTGGTTTCTTTCAGTTCAATGGGCTCAGCATGCCAAGGCAACATACTGTGGGGTATCCTGTTCTGAGCCCTAAAATATTCAAGTGAACACAGGAGTGGTAAATGTACTGGGGCAATTTAATGAAGGAGGATCTATTAGGATTGTGTGGGAGGAGGCTTCAGCTGGGTAGTGATGCAAGGGAAGGATTTGCATAGGAAGAGAGCCCGCATAAAGGCATTCCTGGTGAATTCATAGCACACCACTTCTAGATGGGTAGAGAATCAGGAAGAAGGGTGCTAGAGAGCCATTGAATATACACAGAGGGGCTGCATCTATGTTGGCTCTGGAGCTGCCATCAGATGGGAGGAGAGACCGGGCTTATCTTCAGGGAAAGCAAGCTTACTGTCTTCACTTTTAGATTATTTGCCTACCTGAAGTGGATTTGAGGGGCTGATGGACATTAGGGAGAGAACTGAAGCCTCCCTCTTCTATCCCAAAATAAGCTACCCTCCCTTTGGTGGAACAACTGAAACCAGAAGGACAGACCAGGAGTACTACAGAGGACAAACAGAGCAATTTACCCTTCTACCCTTCTTAAAGTATCAGAGAGGGGGCACTGTAGATTGTAGAAAACAGGTGTGCAGGAATTTAGGATTCAACCAGCAATTCAGTGACCATTAGTCCCACTCCAGGCTCATTGTCACATGTTAAGGCACAGGATACATCAGCACAGAGCTACCTCTAAGAGCTAGCATAGAGAGTGGGTGGGTGTGGAGAGAACTCAGTGTGCCTGGGGAAACTGAGGCAAGAGACAGGGACATGAACTAGGAAGCTATTTTATGTATGCTGGTGTGAGAGAATGAAGGCCAAACCTGGGCAGTGGGTATTAAAGCAATGAGAATGAGGAATAGACAAGAGAGACATTTGCCAAGAAAGACCATTCAGGGCCTGGTACTGGATAACAAAAGCAAGGAAAAGTAAGACATCTCGTAGGTTTACATGTTTTACCCCAGTCTAAGGCAATATGTAATTAATGGTGCCACTGACAAAGACAAGGGAAGTGGAGAGGCAGCTGGTTTGTAAGAGAAGAGAGAGGGTTGAGCTTTGGGCAAAGTGACATCAAAGCAGGGAATTCATGTTCAGGAATAGACCTGGGCAAGAGCGCACAACTACAAGAACAGACTGGAGGCCCTGATGAAGCTGTCATCGCTTATACTTCTCGGCGTGTCCCTTCAACACTTCAACACCTCCACCAAACCACCACTGCCATTTAGTGATAGCTTCTTAAAGCTCAAGGGCAGAAGAAACATCATGACCACATAAAAAGAAGATTTGGAAATAACTCATTGAAGCTATTTATTCAAATTAACTCATCAAATGACATAAAGGTAGGACATCTGAAAAGATGTGGAGAGCAGTGAGAATTCTGTGTAAGATATAAAGGTAGATATTACTTCTATTTAAAAAAAAGAAAAAAACCTCTGGACTGCCGCATGCTATTCACGTATCGCTTTTGGCATTTTTCGGGAAACTGCAGCTGTGTTTTATTAGTCAGTGTTCTCTAGAGGGACAGAACTAATAGGATATATATATATATATATATATATATATATATAGGAGTTTATTAAATATTAACTTACACAATCACAAGGTCCCACAATAGGCTGTCTGCAAGTCTGAGGAGGAAGGAGAGCCAGTCCAGGTTTCAAAATGGAAGAATTTGGAGTCCGATGTTCGAGGGCAAAAGCATCCAGCACAGGAGGAGGATATAGGCTAGGAGGCTAGGCCAGTCTCGCCTTTTCATGTTTTTCTGCCTGCTTTATATTTGCTGGCAGCTGATTAGATGGTGCCCACCAGATTAAGGGTGGGTCTGCCTTCCCCAGCCCAGTAACTCAAATGTTAATCTCCTTTGGCAACAGCCTCTCAGACATACCCAGGATCAATACTTTACATCCTTCATCCAATCAAGTTCACACTCAGTACTAACCATCACATGTGTATTAGTCTTAGATGTGCAAGAATCTGATTATTCGGTCCTATCCAGGAAACACTGGAATGACTGTGAGCCAGCTGTTTTCAGATGTCCATCTGATATGCTAAGTGACAGGGCACCTTTGCCCTGCTCCTATCGTTTTTACTTTCCATCTGCTCTTCTCACTCAGGGCAGCCAATGCCTGAGCTAACACAGCAGAAGAGAAAGGGCAGCTTTTGCCTTGAGATTCATGAAGATGATATTGACCTTGAATAATACTATTGAGAGTCATTCCTAGGAACCCAATTTGAGATACCTCAGCAGGGCTGTGGGCCCATGAAACAGCATGACCAGCTGTAAGTCCTTGGGCAAATCACCTAATAACACCCCTTCACGTCAGTGTTTTTTATTGTAAAATAAGAAGAGGGGTTTGGAGTTCATGGACTCTAAGGCCTTCTGCTCCTGACCGTCTATAAGAATCCGACAGAGGGAGCAGGAATAAGACTTTAGAAATATCGATTCTAATGTTCTTTAGAAGGTCTGGAAGGTATAAGCAGGACATGGACTGGAACGTATGCTAAATGACAGCAGACAAATTCTATTTCCTTACCTGAGCAAATATTTTACTGAAACTGCTTATGTATGTCAAACGAGCCCACAACTTCAGCTACACAGCTTTTTGTATTGAAAGAACTCATACTTTTTGTAGCTTTTATTTCACACTTAATTTGAAATGACTTTTAGCACTAAAATGCCTAGAAGATTTTACTCCAGACCTATAAGGAAATGTTTAGTTTTTATGAAAAGTGACAAGTCAGTGGTTAAACTTCTCATGTCTTTGGTGTTTTGGCCCTAATAGTACTGGACAACATCACGACAACATGGAGACATATTTTTGGAAGCAAAACTTTAATTTTATATAATGTATGCTATAGAGAGCTAAGAAAATTTAAGGGCTACTTGTTTTCTTTCTTTCTTTTTTTTTTTTTTTTGCTTAATGAAATGGAATCCACTAGGTTGAAGACTCTTGATATCATGTGCTTGTCTAATCATTTTTTGTTTTATAAATTAGAATAAAATCTAGTTGTGATCATGATCATCAAATGGATATGTTTGGAAAGCTACCTCTTACTTGTGAAATGTTTTTTAAATCAGAGTAACAATAAACTGATTCATTCAGCTTTTCATTAGGTTGTTTTGTTCTTGGCTATAATACTCCTGATTCCTGAAGAATTATGTTAACAAACAGGATAAAATTCCACATGCATTTTATTTCCCAGTGAATTGTATAAACTTTATTTTTGTGGAAGGTTGTATGTTAAATCAATATTACATTCTTATATCACTTCTTGAGAAGGAAGTTCCAACTTGAATTTATCATTTCCTTCAAAATGAAGGGCAGTGCTTAGTTAAATAAAAGATTGATGATATCTTTTAAGCCAAAAAAAAAAAAAAAGAATCTATGAACTTGTAATTGTGTCCTATGAACACTGGTCCTGTTTTCAGGAATGGCCAAAGGGATATGTTGCGAATTATGAGGGGACATGTGAGGGCTCGGGTCTCCTTCTGTGCCTTGCACATACACTGAGGAAGAGGGTTTCACTGTGCATGTGGGAGGTGGGTACTCAAACGCCAGGCTCTCTGATACAGCTGGAGAACATGAAGATGAATAAGCAAAGATTCAAGACTTCATTTCCAGAAAATGAGAGGTTCACACTCCTAGGAGTTTCACCACTTTTTCCCTTGAAAATGTTTGGGGTATGGCCATGATGCTTTAAATAGTTTCTCTCTGGTTCTCCTGAGAATTTTTGGTGCCAACAGGATACAGCACACAGACTGACTAAGAAAAAGGCAGGTTTTGAGACAAGCTTTGATGAAGGAAACCCCAAATGCATTTTAAATGGACAGTAGGAGGATGTTGCTTCTTTTTGCTCTGTCATATCTGACCTGAGGAAGGCAGGACACAATGACTCAGCAAGGCCTCAAGAGCCTCTTTTTATTTTTTGTTTTTAGATTTTTTGGAGATGGAGTTTTGCTATGTCACCCCGGCTGGAGTGCAGTGGTCCGATATCAGCTCACTGCAACCTCCACCTCCTGGGCTCAATCAGTTCTCCTGCCTCAGCCCCCAGAGTAACAGGGATTACAGGCCATGCTACCACGCCTGGCTAATTTTTGTATTTTTAGCAGAGACGGGGTTTCACCATGTTGGCCAGGCTGGTCTCAAACTCCTGACCTCCACTGATCTGCCCACCTTGGCCTCCAAAAGTGCTGGACTTACAGGCGTGAGCCACCACGCCCGGCCTCAAGAGCCTCTTTCTTTCAGGTGATCAGACAATGTAAGGTAATGGCTACAAGACATTCCCATGAATCTCAGGATCTCAGAGTAACTTTGACTGCACCACAAGTTGTGGTATGGTAATCTGTTAAATTGCTAATCGATTCTTGATTAATACAAACTCAATCATACAGTGGTATTCGTCTCATAATGCCATGATGTACATGAAAGAAAGGGTCCCTGCCCTCATGGACTTCATTACTGACCCTCCAGAGAACAGAAGGGAGACAGGTTCCCCTGGTACTGGTACACCTTCCTCTAAAGGAATTCAAGGCTTAAAAATAGAGATTTATGACTGGTAGGATAGCAACACAGAGAAATAGGCTCTGGAGCCAGCCTTGCTTTAGTTTGAATCTGAACCTCATCACTTAGGAGTTATGTAAAATTACACAAGGCAGAAGTTACTTAAACTTTTTAAACTTTTATCACTTGCAAAATAAGATAGCAACAACATTAGCTTTTTGAATTCTTTTAGAATTAAATAACATGCAATAAAAAAGAATTAAATAACATGCTCTATGTAGCACACTTTGCAGATTATTCTTAGCACTCAGTAAGTATTGATGTCAACATTTAAATGCCATGAATTACTCTACAGTTTACAAAACAATGATGCCTGTTACCTCATTTAATGTCCCAACAAGGCAATAAAATATAGATTATGATACTGTCAACTTAAGAGATAAAATAATTGTGACTGGAAGAGGTTTAATGACTTGCCCTTGGGAGCACAGCCAAGGCTCAATGAAGATAGGACTCTATACTAACAGTGTTGACGCTAATTTCCATGCTCTTTTTCTTTACTTATTCAAAAAGAATTATCACAGAATTTGTTTAATGGCAAATTTCACCATGATTCTATATATAAAAATTCAGTAGGCAAGCTACTGCTGAAGGAGGTTGCCTTAAAGAAAGGTTGAGCTGTATCTTCTCCGCTCTCTGTGCAAACCTTTATGTTGATAATGTCTCTTCCTCCTTGGCAAACACAGGAGGACTTCTTTAAAATATTAGCACTTGATGAGTGGCAGTGGTGGAGGCATCATGAGTAGGGGTAACAACTGAGACTCGGGCATCATAGGAAAGGAAGGAAGGATCAGCAGTTCAGTTCTGTTGCTGGTTGGCTGATTCATCTTGAAGAAGTCACTTACATCCCCCAACCTTCCATTTGTCTATCTGTAAAATGAAAGTTATTGTCCTTCCTTCCACTGAGTCCCCGTTGCCATTTTCAAACCTTAACTGCGACACTGCCATTTTCTTTCTCTAGTCTCTTCAGCATTGGCCAATACCAAGGATAGTCCCGTCCTCTTAGATTCCCTCAAGGATACCGAGCTCTACAGAAAACAAGCCAACAAAGCCCTTGTGAAGTACAAAGGAGAGAATGATGACTTTCCCTCTTTCGGAGTGGACCAAGTCCAGAGAACTGCAAGAGTGTTGAGTCTCCACTAATATCCAGCTGGAGTCTGAGGGCCCAGGCTCCAACCTGGCAGCAGGAACTGAACGACACCCCCTCTCCACCTGCCTCACTGGACCAGCTGCCTTTTCATCTGAGGCCCCCATTGTAGCATTTGGAGGAATAAGAGTCAGCAGGCAGCAGATACTGCTATCCTGGAAGAACTGCTCTCCTCCAAGTCTTTTAATCTTTTGGAGGGTGTAGGGGCAGTGAATATCTGTTAGAAAGGAAGGACAATCCAAAGAGGAAATAGAGAAAGACAAGAGCATATGTCATTAAAAATCATCCAATATTAACCTCCTTGCACTATGATAGAAAACTGAGGCTCAGAGAAACCTCACCACACCCAGTGGTGTGGGTGGAATTAGACAGTTCCCTGCTCACTCTACAGGGACTCAATTGCTCCCACCCAGAACTGTTTTCAGAGCAGCTGGTTGATGTTTGTCATGCATTCAGAAAATGCAACAGTAAATCAATTGTGATGCATATAAGAAATGAGGACAGTAAAGTTGCTCAAAGAATATTTGAACTCATGTGCATTTGAAAGAGTTTCAAGACATATTGTTATGGGAAAAGGTTACAGAACAATATTTAGAAAATGAACCCATTTATATTAATTACTTAGGTCTACCTGTATATGTGCTACATATCTAGGAAAAGTCTAGAAGGAAAAACACATTAACTGAATGAGTGAAATCTCTGAAAAGTAGAAGTTGGGGTGCAGGAAGGTTTTTTTCACACCCTGCTTCATTGTGTTCGTATTATTTGAACCTTTTCAATGAAATGGTATTCACCTTATCACTTAGGTGATATATATTTTTAGAAGGCAGAATCCATAAGAAAAATGCACATATTGGTGGTTTTGAATCCTCCTAGTGCTTTCCAATATGTTGGATGGTAGGTATCTGCTGCTTTATTTTTTCCTTTTCACTGAAAACTGAAAACTGTTTTGTTCCTGAAACTGTTTTGTTCCCACCTGTTCTAGAGAGGAGAGAAATGAGCCAATTACTATGTGGACTTCTCTGTGAGGAACTGCTCCAGGCACCATTTTCCCAGACACCCCAATGTGAGTGTAAAAAATGTCTCAGCCAAATAATTATCTTGGAGCACTTATTATCTGCCAGGCATTCTTATAAGTGCTTTACATATATGGTAAATTATTAGCCCTCCCACCACCCTGTAAGATAGATACTTTTTTTTTTTTTGAGACGGAGTCTTGCTCTGTCACCCAGGCTGGATGCAATGGCGCAATCTCAGCTCACTGCAACCTCCGCCACTCGGGTTCAAGCAATTCTCCTGCCTCAGCCTCCTGAGTAGCTGGGATTACAGGCGTGTGCCACCACCACCATGCCCAGCTAATCTTTTTTTTTTCTTAGTAGAGACGAGGTTTCACCGTGTTGGCCAGGATAGTCTTGAACTCCTGACCTTTTGATCCACCCACCTTGGCCTCCCAAAGTGCTGGGATTACAGGCATGAGCCACCGTGATCAGCTGAGATACTGAGATAGATACTATTTTTATCCCGTTTGCAGATGGGAAACCTGAGGCCACAGAAGTTATGTGAATCATGCTTCCTCCCTTCTAAGGAAAGAATTAAAAAAAAAAAACTCAGTTTTAAGTTTAGGTATATATCATGTATATTATAAAATCATATAATTTTCATATAATTTCATATATCATATGAATCAGATTAAAGACTTAGCTAAAAATAATAACCAGCTTTTATTTATTTTTTTTTTTAATTTTAAGTTCTGGGTACATGTGCAGGATATGCAGGTTACACAGGTAAATGTGTGCCACTGTGATTTGCTTTACCTATCAACCCATCACCTAAGTATTAAGTCCAGCACGCATTAGCTATTTTTCCTGATGCTCTCCCTTCCCCCACACCCCCCTAGAGGCCCCAGTGTGTGATATTCCCCTCCCTTTGTCCATGTGTTCTCATTGTTCAGCTCCCACTTATAAGTGAGAACATGTGGCATTTGGTTTTCTGTTCCTGTGTTAGTTTGCTGAGGATAATGGCTTCCAGCTCCATCCATGTCCCTGCAAAGGACACAATCTTGTTCCTTTCTATGGCCGCATAGTATTCCATGGTATATATGTACCATATTTTCTTTATCCAGTCTATCACTGATGGGCATTTGGGTTGACTCCATGTCTCTGCTATTGTGAATAGTGCTCCAATGAATATATGTGTGCATGCATCTTTATAATAGAAGGATTTATATTCCTTTGAATATATATCCAGTAATGGGATTGCTGGATCAAATGGTATTTCTGGTTCTAAGTCTTTGAGGAATCACAACACTGTCTTCCACAATGGTTGAACTAATTTACATTCCCACCAACAGTGTAAAAGTGTTCCTATTTCTCCACAGTCTTGCCAGCATCTGTTATTTCTTGACTTTTTAATAATTGCCATTCTGACTGGCATGAGATGGTATCTCATTGTGGTTTTGATTTGCATTTCTTTAACGATTAGTGATATTGAGCTTTTTTCCTATGTTTATAACCAGCTTTTATTAAGACCCTACACAGCAAGTATTTTTATTCATTCCAACTGATTGACACCCACAAAGATCCCATTTGATAAATGAGGAGGTAACTGATGCTCAACTAATGAAGGGTCTTGCCAACATTCACAACCAAGCTGAGATTAAAATCCATTTCTTTTCATGCATAGTCCTGTGGGATTTTTCACCTGATTATTTACAAATTGATACCCATGTACCTGCAGGAAATTGTTGCTAATAATAACTGGTATTTGCATGGTGACCTACAGTTTACAAAACACTGTCACATATACTACTGCCATTTTAGAACCTCAAGATAATGCCACTGACAAGGAAAAGCAAGTGTCTGCCTCCATTTCCTTGGGAAAAGGTGGCCTAGAGTTTTAAACACTTAACAAAGGGCAATTATCTAGAAAGTTTTAGGACACAGAATTTTAATTCTGATTTCACATTGAGGATTTTTCTGAGGCTTGACAACATATTGTTCATAGCTGGAAGGAAGGAATCATATATTAGTTACTTTTCAGGCTGTGGAAATTATCAACCTGAACCAGTTGTAGAATTCTGCTTAGAGGCCACCAGAAAAGACACCTCCTTCCCCTATCCCCATCCCCAACTAACTCTTCCTGAGTTTGGTGTGGGTAATGTAAGCCCAGTCGTGAACCATGGAAGCCGGAGAAGAGGCTGGGGGCTAAATGTTTTACAGCACACTCTCATTTAACTGAGCCCTCCAATGCCGGGCATGACGCCTGTAATCCCGGCACTTTGGGAGACAAAGGCAGGCGGATCACTTGAGGCAGGAGTTCAAGACCAGCCTGGCCAACACGGTGAAACCCTGTCTCTACCAAAAAATACAAAAATTAGCAGGGCATGGTGGCAGGCTCCTGTAGTCCCAGGAACTTGGGAGGCTGAGGTAGGATAATCGCTTGAACCCAGGAGGCAGAGGTTGCAGTGAACTGAGATCTCACCACTGCACTCCAGCCTCAGTGACAGAGTGAGATTCTGTCTCAATAATAATAATAATAATAATAATAATAATAATAGAGCCTTCCTACACCTGTGAGTACATATTATTATCCCCATTTTACAATGGCTGGCTTTCAGAAATTTTGTGTAACTTTCCCAAACTCACAACTAGGAAATGGAGAAGCCAGGATTAACATAGGTCTCTCTGATTCCCAAACTGTACTCAGAACCTCAATGCTTAGCAGTTTCTTCTAGCAGACAGCTGTCCTCTTGACCTAGTCGATCTTTCACAGCTGGGGTTGGGGCCTCTGGAGCACAGGAGTGCCAGCCAGTTGTAGCCCTTGTGTTTACGGTGGAGCCAACAGACACTTGCCTTGACAGTGTCCATGAAAACCCATCTTTATGCTATATGGGTGCCCTCCTGTCCAACACTTTCCTCCAAGGGACTAGCTGAAGTTGCAAAAATCCCTCTTCAATAACATTCTTCATTGTTTCTAGGCACAGGCAACTCAGGTCTCCAGGGCAGAAGGGTTGGCCTAAAGGCAAGGCAGCAATGATGTGGTTTTCCTCACCACAACCCATGGGGAAGCCCAGTGCTGGTGCCTGCTCATGACAAAACCACAGCAACTTGAGTGATACCCTTCACCACCTGCACTTTCCCCAAAGTGTTAACGAGGAAAGATTGCTGAACAGCTGATGTAGATATCTGATCATATTACTCTTATTTTTTCTAAAGCTCTTCTTCCTTTCCTGAATGTCTGGAAGTTCACACCTCTGGCTGGGCATCTTCACTTCCCCATGTGCGCACATATACACCACACATACACACACACACACTAACAGGTTTATCTCTCCTTTGAAAGTTTATGGAGTCTGCAGAGTATATTTGTCCTACGATGCAGGAGCCTTGGACTTGAAAAGCCCAAAAGATCTTGTCGTAATCTGCAAAGTCTTCAACCCTCAGGTGGGTTGTCTAAGCAACTTTGTCATGAGCAGTGCCAGACTAAGTGAATTTGCACACACATAGTGTAATTGGTTCTTATGGCTTTGTAAGAGAGATTGTGTGTGAAAGAGAGAGAAAGAGAAAGACAAGAGATACAGAGCATGCCCCATACTGGGGAAAGGAGTGCAATTGCTATTATCACATGAAAAGTACAAATACTTTTCCAAGAATTGGGGAGAAACAAGATTTGGAAGAAAAGTAAAATCATGTCCAATTCAATCAACCTTGAATGAATTTGAAAATGCTCCTTGCAGTCAGGACTCCAGCGCTGAGACTTAGTCATTCCTAGCTTTTATTATTAGGCACAGAATCTAAGGAGAATAAATTAGCCTCAAATTTATTATATAAATGTATATAAATAAGATGCAAAACTATATTTTACATCTGTCCCAGAAATCTTAGTTCTATTTTTTACATGAGTACAAAGATTTGCTTCATGGAATTTTTTATATCAGAAACAAAACTGAAAATACTCCAAACATCCACATCCCAAATTAAAAAAAGAAAGAAAGAGAAACAAAGGGCAGGGTTGTCACCATGAACATGACTCTGTAGATATTTTTAAAAATTAAACTCTAAACAAGGAAGAGGGGGAAGAGGTTAAGTGTTCAGCCTTGGGGAGTAAGGGATGTCCATACCGTCAAGCCTCAGACCTCTATCAAGAATATCAATTATAAGGCCGGGCGCAGTGGCTCACGCCTGTAATCCTAGCACTTTGGGAGGCCGAGGCGGGAGGATCACGAGGTCAGGAGATCCAGACCATCCTGGCTAACACGGTGAAACCCCATCTCTACTAAAAATACAAAAAATTAGCTGGGCATGGTGGTGGACGCCTGAAGTCCCAGCTACTCCGGAGGCTGAGAGGAGAATGGTGTGAACCCAGGAGGCGGAGCTTGCAGTGAGCCGAGATCGCACCACTGACTCCAGCCTAGGTGACAGAGCAAGACTCCCTCTCAAAAAAAAAAAAAAAAATCAATGATAAGGCACTAGTTCCCCAGTGTTGGTCCCACACATGGGTTCCAGGCCATAATATAGTTTCACCACTGTCTGTTAAAATGAGAAAAATAAGGATAATAATGTTTCTTTTTTTTTCCATAGAGATGGGGTTTCGTCGTGTTGCCCAGGCTGGTCTCGAACTCCTGAGCTCAAGTGATCTGCCCACCTGGGCCTCCCAAAGTGCTGGGATTACAGGCATGAGCCACCATATCCAGCTGATAACAATGTTTTTTATATCTAACATTTATCCATCTGTAGGACTATCTTTTACTCTGAAGTTGTATTTCTGACCCTTTTGTGAAATGATGATGGAAGATGACAGTTGTTTATATTTTAAATATCAACTGGGTTAGATGACAATTTCAGAACCGTTTTTTAAATTCTACTTTTCAAATTCATTTGTGGAACCCAAGATCTGGGCGCCATTGGTCTAAACCCAGTTAAATGTCTAAGTTCTCATTGCGTGTTACATGATGATATTCACTTTTCTGTGTTCCATAACCAGGAATATAGAATCATCAATGGTGTAAACCCCATTTGGGCTATCCTTTTTTCACATTTGGGCTAACCTTTTCACTCTGGTGGACATGAGCATTCTCCTACTGCTAAGCTTCCATTTAAACCCCACGGGTCCCGAGATCACCATTATCCCCACAAGCCACAAGAACTTGGATTCCCACCTCGCCCAGATGAAAAAGATCACTCGGACAGACCTCCACTTCAACAAAAGAGCTCCTTCACAATTGCCCCCTTCTTGGTCAACAGGTCATCACACCCCTTCTGGCACAAACAGGACCCAAAATCACCCTCATGACTCTAATTCTACAGTCTCTATTACTGCTTGGGCTACATCTGGGCATACCAAGAAGGTATGGTACTTAAAGGATGGACGATGATAGTGATGAAGATGATGATTATTATTATTACAAAAGTGATGCAAATTCTCTCCTAGTGATTATTTCTAGTTACATAAATTTCCTCTTGGAAAAATAAGTTCTAAATTCAATCATGAAGCAAACAAACCTCTGGCTATAAATTGCAAAGAAGTTTGCTGGCATAAATCATGATCGTAAATTCATGTTCACAAGAAATATCACTTTATGTTCTGAACAAATTTATTTCAATTTCATGTTGCAATCCTACTGGCCTAGTGGGAAATTTAGCCCCAGTCCTTCTTGGGGTACCCTTGCCCTACCCTGCTATTTTCCACACAAGGTTGGGCCACAGTTCTAGAATCTCACACAGTGCCAAGCTGTCTCGGTAGTGACCACCAGAAGGAGGTCTGATCCTTGATCATTAGCCCAACAGTCGCCCCTGCTAAGGGATAGTCACCACCCTGTTCACATCACTCTGAGTCTGGTTTATCTGCTACTTCTGTAGCAAAGTGTGGATGCAGGAGTGTCTGTAACTAGCAATGGACATGACTGCTAAGATAAGGCATGTGACTATTCTCTCCCTGGCTTCTTGCTGCCTTTCTGGCTACAGGCCCAGAAAGCAGGGCAGAGGTGTCCTCTGCTTCAAAGACCCCAGGCCCCGCTGCTCTTCTTATATCTTCTTCCTCAGCTAAGGGCTCTCTTTCTAGTTTCAGGCAAGTTCACTTTATTTATTTTTAGGGCCAGAAGACTATTTTTCCATGCTGAAATCGTCTTTCCTTTTCCTTCTCAAATCAGAGCTCAATCATTTGAAACAAGAAAAAAGAATTCAGATTCTCTACACCTTCCAACTACAATGGTGATACTCAAAGTATTGCATAACCAATATGAAACAAGCACTGACCAATCAGTCCAGATAAAACAACGAATCAGAACAGCCACCATCCATAAACAACCAGTGTGGCCACGCTGGCAGATGTAGCTGCATGTGGCCCTGAAGAATCACATTCCTCCTGGAGGCATGGACACCAGGTCAGCTGCTTGAATGGGGAGAAGAGAAAGATGAGAACCAGGGAGGACAAAAGATACAGAGGTTAATAACTCGGAATGTATCCTCCTGCAGAAGCACTGGAATAGGGTTCAATAATTTACAAAGTACTTTCATGAACATTGCTTGAATTAATTACAATACTACCTTGAATACAGAGGAGTTGAAGCTCTCAATTCATTTCAATTAAATGCATTCTTCACATGCACACCTGATACTGCAGGGGAATAATGGGATAAGAAACCATTCCCGGGCCGGGCGCGGTGGCTCACGCCCGTAATCCCAGCACATTGGGAGGCTGAGGCGGGCGGATCACGAGGTCAGGAGATCGAGACCATCCTGGCTAACACAGTGAAACCCCGTCTGTACTAAAAACAAAAAAAATTAGCCAGGTGTGGTAGCGGGCGCCTGTAGTCCCAGCTACTCGGGAGGCTGAGGCAGCAGAATGATGTGAACCCGGGAGGCAGAACTTCAGTGAGCCGAGATCGCGCCACTGCACTCCAGCCTGGGCGACAGAGCGAGACTCCATCTCAAAAAAAAAAAGAAAGAAAGAAACCATTCCCACCCTGAGATCACACATTCTACTAGAGGCTTTAGACGATACACCATGTGTCCTTGCCTTTCTAGACTTTTTATGTCATCATGGCTAAAAAGGCTATGAATCTTTGCAAATACTCTGTAGACTTTCACAGGTGATGTTCACAGAGGGAATGTGACTGCCTCCTCAAATGTCTAAAGCCCAGTCGCCTCACTCTTCTCTGGAAAAGTTCTCCCACTTCCCACCATCACCCTTGCTGTCAGTGGCACCACCACTCTCTACGTCCTACAGGAGAGAAATGCTTACCGGTTCCCTCTTTTTCTTCATCCACATAATAGCACAGACGTTGTCTGGTTTGTTCACTAAAGCGCCTCCCAAACACGAGGGGTTCAAGAAACGTTTATTTAATGACCTGGTGCAGTAAACATTTATTATGACTCTGAAGATTTTTCTGTTTTGTAATTTCATCTTTACCAACAAGTCCCTTATACAGAAAATATCATTGTATCAAAATAGGTCAGTTGCTGGAACAAACAAACTCAGTGGCCTAATGATGGAGAATGTGATTTCTCTGTCATGTTACAGGTCAATACGGGTTATCAGCAGGTGGCCATCTGCATGGTGATTCGGGATGCCAGGCCCCTTTTGTCTGTGGCTCTGCCTTCCCCTTGGCCTCAGAATTGTCTCTTGGATCCTCTGCATCCAGCCCACATGGGGAGAGAGTGGAGGATCATGAAGGTGGTTTCTGTGGGCCGGGTCTGGAAGGCGCATGCATGATTCATGCTCACATTTCACTGGCTAGAACTCAGTCATATGGCCACACCTAATGCAAGGGAGATGGGGAAATGAAGTCTACCTGTACTCCAAGGAGGAAAGGGACATAGGCAAGGAAAATGGGCTGTACCATCACCATTTCTTAGGGAAGAAAGAGGAGAACCAAAAAGGTCGAATTACTTACTTAGGATCTTACAGTCAGAAAATGTGGGACTGGAATTAGAACCTTGATAGGCCTCTGCCACAGCCACATGCTGTCTTCTTGATGACACTGCCGGCAGACGCTGCCCGGGCCTGTTTCTTTTGTTGTTATTGTTTTGAGATGGAGTTTCCAGCTCGTCGCCCAGCCTGGAGTGCAGTGGTACGATCTCGGCTCACTGCAACCTCCCCCTTCCTGGGTTCAAGAGATTCTCCTGCCTCAGCTTCCCAAGTAGCTGTGATTACAGGCACCTGCCACCATGCCCAGCTAATTATTGTATTTTTAGTAGACATGAGGTTTCGCCATGTTGGCAAGGCTAGTCTCATACTCCTGACCCCAAGTGATTCGCCTGTCTCTGCCTCCCAAAGTGCTGGGATTACAGGTGTGAACCACCGCGCCTGGCCTGTTTGTGAGCCTTCACTGGAAACACACATTCTGGTCAGCCTCGACCACTCCTGTCCACTTCCCCCTGGACAGTGCTCCCTCATGCATTTCCCCATCCTCCCAGTGTTCAGCTACTGCATCTCTACTTTTCCTTCCTCTCTGTCTCAGAACTTCACAAAATCTCTTCCACTCTTCATGTTTTCCACACAATTCCCCATTACAATCTACCTTCTCCCATGACTATGAACCTGAAGCTATTTCAGTCAGGCAGGGATTCTTAGACACCTTTCCCTAGCTTTGGAGATAGTTTATAAGAAATAATCACCACGCCCTGCACATATATTAATATTACCTCATTCACTTCTCAAAAACACCGTTAAAATATTATGATTTTCTACCATTTACAGGTGAGAAACCTAAGGCTCAGAAAGGTTATGCGACCCTGCCTTGCTTGGGATCACATAGGTAAGTGGCAGAGCTAGATTGGAATCCAGGTTGGACTTACTGCCGAGCTCATGTTCCTGCCCCACCCCTACAAGGGCCCCATTTGCTCCCACTGACCCTTCTCCAGGGACTCCAGGGAGAATCAACTGGCAAGTTAGACATCCTAACACAACAAAACTTCAAACTTTATGTTTTCAAACCTTGAAGATACACATTTGCTAAGGACAAACCCATGTCTGTAACCTACCTTTAAAACTCCTCTCTCTGAATAGTCTAAATTTATTTAAAAGTTTGCTTAGGTTTTGTGAATGCAAACCACGATATCCACCGTAGGGGCAAAAAGGTGTGATGCCTTTCCTTACAGATGCGACCCTTATAAGGGTCTTACAACAACAAAAAGGGTTAACAAGGGAAAGCATAGCATATTCATTTAATCCAAGTTTTTATAGCATGGAAGTCTTCAGGATGAAGACCCAAACACACAAGTGACACTGTTCGTTGTTAGGCTTAAGTCGACGAAGACTGTACAACAGTATAAAATGTGATTGGATTAATAGGGAAAGATCCCATAGTAATAGACGGTCAGGGGAAACCCAGCGAGGCCTTCAGTTTGAGTTCTCCATGGCCCCTCTGTGTGGCAATTCTTGCTTCTGGGTATAGGGCCCAATCCCTCTGGAATATGGATCTGAGGACCTATTATCAGACAGGGTATATCCTGGAATTTCTTTATGGCCAGCTCCTACAAAGAAAGGCCCAGGGGGGAAGGTAGAGCTATATTTTAGGTTTTATGGCTGTTTGGGGGCAGAGGTATTTCACTTTCTGGGACCTGCCTGGGGGAAGAAGAATTCTAGTTTCTATGGTGCCTTAAGGGAGAAAGGAGAGCAGGAGAAAGTAGAGTGGGAGAAGGTCAAACAGATCTCGCTTCTGAGGCCCTTTTGGTTTCCTTCAGTTCAAAGGACTCAGCATATCAAGGCACCACAGTTTGGAACATCGTATTCTGGGTCCCAACAATATTCAAGCGAACACAGGAGTGGTAAACGTACTGGGGCTACGTAATGAAGGCGGATCTATTAGGATTGCATGGGAAGAGGCTTCAGCTGTGTAGTGATGCATGGGTAGGATTTGCATAGGAAGAGGGTCTGGGTAAAGGCATTCCTGGTGAATTCCTGGCACCACTACTTCTAGGTGGGTAGGGAATCAGAAAGAAGGGTGTTGGGGAATAATTGAATATAAGCAGGGGGTTCCAGAAGTTCTGTGTGGGCTCTGGAGCTGTCATTATTTGGGAGATGAGCCTGTGGGCTCATCTTAAGGCAAAACAAGGCTACTGTTTTCACTTCGATTCTTTGCTTACCTGGAGTGGATTTGAGTGGCTGAAGACATTATGGAAAGACATGAAGCCTCCCTTCTCTCTCCCAAAATAAACTACTCCCTCTTTGGTGAAACAACTGAAATCAGGAGGACAGACCAGGAGCACTACAGAGTACCACAGGAGTGCTACAAAGCAATGTACCCTTCTTAATGTATCAGAGAGGGAGCACTGCAAGTTGTAGAGAACAGGAGTGCTGGAACTTAGAATTCCATTCAGTGACCTTACTCCCATTCCAGACTCTGCTCCAGGTTATAGCACAGCGTGCTTCAGCACAGAGCTACCTCTGAGAGCTAGCATACAGAGTGGGTGAGTGGGAGAGGCCCCAGGGTGCCTGGGGAATCTCAGGCAGGCGACAGGGACATGAACTTGGAAGTTATTTTATGTATGCGGGAATGAGGGCCAGACCCAGGCAGTGGGAATTAGGGCAATGAGAATGAGGAATAGACATGAGAGATACTGCCAGTTGGTTGATGTTTGTCATGCATTTAGAAAATGCAAAGTTAGGCCGGGCATAGTGGCTCATGCCTGTAATCCCAGCACTTTGGGAGGCCGAGGTGGGTGGATCGCCTGAGGTCAGGAGTTTGAGACCATCCAGGGCAACATGGTGAAACCCCGTCTCTACTAAAAATACAAAAAATTAACCAGGTGTGGTGGCACGCACCTGTAGTCCCAAATACTTGGGAGGCTGAGGCAGAAGAATCGCTTGAGCCCCAGAGGTGAAGGTTGCAATGAGCCGAGATTATGCCACTGCACTCCAGCTTGGGCCACAGAGTGAGATTCCATCAAAACAGAAAGAAAAGAAAAAGAAAAAGAAAGAAAGAAAAGAAGGAAAGAAACAAAGAAAGAAAGAAAGAAAGAAAGAAAGAAAGAAAGAAAGAAAGAAAATGCAAAATTAAATAGACTGCAATGTATACAAGCCATGAAGTGAATAGAAGGCTAGAAGGAGAAGCATATAAAATGAATGACAGTGGCACCTCTGAGAAGAAGCTGGGGTGCAGGATGGGTGATTTTTCACACTCTTCTTATATTCATATCATTTGAACGTTTTCAGTGAAATGATATTCACCTTATCACTTAGGTGGTACATTTTGTGAAAGGCAGAATGAAGAATGGTGTTGAAGCACAGGCAACTCAGGTCTCCAGGGCAGAAGGGTTGGCCTAAGGGCAAGGCAGCAATGGTATGGTTTTCCTCACCACCACCCATGGGGAAGCCCAGTGCTGGTGCCTGCTCATGTCTAGCAGACAGCCATCCTCCTGTCTTAGTTCACCTTTCACAGCTGGGTTTAGGGGCCTCTAGAGCACAGGAGTGCCAGCCAGTTGTAGCCCTTGTACTTAGGGTAGAGCCAGCAGACACTTACCTTGACAGGATCTGTGAAAACCCATCTTTATGCTGTATAGTTCCCTTTTTTTTCAACACTTTCCTCCATGGCAGAAAACCACAACAACTTGAAATGAGACACTTCACCACCTGTGCTTTCTTCAAAGTGTACACGAGGACAGATTGTTGAGCCACTGGTGGGGCGATCTGATCATATTACTCTGATTTTTCTAAAGCTCTTCTTCCTTTGCTGAAAGACTGGAAGCTCACAACTCTGGCTGGGCATCTTCAGTTCCCCATATGCATACACACACACAGACACACACACACACACACACACACACACACACGCTTCTCTCCTCTTTGAACGTCTTTGGATTCTGCAGAGCAGATTTGTCCTATGATGTCATAAACTGTGAAGTCTTCAACCCTCAGGTTGGTTTTCTAAGTAGGCTTTGTTATGAGCAGTACCAGACTAAGTGGTATTTGCACACACATAGTGTCTTTGGTTCTTATGGCTCTGGGTGTGTGTGTGTCTGTGTGTGTGAGGGAGGAGTAGGGGAAGAGATACAACACTCCTGGGGAAGGGAGTGCAATTGCTAGTATCACATAAAAAGTATGAAAACTTTTCCAAGAATTAGGGAGGAATACGATTTGGCAGAAAAGTAAAGTCATATCCAATTCAATCAACCTTGAATGAATTTAAAGGTGCTCCTTGTAGTTAGGACGCCAGTGCTGAGGCTCAGTCATTGCTAGCTTTTAATATTAGACATAGCATCTGGGTGCGGTGGCTCACACCTGTAATTCTAGCACTTTGGGAAGCCAAGGCAGGCAGATCACTAGAGGTCAGGAGTTCGAGACCAGCCTGGCCAACATGGTGAAACCTCGTCTCTTCTAAAAATACAAAAATTAGCTGGGCGTAGTGGCAGTCCCCTGTAATCCCAGCTACTTGGGAGGCTGAGGCAGAAGAATTGCTTTAACCCGGGAAGTGCAATGAGCTGAGATTGCACCACTGCACCGCAGCCTAGGCCACAGAGCAAGACTCTGTCTCAAAAAAAAAAAAAAAAAAAAAAATTAGGCATAGAATCTAAGAATAAATTTAACCTGAAATTTATAAGTGTATATAAAATAAGATGCAAAACCATGTTTTACATCTCTCCAAGAAATCTTTGTTCTATTTTATAGGTGAGCACAAAGATTTTCTTTACATAATTTTTTATCAGAAACAAAAAGATTGAAAATAGTCCAAACATCTATGTCCTGTGTCAAAAAAAAAAAAAGGAAAAAAGAAAGAAAAAGAAAAATTAGGTTTGTCCTCATGAACATGGCTCTACAGACTTTTTAAAAAAATAAAGTCTGAACAAGGAGCAGAGTGAATAGGCCGAATTTTTTTTTTTTTTTTTTTTTTTTGGACAGAGTTTTGCTCTTGTTGCCCAGGCTGGATTGCAATGGCGCAATCTCAGCTCACTGCAATCTCCACCTCCCGGGTTCCAGCAATTCTCCTGCCTCAGCTTCCCGAGCAACTAGGATTACAGGCATGTGCCACTACGCCCGGCTAATTTTGTATTTTTAGTGGAGATGGGGTTTCTCCATGTTGGTCAGGCTGGTCTCGAACTCCCGACCTCAGGTGATCCACCCATCTCAGCCTCCCAAAGTGCTGGGATTACAGGTGTGAGCCACCGTGCCTGGCCAATTTTTACTGGAGTAAGGATGTTGATACCATCAAGCCTCACACTTCTGCTGAGATTATCAACTGTAGTTTTCCAATGTTGGTCTACAGGTGGGGACCATTCTGTAATATAGTTTCCCCACTCTGTGTTGATGTGAGGAAAATAAGAATAATAAAGTTTTATTGCTGGCTTTGAGGGAGAAGGGTTCTATGACCCGCCTTGGGGAAGAGAAATTCTAGCTTCTGTGGCCTGCCTTGAGAGAAGTGGAGCAGGAGAAAGACGGGCAGGAGAAAGCAAGAAAGAGACTTTGCTTTTGCAGCCTTTTTAATGTCTTTCAGTTCAAAGTACTCGGCATGCCAAAGAGCCATATTTGGGGCTATCTTTTTCTGTGCCAAACCAACAACACCAAACCAGAAAGAAGCAAGCATAGGGAATCCAGGGCTTCACTCAACCCATCCCTTCCTATGCTTTTCCTCTATCTCCACCCTGGGAGCAATTTTCTTTTACAGAACTAATGCAACTGAGCAGAGAAAGGCTGGCCTGTCCAGAGAGCAGATAGGACGCCCATATTTTATTTTCAGTTGTGCCAATGTCCTGCATGGGACTCCTGGAACTCACTGGATGCCCCTGTGCATGAGCTTCTTAGGCATGTAATAGAATTAACAGCAGTCTGCTTCTATGCAGGTAGGTATCCTGCAAAGAAACTTTGTATGAAATGTGTCTGCACATTGTACTCATTCTTGCATTGTTTACCCATGTAGTGACCTTCAAAAATGGCTTTGCAAAAGTCACAGGGGAATAACCGAGTTAGTAGGCACTTGTTTCCCCTCCTTCATCAGATTCTGCTCTGATTTGCTACATAAAGTTGTATAATCACCTGGAAATATGCACTGTGCTGCCACGTGATTTTCAAATGCAAATGAGCAGGTTAACAACCCCAGTGTTGCAATGTTCTAGCTGTAAATATGTTTGGATAACCCAGCAGAGCCATTTAACCTTTGGGAACAAGGCAACTAGCGTCTGGCAGCAGGAATCCAACCAGTGCCCTGAGTTCTGAGGCAGAGAGGAGGACAGAAGAAACAAGAGGCTGGAGATTGTCAAATTCAGTATCCCAGTTGGCTCTTGATTCTTGGTGAAACCATCCCTCAGCTCCTAGAGGGAGATTGTTAGATCATGAAACTAATTACCATCCTTTTCCTCTGCTCCAGGCTGCTACTAAGTTTAACCCAGGAATCACAGTCCGAGGAAATTGACTGCAATGACAAGGATTTATTTAAAGCTGTGGATGCTGCTCTGAAGAAATATAACAGTCAAAACCAAAGTAACAACCAGTTTGTATTGTACCGCATAACTGAAGCCACTAAGACGGTGAGTGAATTGTGTTTAACCTTGAAGTCACTTGGGATTTGTACTATCACTAGGAGTCCAGGCCTCACACACACACACACATACCACCACCAGCACCCACCACCACCACCCACCACCCACCACCATCACCCACCACCACCACCACAACCACCACCACCACCCACCACCACCACCACCATCCACCACCACCCACCACCCACCACCACCCACCACCATCACCCACCACCCACCACCCACCACCACCCACCATCATCACCCACCACCACCCACCACCATCACCCACCACCCACCACCACTCGCCACCATCACCCACCACCATCACCCACCACCCACCACCCACCACCACCAACCACCACCATCCACCACCACCAACCACCACCCACCACCACTACCACCCCTCACCACCCACCACCACCGCCACCCACCACCCACCACCATCACCCACCACCACCACCATCCACCACCACCACCCAACCACCACCACCCACCACCCACCACCATCACCCACCACCCACCACCACCCACCACCCACCACCCACCACCATCACCCACCACCTACCACCCACCACCCACCACCACCACCACCCACCACCACCCACCACCCACCACCACCACCACCCACCACCACCCACCACCACTACCACCCCTCACCACCCACCACCACCGCCACCCACCACCCACCACCATCACGCACTACCAAATATGTGATCATCAAAGGTAGAAGCTTACAACTTGTGGAAAGACAGATACCACTCTCTGGCCTGGGGTGGGAGGACAGAGTATGACTCGTCCTCAGGCAGGTTGGCTTCCTGGATGATCAGAGAAGTAGAATCTAGGGTGAAATGAAACAAAAGTAGATGGAGAAATCTCAACAGGACCAAGTAGAGAGGGAGAATTTAGGAATTTAGTTAGACTGCAGCAAAAGAATTCACTGGGTCTCTGGCCCTAGGCTAAAAACTATAGAACTCCAAACCTTTAATGGGAGGGGGTACTTCATGGGGCATGTCTAAGAGGAGTGAGGAATGAGGTTAATGTGATTCTACGGAATTAGACAGAAGTCTGTATGGCTGAATGTACTGGGTTTAACAGCAACGTTTTAGTTAGTTTTTGATATTATTGCAATGATGCACTCCAGCAGGAGACAAATCCTGGCAGGATGCATGGTTCAAAGAAATACCAATCTTTCAAGAGTATGTTTAAACAAATTTCACTATAAAAGACTATATCTCTGGGAATGTCAAGCAATTGGTTACTTTAGCAGAAAAAAAAAAACTAGCCATGTGACAACATGGGGATAAAGGAAAATAAACACAGTGGACATGTTATTTTTTCTGAAAGTAAAATCGAGCCATTTTCTTTCATAATCTAGTACAGTCATGTGAGAAATTCTGCTTCATGGTGATCTCAAGCAACAGTTTATTGGTGGTGTGGTACCCAATAGATTGTGGGTATGGTTGTAAATATACTAAAAAACATTAAATTGTATGCCTTTAGTGGGTAAATTTTATGGCATGTAAATTATATCTCAATAAAGCTGTTTAAAAAAGAAAAAGTAGGAAACAAAATAAACCAAATAAAAGTACTAAAATCACCCATAATTAATTCCACCATACAGAGATAACTGTTAACATTTGTTTAAGGTTTTCTTGTTTGCTTTTTCTAATTTGTAAAAGTCATATACGTTCATTAGGGGAAAAAGACCACTTAGAAATGTTTGCTTGGGCCGGGCGCGGTGGCTCATGCCTGTAATCCCAGCACTTTGGGAGGCCAAGGCGGGGGGATCACGAAGTCAGGAGATCGAGACCATGGTGAAACTCAGTCTCTACTAAAAAATACAAAAAAGTAGCCAGGCGTGGTGGAGGGCGCCTGTAGTCCCAGCTACTCTGGAGGCTGAGGCAGGAGAATGGCGTGAACCCGGGAGGCAGAGCTTGCAGTGAGCCGAGATCACGCCACTGCACTCCAGCCTGGGCGACAGAGCGAGACTCCATCTCAAAAAAAAAAAAAAGAAATGTTTGCTTGAAGAAGAAAGTGAAAGATAATTATAATCTCACCACTGACAGACAAACATTTTAACAGCTTGCTGTGTATCTTTCCAGACTTTTAAAAGACATAGATTTATATATAAACCAGTTTTGACAAAAATGGGCTAATACTATGCATACTGCTTTGTAACCTTTAAAAGTACATTGTGAATATATTATAAACATTCTTTCACATAAATGTTTATGATAGAAATATAAATATATTTTAAGTGAATGCTTTGCTCTCAAGTCAAAGATCAATATTCCTAACTTTACCGGAACCCACTAGAATTATTTGCTGTTGGGTCAGTTGGATGAACCCTAAGTATCTTTGGCTGCTTTTCAGGTTGGCTCTGACACGTTTTATTCCTTCAAGTACGAAATCAAGGAGGGGGATTGTCCTGTTCAAAGTGGCAAAACCTGGCAGGACTGTGAGTACAAGGATGCTGCAAAAGCAGTAAGTGTATTGGCCATTCTTGGGCCTTCTGTTTTCTCCGTTGACCCTGCCAGATTTTTTTACTGATGCAGAAATGATGGCTACTGGTGAGCCTGTTTATGAGAAATGCAAATAAACATTCCAATGTGTAGAAAAGTCAGATGCTTTATATCTGTGTTCTTGTATAGACAGAAAAATCATGGAGAAGCCAGCAGTTAAACATGGAGAAAGCCTTTCCATGAGAAGGGGGCTCTAGTGTCCAGCCAGAACATGTGGCTCAGACTCCAGAGAGATAACAAATTGACATTTGGGCCAAGCCAAAGAGCTGGCGAGGGGAGGGGGTGGGTGCTTCCATTGCACAACGTTAAGTGCAAATCTTGACTCTGCCTTCCATTAGCTGTGTGATAGCGGGGGAGCTGTGACCTCTCAGAACTGGCACTTTCTGCTGTATATGGGAGATAATATTGACCTCATCAGGTTGTTGGAGGATGAAATCAGATGAATTATGCAAATAACTTTGATAACAATGGCTATCTTAACCAAATGCCTAACATATAGGCCTGGCACACCATAGCTGGTTGTTGTTTTGCTTTTTTTTTTTTTTTTTTTTTTTGAGCCAGAGTCTCGCTCTGTCGCTCAGGCTGGAGTGCAGTGGCGCGATCTCGGCTCACTGCAAGCTCTGCCTTCCAGGTTCACGCCATTGTCCTGCCTCAGCCTCCTGAGTAGCTGGGACTACAGGCACCCACCACCACGCCTGGCTAATTTTTTGTGTTTTTAGTAGAGACCGGGTTTCACCGTGTTAGCCAGGATGGTCTCAATCTCCTGACCTGGTGATCTGCCTGCCTCAGCCTCTCAAAGTGCTGGGATTACAGGCGTGAGCCACCACGCCCAGCCATGGTTGTTTTGCTTTAATTAAGAAAGATTTCAGACAGTATCTGCCTCAGAAGCAAGCCTCTCTTTTCATGGATTGATTCCCTTCTTTTATGTCAGAACATAAAAGATGACTGCCAGTCATCTGCCATTACCAAAGAGTACTGAACTCCAAGTCAGGAGTCTAGGATTTTGCAGTGCTGGTTCTCCCTTCTCAGTCATCTCATCTGTAAGGTGGGGATAAGTAGCTGCTGTGCTCTGTACTGCCTGCTTCTAGGGGCTGTGTGGACAAAGGGAGGTGTGCTTTATCCTGATGGAATAGTATCTGTCACTTAGAATCCAATGGATATGACTGAAGAATGAAAAGACAAAACAAAACAAAAACACTGTTCAACAATAACAATTAAACAGCTGCCTATTATTAAGTGCCTGCTGTGTGGCGGGCCTCTAGTAGGCATTTTGTGTGTGTTTGCACACATACTGTTCACAACAACTCTAAGAGATAGATGTATCCCATCTTCTACAAGACGGGTAAACTGAGACTCCAAGAGTCAAGGGGACATGACAGAGTTAACAGCTAGCAAGTGACAAGGCTGGAACTGAATAACATTTTGATGCCAAGGTCCTTGCCCTTTCTATTAAGTTAAACTGAAGTTTATGTGAACAGTATTAACTCACTGAAGTTGAGTGGTAGATAAGAGGAGTGTTTAGCAGGCTGGTTCTAGACCTCTGCGTCCATCTTGGTTAGAAAGAAATAGCTCCAGAGCTCAGCCAGGTGCAGTGGCTCACACCTGTAATCGTAACACTTTGGGAGGCCGAGGTGATTGGATCATTTGAGGTCAGGAGTTTGAGACCAGCCTGACCAACGTAGTGAAACCCTGTCTCTACCAAAAATACAAAATTAGCTGGGTGTGGTGGCACGTGCATGTAATCCCAGCTACTTGGGAGGCTGAGGCAGCAGAATCACTTGAATCTGGGAGGCAGAGGTTGCAGTGAACCGAGAGATCGCACTGTTGCACTCCAGCCTGGGTAACAAAAGCAACACTCTGTCTCAAAAAAAAAAAAAAAAAAAAAAAATAGGAAACAAAAGAAAAAAGAAATACCCTCCAGGGCTCAAAACAAAGACTCAAGCTTTAAAACCTCATCATTTACACTGTCTTTCCTCCAGCATCTCATGAATATCAGTGGCTTATATAAAGTAATCATTAGGCTATTAAAAAAATTTATTCTCATGTCTCAAAACTCTTTTGGTAAAATCTTCACAAGTTTTGTTTTGTTTTGCTTTTTAAGGAAAGCCACATTTAGCAACAGTATTAGGTAGACTTTCCCATCTGAAAGATTAAGATAAATGATCTCTTTCTTTTCTTTTTAGGCCACTGGAGAATGCACGGCAACCGTGGGGAAGAGGAGCAGTACGAAATTCTCCGTGGCTACCCAGACCTGCCAGATTACTCCAGGTGGCTGGTTTATCCTCTGGCACTGCCCTGGTGGGAAATTAACCATTTCTGTGAGCCAGGAACACAATCTTGACCAGGCTCTGCTTGCTCCCAGAGGGTGGCAGTAGTAAAGCCATTTGCAGAGTTAGGGAGCATTGGGTGGAGCGGCAGAGCCCGGAGGTTGAGCCAGGCTTGTGACCATCATCCCCTTAGGACTATCCCAACTCTTCCCGTGTGCTGCATTGTACCCAGTGTGTGCAAGGGCTCAACAGAAGGACCAGAAGACATAAGACCTGCCCTCCATTGCAGGCAGCATCCCAGATTGAGGAGCGCATAGGCTTTGAGGGCAGACCTGGCCTGGAATCTTTCAGAGCTCCTTGCCTTCTTGCCTCTCCTTTTCCTTGTCTAGAAAAGGGAGGTAAGAGTACTTCCCACTTCACAGGACTGTTGTGAGGCTGAAATGAGATGATATGCCTGGAGGTACAATCATAATAACATACTAACATATTAATCATAATAACATATTAGCAACAATCAGGATAAAAGTAATAGCTAAGATATATTGAGTCCTTATGTCCCAGCCATGACTCAAAGCACCTTACATGTATTATCTTCTTTTTCTTTTTTTCTTTTACTGATACATAATATTTTACATATTTATGAGGTACATGTGAGTGTTTTTTACATGCATTGAACGTGTAATGATTAAGTCAGGGTATTTGGGGTATCCATCACCTGGAATAGTTATCATTTCTATGAATTGGTAATATTTCAAGTCCTCTCTTTTAGCTACTTTGAAATATACAATATATTGTTGCTAACTATAGACACTCTAGTCTGCTATGTAACATTAGAACGTATTTCTTCTATCTAACTATAATTCAGTACCTATTCACCAACCTCTTCATTTCCCCCTTCTACCCGCTTACCCCGCTCAGCCTCTGGTATCTGTCATTCTCTTCTCTTCTCTATCTCCATGTGATGGTTTTAGCTTCCACATGTGAGTGAGAACAATGTGAAGTTTGTCTTTCTGTGCTTGAGTTGTTTCACTTAACGACCTCTAGTTCTGTCCATGTGGCTTTAAATGATATGATTTCAATTCTTTGTTTACGGCCAAATACTATTTCATTGTGAGTATATACCACAATTTCTTTCTTTTTTTTTTTCATTTTGAGACAGAGTCTCGCACTGTCGCCCAGGCTGGGGTGCAGTGGCACGATCTAGGCTCACTGCAACCTCCCGGGTTCAAGCAATTCTCCAGCCTCAGCCTCAGCCTCCTGAATAGCTGGGATTATGGGCATCGCCACCACGCCCGGATAATTTTTGTGTTTTTAGTAGAGATGGGGTTTCACCATGTTGGCCAGGCTGGTCTCGAACTCCTGACCTCAGGTGATCCACCCGCCTCGGCCTCCCAAAGTGCTGGGATTACAGGTGTGAGCCACTGTGCCTGGTCCCCCACATTTTCTTTATTCATTCACCTTTTGATGGACATTTAAGTTGATTTCATATCTTTGCTATTGTGAATACTGCTGCAACAAACCTGGGAGTGGAAGTACCCCTTTGATAGGCTGATTTACTTTCCTCTGGGTAGATGCCCAGTAGCTGGACTACTGGATATATGGTATTTGGTGTTTTCATTTTTTGAGGAATCTCCGCACTATTTTCCATAGTGGTTGCACTAATTTACATTCTTACCAACAGTGCATTAGAGTTCTCTTTTCTCCATATCCTCCTGGCTGTGTTTACCGCTTACATGGCAGGCAGCGAGAGCTCTGTGGTGAAGAAGTCCAGGCTCCCAGGGGGTCCCTCCAGGTGTGCCACTCACTCTGCAGCTACGTTCCCTTTTTATGGACTTTGCCTCTATTGACCAGTAGGTTAGGGCTATCTGTTATGAACATTACTTGATAATTTAATACAAACTCTTTTTAATAATAGCCATTCTAACTGGGGTAAGATGATATCTCATCTCATAATGGTTTTGATTTGCATTTCCCTAATGCTTAGTGATACTGGGCATTTTTTCACATATCTGTTGGCCATTTGTATGTCGTCTTTTGAGAAATGCCTACTGAGATCATTTGCCCACTTTTTAATGGGATTACTTGGTTTTTTTATTGGTGAGTTGATTGAATTCCTTGTATATGCTGGATGTTAGTCCCTTGTGGGATGCATGGTTTGCAAATATTGTTTTTCTTTCTTTTTTTTTTTCTTTTGAGACACAGTCTTGCTCTGTCGCCCAGGCTGGAGTGCAGTCGCATGATCTCGGCTCACTGCAACCTCCGTCTCCTGAGTTCAAGTGATTCTCCTGCCTCAGCCTCAGCCCCCCGAGTAGCTGGGACTATCACATTCAGCTAATTTTTGTATTTTAAATTTTGTAATTTTGTATTTTTAGGAGAGATGGGGTTTCACCATGTTAGTCAGGCTGGTCTCGAACTCCTGACCTCAGGCGATCTGCCCGCCTCAGCCTCCCAAAGTGCTGGGTTTACAGGCATGAGCCACCACGCCCAGCCTCTTCTTTGTTTAGGGCAGTGTATGCGAATGCTGATTGCGATCATTAATGCTGTGTTTTTGTCTGCTCTTTGTTAAGCCGAGGGCCCTGTGGTGACAGCCCAGTACGACTGCCTCGGCTGTGTGCATCCTATATCAACGCAGAGCCCAGACCTGGAGCCCATTCTGAGACACGGCATTCAGTACTTTAACAACAACACTCAACATTCCTCCCTCTTCATGCTTAATGAAGTAAAACGGGCCCAAAGACAGGTTTGTTCTTTAATTCTCTAAGTAGCACAGTATTACTAAAATTTGTTAGATCTTTACATTTAAAATGTATGATTGCATGGCTGGTGGTGTTTTCATGTGACTAGCACAGGAAGCGAAGAGCTTTCTCCTTAGTCAAAGTGAGTCGGATAGTGCAATATGTAAAGTGAGAAAAGATGTCGAATCAGACCCCCTTCCTTTGATGTTTGATTTTAACAAATGGGTAATCGTCATTACAGGCTCTTCCTAGAGACAGTGAAAAGGAAAAGTCATACCGGCCTTAGGATTTTTTTTTTTTTTTTTTTGAGACAGAGTCTCTCTCTGTCGCCCAGGCTGGAGTGCAGTGGCGCGATCTCGGCTCACTGCAAGCTCCGCCTCCTGGGTTCAGGCCATTCTCCTGCCTCAGCCTCCTGAGTAGCTGGGACTACAGGCGCCCGCCACCACACTGGCTAATTTTTTTTATTATTATTATTTTTAGTAGAGGCGGGGTTTCACCATGTTAGCCAGGATGGTCTCAATCTCCTGGCCTTAGGATTTTAAGAAAACTATATTATCACCTAGCCATCATGACTTAAACACAGCTCCAAAATATTAAATTGTGTCTAAAATGGTCGGCATGGCTTTCTGGGTACCCACTAAGTTACAGTTCCCATATCATCAGAAAAAAAAAAGTATATATCCGTAATTTTTTTTTTTTGACAGTCTCGCTCTGTTGCCTAGGCTGGAGCAGTGGCGCGATCTTGGCTCACTGCAACCTCTGCCTCCCAGGTTCAAGCAATTCTCCTGCCTCAGCCTCCCAAGGAACTGGGATTACAGGCGCTCATCACCATGTCTTGCTAATTTTTGTATTTTTAGTAGAGACGAGGTTTCACCATGGTGGCCAAGCGGGTGGTCTCAAACTCCCAACCTCAAGTCATCCTCCCACCTCGGCCTCGCAAAGTGCTGGGATTACAGGCCTGAGCCACTGCACTCAGCTACAAATCTTCTTAATGATTCAGTACACCCAGACTTTTCTTCTTTTTTTTTTTTTTTTTTTTGTTTTTTGAGGAAGAGTCTTGTTCTGTTGCCCAGGCTGGAGGCTGGAGTGCAGTGGTGCCATCTTGGTTCACTGCAACTTCCACCTCCCAAGTTTAAGAGATCTCCTGCCTCAGTATCCCAAGTAACTGGGATTACAGGCACCCACCACCACGCCCGGCTAATTTTTGTATTTTTGGTAGAGACAAGGTTTCCCCATGTCGGCCAGGCTGGTCTTAAATTCCTGACCTCAGGTGTTCCTCCCGTCTCGGCCTCCCAAAGTGCTGGGATTACAGGCATGAGCCACCACGCCCGCCCCTCCCAGACTTTTCTGATAGTTGACTGGGTCTCTTGTATTTCAGCCTCTTATTATGAGTGATTCCCTTTGGTTAGTAACATTCTCTGCATTTAATAAACCTTACAACTTGCTTTCATGCGAGCATGCTTTACTCAATTATGTCCGTATAGTGCTATCAGGGTGGGAGAGGCCCAGAATAAAGTAGAAGAAATCTTACTACTTGGTAACCTGGGAGCCTGAGGACCCAACAGTAAAGACCACTCCCCTCTAAAGTTTTCTTTATCCGTCTAGAAGGGCATTATTATTTTATGAAATTCAGTAAACATTTCTCTCTGCAGCCTGGCAGAGGAAATATTGTTAGGATTCACTTAAGGAAATCCATGTTCCAAAACTGGCTGAAAAATAGAAAAATATATATATTGCTTGTCATTTTCAGATGGCTAGCGGTGTATGTGTGTGTGTGTGTGTGTGTTTGTGTGAGAGATATGAGACTCTTAAGGTGCTCAATGTTTATTCAGCATTTTTTTGCCTAGTAATAATAATATTTTATATTTCTTGGGCACTTATTATATTGCCACACTGTTTTCTAAACTCCTCATAACATTCATATCCCACAGCGAATAATGTTTAAACTGCCCTTTAAATATTCAATCTGAAATTGTTTCAGGTGGTGGCTGGATTGAACTTTCGAATTACCTACTCAATTGTGCAAACGAATTGTTCCAAAGAGAATTTTCTGTTCTTAACTCCAGACTGCAAGTCCCTTTGGAATGGTGTAAGTAGGCAAAAATTTAATGATAAAGTTCTTAGCATTTTGTTTACATTTTGTGGTAACTATCAAGCTGGGTGGGAAGACTGTCACGAAAAGTTTAGATGACATTCAGCAATTCATATTCACATTTACTTGGGAAGACTAAAGCTCACGTCACTGGTCAAGCTGCCTTACCTAACTGGCCAAAGAATCTGCACAGCTAGCAATAAGTATTTTTTTATAACTTTATTTTATTTTATTTATTTTTTGAGACAGGATCTCAATCTGTTCCCCAGGCTGGAGCACAGTGGTGTGATCTCATCTCACTGCAGCCTCCACCTCGCATGTTCAAGCTATTCTCCTGCCTCAGCCTCCCAAGTAGCTAGGACTACAGGCGCCAACCACCACGCATGGCTAATTTTTGTATTTATAGTAGAGACAGGGTTTTACCGTGTTAGCCAGAGTGGTCTCGAACTCCTGACCTCAGGTGATCCGCCCACCTTGGCCTCCTAAAGTGCTGGTATTACAGGCATGAGCCACCGTGCCTGGCCAGCAATAAGTATTTACAGAGCATAACCAGGGACTACGAATAGATAAAATGCTTGAACGGTCAACTGTATCTTTGTTATGTCTCCACACTTTCCCATTTCCTTTTCTTCCCCAGGTGCTCAATGCCCATATGGTGTTCCCTTGCTCTACCCAGGGTTATTCTTCATGTCAAACTTTTCTCTGTTTGTTTTCTCATCTTCCCTTCCCTACCTTTATCTTTAATAAACAGACCCTGAGTCTCTAGCCCTTAGTGGTCCTTCTTAGCATCGTATCTTGTTATCTGAACCAAAATTATATTAAAATGGTATATCTCAAGGTAGTAGTAGCTAGCGAATGTTAAGATGGCGAAGACATGATATGTGCCCAGGGATGTTTGCATTTGAGCAGAAGACTGTGCTTTAGCCAAGGAAATGCTGCAAGTCCTTTGATCTAGTAATTCTGCTTCTAATTCATTTATATGGGAAATCCAGACCATAAGATGTTAATGTCAGTTGTTTTTTAATAGAAAAATATTGTAAACAAATAGTTTATGCAACATTACAGAATGGTTAAGTAAATTACAGTATATCCATACAGTAGAATATGATACAGCTATCAAAAATTTTTAGTTTTTAGTGACATAGTAAAACGGTTACAATGTTAAGTAAAAAACAAAAAAAGTGGGATACAAAACTATACATACGGATTTATTTAAATATGTAAAATAAATGTAAATACAAAAAGTGATGGAAAACAAATTATGACAAAATATAGAATGTAGTTAACTTTCAGTTGGAATTGTGGGTGCTTTTTCTTTTTTGAGAAGAGGTCTTGCTCTGTCACCTTGGCTGGAGTGCAGTGGTGCGATCTCGGCTCACTGCAACCTCTGCCTCCCAGGTTTAAGCAATTCTCATGCCTCAGCCTCCCTGAGTAGCTGGGATTACAGGCGCCCGCTGCAACGCCAGGCTAATTTTTGTATTTTGGGTACAGATGGGGGTTTTGCCACGTTGGCCAGGCTGTTTTCGAATTCTTGATCTCAGGTGATCCACCCACCTTGGCCTTCCAAAGTGCTGGTATTACAGGTGTAAGCCACTGCATCCGGCCGCTTTTTCTGATTCTTTATATTTTTTGGAAGTTTTTGATATTTCCCGAGTTTTCTAATTGAGCATGCATTTATTTTATAATTGGAGAAAAAAGTAAAAAGGACACTATCAAGAGAGTAAAAATACAACCCACAGAATGAGAGAAAATATTTGCAAATCATGTATCTGATAAGAGTTTAACATGCAGAATATATAAAGAACCTCTTTTTGTTCATAAAATAACAAGTATTAGAAAGGGCATGGAGAAATTAGAACTTTTGTACATTGCTGGTAGGACTGTAAAATGCTGCAGCCATTATAGAAAATAATTTGGCAATTTCTGAAAAACTTAACTATAGAATTACTATGTGACCCAGAAGTTGCACTCTTAGGTATATGCCCAAAAGAACTGGAAATGCATATTCAAACACGTGTTTATACATGAATTTCTATAGCAGCAAAATTCATAATAGCCAGAAAGTCAAAACAACCCAAGTGTCTATCAATAGGTGAATGGATAAACAAAATGTGCTATTATATATACACAATGAAACACTGTTCACCCTTTAAAAAGAATGAAATTCTGATACATGCTACAATGTGGATGAAGCTTGAAAATATTATGTTAAGTGAAATAAGCCAGACACACACAAAAAATATTGTATGATTCCACTTATATAAAACACCTAGAATAGGCAAATTCAGTCAGAGACTATTGGAGTTGCTAGAAATGTAATGTAGGCTTTTCTTTTTTTTTTTGAGACTGAGTTTTGGTCTTGTTGCCCAGGCTGGAGTGCAATAGCGCGATCTTGGCTCACTGCAACCTCCGCCTCCCGGGTTCAAGTGATTCTCCTGCCTCAGCTTCCCGAGTAGCTGGGATTACAGGCATGTGCCACCACGGCCGGCTAGTTTTGTATTTTTAGTAGAGATGAGGTTTCTCCATGTTGGTCAGGCTGGTCTCGAACTCCCAACCTCAGGTGATCCGCCTGCCTCAGCCTCCCAAAGTGACTTATCACACAGCACCTGGCTATGTTTGTTTATTATTCTTTTTTCCCCTCACTTCTGGAGACCTAGGCATAGGTCTTTCTATTTGTTTGTTCTATTTGTTTGTTCTATTTGTTTTTCTCCCTCTGTTTTTAAATTATGAAATCATGTCGAGTCAAAAATTAACTTAGAATGCTGTTCTAATAACATTATATGGAATTCTCATTTTTGTTATTTTGTTTTTTTTTTCCTTATCCAAGAAAGACCCTAACTTTATTGGCAAGCATGTTTATATTTCCAAGTATATTGTTTTTGTTTGTTTAAACATGTTATGAATTTTTAGAGATTATTTTTTCTTTTTGGTGCTGAGGTGAAAGAACATACCCTGTATTGTTTCTGCTTTGTAAAATGTATTGGATCTTTTTGTGACCTGGTGTAAAAACAATTAAAAATATTTGTATGATACTGGCCGGGCACGGTAGCTCATGCCTGTAATCCCAGCATTTTGGTGGGTGGATCACTTGAGATCAGGAGTTCGAGATCAGCCTGGCCAACATGGCAAAACCTCATCTCTACTAAAAATACAAAAAAATTAGCCGGGTGTGGTGGCAGACGCCTGTAATCCCAGACACTTGGGAGGCTGAGGCAGGAGAATCACTTGAATCCAGGAGGCAGAGGTTGCAGTGAGCTGAGATTGCGCCACTGCACTCCAGCCTTGGCGACAAAGAGAGACTCCATCACAAAAAAAAAAAAAAAAAAAAAAAAAAAAATATATATATATATATATATATATATATATATACACACACACACACATATATATATACACATATATATATACACATATATATATACACACACACAAATACATACAAATTAGTATGATACTTATGAAAGTATCATTTAAAATCATATGTAGCATATGAAAATACCATTTAAATAAATCTTTAATATGTTATTCAAATCTTCTATGTTCTTGTTTATTTTTTATTCACTTGCCCTGTCTTAGATTTGTAATTGCATACTAAATTTTCCCACCATATTATTTCTATCCATTTCTATTCACGTGTAATTTTTTCTACTTTAGGTATTTTGATTCCATGCCTTCTGGTCTATGCTTTTGAAAAATAAAATGATCATTTTTACTACCTTTAGGAATGAGTGTTTTGTTCTCGTGAATTTTACTTTGTCCAATATTACTAATACTGTAGTTCCTGCTACGTTTATATTTGTCTCACGTAGCTTTGTTCATCTGTTATTTTTAAGCTTTATACATTGTTTTTATCATAAGATGATTCTTGAAACTGTAATACATTGATTTGGTGTTTTAACAGTGTGAAAGTCTTACCTTATTTTTTTAGAAATTTACCTTTTTACTTACATGGCTGTTATTTCTGTACTAGATCTTCCTGCTTTCCATGTGCTCATGTATATGCATGTATTTGTTGATGCTATTGATACTATTACCTTAGTATCTCTTTTGCAGTAAGACTATGTTTTGCTTCTTTCTTTTTTTTCTATGCAATGATTTGGAAAGTACACGTCCTATTCTTCAATTTTACTAGTTGTTTACTTTTAAGACTCTAAAAAATGTTTTTAACTGAGCACTTATATGCTTTTTAAAAACCAGGATACCGGTGAATGTACAGATAATGCATACATCGATATTCAGCTACGAATTGCTTCCTTCTCACAGAACTGTGACATTTATCCAGGTAAGGAATAACACATGTTGGCACCGCAATAGAGGAATAGTGGTCCCAGACAACTGGCTGAGTCTTTTCCTATAAGTTGGGTTTTGGTTCCCGTGATATACTCCAAAGTCTGTGTAACCTGCAGACACAGATGCACCCCTTGATGAGAACACTGTACCCCTTCGCTGCCCAGTTGTGCTGCAGCTCAGACTGTTCTTGTCAGAATGGTTTATGAAGACAGAAGGGAAATGTATGACCCCTGGGCAAAGTTGGCCTTTGGGTACAATGCCATCTGGTCTCTCTTCTCTGTAAGTTGTCCTTAAGTCAGATGTTGTAAGTTGAAGAGACCTGTATTTTATTTCTAAGCACTCAGAACAAAACCCTTTCAATTAAGGTGGTTTTTTCCTGCATGTTATAATGGGAAGAAATGGAGATAGTGTGAGTTTGTGGTCAGGTCAGTGTTTCTTATAACAAGGGTGTGCTTTTCTCATAGTTGGAAAACGTTTGTATGCGTTCCATGAGTAGTCTGAAGCTGCCTGTTCATCAGAACCATAGCACTTAAACTTTTCTCATGAGAGTCACTCCTTTAAATTAAGCATTGCTTTTTACAGTTTCCATCAAAAATGCAAAAATTCAGGAAAAGTGTAGCGTTTTGTTGGAGTTACTCGCACTTTCCTATTGAAAATGTTTCCCTAAGTACACTGTGCTCTGAGGAGGAGAAAAGAAGAGAGGCAGGAAGTGAAAGTCAGACAGACAACCTTCCCCCACTCACTACTGGGCCTGGGCTCCCATGTAGCCCCTTATACATGTGGATGCTGGTTCTTGTGCAGGAGGGATGCTAGGCCAGGCTGCTACTTCAGTGTACATGTTGACTTAAAACCTGATCCTTTCAGGGAAGGATTTTGTACAACCACCTACCAAGATTTGCGTGGGCTGCCCCAGAGATATACCCACCAACAGCCCAGAGCTGGAGGAGACACTGACTCACACCATCACAAAGCTTAATGCAGAGAATAACGCAACTTTCTATTTCAAGATTGACAATGTGAAAAAAGCAAGAGTACAGGTGTGTAAACTATACTACAAAAGCAGTAACACTATAGTCTATGTGCAAATTGCTGACTAATTTTGCCACTGATCTTGGCTCTGGATTGGGAAACCATACATTTGATAATGTGATTTGGTGCATTAGATTTGGTAAATTAAGTGCCAATCTCCCTGTATGCTTCATCCCGGACAAGTATTTTACAACATTCTCTCTGTTTTCTATATGTAAAGGACTGAGGTGAGGATCAAATAAGTTAATATATGTCAAATCACTTTTTCAAACTCTAAAATGCTATATAAATACAATAGCAGCTGGGCGCGGTGGCTCACACCTGCAATACCAGCACTTTGGGAGGCCAAGGCGGGTGGATCACAAGGTCAAGAGATCAAGACCATCCTGGCCAACATGGTGAAACCCTGTCTCTACTAAAAATACAAAAATTAGCCGGGTGTGGTGGTGCACACCTGTAGTCCCAGCTACTCCAGAGGCTGAGGCAGGAGAATCGCTTGAACCTGGGAGGCAGAGGTTGCAGTGAGCCGAGATTGCGCCACTGCACTCCAGCCTGGCAACAGAGCGAGACTCTGTCTAAATAAATAAATAAATAAATAAATAAATACAATAGCAACCATGATATAATTAATAAAATTCAGGGCTAGGGCCAGGAAGACTTACGCTATGTCTTTCTGGACTCATCTCTCATTATAACATCACATAATGTCTTGGGCTCAGCCATATCAGTCAATCCATCATTGCCAAGGCTCCACGCTTTCTTGCCTCCATGTCTTTCACCTACTGTTCTCTCTGCCTGGGATCCCGCTCTCCTGCAAATGTACCCTCTGGGGATTCATCTCTCCTTTCATGCCCTATCAATAGAAGACTGACAGGAGTGTCTTCTGGGAGTCAGGAGACTCAGTTCCACCATAGCATCTGCCGCTCACATCCCAGATCACTCTGGGTGGTCATTCAAACGTTCTAAGCCTTTGTGGCCCCGTCTGTAAAATGAGTGACTGTATTAGAAGAGCCTACATTTTGCCGGGCAGAGTGCCTCATGCCTATAATCCCAGCACTTTGGGAGGCTGAGGCAGGCAGATCACCTGAGGTCAGGAGTTCGAGACCAGCCTGACCAACATAGAGAAACCTCATCTCTACTAAAAATACAAAACTAGCCAGGTATGGTGGTACATGCCTGTAATCCCAGCTACTCGGAAGGCTGAGGCAGGAGAATCACTTGAACCCGGGAGGCGGAGGTTGCAATGAGCCGAGACCGTGTCATTGCACTCCAGCCTGGGCAACAAGAGCAAAACTCCTTCTCAAAAAAAGAGAAGAGCCTACATGTCTAGCAACTCCAATAGTCTCTGACTGATGTCATTATGGACAGACCCCTATTTTAGAGACTAAAAATTGGCTTCCCTAAATACAAGCTAAATAAAAATAATCAAAATAGAGCCAAATTGTTACAGCAAGCCAACATAATCCTCATAATCTGGTGAAAAAATTCTCACTAAAAAGTTCATACTTTTGGCTCAGAATTGAATTTCTAGGAATCTAAAGTAGGAGTCTTTATATACAATGATATTCACTGCAGTTTTAAGTATAACAGCAAAAATAGTAAACTGTCAAAATGATTAATATGAGAATGATTAGATCATGTCTGGCATATCCTCAGAATAGAGTGTTAAGCAGCAACTTAAAAGCATCTTTGTGCGGAGCTCTTGATATGGGGAATGTCTTGTGTTATAATATTCAGTGAAAAAAAGGAGGCATAAAATTGAATATACATGATGTTATCAGTTGTGTTATTTTAAAGTACAGAAAATAATGTGGGAAAAAAAAGTGGCTCACGCCTGTAATCCCAGCACTTTGGGAGGCCGAAGTGGGTGGATTGCTTGAGGTCAGGAGTTTGAGACCAGCCTGGGCAACATGGTGAAACCCCATCTATAATATTAGGTTGGTGCAAAAGTAGTTGTGGTTTTTGCCAAAGTAATGGCAAAATCACAATTACTTTTGCACCAACCTAATAAAAATTCCAAAATTAGCAGGGTGTAGTGGTGCACACCTTCAATCCCAGCTACTCAGGAGGCTAAGGCACAAGAATGGCTTGGACCCGGGAGGCGGAGGTTGCAGTGAGCCGAGATTGTGCCACTGCACTTCAGCCTGGGCGACAGAGTCAGACTCCACCTGGAAACAAACAAAAAAACGAATGCCTCATAGTCATAGTGGTGATTTTTAGGTGATGGAATAACACTACTTTAATCTTTCTAATTTTCTGTATTACTTTTGTAACTGAAAAAAAGTAAACAAACTAGATTAAAGTAAATCAAAACTGATACTTTGATCTCTCTGCTACTTGAGCACTTGTTTCTATCCCAGACACAACCACCCTCTCTCTCTGATTTCATTGCCATATGACCACGTTAGGTTTACTTGAAAGGGACGCCAATCTATGCTATTCATGCTTTTTTCAGCTTTAACTTCTCACTTTATATTTCTGCTTTCTTGTGAAATTATTTTATTCTTTTTTCGTTGTTGTTTTTTAAGAGAGACGCGGGCCAGACATGGTAGCTCATGCCTGTGATCCCAGTACTTTGGGAGGCAGAGACAGGAGGATCACTTGAGCCCAGGAGCGAGACCAGCTGGAGCAACATAGCAAGACCCTGTCTCTACAAAAAAAGAATTAAAGGCCAGGCGTGGTGGCTCATGCCTGTAATCCCAGCACTTTGGGAGGCCGAGGCAGGTGGATCACCTGAGGTCAGGAGTTCGAGACCAGCCTGACCAACATGGTGAAAAACCATCTCTACTAAAAATACAAAAATCAGCTGGGTGTGGTGGTGGGTGCCTATAATCCCAGCTACTCGGGAGGCTGAGGCAGGAGAATCACTTAAACTCGGGAGGCGGAGGTTGCAGTGAGCAAAGATCATGCCATTGCACTCCAGCCTGGGTGACAAGAGTGAAACTCCATCTCAAAAAATAATAAAAAAAAAAAAGAATTAAAAAATTAGCTGGGTATGGTGGTATGTGCTTGTAGTCCCAACTACTTTGGGAAGCTGAAGTAGGAGGATTGCTTGAGACTGGGAGGTCGAGACTGCAGTGAGCTGTGATCGTGCCACTGCACTCTAGCCTAGGTGATAGAACAAGACCCTTTGGGCAACAGAGCAAACAAAAAGAGAGAGAGATGGGGGTCTCACTATGATGCCCAGGCTGGACTCGAACTCCTGGGAGCAAGCAATGTGCCCATCTCAACCTCCCAAGTAGCTGGGATTACAGGCGCACACCAATGCACCCAGCTCCCTTATTCTTTATTCTGAATGTTGTAGGAATAGGCCACCATGTATTGTATGTCAGAGGTTTGCCATCAAAAACAGAACCACTCATTCTCAAGCATGAATATCTAGTCTTCTTAGTAGTTACAGTTTTCTCTGTGGATTAATGAATCAACATTCTAGTATGCATATGTGTCTACATTAAGGATGTCAGGGGGACACAAAGAGGTAACCCATCAGATAGCTGCCAAGTCAATCTGAATATTGCAAGAATTTCAAACTTACTTTAGAGAGATAAATCTTTACTAATTTTTGCATTTAAAGAGAGCAATTTGGTTGCTTGGACATAGTCACCCAAGGCAGCCTTGATGGAAGCAGCCAATTTACTGGAAATCAATTAAACATATGATGAATTTGCTAAAAGCTAGTCTCCAAAATGACCAATTTGCCAAATTGCTAAATATTTATAGTTTTAATCTTGCCTTGGGTTTGCACATTTAGTCCTGTTTGGATGCATGTTGATTCCACGTTGGGTTCATATTTCAGATATGAAACACTTCCTGAATCTTCCATTTTCACACATTAGTGATTACAGTTTCATATAAGTTTTATTTTGCCCTACCACCACTGCTGCTGTCCCCAAGGCTGTTGATGCTCCTGTCTGCCTCTGCTGAGATGAATAAACTTCCAAGATCTGTGTGTGCACATGCAGAAATTTTTCCTTTGACAAAGTCCTAGGAATGTCAAATAATATGTAGATATATAAGACTTGATGCAAATTGCCAGAATCACCAAATATTTGCAATGATGCCAATTTACATTCACATCACCTGGGTATAAGACACCAGTTGAGGCCAGGCGTGGTAGCTCATGCCTGTAATCCCAGCACTTTGGGGGGCCGAGGCGGGCGGATCACCTGAGGTCAGGAGTTTGGGACCAGCCCAGCCAACATGGTGAAACCTCATCTCTACAAAAAACACAAAAATTAGCCAGGTGTGGTGACACTTGCCCGTAATCTCAGCTACTTGGGGGCGCTGAGGCAGGAGAATCACTTGAATTTAGGAGGCGGAGGTTGCAGTGTGTGTCACTGCACTCCAGCCTGGGTGACAGAGTGAGACTCCGTCTCAAAAAATAAAAGAAAAAAGACACCAGTTGAGGATCTTAATTTGAATTCTCTTCCTACCAGCAGTGACTGAGGCTGCTTGATTCCTATGCCTGGCCAATGCCACGTATCATCAATTTTTGTTTTCATCTTTGCCTGCATGGAAGGCTAACAATGATGTCTCATTGCTTTTTTAATGTGCATGTTTTTGTTTATTAATGAAGTTAAACTTTTTTTTAGGCTTAATGACCGTTTTAACTTCTCTGAAATACCTGCTCATGGCTTTTGTCCATTTTTAGTGTTGGGCTTTATATTCATACAGACATTGATTCTATATCATAGTTTTCCCAGCTTGCCTTTCTACTTTGCTTATTGTGATTTTTCAGAAGCAGTTTTCATTTTTCTCTAGTCAAGTTTTAGTATTTTCCCCTTCCTTCAGATTTCTTTCCTCTGCTTTTCACCTAAGAAAGGCCTTCCTCATCCTGGGTTTTGGTGAATATTTATTTATTTGTTTAGTTGTTTTTTGTTTGTTTGTTTTTGTTTTGTTTTGTTTCCCGAAACAGAGTCTCACTCTGTCACCCAGGCTTGAGTGTAGTGGCGTGATCTTGGCTCACTGTAACCTCTGCCACCCAGGTTCAAGCGATTCTCCTGCCTCAGCCTCCCAAGTAGCCGGGATTAGAGATGCTTGCAACCATGTCCGGCTAATTTTTAGTATTTTTAATAGAGACAGGGATTCATTATATGTTAGCCAGGACGGTCTCGAACCCCTGACCTCAGGTGATCTGCCCGCCTCAGGCCCCCAAAGTGCTGGAATTACAGGCAGGAGCCACTATTCCCGGCCAACACATTTAAATACTATGATTTAATACTAAATAATTTGGTTGAGAAATTGGGCCACAAAATATTTAATGGAAGATAGTGTTGAGTAGTGATTAAAACTGTTGCTAGAGATTAAAATAATTTTTTTTTCTTTTTGAGACAGAGTCTCACTCTGTCACCCAGGCTGGAGTGCAGTGGCATGACCTCAGCTCACTGCAACCTCCGCCTCCTGGGTTCAGGTAACTCCCCTGCCTCAGCCTGTCAAATAGCTGTCAAATTACAGGTGTGCATCACAAAGCCCATCTAATTTTTATATTTTTAGTAGAGGTGGGGTTTCACCACGTTGGTCAGATTGGTCTTGAACAGCTGGCCTTAAGTGATCCACCCGCCTCAGCCTCCCAAAGTGCTGGAATTGCAGGCATGAACCACCACGCCCAGCCTAAAATAATTTCTTAATATTAAAAATAGTAAGAGAACAATAAAAACCCCAAATAATTTTTCTAATTACAAAATTTAATCCACATAATTTCTATAGTAGTACTAACTCAGTATTTCACCAATTCAAGATTTGGCAGGACAATAAGGCATATTTAAAAACATTTTAAGTTTTTCTTCCTATTCCTGTTAGATTATTAGATATTACAACTTGAGCCCTTGAATTACTAGTGAATTTAACAGCTGTTGGACAATAAAACTCAAATAAATACATAAATAAATAAAAATTATAGGCCAGGCATGGTGGCTCATGCCTGTAATCCCAGCACTTTGGGAGGCCGAGGCAGGTGGATCACCTGAGGTCGGGAGTTCGAGACCAGCCTGACCAACATGGAGAAACCCCATCTCTACTAAAAATATAAAATTAGCCAGGCGTGGAGGTGGGCAACTGTAATCCCAGCTACTCAGGAGGCTGAGGCAGGAGAATTGCTTGAATCCAGGAGGCGGAGGTTGTGGTGAGCCGAGATCGTGCCACTGCACTCCAGCCTGGGCAACAAGAGCGAAACTCCATCTCAAAAAAAAAAAATAAAGAAAATTATAGCTTGCTTATTTCTTCCCCCACTTAGAAAAGGAAATGGGACCAACCGATAGCCAAATATTTTAAATATGCATGCCAAGCTTTAATGCCAAACGTGTACTTTTTTGTATGTAACTCTCTAAGTTGGTCAATTAAAATTTCAAGATTCTCCCTTAACATTTCTTAAAGATAAATGATTTATTATGCAAATATTTTTAAGCGTTTACTTTGTACTAATTAATTTTTCAGGTGGTGGCTGGCAAGAAATATTTTATTGACTTCGTGGCCAGGGAAACCACATGTTCCAAGGAAAGTAATGAAGAGTTGACCGAAAGCTGTGAGACCAAAAAACTTGGCGTGAGTAGTCATGCACCTGTCTACTTTTTCACTGGAAGCCTATTTGATGTTTTTAGAATCATTTGTTTAAATGTCTCGTGAATAACACTGTCTCTCTTTCGACTTCTGTTTTCATGGATAGCAAAGCCTAGATTGCAACGCTGAAGTTTATGTGGTACCCTGGGAGAAAAAAATTTACCCTACTGTCAACTGTCAACCACTGGGAATGGTATGATTCTAATTACAGTCAGCGTGGGGTCAGTTCTGCTCATTCTGAAAATCCATATTTGGGGGCTGAAAATGAACCATTACTGAAATGAATTGGGGAGCTATCTTTTTTAAATGGGGAGTAACTCTCACACTTCTGTGCTGATCTCTGTTTAATGGCTAGAAAGAAGAGTAACAATCCTCCTGATCACTTCTCACACATTGTCAGTGTCTCAGTGAAGCTTCTATAGACTCTCTCCTAGTGCACTGCAGTCCTGCTGTGGGGGAGCAACATTGGCTATGCCAGGTGTACCTGAGGCCAGATACAGCACTCCACTGCATTCTGCTGACATGCAAGGACCATGTGAAAAATGCATGGCTGGGCGCGGTGGCTCACGCCTGTTATCCCAGCACTTTGGGAGGCTGAAGCAGGCAGATCACCTGAGGTCAGGAGTTTGAGACTAGCCTGGCCAACATGGTGAAACCCTGTCTCTACTGAAAATACAACAATTAGCTGGGTGTGGTGGCGCCTGTAATCCCAGCTACTCAGGGGGCTGAGGCAGGAGAATCCCTTGAACCCAGGAGGTGGAGGTTGCAGTGAGCCGAGATCCTGCCACTGCACTCCAGCCTGGGCAACAAAGAGCGAAACTTTGTCTCAAAAAAAAAAAAAGAAAAGAAAAATTCAGACTCGCAAACCCCACTTCACAGCTACCGAATTTTAACCAGATCCCCAGGGGATTCATATGCATGAATCAAGTTTGAAAAGCATTCGTTGATGTCATCTTTCTTTTTTAAGTCTTAAAAGAACTCTGGGAGGTAGTAACACTTTCCCTATTGTCAAGGATGAGACACTAAAAATTAGAAAGACTCTGAGGTCCTGAGTGAATAATGACATTATCAAATGCTTCCTCTGTCCCAGGCACTATACTGAAGGTTTCACCCACATTTTCGAGTCCTCCTTATAACTCTGTGAGGCAGGTGCTGTTATTATTTCTATTTTACAGAAAGGAAAAGTGAAGCTGATGGCACTTGGATTCAAATCTTGGTCAATTCAGAGTCTACCCTTTCCATCACGATGCTGATTACCAGTAGGGTCTGGCCGGACTCCAATGACCATGTTCTTTGCATCACCAGACACTGCTTCCAATTAACACATTCTCACAGGTAGCAAAAGTGTAGGTAGAATTAATCCACAGATCGACATATTTGAAGCAGGTTACCTCTTTTCCCTCTTTTCTGATTTGGTCTTTTGTCATGTGTAGGTATGTAGATGGTGTAACACAAACATTGTCCTCAGGTTGCATTTCAAGCTTGCGAATATGTCCTAATGTGCTTCAGCACAACAAAGTGATCATGGATACATGCTCCCTATATATTCAGTTCATAAAGCCACTTAGGGCCTTTTAGGATAAAAGCAGTGATGGTGGTAATAACAGTAGTATCAATAATTAAATACTGTGCTCAGTAAAAACATAGGCTCAGAAGCTACCCTAGAGATTAGCTAGTTCAACCATCCAGATGAAGCAAAAACACTCCAGCTTATTTTACAGTTTTTTTTGTTGTTGTTTGGCTGGGTTTTTTTGTTTTTTTTTTGTTGTTGTTGTTGTTTGTTTTTTGTTTTTTTTGACAGAGTCACTGTCGCCTAGGCTGGAGTGCAGTGGCGCCATCTCAGCTCACTGCAACCTCCACGTCCTGGGTTCAAGCAATTCTCCTGCCTCAGCCTCCTGAGTAGCTGGGATTACAGGCATGTGCCACCATGCCCAGCTAATTTTTGTATTTTTAGTAGAGATGGGGTTTCAGCATGTTGGCCAGGCTGGTCTCAAACTCCTGACCTCAAGTGATCTGCTCGCCTTGGTCTCCCAAAGTGCTGAGATTACAGGTGTGAGCCACCATGCCTGGCTATTTTATGGTATTATTAACAACAATAATTAATGTCCACAAATTTTAAGATCAATCAAAAGACAAAAAAAATTATTCATCCTTTCTGGAATGTTAATATAGCATTTAAAATCTGGCAAACACCTCCCCCATTGTAAACTAAGATAACATTGCCAGATCTCAGTGTTTTTTTCTATCATCAATAGCATGATTTTTGCAGTAATACATTCATCTTAATATTTTCTGTTTAGATCTCACTGATGAAAAGGCCTCCAGGTTTTTCACCTTTCCGATCATCACGAATAGGGGAAATAAAAGAAGAAACAACTGTAAGTCCACCCCACACTTCCATGGCACCTGCACAAGATGAAGAGCGGGATTCAGGAAAAGAACAAGGGCATACTCGTAGACATGACTGGGGCCATGAAAAACAAAGAAAACATAATCTTGGCCATGGCCATAAACATGAACGTGACCAAGGGCATGGGCACCAAAGAGGACATGGCCTTGGCCATGGACACGAACAACAGCATGGTCTTGGTCATGGACATAAGTTCAAACTTGATGATGATCTTGAACACCAAGGGGGCCATGTCCTTGACCATGGACATAAGCATAAGCATGGTCATGGCCACGGAAAACATAAAAATAAAGGCAAAAAGAATGGAAAGCACAATGGTTGGAAAACAGAGCATTTGGCAAGCTCTTCTGAAGACAGTACTACACCTTCTGCACAGACACAAGAGAAGACAGAAGGGCCAACACCCATCCCTTCCCTAGCCAAGCCAGGTGTAACAGTTACCTTTTCTGACTTTCAGGACTCTGATCTCATTGCAACTATGATGCCTCCTATATCACCAGCTCCCATACAGAGTGATGACGATTGGATCCCTGATATCCAGATAGACCCAAATGGCCTTTCATTTAACCCAATATCAGATTTTCCAGACACGACCTCCCCAAAATGTCCTGGACGCCCCTGGAAGTCAGTTAGTGAAATTAATCCAACCACACAAATGAAAGAATCTTATTATTTCGATCTCACTGATGGCCTTTCTTAATTTAAGTGGCTATGGGTATTTCTTTCATACTTTATTAAAGTATCAATATCCCTCTCTCCATTGTCCAGATGAAAATATCCTGATATAATGCACCAAAAACCATGCAGCTTCGGAACAGTCTAAAGAGAAGTGGTGAGACTCCCAGTGGAGACACCATCAGTCTCCACGGACTGCATAAAATTGTGTGCCACAATTCTAACTCTTTTCTGAATCTTCTTCCCAAGTTTTCTAAACTAGCACAGTAAACAGACAAACTAATGTGCCGTATGGCCTGCTGCAATTGGCTTCTCTGATAACAAATATGTACCTTACAACATATGTCATGAATTTGCATACAAAGATTCTTGTCATTCTTAATAAACTGTGGCACTTGGTATTTGAATGTGTGTGAAAATAAGGGAAGTCAAGAGATTAAATGCTGAACTTATTAATGGAATAGAAATAATAAGGAGGCTGAGGCTGGAGAATTGCTTGAACCCGGGAGGCGGAGGTTGCAGTGAGCCGAGATCGTGCCACTGCGCTCCAGCCTGGGCATCAGAGCAAGATTCTGTCTCAGAAAAAAAGAAAAAAAAAGAAATAATAAGAAAAACTTCCAGATTTCAAAGTAACAAGAAAGAAGACAGGTTGGCCAAAGGGAGGAAAGGGGGGACATAAATTAATTGACTTTCTATTCCCAAAATGGGCTAGTTATATCAAATAAATACTCCCACTGCCCTTTCTGAGTGAGAGTGTTTCTCATAAGTCAAAAATTTCTGTTTACTCATTAACTACTCTTTGCAACAGGCTTTCATATAGAAGTATTCTGTTTATTTTTGCTGAGCCTAGATTGAGTAATTCTTAGTTTACAGAAGCTCCGAGCTTAATGATAAGGATGAAAAGCAGAGGGAGCAATATAGAAGCAGGCTTGCTAATAAAACTTTTTAAATAATTGACAAGGGAATATTATGGAATGTGATGCAAAGTTTGTTCCGAAATTTTATGAGGAAATTACTCTCTAGTCTCACTTTATAGTCTTTTTGCTATGACTTTGAAGACCATTGATTTTTGAGAAGCAGAATAATAGGATTGCCTTTCATTGCCCTATAGTGCAAAGAAGGTATATGCTTTATAACCAATGTTGTACTTTTGCCTAGAAAAACAAGATATGGCTTTAAATAGCTACAATCATCTTTGGATGTATATGTCACTGCTGCTTCAAGTTATTGGATGCATTTGAACCTCTGAGTTTGTCTTTCATTTTAAATATTGTCTGTTCTTTTAAATAAACAACCACAGATGTCAGGAAAAAGTCTTACCTTGTCAACTGGTTGCTCCACTTTTTAAAAATGATTGAATGATAACATCATATTAACTGCGTTTTACTATACTTACAGAGTCACCTAAGGTCCTGCGAGTACAAGGGTCGACCCCCAAAGGCAGGGGCAGAGCCAGCATCTGAGAGGGAGGTCTCTTGACCAATGGGCAGAATCTTCACTCCAGGCACATAGCCCCAACCACCTCTGCCAGCAACCTTGAGAGGAAGGACAAGAAGAAAGATGGGATAGAATTTAAATAGAGAAGAATGCCATTTTATCACTCTGCCTCTGGGTGAAATAAAGATCAGTCTTGATGTTCTAACTCTAATTCACAGTGGTCTCCTTTCAGCCCTACCCATTCTGCAGCAAATTCCAGCTGGTCAGAGAGTCAGTGCTGTGGCTCTGCCATGGAGGCTCATAACCCAACACTGGAACATTCCCTAGCCAAGGCAGAAGTCCTTAGGCGGGACTTCCTTACCACCACGGGTGCTAAAAGAAGAGTTAGTAGGTCATGCTTCTACCAGTAATCTAAGGACTCTCTCCTTCTCTTCTTCCTCTTTCTCCAGATTTCCAAGCCTTAGCTAAGAGTAATTTGGCTTGTTTAGTATTGTTTTCTTATGGTCCAGTTAATTACCAAAAATATTTTTAAAATCATCTCTGTTAATAGAATGTCTACCAACTTCTCACTATCAGAAAATACTCAACCTCCAAACAATTTGAAATTATCTTTCTGATCCAGGTAAAGAAGCAAATTGAAAATCAATAAAGTAAAAAGTGACGGAGATTTTAAATTTTCTGTAATAAAAACACTTATTGGGTTGGGCATGGTGGCTCACGCCTGTAATCCCAGCACTTTGGGAGGCCGAGGTGGGTGGATGACCTGGCGTCAGGAGTTCGAGACCAGCCTGGCCACATGGCGAAACTCCATGTCTAATAAAAATACAAAATTAGCCGGGCGTGGTGGCACGCACCTGTAATCCCAGCTACTCCAGAGGCTGAGGCAGGAGAATCACTTGAGCCTGAGAGGTGGAGGTTGCAGTGAGCTGAGATTGCACCACTGCATTCCAGGCTGGGTGACAAAATGAAATTCAGTCTCAAAAGAAAAAAAACATTTATCGAACACCTATTACAGCCATTTGCTATGCTAGATAATTTACTTTTGGCATATAACTTAATCCTCACAACCACTCTAAGGCCCCCATGAACATCATTCTTTTACAAGGAAACTGTAGTTCACAGTGCCCTGCCCAGGGTCATATAGTTAATAAGTGGCAGGGCTGGCATTCAGACTTAGACCTTTTGAACTCCATTACACCATGTCATCTGAAGGCTTTATTATTAATGTTGTCATTACAAAAGACACACCAAGTCACTGACTACAGTCACAGAGACCCAATAAATTAAAAAAAAAAAAAGGCATGCCAAGACAATGTCTGACTCTGAGAGGATCCTTGTCTCAATCCAAAATATCCTTATTAAATACCTAATTGTGGCTGGTGCTGTTCTGTGTATTGGTCAGGATAAACTGAGTTAAGCAGCAGTCACTAACTATTTACCATATGCTTCGCATGAGGTCCTGAGAGGAAAAGAAAGAAATTTTAAAAGACATAAATCCTTTCCCTCAAAGATCTTGCAATCCCATTGGCAAGTCAAGATGAAAGCATACGGAACAAAGATTTGATCCAGGCTGCAGTCTTTTGTGCAACAGTGAGTGAATGCAACCAATGTGACTGGAAGAAGTTGACTAGGTAGAGGGATCAGCTGTGAAAGGTAGTATGAAGCCCAGCTGGGAGTCTAGGCTGAAATATGCAGTAGAGTTCCTTCTACAGTCTTTGCCATACTCAGAGGGAGTTTGAGATAGATGATTCTGAAGGTTCTGGGTAGGGTGGATCAGAATGGGAAGAGAATGGAGTCAGGGTTCTGTTCTGGGTATTTCCTGACAATCATGTTTTAGCAGAAAAATAAGGGCTGATATATAAAGCCTATACCTCTCAGCTTACTCAACAACATGAAGTATTTCCACTTCAGGCCTTTGTTAGGTAACATAAACATGAGTTTCCCGTGACCCAGAAACTAACTTTCTTATTTTTTAAATATCTATACCAGCCGGGCGCAGTGGCTTCACGTCTGTAATCCCAGCACTTTGGGAGGCCAAGGCAGGCGGATCACTTGAGGTCAGGAGTGCGAGACCAGCCTGGCCAACATGGCGAAACCCCGTCTCTACTAAAAAATAATTAAAAAAAAAATTAGCTTGGTGTGGCGGTGGGAGCCTGTAATCCCAGCTACTGGGGAGGCTGAGACACGAGAATCGCTTGAACCCGGGAGGTGGAGATTGCAGGGAGCCGAGATCATGCCACTGCACTCCAGCCTGGGCAACAGAGTAAGACTCTGCCTCAAATAAAAAAAAAAAAAAAAAAAAAAAAGACCTAACTACCAAGCCAAAGTCACACCCCAAGTGTCTGGCCCTGGCTCTGGGGCCACACAGCTACATCGCTCCGTGCTTCTCTTCAGGGCAGGCATTTCCTGTCGTCGAGTCCAACGCACATTCCTCACATTGTCTACGCCTAGTTCCTCAAACAGGAGGCCCCTATTGGCTTTTTACTCCACTCTCCACTTCCTGCTTCTAAGCCTGGTTCCAAAGGAGTTAACTCACAGAAAGACACATGCTTTTCGGCCTCACCCCAGTCTGTCTGGCGCCCATGCTCCCCTTCTGCTCATACTCTGTACATTCACCTCGCGGGAAAGCCCAGACTCCCAAGGCTCCTCTGAGAAGATTTGAGAGGATCCAGCAGCTATATTTTAAAACTCACTCTTCCAGAAGCCCAGTGTCTCTCTCTCTATATTAAGATAGATGATCAAAAGCCAAAATGCCACTTCAACATCTTGCAAAAATGCTATGTTAAATTATTTAAGGTTGGCTGGGTGTAGTGGCTCACACCTGTAATCCCAGCACTTTGGGAGGCTGAGGCGGGTGGATCTCCTGAGCTTGGGAGTTCGAGACCAGCCTGACTAACATGGAGAAACCTCGTCTCTGCTAAAAATATAAAATTATCCGAGTGTGGTGGCACATGCCTGTAATCCCAGCTACTCGGAGGCTGAGGCAGGAGAATTGCTTGAACCCGGGAGGCAGAGATTGCGGTGAGCCAAGATCGCACCATTGCGCTCCAGCCTGGACAACAAGAGTGATACTCCATCTCAAAAAACAACAACAAAAAATTATTTAAGTTATACTTTCATCTTTTATTTCATAAGAATTTCCATTTGAACACCATTCTGTCTTTTGCAAAACTTTGAGGTATTGCCCAGTGTATCACATTTGAGGCAGTATAGTGAGGTGGTTAAAAACCAGAGTTCTGTAGTTACAGCCTGAGTCTAAAAACTGCCAATTTGCTTAACTTCCCAGTTTAAATTCTCAAAGTCCCAGTTTCCCCATGCAAAATATTACTTTAATAATGTACTTACCTCATGGGGTGTTATGAGAATTAAAAGAGATAAATTCTTGGCCAGGCACGGTGGCTCACGCCTGTAATCCCAGCATTTTGGCAGGCCGAGGCAGGCGGATCATCTGAGGTCAGGTGTTCGAAACCAGCCTGGCCAACATGGCAAAATCCCGACTTTACCAAAAAATACAAAAAGTAGCTGGGTGTGTGGTGGCGGATGCCTGTAATCCCAGCTACTCGGGAGGCTGAGTCAGGAGAATTGCTTCAAGCTGGGAGGTGGAGCAATTCATACAAAGTACATACAACATACAAAGTAAGAATAGGGCCGGGCATGGTGGCTCATGCCTGTAATCCCAGCACTTTGGGAGGCTGAGGCGGCTGGATCACTTGAGGTCAGGAGTTCGAGACCAGCCTAGCCAACATGGCAAAACCCCGTCTCTGCTAAAAAGCACAAAAATTAGCCAGGCATGGTGACAGGCACCTGTAATCCCAGCTACTTGGGAGGCTGAGGCAAGAGAATCGCTTGAACCCGGGAGGCGGAGGTTGCAGTGAGCCAAGGTCGTGCCAGTGCACTCCAGCCTGGATGACAGAGCAAGACTCCATCTCAAAAAAAAAAAAAAAAGAAAAAGAAAAAGAAAAAGAAAAGCTGCAGTGAGAGATGGATGCAGGGATGCCGAAGGGTTCCAGCCTGTTCTCCCTCGCCCCTCCTTGGCACTCAACATTTCCTCCACTGCTGGCCGTGCTAACCTATAGCCATAGTACACCTAACAGGGCAAGAGTCTTCCAAAGATTTCTCCACTAACTCCCCTGTGCAGTCCCTTGGCAGCTATATGTACCTGTCCAGTTTTCCCTAAAAGCTCTGACTTGTCCAGGAGCACCAATGCTTTTGGAAGGCTAATGAATAACCTTCTTCAGATCCTCCAACTCCCTTTCCCTGGACCTTATTTTCCTAGCTCCTCCCACAATGGCATTAGATTTAGATAAATCTCCTATGCCATAGGATTCACAGTGGTTCTGCTTCCTTGATGAAACCTTGACTGATGCACCAGCCTTTTTTTTCACCCTATCAATTTGTTACCAAAACACCAAGGGTTAGGTCTAGGCTCTGCTGCTTGCCACACAGAAAGCCAATCACTGACACGAGTGTTGCCAGTTAAGAAGGCTTTAATTGGGTGCTGCAGCCAAGGAGATGGGAGATCAGTCTCAAATCCATCTCCCTGACTGGCTAAAATTAGGGGATTATATAGCAGGGAAGAAATGTAACTACATACAGGAAAACAGGAATTAGGGAGGGGTAAGGAAGAGGAGCTGTTCAACAGGAAGCAGGTAGCCACTTAGGCAACCATGGTAGGTGAGGAGTCTGATGTCTTATTGCCTAGATGCAGTGATCTGGTAAGTTTCAGTTTATTGACACTATCTAGGAAGCCTGATGGTTGGATGCCTGAGAAAGAAACTGAGCAAAGACAAATGTAACTTCCTCAAGTTTCAAGACTGGGAGGATCAGTTTCTATGTTTATTCAAAAGAAGCCATAAATATCAGTTCTATGGGACAATTGGACCAGTTTCAGAGGTATATTAGGAGAACACATTCTATTGCTTTCAAATGCACAGCCAGGCCCGGCAATGCGACTGCATCTGAGCATCTTCTAAGAAAATAAAGGCTGGCCAGGTGAGGTAGGTCACGCCTGTAATCCCAGCACTTTAGGAGGCCAAGGTGGGTGGATCACCTGAGGTCAGGAGTTCAAGACCAGCCTGGCCAACATGGTGAAACCCCGTCTGTACTAAAAATACAAAAATTAGCTGGGCATGATGGCGGGTGCCTGTAATCCTAGCTACTCAGGAGGCTGAGGCGGGAGAATCGCTTGAACCCGGGAGGCCCAGGAGGCAGAGGTTGCAGTGAGCTGAGATTGCGCCATTGCACTCCGGCCTGGGCAACTGAGCAAAACTCCATCTCAAAAAAAAAAAAGAAAGAAAATGATTAAAGGCTGTTCCTGTCCTCAATGTCACACTTTAGAGAGAAGCACAGACACATTAAAAAATATATAAATCAGCATAAAAATTCCAATAGTAGAGGTGTGTTTAAGCTGCAATGAAAGCATAGAGAAGGAAGAATCAAGTCTGAAAAGCTGGAAGAAGCTAAGAGGGCAAAGACCTATCTCACACAGCATCATATTCCTAGGGCCCAGGCACAAGGCCTAACAAAAAATTAGTGCTCAATAAATATTTCTTGAGTTGAATTGAGTTAAACTGAATTTGTTCACAACACAGCGTTTAGCCCTAGGAATGCAGCATTAACAACACAAGCCGGGTGCAGTGACTCGCAGCTGTAATCCCAGCACTTTGGGATGCCAAGGCAGGAGGATCACTTGAGGCCAGGAGTTCAAGACCAGCCTGCGCAACATAGCAAGATCCCATCTCTACAAAAAATAACAACAACAACAACAACAAACCCAGATGTGGTGGCATGTGCCTATACTCCTAGCTACTCAGCAGGCTGAGAAGAGAAGACTGCTTGAGCTCTGGAGTACAAGGCTGCAATGAGCCATGATTATGCCACTGCACTCCAGCCTGGGTGACAGAGCAAGACCCTGTCTCTGAAAAGAAACAAAAATGAAAAGGAAAAACCAGACAGTTCACGCCTTTGCTCAGCTTACAATCTAGTGCAGCTCTTCACAAATTTTAGCACCAGAATCTTCTAGAAAACTTACGAAAACCGGCCGGGTTCGGTGGCTCACGCCTGTAATCTCAGCACTTTGGGAGGCTGAGGCAGGTGGATTACCTGAGGTCAGGAGTTCAAGACCAGCCTGACCAACATGGTGAAACCCCATCTCTACTAAAAATACAAAAATTAGCTGGGCGTGGTGGTGCATGCCTGTAATTCCAGCTACTAGGGAGGCTGAGGTAGGAGAATTGCTTGAACCTGGGAGCCGGAGGTTGCAGTAAGCGGAGATTGCTAACTGCACTCCAGCCTGGACAACAAGAGCAAAACTCTGTCTCAAAAAAAAAAAAAGAAAAAAAGAAAACTTATTAAAACCCCAATAGCTGGAGCCCATTTTCAGAGTTTCTCATTCAGCAGGTCTGTGGTGGGGCCCTAGAATTGGTATTTCTGACAGCTTCCCAGGAGATGTTGGTGCTATTGGTCTGGGTTGCATACTTTCAGAGCTACTGGTCAAGCGCAGTAGTTCTCAACCCTGGCTACTCATTGGAATCACTTGCCTAACTTTAAAAAATACCTTGCTAGAAGCATCAGCCCAGACCTATTAAAGGTAATTTTAATGTGCAGGTCAGCATTGAAACCACTGATATGACAAATAGGAGTAGTTAATATTATTTGCTTGCTTGCTATGTAACAGACACCACTTGAAGATCTAATACATATTATGACATTTATGAAACCCATTTTACAGGTGAGAAAACTGAGGCTCAGAGAAGTGAGATAAACTGGCTAAGATCATATAAGGCCAGCACAGTGGGTCACACCTGTAATCCCAGTATTTTGGGAGGACAAGGTGGAAGGATCGCTTGAGCTCAGGAGTTCAAGACCAGCCTGGGCAATATAGGGAGACCCTGTCTCTACAAAAACAAAAAAAAATTAACTAGCCAGGTGCTGGTTGGGCACAGTGGTTCACGCCTGTAATCCCAGTACTTTGGGAGGCCAAGGCAGGTAGATCGTCTGAACTCAGGAGTTCGAGACAAGCCTGGGCAACATCTCTACTAAAAAATGGTCGAGTTTTTTTTTTTTTTTTAACCCATTTCTACTAAAAAATACAAAAAATTAGCCAGGCATGGTGGTGCGTGCCTGTGGTCCCAGCTACTTGGGAGGCTGAGGTGGGAGGATCACTTGAGCCTGGGAGGCAGAGGTTGCAGTGAGCCAAGAGCGTGTCACTGCACTAAGGTGTGGGCAACAGAGTGAGACCCTGTCTCAAAAAGAAAAAAAAATTAACCAGGCGTGATGTACAGTATAGTACAGGTGTGTGCCTGTAGTCCCTGCTACTCAGGAAGCTGAAGTGAGAAGACTGCTTGAGCCCAGGAGGTTGAGGCAATAGTGAGCCTTGATTGCACTACTACGCTCCAGCCTGGGTGACAGAGCAATACCCTATTTCAAAAAAAAAAAACAAAAAAAAACCGCCCAGGCGCAGTGGTTTCATGCCTGTAATCCCAGGACTTTGGGAGGCTGAGGCGGGCAGATCATGAGATCAGGAGATCGAGACCATCCTGGCTAACACGGTGAAACCCCGTCTCTACTAAAAATACAAAAAAATTAGCCGGGCATGATGGCGGGTGCCTTGTAGTCCCAGCTACTCAAAAGGCTGAGGCAGGAGAATCGCTTGAACCTGGGAGGCGGAGGTTGCAGTGAGCCGAGATCGTGCCACTGCACTCCAGCCTGGGTGACAGAGCAAGACTCCATCTCAAAAACAACAACAACAACAACAAAAATTCACATAAGCAGGTGTTAGTAGGGGAGGTGGGACTGAACCCAGGTATCTCTGACAACAGAATCCATGCTTATAACCATCAGATGTCAGCACCACATGGGCCTCACAGAAACACAGCCCCTGAACTGCCCCTGATTTGAATATTGAATGATGAGTAGAAGTTCTCCAGGCGGGGAAAGGAGGAAAAGCATTTAAATACTGAGCTCCACACCTCTGGGAATGCCGAAGGAGAGGGAGGAAGTTAGAGGTATACTAGGAAAGATTTCTGAGCTGGGTAGGAGGGCAGGACGAGAGGATCACTGTGGCCCACCTTCCTCCAAGAGCCTAGAATTGTAGAATGAGGCAATCTAGAACCTGATGGCTGCTTTAGTTGTAGAAACCTAACACGGGACCAGGAGGAAAAGGAGAAAAATAGGAGCACTGACATTTGCTCGGAGTTGCACTGAAAGAATAATGAGCATATGCTCATTTACAGCATTTAGTTCTTTTTCGAACATAGACTGCTTGGTCCTGAAATTTTATCCGTCTGAAAACAACTGTATGCTAGTTATCATGCTCTATAAATATTCACAGATAAGAGCTAGGAAAATGTAGGGCGGAGGCTATCCATATTTATTCATTTCAGTGTTAAAATCCATGATTAATTTTTCTCCACGTTTCCTGATACGTGTATTCTTTCTTTTCATATGCTGGTTTATATTATATACTTTAGTGTTTAATGTGGAAAATTTAGAAAATACAAAATAATGCAAAGAAGGAAATAAAAACTATTGTAATCTCACTGGCCAAAGAAAACTACTGTTGAAATTTTGGGCTGGGTGTGGTGGCTCATGGCTATAATCCTAGCACTTTGGGAGGCTGAGGTGAGAAGATCGCTTGAGCTCAAGAGTTCAACACCAGCCTGGGCAACACAGTGAGACCTCACCTCTAATTTAAATAAATAAATAAACAAGGCCAGGCGTGGTGGCTCACGCCTGTAATCCCAGCACTTCGGGAGGCTGAGGCATGTGGATCAACTGAGGTCAGGAGTTCAAGACCAGCCTGGCCAAAATGGTGAAACCGTATTTCTACTAAAAATACAAAAATTAGCCGGGTGTGGTGGTGAGCGCCTATAATCCTAGCTACTCAGGAGGCTGAGGCATGAGAATCGTTTGAACCTGGAAGGCGGAGGTTGCAGTGAGTGGAGATCATGCCATTGCACTCCAGCCTGGGCACCAAGAGTGAAACTCCATCTCAAAAAAAAAAAAAAATTTAAAAATTTAAAAACTAAATTAAAAAAAAAAAGAAATTTTGGTTATGACTTTCCAGAAATGTTTTCTCCAAGTGTATGCATGTATTCCAAAAACAGAATCAGGCTGTAAATACAATATGTAATCTCTATTTTTCACTTGATATATATTGTGATCTTTTTTAAGTCTTTAGATTTGACTCTTATAAATTATTTTATAATTATAAATATGTGAATGCCTTTTAATAATGATGCACTGCCGGAAAACTGCAGTGGGTAAGAAAAGTCAGTCAGTATGGTATTTGTCATTGCTATTATTGTGCTGTCCTGTGGCTGCCGTCATGAAGTGTGGATCCATAACATAGGTGGAGACTCATCTGTGAGTCATTAGTAGCTGACTCAAGAGGAACCAACAGTGTTTACTCTCTGAATAGGTGTTTCTGCATTTGAGAGGTGATTCAACTTACATTTTTAATCTTGTTCGAGTGAGTAAGGATTCTTTGTGAACTTGGAGCGCTGGTAGAGTGCTTTTCCTCATTGCTAGTAAAATAGGAAATGGAGGGACTCCACGCAGAACCCCCTTCCCAAGTTTACCTTTCCTCCTTTGCAGGGAACTGCTGCCTCCCAGAGGATAAATGCGCAGGTGAAGGTCTTAATGGGAAGCCCATGGCCGCTGGGAGAATGTGTTTCTCTTCTTAATGAATGCATTTCCCTCCTTTCTTTTTCTTGTTCTTACAGGGTTTCTGTGTAATTTCAGTGTGTCTAAGAGTTTTCTTTTCTTTCCTTTTCTTTTTTCAGTTGGAGTCTCGCTCTGTCCCCCAGGCTGGAGTGCAGTGGCGCTATCTTGGCTCACTGCAAGCTCTGCCTCCTGGGTTCAAGCGATTCTCCTGCCTCAGCCTCCTGAGTAGCTGAGATTAGAGGCGTGCGCCACCACACCCGGCTAATTTTGTATTTTTAGTAGAGATGGGGTTTCTCCATGTTGGTCAGGCTGGTCTTGAACGCCCAACCTCAGGTGATCTGCCCACCTTGGACTCTCAAAGCGTTGGGATTACAGGCGTGGAGCCACTGCGCCTGGCCCAATTTTTCTTTTTTGTGCAGTATATTATTGTTATTTTAGGGATTCAATTCTTCTATGTCTTAGTCTTTTTTTTTTTTTAATTGAGATGGGGTTTTGCTATATTGCTCAGGCTGGTCTCGAACTTCTGAGCTCAAGAAATCCTCCTGCCTCAGCCTCCCAAAGTGCTGGGATTAGAGGCATGAGCCACTGTGCCCGGCGTATTTTAGTCATTTTAAATGTGTTCCTTTCATGTTCTCTTTTAGATAGTCTTTCCATTATCCGAAATTCACAACCATGAACCTGGCTGTTTGTTGTTGGTGCTGACTCGCAGGCATGGTAAGTCGTTTCCATGTATGTCTGGAGTATAAGTTCATCGGTAGCAGGGCTTGGTTTTTCCTGAGAGAATTCACTGTGAGAAAGAGTCTTGGCACGTCTGTTCTCTGTTGACACTTGCCGAGAGTCTTGGAACGTCACTGGGCTTGTACACATTTCTGTAAGTTCTCATATTAGAGTTTGGGGTACCACATAGGTAAAAAAAATTCAAACTCTAAACCCCTAGGAGAAACTAAACTCTGAGATGTTAACAGTGAGGGAACATGGGTGAGAGGAATATGGAGAAACTCTGTGTACTACCTGGCAATTTTTCTGCAAACTTACAGTTATTCCAAAATAAAAAGTATTTTTTAGGCCAGGCATAGTGACTCATGCCTGTAATCCCAGCACTTTGGGAGGCCAAGGAGGGTGGATCACTTGAGATCAGGAGTTTGAGACCAGCCTGGCCACCATGGTGAAACCCCGTCTCTACTAAAAATACAAAAATTAGCCAGGCGTGAGGGCGCATGCCTGTAATCTCAGCTACTCGGGAGGTTGAGGCAGGACAATTGCTTGAACCTGCAAGGCAAAGGTTGCAGTGAGCCGAGATTGTGCCACTGCACTTCAGCTTGGGCGACAAAGCGAGACTGTCTCATATATTTATGTATACATAAATATATATGTATAAATATATATATATACATATATATATATATTTTAATGAAGCCCCTAGATTACTAAAGCCAATTCAACCCTTAGGTAGTTTGGAAGGAAAATAAATATCCCCAAAATCAAAGTCAAGCTGGGAACTGCGTAGAGCAAACCTGCCTCCCATTCTATTCCTAAATAAGATAGCTACAAAGAGTTTAAAAAGCTACATACCTCCCTCACAATCTGCCCACCAGGAAATTCCCTGTGGACAAAGTACAGGCTGAACTCAAAGTCATCGCTCTGCTTACATGAGACAAATGCATATCTGATTGCTCCCTGTGCCCTGCTGTTTCATTAAGCCAGACTAAGACATAAGTGATGATTCCTGTAAATTGTGCATTCAGTGAAAGACTACTCAGAAACTCAAAAGAAACCATTTGTCTCTTATCTACCTACGACCTGGAAACCTCCTCCCTGCTTCGAGTTGTCCCGCCTTTCTGGACTGAACCAATGTACATCTTACAATGTACATCTGACATGTCTCATGCCTCCCTAAAATGTATAAAGCCAAACTGTGCCCCAACCACCTTGGGGCACCTGTTGTCAGGACGTCCTGAGGCTGTGTCACGGGTGCATCCTTAACCTTGGCAAAATAAACTTTCTAAATTGATCGAGGCCTGTCTCAGATACCTTTTGGCTTATAGTAGTCAGAGTCAACTTATATCCTTACTGGTCTTCACTTTCCTCCTCATTTGATATATCTGCAGATAGTCCTTTTCCCTTGCAAGCTCAGCTATGAATTTAAAATAATTTGTGTTCACCATGTTCAGTGGCTCACATCTGTAATCCCAGCAACTCAGGAGGCTGAGACAGGAGGATTGCTTGAGATGAGGAATTCAAGACCAGCCTAGGCAATATAGCAAGATCCCCATTTCTTAAAAAATTAGCCAGGTGTGGTGGCACATGCCTGTAGTCCTAGCTACTCAGGAGACTAAGGTGAGACTATAGCTTGAGCCCAGGAGTTTGAGGCTGTGGTGAGCTACGATTGCACCACTGCACTCCAACCTGGGCAACAGGCCGAGACCCTATCTCTGAAAAAGAAAAATTGTGTCATAATTTATCTAGTATTTGTGAATGTTATCAGGTCATATGAATTCACTACACATAGCCTTAATTCCACATTTTCTCTTTAACCCACACTAATCAAGCTTTCATCCCTACCACTGAATTTGTTCTAGTCAACATTACCAATAGCATCCATCTTGCAAATCCAGTGGTCATTTCTTAGTAGTCATATTAATCTTTCGTCAGCATTTACACCTTCAAGAAATCCCTCCTTGAAACTCCATATTCTCTTGGTTTGTCGCACTCTCTTCTTTTTCCTACCTCTCCTCAGTCTTCTCTGCGGACTCATACTCCTTTGCTGATCTTTAAATGTCGAATATGGCTGGGCGCAGTGGCTCATGCCTGTAATCCTTGCACTTTGGGAGGCCGAGATGGGTGGATCACCTGAGGTCAGGAGTTTGAGACCAGCCTGGACAACATGGTGAAACCCCGTCTCTACTAAAAATACAAAAATTAGCCGGGCATGGTCGTGGGCACCTGTAATCTCAACTACTCGGGAGGCTGAAGCAAGAGAATTGCTTGAACCCGGGAGGCGGAGGTTGCAGTGAGCCAAGACCTTGCCAATGCACTCCAGCCTGGGCAACAAGAGTGAAATTCCATCTCAAAAAAATTAAATAAAAATAAATGTTGAATATTTCTGGACTCAGCCCTCTATTGAGTCTCATAATTCTATGCTCATTCTCTAGGTAATGCCATCCAGTCCAGTGATTTTTAGTGCCATATATATGTCAATGACTCCCATACTGAGATCTTCCAACCTGATTTCTAATGCCCAACCCCTGTTGCAGGCTTATATATACAACTTTATATAACTCCCACTTAACATCCCTGTTTGAATGTCAGGCTTAATATGACCGAAACAGAATTCTCAGTTTGGTGTCAACAATAGTAGCAAAGAGAACAGAGAAGTGAATCACTATGGCATAGCAAAAACCTCTTTATGGGATACTAGGTAGGCTTTTGAGAACACACATGGCCCTTCCCAAGTCTAACAGTATGACACGGAAGAAAACATTTCTCTACATGACCATCAAATGTCAGGTGTACCTTCATGAGGGCCTCAATCCAGAGGTCTTTTTATTCACTATTTTTGGAGAATAAACCTCTAGCCAGAGTGGAGGAGGGAAAGCTGCCTAATTACCTGTGGCAGGGGAAGAAATTCCTGAAGTTCCACTGCGTTTTCAACAGATTTTCAACCAGCGTCCATGTTTTACTCTCACGTCCCCATGTCCAAAGGCACATGGTGCCGCCAGTTCCTTGTCTTTGGGGTCTTTCCGCAGCTTAGATGAGGTTGCTTATCAGCTTTCCTCACTTCCCTTTTAGGACTAAGCTTTCTCCCGTCTGCTAATTTTGTCATCATTTTCCCATTTGCTTTCCAATTTAAGCAACTTTGTGGGCTGTTGTCTCTTTTCCAATTTTCTTTAGTGTTTAAGTACTTTTTTTTTTTTTTTTGAGACAGGGTTTTTCTGTCATCCAGGCTGGAGAGCAGTGGCATGATCTTGACTGACAGCAGCCTCCACCTCTCCGGGCTCAGATGATCTTCCCACCTGCAATACCACACCCAACTCATTTTTTGTATTTTTTTGTAGAGGCAGGGTTTCGTCATGTTGCCTAGGCTAGTTTCAAACTCCTGGGCTCAAGGCATCCGCCTGCCTCAGCCTCCCAAAGTGCCGGGATTACAGATACGAGCCACCGCGCCCAGACTTTAAGTCTTTTTTAATAACACTTTTTACTGTACTTTAGTGAGCTTTCAGGAGAGAGTAGAAGCTAAAGAGCAATCTTCTGATTTTAACCAAAAATCAAGACTGTAATCCATAGAGACGAAATCCCGTTTGAAGAGGAGGGGCAAGGAGAAGCCAAGGTAGGGCCATGGGAGCCCTGGGGAGCCTCAAAATCCACCTAGATCCACACACTATTCAGAGTTCCCTGGGAAGCCCTGAAACCTCAATTCCCACTAATTAGCCGACAGGATTGCCCTGGGGAACTCACATCTCAGTTCACGCCAGCAGAGCACTTAAACAACTATCTTGAATAAATCCTTTAATCTCCGTACAATCCAACACCTTCCAGGCCCTATAAGAACCAAGGGCACTGCAAGGAAAGCAGCCAAAGTTGGAAAATAGGTGTCCCGCAGGCATATTTAGTAATTATGCCTCAGCGTGTACATCCATTCCTAATGATTCCTCACTGTCTACAAACACAACTGAGAGATCAGATAGAGATTGCGTACCTCTATTTTATCAGACTTAGATCTGATTAATCTAAATTCCCATATACTTATAGAAATGCATGCCCTGACTCTGCTTTTGAAACTTGGAACATCACTAGGTTCACTTTCTTTTTTTTTGAAACAGGGTTTCACTCTGTTGCCCAAGGTGGAGTGCAGTGCTGCAATCTCGGTTCACTGCAACCTCCAACTCCCGGATTCAAGCAATTCTTGTACCTCAGCCTCCAGAGTAGCTAGGATTACAAGCGCCTGCCACCACACCTGGCTAACTTTTTTGTATTTTTAGTAGAGCCAGGGCTTCGCTATGTTGGCCAGGCTGGTCTCGAACTCCTGGCCTCCAGTGATCCACCTGCCTCGGACTCCCAAAGTGCTGAGATTATAGGCGTGAGCCACTGCGCCTGGCCTACTTAGTTCACTTTATTTTTTTTAATTTTTTTGAGATGGGGTTCCGCTCTTGTTGCCCAGGCTGGAGTACAATGGCGTGATCTTGGCTCACCGCAACCTCCGCTTCCTGGGTTTAAGCAATTCTCCTGCCTCAGCCTCCTGAGTAGCTGGGATTACAGGCATGTGCCACCATGCCCGGCTAATTTTTTGTATTTTTGGTAGAGACAGTGTTTCTCCATGTTGGTCAGGCTGGTCTTGAACTCCTTACCTCAGGTGATCCGCCCACCTCGGCCTCCCAAAGTGCTGGGATTACAGGCGTGAGTTGCCGTGCCCGGCCATACTTAGTTCACTTTCAGTAGATTTTCCTTTCAATATCTACTTCAGTGAGTCTAACAGATTCAACAGTTAATTCAAAATTCGAGAAGGCAGGAAAATCACGAAGTTCCCGTTGAAGAACTCCAGAGGATCTTTTGCCTTTTACTTATTCTGGAATGAGGGAGTTCAGCCAAGGAGCATCTCCTTTGCTTTCTGCTCCCTGGGAGTTTGCCAGCTGAGTTTATCACAGCACCACCTTGTCCCAAAACTAAGTTTTGAGCTGTGTTCATATTAGAAGCACCCTGGGCCAGGCAGCTTGAGACCAGGAGTTTGAGACCAGCCTGGACAATGTGGCAAAACCCTGTCTCTAGACAAAATACCAAAATTAGCTGGGTGTGGTAGTGCACACCTGTAGTCCCAGCTACTGGGGGTTGAGGGCAGGGGTGCTGAGGCAGGAGGATGGCTTGAGCCCAGGAGGTTGAGGCTACAGTGAACCACGATCATGCCACTGCACTCCAGCCTAGGCCACAGAGTGAGACCCTGTCTTCAAAAACAAAACAAAACAAAAAAGACCGGGCATGGTGGCGTGTGCCTGTAATCCCAACTACTTGGGAGGCTGATGTGGGAGGATCACTTAAGCCCGGAGGGCAGAGGGAACGTCTCAGTAGAAGTTTCGGTGTTTCTTATTATATATAATAAGAGACAGAGCCTTGTGTTAGAAAACAAACAAGCAAAAAACAAAAACAAAAAAAACTTTTTTTCTCTAATGTCTCACTACAACAATCAACACAAAAGACTTCTGTCACCAGACATGTGGAGATGTCCCCTCACACACCAAGCAGAGGACACCAGCTGAGTGTCTTCCAGTTTAATTCAATTCTGACGTTATCATCCTGCATAGCCTCAGAAACCACAGGTTGAGGGCTCAGTCCCGCAAGTCTGCCCCGCCCCTTCTCACCATTCACAAGTCTATGCCTCGGGAATTTCTGACCAACAGGCTTCAGGTTGGGGTTCCCACAAACTCCTCTTTGGGTTTGATTAATTTGCTAAAGTGGCTCACACAACTCAAGGAAACACTTACGTTTACTGGCTTATTATAAAGGATATTTTTAAAAGTATGAATAAACAGATGAAGAGAGAGAGATACATAGATACATAGTGAGAGGTCTGGAAGGGTCCCGAGCCCAGGAACTTCTGTGCCCGAGGAGTTGGTTGAATGAGTTCTTTTTTTTTTCTTTTTTTTTTTTGAGATGGAGTTTTGCTCTTGTTGTCCAGGATGGAGTGCAATGTCACAATCTCGGCTCACTGCAACCTCCGCCTCCCAGGTTCAAGCGATTCTCCTGCCTCAGTCTCCCAAGTAGCTGGGATTTACAGGCGCCCGCCACCACGCCCAGCTAATTTTGTATTTTTAGTAGAGGCGGGGTTTCTCCATGTTGGTCAGGCTGGTCTCGAACCCCCACCTCAGGTGATCCACCCGCCTGGGCCTCCGAAAGTGCTGGGATTACAGGCATGAGCCACGGCGCCTGGCTGTTGAATGAGTTCTTATTCACCTTCCTGTCAGCCTCCATGTGTTCAGGTCTCCAAAACTCCCTGAACCCTGTCCTCTTGGGCCTTTTATGAAGACTTCTTGGACAGGCATGACTGAAGCATGGACAACCATGTTGAAATGTGATTGGACAAAAAGGGAATGATCTAAACCCAGCAAGTCCTGTCTGTTCAGATTCTTCTTGGCTCTTCAGTGCAGCATTCTTACCTCCAGGTAATGAGGCAGAACTTCCTCTGGAATGGAGAGTTTTATGAGTCACAATTAGATTAGAATCCTGCATCAGGCAGGTGAAAGAAGGGCAAGAGAAGGTCAAAGAGAGAGATTCTGTTTACTGTGACATGGGCTATGGGAGTTATGAGTCACGAACCATGGATGAAAACACATATATTGGCCAGGTGCTGTGGCTCATGACTATAATCCCATAGCACTTTGGGAGGCTGAAGTGGTAGGATCACTTGAGCTCAGGAGTTCTAGACCAGCCTGGGTAACATAGTGAGCCCTCATCTCTAAAAATAAATAAATAAAACACACACACACACACACACACACACACACACACACATATAAAAAATAATATCACAAGTTCCTGGGAAAGCAAAATGGAGGTGTTCTTTTTTTTTTTCTTTTTTTTTTTTTTTGAGATGGAGTTTTGCTCTTGTTGTCCAGGATGGAGTGCAATGGCACAATCTCGGCTGACTGCAACCTCCGCCTCCCAGGTTCAAGGTTCAAGCGATTCAGTCTCCCGAGTAGCTGGGATTTACAGGTGTGTCTAACCTAATGGTCTGCAACCTGGCCTACAGAGGAAGCTGGAAGAGTTGAAGGAGAGTATTCTGGCCGATAAATTCCTGTCTAGTAGAACTGACTAGAACAGCAGAACTGCATTGCACTGGGCATGCTCAGCCAGACATGCAGAAATTGTTGAATTTTTGTTGCAACTTGGAGTGCCAGTGAGTGACAAAGGCGATACAGGTTGGTCTCCTCTTCATACTGTGGCTTCCGCTGGGCGGGATGAGATTGTAAAAGCCCTTCTGGGAAAATGTGCTCAAGTAAATGCTGTCAGTCAAAATGGCTGTACTCCCCTACATTATACAGCTTCCAAAAACAGGAATGAGATTGTTGTCAAGTTACTAGAAGGCGGGGTTGATCCACATGCTGAGGACCATTGTGAGGCTACAGCAATGCACCGGGCAGCAGCCAAGGGTAACTTGAAGATGATTCCTATCCTTCTATACTACAGAACATCCACGAACATCCAAGACACTGAGGGTAACACTCCTCTACACTTAGCCTGTGATGAGGAGAGAGTGGAAGAAGGAGCAAGTGTCCCAAGGAGCAAGTATTCACATTGAGAATAAAGAAGAAAAGACACCCCTGCAAGCGGCCAGAGGTTGCCTACGTTTAATACTCAAGTGAATGGTGGAAGGTTAAACAGCTTGGATTTATTCTTACCTTTTTTTTTTTTTTTTTGAGACGGAGTCTCGCTCCATCACCCAGGCTGGAGTGCAATGGTGTGATCTTGGCTCACTGCAACCTCTGCCTCCCGGGTTCAAGCAATTCTCCTGCCTCAGCCCTCTGAGTAGCTGGGATTACAGGCATGTGCCACCATGCCCGGCTACTTTTTGTATTTTCAGTAGAGACGGGCTTTCACCATCTTGGCCAGGCTGGTCTCAAACTCCTGACCTCAAGTGATCCGGCCGCCTTGGCCTCCCAAAGTGCTGGGATTACAGGCATGAGCCACCGTGCCCGGCCCTATTCTTACTTTTTATGTTGTGTTGTTGTTCCCAGTGTCCTGGAAACTAATGTACTTGTGCACAATACATCATCTATGAATGATAAAGTTTTCTCACCTTCAAAGTCGTATAAACATGTTGACCGTTGTTCCTGCTGAGTTACTTGTTCTAAGCTTACAGCTTTGCTTTCCAGGCATCAAATAACTGTTGAGATTGTTCTACTGCTGTCATATATTCTTGTATATTGAATTCTGGTCAATTTTGAATAACTAATTCTGTGGCTGTTGTGAGTTTTCAGCACCCTCCCATGTACCTTATATCCCTTTCTGAAACAGAACCACTCCAATAGAAATAAGCCAGTTGTTCTACCAGATGTTTCTATGTGGATTCTGTAATGTGCCTCCATATAGTTAAAACATCCTAACTTGTTTTTCAAGCTTCCTCAGGCCTATGCCAACATTTCTGGTTTTTTGTTTGTTTGTTTGTTTTTGTTTTGTTTTGTTTTGTTTTTGAGATGGATTTTCACTTTTGTTGCCCAGGCTAGAGTGCAATGGCACGATCTCGGCTCATTGCAACTTCTGCCTCCTGGGTTCAAGCAATTCTCCTGTCTCAGCCTCCTGAGTAGTCAGGATAACAGACGCATGCCACCACGCCTGGCTAATTTTTGTATTTTTAGAAGAGACGGGGTTTCATCACATTGGTCAGGCTGGTCTCGAACTCCTGACCTCAGGTGATCCGCCCGCCTCGGCCTTCCAAAGTGCTGGGATTACAGGTATGAGCCACCGCGCCCAGCCTAAAAATTGTTGTTGTTGTTGTTTGTTTGTTTTTTTTTTTTTTTTTTTTTTGAGACGGAGTCTCGCTCTGTCACCCAGGCAGGAGGGCAGTGGTGCAATCTCGGCTCACTGCAACCTCTGCCTCCCGGGTTCAAGCAATTATCTTGCTCAGCTTCTTGAGTAGCTGGAATTATAGGCACATGCCACCACGCCTGGCTAATTTTTGTATTTTTAGTAGAGAGGGTTTTTCACCACGTTGGTCAGGCTGGTCTTGAACTCCTGACCTGGTGATCTGCCAGCCTCGGCCTCCCAAAGTGCTGGAATTACAGATGTGAGCCACCATGCCCAGCCACATTTCTGTTTTGTTCAGCCATGAGATTTAATTTATTTTTGTGATAGGAGGAACATTTCTTTTTCTTTTTTTTTTTTTTTTTTCAGACAGAGTTTCACTCTTGTCATCCAGGCTGGAGTGCAACGGCATGATCTCAGCTCACTGCAACCTCTGCCTCCTGGGTTCAAGTGATTCTCCTGCCTCATCCTCCTGGGTAGCTGGGACTACAGGCGTGTGCCACCATGCCTGGCTAATTCTCTTTTGTATTTTTAGTAGAGACGGGGTTTCACCATGTTGGCCAGTCTGGTCTTGAACTCCTGACTTCAGGTGATCCACCTGCCTTGGTCTCCCAAAGTGCTGGGATTACAGGAGTGAGCCACCGTGCCCAGACGGACATTTACATATTTTAGTGGACCAAATGTTAAGTTGGAGGGTGTGCTCTGAAATAGTAAACAACAATAGCCCATGTACCCACGTATTTTTGTGATGAGCTGTTTACTCTAAAATAAAATGCATGGCTTTTTAAAAATACCTATATTGAGTCATCTTGTATTGAAAAGAATGTTAAGCTTGTTAAAATGATATGTAACAAAAATGTATTTTGATTTGTATTTCGGAAACTAAAAAATAAGATGTTGAAAGAAAAAAAATCACAAGCCTGATAAGTTGTAATGAAGGTTTTCTTCACCAATCCGTTTCCTTTAATCCTGATATCACCAGACTGTACATATTCCTCACCCCTTCTTCTTATTTATTTTATTCTGTTTTATTGTATTTTGTTTTTTGAGACAGGGTCTCACTCTGTCGCCCAGGCTGGAGTGCAGTGGAGGATAACAAAGTAATGGTGAATACTTTGAAAATTTGAAGTACTTGACATAATAGCTTTCTTACAAAGCATATTAAATGATATTGTAATTTATAGTTTCTTTCATTGAGATCAAGGCTAAGCCCAAAATTTTAAAGGAAAATAAAAATGAAAGGGCACTACCCCTTGACTCTTTTCTCTCTTTAGGGAAGACTCAAAGACCTTCTAGGAGGTAGTATCAGAAAGTACCAGCGACTTAGGCATCACTTCAAGTGTTTCAATGGGGACAGGCAGGAAAGTGGCATAGTGGTGGTTCTAGGAGATATTTTTTCCCCCAAATCCTAGTAGTTAATCAAAAATAATCGTCACCAGCAACAACTGAAAATACTTATGGGGCTAGTCACAGACTTCAGCCGTCCCACTATTTAGAATTTTACATTGAAAACAAGATCTAGCTGGGTGAGGTGGCTCACGCCTGTAATCCCAACACTTTGGGAGGCCGAGGCAGGCAGATCACCTGAGGTCGGGAGTTTGAGACCAGCCTGGCTAACATGGCGAAACTCTGTCTCCACTAAAAATACAAAAAATTAGCCAGGCATGGTGGTGGGTGCCTGTAATCTCAGCTACTTGGGAGGCTGAGGCACGAGAATTGCTTGAACCCGGGAGGTGGAGGTTGCAGTGAGCCGAGATCGTGCCATTGCACTCTAGCCTAGGAGACAGAGCTACGCTCTGTCTCAAAAAAAAAAAAATCTACATTTGCCTCTGCCATGATTTGGCTAATGACTACAGATTCCAGTAGGCTACAATCTGTCAGTACCAGCATATCCCAAACAGTCAGAAGATTTCAGATGGAGTACTTATTTTGGTAGTTATGTGATTATTTTAATCAGCACTGGAAAAAATATAACAAATTTAACCTGTGATTTCACTGAAGCTAAGTAAATGCGAATTGTAACCTATAGTTACAAAAATTTGTTAAGAAAAACTAGGCATCCCAGCACTTTGGGAGGCTGAACTGCGAGGATTGCTTGAGGCCAGGAGTTTGAGACCAGCCTGGGTAACACAGCAAGACCTCATCTCTTAAAAAAAAAAAAAGAAAAAGGAAAAGAAAAATTAGGTAAATATGTCAAAGAGTACTCAGGTATAGCAAAAATTATGAAGCCTGAATAACTGAAGAATGACTGGATTTATACCAAAAAAATAAGGTCTGTAAACTGCTGCTTTGCTTCTGAGTTGACTGCGCCTCAGGCTTAGATGCAGGGACTACATTTAAAGGGCACCCTTACCAACCCATGATATAGGCTCAGCTTTGAATTTGGGCAAACACCATACAAAGTCTACAAATAATATCAGCAGAAGTAACAATACAAAACAATGAATGTGGGAGTAAATAGGAGGAACTATTCTGTCACTCTGAGCTTGGTTCCTTAATGTAGTAGGAGGCGGAGGTTGCAGTGAGCAGAGACGGTGACAGTGCACTCCAGCCTGGGTAACAGAGTGAGACCCCGTCTCAAAAAAAAAAAAAAAAAATCTTGAGATGGAGAGATTATCTTGGATTATTCAGGTGGGCCCATTGGAATCACAAAGTCCTTATAAGAGGGAGGCAGGACATTGGTAGACCGAGGCAGGCGGATCATGAGGTCAGGAGATTGAGACCAGCCCGGCTAACACGGAGAAACCCCGTCTCTACTAAAAATACAAAAAATTAGCCGGGAGTGGTGGTGGGTGCCTGTAGTCCTGGCTACTTGGGAAGCTGAGGCAGGAGAATGGCGTGAACCCAGGAGGCGGAGCTTGCAGTGAGCCGAGATCGCACCACTGCACTCCAGCCTGGGCGACAGAGCGAGATTCTGTCTCCAAAAAAAAAAAAAAAGAGGAAGGCAGGAGGGTCAGAGTCAAAGAAGGTGTGACAATGATGAAAGGAGAGGTCAGAGTGATGTGGCTATGAGCCAAGGAATGTAGGCAGTCTCCAGATAATGAAAAAGGCCTGCCCTGGAGCCTCCAGAAGGAACACATCTCTGCCTACTGCTTGATTTTAGCTCTGTGAGACCCATTTCAGATTTTTGATTTTTTTTTTAACTAAATATCCAGACTTCAAGGAGACCATTTCAGATTTTTAACCTCCAGAGCTGTAAGATACTAAATTTGCGGCCAGGCGCAGTGGCTCATGCCTGTAATCCCAGCACTTTGGGAGGCTGAGGCGGGTGGATCACCTGAGGTCAGGAGTTTGAGACTAGCCTGACCAACATGGTGAAACCCCGTCTCTACTAAAAATACAAAAATTAGCTGGCCGTGCTGGCGGGCACCTGTAATCCCAGCTACTTGGGAGGCTGAGGCAGAAGAATCGCTTGAACCAGGAAGGCAGAGGTTGCAGTGAGCTGAGATCACGCCACTGCACTCCAGCCTGGGCGACAGAGTAAAACTCCATCTCAAAAAAAAAAAACGATACTAAATTTGTGTTGTTTTTAAGTCACTAACTTGGCAGTTTTAGTTACAGCAGCAACAGAAAACTAATACAAGCACCAAGGCACTGGGCTTTATATTGTGGGAGATACAAAGATTAATAAAACATAATCTACCCTCTCAAGGTGGATACAATTTAGTAGAAGAGATGAAACACATTACTAAATATGCTAGAACATATCATAAAAGCAGCAGAAAGAATGGCTATGGGAGTCCAAAGGAAAGAAACCACTCTGTTTCTAGGGTTATTCATACTGGAGGAGGAGGTGTTTGAGCTGATCTTAAAAGGATAATGCAGATTTTCTTTTTCTTTTTGGAGACATGGTCTCGCTCTGTCACCCAAGCCAAAGTGCAGTGGCGCGATCTCAGCTCACTGCAGCCTCTACCTCCTGGGCTCAAGTTATCCACCCAGATCTCGGCTCACTGCAGCCTCTGCCTCCTGGGCTCAAGTTATACACCCACCTCACCCTCCTGAGAAGTTTGGACTACAAGCGTGAGCCACTGCACACCGCACCCAGGCGGGATAAGTAAAATTTTTTTTTTTTTTTAGATGGAGTCTCTGTCGCCCAGGCTGGAGCACAGTGGTGCCATCTCAGCTCACCGCAACCCCCGCCTCCTGGGTTCAAGCAATTCTCCTGCCTCAGCCTCCTGAGTAGCTGGAACTACAGGCACGCGCCACCATGCCAAGCTAATTTTTTTTGTATTTTTAGTAGAGACGGGGTTTCACCATGTTGGCCAGGATGGTCTCGATCTCTTGACCTAGTGATCCACCCGCCTCGGCCTCCCAAATTGCTGGGATTACACGCGAGAGCCACCGTGCCCTGCCAGGATAAGTAAATTTTTAGAGATGAATAAAAAAAGGTGGAGAAAGTGGCACACTTTTACAAATTAAATCACAATATAAGGCATTTTTAAATAAACCTATTATTAGTCATTTGATAAAGGAAATACTCCCATAATAAAAAACAATCATGCCCTAACATATCTTTTGTTTTAAGGAAGACGCAGGCCGGGCGTGGTGGCTCACGCCTGTAATCCCAGCACTTTGGGAGGCTGAGGCGGGCGGATCACAAGGTCAAGAGATCAAGACCATCCTGGCCAACATGGTGAAACCCTGTCTCTATTAAAAGTACCAAAAAAATTAGCTGGGGGTAGTGGCGCACGCCTGTAATCCCAGCTACTCGGGAGGCTGAGGCAGGAGAATCGCTTGAACCTGGGAGGCAGAGGTTGCAGTGAGCCAGGATTGTGCCACTGCACTCCAGCCTGGCGACAAAGCAAGACTCCATCTCAAAAAATAAAAATAAAAATAAAAAATAAGGAAGACACAATTAGATTTGCTCGAACCTAAATAATGACAGCATTGTAATTATAGTTTTAAAAATTATAAATGTCACTGGGTCCAGTGGCTCATGCCTGTAATCCCAGCACTTTGGGAGGCTGAGGTGAGAGGATTACTTGAAGCCAAGAGTTCAAGACCAACCTGGGTGACAGAGCAAGGCCCTATCTCTACAAAAATAAAAATTAAAAAATCACTGGGCATGGTGGCACCTGCCTGTAGTCCCAGCTACTTGGGAAGCTATGGTGGAAGGATGGTTTGAGCCCAGGAATTTGAGGTTGCAGTGAGCTATGATTGAGCCACTGTACTTCAGCCTGGCAACAGAGGGCGACCCCATCTAAAAAAAAAAAAAAAAAAAAATTATAGTTCTAATATATGCTCATGGTACTAAAAAAACATAAACTGAACAGTAGTGTGTCAAGCAAAAAGTAAGTTTTCTGGCCTGGTGCGGTGGCTCACATCTGTAATCTCAGCATTTTGGGAGGCCAAGTGGGGGCGGCTCACCTGAGGTCAGGAGTTCAAGACCAGCCTGGCTAACATTGTGAAACCCTGTCTCTACTAAAAATACAAAAATCAGCCAGGCATGGTGGCACATGCTTGTAATTCCAGCTACTTGGGAGGCTGAGGCAGGAGAATAGCTGGAACCTGGGAGGCAGAGATTGCAGTGAGCCAAGAGCGTGCCAATGCACTCCAACCTGAGTGACAGAGTGAGTCTGCCTCAAAAAAAAGTAAGGTTTTCCTGTCTGTTTCCCATTTGCACTCCCTATTAGAGGAAATCACTATTTCCTTCTAGAAAAGTTTGATTGAAATAATTATGTATAATACATGTTTCTCTGCATAAACCTACGCATGTACCCATCCATTTTTTTTTTAAATATAGAGATGGGGTCTTACTATGTTGCCCAGGCTGGTCTCAAACTCCTGAGCTGAAGCAATCCTCCCACCTCGGCCTCTCAAAGTGCTGGGATTATAGATGTGAGCCACCATGACCTGCTTATCCATCCATTTTTTAAATTATTACTATTTTTGAGACAAAGTCTAGCTCTGTCTCCCAGGCTGAACTGTAGTGGCACAATCTCGGCTCACTGCATCCTCCGCCTCCCGGGTTCAAGCGATTCTCCTACCTCAGCCTCCTGAGTAGCTGGGATTACAGGTGTGTGCCACCATGTCCGGCTCATTTTTGTATTTTTAGTAGAGACAGGGTTTTGCCATGTTAACAGGCTGGTCTCGAATTCCTGAGCTCAGGTGATCCACCTGCCTCAGCCTCCCAAAGTGCTGGGATTATAGGCGTGAGCCACTGCACCCGGCTTACCCCTCCATTTTTTCACACAAAGGACCTTGCAAAATATAATGATCTTTGAGAAGTTACAATATATAAACATCTTTGCATATTGGTACACAGAGATCTAGAGACTTCATTGTTATTGTTATTTTTCACTAATGTCATTTTGTTACAGGAAGGGGGTCCCGATCCAGACCCCAAGAGAGGATTCTTGGATCTCGCACAAGAAAGATTTCAGGGTGAGTTCACAGTGCAAAGTAGAAGCAAGTTCATTAAGAAAGTAAAGTAGTGAAAGTACAGCTATTCCATAGACAGAGTAGAACGTTCCCGAAAGTAACAGGAAGAACGCATCCACCCTAGGTACAATACTTGTATATATAGAATAAAAAAAGATCATGGGAAGATGTGCTGTGCTCAAGGGTTTGTGATAAAGGATTAATTTTCTTAATTACTGTATTTTGCAAGAATCGATATTATTATCTTTAAAGCAAAATTAGGAATGCCTTTGTTCTCAAGATATTGGGATATCAGGACACTCCCAAGTCTGGGTCTGTTTAGTAAACATTATCAATTTGTTCCCTTACTAAACATCTAGAGGCTAGGAATACCTTTCTGGTACAGCAGCCCAGCAAGTTCCAGCTTCATTTTCCTAGCCCTCACTCAAGATGGAGTCTGTCTGGTTAGAACGCCTCTGGCAATTCTATTGTACCAGTATTCACTCTAGGAGGCCATATTACATTTAACAATCATTCTCTCTCTTTATTTTATTTTGTTGGAGACAGAGACTCACTCTGTCACCCAGGCTGGAGTGCAGTGGCACAATCACAGCTTACTGCAGCCTCGGACTCCTGGATTCAATCAATCCTCCCACCTCGGCTTCCCGAGAAGCTGGGACTACAGGCGTGCACTACTATACCCAGATAATTTATTTTTAAATTTTTATTTCTTAACTTTTATTTATTATTTATTATTATTATTTTTTTGAGATGGAGTCTTGCTCTGTCGCCCAGGCTGGAGTGCAGTGGTGTAATCTCAGCTCCCTGCAAACTCCCCCTCCTGGGTTCAAGTGACTCTCCTGCCTCAGCCTCCCAAGTAGGTGGAATTACAGGTGCACATCACCATGCCCAGCTAATTTTTATATTTTTTAACCCCTGACAATCACTACTGTTTTCTATTTCTATAATTTTGTCTTTTCAAAAATGTTATATCTTGCAGGAGGTAACTATTTATTTATTTATTTGAGACAGATGTTTACATATTGTAAATGCTCAAAGATCATTATATTTTGCAAGAGACCAGGTTTCACCATGTTGGCCAGGCTGGTCTCAAACTCCTGACCTCAGGTGATCCACCTGCCTCAGCCTCCAAAAGCGTTGGGATTACAGGTGTGAGCCACTGGGCCTGGCCCATGTTGCCCTTTAATAGCCACAGTTCATCTGTCTCCTGCCCCCATTCTCTCCTTAACCCCTGACAACCACTTGTGTTTTCTGTTTCTATAATTTTGTCTTTTCAAAAATGTTATATCATGCAGGAGGTAACTATTTATTTATTTATTTATTTATTCATTTATTTGAGACAGAGTCTCACTCTATCACCCGGCTGGAGTGCAGTGGTATGATCTCAGCTCACTGCAACCTCCACCTCCTGGGTTCAAGCAATTCTCCTGCCTCAGCCTCCCGAGTAGCTGGGATTACAGTCATGCGCCACCATGCCCAGCTAATTTTTGTATTTTTAGTAGAAATGGGCTTTCCCCATGTTGGCCAGGCTGGTCTCGAACTCTTGACCTCAAGTGATCCACCTGCCTAGGCCTCCCAAAGTGCTGGGATTACAGGCGTGAGCCACCGCGCCTGGCCAAGGGGTAGCTTTTTAGCATTGATTTAAAATTCAGCATAATAATCTGGAGATTCATACAGGTTGTGATATGTAATAATAAATAGACCCTTTCTTTTTATTACCAAGTAGTATTCCACAGTATGAATATATCACAGTTTACCCATTCATCCATTGAAAGACATCTGGATTGTTTTCAGTTTCTGCCTATTATAAATAAAGCTGCTCTGAACATTCATATCAGAGTCTTTGTGTGAACATAAGTCTTCATTTCTCTCAGCTAAATGCCCAAGAGTGAAATTGCTGGATCACATGGTATGGTGGTGGTTACCTGTTTAGCTTTTTAAGAAACTATTGCTGCAACCAGGCGTAGTGGCTCACGCCTGTAATCCCAGCACTTTGGGAGGCCAAGGCGGGCGGATCACCTGAGGTCAGGAGTTTGAGACCAGCCTGGCCAACATGGTGAAACTCGTCTCTAATAAAAATACAAAAATTAGTCAGGCATGGTGGCGGGTTCCTGTAATCCCAGCTTCTCGGGAGGCTGAGGCAGGAGAATCTCTTGAGCCTGGGAGTCAGAGGTTGCAGTGAGCCGAGACCATGAAACTGCACTCCAGCCTGGGTGAAAGAGCGAGACTCCGTATCAAAAAAAAAAAGAAAGAAAAGAAAAGAAACTACTACTGCTTTCCAGGTGGCTACACCTCACTTTACATTTCCATCAGCAGAGGATGAGAGATCCAGTTTCTCTGCATACTTGTCAGAATTTGTTGTTGTCACTTTGTTATTTTAGCCATTCTAATTAGGTGTACAACGATATTTCATTGTGGTTTTTATTTGCATTTCTCAAATGGCTAATAGTGTTAAACATCTTTTTGTATGCTTGTTTGCCATCTGTATATCCTCCTCAGTGAAATGTTTGTTTTCTTTTTTAAATTTTGTTTAATGTTTTAAAAATATGCAACACTTCATGAATTTGCATGTCATCTTTGCGCAGGGCCCGTGCTAATCTCTGTATTGTTCCGATTTTTTTAATACATGTGCTGTGGAAGTGAGCACAGAATGTTTTTCAAATCTTTTGTTCATGCTGTATTAGGACTGTTTTGTTTTTGCTTTTGTTTTTGAGACGGAGTCTTGCTCTGTTGTCCAGGCAGGAGTGCAGTGGCTTGATCTGGGCTCATTGCAACCTCCGTCTCCCGGGTTCAAGAGATTCTCCTGCCTCGGCTTCCCGAGTAGCTGGGATTACAGGAGTCTGCCGCGACGCCCGGCTAATGTTTATATTTTTATTACAGACGGGATGTCACCATGCTGGCCAGGCTGGTCTCGAACTCCCAGCCTCAGGCAATCTGCCCGCCTCGGCCTCCCAAACTGCTGGGATTACAGGCATGAGCCACCGCGCCTGGCCAAAACTGTTGTTTTTTACTGTTGAGTTTTTTGCGAGTTTTTATCTATTCTAGATACCAGTACTTTGCCAGATACGTGGTTTGCACATATTTTCTCCTCTATAGCTTATCTTTTCATCCTTATCTTAACAGGGTCTTTCAAAAGCCGAGGTTTTCCTGTGCGCTCGGAGGAGCCATAGCTGCCAGCTGGGCTGGCGGCGGGTGCCCCCAGCCCTTGTGGGCGGCGGGCAGAGCTGGCCTGGGGGCCGGGTCCCGTGGGGGGTCGCGCAGACAGTGTGTCCGGAGCGCCCCCGGCGGGAGCGCAGGCTGCGGGGCGAGAGGGAAGAGGAGGCGGCGGATAAGGTGATGGCGAGAAGATGGAGGAAGAGCAGACGAAGGAAGAGAAAGGAGATGGAAGAGAGAATGTCACCAGAGGAGACCGAAGGAACAAATTTTGACTTTGCAGGAGAAGCTGTGGGCCAGGCAGAAAGAAAAGGACCAGCTTTTTCTGCAGCTGAAGAAAGTTTCCATGAGGAAGAAAAACGGAGGCGAAAGGAGCAGAGCGACCTGACCTTCTGACATCCGCTGTGAGCCGGCGGAGCCCGATTATTCACGTGGGGACTCGCTTCCTCCTCGGCATGCAGGCAGCGCTGGAGGGCACGATCGCCCGGGCATTGTCATAGCAGCTGACCCAGCCAAGCAGATGTTCAGGCCCCACGTGCTTACGACCCGGAAGTCCGTGGGCTCAGCGGCGGCTTTTGCAGGGACCCCAGAGCAGGCAGCCTGGGCGGTGCCGCTGGGACTGCTCAGCCCCTACCTCAATATGGGCCCACATAGCTAGCCTATGGCCCTAGTCGGCAGCTCAGAGCAGTTCAGTGCTCCCTGGGGTGCATTCATGTCCCAGCCACAACCTTATGTTCTGCTGGGCCACTTTCAGCACACCCAGACAGGGTTCCTCTTCTGGTGCTGCTCTGTCTTTGAAACCGCAGATAGACCATGCTAACCAGCACACAGGTTTCCCTGGTCCATCCTCCCTGACCCCCATGCATGCCCAGGTTCTGCATCCAGGCCCTAGACTCCTTGCCTAATCCCAGCTCCCCGCGAAGATGCAGCCAGCAGGAACGTCTAGGTTTTGCAGCTACCAACCAACCAGGCCCTCAGCAACTCGTCATCCAACACAGCCAGAACCTGTCATGCTGCAAGTGACCATCAGATAGCTTCAATTTCGTCCTGCCCCCACACACACACCATGGGTGTGGGTTCCCCCCGAGTGTCCCAGCCCAAGGCCAATATAATCTACTTGCCATTGGGAGAAGGAGAAGGAAAAGGACAAGATGGAGAAGGAGGAGGAAGGAAGAAGAGAGCAACGGGTTTTAAGGATAAGTCCAATTTATCAATTTTTCCTTTTTATTTTTTCATTTGTCTCAAGCATGCTCATAATTGGTCACCAAAGCATTTTCGTCATGGCTGCTTTACAACCTTGACCAGTATAATAATTCCAACATTCCTATCATCTCAGAGTTGGCATCCATTGTCTTTTTCATTCAGTTTGAGATCTTCATGATTTTTTTTTTTTTTTTTTGAGACGGAGTCTCCCTTTGTCACCCAGGCTGGAGTGCAATGGCACAATCTCTGCTCACTGGAACCTCCACCTCCCGTGTTCAAGCGATTCTCCCACCTCAGCCTCCCGAGTAGCTGGGATTACAGGCACCTGCCATCATGCCCGGCTAATTTTTTTGCTATTTTTGTGGAGATGGGGTTTCACCATGTTGGCTAGGCTGGTCTTGAACTCCTGACCTCAGGTGATCCTCCCACTTTGGTTTCCCAAAGGGCTGGGATTACAGGTGTGAGCCACCGCGCCCGGTCACGATTTTTGGCTTAAGTGATTTTTTTTTTTTTTTTTTTTGAGACGGAGTCTCGCCCTGTCCCTCAGGCTGGAGTGCAGTGGCGCAATCCGGGCTCACTGCAAGCTCCGCCTCCCAGGCTCACGTCATTCTCCTGCCTCAGCCTCCCCAGCAGCTGGGACTACAGGTGCCCGCCGCCATGCACTGGCTAATTTTTTGTATTTTTAGTAGAGACGGGGTTTCACCGTGTTAGCCAGGATGGTCTCGATCTCCTGACCTTGTGATCCGCCCGCCTCGGCCTCCCAAAGTGCTGGGATTACAGGCGTGAGCCACCGCGCCTGGCCGGCTTAAGTGATTTTCTATTGAAATCTGGAAACTTCTGTATTGTTATGTGACTCAAGATCTTTTTTTCCTCTCTGTATTTTTCTTTCTTTCTTTCTTTCTTTTTTTTGTTTTTTTTTGAGACGGAGTCTCGCTCTGTTGCCTAGTCTGGAGTGCAATGGCGCGACCTCAACTCACTGCAACCTCCGCCTCCTGGGTTCAAGTGATTCTCCTGCCTCAGCCTCCTGAGTAGCTGGGATTATAGGCGCGTGACACCACACCCGGATAATTTTTGTATTTTTAGTGGAGATGGGGTTTCACCATGTTGGCCAGGCTGGTCTCAAGCTCCTGACCTCAAGTGATCCACCCGCCTCGGCCTCCCAAAGTGTTGGGATTACAGGCATGAGCCACCGTATCTGGCCTGTTTTTTAAATCAGTAGACTAACAACTACAATTAGGTGGGAAAACAAAACATTCTAATGGATTAACTTCATTCTAACTAGATTATCTGGCTAGGAATATATTTTTATTTTGGTAAAATAGGAATAACATAAAAAGTACCATTTTAACCATTTTTAAGCGTATACTTCAGTAGCATTGTGCATATTCATGATGTGATACAACCATGACGGCTATTCATCTGCAAACCTTTTTCCCCAAATTGGAACTCTGTTCACATTAAACAGTAACTCCTCATTCTCCCCTCCCCCAGGCCCTGATAACCCTCCTACTTTCTGTTTCTATGCTCATATAAGTGGACTCATATACTACGTGTCCTTCTGTGTCTGGTTTATTTCACTTAGCATAATGTCTTCAAAGGTGCATTCGTACTGTAGCATGGATCGGAATTTCATTCCTTTTTAAGGCTGAATAATATTCCATTGATGTATAAAGCACAATTTGATTTTTTGTGTTGTTTGTTTTTTGGAGACAGGGTCTTGTTCTGTTGCCCCCGGGCTGGAGTGCAGTGGCGTGATCATGGCTTACTGCTGCCTTCATCTCCCAGGCTCAAGCAAGCCTCCTGCCTCAGCCTTCCCCGAGTAGCTGGGACCACAAGCACATGCCACCACACCTGGCTAATTACTTGATTTTTTTGTAGAGATGGGGTCTCCCTATATTGCCCAGGCTGGTCTCAAACTTCTGAACTCAACTGATCTTCATGTCTCAGCCTCCCAGAGTGCTGGAATTACAGGCGTGAACCACCACGCCCAGCCACACTTGTTTTATCTACTGATCCGTCAATGGATGCTTGGGTTGCTGTCACCTTTTGGCTATTGTGAATAATGCTGCTATGAACACTGGTGTACAAATAATCTGTTTGCATCCCTGCTATCAATTATTTTAGGTATATACTCAGAAGTGGAATTGGTGGATCATATGATAATTCTTTAATTTTTGGAGTAACTGCCATACTGTTCACAGTGGCTACACCATTTTACATTTCTACTAGCAATGTACAAGGATTTTGGTTTTCCACATCCACACCAACAATTGTTATTTTCTATTTTTTTAAAAAATTAATAGTCATTTTGGTCAGCCGTGCTGGCTCACACCTGTAATCCCAGCACTTTGGGAGGCGGAGGCAGGAGGATTGCTTAAGCCTAGGAGTTCACGACCAGCCTAAGCAACAATTGAGACTCGCCTCCCAAGCCTTCCCACCCCGTTCTCTATTTAAAATAATAATAGTCATCTTAATGGGTGTGAAGTGGTATCTCACTGCGGTTTTGATTTGCATTCCTCTAGTGATTAGGGATGCTGAGCATTTTTCACATGCTCATTAGATCTTACTTCAATCTCTGGCTCTGGCTGGCTTTCTCTGATGCCGCTCTGGCCGGGGAAGGACAGCACAGCCTTCCTACTGCCAGCAGGAGGTAGAAGTCCAGATTTCTCACACACACCAGAGGGGATGATCCTTGTTACTGCTGGGTGGGGGCTGGAGTTCCTCATGTGGTCTCCACCGACACTACAATGAGGTGGCCTCATGACGACTGTGCGATCAAGTCCTGATTTCCCAGCGGGCCTTGTATAACACCACCTTAGTGGGATCTGAAGGATCACCTTTCTTCCTGCCCAGTGGGCCTGGAAGTTGAAGCTGCTCCGTGGTCTCCTCTGACAATGTGGTGGTGGTAGTGGCGGGGGTCTGGGGGTGGAGGTTGTCAGAGAACCTCATTACAGCCTCCCAAGGGTAGAATCGTGGGCTCCCCAGTTGGCTTTTGCTGGCATGGGTGTGGGTAGGACCACAGCTGCTTCTGTGGTATTTGGCTGAAATAATGGAATTACTGTCTACAACTTTTCTATCTTCCTAGAATGCCTCTGTCCTGGGTAGAGAAAGCAGCCTTTTGCTGGAGCTTTTCTAGTCTATGCCGGTTGGCTTTTCTGGGTTGCTAGCTTCTTCAGTTTTGTTTTGTTTTGTTTTTTTTTTTTTTTTTTTTTGAGGTGGAGTCTCGCTCTGTCGCCCAGGCTGGAGTGCAGTGGCACGATCTCAGCTCACTGCAAGCTCCGCCTCCAGGGTTCACGCCATTCTCCTGCCTCAGACTCCCAAGTAACTGGGACTACAGGTGCCCGCCACCACGCCCGGCTAATTTTTTGTATTTTTAGTAGAGACAGGGGTTTCACCATGTTAGCCAGGATGGGCTTGATCTCCTGACCTCGTGATCCGCCCGCCTCGGCCTCCCGAAGTGCTGGGATTACAGGCGTGAGCCACCGCGTCCGGCCGCTTCTTCAGTTTCAACTCAGGATGTGTGAAGGAGGAAGAAAACCCAGGGAATTCACTATCATGTGTATCTTGAGGTTCCTACCTGTCTGCCTTCTTTTCCCCACCTCCCAGAGTCTTCTTGTGTTTGCTTTATATATAATGTCCAGGGTTTTCAGTTGCACTTAGTAGGAGGAACAGGAAAAATTTTGCCTACTCCATCTCTCCAGAAGTAGAAGTAGACCTCACTGTTTGTAATGACTAATACACACGGCATACAATTTACTAACCAATCTTCTTTTGACAGCCATTGAAGTCGTTTATAGTTTTATTATTTTAATAGTTTTTTTTCCTATTAAAATAATGAAGGGCCGGGTGCGGTGGCTCAGCCTGTAATCCCGGCACTTTGCGGAGCCGAGACGGGTGGATCACCTGAAGTCAGGAATTCAAGACCGGCCTGGCCAACATGGCAAAACCCTGTCTCTTCTAAAATACAAAAATTAGCTGGGTGTGGTGGCATGCACCTGTAATCCCAGCTACTCAGGAGACTGAAACAGGAGAACCACTTGAATCTGGAAGGTGGAGGTTGCAGTGAGCCAAATCGCACCATTTGCACTCCACCCTGGGCAACAGAGAGAGATTCTGTCTCAAAAAACAAAAACAAACAAACAAAAAAAGAAAAAAAAAAAGAAAAAATAGAGGAAAAAATTTTTACCTAAAGTATGATTTCCATTATGTTTAAAAACAAACAGACATTCTTGGGGTTGGTGATTGTTTTCTGTCATTTCCAAAAAACGATATAACTATTATTTTTAATGAACTATATAGGAATATATGTATATATATAGTTTATATATACATATATAGTTTATACATATATAGTTTATATATACGTATATATAGTTTATATATACGTATATATAGTTTATATATGTATATATAGTTTATATATACGTATATATAAATATATAGTTTATATATATGTATATATAAACTTTATCTCATTTATATGATAAAGATGAAAGATGAGGCCGGGCAACGTTATAAGAATTAAAAGAGATAAATTCCTGGCCAGGCATGGTGGCTCACACCTGTAATCCCAGCACTTTGGGAGGCAGAGGCGGGCGGATCACCTGAGGTTGGGAGTTCGAGACCAGTCTGACCAACATGGAGAAACCCCGTCTGTACTAAAAATACAAAATTAGCCGGGCGTGGTGGTGGATGCCTGTAATCCCACTACTCGGGAGGCTGAGGCAGGAGAATCGCTTGAACCCGGGAGGCAGAGACTGCAGTGAGCCGAGATTGCACCACTGCACTCCAGCTTGGGCAACGAGAGCGAAACTCTGTCTCAAAAAGAAAACAAACAAACATGAAAGATGAGTTGGTTGTGTCACATGAAGAGGGTAGTATAGAGCCCCAGGTAATGGGGCACAGGAGTGGGATTCCAGATACCAGGCCCACATTTCTGGGGTGAGATTGCCAATCATGGTCTTTCTTCCATCCTTCACAGAGGTGTAGGTTTGTCCTGAAGACAAACCTGATCCTGGAGACTTCATGTAATCTCGAAGAGATGTGCAAACTGATGAAAAACAGTGATTTTTTTTTTTTGAGACAGTCTTGCTCTGTCACCCAGGCTGGAGTGTGGTGGCGCAATCTTGGCTCATTGCAACCTCCACCTCCTGAGTTCAAGCAATTCTCCTGCCTCAACCTTCCGAGTACCTGGGATTACAGGCGCCCACCACCATGCCTGGCTAATTTTTTGTATTTTTAGTAGAGAAAGGGTTTCACCACGTTGGCCAGGCTGGTGTCAAACTCCCGACCTCAGGTGATCCACTGGCCTTGGCCTTCCAAAGTGCTGGGGTTACAGCTGTGGGTCACCATGCCTGGCCAAAATAGTGAATCTTTGAGGTAAAATAAAGATGTCGCCCAGGCTGGAGTGCCATGATCATGCCAGTGCACCCTCTGCCTCCCAGATTCAAGTGATTCTCCTGCTTTCCTGCCTCAGCCTCCCCTGTAGCTGGGACCACAGGTGTGCGCCACCATGCCCAGCTAATTTTTGTATTTTTGATAGAGATGGGGTTTCACCGTGTTGGCCTGGCTTGTCTCAAACTACTGATCTCAAGTGATCCGCCCACCTCAGCCTCCCAGAGTGCTGGGATAATAGGCATGAGCCACTGCTCCCAGCCTTAATTTTTCAAAATCAGAAGCCGGCTCCACCTCAGTTCAGATCCAGTGAATCTGGGTGAGAGGGCAGAGTCCACAAGTATCTGCATTTCAAATAGATGTTCCCATTGATTTTTATGCATACCACAGTTTCTGATCACCTGATCTGAAGTACAGCAATGTACTTGTATTTTAGTCTTCCTCTATAAAGGTAGAAAAACTTCTGTATCTTGGCTACACAAAAGAGTTTAATAACCTTGGATCAGCGGATTCAAAACTAGTTCTTAGCTAGTTTAAAAGTCCTTCCGTGGTCCTCCTCAGTTTTCTCCATTTTCTTCAACTCTGTTAATATCTTTACCTATCTTGATGCAAATTATTATCATTATTATTTTGAGACATAATCTTTCTCCATCGCCTAGGTTGGAGTGCAGTGGCGGGATCTCAGCTCACTGCAACCTCCGCCTCCCGAATTCAAGCAATTCTCCTGCCTGAGTAGCTGGGATTACAGGTGTGCGCCAACACAACCGGCTAATTTTTGTATTTTATCCCCACCGAGACGGAGTCTTGCTCTGTCGCCCGGGCTAGAGTGCAGTGGCGTGATCTTGGCTCACTGCAACCTCCGCCTCCCAGGTTCAAGCAATTCTCCTGCCTCAGCCTCCTGAGTAGCTGGGATTACAGGAGCACACTACCACATCAGACTGATTTTTGTATTTTTAGTAGAAAGGGAGTTTCACCAGGTTGGCCAGACTGGTCACGAACTCCTGACCTCAAGTGACCCGCCCGCCTCGGCCTCCCAAAGTGTTGGGATTAGGCATGAGCCACCATGCCTAGCCTAATTTTTTTATTTTTAGTAGAGACTGGATTTCTCCGTGTTCGCCAGGCTGGTCTGGAACTCCTAATCTCAATTGTTCGGCTTGCCTCAGCCTCCCAAAGTGCTGGGATCACAGGCGTGAGCCACCATGCCCAACCACAAATGTTTTTTAAGTTATAGTGTAAGAACATGGCAGTAAGTTCAACCCTCCAAATTGCGTCAGGGGTCACAGGCAAGCAGAACCTAGCCTCTAATTTCCTCAGAAACTGTGTAATAAAAAGAGGTTACAGAGATTATCCTGGGTTTGCCAAAAAAGAAAAAAAGGAAAAGAAAAAGAAAAAGAGGTGAGTAGCACCACCATCTCTATCCAGCTCTGGGCAGTGTTTTTTTTTTGTTTTTTTGTTTTTTTTTAAGGTGGAGTCTTACTCTGTCATCCAGGCTGGAATGCAGTGGCGCGATCTCTGTTCACTGCAATCTCCACCTCCCGGGTTCAAGTGATTCTCATGCCTCAGCCTCCTGAGTAGCTGGGACTACAGGTACATGCCACCACACCCAGCTAATTTTTTATATTTTTAGTAGAGATGGGCTTTCACCATGTTAGCAAGGATGGTCTCAATCTGCTGACCTCGTGATCCACCTGGCTTAGCTTCCCAAAGTGCTGGGATTACAGGCGTGAGCCGCCGGGCCTGGCCCAGTTATTTTTAAACACTGAAATTACAGATGTAAGGACAGCATGTACTATATACTTTGTGCTTTATACTTTATTATTACTAAATAACAACATTAATACGTAATAATTAGATCCAAAACACATACCTTAACAAATGTCTATATATCAATAGATTATCTAGACACCGCTTTAAATGTGCAGCTATCACTTAAAATCAACTGATGGGTTCAAAATAATGTAAGAATCTCAAGATGGCATACAAATGCGCCCTGAATGATGAGAGTACATGGTACTTTTTATAGGAAGATGTCACTATCAACACAAAGCATATTTTTTATTATTTATTTATTTTTAGACAGAGTCTTGCTCTGTCACCCAGGCTGGAGTGCAATCTCCGCCTCCCGTGTTCAAGCGATTCTCCTGCCTCAGCCTCCGGAGTAGCTGGGACTACAGGCGCACACCACCACACCCAGCTAATTTTTGTACTTTTAGTAGAGACAGGGTTTCGTCATGTTGGCCAGGATGGTCTTGATCTCCTGACCTCGTGATCTGCCCATCTTGGCATCCCAAAGTGCTGCGATTACAGGCATGAGCCACCGCGCCCGTCTGAAAGCATATTCTTTTAAGGTTTTGTTATTGTTTTTCCATGTAGCACTGACAGATTTGTACTAATTCTTTGCTTCTCTGGTTGCTAGATAGCTTTAGAATTGTCAGCTGAGGCTCTTGAAGAGCAAAACTAAACTACCTTAGTTGGCTTAGATAGGGAAATAATCTGACTTTTAGGATTATTTGCAGTATAAATGATTTCAAACACTAAAGGTTGACAAAGAAGCATTTATAGTTCACTGAGAAGGCTATCTTATTTCAGATTCCAGGTAAGCAGAATCACTTAAATTTAAAAGAGCACGCTCTGTGTTGATATGCAAAACTTTGTTAAAGTATACGTTTTGATCTTTAATTCATTTATTAGTTACAAATGTTATTTACTATTTAGTAAGCACACGCAAATGTGGTAATCACTGCATTTATTAGGAATACACTGTAAGGTTACAGGCAGTGTGGGTGTGGATTTTGACTGTATTTGAAGTTTTCTTACCTTGAAACTTACTTAGCACTTGTAAACCTATACCATAGAGTTTAGCCTTTATTTCCTCTTAAGAGACTTGAAAATCCTACACCATCTAGTGTAGTGCTAATCCTAAAGAAAACAACCAACGATTAAGTGTTAATTGTTGATTGGTATCACCCTATGATCAATTGTTTTCACCCTAAGGCTCAAGTGAAACCAAACGGTTGGTCACTTTTTCGATTTAGTATTTTTTCAATTTCTTAGATCTCAGGATATTTTTAGTAGATTTTGGATGAGACAACAAGGATGTCTGACGACCATCATTCTCAGAAAATATCTGGCATCACCTCAAATCTGGATTTCGAACATTACAGAGGGATGAATGAGGAGCAGTACCACTGGACTGAGGGCCTGGCCCACTTTGCCATCTTGGTATTCTTAATCTTTGTCCTAGTTCCTGGCACGATAAGAATTTTCAAATAAATAAATAATTTTTGTATTAAAAAAGTAGTATTTAGAACCGAATATCTTCTATAATATAGAAAATTGAGTCAGCTTTCCCAGTAATGATTCTTTAAGTTGGCCTTCTGAAATATGAGAAAATGTTACCCTGATAGTCTCGATGATATTTTGCACCATGGGTAGGGTTGTATTTTAAAGTTAAATGACTACATATATTGTTTTTTGTTTTTGTCGAGAGACCTGAGATGGGGCTAATTGAAAACGTCTGGAGCTTAAAGACCCGTGCAGTTTACGCAGCAAGGATATTATTGCTCTGAATTTCAATAAATCAACATTTCACTATATATCGGCAAAGTCTACAGCCTTTAAAAAATGACCAATATAGACGGAATCAAAACCGATGTAGTCCCAAAGCGGCACAGAGCTGTATCTGCCAAAGCGTCCATTTAAATTCGTGCGTTCCAAGGAAAATTACTGCTTAGTTTCTATCCATTTGCAAAAGTTTATGATTTTTTTCAGGCATTCCTCACACCTGTTAGGTTAAAATCAGTAACACTCTTAAAAAGAAAGCGAGAGACCGGAAATGATATGAGAATAGAATTGGCCACTCCAGAGACATCTGCAAATGACACTCCATTTTTCCTTCTCGCGCTGCAAAATGTACCGGTAAACCGGACTTCCCGGGACTCGCTGGGTGGCCGACATTTTCCCTAGCAGGAATTTTACGTTTCCAAGATCTGAATGGATGTTAACGGTCGGGCTAAATGCCAGGCAGGTCTTCATTGTGGAATTAAACAGCGGTGGGAGCAAGCGGAATAACCGAGTTCCCCTCCCGCACCTGAGTGCCGGCAGCGAGCCGCGAGCCGGGACCTGTCACCCGCGGGAAGCCCCGGCCGCCCGACGAACAGCATCTCCGGTTTCCGCCTCCGGCTCCGGCGCGGCTCCCCCGGCCCGCCTCTGCGTCAGGGACGCGGAAACCCCGTAGGAGCAGGGCGGGCGGGGAAAGCGAGGTTTAACTAACTCCGCAGCTATATTCTTCCGCCGCGAGGTAAAGAGTCCCAACCCAACCCCGGGCCCTAGGATTTCCAGCGACCCTGTAATATCGAGAAATTACCACATTTGGGTTTTTCTACCAACTTGCTTAGGATTTTATCCGAGGTAACGACCCCAGGATCACAATTTTGTAGCTGACCGAAGCACGGCGAGAAAATTCCTCCGCAAGAAACGGGTTCCGGCCACGAGCCTATAAAAAACGGGTGGTTGGGCGCCGCTGTCTTTTCAGTCGGGCGCTGAGTGGTTTTTCGGATCATGTCTGGTGGCTCCGCGGATTATAACAGGTATGCAGTCTGTTGGCGGTCGCGGTCTGTAGTGAAGGTCATAGGGCGCCAGGGGAGATGATAGTGGATGGCACGGAGGCAAAAACTCTAAATTAATGGACGTTTTCTTAGGGTACAGCACTCCTGTGCCCTTCCAGAAGCTTCCATGATGGGTAGGGCCCGGATTGTGGGGAGATAGGACGGTGGTGCGAAAGCAGTGGCTAAAGGGCGTTTTTCCTCTCTAAGACATTACGAAACTTCGGCTGCTTTCCTTCCCAGTGTAGAGCACGGGAAACATGGAGTAAAAAGCCGTGGCGCAGTCCGAGTTCGGTACACTGTAACCAGGACCCGAAGCTTTATTTTCGGTCATCCACACGAGTTGGGGGAGGGTCCTAGGCTTTACTTGGGGAAGGGTTGGAGGCAGCGGTCTCCACTCGGCCACGGCGCGGAGGCGACGGGACAGGACCGGTGCCGGTGAACCGTTGGCATCGCCCTCGCCAGGCCGCTCCGCCCGCGTCAATCACCCGGCTTGCGCATTGTTGGGGGCGGAGTTCGGCGCTCCGAGCTCTCGCGAGACGCTCCGCAGTTGAAACGGGATCGCCATGCGCTCGGGCCTGGGGGGCTGCCTTTCCGGGCATCCGCAGGCCCCAACCTTTAGGGAAGGCGCACAGTGTGGATATTCGCCCTGAGGCTGCTGCTTTAGCTTGTGCAGGGGAGGCTAACGTGCTGAGACGGGTTGCAAAGGGCTATGCGCTTAAGGTGCAGTTGAGGTGGCCTGGAAGGGGTGTCTGACTGCAGTATTCTTGTCAGCAGAGAACATGGCGGCCCAGAGGGAATGGACCCCGATGGTGTCATCGAGGTAAGAAACGGTTGTGGATCTTGAAGCTTTGGAAAGGTGAGTGTGTTCATCTCATTTATGCGTGCATTATTTTTTCTAACTTACAGAGCAACTGGAATGAGATTGTTGATAACTTTGATGATATGAATTTAAAGGAGTCTCTCCTTCGTGGCATCTATGCTTACGGTTTTGAGAAGCCTTCCGCTATTCAGCAGAGAGCTATTATTCCCTGTATTAAAGGTAAAAGAAACTGGCATTTTTAGGAAATTGTTCTACATAGACATGAACCATAAAAGGGAAAGTAACCTCTGGGGGACTAGCACCTGTTTGTATTCCTTAAAGTGAAATGATGGCAATCATCTTTCGGGACTGACCTGAAATGAAGAGAATACTCATTGCTGATCACTTGATTATTTGGGCATAATGTTCCAAATGGAATACATGGTGTGAAGTAGAAGTGACAATTTGATGTGGGATCGGTAAATGTGTATCCTACTTTTTTTAGGGTATGATGTGATTGCTCAAGCTCAGTCAGGTACTGGCAAGACAGCCACATTTGCTATTTCCATCCTGCAACAGTTGGAGATTGAGTTCAAGGAGACCCAAGCACTAGTATTGGCCCCCACCAGAGAACTGGCTCAACAGGTATTGATAGTGTAGTTCAAAAAAACTGCTTGCGTGTTGCATAGGTTTCAGGTTTCACAACTGTGAAGAATTTAAAACTTAGTATAAATTGGTCCTACCAGATCCCTCCTTTTAATTGTCCATGCATGCAGGGAGTTTTTGTTGAAAGTTTTAAAAGAACTGGGTATGCAGGTATGGTTTGTAGGGTTGTATACTAATAGATTGAGAATCCGAAGCGCTCTCTTGGATGTACTAGATCTGTCCCCATTTTTTAAGTTTGAATGCAGTTGTGCAACATGAAAACTGCAGTGACATGTTACCATTTGACTGTCTCCGTAGTTCGTGATGCATCTGTTGCATGCTATGTTTTCAAAGCTCACTGCTATATTGGCTTTGAAGTAAACCTTCCTAATAAAGCTGTAGGCTTTATTGAGGTCAGGATTATATAAGGCACAATACCCTCTGGGGGAAAAAAATCATTTGCCCTAGCTGTAATTACAGAACATAAATTTCACTACGTACTCCCTACCTACAGTGAAGAATAATGTAGGAAACGTTATTCTTGGATTGTCTAGCTGATGCGTGGAGCAGCAGCATCCCAAGTTTGACAAGGCATAAGAAAGACATTAAGGGAATTTTACCTTGCAGCAGTTAGGTCGTCTGCATTTTAAGCTTGGAAGTAGTTTTGTGCTGTGCATGCATAAAAGCTGTTGGCAGACCAGATTATATTTGCCTTTATGCTTTAAAAATTAGTCATTGATCCTGGAGTTCTGCGGAATAATAATTAAGGCTTGGGTTTTAGATCCAAAAGGTAATTCTGGCACTTGGAGACTATATGGGAGCCACTTGTCATGCCTGCATTGGTGGAACAAATGTTCGAAATGAAATGCAAAAACTGCAGGCTGAAGCACCACATATTGTTGTTGGTACACCCGGGAGAGTGTTTGATATGTTAAACAGAAGATACCTTTGTAAGTATTGTCTTTAAGAGAGTATTTTTTTTAAAACTGTTAACATAGTTGAAAAGTCAAATTGTATCACTGAGTAGATCTAGAAATGACAGTATGACTTTGTTTCTAACAGCTCCAAAATGGATCAAAATGTTTGTTTTGGATGAAGCAGATGAAATGTTGAGCCGTGGTTTTAAGGATCAAATCTATGAGATTTTCCAAAAACTAAACACAAGTATTCAGGTAAGCATTACTTCACCCCCCTCTTAAAGGTAGAGATGGGGTTTATTTAATGCAGGTACTGTTACAATACAACTGATGTGTTTTGTTGTCGTTCCCCCTGCTTAAAGCACTTGATGCATAACTCTGTCTACCTTCATTCCGTAGTAAGACAGAGACGCTTGGCTTCAGACATTTTCCTTTGGGTATTAATGTGTAAGTTGTGCTACAACATAATTTTCTCTTTTTAAGGTTGTGTTGCTTTCTGCCACAATGCCAACTGATGTGTTGGAAGTGACCAAAAAATTCATGAGAGATCCAATTCGAATTCTGGTGAAAAAGGAAGAATTGACCCTTGAAGGAATCAAACAGTTTTATATTAATGTTGAGAGAGAGGTAACTGTCTGATTGTTAGACATTATTTTACCTTCTTGTATAAGCACTGTGCTAAAATTGCAGACACTAGGACCATGTCTTGGTTTTTGCAATAATGCTAGCAGAGTACACACAAGAAGAAAAGTAACAGCACTAGATTGTAAAGACTGGGGTGGACCTCTTTCTTAATGTCCAATGTCCTTTGTCTTAAGATTTGGTGCAATATCTCATTAGACCTAACAGAATGAAGTTAATTTTTATAATTTCTACGTTTTGAGACTGGGTTATGAGACTGGCTAAGACTGGCCAATTTTGGTATTTTGGGTAGAGACAGTTTCACTTTCTTGAAACCCTGGTCTGGTTGGAACTCTGGGCTCTAAGTGCTAGGATCCCAAAGGGCTGGGATTACAGGCATTAGCACTGTGGCTGGCCCAGAATGAATTTTTAACTGAAGAGTTGGAAAAACTAAATGACTGTTAACTTTAACTTCTAAACATTACAGGAATGGAAGTTGGATACACTTTGTGACTTGTACGAGACACTGACCATTACACAGGCTGTTATTTTTCTCAATACGAGGCGCAAGGTGGACTGGCTGACTGAGAAGATGCATGCCAGAGACTTCACAGTTTCTGCTCTGGTAAGAGGTGTTCTAAAATGTCTGGATTTCCACTAAAGCAGGATTCAGACTACAATATAGCTGCTAAGTGCTGTGTTGTCGTTCCCCCTGCTTAAAATAAAGTTGTTTCTTAACTATACCTGTCTGCTATTCTCCTGTAGCAGCCAGGGACGCTTGGTCTCATACATGTTGATTAAAATTAAATACCGACCTGACTGGTGATTCTTGAATTAAGGTTTATTAATTTGCAGCATGGTGACATGGACCAGAAGGAGAGAGATGTTATCATGAGGGAATTCCGGTCAGGGTCAAGTCGTGTTCTGATCACTACTGACTTGTTGGTAAGTCTCTTAATGCTTTTTAAAAATCTACCAAAAGTTAGCTTTTTGGGGGGCAGGTTTTTAAGTAACCTTTGCCAACTTGGGCTATTTGGAAGAGTAAAAGACCACACTCCACAGTGGGCTATACCACTTAGTATAGTTCGCTACTATTTTGTGGCCTACATGACAGGTGTCAAGTTTTTTTGAATCAATTTTTAAAACATGCCATTGTGTTTCAGGCTCGCGGGATTGATGTGCAACAAGTGTCTTTGGTTATAAATTATGATCTACCTACCAATCGTGAAAACTATATTCACAGGTGAGAAGCCAGCATCTTGGCTGTATTGAAAAAAATTCATACGTTTTTCTACTGTGATTTGTATGAAAGGTAACATCAAATCAAGGAATAGATTCAGTAAAGTCAGTAGTGTTCAGTAAGATGATGTAATTAAATTTGTACTAGGGAAGGTTGATGAGAACAAAGTGGGAAAACTTGTAAACATTGCCCAGATTGTGGACATAGGGTTTTTTTCCACAATTGTTGGTCTTACCTTATGCTTGAGCTTTTAGTGATGTTCTTGTGTCCATGTGTTTTTCTTGGTGATTTTTTCTATAGTTGGGATTTTCTTGGTGTCGCCTGGTAGCAATTTGAGTGAACCCTGGTTTAGTTATAGTGGCTTTATCCCTAAATAAATTGAATTGTACTTTGTTATATGATGTAAAAAAAGACTTTTTAAAAAATACAGGAGTCGATAGCAGCAGTTGGTGACGAGATGGCACTCAGAAACGGCGTTGACGTAATTTAGGACGTGGAATCATAAGCGAAACAGCACACTGTTTGAATAAAGAGCGAGTCGGTATTTATATTTGTTTTTCTTTTGTCATGATTATTTGATTTTTAAGTTGCTCCAGCTAAGGCATTTTTTTGTATTAGTATTTCTATTAGGGAACCTTTCTTATTAGGTGGTTTGTATTGTCTGGTTTCTAACATGCAGGTAGCTGTTTGGCAGTTAAACACGTTTAGAGTAATTTGAGTTACAACGTGTGAAACTGAGCAAAAAAGCAGTGATAAGTTTGGGTTACCATACCAAATATTTGTTTTCCCACTGGAAAAAAGTAAGTTTTAGAAAATAGTTAACCTTTGCAGCATTTGTTTACAGTTTACAGTTCCAGAAGTGCGTCGAAATGGATTACATAACTGCTCTTTTATTCCTGGTGTTCACATCTGTCCCAGGCTGACACCTGCTCTTGGCTGGCCCACTTTGGTATGGGCTTTAATTTCACTACCCCAAACACGATACTGTCATCTGCTTTATAATAATGCTCAAGATGCCTGATAAAAATCTCATTTTGCAGCCAGACAAGCCTTGAATCCTTTTGGCACTAACTGCAAAGGAAGATTTTTTTCTCTAGATATGCATTAGCAGCTAGTGCTCCAGTTAGAAGCACGAACTATAACCTTGATAAGTAAACAGCAGCTGGTGGTTAACAAGTGGATCGTCATGTTCAGTAGTTTATACATTATGTGAGAAGTAACGTTCTGATTCTTTTTCTTACACAGAATTGGCAGAGGGGGTCGATTTGGGAGGAAAGGTGTGGCTATAAACTTTGTTACTGAAGAAGACAAGAGGATTCTTCGTGACATTGAGACTTTCTACAATACTACAGTGGAGGAGATGCCCATGAATGTGGCTGACCTTATTTAATTCCTGGGATGAGAGTTTTGGATGCAGTGCTCGCTGTTGCTGAATAGGCGATCACAACGTGCATTGTGCTTCTTTCTTTGGGAATATTTGAATCTTGTCTCAATGCTCATAACGGATCAGAAATACAGATTTTGATAGCAAAGCGACGTTAGTCGTGAGCTCTTGTGAGGAAAGTCATTGGCTTTATCCTCTTTAGAGTTAGACTGTTGGGGTGGGTATAAAAGATGGGGTCTGTAAAATCTTTCTTTCTTAGAAATTTATTTCCTAGTTCTGTAGAAATGGTTGTATTAGATGTTCTCTATCATTTAATAATATACTTGTGGACTAAAAGATATAAGTGCTGTATAAAATCAGCCAATTATGTTAAACTAGCATATCTGCCTTTATTGTGTTTGTCATTAGCCTGAGTAGAAAGGCCTTTAAAATTTTTTTAGAAAGCATTTGAATGCATTTTGTTTGGTATTGTATTTATTCAATAAAGTATTTAATTAGTGCTAAGTGTGAACTGGACCCTGTTGCTAAGCCCCAGCAAGCAATCCTAGGTAGGGTTTAATCCCCAGTAAAATTGCCATATTGCACATGTCTTAATGAAGTTTGAATGTTAAATAAATTGTATATTCACTTTAAAGGTGCTTTTGGTCATTTTATTTTTATTACAACTTCATTATTTACAAAACCCCCCATCCAGATATATTCACGTTAACAATTCTGAGATAACTGCTGCATCACAGTTGCACAAAGGCTGATGAGTTGCAAATGTTCATCAGCACCATCTGCTAGGCATTTGTCAACTTCCTACGAGAAAAATTTAAGAAATTAGCATCCTTCAGGTAGTTAAATGTTCCATTGACATGTGCAAAGTACCTACTTACGGCAAGTTTTTCTGTGATAATAGACTTCTGTTTATCAGATAAGTTATTTTCTACAACCACATCATGGAGTTGATTGACGAGCTGAGTTGCTGCATGACCCTCATCTATTAAATCCTATAATAAAAAAAACTTTTGGTATGATGACTTAATATTCCTTTCCCCAAAGTTAGTAAGCTGACTTTACCTTGACCACAGCTTCTAGTTTGTCAAAAGAGCCACTCTGACAGGCAGCAAATACTCCATCAATTTTCTCAGCTGGTATTACCTAGGTAATTGAATGTTCGGTATTAAAGATGTTTCTAGGTGAGACTAGACATACACTCTGCCAACTGGCCCCCGTGCCCCCAGTCATTTCTGTTCCACACCTAAGTTCCATACTTTCCTGGGAAGGCTTTGGGAGAACGGAAAGGGCCAGAGTAACTCCAGTCACCACTAAGCAACCAAGGTGCTAACAACTGTGCTTTTAAAGCCCTTTAATGGCTTTGTGAACTTCCAAGTTTGGGCACACATGGATTATAGCTTGTTCTGGTCAGTGGATGAAGATTAAGTTTTCCCCTAGCGGCTATAACGATTCCTCAGAACAGTGGCCAAGATCAATCAAAAAGACTGATTTCTTTAAAGGGGAAGTGCCCTTTCTCTCAATGTCTCCATGTAAAGATGCCACTAATGAGATTGGTTTAAAAAGTCCACAATATCCAGAAAATTAAAGAGGATTAGTGGTACCAGTCTTGTCATATGGAAGGCCTACCGTGAAGGTGAAAAACGTCATAGAAACAAAGAGGATTAGTGGTACCAGTCTTGTCATATGGAAGGCCTACCGTGCAGGTGAAAAATGTCACAGAAACAAAAGTTGTTAAGTAGTAGTGATTCTGAAGTGAGTTTTTACATGGGAGTATCCAAAGACAAGTGGGGTACTCCATTCTCTTTAATAAATGATTACTGTAAGTTGGATATGCCTTTTGTTTATATACAACTGGCAAAATAGTTTTCATGTATAAGAACATCTGCTAAAATTGATTTAACTGCCAAAGGCATCTCTTATAAAATCTAAAAACTGAAGGCTGGGTGCGGTGGCTCCCACCTATAATCCCAGCACTTTGGAAGGCTAAGCGGGGGGCGGATCACCTGAGGTCAGGAGTTCCATACCAGCCTGGTCAACCAACATCGTGAAACCCCGTCTCTACTAAAAATATACAAATTAGCTGGGCATGGTGGCAGGTGCCTGTAATCCCAGCTAATTGGGAGGGTGAGGCGGGAGGTGGAGGTTGCAGTGAGTCGGTATTGCGTCACTGCACTCCAGCCTGGGCGACACAGCAAGACTCTGTCTCAAAAAAAAAAAAACAAAAAAACTAACAACTGAAAGTGTCCTTTTCTTTCCTGAAATGTCTGTTACATGCCTGACAAACTGAAAAGTCAGTGCTATCTCCTCACCTCAAACACTCTGATACTCCCAGGTTATTCCCTTATACTTCCTAGTGCAGTACTTGGCACTTGCTAAACACCCAGTATTTGTTGGATGAAAATTTCCTAAAAGCCACAAAAAAGCCAACTAAAAAGAAATTCAGAATATCCAGTACTCTTACCCCGGCAATGTCTGTAATCACTTTCTCTGTGATCTCCTTTCCACCTGTTAATCGAGTAGCGCTTTGAAGAAATGTAATGGCTTTTCTTAAGTCTCCTTCTGACACTTTAACAAGATAAGCTATTCCCTGAAGAGAAAAGAGTTGTTTTTAACCTATGATGGCCAATTAAGGATTTATAACTTTAATTTTAAAATGTTTAATAAAAGTGAAAAACCCTGTTTTAGTCTAGAGTTAATGAGAAAAAACATTTCTGTTTTGGGAGAAAATATGATCAGTCTAGGGGCCGGGTACAATGGAAGGATAGAGATCTCTTGCTTCTGAAATAAATTTGCAGAGATGAAAAAATGTTCCATATTTATCCCATTTTCTTGCTCACGTAAAGCAAATTCAAATTATGGTTAAATTCTGTTATAATGAATAAGGGCCTTATGTTTCTATCAATTTTAGGGAAGTACTGAAGTATTAGCTAGAAGACTAAAATCTTGTCATCATGCAGAGATTTATGTTGCAGAATTTGCATTATATGTATGAAATCCACCTCAGTTTCGGGTCTCTGATATATTAAAAGATAATTAACTCAAAAAGTAATAGAAAAGCTAAACCTTGTAATTCCTACACATTTCAATTGTTGCCCCTTTAGCTTAAGTTTGTCTGAAGAACTGGCATCAGGATTGAGGCAACACACATTTAAATCTTTCAGGGCCTCTTTATATGCATTCATCAAAGGAATTAGTAACTCTAATAATTGTAATAATTAGTAATTACCTCATCACTAATTTTGACATTTTCCTTCTTGGCAATGTCTAGTAATCGCTGCTGTTGAATTTTATCTGACAGAGGCTTGAAGCGGAATTTTGAACATCTAGAGGTCAGGGGTTCAATTATTCTGTGGAAGATGAGAAAAACCAAGTTGGTGTCTAAAGAAAGAATTTCCCCAAAAGAACTCATTTTTATCAAGAACAAATCAAGATTTGATGGAGGAAAAATTAATGTAGCCTTGAAAATCCTAAATTTCCTTTCCCTAATTGGGTTATGAAAATAAGGCTGCCTAGCATCTGTCTTCAGGGCAATATACATACCGACTGACATAGTTACAGATAAGACAGAATCGGGTGGTTTTCGACTCCTTCTCCATGGTACGTCTTAAAGCTGCCTGAGCAGCTGAGGTCATAGAATCTGCTTCATCCAGAATCACAATCTTAAAAGGCGGACACGGCTTCCCACTGATTCAGAGAAACACATAAGAGTTGAACATTAATATGTATATTGGTTTTAACAGCTTTGTTGAAAGATACACGTACCATACAATTCACCCATTTAAAATGTACAATTCAGTGTTTTTCTGTATGTTCACAAAGTTGTGCAACCATTACCACAATCTAATTTTAGAACATTTTTATCACTCCTAAAAGAAACTTTGTACCTATTAGGAGTCACTCTTCTTCCCCCAGTCATTCCCAGCTCTAGGCAATCATTAGTCTACTTTCATCTCTATAGATTTGCCTATTCTGGACATGATATGAATGGAACATATAATATGCAGTCTTTTGTGGCTGACTTCTTCCACTTAACATATTTTAAAGGTTCATCCATATTGTAGCATGTGTTTGCGTCATTCCTTTGTATTGTCAAATACTATGGCAAATAGATACACCACATTTATTCATCCATTAATCGGTTGGACATTTGGGCTGTTTCCATGTTTTGGCTATTAAGAATAATGCTGCTGTGAACATTTGTGTACATGTTTTTGAGCAGACATGTCTTCCAAGAGGCTGTACCATTTTACATTCCAACCAGCAATGTATGCGGTTTACCATTTCTCCACATCCTTGTCAATGCTAGTTATTTTCTGTATTTTTTATCATAGCCATCCTAGTGGGAGTTACGTGGTATTTCAATGTGGCTTTGATTTTCATTTCCCAAATGGATAATGATGTTGATGAGCATCTTTTAATGTGCTTATTACACATGCACGAAATGTCTATGCAGATCCTTTGCCTTTTTTTTTTTTTTGAGATAGAGTCTTGCTCTGTCGCCCAGGCTGGAGTGCAGTGGTGCGATCTTGGCTCACTGCAAGCTCTGCCTCCTGGGTTCACGCCATACTCCTGCCTCAGCCTCCCGAGTAGCTGGGACTACAGGCGCCCGCCACCACACCCAGCTAATTTTTTGTATTTTTAGTAGAGATGGGGTTTCACCATGTTCGCCAGGATGGTCTCGATCTCCTGACCTTGTGATCCACCTGCCTCGGCCTCCCAAAGTGCTGGGATTACAGGTGTGAACCACTGCGCCCGGCCTTTGCCCATTTTTTAATTGGGTTATTTGTTTTTATTACTGAGTTTTTAAAGTTCTTCATATGTTCTAGATATAAGTACCTTTTTAGGTATATGATTTGTAAATATTTTCTCCCACGTTGCGGGTTATTACCTTCTGTACATTGATTTTTGGTAATCTGCCATTAAAGTTTTTCTCCCACCAAAAGTGGCATTAACATAATTGTATGAAAATTATACCAAGAAAACAGATTTCAAGTATTAATGGTAGAAGGGATCTCAGAGTCTTTTAGTCCACCTCCCAGTCTTCATTTCACATAAAAATACATTAGGTGCTATAGCGGTTGTGACTGACTGCACCATCAATTTAAGGTGCATATCAAAAATTAGTCATTCACTTTCACAAATTTTGAAATGTGCTCATGTAAAATTTACACATATGTCTAGGTACCACCAATGTAATCCTGGACCTTTGCCACCTAAGGAGCATAAGTAGTTGATTAAATCCCTGTTTACCTCAGGCAGGATAGTCTTCTAACATGAAAAGTTGACAATTTGGCAGAAATACACTTGATCTTAGCCAAAAGGCTGAGGAGCGATGGCAGAAATACATATTTAAAATAATACATGCTATGGAGGAGGGAGGGCAAATTTACTTACTCTGAGCGACTTCCTGACACAGTTAATTGAGCAAAATTTTTCACTTTCTCTCGAACTACTTGTATTCCACGTTCATCAGATGCATTTAACTCAAGAACTCTTAATCGGAAAAGTTCAGGCCTATCTCAAAATGAAACAAATATGAAACATAGAGCACAAGTAGGCTTAAATCACATTTTAACATTTGCACACTTTGCAGACGTTTAAAATCCACCTAGTAAACAACATGGATAGAAGGCACACAATCACTTTTGCATTCTCGCTTCAGCAGAGTGCTGCAGTTAACATTTTGGCTTTTTTCCATGCATTTAAAAAAATGTAGACATTACATAACATATACAATTTCTTTTCTTTTTATTTTTTTGGAGACAAGGTCTTGCTCTGTCACTCAGGCTGGAGAACAGTGGCATGATGATGGCTCACTGCAGCCTTGAACTCCTGGGCTCAAATGATCCTCCCACCTTAGCTTCCCAACTAGCTGGGACTATAGGCACATGCCATCACACCTGGCTAATTTTGTTTACTTTTTGTAGAGGCAGGGACTCATTATGTGGCCAGGCTGGTCTCAGGTGATCCTTCCACCTTGGCCTCCCAAAATGTTGGGATTACAGGTGTGAGGCACCACACCTGGCCCCACATATAAAATTTTAAATCGATTTTCCACTTTGCATTTATAATAAGTATCTTGGCATATTATCAAAACCACTGTAAATAACATTTTAATAGTCATATGATATTCCATCCTATGACTGTACCATCATTTACTTCACATTCTTCTATTGTTAGACATCTAGATAGTTTTAAATACTGTAATTTTAAATAATGTTATAATATAGCACATTTTAAATTATTTCCGGCCGGATGTGGTGGCTCATGCCTGTAATCCCAGCACTTTGGGAGGCCGAGGCGGGTGGATCACGAGGTCAGGAGTTCGAGACCAGCCTGACCAACGTGGTGAAACCCTGTCTCTACTAAAAATACAAAAATTAGCTGGGCGTGGTTACAGGCACCTGTAGTGCCAGCTACTCAGGAGGCTGAGGCAGGAGGATTGCTTGAACCCGGGATGTGGAGGTTGCAGTGAGCCGAGATCGCACCACTGCACTCCAGCCTGGGCAATAGAGCGAGACACTGTCTCAAAAATAAATAAATAAACAAATAAATAAATAAATTCCACAGGGTAGTTTGCTATAAGGAAACCTACTGGATTAAGGAAAATTAATGGATTAAAACATGAGCAGGTTTTTAAAGTGAGTTTTAATAAAAATTACTAAAAGTAATATATGCTTACTGTAGAGAAATTTGAGAAATCAAAAGAAAAAAGTGGGCACACTGTCAAAGCACTGTTTTTGAAACTTCCCTCTAGTCTTTTACACACACACACACACACACACACACACATTTAAATAAAAAACAAGAGTTGTGATTTAGTTTCATCTCTATTTTTCCTAATCAGCATGGTATCCTAAGCATGTTTATGGACATAAACATTTACATGCATCTATTTTCTATTTTAAAGCCACAATATTAAATATGAAATTCACTGTTAAAGTAAGTTCTTTAAAGACAAACATTATTTCATAAAGGATATAGAAAAAGTTGTATAATCTGGACTGACCTACTCTAAGTAATAATAAACAACTGTTAAGGCTGATTCAGATTGGTTCTATCTGATTGAGTTGTGGAATAATCAAAAAAGTTCTTCTATAATTTTACTGAGAATAAAAAATTGCTGTCAAATAAAATATTAGGCACATAGCAGCTTCTCCCTTTGTCTTTTACATTTTGACATAACTAATAATCCTTACACATTTGGTGATTTCAGTGGCGTCTTTTTTTTTTTGAGACGGAGTCTCGCTCTGTCACCCAGGCTGGAGTGCAGTGGCGTGATCTCGGCTCACTGCAACCTCTGCCTCCCAGGTTCAAGTGATTCTCCTGCCTCAGCCTGCCGAGTAGCTGGGACTACAGGTGCATGCCACCATGCCTGGCAAATTTTTGTATTTTTAGTAGAGATGGGGTTTCACCATGTTGGCCAGGCTGGTTTCGAACTCCTCACCCCAGGTGATCCACCTGCCTCGGCCTCCCAAAGTGCTGGGATTACAGATGTGAGCCACCACACCCAGCCTATTTTCATATGTAGGATTTCAGATATTTCTATCAGTTGTATGTCTGATATTAATTCTGGATAAACTCAAAACAGCCTTTGTTATGTTGGTGCATGTTTCATGTATATCAGACCCAGCCCACTACACATCTTTTAACTCTAGGTAAAGGGCTCCTCTAGAATGGCTGGTTAAGCCAAGATGGTCAATCTAGGAAGAGGAACATAAGAAGGTGACTCACAGGAAGATTTTCTGGTGTACCTGGAATCACACTACATCAACCATCACTTGTGCTCAGGAGACCTGAGGCAAGGAGCTGGACTGGCCACTCCAGAGTCAGAGCCTAGGAAGTCCAGAGCAGGACTCAAGAATGGATGGTGCAAATAGTGCCATCAGAAACAGCAGATTCTATCATGTAGCCACACAGATGTGAACACAATCATTAAGAGGGTGATAAAACTATCAGCACAACTGGACATTAAGTTGGGCCCTCTGGACTCCAAAGTTATAATGGAAAATTTAAAGAAAGTGATGGAAAAAATCATAGGCTCCCCACACTTGAACAAGATTCACAATGAAGGTCACAAAAGACGCAGGCAAGCTGATTTCTTCAGGGGAGTGAGGGAGGAACAAAATGGCTCATGGGATTTTTAAAAATCAGAAATAGAAAACTATCCTACAGAAAACGAAACGCAAATTTTTAGAGGAAAAAAAGCAATATCAGAGAATTTTGGTGTCAAATCTTTAAAAAAAGAAAAACAGACTGATTTCAACGTACCCAAAGAGTTCTCTAGCTGCTGCCAAAATAGTGGATGTTTTTCCAGTTCCAGGTGGTCCGTAAAACAAGAGATTAGGAAGCTGTAGAAATTAAATTTTATTTTTAATAAATGGTATTCTGGCACAAATAGATGAAAAGGAAGATCGAAAAAAATGTCTGTGGAATAGTGCAATGACTTCTCTAATAGGGCACGTAATTTCTAAGTATAAAGTTTTCTTAATATAACTGATATCATAGTACTGACAGATTTAAATCCTGCTTTTTCATATACTACCACTTTTTTCCCCAAGTGTCTTTTTAATCTCTTAAGCTGAACCAATATTTATGCTTGCTCTATAGCTAATCCACTTAGGTGAAATTTTCAAAGCTGGAATGAGAAACCTTTTATTTCTAAAGGGAATCTCAGTTTCCTATCCCACCTCTATGCTCAAGATTAGGTAAGATTTTATATTACACAAAATGTCAGCTGCTTCAAAGGGGAAGCAGACCAAAAGAGTAATGGGATTTGGCCAAAACTGAGGAAAAAGGACTAAAAAAGACATAATTAGGGCTTTGGATGAGCAGAAGTACCAAGAACAGAAATATTAACAAAAAATCCAAAACTAGATATATATTAAGTACTAGGCACTGCTCCACATCATGATTATGCACTCTGTAAGGATGCTTGCATGTATCAGGGAGAATTCATTAGAAGAGGAAAGGATAAAATTAAATCACTAGCTACCTTCTTTTATACCTTGTATCTAGCTAGTTTGGCTCCTATCAAGCAGTCGACTGATCCGTGGTGAAAATTAATAAGTCAACTAAATTCTAATGAGCTCTGTTATGATACTGTGCAATCTTCAGTATGTCCTGTCACATAAGGAAATCAGTGTACACAGGAAACTAGGCATTAGAGTTTGTTTCCACTCTTGCCTAACCCTCCCTCTTCCTGTCCATTCATTCTTCACCTAAATCAGATACCACTCTGCTTGCTACTTAAAACTATTCCACTTAGAAAAACAAAAACAAACCAAAAAACCCTCAGCTTTTTACCATGGCCTAAAGGACTTCCATGATCTGCCTACCACCTCCTTCACCTTCCAGGCTCTAGCTTACAATGGCTTCTAACAGCTTGGCACTTTCTGGCCCGAACATATGTTGCTCCCATGACCTGGAGTCTGATCCTCTTCTTTCTGCCTGGCCAACTCCTAATGCATTACAAATCAGAAACCATTCAGTCTAAAGTAGGTCTCCTCTCCTATTCTCTCATTAGTGTTTGTTGCATTTTGCATTGGTTTATTGTTATTTCACTGTGGGGCTTAATTGTAAAATGCCTGTCTACTTCATTAAAAGACCAAGAACCTTATTTGTTCTATTCACATCTGTATTCTAGCATCTACTACAGTAGTCAATGTTGGCCAAATGAATGAATAAACCAATACATAGACAAATATGTTAATTAGAAGACTATTACTGTTACATTCATAACATATAGCTTACAGAACAAACTATGAGATTCATAACTTAAAAACCTCCCAGGCTTCTTAGTAATTAAGGTCTACAACTATTATTTTGATCTGTGCATCCCTTAACAATGTAACGATTCATCCAGGTTAACTATCAGATACAATAATTTAAATTCTTTGAAACAGGGTAAAATTATTAAACCTTAATTATACACTAGTCTAATATATGTAGTACATTCAAGAACTGTATGTGGAATACCAGTTCTTAAAATCAATTTCTGAAAAAATTATCTTCTTATAATTCTTTAAAACCTTTCAAAATAAATTGAATGAATTGTTTTCCTTTACTCTTTTGAATTAAAAAAACTATTTCACCTCTTTACAAAACTTAGTCTGAAAAGGTGCACAAAATATTAAACTGAAGTTCTTACTTCAGCCTCATAAATTACGTGGCATAAAGTCAAGAACTAGATCTTAGGCTGGGCATGATGGCTCATGCCTGTAATCCCAGCATTTTAGGTGGCCAAAGCGGGCAGGTCACTTGACATGGCTAAACACCATCTCTACTAAAAATACAAAAATGAGCTGTGTGTGGTGGTGCATGCCTGTAGTCCCAGCTACTTGGGAGGCTGAGGTGGGAGGATCACTTGAGCCTGGGAGGCGGAGGTTGCAGTGAGCTGGTATCACGCCACTGCACTCCAGCCTGCGTGACAGAGCAAGACTCTGTCTCAATTACAAAAAAAAACAAAAAAACAAAAGAACTGGATCTTAATCTCACTACATTTGCTGAAGATACTAGTAATTAAATTAGATATTGTCCTGCAATCTGTGTAATTACTATGCAACTGCAATTAAAATGGTATATACTGTTACCAAGATATGCAAGCAGAATATACCAAAAAATAAAATGCTATACTATTATAAAATTAAAAGGTATAAGAGTATTTGTGTTATTTATTTTTTATTACTTATTTATTTATTTATTTTTGAGACCAGAGTCTCACTCTGTCACCCAGGCTGGAGTACAGTGGCACAATCTTGGCTCACTGCAACCCCTCCGCCTCCCAGGTTCAAATGATTCTCCCGCTTTAGCCTCCTGAGTAGCTGGGACTACAGGTGTGTGCCACCACGCCTGGCTACTTTTTCTAATTTTTGGTAGAGATGGGGTTTCACCATGTTGGCCAGGCTGGTCTTGAACTCCTGACCTCAAGTGATCTTCCCATCTCAGCCTCCCGAAACGCTAGGATTACAGGCGTGAGCCACTGTGGCCGGCCAAAAAGGTATAAGAGTATGCGAGTCAAATCAAAACACATACTGGTAAAGAAAAAGATTCTAAATAGTTTTATAAATTTAACTTCTTTCAAAATGTGTACTGTAGTAATATAATTTCAGCAAGGGAATGATGGCAGCAAAACCCAAAAGAACTTCTAATTAAAAGCAGCCAGATTGAGAGGAAGGAAGCAAATCTTGAAACTAAAGCAAAAACCACATCCCACTTCAGCACTTTACTGAGCTGTTAAAGCACTTTGGGCATTCATCATAACACAACTTTAAGTTGCTAATTTTTCACATGGGTTTATCTTATCTCAGAATAATTTACAATGCAAGTTATCCATGGATACTTTATCCCCCAGATCACAGCAGAAGAGAGAGCTATAAGCAGAATTCAAAGCTCGATTTTTTTTTTGTATTATAGGTCAATCCAAATCCTAAAGTTAGTAAGCAATTATACTTTAGAGGAATCTCTGGCTCTTCTTTATAGCACATATTACTACCTATAATTATTTATTGGTTTACTTGTTTATTCTATCTTTCCTTACCAATAAAAACCCATGAAAAAAGGGGCATAGTTTGTCTTGTTCTATGTTTTATGTCTTGTTCTATGTCTATGTTTCATAGTTTGTCTTAATTACTATGACTTTTACTTGAATACTAGGTAACACTGCTATGTAAGATTAAATAGGAGATGCTCAATAAATATTTGAACTAATTATCATTGTACAAATAGTTATCAAGGACCTACTGTACACAGAGCAAGATATTTAACGAGGGCTAGAAGTTATAAAGGAAGAAAGAGGGTGAATAAATTAAGTCTTAAATATCCCAATGACATTAAACACCATTTGCAACTCACATCTGCTCCTTCTAAAGATTTTTTCAGCACTGCAACCACTTCTTCCTGGAAAGCAACTTCATCCACACATTTTGGGCGACTTGCGGGGTGAGAAGGAGGAAAGAGGTTATTTAGTATATTATAGTAGCCACAGAAAACTCTCAAGTGTTCCTTCTACTAAAATACCAATGACCATTCTTAAACATCAGCAATGAAATGAGAAACTTTTTCATAATCGGAAATAGGTGGAAACCCCACTTGTTTTTACCGTAACCAAACACATTCTGAAAGAGTGAAATAATGTTTTACTTCCTTTCTGCATTGCTCGAATCTGTTATACCCACAAAAATTAAAGAAAAAGGATTTTATTTTATATGCTACAAACACTAATTAGAAATTAAAGTGGGGGATTAAGACCATCCTGGCTAACACAGTGAAACCCCGTCTCTACTAAAAACACAAAAAATTAGCCAGGCGTGGTGGTGAGCGCCTGTAGTCCCAGCTACTTGGGAGGCTGAGGCAGGAGAACGGCACGAACCTGGGAGGCAGAGCTTGCAGTGAGCTGAGATCGCACCACTGCACTCCAGCCTGGGTGACAGAGGGAGACTCTGTCTCAAAAAAAAAAAAAAAAAAAAAGAAATTAAAGTGGGGCTGGGTGCGATGGCTCACACTAATCCCAACACTTAGGGAGGCTGAAGCAGGTGGATCACCTGAGGTCAGGAGTTCAAGACCAGCCTGACCAACACGGAGAAACACTGTCTCTACTAAAAATATAAAATTAGCCGGGCATGGTGGTGCATGCCTGTAATGCCAGCTACTCGGGAGGCTGAGGAAGGAGAAGCGCTTGAACCCTGGAGGCAGAGGTTGTGGTGAGCCGAGATCGTATCATTGCACTCCAACCTGGGTCACAAGAGCGAAACTTTATCTCAAAAAAAAAAAAAAAAAAAAAATTAAAGTGAACACCTGCTTAGAAAGCATTATTATTGGCCGGATGCGGTGGCTCACGCCTGTAATCCCAGCACTTTGGGAGGCAGATCACCTGAGATCAGGAGTTTGAGACCAGCCTGGTCAACATGGTGAAACCCCGTCTGTATTAAAAATACAAAAAAAATTAGGTGGGCGTGGTGGCACATGCCTGTAGTCCCATTTGAACCCAGGAGGCAGAAGTTGCAGTGAGCCAAGATCGCACCACTGCACTTCAGCCTGGGCGACAGAGCAAGACTCTGTCTCAAAAGAAAAAAAAAAAGCATTGTTCCACTTTGACAAAATAAGATCATGAATCTTAAGATGAAAAGGGAAAACCATTTAGTAACCTTAGTATAGGTAACTATTTTGGTTAATGTAGTTACATATATACTTAGTATGTGTTAACTGGTTAATGCCAATTTTTTCCATCATCTAACTGCATAAAAAAATGAAGACCTATTCAATTCATTGAGGGCTAACAAAAACAACAAGCTGAACCAATATGAAGTATCATATATAATTTTCATCTTACAACAGTGATTTTTAAGAGAAGCTAGAACAAAGTTACACTTCCAACTCTAAGCTTAGGCTTTGTGCTTAGTTAACTAATCAAAAGTTCTTTGATCCATACTTTTCGATAAATCAGGTTAACACTAGGTAGGAATTATGATTTTTTTTTTTAATGTCTTCTCTTGGGAATCCAGTATATGTTATAAAGCAGGGACTCATATTCAAATACCTGCAGAGATTAAGCAGATAACAAGAGTGAGGAAGGCAGAGTGTGATGCAAGATATAGTAGGGACCATGGCAAATTGAGGAACACACGACCTTTCCAAAAGGAGAAGCAGTACACAAGTCCATATAACTCCTGTCATGTGAGAACCTGCCCCCAGTGTTGCCTGATCTCCTGAGAAGCTGAAAATCCAGACCCTCCTCCACATAATTAAAAAAATCTAGATTTTCATGAGGTTTATTGGTGCCAAACAAAACATATAAGGGGCTGGGCGCAGTGACTCACGCCTGTAATCCCAGCACTTTGGGAGGCCAAGGCAGGCAGATCACCTGAGATCAGGAGTTGAAGACCAGCCTGGTCAACACGATGAAACCTTGTCTCTATTAAAAATACAAAAATTAGCTGAGTGTGGTGGGGCATGTCTGTAATCCCAGCTACTCGGGAGGCTGAGGCAGGAGAATCACTTGAACCTGGGAGGCAGAGGTTGCAGTGAGCTGACATTGCGCCACTGCACTCCAGCCTGGGTGACAAAGTGAGAATCTGTCCCAAAAAAACAAACAAACAAAAAGGCAAGCAAAAAACAAAAACACAAAAAACATATGAGGGCCTTACTCGGCCTATAAGTAATCTGTAAACATTGGTAATTACCGAGGCTACATTCAACCAATAGTTACAATTACTTGTGGTAATATCACTTAGATGACTGACAATTTTATTTATTTATTTGAGACAGAGTCTCGTTCTGTCACCCAGGCTGGAATGCAGTGGTGTGATCTCAGCTCACTGCAATTTCTGCCTCCCAGGTTCAAGTGATTCTCGTGCCTCAGCCTCCCAAGTAGCTGGGATTACAGGTGCCCGCCAACATGCCTGGCTAATTTTTTTTTTTTTTTTTTCCCAGTAAAGAGGGGGTTTCGACATGTTGGCCAGGCTGGTCTGGAACTCCTGGCCTCAAGTGATCCTCCCACCTTGGCCTCCCAAATTGCTGGGATTACATACAGGATTATAGGCATGAGCCACCATGCCAGGTGGTGACTGACAATTTAAATGCTAATTCAAGTGTTGTTTGGACAAAAATGTATGAGCTAACCAAAACTGAATTTCCAGGGCTGGGCGCGGTGGCTCATGCATGTAATCCCAGCACTTTGGGAAGCCAAGGCAGGTGGATCACTTGAGGTCAGGAGTTTGCGATCGACCTGACCAACATGGTGAAACCCCGTCTCTACTAAAAATACAAAAAATTAGCCAGGTGTGGTGGTGGGCACCTGTAATCCCTACTATTTGGGAGGCTGAGGCAGGATAATCACCTGAACCCAGGAGGTGGAGGTTGCAGTGAGTCGAGACCATGCCACTGCACGCCAGCCTGGGCAACAGAGTGAGACTCCGTCTCAAAAATAGTAATAATAATAATAATACTTTCCACCTATTGTAATGAGAAGAAGGAGGAACAGATTACATATTTGGATTTAAGTAGAACTCCTGACCTAGTATTTATAGCCAGTTTACAGAAACTTTTGTTTTCTTCACTTCTGTATCCCAGCCCCTAAAATGGAAGCCTCTGCTTGTAGAGATCTCAGTTTATCTACAAAATAAGGGAGTTAAACTAGATTATTCTCAGGTAACTTTAGTTCCAGGGTTCTATGACTTATATAAGTGGGTGATTTTTTTTCAAAGACAACTTCTAAACAGAACAAAGCATTCCTCCATAAGTTAAAAAAAAAAAAAAGTGATCAGTACTGGTTAGAGAGATAATTTATGAATTATTTTAACAAAGACACAAGTGTTCTTACTATTTTTCCACCCAGGGAACGGGTTTGGCTTTCTTGTTCTCTCCGCTACTTCCCGCACTGGCAGCTACTCCTCGATCCTTGGTCAGCGGGGGTTTAGTACTGATGGATGTACCTTTAAGAAATGCTTGCATGGTACTTCACCCTGGTCAGGTGCAAGACAGAAAAAAAAAGCTTTTATTGAAACTTTTATTGCGAATCAGCACCATAGGAAAGCGGGGGTGGTGGTGGGGAACCATTATGAGAAAGTACAGCCCGAAAATAAACTTAGCCTTGTGCAAAGATGTTACATAATAAAGGACATCACCCCATGACCTAGGACACTCTGAATGCACTGTACTGAGGGCTACAAGAACAGAAAAGTGGTCAAAGTCCCTAACGAACTTAGAATCTATTTCTAGTGCAGGAGTTATAGAACAAAGATCATATGTCACAAAAATGTTTAATGAGTTCCAAATGCATTGATAAATATGATGTTGCTAATGACCAAACCACATGGGCCTCCATGGTTTCTTTCACAGTCATGGGCCTAGCTCTAGCTCAGACCCTGAAATGGACTCTTCGGCAATTAAAGGTGCTCTGCTTGCACCACAAATGAGAACCTTCACTCCTTTCCTTGGGTCAGAACTCAAAGACCTTTTTTTGTTGTTGTTGTTTTTGAGACAGGGTCTCACTCTTTTGCCTAGGATGGAGTGCAGTGGCGGAATCATGGTTCACTGCAGCCTTGACATCCCAGGCTCCTGTCATCTTCCCACTTCAGCCTCCCCAGTAGCTAGGACTACAGGTGCGTGCCACCACCCCCGGCTAATTTTTTAAATTTTTGGTAGAGACAGGGTTTCACCATGTTGCCTAGGCTGGTCTGGAACTCCTGGGCTCAAGTAATCCTCCTGCCCCGGCCTCCCAAAGTGCTGGGATTACAGGTGTGAGCCATCTCGCCTGGCCAGGGACCTATTTTCATGGCAGAGTCAATGCTTACCTACCTTCAGAGACTTTCTGTGGGGAAGGGAAGGTGGGGGACTCTGTTGTTAAAATAGAAACAGCTGTTTTTCTCATAACACACTCACTTGAAGAAATCAAAACAATGCATAAAAGCATGAGAGATTTAAAAAAGTAATACAAAATCCCACCCAGAAGGTAACTATTTCTAACATGCAGGTAAACATTCTTCCAGGCTGTTTTCAGGGATAAAAAGCATCATTAGCTCGCCTGAAAAGTCCCCGGTTAATTCTATTTTTTTCACTGCTACATGCCCTGGTGCCTAGAACAGTGCCTGGTACATGGTAGATGCTCCGTAATATTTGGTGAATGAATTACCATCTATGATACCCGGTTTCCTTTTCTGTTAAAGGAGCTAAGGCCTATTCCACAGGACAACTGAGTTAAATAAAAGAATGTATGCAAATACATAGTTCCTTGCTTGGCATATGGGGATATGCTCAATAAAATAAATTTTTAATATCTGTTAGCAGCCAAGGTTTTTATAACGTTACTGGATTAGTCCATCCCTGCCTCGGGCTGTTAAACATTAATACAGCCCAAAGCCGGGGCCTGCAAGATGCTGTCCGGAACCACCATTTCACCAAAGGGCGCGGCCAGGGCATGAAAGGGCCACTAGGCTGGGGCCCCGAAGGAGGTGGAAGACCTCACAAGGGGCATCAAGGGCAGGAGTGGGGAAGGCGAAGCGGGCTTGCAGTTCCTCCAGCAGGTTACCAGTTAGCCTGGCTTCTCGTGCAGGTCACCGCCGCCGGCTCGTTCCTCAGGTTTCCGCGATACAAAAAGGACGAGATGGTCTCGAAGTCTTAGCTCCGTCACCTAATCTGAGAATAACGGGCCCAGGAGACTTACGATCACTGATGTCCCCACAGTCGCCTCAGTTCCCGCCACGGAACGGCGGGCGAAAAGCAGGGCGGGAATACGCCGGTAGGAATACGCGGGCACGTAACGCGTCACTTCCGGTGCTGGGGCGCGCTGCTTGCGGAGGGAGTTTGCCCGTATACGGTTTTATTTAGGCAGGTGATGAGCCAGCCGGACTTTCAGGCAGAACTGGACTGGAACAGGCATGGCCTAGGAGGTGTCCCTGTCCCGGTGCATTGCTCCCACTTCAGACGTGAGCGCGACCCTCCCGGAAGGAGTAGAGGTCGCGCGGGCACGGCGCTGGGGCTGCTTACCTGGCAGGCTCAGCAATGAGGGCGGGGCGGCGGCGCGCGGGCCTCTGGAACCCTGCCGGTCCACCGAAGGTCCCGAGCCCGCTATCTTCGTAGGTGCGGGCCTCCGGAGGTGCAGGTCCCTGTCCTCCTTGTCCTGCTTCGTCGCAGAGCAGAACGCGTGTGCTTTAAGGGCAGAGACATCTGAAGATGCTTTGCCTTGCCCTCTTGAGGACACGTGGCTTTTACTTCTAATAGTGTCTGCGTGTTGTGGAGAGAGAAGACCATGCAGCTGTGGACATCTATTATAATTCCTGAGCCCCACTTAGAAATCTGGAAGTGAAGGCGTTCAATAAAAGTTAAAGGACTGATAATCATGTTTAGCCCCACCAAGCTTCATGCACAGTGGGCTAGGCTGGTGCCTGAGCCCACTGCTTTTATCTCTTCCAAGTACTTGGTTTAGCTCTGAAATGCTCCTTAATCCTATTGAAACCTGACCCTTCTCAAAGGCCACCTTCTCTACTGGTCTTTACTAATTACTAACCCATAAGGTTGTTCCGGGTCTTCTTCAAATGACTGTTTTGTTTGGCACAAACTCAGCATGATATCCATTGTTAACTTTGTACGTTTTTTTCATTTATCTTGCAACAAATGCTTACAGAATGTCCACGCACTGTGTTAGATGCCTGCAGATACAGCAGGGAAAACGCTCGAGATGCCCTCAAGTAGCTTTACAGACTAGGAGAGTGACAGACAATGTGATGTGTGGTTATGCAGAGGAAGTAGGGGGCTGTGAGAACTTACATCCCAGGCCTAACCCAATCAAGGGTTTAACCAAAGTAAGGATGCTTTATGCTACTTTGTAATTTCCACAGAGTCTGATACAATCTCTGGACAGTATAAAAAACACACAGGTTATCTATCTGGTCACCGGTTTACATTACCATAACTTATCAAACTGTATACTTAATGCTTGTATATTTTATTGTATGTAAATTATACCACAATACAGTTGATAAAACAAGATCTATGAAAATAGATGGTATCCATTTGCTACCTGAAGGAACAGCACAACCACAGAGAGGGGGATGTTATGATCTCATTTAACAGACAAGTTGGGCTGGGCACGGTGGCTCATGCCTGTAATCACAGCACTTTGGGAGGCCGAGGTGGGCGGATCACCTGAGGTCGGGAGTTCAAGACCAGCCTGGCCAACATGGTTAAACTCCATCTCTACAAAAATACAAAAATTAGCCAGGTATGATGGCAGGTGCCTGTAATCCCACCTACTTGGGAGGCTGAGGCAGGAGAATCGCTTGAACACGGTAGGTGGAGGTTGCAGTGAGCTGAGATCACGCCATTGCATTCCAGCCTGGTGACAGAGCGAGACTCCGTCTCAAAAACAAACAAACAAAAAAACAGACAAGCTGATGGATAAGTGGTCTTTGTCCATTTTGGCTGCTATGTTTATAAGCCATAGATTGGGTGGCTTATAAACATCATAAATTTATTTCTCACAGTTTTAGTGGCTGGGAAGTCCAAGATCAAGGCACCATAAGATTCAGTGGCTGGTGAGGGTTCACTCCCTCATTGACAGCTGTCTTACTGCTGTAACCTCACTTGGTGGAAAGGGCTAACTAGTTTTCTCCAGCCATCTCCTTTATGAAGGCATTTCTCCCATTCATGAGGGTTCCACTCTATTGAACCAGTCACCTCCCAAAGGCCCCACCTCCTGATACCATCACCTTGGGAGTTATAATTTCAATAACTATAATTTGGGGGTGTGGGGACAAACATTCAGACTACAACAAAGGTTAATAGCAAGTAAGTGGCAAAGCCATAATCCACATCTTGGACTGACTCCAGACTCAAAGCTTGTGATCAGTCACTGGGCAGGTTCAGGGCTGGCATAGAGGTGCCTTAATGTTAAATAGAAAAGAGAGACCTGAGTGGTATCTTGTTTTGGCAATTGATTTTAAAAAAATGCCACCTTTCTGCAGGTACATTCAGCCCTTGGTGGGATGAAAAACTTGGTGATAAGAGATTGGGCTGGATTTCTATCTCCACTTGCCCCTCAGCTGACTACTCCGTTATTGTACACAATTATAGGCAGCATCCTAATCCAGGTAGTTGAAGAACTTGTGTGCACACCAAGCATTGTCTCTCTCACCAGAACAAGAAATGTCCTTATATAAATACTTATCTTTTTTTGTGTCATACATATGTGGGTGTTCACATGATTAAACCAGTTTAACAAGTTTATAATAGCTTTTATTATTTATTGTAATGGGCATTCATTCAGTTACTACTATGATACTATTATGTGGAGATTTGTAAAGTTTTTTTGTTTTGTTTTATTTCTGTTTTTTCTTTTTTGAGACGGAGTCTCACTCTGTCACCCAGGCTGGAGTGCAATGGCTCAATCTTGGCTCACTGCAACCTCCGCTTCCCAGGTTCAAGTGATTCTCCTGCCTCAGCCTCCCAAGTAGCTGGGACTACAGGTGTGCACCACTGCACCCAGCTAATTTTTGTATTTTTTTTTTTAGAGATGGGGTTTCACCATGTTTGCCAGGCTGGTCTCGAACTCCTGACCTCGTGATTGCCCACCTCGGCATCCACCCACCTTGGCCTCCCAAAGTGCTGGGATTACAGGTGTGAGCCACCGTGCCTGGACCCTGTGAAGTTTTTTAATCTTAAAAGAGGGCTTTCAAAAGTTGAGTACAGCTTTATTTAGTGCGTTGCCCTTTGAAACAGATGATACAAAACTGTACCTGCATGATGTGTGTGTGTGTGTGTGTGTGTGTGTGTGTGTGTGTATATATATATATAGAGAGAGAGAGAGAGAGAGAAAGAGAGAGAGAGAGAGCACGAGATCTCCCTATGTTTAGTCTTGAACTCCTTGGCTCAAGGGATCCTCCCACCTCAGCCTCCCAAAGTGCTGGGAATACAGGTGTTAGCCACTGCCTCTGGCCCTGGATTATGTTTTTTTTTAAATTTTTTGAGACACAGTCTCACCCTGTTGCTTAGGCTGGAGTGCGGTGGCACTAACTCAGGTCACTGCAACCTCCACCTTTTGGATTCAAGTGATTCTCGTGCCTCAGCCACTTGATTACAGACACATGCTGCCAAACGTGGCTAACTTTTGTATTTTTAGTGGAGACAGGGTTTTACCACGTTGTTCAGGCTGGTCTCAAACTCCTGACCTCAAGTGATTCTCCCGCCTCAGCCTCCTAAAGTGCTGGGATTACAGGCGTGAGCCACTGTGCCTGGCCTGGATGATATTTTATAAGGTCACTAGGAAAGGAAAAGACTTGGGTAGCAAATGAAAAAAGAGAGCTGTCAGGAGTGGAAAAGATCAGATAGTGGATGATAGTGTCATTTTGAAATCAGAAAATGCAGGCTGAGTGCAGTAGTTCATGCCTATAACCCTAGCACTTTGATAGGCCAAGGTGAGAAGATCACTTGAGCCCAGGAGTTTGAGACCAGTCTGGGCAACACAGCTGAGACCCCATCTCTAGAAAAATAACAAATAAATAGAAAAAAAAATCAGAAAATGCAGGTGTAGTGGATGCTCTGGTATGCTACCTTTCAGGACTGAGATACTCACTCCCCCAGCTGCTGGGAGGGTTGCTGGCCAACTCTTGAATGAGTCCCTGTCCAGCAACTGTCTTCAGCCAACAAAACCACTTTATCAAAAATTGCATTCCTTTTGTGGAGGCAGCCCACCTCCAAGGGCTAGTCTAGGAGGATGCTACAGTTTGGATGTGGTTTGTTCCCGCCCAAACTCATGTTGAAGTTTAATTGCCAGTGTGGAGGTGGGGCCTAGTGTGAGGTGTTTGGCTCACTGGGGTGGATCCCTCATGAATAGACTGGTGTCATTCTCAAGATAGTGAGTGAGTTCTTGTTCCTGGGAGATTGTATTCGTTCTTATGGAAATGGATTAGCTCCTGAGAGAGCAAGTTGTTATGAAGTGGGTCAGCCTCCTTGGTCCCCTCACTCAGCACGTGCCTGCTCACCTTTCTGCTTCTCCTCCATGTCATAAGGCAGCATGAGGCCCTCACCAGAAGCTGAACAGCCTGGCGCCATGCTCTTGGACTTTGCAGCTACCAGAATTGTGAGCTAAAGAAATCTCTTTTCTTTTTTTTCTTTTTTTTTTCATTTTTTATTGATCATTCTTGGGTGTTTCTCGCAGAGGGGGATTTGGCAGGGTCATAGGACAATAGTGGAGGGAAGGTCAGCAGATAAACAAGTGAACAAAGGTCTCTGGTTTTCCTAGGCAGAGGACCCTGCGGCCTTCCGCAGTGTTTGTGTCCCTGGGTACTTGAGATTAGGGAGTGGTGATGACTCTTAACGAGCATGCTGCCTTCAAGCATCTGTCTAACAAAGCACATCTTGCACCGCCCTTAATCCATTCAACCCTGAGTGGATACAGCACATGTTTCAGAGAGCACAGGGTTGGGGGTAAGGTCACAGATCAACAGGATCCCAAGGCAGAAGAATTTTTCTTAGTACAGAACAAAATGAAAAGTCTCCCATGTCTACTTCTTTCTAGACAGACACGGCAACCATCTGATTTCTCAATCTTTTCCCCACCTTTTCCCCCTTTCTATTCCACAAAACCGCCACTGTCATCATGGCCCGTTCTCAATGAGCCGCTGGGCACACCTCCCAGACGGGGTGGTGGCCGGGCAGAGGGGCTCCTCACTTCCCAGTAGGGGTGGCCGGGCAGAGGCGCCCCTCACCTCCCGGACGGGGCGGCAGGCCGGGCGGAGGGCTGACCCCCCCACCCCAACCTCCCTCCCGGACAGGGCGGCTGGCCGGGCAGAGGGGCTCCTCACTTCCCAGTAGGGGCGGCCGGGCAGAGGCGCCCCTCACCTCCCGGACGGGGCGGCTGGCCGGGTGGGGGGCTGACCCCCCCACCTCCCTCCCAGACGGGGCGGCTGGCCGGGCGGGGGGCTGACCCCCCCACCTCCCTCCCGGACGGGGCGGCTGGCCTGGTGGGGGCTGACCCCCACCTCCCTCCCGGACGGGGTGGCTGCCAGGTGGAGACGCTCCTCACCTCCCAGACAGGGTCGCGGCCGGGCAGAGGCGCTCCTCACATCCCAGACGGGGCGGCGGGGCAGAGGCGCTCCCCACATCTCAGACGATGGGCAGCTGGGCAGAGACGCTCCTCCCTTCCTAGATGGGATGGCGGCTGGGCAGAGACGCTCCTCACTTCCCAGACTGGGCAGCCAGGCAGAGGGGCTCCTCACATCCCAGACGATGGGCGGCCAGGCAGAGACGCTCCTCACTTCCCAGACGGGGTGGCAGCCAGGCAGAAGCTGCAATCTCGGCACTTTGGGAGGCCAAGGCAGGTGGCTGGGAGGTGGAGGTTGTAGCGAGCCGAGATCACGCCACTGTACTCCAGTCTGGGCACCATTGAGCACTGAGTGAACGAGACTCCATCTGCCATCCCAGCACCTCAGGAGACCGAGGCTGGTGGATCACTCGCGGTTAGGAGCTGGAGACCAGCCCGGCCAACACAGCGAAACCCCGTCTCCACCAAAAAAATACGAAAACCAGTCAGGCGTGGTGGCGTGCGCCTACAATCGCAGGCACTCGGCAAGCTGAGGCAGGAGAATCAGGCAGGGAGGTTGCAGTGAGCCGAGATGGCAGCAGTACAGTCCAGCTTCAGCTCGGCATCAGAGGGAGACCGTGGAAAGAGAGGGAGAGGGAGACCGTGGGGAGAGGGAGAGGGAGATGGAGAGGGAGAGAGAGAGGGAGAGGGAGCAAGAAATCTCTTTTCTTAATAAATTACCCGGCCTGACAGTCTGTTATAGCGACAAAATGGACAACGACAGAGGGGTATAAAGGTTTAGCCCTTTGTCTTAAGGTGGCACAGTTCTTATGCGTTATTCAAGCTCCAGATCTTCGTTGCACCTGCATCACAATACAACTTCTGCCCAGTCCTGCCTCCCTCATCCCTCTCATGTGTTGATTCTTAGAGTACCACACCATTAAAAGCCTGCAGGCAAATCGCAAAATCTGTTTCCTAAGGAATCCAACCCAGAAGGGGTCCTTGAAAAAGGCTCTGAGACGGGATTTTGAAGCTGTATCCCCTCCCAACCTGTTGGTAACAGAAACCCCATCACTGGTGGTGGTGGAGCTCCCACGGCCCCCGGCATCCTATGGCAATTGTTAAAATGTTCATCAGTGGCAAACTGGAATGGGGTGCCAGGAGAAGGAAATGCATAGCAGATGTAATATCTCAGGGGTTGTAAGAAAGAGTAATTATAAGAACTTTGGAATTGGGTGGACATGGCTGGGGGGGATGTTACTAATTCCTTAAAGATAATGAAGGGTCGAGTGTCACCAATTGCCAGTGAGACCAAGGATGAAAGCCAGAGGGTCTGGCCGGGAGCAGTGGCTTACGCTTGTAATCCCAGCACTTTGGGAGGCTGAGGTGGGCAGATCACCTGAGGTCAGGAGTTTGAGACCACCCTGGCCAACATGGCAAAACCCTGTCTCTACTAAAAATACAAAAATTAGCCGGGTGTGGTGGCGTGCGCCTATAATCCCAGCTACTCAGGAGGCTGAGGCACGAGAATCACCAGAACCTGGGAGGCGGAGGATGTAGTGAGTCGAGATCATGCCATTGCACTCCAGCCTGGGCGACAAGAGAAAAACTCCATCTCAAAAAAAAAAAAAAAAAAAAAAAAAAAAAAAAAAAAAGCCAGAAGGTCTATTTGGCAGCATATAAAATTATTCACATATCCTGCAGCCAGAGGGGAAAACAATCTGTGAGCCAGACCCCAAAAATCAATTATATTAGTGGCAGGGTTTGAGAGAAGGTTAAATTCTCAACTCCAGTAAATCTACCACACCAAGTTCAGGACCCTGTTGGGAAAAAAAAAAAAAAAAACTGAGACGCTGAGACTTGAAATGGGGCCATCTGGGTCAATGCATTTGAAAATCTTAAATTTCCAGATTCCTCTGAATGCTATTGATCTACAGAAGTAGCCCATTCCTCTCTGTTAAGTGCTGATGCTCCTCTCTTAAGGATATATGTACAAGCTTCTGCCTTGTAAGACAGCACATATCTCCCCTCATCCCCCATCATTTCACCCTCTTCTCCACTCCACCAGCACCGAAGGGGAGGTGATTATCCACAAGTGTGAACACCTGGAGGTAGGGACCATGGGAGCCACTCTAGAGTCTGCCTGGCGCAGAATACGTGGAGGATTCCTATGACCAGCTGACAGAGGAGAAAAAGGCTAAGCCTGGTTCGTGGATGGGTCCGTTGGTACGTAGGTATCAGACAAAAATGGGCAGCTGCTGTGCTACAGCTTCACTTAAGGGTAGACCTCAGGGACAGCAGTGAAGGAGTGTCCTCCTAATGACAGAGCAGCACACAGGGCATCTGTTCATCCACTTTGTGAAGGCAGAGAAGGGGCCTGAGGCAAGGTCATACAGAAGACTCATGGTCAGCGTAAGTAACTTGGCCAGTTGGTCAGGGACTTGAAAGGAGGAAGATTGGAAGATCAGGGATGAAGGTGTCTGGGGAAGAGATGCGTGGCAAGTGTACTAAGGCAGCGGGAATGGAATGTGAACATCTTTGTAACATATGTTAACACCCAGCAGACAGCATTTCCTATGGGGGAGGCACTCATCAAGCAATGAAACAGAATGGCTTTTCCAGTTATTCTCAGCCACCTTCTTCCCTCAGCTGCCCTAGTGTTGGCATAATAAGTTGATGAACACGGTAGTCATGGTGGCAAAGATGGACACTATACATGAATCCAACAGCATGAATTGTTATAGCTACTGCACTACTGATAGTCTAACCTGACAGAAGGTTAGACTGTATATGTTAGAACTTTCACTGCTAGCCGAGCACGGTGACTCACACCTGTAATCCCAGAACTTTGAGAGGCTGAGGTGGGTGGATCACTTGAGGTCAGGAGTTTGAGACCAGCCTGGCCAACATGGTGAAACCCTGTCTCTACTAAAAATCCAAAAATATGGTCAGGCACAGTGGCTCACGCCTGTAATCCCAGCACTTTGGAAGGCCGAGGCGGGTGGATCACCTGAGGTTGGGTGTTCGAGACCAGCCTGACCAACATGGAGAAACCCTGTCCCTACTAAAAATACAAAATTAGCCAGGCGTGGTGGCATACACCTGTAATCCCAGCTACTCGGAAGGCTGAGGCAGGAGAATCGCTTGAACCTGGGAGGCAAAGGTTGTGGTGAGCTGAGATCGTGTTATTGCCCTCCGGCCTGGGCAACAAGAGAGAAACTCCATCTCAAAAAAAAAAAAAAAAAAAAAAATTAGCTGGGCGTGGTAGCACACGCCTGTAATCCCAGCCACTGGGGAAGCTGAGGCAAGAGAATTACATGAACCCGGGAGATAGACGTCACAGTGAGCCTAGATCGTGCCACTGAACTCTAGCCTGGGCAACAGAGCATCTCAAAAAAAAAAAAAAAGAACTTTCACTGCTGAAATTCCTAACATATACAGAAGCCAGTGATGACCACTCCTCTCCCCCTGTGGCATCACCCCTCAACGAGATCAACCAACCTTTTCCACAGAGAGAAATAAAATTTTAGTTGTTTCCTCCAAAAACAAAATTCTGCTCTCTGGATTGTTTTAAAAAATCCTTACTTCCTAGTGTTTCTCAAAGAATGGTTTAGGGCCACGGCAACAGAATCACTTATGGGGCTTGTCACAAGTGCAGATTTCCAGTCCCCGCCTAGAAATAATGAATCAGAATCTGTAGGTTTGGTGTCTGGGAATCTGTATTTATGCAATGTGGAGGTTTTGGGTTAGTGGTTACTATGGTTTAAATGTTTTTGTCCCCTCCAAAACTCATGTTGAAACTTAATTCCCAATGCAACAGTGTTGGGAGGTAGGGCTTAGTGGGAGGTGTTTAGATCATGAGGGCTGTGCCCTCCTGAATGGAGTAATGCTGCAATAAAATGGGCTTTGGGGAGTGGTTTTGCTCTTGCACATTTCCCCTTCCCCCTTCCATCCTGTGATGACTAAGCAAGAAGGCCCTTGAAAGATGCTGGTTCCTTGATCCTGAACTTTCCAGCCTCCAGAACTGTGAACCAATACATTTATGTTCATTATAAATTGCCCGGTCTCAAGTATTCTCTTATAGCAGCACAAAATGGACTAAGAGAGTGGCCTTTCACAACACGATTCAATATTCTAACTAAATTTCTCCCAGAAAACAATTCAGTTGTTATGAGATGGAAAATGAAAATATAAATTAGGTACATGCAAATGGAAAAATCACCTTACCATATCAGTAGGTGTGTTGAAAAATCACCTTACCAGGAGATAGAGACCATCCTGGCTAACATGGTGAAACCCTGTCTCTACTAAAAATACAAAAATTAGCCAGGCGTGATGGCAGGTGCCTGTAGTCCCAGATACTTGGGAGGCTGAGGCAGGAGAATGGCGTGAACCCAGGAGGTGGAGCTTGCAGTGAGCCGAGATCGCCACTGCACTCCAGCCTGGGCTACAGAGTGAGACTGCGTCTCAAAAAAAAAAAAAAAAAAATCACCTTACCATATCAGTAGGTGATATGCTTGCATTGCTATAAAGAAATAGCTGAGACGGAGTAATTTATAAAGAAAAGAGGTGAATTGGCTCACGGTTCTGCAGGCTATACAGGAAGCATGGCACCAAGATTTGTTTCACTTCTGGAGAAGCCTCAGGGAGATTTTACTCACGGCAGAAGGCAAAGGGAGAGCTGGCATCTCACGTGGCGAAAGCAGCAGCAAGGGGGTTGGGTTGTGGGGGAGGTGCCACACAATTAGATTTTGTGAGAACTCACTCACTATTGTGAGGACGGCACCAAGCCATGAGGAATCCGCCCCCATGACCCAGACACTTCCCACCTGGCCCAACCTCCGACACTGGCGATTACATTTCAACATAAGATTTGGGCAGGGACGAATGTCCAAACTATTATCAGTTGGACAAATCCACTATTCACTTACCAATAGAGAACCTCATTTACAGGGTCCCATGTGAGCCTGGCATTGTGTTCTAGGTTGTGGGTAGAAATCAAAAGCATGAAGTTTAGATGAAGAGGAAAAAAAAAATCGATATATGGTAGTCCCCCCTTTTCTGTGGGGGATGTGTTCCAAGACCCACAGTGGATGCTGAAACCACGGCTAGCACTGAACACTGCATATACTATGTTGTTTCCTGTACGTACATACCTCTGATAAAGTTTAATTTAGAAATTAGGCACAGTAACAGATTAACAACAATAATGATAAAACAGAACAATCATAACAACATCCTGTAATAAAAGTTCAGTGAATGTGGCCTCTCTCTCAAAATATCTTACTGTACTGTACTGTCCAGTTAATATTTTTTGTTTGTTTGTTTGCTTGTTTTGAGATGGAGTTTCGCTCTGTTGCCCAGGCTGGAGTGCAATGGCGTGATCTTGGTTCACTGCAACGTCCTCCTCACAAGTTCATGCAATTCTCCTGCCTCAGCCTCCCTAGAAGCTGGAATTACAGGCACGCACTACCACACCAGGCTAATTTTTGTATTTTTAGTAGAGATGGGGTTTCACCATGTTGGCCAGGCTGGTCTTGAACTCCTGACCTCAGGTGATCCACCCGCTTCGGCCTCCCAGAGTGCTGGAATTACAGGCATGAGCCAACGCGCCCAGCCGCATTTAACACTTTTGAACTGCGGTTCACTGAGGGTAATTAAAACTGCAGAAAGTGAACTGCGGGTAAGAGGGGGCTACTGTATGTAAATCATTGTAACTAAAAGGCCCAGAGGTATTGTCCCAGTCCCTTCCTTTTACAGAAATGCAGGCGGGGGGTCAATTTCATACAGCTTGTTGACAGCAGAGCGGAGTCTCCTGTGCCTGGTGCACTAGCAGGGTCTGATGATATGTCATGGTGAGTGATGCAAACAGCGAGGGCTCTAAGAATTCAGCAGGGATCTACAGTGGATGGTGAGGGAGCAGGAGCCAGTGCCTAAAAGGGGATGAGACTCTAGGAGCAGAATGCAGTCTCAGGGGTATCCAGGCAATGGTGGGAGGGTGGTGTCCATGATTCCAAGATCAGGAATACTGGGAAATATCAGTACCTCACATCTGTCTAGCACTTTACAAAGCTCTAACATATAAATATTATCACCTCAGTTCATTCTTACACCACCCTACAATACCTATCAACCTTTGGGAATTGTTAAGCATAATAACCCTATACACTGGGCAAAGCATACAGGGACCTCAGGGCCATGGGTGAGAGGAAGGACACTGGGAGCCAATGAGGGATGTAGAGAGAGGGCCTTTCAGAGATAACCAGGCAGAAGAGGACATTGTACCAGATGATGGAGTCAGCTAGGGCTTGGGCAGGGAAGAGAAGAGCGTCACTGATGGGTGAGACACAGCAGCACAAGAAGCTGAGGAGAGAGGCAGGTACTGAGGTTTAGGACAAGCTCCTCAGCTGTGGCATGACTATCTGTGATCGGGAGGTGTAGGGAGACTGCGGGGAAAGATCAGGCCCCACCCAGAAGAGTGCAGGGGCAGGCAGCGGGGTGGGTGGGAAACAAGGCAAAGCCTCAGTCCTGGCAGAAATCAAGGCCACTGTCCCATCCTAGCAACGGGGCAACACGTGGCAGTCACATCGGGAGTAAAAGGTGAGCCCAGGAACCTTGAAAATCACAGAGCTGCTTCGAAGTGAGCACATTCAGTGATGATCTGGAGCCTAGCCTGGGAGAGTCAGGGATAGGGTGGAAGGAAATAAGACTGGGGGCAGGTAGGCCTCAAATATTGGGCTGAAGGGTTTGGCTTTTGTGCTGTTGTAGGCAATGCGGAGCCCCTGGAGGCTGAGCTCACAGATGGCTTTCTTTGTAGACCTGAGACAACACGCGAACGAAGAATATGATCACTGTCCCGGGAATGTGTGAGTTTTCCTCCACAAACTTACACAGTTTGGGCTCATTTCTCTTCTTTTTGCAACACATAGAAGACTGGAGAATTTGGTGGGCATACTGATACTGCTTAACTCAATATGAACAGAGCTGGCTGTTAAAACTTGGTTGGACCCTAATCAAAGTATGCAGGGAACTCAGTAGGATGGGCTGGAGAAGTGGGAGAGGATGCCAGGACCAAGTGAGCCAGGGACTGAAGCAACTTTTTCTGAATGTATGAAAGAGAAAAGAAGAGCAAATATATATATGTAAATACGTGGTAACAGCATTTTATGTGTGTGGTGGCCTAGTTCCTTTAATACTTGCTTACTCAAATAGGTGTATATATAAAATAAGTTAAAATTGTTTTTCATTTGAGTGCTGATTTTTTTTTTTCCTTTCAGCCTGAAATAAGTCTCTGTGTGAAACATGCAAAAATTGCTGGCTTGGGTAGACACTACACACGCACACAGGCACACACACATTTTAGAGACAGGGTCTTACTCTGTTGCCCAGGCTGGAGTGCAGTGATACAATCATAGGGCCTTGCAGCCTTGAACTCCTGAGCTCATGCAATCCTCCTGCCTCAGCAAAACATTTTGAGAGTTCATGCAGATTACTGATTTTCTAAGCTTACTACAAGGTATTTTTAATTTTTTTTTAATTTAAGTTTTTTTTCTTTTTGAGAAAGGGCTCACTCTGTCACCCAGGCTGGAGTGCAGTGGCACGATCTTGGCTCACTGCAGCCTCTGCCTCTCAGGTTCAAGTGACTCTCCTGCCTCAGCCACCCAAGCAGCTGGGATTACACCATGCCCAGCTAAATTCTGTATTTTTAGTAAAGACAGGGTTTTGCCATGTTGCCTAGGCTGGTCTAAAACTCCTGAGCTCAAGTGATCTGCCTGCCTCAGCCTCCCAAAGTGCTGGGATTACAGGTGCGAGCCACCACGCCCAGCTGGTATTTTTTATTTTTATAAGAAAGATACTTGGCTGGGCACGGTAGCTCATACCTGTAATCCCAGCACTTTGGGAGGCCAAGGCAGGCAGATCACGAGGTCAGGAGATCGAGACCATCCTGGCCAACATGATGAAACCCCATCTCTACTAAAATACAAGAACTTAGCCAGGCATGGTGGTGCGCACCTGTAGTCCCAGCTACTCGGGAGGCCGAGGCAGGGGAATCGCTTGAACCCGGGAAGCGGAGGTTTCAGTGAGCCGAGATAGCACCACTGCACTCCAGCCTGGTGACAGAGCAATACTCCATCTCAAAAACAAGACAAAACAAAAAAAGAAAGATACTAATTCTCTCTCAGTGATTATTAGCAACTCTGATTCCTTTTGGCCCTACATTGGTTTGGAAAAGAAATACACACTTCAGAGATACACCAGTCTAAATGTACAAGTTTAAACTCTGGTTCACAGAGCAAAACTTTGCAAAAGGTCCGGATGTAGCCCAGTAACCTAGATTAATCTTGAGACTCCTCCTTTCATGAGACCTAGTTTGCTAGTGGGGCAGATTAGGCAGAAATTAGCCATGCAGTTCACCACTCACGAGGCAGCAGCAGTAGCATGGTGGTGAAGTGCTTGATACCCTGCAGATCCAGGTTCAAGAAAGACCAGCTTTGTCCTTTTGGATAAGTTACCTTATTTCAGTGCCTTAAATACTATTTATTTATTTATTTAGAGACAGGGTCTTTCTCTGTCACCCAAGGTGGAGTGCAGTGGCATGATTTCCGCTCACTGCAACGTCTGCCTCCCAGGCTCAGGTGGTCCTCTCACCTCAACCTCCTGAGTAGCTGGGGCCACGGGTGTGTGCCACTATGCCTGGCTAATTTTTTGTAGAGATGGGGTTTTGCCATGTTGCCTAGGCTGGTCTTGAACTCCTGGCCTCAAGCTATCTGCCTGCCTTGGCCTCCCAAAGGGTTGGGATTACAGGTGTGAACCACTGCGCCTGGCCAAATATTTAATCTTTTGTTTTAAAAAATGGAGGTGACACCTTCTAGTCTCCGTATGAAGAGTAAATGAGATGGGAGAAGCACAGCACCTGGCTCAGAGTAAAGTTTCACTAATGTTAGGACAATGGTACTGGCCAAGTTTTCTCTAAAGGATAAAGCCCGAACTCAGCCCCTCAGACAGTGAATAAGAAGTTTCTTTTTTTCTTTCTTTCTTTCTTTTTTTTTTTTCTCGAGACGGAGTCTCGCTCTGTCGCCCAGGCTGGAGTGCAGTGGTGAGATCTCGGCTCACTGCAAGCTCCGCCTCCCGGGTTCACACCATTCTCCTGCCTCAGCCTCCCAAGCAGCTGAGACTACAGGTGCCCACCACCACGCCCGGCTAATTTTTGGTATTTTTTTAGTAGAGACGGGGTTTCCCTGTGTTAGCCAGGATGGTCTCGATCTCCTGACCCCCTGATCTGCCCACCTCGGCTTCCCAAAGTGCTGGGATTACAGGCGTGAGCCACCACGCCCGGCCAAGAAGTTTCTTTTCTGTATTTTTACTTTTTTTTATTTTTTGAGACGGAGTCTCGCTCTGTCACCCAGGCTAGAGTGCAGTGGCCCAATCTCGGCTCACTGCAACCTCCGCCTCATGGGTTCACGCCATTCTCCTGCCTCAGCCTCCCAAGTAGCTGGGACTACAGGCGCCCACCATCACGCCTGGCTAATTTTTTGTATTTTTAGTAGAGACGGGGTTTCACCGTGTTAGCCAGGATGGCCTCGATCTCCTGACCTCGTGATCCGCCCACCTCGGCCTCCCAAAGTGCTGGGATTACAGGCGTGAGCCACGGCGCCTGGCCCAAGAAGTTTCTTTAAGGCAGCTCCAGCTTTTTCAGTCAAAGTGAAATGGTCCTGAAATTTGCATATGCAATGTTTACCTTTCTTTTTCATTAAACGAGAGAGGGAACCAAAACAAAAATACAGTTTGACCATTTAAAATGTTGGAAGAGCTGCCAACTTGGTAGCACTATCTAGAGTGGCTCCATTCTGCCATCTAGTGGAAGGGAAAAGACAAATTTAGACCAAAATACTTCCATCTTTAATTTACAAAAAAGTGTGTTCTTTTGTTTTTTGTTTTTTAAAGTTGGGGTCTTGCTCTGTTACCTAGGCTGGAGTGCAAGCAGTGTGATCATAGCTCAACAGCCTGGAGCTCCTGGGCTGAAGCCATCCTCCCACTTCAACCTTCCTGGTCACTGGGATTACAGGCATGAGCCGCAGCACCAGGCTGTGTTTTCTGATTAGCATAATTTAAATTATCTACTAAATTTGCTCGTTAATAGATTCACTTTGTAAAGAAAAACCACACAGTATTCTAAACACTAAGCAGTAAAACTAAATTTCCCAAAACATTTATATTTATAAACTATGAATTTCAAAGATCTGCAGAGGAAAGAGAGAACGTTCTTGAGCTCTTATTATCATAAATTTTCCTGCCCCTCCCTTTCCCGTTTATATTATCCATTTCTACACATACTCTTTACGTTTATTTTGGCACATAGACTGGGAGAAGCCCAGAGTCTCTGAGGATTATATCTTTCCCAAAATACTGAGCAAAATCAGTGGGTGAGTAAGATCATTCCATTCATTTTTCAAAAATGTACACTCACTTAAAATGTTGATGTATCCGGGCATGGTGGCTCAAGCCTGTAATCCCAGCACTTTCAGAGGCTGAGGCAGGCGGATCACAAGGTCAAGAGATTGAGACTATCCTGGTCAACATGGTAAAACCCCGTCTCCACTAAAAATACAAAAATTAGCTGGGCATGGTGGTGTGTGCCTGTAGTCCCAGCTACTTGGGAGGCTGAGGCAAGAGAATCACTTGAACCTGGGAGGCAGAGGTTGCTGTGAGCTGAGATCATGCCACTGCACTCCAGCCTGTTGACACAGTGAGACTTCGTCTCAAAAACAAACAAACAAAAAAGTTGATGTAACCAAGGTATTTGTTAAGGCCTGTGTGCTTGAATTTGTTTTTTGCTGGTGTATGTATGCATGTTTGCTTTGTTTTGATTTCTATGGACATTATCTAGGTATTTATGATGATTTCCATTGCCTAGGATGAAGACATCTGCAGCCAAAACTCCCTGAAAAGTTAGTAACAGTAGCATACCTGAAGTGACTGGTGCTATTCTGAGGCTGTTACTCTTTTTTTGAAACAGGGTCTTGCTCTGTCGCCCAGGCTGAGCGCGATGACATGATTTCGGCTCACTGCAGCCTTGACCTCCCAGACTCAAGCAATCCTCCTGCCTCGGCCTCCCAATGTGCTGGGATTACAGCACAGGCCACCACACCCGGCTAATTTTTAAAGTTTTTTTTAGAGACGGGGTCTCCCTATGTTGCCCAGGCTGGTCTCAAACTCCTGGGCTCAAGAGATCCTCTTGCCTTGACCTCCCAAAGTGTTGGGATTACAGGTGTGAGCCAACACATCTGGCTGGTTATTACTCGTATTACTAGCAAATGTTATTTATTGAGTTTCTATGGTGTACTAGACACTGTTCTTTTTTTTTTTTTTTGAGATGGAGTCTCGCTCTATCCCCCAGGCTGGAGTGCAATGGCACAATCTCGACACACTGCAACCTCTACCTCCCAGGTCCAAGCGATTCTCCTGTCTCAGCCTCCCAAGTAGCTAGGTTTATAGGTGCCCGCCACCATGCCAAGCTAATTTTTGTATTTTTTTTTAGTGCAGACAGGGTTTCACCATGTTGGCCAGGCTGGTCTCGAACTCCTAACCTCAGGTGATCCACCCATCTCAGCCTCCCAAAGTGCTGGGATTACAAGCGTGAGACACCCTGCCTTGGCCAGACACTGTTCTTGATGTACATTTTGCTAATCCTTCCACTAAATCTCCAAAGTAGATATCATTGTCTTCACTTTAGAAATAAAAAAATGATGCTTATGACCACCTACCAGCAAATCTTGATGCGCCAGGGACTGGGGGGAATAATCATTGACTAGCTGGCTATTATGAGTCACAGTTTCCATTCCTGCAAAATGAGAATTTTTTTGACTTAGGGGTGGGGTGTTCTCTAAGCTTTTTGCCTGATTCTAATTCTTCTGCTAGAAGCTGTGGGTTTACAGAGGTGAAAAAGATAGCCCTTCCACCAAACATATATTCTATTATATATATCTTATCTATATATATTATATATATTCTATTATATGTATCTTATCTATACATATTATATATTCTATTATATATATCTTATCTCTATATATTATATATATTCTATTTATCTTATCTCTATATATTATATATATTCTATTATATATCCCTTCCACCAAAAATATATTCTTTTATATTAATAAAATATAAACCCAGGGTCCAATGGAAAAGACTTAAGGGCAGACACAGAGTGGGATGTGGTTTGTGTTAGGAGAGGGCTGAAGGGACATCATGGCAGGCATTTGTGTGACCTCCCACAAAACACCCTCCTCCACTCTGACCTCACTTTGTTCTTCCTTCCCTTTGTCCTTATTATTTCCTTTCTGCTTCTCTTTCTTTTCTGTCTCCCTCTGCCCTGCCCTAGAACGGTGCCTTTCTAATTGTGGGTTATAACACATTATTAGTAGGTCATAAAATCAATTCAGTGGATGTGGACCAGCATTTTAAAAAGGGAATTAATAGAATATAAACTCCTTAAAAGGCGTCACTCATACTCAGGATAATACTGCTGTGTAAAATTTGTTTTAATATGTGTCAGCATGTGTACACTGTGTCAAGATGTAACACTTACATCCTATTTTAAGACCCTGCTGTAGACTAAACCAGGACCCCCATGGTGCTCCAGGCGTCCCCACCCTCACCTGTGGCACCAGGAGCTCCTGCTGTCACTGGCCCAGCTGGGTCCTGTGTCTTTCTCTGCGTTGTCAGGGCCTGCGCTGGCAGTCCACCTACAGGGAGGTGGAATCCGGGGCTTGACGGCACTGGGAGGATCCTTCATCTTTCCAGGCTCAAGCAAATCCTCGCCTGGAGGCGGGGAATGGGCTAGATGACCCCTGAAACAGTCCAGTCCAGCATCTGAGAGCTCCTCTGGGTCCAGCCCTGTGCCGCCTTTCCACGCTTCCCTGCAGGGCCCTGGGGAGAGCAGAGAAAGCAGCTGCCAGCTCCAGGCAGTCATTTTACCCCAGGTGCCACTTACCCTGCGGAGGGGCTGGAACCAGCTAATCATTTTACCCCAGGTGGCACTTACCCTGCGGAGTGGCTGGAGCTTCTCAGGTTTTTCAGTTCCTGTGTCACCTCCCAGCCCTGCCCACCACATGCTGTGGGTGTCTATGGCTGACGAACGCCCCTGAGCCAGGCCAACCCCCAGCCTCCCAGTGGGTGGCTCTGTGGTCCCTGGCAGCCCCGGCATCATCCGGAGCACAGAGGCCATGGACACTCAGGGGATGGTCAAGGTCGTAGCTCCCTCCGTTCTTCCGTTCCTCCCTCACAGAGCTTTCAGCAAGATAGATGGTCATTCTTCTGTCCTCACTGCTCCCGGCATAAGGGGACCCCAGGGCTGGATGACTTCCCTAAAGAGGAATCTCTCAGGGTTTCCTGCAGCCGCTCCCAAGTCCCGTCTGGAGGATGAAGGTGGCGGACACATCCCTGACGCAGTTTCTCCTCTGCCCTCCACCCCTCACCCATCCCACCTCCTGGACTAGGAACTCAACCAGGACTTGCTTCAACCTGAGAAGATGGTGTCCAGCCCCCTTGGAGCCTGCCAGCATCCGGCGGGATTTCAGAGGGGCCTCCAGGGAGGCGCTGCCCAGCTGCCCCCAGTGTTGCTCACACAGCCCCCACTGATCTGCTCTGGGGAGGCCACGGCCCCAGAACGCGGCTTGTGGGGGGCCTGGGGCAGCAGGCCGGGAGACGTCACTTGTCCGCTGCCTGCTCACCCAGATAACTGCAGCTCCCTCCACTGCCGCCTACAGCCCTCCCGCCATGCCTCTGCCCAGAAGGCCCTCCCTCTCCAGTCCTGTCCGCCCCTCAAGGCCTGCCCAAACCTCCCTGAATTCTCGCCTGAGCAGACACTTTCCTAGCACGGCTCCCGCCGCGTGGATTACTCAGCCGAGCCTCAGTCTGGGGCTGCCCTGTGCTGGGAGCTTTATGCAGATGCTCGGCTCCCTACCCTGGCTTGTGAGCCGTGTGGCGCAGAAACCGCATCTCACTCAGAGCGAGGGTAAAGAGCAGCAGGGCTGGAGAAGCCAGCTGCCCTGCCACAGGCCAAGAGGACTTGGCCAAGTGACCATTGCTGTCTGTTTCCCCAACTGTAAAGGGGGCTGAGACCCTTACAGGGTTGTGAGGCTTAAACTTTGACAAACGCCTACCATCCCACCAGGCACAGGGCAGTTGCTGAGTATTTGGCGGTGGCTGCTGTTCCCCACAGTGTCCAACACCTCCCGGGGATGTAACAGGTGCACCACGGGCAAGACTGATGGGTTTATCAGTTCACTGCGGAGAGAGGCAGGGATGGATGCACTTGCTTGTTCCTCTTATTTTCCCTTATGGGGAGCAGTGACACTTGGCAGAGGCTGCCAGGGAGATGGGAAATGGACATTAATTACGGGAAAGAAAAGGAGGCAAGAAGGGGAGGAGGGTGGGAAATAGACAGGGGAGGAAGAAGGGACGGAGGCATGGTTAGAAGACAGGCAAGCAAAAAAGACGACTGTTTTCTTGGACGAACAGGGAGGTAGGGCCATGAAAAGCATGTGGACGCTTCTTCTCAGTGAATTAAGGCATTTCAGCGCTGGAAAGAGCCTGAAAAAATCAGACTCCCTTCACAGCCCAGCGGAGTGCAGGCCCTGGGAGAGCAGGAGTTAGAGATGGGGAGGACCCCGCCTGCAACAGGCACTGCCTGCTACACCCTGCCATGGGCAGAGGGGCTGTCCTCCCACCCCAGAGAGGCCCCATCCTTTCCTTTCTTTCCCCAAGGCTGCTCCAGCAGGGAGTTTAGCTCCATGGACACCTTTGAAGGCTATGAAGGTGCAGAAGACATGGAAAAGGTGAGCAGCGCTCTGAACGTAATTTCTTTCTTTCTTGTTTATTTCATCTTCTTCCTCCTTCCTATTCATCAGCTCCTCCTGCCTACTGTCCCTCGCCTCCATCCCTCTCCCCCTCTTCAGGATTCTCACCCATAAGGACCTGGTTAAGCCAGGGAACCGAGGTCACTAGTCCTCAAAGTGGCTCTGACCCTGCTAGCCCGGCATGTCCCCACGTGGCTGTCTCCTTGGCGGTGCGCTGGTGTCCGGTCATAACTGGGGCTCCCGCTGAGAGCCCCGTGGCCCAGGTGGGAGGGCTGGGGTGGGCCTCAGCCTGCCAGCGGAAGTCACCACATTGCCCGGCCTGGCCACAGCCTCCAGCAATAACTCTGAGGGTGCACCCGTCCCCCCCCCCGCCCCCCCTTCCAGCTCGCGGGGCCTTTTCCAGTTGGATGACAGTCACGAAACCTGTTCCTCCAAATCCGCTTTCCTGGAGAGGAGAGAAAGCACCCAGGGAGAAAAAGAAGAACGCGATGAGGAAGCAACGTGAGTGTGAGCGAGGAAAACTAAGCGCCTCTGTGGGCCACGGCGTCTCTGACTTTCTTCTCGGAATTGCAGGGCGACCGGCAGCACCAAGAAGGAGCGTGCTGGGGCGTCCACGCCGGCTGACTCCTGCGGGGGCGACGGCTGGTTTCCAGGCGAGGGCGCGGCGCCCGAGGACCTCCACCCCGGAGAGCTGCCCTCCCTGCGGTCGCCCCGGCTCCCCGGCTCCAGAGCGCCCGCATTCCCGAGAGAGGCGATGTGGGGGCCCGGGCCCTGCCCAGCTACGCAGAAAGCAGCCGGGGCCGCGGCGGCGGCAGAAAGGGGACGCCCAGGGCCGCCTCCCGGGAGCCCGAGGGGTGCCCTGCGTGCTCGTCTAGCTCCCGCCGCCCGGCGAAGGACCTCGCGGGACGGGGACCCCTAGTGCGCCTGCGCGAGCGCGGCGGGCGGAGGCAGACGCTCGCGGAGGCCACGCCTCCTAAGGCTCGGCCGAGCCTAGGAGGAGCCGGAGCTGGCTCGGGGCTGCTCCCACCCGCCAGCGCCGGCTGCCCAGCCTGGCAGTGGACCGGGTGTGCAAGCCACTTAGCACCTGACAGGTTAATTCAGAGGGGGTGGTTCCAAGGTAACTGCTGAGAGATTTACGTTTGGATTTGTTAGTTTAAAAATTAGTTTTCCAGTTACCCGGGCTGGAGTGCGATGGCGCAATCTCTGCTCACTGCATCCTCCGCCTCACAGGTTCCTGCAATTCTCCTGCCTCAGCCTCCCGAGAAGCTGGGATTACAGGCATGTGGCACCACGCCCGGCTGATTTTTGTATTTTTAGTATAGATGGGGGTTTCACCATCTTGGTCAGGCTGGTATCGAACTCCTGACCTCAGGTAATCCGCCCGCCTCGGCCTCCCAAAGTGCTGGGATTACAGGTGTGAGCCACTGCGGCCTGCCGATTTTCAGAATTTTCGTCAGAGGTTTGCATCTGTTTAGTTTTTTAGTTATCTTCAGACTTGTCATGTTTTCTTTTCATAAGTTGCAAATTAACTTTTCTGTTTTTAATTTTTACTTACTTAGTTTTAAGGTGTATTTACTTTCAGAATTTCTTAGGTTTAACATTGCTGTCAGTCAGGGTCCAATCACTGAAATAGACCCCACACCAATTATTTTAACAGAAAATTTAATATAAGGAATTGTCACACAACTATTGGAGAACTAAAAAGGCAAAAAAAAAAAAAAAAAGGATGATATTGAGATATCATGGAGATTTCAACTGCAAGAAGCAGCTACTACCTCAAGAGCTAAGGGAACAAAAAGAAGTTGGAATGATCAAAACTCAGAAGTCTGAAGATGGCCCCAGGGCTGGGGTTGTTCTTTGCGGAGGAGACACTGCTCAGAGCCTGGGGTCTGGGAGCTGGATGCAGAACTCGGGAGGGGACATGGCCAGCTCGTGCTGGTGTCTCTGAATGGGCATCATCAGGCTGGTTATGGGAGTGCTGGGAAAATGACAAGCTGGAACCAACTGCTGCTACTGACACCACCTGTCATTCTCAGAGTGGAGACCTGTTGCTAGAACGCTGACAGGAACCCAGGAGCACAGGAAGGAGCCCATCGTGACCCTGCACCACAGAGCAGGGGCGGGGGTGGGGGTGGGGGGCAGGGGGATGTAAAAGCTGAGGACCATCCCAGCACACTTGCTTTGGAGTTACGTAGAGCTCCGTTAGGATTCAGTCAGTTTTGGAATGGTTAGGGGTGATTTCATTTTTTCACTACATGTGGGATCTGGCAGAATCTTCAGTCTCCTGGTCTTGTTTCTGGAATGGAGTGGGTCACGAACACCTCACAGGAGTCTCTCCCAGGAGACTTGAGAGGATCACTTTAGAATTTAAGAAAACAAAAATAACATGTCTCACTTTGTTCACAAAGAAGCCCTTTGACAAAGTGGCCAAAAACGGGCAGAGCCTAAGGAACAGACTCTTAGGGAGGGGTCCTTGGAACAGTATCCTGCAGAGCGTTCCTCTTTCAAATTCTTTAGAATTTTACGCTGTTTTGTGGGGCCACCCTGTCCCACTCCCTTTCCTAACAACACAGTGCCTTTCTTGCTTTGAAGTTGTAAACTGTTTTTTTAATTGTTTGCACAATAAAATAAAGTTCCTCCCAATAAGGGACAGACTCTTAGGGAGGGGTCCTTGGGACAGTATCCTGCAGAGCGTTCCTCTTTCAAATTCTTTAGAACTTTACGCTGTTTTGTGGGGCCACCCTCTCCCACTGCCCTTCCTAACAACACAGTGCCTTTCTTGCTTTGAAGTTGTAAACTGTTTTTTTAATTGTTTGCACAATAAAATAAAGTTCCTCCCAATAAGGGACAGACTCTTAGGGAGGGGTCCTTGGAACAGTGTCCTGCAGAGTGTTCCTCTTTCAAATTCTTTAGAACTTTATGCTGTTTTGTGGGGCCACCCTCTCCCACTGCCCTTCCTAACAACACAGTGCCTTTCATGTTTTGAAGTTGTAGACTGTTTGCATAATAAAATAAAGTTCCTCCCAAATCAATAATCTGTAATCTTAGGTTCTTCTACCTGTATTATCCTTCAGCCCACATTTTTCCATTTGACCATCAGAAAGTTTACATATGTATGTACATATGTATGTACGTATGTATGTATGTACACATTCCCTTTATTCAATACCTATTTCCTGAGCACTCTCCTTCCCTGAGGACGGGTCTGGCACCAGGTAGAGACCAGGGAGGTATGAAGATGAGTGAAGCATTCAGTCCAGTGGGGGAGACAGATGTGGAAACAGAATCACAACACGATGTGGCAAATTCTCTGGGAGCACAGAACACCATCACTGACTCTTCCTGATACAGTCAGGAAGGGGTGACACTGGAACTGGGTCTTACAGGCAAGTGTCTTCTCCTGGTGGAGGATGAGAAGGGCACCCTGGCGGAGGGAATAGCATGAGCTCAGGTACAGGGGCACGGAGGAGCTGTGCATGGCAGGTAGGACGAGTTGATGGGGGCTGCAGGGTTGCAGGGTTCAGAAAGGCACTAAGCTTAAGGGCTGACCCTGGTGCTTGACACATCCTGCCTCATTTGTTCCTGCAGCAAGTCTGCAAGATAGTAGGGAGCAACCTCAGGAGTCCCATGTTTCTCCTAACACAGTTGACATTTCTGGATATCTTAAGCGCCTTCCCAACTTTCTCCTTCTCCCACCCTTATTTTCATTTGTCTATTGAAGATGAGTCCCTCCTTCCTTCGCCTTTTCACTCCTGCTTCTTAAACATATGTAGAGATGAAGGAGGGTTGATACCAGCAAGCTGTGAAACACAGGAGACTTCAGCTGAAAAAGGAGGTGGAGAAGAGCAGAGCAGAGGAGACCAGCTTGTGGGAATGGCTGCATAAGTTCTGCAGACCAGCATGGTGAGGAGTGGGCTCCGGGCATCACCAACCATGACTGCCTCCAACTATATTCAGCAACCATTGTAAGGTCATGAGGATGCCTTTCCCAAAGGGGGAACCTGCTGTAGATCCAACCCAGGTTTGTGAATGTAACAGACTGGAATTTTTAAAAGCACACAGAGCCCTTTGCTGCACTAACAGCAATGGACATGTCTACCAGGTCCAAAAAAAAAAATGGTCCTACACAATCTGCGGTGGTGTATTTTCACACTTTTAATAATACACACCTATGCATTCCGTCTTGGGGTGTGTGTGTCTGTGTGTGTGTGTGTATGTGACTAACTTAACACACTGAACGCATTACAATGCATTAAAAAGTTCTTCAGCAGACTTCTCTGCTTTAGCCTCTGCTATGGTCTAAATGTTTATGTCCCCGCCAAATTCACTTGTTGAAATCCTAACCCCCAGGGTGATGATGGTGTTAGAAGGTGGGGACATAGGGAGGCGATCGGGTCATGAGGGCAGAGCCTTCATGAATGGGATTATTATCCTTATAAAGGAGGAGAGACTTCCTTGCCCCTTCCACTGTGTAAGGGCACAGTGAGGAAGCACCACCTATGGACCGGAAAGAAGGCCTTCGCTACTGGTGTCTTGATCTTGGACTTCCCAGCCTCCAGAACTGTAAGCAATAAGTTTCTGTTGTTGTTGTTGTTTTTCTGAGACTGAGTCTCGCTCTATTGCCCAGGCTGGAGTGCAGTGGTGTGATCTCGGCTCACTACAACCTCTGACTCCTGGGTTCAAGTGATTCTCATGCCTCAGTTTCCCAATTAGCTGGGATTACAGGTGCGCGCCGCCACGCCAGGCTAATTTTTGTATTTTTAGTAGAGAGGGGGTTTCACCATGTTGGCCAGGCTGGTCTTGAACTCCTGACCTCAAGTAGTCCACCCGTCTCGGCCTCCCAAAGTGCTGGAATTACAGGCATGAGCCAGTGCGTCCGGCCAGTTTCTGTTGTTTATAAGCCACCCAGTTCATGGTATTTTCTTATAGCAGCTCAAATGGGCTACAACAGCATCTCTGATTATCCTATAACAATATATCCGTTTCTCTATGGGAATCCATTTCTGTGCGAGAATATGTAAGAACCTCAGATGTTTCATGCCATTGCTGAACAGAGGAGTCTCCTGGGTTCTGGACACTTGCCTTGGGAAGCACATCACTTGGTTCCTCTCAAACGCATTTGACCACTGAATAGCCAGCCACTCACTATGGAAACACAGCCCGAAGCACTCTCAATCTTTTGGACCTCAGCCCTTTTCTGGATCTATGAAAATGTCCATACTGGATGGTGCTGGCAGGTTGCGAAGTGCCCAAACCTCCCACGCTTCACAGGAGGAACCCTCTGCAAATCTTACATGGCAGGTGGGTGACCAGAGGAGCCATTCCAATACCAGTCATTGCTGGATGTTTCTGGGGTGCTGTCCCAGGTGCTGTGGAGCATATCTACTCTGTCTAGTCTGTCTTTCCATTCCAGTCCAGTGGATATTGTGTCTTCTTCTTCAGGTCCTTGTTCACTGTAGCTGCTCAGGAAATAGTTGTGAAATGGATTGTTGTTGTGGTACATTCTTAAAGTCCCTTGAAAGTAAGAAAATAAACGAATGACTCTTCTGTGGGTAAAACTTTGGTCATCTTTTCACTTGTTTAGATGAGAAAGAATACAGAACAATGAGATTATAGTCTCCTAAAACTTTTGGAAAAATTCTTCATGTCCTCTATAGTGTTATAATTTTGCTATTGTCCCCCAAAGGGACTCAGGTAACATGCTTTGGATGGAATGGTGGGATTAAAGGCACCTTTGATTCTGCACATTTGGTGGTGTTGTGAATACAAACTAAACACTAGCTGTGCAGTATGCAATATTTAAAGGAAGTAGAAATCATCCAAATCAGCATTTCCAGAGTTTTTCAGAACAAGCAAGAGAATACAAGAGATCAGCAGTTTTCTCCCTCAAGTTGTTCTATAGGAAAAAAAAAATTTATCCAGGCTCAAAGAAATTCTATAGGAAGGAAATCTGCATACTTTTGCTAACCCCATCATTTCCCAGACTCTTTGAATTCAGTAGGAAGACCGCTTGCTCCACACAGTTATTCAAGGTCCCCAAGATTCTTCTATCTGGGTTTTCCATCATGCCCTAGAACAATGTCTTTATCTGCATGGTCAAAACTGACTTACAGTCGTATCTGTGGTCACAGATAGGGGAAGGGGACTGAGGATTACATGTGCAATATTTTAAGACTCAACCTGCAAGTGGCACACATCACTTTCTCTCACATTCCATTAGTGAAAACTTAATCATGTGGTCACTCCTCCCTTCAAGGAGGGGTAGGAATTGTGGTCCCTAATGGGGAGGCCATTTCTACATTATTTCTGACAGCTACAAGTCTGTTAATGTGTATCATAGTTGTCCCACCAGCCTGCAACAGAGCAGGGGCTAGAAGCCAGGTCTTCCAACTCCTAGTCCAGAGTTCCCATTACCACACTAGTATTTCTGTACAGTAAGTCCTCACTTAATGTTATCAGCAGGTTCTTGGAAACTGCAATTTTAAGTGAAATCATGTATAATGAAATCAATTTTGAAATTTCTCATCAATGTTGTAACTGAGTAACGTTATTTGAGGACCTGCTTACATAATTTTGCTTGAAGTCCAAGTTTCCAAGAACCTATTGATGACATTAAGTGAGGACTGACTGACTGTGTTCAGCCAACATATATGGAGTCCTCCTGTGTGCCAGGCTCTATGTCAATATGAGAGTGGAAAGTCCTACAAAACAGAATCCCCTAATTATATATTTACTCTAGTATCAAGCTTTATTAATGGATAAACGTTCAGATAGCTTTGTAAAGCTATCCCAAATTATCTGATAGCTTTGCATGATGTTCCTTTCATTTGCCAAGAACATACATATTCTTGGTGAGGGATTAACACATATAATGAACAGAGTAGAGAATCCTGAAAGAGATCCCAATGCATTTGAAAAATGGGTATATGAAAAAGTCATTTAAAAAATAGAACCAAAAAGATAAATATACATTAAAAAGGAGGGTGTTGAGTCCACTAACTAAGAATATATATATATATATATATATATATATATATATATATATATATATAGCTAGATTTCCCTTTAATTCCCTCTTGAAGAAGGAATTGCTTATGCAAGACTCCAAAGCTGAGAACCAGATTGTCTTTCAGTTGTCATGCAGCCTGGAAAGCCCCCACCTTATGTACCAATAGATTGTGAAGCAATCAAAGACTACTACATACACTTTAAAGCCAACCAGAAAGACTCCTTCCCTTCCAAGTATCTTTTACCCGATTGGAACTAGAATATGTCACCATGAAAGAACACTCACCAAAGATTGGCTTAAGTCTTCCTCCTTTTAGTCTGTAAAACTTACTCTTCTAGGCTGGCGCAGTGGCTCACGCCTATAATCCCAGCACTTTGGGAAGCTAAGGCGGGTGGATCACCTGAGGTCAGGAGTTCGAGACCAGCCTGGCAAACATGGTAAAACCCCGTCTTTACTAAAAATACAAAAATTAGCTGGGAGTAGTGGCAGGTGCCTGTAGTCCCAGCTGCTCAGGAGGCTGAGGCAGGAGAATCGCTTCAACCTGGGAAGCGGAGCTTGCAGTGAGCTGAGATCGTGCTACTGCACTCCAGCCTGGGCAAGAGTGAGACTCCATCTCAAAACAAACAAACAAACAATAAGACAAAAAAACTTACTCTCCTTTCAAACCCCTTCCAACCTCTACTATAATGAAAATGATGGCAGCTGACTCCCTTATAACAGTAAGTTTTGAATAAACAGCCTTTGATTAATTCTATTTTGTTTGCCAAAGAAAATAATTAAAGTTTGGTAAAATAAAATAATTAAAAGAAAAAGAAATCATGGACACTCTAGAAGAAAACATTTATTTGAGCTTTACTGCTGAAAAAGAAAACATATTTTAAAAAGTAACCTTGACTGCACAGCAAAAGAAACTATCAACAAAGTAAGCAGACAACCTACAGAATGGAAGAAAATATGCACAAACTATGTATCTGACAAAGGTCTAATATTCAGAATCTATAAGGAACTTAAATCAACAAGCAAAAAACAAATAACCCCATTTATGGCCTTTGCTTACTTTTTGGGCAGTCCTCAAAAGAAGACATCCAAGTGGCAAACAATCATATGAAAAAATGCTTATCATCACTAATCATCAGAGAAAAGCAAGTCAAAACCACAGTGAAGTATCATCACACACCAGTCAAAATGGCTATTATTAAAAATAACAGATGTTGGCAGTGCTGCAGAGAAAAGGGATTGCTTATGCACTGTTGGTGAGAATGTAAATTCATTTAGCTACTGTGGAAAGCAGGAGATTTCTCAAAGAACTAAAAATATATATATCATTCAAACCAACAATTCCATTACTAGATATATATCCAAAGGAAAATAAATTGTTCTATCAAAAAGACACATGCACCTGTATGTTCATCGCAATATTATTCGCAATAGCAAATACATGGAATCAACCAAGGTGTTAATCAACAGAGGAGTGGATAAAGAAAATGTGGTACATATACACCATGGAATACTATACAGTCAGAAGAAAGAATGAAATCATGGCCTTTGCAGCAACATGGATGCAGCTAGGGACCATTATCCTAAGTAAACTAATGCAGAAACAGAAAAGCAAATGCCACATGTTCTCATTTATAAGTGGGAGCCAAGTGAGTACACATGGACATGAAATGGAAACAATAGACACTGGAGACTACAAGAGAAGGGAGGGGGACAGGGATTGAAAAACTACCTATTGGGTACTATGCTCAGTACTTGAGTGATGGGTTCAATCGTATGCAAATTTCAGCATCATGCAATATACCCTTGTAACAAACCTGCACATGTACCACCCCTGAATCTAAAATAAAAGTTGAAAAAAACAAAAACAAAAAAACCCCTTGGAATGGGAGGAGTCTTTTCAGACCAAACATGAGACCCAGAAGACAAAAAGTAAACTGTTAATAAGTTAGGCTGCATAGCAAGCCAAAATTTTTATATGAAACATTTTTTAAAGTGAAAAGATAGATAAATTTTCAAAACATATAACAAAGAATTAATTTCTTTGGTATACAATGAGCTTTTAAAAATTAATAAGAATAATTCAATGAGAGGTTGAAATGGGTACAAATATAGAGTTAGGTAGAAGCATAAGACCTAAGTGTTTGATAGATCAGTAGGGTGACTATAGTTCAAGATAATCTATTGTACCTGTCAAAATAGCTAGAAGAGAACAATTCAAATGTTCCTAGCATTAAAAAAGATAAATATTGCCGGTGATGAATACCCTAATTACTTTTTTTTTTTCCAGACAGAGTCTCATTCTGTCACCCAGGCTGAAGTGCAATGGCGCAATCTTGGCTCACTGCAACCTCCGCCTCCTGGGTTCCAGTGATTCTCCTGTCTCAGCCTCCCAAGTAGCTGGGATTACAGGGGCCCACAGCCATGCCTGGCCAATTTTTGTATTTTTAGCAGAGATGGGGTTTCACCATGTTGGTCAGACTGGTCTTGAACTCCTGATCTCAGGTGATACACCCACCTCGGCCTCCCAAAGTGCTGGGATGACAAGCGTTAGTCACTGTACCCGACCTCCTTAGATCTTTACACATTATATGAATGTGTCAAATTATTACATGTATCCCAAAAATATGTACATTATGTGTTAATAAAAAGATTTTCAAAATTAATAAGAATAATTCAATAAGGAAAATGGACAAGGGAAGAAACACACAATTCCAGGAAAAAATACAAATAATCAATAAATATATGATACATTTAATCACATATAATAGAAGAAATACAAATAAAAATAAGGCACTTTTAACACAATCTATTAGAATACCAGATATTTAAATTTGACAGAATTGAGTATTGTTGAGGATATAGAGAAATGGGCACTCTCATCCTACATTGGGAGAAATATAAATCAATACTGGATTCTTGAGATTCAGTTTACAATAAGTACAATTTAAGATGTGCATATCTCTTTACCCTGCAATTCCACTTCTAGAAATTTATCCTAAATATTTACTTACAAATGAGCAAAGACATATATGTACAGGGATGTTCAGATTTTTATGTCGGGTTTTTGTACGGACATAGTTTTTTTTTTTTTTTTTTTTTTTTTTGAGATGGAGTTTCACTCTGTCGCCCAGGCTGGAGTGCAGTGGCGTGATCTCGGCTCACTGCAACCTCCGCCTCCCAGGTTCAAGCAATTCTCCTGCCTCAGCCTCCCAAGTAGCTGGGATTACAGGCATGCACCACCACACCTGGGTAGTTTTTCTATTTTTAGTAGAGACAGAGTTTCACCATGTTGGCCAGGCTGGTCTCGAACTCCCGGCCTCAGGTGATTTGCCCGCCATGGCCTCCCAAAGTGATGGGATTACAGGCATGTGCCACCGAGCCTGGCTATATGGACATAGTTTTTAGTTCTTTGGGATAAATGCCCAGAAGTGTTACTGCTATTTAATCTTTAAAGAAACTGCCAAACTACTTTTCAGAGTGGCTGCATTATTTTCCATTCCCACCAGCAAAGTATGAGTAATCTATTTTTACGCATTCTTTCCCAAATTTAGTATTTTCACTTTTTTTTTTTTTTTTTTTTTTTTTTTTTTTTTTTTTTTTTTGAGGCAGGGTCTTGCTCAGTTGCCTAGGCTGGAGTGTAGTGGCACTATCTCGGCTCACTGCAACCCCTGCCTCCCAGGCTTAAGCGATCCTCACATCTCAGCAACCTGAGTAGCTGGGGCTACAGGTGAGTGCTACCACTCATGGGTAATTTTTTTTGTATTCTTAGTAGAGGTGGAGTTCCGCCATGTTGCCCAGGCTGGTCTCAAACTCCTGACCTCAAGCGATCCACCTGCCTCTGCCTCCCAAAGTGCTGGGGTTACAGGCGTGCACCACTGTGCCTGGCCATTCTCACTATTTTTAATTCAAAATAGTTTGTGTTCTCTATTCTCCACATCTTTTTGTTCTTTTTAATCATCTAAAGTCCATAGTTTGTATTAGGATTAACTTACTGTTGTACATTCTCTCTCTCTCTCTCTTTTTTTTTTAATGAGATGGAGTTTCTCTCTTTTTTGCCCAGGCCAAGCGCAATGGCACAATCTCGGCTCACTACAACCTTTGCCTCCTGGGTTCAAGTGATTCTCCTGCCTCAGCCTCCCAAGTAGCTGGGATTACAAGTGCGTGCCACCACACCTGGCCAATTTTGTATTTTTAGTAGAGATGGGGTTTCACCATGTTGGCCGGGCTGGTCTCCAACTCCTGACCTCAGCTGATCTGCCTGCCTCAGCCTCCCAAAGTGCTGTAATTATAGGCATAAGCCACTGTGCCTGGCCTAGTGTTGTACATTCTGTGGGTTTTGACAATTGTATGCATCTACATGTATGTACCATTATAGTATTCCTGTTTTTAATTTTAGCCATTCTAGTAGGCATGTAGTGATATCTCATGGTGATTTTAATTTGCGTTTCCGTAATGGTTAATAATGCTGAACATCTTTGCATGTGCTTGTTTGTCATTTGTGTTTCCTACTTGGTGAAATAATTGTTCATGTCCTTTGTCCATTTTCTAATTGAATTTTTTTTTACCATTTAGTTTTGAGATTTCTTTATACAATCTAGATCCAAATCTCTTGTCTCAAATATGGTTTGCAAATACATTCCTCTAATTCATATATTGCCTTTTCCTCCTCTTAACAGGATGTTTCACAGAGCAAAAGTTTTAGTTTTGTTGAAATCTCACTTTTCATTTTTTTCTTTAGTGGATTGTGCTTTTGTTGTCATATGTAAGAACTCTTCACTGGCCCTAGATCCTTGTATTGGTTTCCTAAGATTGCCATAGCAAATCACCATGAACTTAGTGACAAAAAGACAGAAATTTATTTTCACTTCCTACTGTGGGCAGACTAGACGTTAATTATTTTCATGTATGCTCATTCCTATGACATCTTTCTGATATAATAATTATAGTTATTCTTAAGCTTCACCCTTTTTTCTATTAGCTTTGTTACCTTGGGTGTCACTTTTTCTTTTTTGACATTGTGACCTATGCCAGATCATGTCTGTTAGTACTTAGCCCTCCATTCACCTCTCCATAATCCCTTTTGTATTCCTGGAGCTTGATGCCTGAAATGACACATCCTACATTCCTTTGCCAGATGGGTACCAGTTAGCTTGTGCACATGGGAGACAACCGTGAAAAGACTGAAGTGGGGAAGAAGGGAGGAGCTGTTGTGTTTCAGTGAGCGCCCTTGGCAGTGGCGGTGACAGTGGCTCCTGTTCAGTGGCAATGGTGGAGCAGCTAGCAAGACATGCAGTAAGCGCAGGCTCATAGGCTATGGTCCAGGAGCAGTCACCGATTCCTGGTCTTTAGGCAATATCATCTCCCTTTGCTTCTCCAGCCTTTCTAAAATTATTGTACCTTGACTAGTACAATTTTTTAGTATTGGGGGTAGTCCAAGGACACAGGCTTTAAAAAGTATGAATTCAGGGTTGCCTACCTGCATTGACTGCGCTTGAATCATGATGGCCTTCTGGTCGGTGGCAGGAGGTGACAGTCCAAATCATGCAGTAGCAAACCAGATACTTAAATTATCATCTGAGATACTTCAGAAGTACAGCCGTAGCCATACCTTCAGAAGAGATAAAGAAATGTTCTCCTGGCCAGGCGCGGTGGCTCACGCCTGTCATTCCAGCACTTTGGGAGGCCGAGGGGGTGGATCACCTGAGGTCGGGAGTTCGAGACCAGCCTGACCAACATGGGGAAACCCTGTCTCTACTAAAAATACAAAATTAGCGGGGCGTGGTGGCACATGCCCATAATCCCAGCTACTCGGGAGGCTAAGGCAGGATAATCGCTTGAACCTGAGAGGCAGAGGTTGCGGTGAACTGAGATCATGCCATAGTACTCCAGCCTGGGCAACAAGAGTGAAACTCCATCTCAAAAAAAAAAAAAAAGAAAAAAAGATAAAGAAATGTTCTCCTTTCTTGCCATTTCTAGGGGTTTGGGGATGGCGTACATTGCTGCAGGGCGTGCTCACTCTACCATCTTGCTCCAATCTTTATTTTTCAAAATACAGTGCTTATGCTTGGTTACTTCAGTTAAGATTATTTTTAAAAATCATAATTAAGCAAAAATATATGGCCATGCTTAAACATATTTAAGATAAATTAAGTGATTTGGCCTGTTTCAGTATCCCAACTCACATGCTAACAGGGGCTTGACCTGTAGCTACGGTACCCTGGAGGAAATGATCGCATTTATTTGGTTATTTCGGTCTAAGTAGTAATAGTTCTGTCCTGGGAAAAAGACTAGCCTCAAGGCATTTCTGATTGAATGTTTTTCAATTACAGTCTTTAAACCAGTATGCCACAGAACTGGCTCTTTCCACATGACGGCCTTTGTGGTGGGTGGCAGATTGCCCTGAGGCCTCGCAAAATGCTAGGCTTTCACAATGTCACTGACTGACAGCCAGGCCCAGCACAGTCTTGGTGTGATTGTGGGGCTAAAGTTATTCCACCTTGTGCAATAGCTACAGCTTTCTCTAACCAGCTGCATTCTTATAAAGTTAGAAGAAAATACTTTTTTTTTTTTGAGATGGATTCTCGCTCTGTTGCCCAGGCTGGAGTGCAATGGTGCGATCTCGGCTCGCTGCAACCTCCGCCTCCTGGGTTCAAACGATTCTCCTCCCTCAGACCCCCGAGTAGCTGGGATTGCAGGTGCCTGCCACCACGCCCGGCTAACTTTTTTGTATTTTTAGTGGAGACGGGGTTTCACCATCTTCGTCAGGCTGGTCTCAGACTCCTGACCTCAAGTGATCTGCCCGCCTCAGCCTCCCAAAATGCTGGGATTACAGGCATGAGCTACTGTGCCCGGCCAAAGAAAATACTTTTTATGCCAGCCCTGAAACTACCCTGAAGCACATACATCAACCTTGAGGCCTCACACTCCATCAAGAGGGGTGAAGGGCATGAGGAATTAGAAAGCATAGGGATTTTTAGTTAGACAGATCTGGTTCAAATCCTAGACTTGTGCCTTGAACAAATTATTTACCCTCATTGAACTCTAGATTCATTATTTGTAAAATGAAAGACAATAATAGTTATCTCCAAAGGAAAGTTGAATATGATCATTCATTTATTCATTAATTCAACATTTATTATTGCCTACTTTGTGCCAGGTTCTATTCTAGGAACTAAGGGATACAACTTTGAATAGGCAAAATCTCTGCTCTCCTGAAGTTTACTTTTTTTTTTTTTTTTGAGACAGAGTTTCACTCTTGTCACCCAGGCTAGAGCGCAATGGTGCTCTTGGCTCACTGCAACCTCCACCTCCTGGGTTCAAGTGATTCTCTTGTCTCAGCCTCCCAAGTAGCTGGGACTACAGGTATGTGCCACCACGCCCGGCTATTTCTGCATTTTTAGTAGAGATGGGGTTTCACCATGTTGGCCAGACTGGTCTCAAACTCCTGATCTCAGGTGATATGCCTGTCTTGGCCTTCCAAAGTACTGGGATTACAGGCCTGAGCCACTGCACCTGACCTGAAGTTTATGTTCTATTAAATAGCAACAGACAGTAACATAAACCAAAAATAAATAGGAAAACACCATAACAAAAATCAAACAGTGATATAATTGAGAGTTGCTTCTATTTCTTTTTGTTGTCTTCTTGGTTCAATCAGCCTGCTAAACTATATGGAACCTCATTTTCATGGGCCACTTATTTAAGCCGGGGGACCTTGGAAAGTCTCTCATGTCTCTCATCTCAACGGCCTAATGTGACTTCTCTTGAAATATTTGGACATTAGCAGGAAGCTGAGGCTTTACATCAGATCTTTACTTTAATGGTGGACTTGACTTTACTGGTAGATTTTTAGGCTCTGTGTGGACTGTGGAGATGATATCTGGGGGGCAGGCAGACACTTGCCCTGCCTCTGTCTGAGAAAATTCTGTTTTGGATGTCTTGTTGAAGTTGGTGCTGGCATCCTAAGCCCTTGCTGGGGTCGTAATTTAATTCATCAGAATGTGTGGCTTGCAAGAACCGGCTCAGATCCTGCCCTTCAAAAACAAAACATGAGCGTGCCAAGAAAGTCCAAGGTGTTGAATGTTGCCACTTCAAGCCTAAACTTTCTAGGAACACCTAAGTGGGTGGCAGCTTCCAGTTCTCCAGGCTGCTTCTAGGCCAGAGCTGGGTTCCACAAGAGACAGAATAGGCATATATATGCTTAAGGAACTGGAAAAACAGGCTCTCTCTCTCTCACAAACACACACACACACATACCAAGGTAGCTGTCAAAATGTTATCCGAAATTTTGGAACCAAAAAATCTTGAAAGATGGTATTCCAATATCACATTTTATGTAAGTTTTCTATTATATTAGATTCAAATTACGATTCGAGGCCACAAGCTTTAAGAATTCAGGGCCTTTTTAACTTGCCAAGCCCCACACCACTCCAGGAACTTCCCCACACCCCAGTTCTCAGAATTCATGTGCAAGGTCTTTCCTAAATCCAGGGTCCAGGTCAGAGAGTGGAGGATGTGCTCTATTTCTTACCTGATTGCAGACCCCTCTGACAGTGCTCCCTTCTGAAGCACTCACTGTCTGAACGTACACAGTCTCAGACTTAATCATGCACAGTGAGCAAGACTGTGGTGTGATAATTGGCGTCCCTGACTTATTAGGGCAAATCTATGGGAGGGGGAGACCTCCTGGACCACTGAGCAATTAATTCATTTACATTAGGAAGTTTCTCCGTCAGATGCAGGAAAAAAATCTTGTTTTCCTGCTGTGGTTTTGACTTTTGCCCCATCTTCTGTTGCTGTTGTAGGAGGCAAAATAAGGGTCAAGGCCTGGAAACACAAGTGCTTTGACTGAAGCTCCACTTGGCTTCCGAAGCCCAAGCTGGGTTGTACCAGGTTCCCTAGGGTGCAGGCTGTGGGCAACTGCCAGGGACATGTGCCTGCCCACCGGCCTCTGGCCCTCACTGAGTTGGCCAATGGGAAATGACAATTGTGAGGTGGGGACTGCCTGCCCCCGTGAGTACCAGGCTGTTGAGGCTGGGCCATCTCCTCCTCACTTCCATTCTGACTGCAGTCTGTGGTTCTGATTCCATACCAGAGGGTAAGAGCAATTCTGTGAAGTTCCAGGCTGGGTGGGGGATGCATGCATAGCCTCTGGCTGGGATCACCCAGGCTCTCCCGTCCGTAGTAGTGTGGGAGTGGATACAGGTGGATACTCTGGTCAGAGCAGCACTGGTGGAGGCAGATATGCACTGGGCTTCTTCCTCCGTTCTCCCACAGCCCCAAGAGAGAAAGGGTTATTTCAGACATTCCTTCTAAGATGCATGGAACCATTCTGAATTTTGCCCAGTTCGCTCTGTAGCAGGATACCTATTGAGAAAAAGTTAGGGTCAGTAAGGTGGAAGGGTCTGTCCACAGATGAAGTCCAATTCGATTAAGGGGGATAAGGGAATACATTGCCTCTTAGCTTGACCAGGTAGGGCAAAGGAAGAAGCATATATGAAGGCAGCTTCAGAAAAGTCAAGCTGAGCACTGACTTCAGACTGGAATTAGGAATCCAGCTCTGCCACTTTATTCTACTCAGCAAATATTTACTGAGCAAATTCTATGGGCTAGACAGTGGATTGGGTTCACAAGATACAATGAGTGTGACATGGTTGTTGTCTATGGATTTGGGGATATATGTAGGTATAGGGATATCTTACAAGGTAATCAAGAGGTTCTAATGAGGCCAGCCATGGTGGCTCACACCTGTAATCCCAGCAATTTGGGAGACCGAGGCGGGTGGATCACCTGAGGTCAGGAGTTCCAGACTAGCCTGACCAACATGGTGAAACCCCGCCTCTACCAAAAATACAAAAATTAGTTGGGCGTGATGGCAGGTGCCTGTAATCCCAGCTTCTCGGGAGGCTGAGGCAGGAGAATTGTCTGAACCTGGGAGGCAGAGGTTGCAGTGAGCCGAGATTGTTGCCACTGCATTCCAGCCTGGGTGACAGAGCGAGACTTTGTGTCAAAAAAAAAAAAAAAAGAAAGAAAAGAAAAAGAGGCTCTAATGAGATAAAATGAGAAAAGCCTGGCATATAGTGGCAACTTATGAAAAATTGTAATTAAAAAAAAACATTTTCTGACAGAAGAAACTGGATCTACCTGGTTTTTCTGAAGCCTAATCCTGCTCGCCCCAGTGAGTGCTGTTTCTGAGGCATCCTGGTTGTTTTGAGCTGTGGATGCTGAAGGTTAGAGTGGGAGGGATTTTAGAGGTTAGGTCTGCCCCTCTTGTGTTAGAGGACATGGATCCCTGGTCTGGAGAGGTTCTGGTTTTTGGATCAAGCCTCACAAGGGGTGGCACCAACTCACTCCTAGGAACTCCGCTAGAAGGAAGGCCAGCTCTGCCTAATTCGGTTGGGGAGATGGGGGTCCCTTTATGCTAGCAGAATATGTCCGAAGGAGCATGATGGTGTCAGCTTTGTTCATGAAGGCCAGTGGTACACAGGGAGCCCGGCAGCTTCCTCAGCAGTCCCTGCTGCCACTCTTCCTTAAGTCTTGAGGAGTCTTTTTTTGGCACAATCTCAGCTCACTGCAACCTCCGCCTCCCAGGTTCAAGCGATTCTCCTGCCTCAGTCTCCCAAGTAGCTGAGACTACAGGCATGCGCCACCACGCCCAGCTAATTTTTATATTTTTAGTAGAGATGGGGTTCACCATATTGGCCAGGATGGTCTCGATCTCTTGACCTCATATTCCACCTGCCTCGGCCTCCCAAAGTGCTGGTATTACAGGTGTGAGCCACTGCGCCTGGCCGAGGAGTCTTAAGCTGAGATCACAGCATTGCACTCCAGCCTGGGCAAAAAAAGCAAAACTCCATCTCAAAAAAAAAAAAAAAAAAATAGACACAAGACTGGCTCCTTGTCTTTTTTGGGGACAGGGTCTCACTCTATCACCCAGGCTGGAGTGCAGTGGTGCAATCACAGCTCACTGCAGCCTCGATTTCCCAGGCTCAAGTGACCCTCCCATCTTAGCCTCCTGAGTAGCTGGGACTACAGGTGTGTGCAACCATGCCTGGCTAATTTTTAAAAATTTTTTGTAGAGATGAGGTCTCACTATATTGGCTGGGGGGCCTCAAACTCCTGGGCTCAGCAGTCCTCCCACCTCAGCCTCCCAAAAGGCTGGGATTATATGCTTGCTCTTTTTAAGGTGGCTGTAGGGACAAACTTTCCACCTACTCCTTGTCAAGCCAGTGGACCGGTGGTCCCAGACATACGGCTAAAGTCAAGAGGTGATGTCTTTTGGAGAGATACTTTCAATCAGGAATTTCAATCAGAAATTCAATCATGTGGAGAGAGACTTATCCTAAAAATGTGGTGGTGCGTGGGATGCTCTGTTTTATTAGTTCCTTGACAGTATGTATGTGTGTGAGTGTGTGTGTGCGCGCGCGCACACTCATTTGGATGGGTGTGTATGTGTGGGGGGGGGTGGTGCGTACGTATGTGGATGTGTGGATGTGGTGTGTGGGTGTGCGCGTGCATAGGTGGAGGTGTGTGTATGGGTGCGGGTATGTGTGTGTGTTGGGCATGGAGATATTGACAGCTCTCCCAGGGCTGAGTGAAGGCTTTCGGGCAAAGCTCCTGGGAGCTAGGCAAAGCTGAGTTGATTCCTGGTTATGCCATTTATTATTGGGTTGCACCGTGTGAAACTGCCAATATTCTACACTTTGACTTTTATTTATTTTTATTTTTATTTTTTTTGAGACAGAGTTTCACACTTGTCACCTAGGCTGGAGTGCAGTGGCGCGATCTCAGCTCACTGCAACCTCTGCCTCATGGATTCAAGTGATTCTCCTGCCTCAGCCTCCCAAGTAGCTGGAATTACAGGTGCCCGCTACCACGCCTGACTAATTTTTGTATTTTTGGTAGAGACGGGATTTCACCATGTTGTCCAGGCTGGTCTGAAACTCCTGACATCAGGTAATCCACCCACCTCAGCCTCCCAAAGTGCTGGGATTACAGGCATGAGCCACTGCGCCCGGCCCATTTTGACTTTTAAAAATGGGAGTTTGATATAATTCAATCCAGTGGTTGAATTAGCTAGCATCGTTCCCTCTCCAAGTCTCAGGTTCTCCTACACGTTAGAGTCAAAAGCAGGGCTATGGGAAGATTAAGTAAAATAAATTTTGAAAATGCCTTATGAAAATTACACTCCAAAGAACTCGCGCCAGTGTCAGTGTTCTCATGTTCCTCATCTCACATGATCACATTTCGCGGATTAGGAAGCTGAGTCTGAGAAGCTCCGTGTAGTGCTTTTTCGGAGGCACCGTGATGTGATGGAAGGCTCACTCGTTAGGAAGTCAGAACAGAGTCTCTGAGGGATCATCTCCTTAATCTGTCAGTTTCCTCATCTCTGAAGTTGGGCTCATTTCCTTCCTTCATGGAGTTATTGTAAAGATGAAGATAAATAACGTGTAAAATCTAGCATGGGAACTGGCTTCTATAAGGTTCTAATAAGTGCATTCCTACTCCTTCCCCTCAGCCTTCCCATTTGTAAAAGCAAGGCAGGGGTGAGGTGATTTCTGGGGCTCCTTTTGGCTCTGACATTTGAGGATTTTGTATACTTTTTTTTTTTTGAGACAGAGTCTTGCTCTGTCACCCAGGTTGGAGTGCAGCTCAATGCAAATTCCGCCTCCCAGGCTCAAGCAATTCTTATGTCTCAGCCTCCTGAGTACCTGGGATTACAGGCAGGCACCACCACCCCCAGCTAATTTTTTTGTATTTTCAGTAGAGACGGGGTTTTGCCATATTGGCCAGGCTGGTCTTGAACTCCTGACTTCATGTGACCCACCCATCTCAGCCTCCCAAAGTGCTGAGATGACAGGTGTGAGCTACCGTGCCTGGCCAATTTTGTGTGCTTTAATGCCCTTTTCTGCTGGAAGAGTTGGCACCAGGTTTGGTGATCTCTTTCCCCCACACGGCTCTGCCTCCTGCCAGTCCCAGAGGGGACCCTGTCCTTGCATTTCACAGGATTCTGCTGTTGCAACTGAAATTCCAGTAGGTCAAAGTGAAATTTCTCATACACTTTAACATGAAGATAAATGATCACAGTATGGCCCTTTAGGATCCTGAGAACATCACGGTCATCCCCTGGTATAATTTTAAAAGCAGATGAATCCATGCCTGTGCGAGGTTTGCCAGGAAAGCCAGTGCTGGGATTACAGTGGAAGTCTTTTTATGCTACTTTTTTCTTGTATCCCTCACCCCATGGGGTGGCATATTGAAAGGCAGGATGTGTGACCACGATACTTTTCTCCTCCTGGACTATGTCTAAGAGTCTGTTATTGGGTTCTGAAGATCAGAGTTTAATTTCCGACTCCTCTCTGTGTAGCTCTGGGATCTTGGAAAGCCACTTAACCTTTCTGAAGTCCCCTTTCCTCATCTCTAAAATGCATACACTCATCACTAACATTTACTGAGCACTGACATGTGCCAGACACCATTCTAAGCATTTTACACAGACTACACCATTTGATCTTCCAACAAACAGAACACTGAAACGCATTACAGGTCAGAACAAATGATTTGTGCCTAAGCACCAAGACCGTAGAGCCCGTGCTCCCTATTCTACCCTATCCTGTCTCTCAAAATGATTGTGAGAATCGAATGAGACACTAGGTGAGAAAAGGGTTTTATAAATAGCATTTTAAAAATTTTTTAAAGTCCACAAAATTTTTAATTTTAATACAGATAAAATAGATCCCTTTGTTTTATAAAAAGTAACAAAATTTGTTATACAACAACTATGTTATTTATTAATTTTGCCTTTTTGTATGCTGCCAGGAAAGAAACATTAAGAAATCTTAAATTGATTATGGTGAATCAGAAGGTCTGCCTGGACTTTTTATTGCTCTAACTGTACAGCTGATCATACTACCTCATTTTTTTTTATGACACTTCAAGGGTGCGCTTAGCTTCATCACTCCTTCGTTGCCAAAAGCTTTGTGACCAAAAACAATTAAGCAGATTCCTGAGTCACTAAATGACACATAACCAGAGTTGAGACTTAGGAACTTTTAGTGCCATGCTAAGCCCACAGGGACACAACAAATAGCATTTTACAAAGGCAAAGAATTGTGACACTTGAGATTTAGCTTGTTGATCCTTGTAAAAGTTTTCTTTTTAGGCATAATTGAGTTTTAGATCATAGTACTCACTATTACTTAGTAATAATTTTTTTCTGATAGAAATACAGTGTAACAGGCCGGGCGCAGTGGCTCATGCCTGTAATCCCAGCACTTTGGGAGGCCGAGGCGGGCGGATCACTTGAGGTCAGGAGTTTGAGACCAGCCCGGCCAACATGGTGAAATCCCATCTCTACTAAAAATACAAAAAATTAGCCAGGTGTGGTCGTGGATTCCTGTGATCCCAGCTACTTGGGAGGGTGAGGCAGGAGCATCAGTTGAACCCAGGAGGCGGAGGTTGCAGTGAGCCAAGATGGTGCCATTGCACTCCAGCCTGGGCCACAAAGCGAGACTCCACTTCAGAAACAAAAAAAAAAGAGAGAGAGAAAAGAAGGAAGGAAGGAAGGAAGGAAGGAAAGAAGGAAGGAAGGAAGGAAAGAAGGAAGGAAGGAAGGAAGGAAAGAAGGAAGGAAGGAAAGAAGGAAGGAAGGAAAGAAGGAAGGAAGGAAGGAAGGGTAACAAGCAAAGTGTAACAATGGCAATATCTAAAAAAATAGGTATTTTTATATGTTTGTCGTTTTATATATATGACCCCCACTTTAGAGATGAGGAAACTGAGAGATTAAGGAAACGATCCCTGAGAGACTCTGTTCTGACTTCCAAATCGGTGAGCTTTCCATCGCATCACGGTGCCTCCGAAAGCATGACACGGAGCTTCTCAGACTCAGCTTCCTAATCCGCTAAACGGGATTATGTGAGATGAGGAACATGAGAACGCTGACATGGGTGAGGGTTCCTTGGAGTATCATTTTCATGTGGCATTTTCAAAACTTATTTTACCTAATCTTCCCAAAGCCCTGCTTTTGACTCTAATGTGTCTCCTGAGACTTGGAGAGCGCAAGATGCTAGCGACAGAGCAAGACTCCATCTCCAGATAAATAAATAAGTAAAATAAAAAAGAACACAAATAATTTTGAAAATTTTTTTGAAAATTAGGCACGTTTGCACTGACCTTCAATTGTTATTAATTGCTGGTTTCCCACCCAGAATTAAGTTGGAATGCAACTTTCTTTTACAATCAGAGTCCGTTCTTGGTCTTGGAAACTTCTGAGGCTCCTGTGCTAATCACACTCTTGTATTTTTGGCACCTCTACCCCGTGCCACTGTCATGGAACCCAGGCTGATCGCACCTATTAGTGGAGAAATCTGTCCATAATACTGAAGTTTGGGGACAAACAGTGTTCCCTTAGGGTAGGAGAAAGAGATCTTTATTTTTGACAAAGGGGGAGGAGCCAGAAAACTCCAGAGACCCCTGAGTTTGCCCTCTCTCCAAGGTTTGGGGTAAGCCCCCCGTCACCCTTTATCTCTGGGGCTTTCACATATTCTGGATTCTCTCCTCCTGTTTCCCAGCAGAAAAGGATGGAGCCTCACAGATTCTTCCCATTTCTGGAGAAAAACATGCATGGAGCTCAAAGTTCTTCTCAGGAGTTTTATTGCCAAAGCCATAATAAGAAAGGGTGGAGGTGACAAGCAGTGAGGAAGTTTAAAGATGCATGAAATCTGTAAAGTCTCAGAACAAGAATTCTCCTAAAATGCAAAAGGGGCTTTGCTGGTCTCCCCTTGGCTTCTCATGTAGCTCACCTCTTTTTTCTTATCTTGAGACTAGTCAAACCTAAGCTGTTTCTCATTTTATTTCCAGAAGCTATTGAGAACACTCTCCTGAATTCTTCAAATTCAGTAGAGGGCGACAAATGTACATATAAATGATGGTAGTGGGTCTTAAATAAAGACTCATGACACCTAAAGGGGCAGCACCTGAGTCTGATTGCACCTGTTTCTGTTGCTGTTTCTGTCTCTCTTCTCTCTGTCTGCCATTTCATTATCAATGGTTACTTTACTTATAAGATCATATTAGAACCTGATATTTGATAAATGATGCATCAGATCTATAGTGAGAGAAAAAATTAATGCAATTAAAGGTGTTGTAACAGCTAGTCTTCAAGTGGGGAGAAATCATTTGAGTACCTTAGGTCACAGCTTACATCAAAACAAAAAATCAGAGCTACATTAAAAAGTGAAATTTTAACTATATCAAACAATAGAAAAAAACAGAAGAAAATTGAATACTTACTAAATCTTAGCATGAATAAGAACTGTTTAACACTTAGAGGCAAGGACTGGGCGTGGTGGCTCATGCTTTTAATCCCAGGACTTTGGGAGCCCAAGGCGGGCGGATCACCTGAGGTCAGGAGTTTGAGACTAGCCTGGCCAACATGGTGAAACCCCGTCTCTACTAAAAAATGCAAAAATTAGCTGCGTGTGGTGGTGCATGCCTGTAATCTCAGCTACTTGGGAGGCTAAGGCATGAGAATCGCTTGAACCTGGGAGGTGGAGGCTGTAGTGAGCCGAGATTGTGCCACTGCACTACAGCCTGGGTGACAGTGTGAAATCCTCTCTCTCAAAAAAAAAAAAAAAAAAAAGCAAACTAGAGCAGTGAGGTACCATTATTTCCTTTGCTCACTAAACTGACAACACACAAATGTTTTTTATAATACCCAAAGCTGATGAGGGTAGTTAAGGTATGCCCTTTTATACACACACTAATGATGTACTACTGGTTGGCAGTATAACATATGCTGCCATGTGGGGATATGTATCAGGAGACTTAAAAATGTGCATACCTTTTGGTCCAGTAATTTACTTCTGGGAATCTGTCATAACAGAATAATAATCTTGGGGAAAGCTACATGCCTAAGGATATTTAAAATATTATTTAAAAATCAAAGTATAATTTCTTACAGAATATAAAATAATATTTTAAAATGAAAATATGCTAAAAGTTTGATGAAATATAAATGGTCAAATATATATTGATTATATCCACTTACTAGACTAGCACTCACTCTGAGACGTTAAAAATAGTCATTATAAAAACTAGAAAATGCCAAAGACAAAATAAAGGAATAAAGTTTTACATAAAGTATGATTCCACTATGTTTAAAAATAAACAGAGACATTCTTGGAGTTGAGTATTGTTTTCTTTTCTGTCATGTCCAAAGAACTATATAACTATTATTTTTAATGAACTATATATGTAATATATACATATAGTTTATATGTATATACAAAATTTATCTCATATATATGATAAAGATGAAAGATGAGTTGGATGTGCCACGTGAAGAGGGTAGTATAGAACCCCAGGTAATGGGGCATAGGAGTGGGATTCCAGATACCAGGCCCATGTTTTTGGGGTGAGATTGCCAATCACGGTCTTTCTTCCATCCCTCACAGAGGAGTAGGTTTGTCTTCAACAAACCTTCAGTTGTCCTGAAGACAAACCTAATTCTGGAGACTTCATATAATCTAGAAGAGACAAGCAAACTGATGAAAAATAGTGAATTTTTAAGGTAAAATAAAGTACATGGACTACACTTTGTTTAGAATCAGATTCTTGGGATTAACCACATTAACCCACAGAGGGTCTTAGTGATGCCTCTAATCCAGGATCCTAGGACCTATTTCTCTCTGTGAGATGCTTTCTCCCAACTCCTTGGTGAGAGTGGGAAGACTAAGACCTCAGCAATCTGAGGTGGAGGCCTAAGATCCCCCTAAGATCGGAGGCAGAATCTGAGAGGGGATAAAAGTCCCTATACCTGTATTGGGCCCTTTTCTGGGAGGGGGATATCAAAGAATGATTTTGAGACAGGGAGGCTTTTGACTACCTGTGCCACTTGAGCTCTTTGCTAGGGCTCCAGAATACATATTTCAAATACATTCCCCCTCCCTCCTTCCTTCCCTCTTCCACTCTTCCTTTTTATCTTCCTTTCTTCTTTTCCTTCCTCCTTCCCTTCCTTTCTCTGGCTCTCTCATGATTTCTTTTCCTCATTATAAAAGTGCTTATTTAGTCCCTACTCTGCTATTAGTGTGTTAGTCTTTGTCCCCTGGTACTTGCTGTTTAATGGAGAAATGGGTGAGCAAAACAGAAATTACAGCAGAGTGCAATGATAGAGCTAAGCCAGGTGTATAAATCCATTCTCACACTGCTGTAAAAAACTACTTGAGACTGGGTAATTTATAAAGAAAAGAGGTTTAATTGACTCACAGTTCCACAGGCTGTACAGGAAGCATGGCTGGGGAGGCCTCAGAAAACTTACAATCATGGTGGAAGAAAGAGCGAAGGGGAAGCAAGCACATCACACAGCAGCAGGAGAGAGAGAGAGAAAGAGAGAGAGAGAGAATATAGGGGAAGTGCTACACACTTTCAACCAGATCTTGTGAGAATTCACCTACTATCATGAGAACAGCAAGGGATAAGTCTGCCTCCATGATTCAGTCACCTCCTACCAGGCCCCTTCTCCAACACATGTCGACGTGCTATTTGGGTGGGGACACAGACCCAAACCATATTACCAGGGCACTGGAGAAACACAGAGGGGAAAGAACCAGCCAAGGAGTGAGATGGAGAACAAGGAGGACTTCTTGAAACAGATGACATCCAAACTGGGTCCTGAAAGCTGAATAGAGATTAGACAGGGGAGGAGGGGCAGCTAAAGATGGCTCAGGCAAACAAAGGGCCAGGGGATATGTTCATGGGATGATGTGTCTCTCGTTGTCTGCTTAACACAAGGTGAGTCTCTCCCTCCCTCTCTCTCTCTTTTTCTCTGTGTGTGTTTGTGTGTGTGCATGTGTGCAAATGTAATATACCCAATAGTCAAACATGTGCCCCAGGAGAGGGGTAGAGGAAGAAAGAGAATGAGAGAGTAAGAAGGAGGAATAGACACAGAAAATGAGAGAGAAGGGGGGAAAGAAAAAGAAGAAAGGAGCCAGAGGAGAGAAGCTGGTTAGCATTGAATGGAGCAATCTGTGTCATCGTACTTGGGAAACCCAAGGATGGATTCTTGGCAAGTCGACTCTTGGAGCTTTCCCTGTGCTTGGTCCTGTGCTCAGACATGGGAAAATTAGAGGAGTGTCATCTGTGCAATCACTGAATTCATAATCTTGGTGAGGAAAGGAGACTACACACAGGGAATAATGCTAAGTATTACAGATTTCAGGGCAGAAAGAGATCAAGGTGGGCTGCAATATTCAGAAAAGTCTTCCTGGAAAAGTTGAATACTTAGAAAGCAGCTCCTAGAAGTAGACTCTGCTGAGATGGACGGAGTCCTTTGTAGGTCCCAACTGGGTGTGTGTGTGGGGTCTGTCTCTCCATGGCTGACAGTGCACATGTGGATTCCAGGGCTCAGGATGCTGTTGCTGGGAGCTGTTCTACTGCTATTAGCTCTGCCCGGTCATGACCAGGAAACCACGACTCAAGGGCCCGGAGTCCTGCTTCCCCTGCCCAAGGGGGCCTGCACAGGTTGGATGGCGGGCATCCCAGGGCATCCGGGCCATAATGGGGCCCCAGGCCGTGATGGCAGAGATGGCACCCCTGGTGAGAAGGGTGAGAAAGGAGATCCAGGTAAGAATGTTTCTGGCCTCTTTCATCACAGACCTCCTACACTGATATAAACTATATGAAGGCATTCATTATTAACTAAGGCCTAGACACAGGGAGAAAGCAAAGCTTTTTTATGTTAACCATAAGCAACCTGAAGTGATTTGGGGTTGGTCTTCCAAGGATGAGTGTAGATGGTGCCTCTATAACCAAGACTTTGGCTTTGCTGCATCTGCAGCTCCTTTTCCATCCCCTTTCCCATCTTCACCCTCATCCCTATTCCCAGTACATTCATATTCTGATTCCTCTTTCTGTCTGCTTAACTTCCATTTCACCCAGTGGCATTCAACCACATTTACTGCACACCCCCTGAAAGGCTCAGTCCTGCCTTTGGGGAACTCTTGATCTAGGTAAGATGTCTAATGTGCAAGGCTCTGTTGGTGGTTACTACAAGAAAGTCTACTCTAAAAATGTCAAACTGAATGTGAACAAGTATTCAAAGTATGGAGCATAGAGAAAATATACTCACCGTGGACCTGATGAAGAATGAAGGCTTCAAGGAGGAGGCAGAGCTTCAGCTAGGCCTTGAATGATGGGTAGGCAGAATAGAGGAGGAGAGACATCCTAGATGGAGGGGGTAGAATTGCAAAACCAGGGTTGATGGTGCCAGCACATAAAGGGCTGGCAGGGTGGAGGGTCTATGATAGAGACCTATAGGAGATAAAGATAGAGTTGAAATTATGGGAGCCTCCATGTCTGTGGGAGATATAGAAGGAGGAGGTAACACCTCTCTCCTTTTGGGAGCTCTTATTGGTTTCTTGATCTATAAGTCAAGAAGGTTGTGAGTGGGAGCCACAGGGATGGTAATTTAGGCTGTAACCAACCTAGGCAGGAGTTCTGTTCTTTGTAGTCACTGAGGTCTTCTCATTCCTTAGGTCTTATTGGTCCTAAGGGAGACATCGGTGAAACCGGAGTACCCGGGGCTGAAGGTCCCCGAGGCTTTCCGGGAATCCAAGGCAGGAAAGGAGAACCTGGAGAAGGTGCCTATGTATACCGCTCAGCATTCAGTGTGGGATTGGAGACTTACGTTACTATCCCCAACATGCCCATTCGCTTTACCAAGATCTTCTACAATCAGCAAAACCACTATGATGGCTCCACTGGTAAATTCCACTGCAACATTCCTGGGCTGTACTACTTTGCCTACCACATCACAGTCTATATGAAGGATGTGAAGGTCAGCCTCTTCAAGAAGGACAAGGCTATGCTCTTCACCTATGATCAGTACCAGGAAAATAATGTGGACCAGGCCTCCGGCTCTGTGCTCCTGCATCTGGAGGTGGGCGACCAAGTCTGGCTCCAGGTGTATGGGGAAGGAGAGCGTAATGGACTCTATGCTGATAATGACAATGACTCCACCTTCACAGGCTTTCTTCTCTACCATGACACCAACTGATCACCACTAACTCAGAGCCTCCTCCAGGCCAAACAGCCCCAAAGTCAATTAAAGGCTTTCAGTACGGTTAGGAAGTTGATTATTATTTAGTTGGAGGCCTTTAGATATTATTCATTCATTTACTCATTCATTTATTCATTCATTCATCGAGTAACTTTAAAAAAATCATATGCTATGTTCCCAGTCCTGGGGAGCTTCACAAACATGACCAGATAACTGACTAGAAAGAAGTAGTTGACAGTGCTATTTTGTGCCCACTGTCTCTCCTGATGCTCATATCAATCCTATAAGGCACAGGGAACAAGCATTCTCCTGTTTTTACAGATTGTATCCTGAGGCTGAGAGAGTTAAGTGAATGTCTAAGGTCACACAGTATTAAGTGACAGTGCTAGAAATCAAACCCAGAGCTGTGGACTTTGTTCACTAGACTGTGCCCTTTTATAGAGGTACATGTTCTCTTTGGAGTGTTGGTAGGTGTCTGTTTCCCACCTCACCTGAGAGCCATTGAATTTGCCTTCCTCATGAATTAAAACCTCCCCCAAGCAGAGCTTCCTCAGAGAAAGTGGTTCTATGATGACGTCCTGTCTTGGAAGGACTACTACTCAATGGCCCCTGCACTACTCTACTTCCTCTTACCTATGTCCCTTCTCATGCCTTTCCCTCCAACGGGGAAAGCCAACTCCATCTCTAAGTGCCGAACTCATCCCTGTTCCTCAAGGCCACCTGGCCAGGAGCTTCTCTGATGTGATATCCACTTTTTTTTTTTTTGAGATGGAGTCTCACTCTGTCACCCAGGCTGGAGTACAGTGACACGACCTCGGCTCACTGCAGCCTCCTTCTCCTGGGTCCAAGCAATTATTGTGCCTCAGCCTCCCGAGTAGCTGAGACTTCAGGTGCATTCCACCACACATGGCTAATTTTTGTATTTTTAGTAGAAATGGGGTTTCGTCATGTTGGCCAGGCTGGTCTCGAACTCCTGGCCTAGGTGATCCACCCGCCTCGACCTCCCAAAGTGCTGGGATTACAGGCATGAGCCACCATGCCCAGTCGATATCTCACTTTTTATTTTGCCATGGATGAGAGTCCTGGGTGTGAGGAACACCTCCCACCAGGCTAGAGGCAACTGCCCAGGAAGGACTGTGCTTCCGTCACCTCTAAATCCCTTGCAGATCCTTGATAAATGCCTCATGAAGACCAATCTCTTGAATCCCATATCTACCCAGAATTAACTCCATTCCAGTCTCTGCATGTAATCAGTTTTATCCACAGAAACATTTTCATTTTAGGAAATCCCTGGTTTTAAGTATCAATCCTTGTTCAGCTGGACAATATGAATCTTTTCCACTGAAGTTAGGGATGACTGTGATTTTCAGAACACGTCCAGAATTTTTCATCAAGAAGGTAGCTTGAGCCTGAAATGCAAAACCCATGGAGGAATTCTGAAGCCATTGTCTCCTTGAGTACCAACAGGGTCAGGGAAGACTGGGCCTCCTGAATTTATTATTGTTCTTTAAGAATTACAGGTTGAGGTAGTTGATGGTGGTAAACATTCTCTCAGGAGACAATAACTCCAGTGATGTTCTTCAAAGATTTTAGCAAAAACAGAGTAAATAGCATTCTCTATCAATATATAAATTTAAAAAACTATCTTTTTGCTTACAGTTTTAAATTCTGAACAATTCTCTCTTATATGTGTATTGCTAATCATTAAGGTATTATTTTTTCCACATATAAAGCTTTGTCTTTTTGTTGTTGTTGTTGTTTTTAAGATGGAGTTTCCCTCTGTTGCCAGGCTAGAGTGCAGTGGCATGATCTCGGCTTACTGCAACCTTTGCCTCCCAGGTTCAAGCGATTCTTCTGCCTCAGCCTCCCGAGTAGCTGGGACCACAGGTGCCTACCACCATGCCAGGCTAATTTTTGTATTTTTAGTAAAGACAGGGTTTCACCATATTGGCCAGGCTGGTCTCGAACTCCTGACCTTGTGATCTGCCCGCCTCCATTTTTGTTGTTATTTTTTGAGAAAGATAGATATGAGGTTTAGAGAGGGATGAAGAGGTGAGAGTAAGCCTTGTGTTAGTCAGAACTCTGTGTTGTGAATGTCATTCACAACAGAAAACCCAAAATATTATGCAAACTACTGTAAGCAAGAAAAATAAAGGAAAAATGGAAACATTTATTCCTTTGCATAATAGAAATTACCAGAGTTGTTCTGTCTTTAGATAAGGTTTGAACCAAAGCTCAAAACAATCAAGACCCTTTTCTGTATGTCCTTCTGTTCTGCCTTCCGCAGTGTAGGCTTTACCCTCAGGTGCTACACAGTATAGTTCTAGGGTTTCCCTCCCGATATCAAAAAGACTGTGGCCTGCCCAGCTCTCGTATCCCCAAGCCACACCATCTGGCTAAATGGACATCATGTTTTCTGGTGATGCCCAAAGAGGAGAGAGGAAGCTCTCTTTCCCAGATGCCCCAGCAAGTGTAACCTTGCATCTCATTGCTCTGGCTGAGTTGTGTGCCTGTTTCTGACCAATCACTGAGTCAGGAGGATGAAATATTCATATTGACTTAATTGCAGCTTAAGTTAGGGGTATGTAGAGGTATTTTCCCTAAAGCAAAATTGGGACACTGTTATCAGAAATAGGAGAGTGGATGATAGATGCAAAATAATACCTGTCCACAACAAACTCTTAATGCTGTGTTTGAGCTTTCATGAGTTTCCCAGAGAGACATAGCTGGAAAATTCCTATTGATTTTCTCTAAAATTTCAACAAGTAGCTAAAGTCTGGCTATGCTCACAGTCTCACATCTGGTTGGGGTGGGCTCCTTACAGAACACGCTTTCACAGTTACCCTAAACTCTCTGGGGCAGGGTTATTCCTTTGTGGAACCAGAGGCACAGAGAGAGTCAACTGAGGCCAAAAGAGGCCTGAGAGAAACTGAGGTCAAGATTTCAGGATTAATGGTCCTGTGATGCTTTGAAGTACAATTGTGGATTTGTCCAATTCTCTTTAGTTCTGTCAGCTTTTGCTTCATATATTTTAGCGCTCTATTATTAGATATATACATGTTTAGTATTATGTCTTATTGGTGCATTTACTCTCTTATCATTATGTAATGTCCTTCTTTATCTGTGATAATTTTCTGTGTTCTGAAGTCTACTTTGTCTAAAAATAACATACGCACTCAACTTCCTTTTCTTTCTTCCTTCCTTTCTTTCTTCCTTCCTTTCTTTCTCTCTCTCTCTCTTTCCTTCCTTCCTTCCTCCTTTTCTTTCTCTCTCTCTCTCTCTCTCTTTTTTTGACAGACTCTCGTTCTGTGGCCCTGGCTGGAGTTCAGTGGTGTGATCTTGGCTCACTGCTACCTCTACCATGAGCAATTCTCCTGCCTCAGCCTCCCAAGTAGCTGGAACTACAGGCTCATGCCACTGCGCCCAGCTAATTTTTGTATTTTTCGTAGAGACGGGGTTTCACCACATTCGTCAGGTTGGTTTCAAACTCCTGACTTTGTGATCCACCCGCCTCGGCCTCCCAAAGTGCTGGGATTACAGGCATGAGCCATCACACCTGGTCAACTTTCTTTTGATTAGTGTTTTTGTGGTATATCTTTTTCCATCATGTTACTTTAAATATATCTATATTATTGTATTTAAAATGTGTTTCTTACAGACTGCATGTAGTTGGGTATAATTTTTATCCAGTCTAAAAATATCTGTCTTTTAATTGGTGTTTAGACAATTTATATTTAATAAAATTGTTGAATTTAAGATGGATGACTGTTTTATTTGTTTGCTGTTCACCACTTCTGTTTTATTCTCTTTCCAGAATTCTTTTGGATTGTTTAAATATTTCATAATATTTTATCTTAATTTATTTATTGGGTATTTGCCTATATCTCTTTGTGGTATTTTTTAGTGGTTGCTTGAGGGATTACAATGTACTTAACTTTTCACAGTGTGCATAAAGTTAATATTTTGCCACTTGCAGTAAACCGTAGAAGGCTTATAATCATATTAGTACCTCTATCCACTTTCTTTTATGTTGTAGTTGTCATATATATTACATCTATATACACTGAAACATTATAGGCAATGTTATGATTTTTGCATTCGTCAGTCATATATATATTTTAAAGAATTTAAGAGGAGAAAAATACATATTCAGATATTCATCATTTCCTTTGTTCTTTATTAATTTCTAATGTTCTGTGTTTCTCTCTGGTGTAATTTCTCCTCAACCTGAAAAACTTTATTGAGCATTTATTTTAAAGCAAGTCTGTTGATGATGAATTCTCTTAGTTTTTCTTCATCTGAGAATGCCTTCATCTTTTCTACATTCCTGAAATATATTTTTACTGGATATAGAATTCTCAGTTGACAGTTCTTTCTTCTAGCATTTTATTTTATTTAGTTTATTTTTTTCAGTGCATTAAAGATGTTTCTGTCTTCTGGGACCCATGGTGTGTGTGTATATATATATATATTTTTTTTTCTCTTTATCTCAAAGGCTCTATGGTTTCAGATGAGAAACCTGCAGTCATAGTTTTCCCTTATGTGTAATTTATAATTTTTTCTTCCAGCTGCTTTCAAGATGCTTTCTTTACCTCTGATTTTCAATAGTTTGATTATGATGTGTCTGGGTGTTTTCAACTTTCACCCATTTTAGGGTTCATTAAACTTCTTGAATCTATAAATATAGGTCTTTCAGCAAATTTAGGACATTTTCTGCAGACATTTTTTATTTTTATTTTTGAGATTTGAGTGTTGCTATGTTGCCCAGGCTGGTCTCAAACTTCTGGGCTCAAGTAATCCTCCTGCCTTGGCTTCCCAAAGTGCTGAGATTATAGGTCTGAGCCACTGGATTTTCTCACCCTCAGAACTGTGAGCCAACAAATTTCTGTTCTTTATAAATTGCCCAGTCTGTGGTATTCTGCTATAGCAGCACAAAATGGGCTAAGATACTGGGCCGACCAGATTCCTCCAGGAATACGAATTAGGATGGATGTAAAACATGCAGATTCAGGACTCATGGGTCCTTCTGCCCTGCAGTGTAGAACAAGAAGAGGCCCAGCTGTGAGAAAGGTAGAGGCTTTGAGAGAAACAGAATTGAAAGTCAGAGAGAGAGAGAGAGAGAGAGAGATCTTGGATGCTTTCTACTTTTTGGTTCAGTCCTTCCTGAGATTTAACTATATCCCAACCCACGGGGGCCGTAAGACACCAGTTCCTGTATTTTTATGCCATCTCTCCTTTTAATGTGAGTTAGCTTGTATTTATTTTATGTACATCTAGAAAGTACACAGGGGGCTGAGCGCAGTGGCTCATGCCTGTAATCCCAGCACTTTGGGAGACCAAGGTGGGCAGATCACTTGAGGTCAGGAGTTCGAGACCTGCCTGACCAACATGGTGAAACTAAAAATACAAAAATCAGCTGGTTGTGGTGGCGTGCACCTGTAATCCCAGCTACTTGAGAGGCTGAGGCAGGAGAATCACTTGACCTGGGAGACAGAAGTTGCAGTGAGCCAAGATAGTGCCACTGCACTTCGGCCTGGGCAACAGAGAAAGACTCTGCCTCAAAAAAACAAGTAAATAAAAATAAAAAGTACACAGGGTTGGAAATTAAACTGTGACTGTGCCCAGGCACCAAGCTCAGGCTCAGTTAGGAAGAAAACTTGGCAACAGGATAATAGAGTCAAGTCATTAGGCACCCATAAGATTACACCTAAAACCCTAGCTTCACTTACATGTATTTTATTAGCAATTAACCTCCTAGCTTAGAAATCCCTTGTGGACAGAGACTTTGTATTTCATCTTTGAATTCTTTACAAAGATCATTGATTTATTCAGTAAATATTTATTGTCTATTTTATACTGGGTACATCATAATCTTAAAAATAGAAATAATAATATAATTATCATTTTGAAGTAGCTGCTTGAAATACATTATTTTATTTACTCTTTACAACATCTTGTACATTAAATATCATTGACCCCATTGTTAGATAAGAAAACTGAAGCTTAGAGAAGATAATTAACTGGCTCAAAGCTGCAGCTAGTAAATTGTAGAGCAAAGATTCATAGCCAGAGCTGCCTGATACCAAAAGCTATGCTGTTATGAAAAATAAACCCCAATTTCATTGGACTTTTTTTCTTTATAGTTTCAAGACATTGGGGGATAGAGTTATACAACCTGTAGCCTTAATGTTAGCAATCCTGTAAATACCGGTAATGGAAGAACTTGCCTTTGTAAAATGAGTCATTCAATTTGTTATGTGGCAGAAAGTCCGGTTGTTTAAAGAAAATATGATGAAATGTCTCACTCATCTTTCACGTGGGCAAGTTCTGAGGACTGCACTGAGGTTCTTTGTAGTGTGGTGCTAGAAAATAAGGGCCTTCCAAAATAGTTTGTTCATGCCAGCTGAAATAGCTTAAGTCAATGCTCAACCTTTCTTTATCTAAAAAATTCTATAACTTAAGGCCAGGCACGGTGGCTCATGCCTGTAATCCCAGCACTTTGGGAGGCCGAGGCCAATGGATTACCTGAGATCAGGAGTTTGAGACCAGCCTGGGCAACATGGTGAAATCCCGTCTCTACTAAAAACACAAAAACTAGCCGGGCATGGTGGCTGGCGCCTGTAATCCCAGCTACTCAGGAGGCTGAGGCAGGAGAATCACTGGAACCTGGGAGGCGGAGGTTGCCGTGAGACAAGATAGTGCCATTGTACTCCAGCCTGGGCAACAGAGTGAGACTCCATCTCAAAACAAAACAAAACAAAACAAACAAAAAAAACTATAACTTAAAGATAGAATGTTATTTCCCTGGTATGATAAAGAATAACAAATTGTAAATAATATCCAACATTATAATTAATAGCAAAACACTAAATAAATCCCCATTAAAATTGGTACAAAACAAGGGTGCTTGCTTTCACCATTCTAACTTTAACAATGTTCTGGGAAATTCCGTTGATTTGTCCTCTTATCTTTGAACTTCCTCTTGTTTTATTTTATTCATGTTCTTATCACAGTCTTCCAAAAACAGGAATTCATGGAGAGTTTTGTGGGTTTTTCTAAATTTTGGTATATATATACATATATATAGCAAATATAGATAATGTATGTATAGCAAATATATTTATATATATATATATATATTACATATATATATATTTCCCAGACTGGGTTCTTGGCATGTTGTTCATTTCTTTTTTTTGTTGCTTTTCTGTAGTATACCTGGCTGATCCAGCTTGCTTGTGTTGAACGTGGGTCTTTCTAGACTTTGTTTGCTCTGATACAGTGAGCATGACTGCCATCTCTGATACTTGCATGTCTCACCTCCCAGCCACAGAGCAAGAGCTGAAATCTCATTTTCTTTCCACTTTTCTGAGACGGAGGGAAGAGAGAATAGAAGCAGACTCTGGGGATTGTGCAGCCTTTGTTGGGTAACCTGGCTTTTACTCTCTCTTCTAAAATGCTGTTAAATGTTTGGTACCACAAATTAACCCATCTCGTTGGCCATGCATCCTATTCCCATGGTGGAATACCTCTAGGTCCACAGGTTCCTAGTAACCCCTAGGAACCATCAGCTCTTCCACAGAGATCTTGAGATATGCTAGTTTGTACTCTGACAGGAGTCTGTACTCTGACAGGTTTTTTCTAGACTTTTCCTTGGGATACTTACTTACCTGTTGAGTCTTCTTTGCCCCAGGTTGAGGAGAACTCACAGGAATTTGTCCAATCCTCTTCTTTTTAGTATAGTCTTGGTGGGTGGGAGGCTACAGTGATATTAGAAGCCTTGCCATGCTCTGGCAGAATCTTTTGTTTCCTTCCTCAATAGCCATGTTTTGAAGTCTGTGACTTGTCATTACACCCTTTTCTTAATTTTGCTTCTGGTGAATTTTCAGGGGTGTTAATGTTTTTCTTTTTTGATGGTCATTTGAAAGAGCACACAGGTGAGACTGTATAAGATTTTTAAAAACAGTAATTTAGGTGGGATAGGCAGCTAACCTTGCTAGGTACTGAAAACATATTACAAAATCATAGCAGTTAAAACAGAGTATCCTGGCTCAGGCGCGGTGGCTCAAGCCTGTAATTTCAGCACTTAGGGAGGCCGAGGTGGGTGGATCACTTGAAGTCAGGAGTTCGAGACCAGCCTGGCCAACATGGTGAAACCCTGTCTCTACTAAAAACACAAAAATTAGCCGGGCTTGGTGGACATGCCTGTAGTCCCAGCTACTCAGGAGGCCGAGGCAGGACAATTGCTTGAACCTGGGAAGTGGAGGCTGCAGTGAGCTGAGAATGTGCTGCCGCACTCCAGCCTGAGCAACAGAGTGAGACTCTATTTCAAACCCCCACCGCGCCCCCCCAAAACAGAGTATCCCTAGCATAAGAATAGACAGACAGGTTAATGAAAGATAAGAGTGACCAGAATTAGACCCTAAGATATGTGGAACTTTAATATGTGATAAAAGATTTATGCACTTTAGTTATTTAGAAAAAAAGGAACACTCTTGGCCTCTTCCTCATATATACTTGAAAAATATTGCAAATAGTCCCTCTCCCTCTCCCTCTCCCTCTCCCTCTCCCTCTCCCTCTCCCTCTCCCTCTCCCTCTCCCTCTCCCTCTCCCTCTCCCTCTCCCTCTCCCTCTCCCTCTCCCTCTCCCTCTCCCTCTCCCTCTCCCTCTCCCTCTCCCTCTCCCTCTCCCTCTCCCTCTCCCTCTCCCTCTCCCTCTCCCTCTCCCTCTCCCTCTCCCTCTCCCTCTCCCTCTCCCTCTCCCTCTCCCTCTCCCTCTCCCTCTCCCTCTCCCTCTCCCTCTCCCTCTCCCTCTCCCTCTCCCTCTCCCTCTCCCTCTCCCTCTCCCTCTCCCTCTCCCTCTCCGTCTCCCTCTGATGCCGAGCCAAAGCTGGACGGTACTGCTGCCATCTCGGCTCACTGCAACCTCCCTGCCTGATTCTCCTGCCTCAGCCTGCCGAGTGCCTGCGATTGCAGGCGCGCGCTGCCACGCCTGACTGGTTTTCGGTTTTTTTTTGGTGGAGACGGGGTTTCGCTGTGTTGGCCGGGCTGCTCTCCAGCTCCTAACCGCGAGTGATCCGCCAGCCTCGGCCTCCCGAGGTGCCGGGATTGCAGATGAAGTCTCGTTCACTCAGTGCTCAGTGGTGTCCAGGCTGGAGTGCAGCGGCGTGATCTCGGCTCGCTACAACCACCTCCCAGCCGCCTGCCTTGGCCTCCCAAAGAGCCGAGAGTGCAGCCTCTGCCCGGCCGCCACCCCGTCTGGGAAGTGAGGAGCGTCTCTGCTTGGCCACCCATCGTCTGGGATATGAGGAGCCCCTCTGCCTGGCTGCCCAGTCTGGAAAGTGAGGAGCGTCTCTGCCCGGCCGCCATCCCATCTAGGAAGCGAGGAGCGCCTCTTCCCGGCTGCCATCCCATCTAGGAAGTGAGGAGCGTCTCTGCCCGGCCGCCCATCGTCTGAGATGTGGGGAGCACCTCTGCCCCACCGCCCTGTCTGGGATGTGAGGAGCGCCTCTGCTGGGCCGCAACCCTGTCTGGGAGGTGAGGAGCGTCTCTGCCCCGCCGCTCCGTCTGAGAAGTGAGGAAACCCTCTGCCTGGCAACCGCCCCGTCTGAGAAGTGAGGAGCCCCTCCGTCCGGCAACCACCCCGTCTGGGAAGTGAGGAGCGTCTCCGCCCGGCAGCCACCCCGTCCGGGAGGTGAGGGGCTCCTCTGCCCGGCCGCCCCTACTGGGAAGTGAGGAGCCCCTCTGCCCGGCCAGCCGCCCCGTCCGGGAGGGAGGTGGGGGGGTCAGCCCCCCGCCCGGCCAGCCGCCCCGTCCGGGAGGGGGGAGGGGGGGTCAGCCCCCCGCCTGGCCAGCCGCCCCGTCCGGGAGGTGAGGGGCGCCTCTGCCCGGCCACCCCTACTGGGAAGTGAGGAGCCCCTCTGCCCGGCCAGCCGCCCCGTCCGGGAGAGAGGCGGGGGGGGGGGGTCGGCCAGCCGCCCCGTCCGGGAGGGAGGTGGGGGGGTCAGCCCCCCTTCCGGCCGGCCGCCCTGTCCGGGAGGTGAGGGGCGCCTCTGCCTGGCCGCCCCTACTGGGAAGTGAGGACCCCTCTGCCCGGCCAGCCGCCCCGTCCGGGAGGGAGGTGGGGGGGACAGCCCCCCGCCCGGCCAGCCGCCCTATCCAGGAGGTGAGGGGCGCCTCTGCCCGGCCGCCCCTACTGGGAAGTGAGGAGCCCCTCTGCCTGGCCAGCCGCCCCGTCCGGGAGGGTAGTGGGGGGGTCAGCCCCCCGCCCGGCCAGCCGCCCCATCCGGGAGGTGAGGGGCGCTTCTGCCCGGCCGCCCCTACTGGGAAGTGAGGAGCCCCTCTGCCCGGCCACGACCCCGTCTGGGAGGTGTGCCCAGCGGCTCATTGGGGATGGGCCATGATGACAATGGCGGTTTTGTGGAATAGAAAGGCGGGAAGGGTGGGGAAAAAATTGAGAAATCGGATGGTTGCCGGGTCTGTGTGGATGGAAGTGGACATGGGAGACTTTTCATTTTGTTCTGTACTAAGAGAAATTCTTCTGCCTTGGGATCCTGTTGATCTGTGACCTTATCCCCAACCCTGTGCTCTCTGAAGCATGTGCTGTGTCCACTCAGGGTTAAGTGGATTGGGGGCGGTGCAGGATGTGCTTTGTTAAACAGATGCTTTGTTAAACAGATGCAGCGTGCTGGTTGAGAGTCATCACCACTCCCTAATCTTAAGTACCCAGGGACACAGACACTGCGGAGGGCCGCGGGGTCCTCTGCCTAGGAAAACCAGAGACCTTTGTTCACTTGTTTATCTGCTGACCTTCCCTCCACTATTGTCCTATGACCCTGCCAAATCCCCCTCTGCGAGAAACACCCAAGAATGATCAATAAAAAAAAAAAAAAAAAAAAAAAAAAAAAAAGGGGCCCAGGGGACAGGCATTCAGCATATGGAGGATCCACGCCAGCCCCGGCTGCTGCGTTCCCTTAGTATTTATTGCTCATTATCGGGCGTGACAGGATAATAGGATAATGGTGGGGAGGTCGGAAGGTAAACACGTGAACAAATGTCTCTGCACCATAAACAAGGTAAAGAAAAAAGTGCTGTGCTTTTGATGTGCATATACATAAACATCTCATTGCCTTAAGGAACAGTATTGCTGCCAGCATGTCCCACCTCCAGCCCTAAGGCGGTTTTCTCCTATCTCAGTAGATGGAATATACAATCAGCTTTACACCCAGACATTCCATTGCCCAGGGATGAGCAGGAGACAGAAGCCTTCCTCTTATCTCAACTGCAAAAAGGCGTTCCTTCCTCTTTTACTAATCCTCCTCAGCACAGACCTTTTACGGGTGTCGGGTGTCGGGCTGGGGGACGGTCAGGTCTTTCCCTTCCCACAAGGCCATATTTCAGACTCTCACATGGGGAGAAACCTTGGACGGTGCCTGGCTTTCCTGGGCAGAGGTCCCTGCGGCCTTCTGCAGTGTTTTGTGTCTCTGGGTACTTGAGATTGGGGAGTGGTTTGAGATTGGGGAGTGGTGATGACTCTTAACAAGCATGCTGCCTTCAAGCATTTGTTTAACAAAGCACACCCTGCACAGCCCTTGATCCATTTGGCCCTGAGTTGACACAGCGCATGTTTCGGGGAGCACAGGGTTGGGGGAAGGGTTACAGATTGGCAGCATCTCGGGGCAGAAGAATTTTTCTTAGTGGGGAGCAGAGTGGAGTCTCCTATGTCTACTTCTTTCTACACAGACACAGTAACAGTCTGATCTCTCTTTCTTTTCCCCACAATGTGGTTTTGGGCGCCTGTAGTCCCGGCTACTTGGGAGACTGAGGCAGGAGAATTGCTTGAACCTGGGAGGCAGAGGTTGCTGTGAGCCGAGATTGTGCCACTGCACTACAGCCTGGGCGAAAAAAGCAAAACTCCGTCTCAAAAAAAAAAACAAAACACTTGTGATTTGGGGGTTTTGTGGAAATTTAATTACGATGAAAAATCTGTATCTTTTTTGTAATGTTGGCATACTTGGGTAATTTTGTGGCAAATATATTTCCCAGTGGACCTTTTGTTGGTGGCACTAACTGCAAGGTTGCTGGGAAAGTGGAGTCTGTTTGGTGGATGAGCTCTGACTGCCGTTTTGGAACCTCACCTCTACTCATGCTGTCTCAAGTCCTTGTCTCATTCTCCAGCTCTCAGTTCAAATAAAGTTATTTCTCCTGGGAAAAAAAGTTCCGTGAAACGCACACTGGATGACAGTGCTGAAGTTGGGTGCCCTGGGAAGTCCTCAGGACACCCCTGCATGAAGGCTGCCCCAGGAGAGCAGCGCAAGGTTGTGGAGGTCTCAAAGCTCTGAAGAACCTGCCTACCGAAGACAGGAGTGCCCACAAAACAGTTGGCCCATGGGCTCCCCAAGACCTACGTGTACCTCGGAGGCATTTGGCAGAAGATTCTTTGTGAACAAAAATCTCTGCCCACTAGGAGGCAGGAGTGTGTGTGTGTGTGTGTGTGTGTGTGTGTGTGTGTTGAAACCAGAACTCCACCTTATGTGTTCATTGTGGAATTTGAAAATGGAAGCCTAAAGTTGAAAATTAAAATCACCCGTGATAGCTGTAAAAAAAAAAAAAAAAAAAAATCGTAAATGAGTTCTTACTTTGGAAGCATATATACTAAAGTTGGAATGAAACAGAGAAGATTAGTTACTGATTTCATTTTTCAATAAGTTTAGATTTATTATGTTGGTTTCCCAATTTAAAAAATTGACTTCTTAAAAAATCAAAAAAAAAAAAAAAAAAAAAAAAAAAGAAAAATATTGCAAATAGATCAAGTAGTTAAATTAAGGGTGAAAAATGAACCCATAAAAAACCACTCTAAAAGTATATAAAAATGGCTACTGAGTCTCTAGATCAGAGGGGAGACCTTCTAAGTTTAAAATAAGAGAAGAAGCAAAAGAAGAAACATAAATAGATGTGACGACATAAAACTTTAAATTTCAAGGCTTTATAAAAAATGGCCAAAATTACAAGGCAATCAGCAAACCTGAATGCGGGAGGTACTAAAAATTCCTTGACCAGGGGAGTCCTTTGACACAGGGTTTTGTTTGTTTGTTTGTTTTTGTGACGGTGTTAAGGATAAGAAAGGAACAAGACAAGCAAGCAAGGTGAGGCTTGCCCTAGGTCAACCTCTAGTGTTCATGGAGAGGAAGCTGTAAATTGTGAGGACTAGGTTCAGGAGTGGTTGCTAGGGAGGAGGTAGCCTGTGGCTGAGCTGGGAAAAGTTGCAGCAGAACCACTGCCCTTACAAGAGGTAAGTGCAAGTCACTTGGGGTGACCTAAGACAGAACTTCTTTTTTTTTTTTTTTTTTTTTTGAGGTGGAGTCTTGCTCTGTTGCCCAGGCTCGAGTGCAGTGGCACAATTTCGGCCTCCTGGGTTCACGCCATTCTCCTGCCTCAGCCTCCCGAGTAGCTGGGACTACAGGCGCCCGCCACCACGCCCGGCTAACTTTTTGTGTTTTTAGTAGAGACAGGGTTTCACCGTGTTAGCCAGGATGGTCTCGATCACCTGACCTCGTGATCCACCCGCCTCAGCCTCCCAAAGTGCTGTGATTACAGGTGTGAGCCACCACGCCTGGCCTAAGACAGAACTTTTGCTTTTCCATTATTCTTTTTTTTTTTTTTTTTGAGATGGAGTTTCACTCCTGTCGCCCAGGCTGGAGTGCAATGGTGTGATCTCGGTTCACTGCAACCTCTGCCTCCCAGGATCAAGTGAGTCTCCTGCCTCAGCCTCCTGAGTAGCTGGGATTACAGGTGCCCACCACCACACCTGGCCAATTTTATATTTTTAGTAGAGACAGGGTTTCTCCAGGTTAGCCAGGCTGGTCTTGAACTCCTGACCTCAGGTGATCCGCCCACCTCGGCCTACCAAAATGCTGGGATTACAGGTGTGAGCCACCGCGGGGGCCTGTCCTTTTTTTTTTTTTTTTTGAGATGCAGTCTGGCTCTGTTGCCCAGGCTACAGTGCAGTGGCATGATCTCGGCTCACTGCAACATCCACCTCCTGGGTTCAAGCGATTTTCCTGCCTCAGCCTCCCAAGTTGCTGGGACTACAGGCATGTGCCACCACGCTCGGCTAATTTTTGTATTTTTAGTAGAGACAGGGTTTCACCGTGCTGGCCAGGCTGGTCTCGAACTCCTGACCTCAGTTGATCCCCCTACTTTGGCCTCCCAAAGTGTTGGGATTACAGGCATGAGCCACCACGCCCGGTCCCATTATTCTTCTTAGACAAAACAGATCCTTTCAAAGGAATGGTAAACTTGGATTACACAATATATTTGTTAAAAAATTGGAATCTCATGCCTGTAATCCCAGCGATTTGGGAGGTGGGAGGGTCTCTTGAGTTCAGGAGTTTGACACCAGTCTGGGCGAAACAGGGAGACCTCGTCTCTACAAATTTTTTTTTTTTTAAATTGGAATCATCCTGAACATCTATTGTTTGGCCCGCCTTTTCAAATGATTTGAATGCTTTTCTACACCACAAAATATAATTTTCAAATGTGTTGTCTTTCAAATGTGATTTGTATGTGGATGCATAATGTTTCCTTATATGGATGTCACTGTCATTTATTTGAGCAATGTTTATGCCTAGAAATGAGACTTGTTGGCAATGTGTATATAGTTGGAGCAAAATGTCTGAGTACTTTGAAAAATGGTGTCAGAGCCCAAATGACTTGGACATCTCCACTCTGAGCCAACTGGCTCAGTGTTAGTCACAACTGGAAAAGGGAGATGGAGAGAATGCCTCACAGACTCATGAATGTGTTTGTATGATGTTATTAACAGAGTAAATTATAAAATCCAGACCTACAAAAGGTCAACTATTTCGTATAATTTGAGCTTGTAGAAAACTTCCTGAATATTCCACTGCTGCACACACACATCTGTTAACTGGCTGAGGTTTGGCAAAGGCAAATCAGTGTTAAGAGTTGAAGTAGCAGCTCTTTCTCAGATTCACACATTCCTTTTCACTTATTGGAAACAAGATATTATCTGACTCCTAGTGTTGCTTACTTGGCAGGCACCTTTCAGTAAATATGAATACATTAAATCTCAGCCTTAAAGACAAAGACCTTACTGTCTTCCTAATTCATGACAAAAATCACAGCCATAAAATAGAAAGAATGAATTCTGGTATTCAGCTGAAGAAAAAGTTTGACTGAGTTGCTTTCCCACCCTGGAAAACTTTCTCTCAGAATAATTTCATGATGGATGATTCTGTGAGGAATGAAACAATGCTGTATCATTGCTATAAATGCTGTAATGTCTGCATGCCAAACTGCTTTCAATTAGTGTTTTCTCTGGAAACTGGAAAGTATGACACAGTCGAGGCATTAGCATGCCCATTTTCTTCAGTAATAAAAAGAAAGGATACTGAGCGGAACTCAGGTGTGATAGAGATTTGAGGTATTTCCAAGTGACGCTTGCCTGACACTCTGTTAAATAAAATTAAAAAGAAAAAAATAAAAGCAAAAAAGATCTCTCTAAGTGGTATGGCATGATTTCTCAGCTACAGCAAAAGAAGCTACCATTATACCCTGCCTTTTCCTCCATCTTGTCTAGAGAACCTAGACGTATAAACTCATAATTTCCTTTTAACTTAATAAAAATTTATAAAATAGGATACAGGAGTTAAGAGGGGGGATGGTTTAGGGTGATGGAAATGTCAGGAGGTCTTTGTGTTGGGGATGACATTTGAACTAGGTCTTGCTAAACTGAGGAATAAAGGAAGATATTCCATTTATAGTGAAGAGCAGATGCAATGTCAAAAAACAAACAAAACATAAATAAGTTGATAAGGCAAGGTGAGAAGTTCAGTGTGGCTGAGAAAAAAAATATGCAAGACAAAAGGTCAGAGATAAAGTTGAGTGTGGCCAAGCAAAGCAGATAGGGTAGAAAGTATCTGGACTTCATCTTTCCATGACGGAGGCCAACAAAGAACTTTTAAGCAGGAGCAAAATATGACCAGATTGACATTATGTCAAGGTCACCTGCTGGAGTTACTGATAATTGGAAGATATTTGTTATTGGTCCCAGTAAAGGAAGACAAAAGCAGTGGTAATTGAATTGAAGACTCAATCCTGGAGAAATTTCTGTGTTAGAATTATACAGTTAGGATATAAAATGATAGACCACTGTTTAATTCCATTGGAATGTGGGTATGAGCCAGGTGAAAGTATGAGTGTGTGTCAGGTGGAGGTGGGAGACTTGGCCGCTACGCTCAGAGAATAAACAGACACAGAGTTTGCCACATACCTCTATCCTATCAGATGGGGGCTGTGCTCTTGAGAAAGTGGTGGATATGTCAGTCCATTCAGGAAAATCCTCTGTGACCTCCCTCACATTTGAACAATTGAAATTACGGGAAGAGTGCTTTCTCTTAGGAAGTCCACTTTATTAAATGTGCCCTCTGGATGCTACGTTTGTATTGAGAATTAGTGCTTTTTAGTTCATTTATTTTGTCATCTTAGATTTTCATGCTGTTCTGCGAGTTATCTTAGCAAAGGGCTCTCTGTAGGTTGAGGGATGATGTTATGAATAGTCGGGGTGAGGTACTTAGAATTTATATAACTACAAGCCTTATGAAAGTGTCTTCTGAGGCCGGTGGAAGCCTTTTGATGAAGACCTTTCAGGGGTTGATCACAACCAGTAAGAACCTGGTTCTCCAATTATGATGATATTTCTGATTTACTTTTCAGCCTATCCAAGCAAATGTTCAGGTCAATTAGGGTTTCTCAGAAAGGGGCAGGAAGTGCATACAGCAGTCAGGCAGATTATCCAGACGTACCACTTCCCTTTGTCAGCTTATCACTGAGTCTGGCTTCCTCCTTGATTGGGTAAACATCCTTTTCTTACCCCTGTTTTTCCCCAAAATCAGCACTTTCCTAATGATTTCCTGTTTCTGAGCAAAATCTTCCATAAATCAAACATGAAATCAAGCAGGATAAATTAGTAAGGCCAGCCATGGAGAGACAAGGTGAAGTCCTACAATTTGTCTGGGGTATGGAAAGTTCAAGAATTAGAAGGGGGTGCCATATCCAGGACACACAGCCTGCTATCCCTTCCTTCTGCTCAGGGCTGTGTGTCATGATAGGAGACACTGATAGGCAAAAAGATCTCCATGAAAGTTAACTAAGATTAGAAATAAACATTTGTCATTTAAGAGCGTCAGATAACTTCTAATTAGTATAGTGCTTATATCCAAGGTTGCAGGATAAAAATGCTTCACAGTGAATACATTTCTACTACTTTCTTTATATGACTGGCAATTTTTTTCCTTGAGCCACTGACAATTTTATCAGGGGAAGAGTTTTCTTCTAGTGATCATAACTTTGATAGCTGTCTTAGTCCATTTTATGCTGCTAAGTAGAATACCTGAGACTGAGTAATTTATAAAGAATAGTCCAAGATCACGGTGCTGGCATTTGGTGAGGGGCTGGTTTCTGCCTGCAAGATGGCGCCTTGCGTGCTCCATCCTTCAGACGGGAGGAACGCGATGTCCTCACATGGCAGAAGAGCAGAAGAGAGGAAACCTGCTCCAACAAGCTTTTCTTAATAACGGCATTCATTAATTCATTAGGGAAGAGCCCTCATGACTTAAATACCTTCCAAAAGACCCTACCTCTCCACACTGTTGCATTGGGGATTGAGTTTCCAACACATAAATTTGGGGGATACATTCAGACCATAACAATAGCTTAGTTTTTGATATGCCAAATATCTTTTTCAAAAAATGTTTTCGTTACATTGTTCACATTATTTGCTAAACACAGTGGCACATGCCACCCCCAGCTACTTGGGAGGCTGATGTGGGAAGATCTTTTGAGCCCAGGAGTTTGAGACTGCAGTGAGTTAGGATCACACCACTGCACTTCAACCAGAGTGAGACTCTGTCTCTAAAATAAAATAAATACATGGTTTATATTATATATCATAAACTGGTGTCTCCTAGGAGAACTTATGATGAATTCAAACTGTGTTAGTTTATGTAAATGTTAAACAGTAAGTTTACTAATGTTTTCTTTTCTTTTTTGAGACGGAGTCTCGCTCTGTCGCCCAGGCTGGAGTGCAGTGGTGCGATCTCGGCTCACTGCAACCTCTGCCTCCCGGGTCCACGCCATTCTCCTGCCTCAGTCTCCTGAGTAGCTGGGACTACAGGCGCCCGCCACCACGCCCGGCTAATTTTTTGTATTTTTAGTAGAGACTGAGTTTCACCGTGTTAGCCAAGATGGTCTCGATCTCCTGACCTTGTGATCTGCCCGCCTCGGCCTCCAAAAGTGCTGGAATTACAAGTGTGAGCCACGGCGCCTGGCCTAATCTTTTCTTAAGACTGCAATGTATTAAAATCTGTAAAACTAAATTTTTCACGGGGTTAAGATGAACACTTTACTTGGACCCTTTTCTGTAACAATAGAAATAAAAGTGATTCTGTCAGTTTTCTTGATTATTAAACACATTGAACAAAAACTTTGTTTTGTTGCTCTCCCTCCTCTCCCTCTCCCTCCTCTCCCTCTCCCTCTCCCTCTCCCTCTCCCTCTCTTTCCACGGTCTCCCCCGATGCCGAGCCAAAGCTGGACTGTACTGCTGCCATCTCGGCTCACTGCAACCTCCCTGCCTGATTCTCCTGCCTCAGCCTGCCGAGTGCCTGCGATTGCAGGCGCGCGCCGCCACGCCTGACTGGTTTTCGTATTTTTTTGGTGGAGACGGGGTTTTGCTGTGTTGGCCGGGCTGGTCTCCAGCTCCTAACCTCAAGTGATCCGCCAGCCTCGGCCTCCCAAGGTGCCGGGATGGCAGACGGAGTCGCGTTCACTCAGTGCTCAATGGTGCCCAGGCTGGAGTGCAGTGGCGTGATCTCGGCTCTCTACAACCTCCACTTCCCAGCTGCCTGCCTTGGCCCCCCAAAGTGCCGAGATTGCAGCCTCTGCCCGGCCGCCACCCCGTCTGGGAAGTGAGGAGCGTCTCTGCCTGGCCGCCCATCGTCTGGGATGTGAGGAGCCCCTCTGCCTGGCGGCCCAGTCTGGAAAGTGAGGAGCGTCTCTGCCCGGCCGCCATCCCATCTAGGAAGTGAGGAGCGTCTCTGCCAGGCCGCCATCCCATCTAGGAAGTGAGGAGCGTCTCTGCCAGGCCGCCCATCGTCTGAGATGTGGGGAGCGCCTCTGCCCGGCCGCCCCGTCTGAGAAGTGAGGAGACCCTCCGCCAGGCAGCCACCCCCTCTGAGAAGTGAGGAGCGTCTCCGCCCGGCAGCCACCCCATCTGGGAGGGAGGTGGGGGTCAGCCCCCCGCCCGGCCAGCCGCCCCGTCCGGGAAGGATGTGGGGGGGTCAGCCCCCCGCCCCGCCAGCCGCCCCATCCGGGAGGTGAGGGGCGCCTCTGCCCGGCCGCCCCTACTGGGAAGAGAGGAGCCCCTCTGCCCGGCCAGCCGCCCCGTCCGGGAGGGAGGCGGGGAGGTCAGCCCCCCGCCCGGCCAGCCGCCCCGTCCGGGAGGTGAGGGGCGCCTCTGTCTGGCCGCCCCTACTGGGAAGTGAGGAGCCCCTCTGCCCAGCCAGCCGCCCCGTCCGAGAGGTGACGGGCGCCTCTGCCCGGCCGCCCCTACTGGGAAGAGAGGAGCCCCTCTGCCCGGCCAGCCACCCCATCCGGGAGGGAGGTGGGGGGGTCAGCCCCCCACCTGGCCAGCCGCCCCATCCAGGAGGGAGGCGGGGAGGTCAGCCCCCCACCCGGCCAGCTGCCGCGTCCAGGAGGTGAGGGGTGCCTCTCCCCGGCCGCCCCTACTGGGAAGTGAGGAGCCCCTCTGCCCGGCCACCACCCCGTCTGGGAGGTGTACTCAACAGCTCATTGAGAACGGGCCATGATGACAATGGCGGTTTTGTGGAATGGAAAGGGGGGAAAGGTGGGGAAAAGATTGAGAAATCGGATGGTTGCCATGTCTGAGTAGAAAGAGGTAGACATGAGAGACTTTTCATTTTGTTCTGTACTAAGAAAAATTCTTCTGCCTTGGGATCCTGTTGATCTGTGACCTTACCCCCAACCCTGTGCTCTCTGAAACATGTGCTGTGTCCACTCAGGGTTGAATGGATTAAGGGTGGTGCAAGATGTGCTTTGTTAAACAGATGCTTGAAGGCAGCATGCTCGTTAAGAGTCATCACCACTCCCTAATCTCAAGTACCCAGGGACACAAACACTGCGGAAGGCCGCAGGGTCCTCTGCCTAGGAAAACCAGAGACCTTTGTTCACTTATCTGCTGACCTTCCCTCCACTATTGTCCTGTGACCCTGCCAAACACCCCTCTGCGAGAAACACCCAAGAATGATCAATAAAAAAAAAAAAAAAAAAAAAAGAAAGTTGAAAAAAAAAAAAAAAAAAACTTTGTTTTGTTTAAACTGGTTTTGACTAAAGAAAAAGAATTTTAAAAATGGTTTTGATGGTCTCCCAAATCATCTATGTCTCCTTTTCTTTCTTTTCTGGGCCAGCTATTGGGTTGCTTGATGGAGATCAAAAGATGAGTTTGAAAATGAGACACAGTTCATGGACAAAAAACCTCATTAGTATAAGTAGGTCATTTCTGTCCCTCCAAGTTAATCCGTACAGTCAATACAATTTTAATTAAATCCCAGCAAAGTTTTCATGGCATTTTCCAGGCTGATTCTAACATTTTTATGAAGGATGAGAGGGCTGAGAAAAGCCAAATTTTTCTAAATAAAGAACATGGATAGAGAGTTTGTCCTTCTGGATAATGAGACTTATTACAAAGCCATAGTAATTAAAACAATGAAGTTTAGTTCATGGACAAAAAAATAAATAGAACCAGACATGAATCGGTGAATATATGAGAATTTTATTCCATATGTTCATGTAAAATAATTCATAATGAAGGTTGCTTAACAGATCAGTGGGAAAATTATAGATAATTTAATTACTGATGCTGGCATTACTGACTCTAAAGATTTTTTAAATCATGAAATTGAATTCCTTTCTTGCTCCATACAAAGAAGTTAATTCCAAGAAAGTTAAAGACTTAAATATTAAATAAAAACTTTAAAATTTTATTTATTTATATTTTAGAGATAGGGTCTTGCTCTGTTGCCCAGGCTGGAGTACAGTGGTACAACTGTAGCTCACTACAGCCTCAAATCCTGGGCATGAGTGATCCTCCTGCCTCAGCTTCCCGACTAGCTGCAACTACAGGTACATGCCACCAGGTTTGGCTAAAACTTTAAAAGAAAACATGAAGGTAAGAAAATATTTTATAAACATGACTCAAAAGATATAAACAATAGAGGAAAATATTTATATATCTTGATGCAGTAACATGAAAAACTTCTGTTAATCAGAAAATAATCTTCAAGAAAGTGAAAGAGACAAGCCACGAATAGGGGGAAAGTTATTTGCACCACATATCACTGGTAAAAACATTCAGGAGACATAAAGAATTAAAAACCAGTCATATAAAAATTAAATAAAAGTATCAAAAGATACATGATTGGTCATTAATATACAAAAAGATGGCTATTCTTTTTTTTTTTTTTTTTTTTGAGACGGAGTCTCGCTGTCGCCCAGGCTGGAGTGCAGTGGCGCAATCTCGGCTCACTGCAGGCTCCGCCCCCTGGAGTTCACGCCATTCTCCTGCCTCAGCCTCCCGAGTAGCTGGGACTACAGGCGCCCGCCACCTCGCCCGGCTAATTTTTTGTATTTTTAGTAGAGACGGGGAAAAGATGGCTATTCTTATAAGTAATTTAGGAAATTAAAACTAAAACCACAATAAGATACTATCTAAAAAATTTATAGTAACATCAAACTATTTAAAGAATCTACATTGAAAACTATAAAACACACTGATATTTTAAAAAAATCAAAGTAAATGAAAATATATCATGTTTATGGACAGAAAGTTTCAATATTACTAAGATATCAATTCTCTCCAAATTGATCTATAGATTCAATTTAATCCCTGTCCAAATCCCACCAGTCTTTTTTGGTAGGATTTCACAAGCTCATTCTAAAATTTATTTGGAAATGCAAAAGACCTAGAACAGCCAAAACAATTTTGAGAAAAAAAAGAATCAAGTTCGGAGACTTACGCTACAGAAATCAAGAGTGCATGGTATTGGCAGAGAACAGCCACATAGATCAATAGATAAGAATAGAGAACTCAGAATTAGACCTACAAATTAGAACACTTATAACTCAATAATGAAAAGACAAATAACCATATTTTTAAAAAGAGAAACATGAAGATATATGAATGTCCAATGAGTTAATAAAAATACGTTGAAAATCATGAATCATTAGGAAAATGTAAATTAAGATGATGAATACCCGTCCATAAGCACTAGAATGACTAAAATTAAAAAGTCTGACCATGCCAAGTATTGGTGAAAACGTGGAGCCACTGGAACTCTCTTACTTTGTTGTTAGATATGTAAAATAGCCAACCACTATAGAAAAGCAGTTTGATAGTTCCTTATAAAGTTTTACATTTACCACCCAAACTGGAGAAATGAAAACATCTGTCTGTTAAAAAGTTGTACATGAATATTCATAGTGGATTTATTCACCACTCGTAATGGCCTCTAAAAACAACCCAAAACTTCATCTACAGGCAAATAGTAAACAAATTGTTGTGTATTCACCCACTCAGCAATTAAAAAGACATTTCTGATATTTGAAATAGTATAGTATAATCAAAAAAATGTTACATTGAGTGAAAGAAAGCTGAATTCAGAATTTTAAGTACTGTATGATTCCCTTTATATATACAGGTGTAGATTGTGCAGAATAAATGTATGATGATAGAAATAAGATCAGTGGTTGTTACATAAGGTGGTGGTGGTGGTGGTGGTGAGGAGAAATTGGCTGTAAAAGAACATGAAGGAAATCTATCTATCTATATTTTTTTGAGACAGAGTCTTGCTCTGTGGCCCAGGCTGGAGTGCAGTGGTGCCATCTTGGCTCACTGAAACCTCCACCTCCCGGATTCAACCAATTCTCTTTCCTCAGCCTCCTGAGTAGCTGGGATTACAGGTATGCGCCACCACGCCTGGCTAATTTTTTTGTATTTTTAGTAGAGATGGGGTTTCATCATATTGGCCTGGTCTCGAACTCTTGACCTTGTGATCCACCCACCTTGGCCTCCCAAAGTTCTGTGATTACAGGCATGAGCCACCACACCAGGCCGGAGATAGATCTATCTATCTATCTATCTATCTATCTATCTATCTATCTATCTATCATCTATCTATCTATTTATTTTTTTGAGACGGAGTCTCCCTCTGTCGCCCAGGTTGGAGCGCGGTGGCATGATTTCGGCTCACTGCAACCTCTGCCTCCTGGGTTCAAGCGATTCTCCTGCCTCAGCCTCCTGAGTAGCTGGGACTACAGGCATGTGCCACCATGCCCAGCTAATTTTGTATTTTTAGTAGAGATGGGGTTTCACCATGTTGGTCAGGATGGTCTCCATCTCTTGACCTCGTGATCTGCCCATCTCGGCCTCCCAAAGTGCTGGGATTACAGGTGGAAATCTTTATTTCGATGCAGAGATGGTTACATGGGAATTTACACTTTTCAAAGCTTATTGCCTCATATGCTTAAAACGTGTGTATTTTATTGTATGTAAATTACACTTCAATAAACTCGATTAAAAACACAATGAAGTACACAACAATGTGAGTGTACTTAATGCCACTGAAAACTTAAGAGTGGTTAAAATGCTAAATTTTGTGTTATGTATGTTTTACCACAATAAAAAAAAATGAGATATATTTTTCTTTTTCTTTTTTTTTTTTTCTGAGACGGAGTCTGGCTCTGTCGGCTAGGCTAGAGTGCACTGGCGCAATCTTGGCTCACTGCAACCTCTGCCTCCTGGGTTCAAGTGATTCTCCTGCCTCAGCCTCCTGAGCAGCTGGGATTATAGGCACATACTGCCATGCCTGGCTAATTTTTGTATTTTAGTAGAGACAGGGTTTCACCACGTTGGCCAGGCAGGTCTAGAACTCCTGACCTCAGGTGATCCGCCTGCCTTGGCCTCCCAAAGTGCTGGGATTACAGGCATGAGCCACCGCATCCAGCCTGATATACATTTTTCTAATATTATGATATGTAATTAAAAATTTCAAAAAGACATAAAAATAGAACCATACAATTATTCTCTTTATATCCATTCTGCATTATCTAGATTTAACCATTATTAAAGCAAATATGGTGAAATTTTTACAATGTACAATTTTAACAATATACACATACCCTGGAGAAAACTATTAAATTTATAATTATATTTATTATAATTATTAAATTTATCAATATCTATTACATTTTTATACCTGTATAAATTAACAATAATTCATTAATATTATCTTTTATCTGCCCAATGCTCAAACTTTCCCAGTCGCCAAATTTCTCTTCTATCCCAATTAGGATTTAATCAAAAAGTGTGTTTTGTTTTGTCCTTTTAGTCTCATTTAATCTAACACAGTTACCTTCCTCCTTTATGATACTGATTTTCTAAAGTCATCACAGCGGATATGGAAAGTCCTGTATTCTGGCTTTGTCTGTTTCCTCATAGTAACAGTCACCTTGCTACTTGATCCCATTTACCTTCTTGTAAAGTGGAAGCTTCTCCTGGAGCTTGATTAATTCGGGTTATAATTTCTGACAAGAATTATTCTATAGGTAAATCCATGATAATTAATATTGCATTACATCAGGGGACCCATAATGCCAGATAGTCTTATTGTTAGTGATGTCAAATTTGGTCACTCAGCTAAGGTGGTGACAGACAGATCTCTCCATTGTAGTGGTCCATTTTTCTTTTTGCAATTTACAAGCAATAGTTTTTGCATCCACCAATGATCATTTGTTCCTTTTAAACCCACTAGATTGGCAAAAATTTTAAAAATCTGATAATACCAAGGGTTAACATAAGTGTAAAGTCATTATTAATTGCTGGTAGGAGTGTAAGTTGATCAAATCACTTTGGAAATCCATTTCATATTATCTGCCAGAGCTGAAGAGGCTTATAGTTTACAATCCATTCTATCTTCCACCATTTTAAGAGAAACTCTCACGCAGGTGTACAAGGAGACACACACAATAATTTTTATAGCAGATTGTTTTGTAAGAGCAAAACTTGGAAACAACCCAAATGTGCATCAAAAAAGGAATGAATAAAGTTTTATATAGTCAAACAATAGGATACTGTAAAATAGTAATATTGAATGGCCTAAAGCCACAAACATCAGTCTGATGAATCTCACAATCATTACACACACACACACACTCTCTCTCTCTAGGAGGAAACATGCAAGGCTTTTGATAAAGATGCTGAAATTAACACATGTATTTGCCTCTGCTGTTTCTCCAAACTCCACTAAAACAACAGCAAATTTTTTTAAAAAGCATAAATGTTTGCACAAAAGCAAATGAAGAAGAGGGTAGACAGGGGCAATAACAACTTGCAGGCATAACTAATGATAATGATTTAGCAGACTGAAAAAGTTACTCTTAAGCTGGCAGGGAAAATGCAAAGAAGTACTATATATGTTTCCCAAAACACACAAAAGTTTCAGGAATTGGCAGCACCAAGTATCTCTTGCAATAGGAGTAAATATGGGCTTAAAAAAGACAAGTTGGTTTCAATTCTACTCTAAACCTGCAGCATGATGACTGTCCCTCTCTAGTCTGGCAGAAGATTGAGAGGGTAAAACAAAGGGCTCGGGTGTAGGACTGGAAAAGTGGTGGTTATAGCACTAATTTAGCATTGGACAGGTAGGGTGCTGGATCCTAGGAGGCCTGTGAAAATAGCTTAGGTATTCAACAATGGGTACAGCCACGGAGGCCTACACAGATTCAACAGATTGGTAGAAAGGAGGAAACAAACATAACAGAAATGCAAAGAGAAAAAGAAGGTACAGTGAGAGTGAGTGAGAGAGAGAATGATTTGCAGATGTGAGGTAAGATTTCAGAGGTGAAGTTCTAGTGATGACCAAGCCCTTGGTTTCTCTTCGAGGAAATCTTGCTGAGAAACATGCCCCTAAAAACAGCTTTGATGCCTTGTGATTAGGGGCGATGGCTTTCATTATTTTCCTCCACTCTCAATAAGCGCCAACAGAAAAAAGCTACTCCAGAATCTTCTTTGTTGCAATATGAGGCAGAATGAACAAAATTGCAACAGCTACTGTTATAATAGGAAGCAACATGGTGTAAGATGTAGTTTTAACAAGTAGAAGAGGCCCTGGTGCATCTGATTTGCCCTCTCTGAGTGCCAGAGCGTTAGCTACCATTGTCAGGAAGCCTGTCTCGTGCGTCTTGACTTTCCCAACATCTAGAGGACTTCTTTAACCTAATGAGATGAAGATGAGCTGAGAATGACATCTTGAAAAGATCTGAGCCAGTAGTTTTCCAAGCGGTTCTCAGACCAGCAGCATCAGCGTGGGAACTTTGTAGAAATGCAAATAATTTGGGATCTATCCCAAACCTATCGAATCAGAAGTTTTTGGGGTGGAGCCCAGCAATATGTGTTTTTAAAAGCTCTTCAGGTAAGCACACCAAGGTTTGAGAATCACTGACCTGGATGTAATTTTTTATAATTTTTTTAAATTTTTTTGAGTCAGAGTATCCATCACCCAGGCTGGAGTCTAGTGGCGCGATCTCAGCTTACTGCAACCTCCGCCTCCTGGGTTCAAGCAATTCTTGTGCCTCCGCCTCCCAGTAGCTGGAATTACAGATGCACGCAACCACACCCAGATAATTTTTTTTTTTTTTTTTGAGATGGAGTCTCGCTCTGTCACCAGGCTGGAGTGCAGTGGTGCAGTCTTGGCTCACTGCAACCTCTGCCTCCCAGGTTCAGGTGATTCTCCTACTTCAGCCTCCTGAGTAGCTGGGATTACAGGCATGTGCCACCGTACCTGGCTAATTTTTGTACTTTTAGTAGAGACGGGGTTTCACCATGTTGGTCAGGCTGGTCTCGAACTACTGACCTCGTGATCCGCCAGCCTCGGCCTCCCAAAGTGCCAGGATTACAGGCATGAGCCACCGCACCCAGCCAGTTTTTGTATTTTTGTAGTGATGGGGTTTCACCATGTTGGCCAGGCTGGCGTCGAACTCCTGACCTCAAGTGATCTGCCCACCTCAGCCTCCCAAAGTGCTGGGATTACAGATGTGAGCCATCGTGCCCGGCCTAGATGTAATTTTTAGTCAACTTAAGCATGTGTAACCATATGCAATTATGCGCAAACAGTATAAATAGAGCTGATGTTAATCTCTAGCCCCGTTGCCTGGAGTGTTGGTGAAACTCTTTTATTTTGTAATCCTTTTTATATTTTAGTGGATGTTTCTATTGATTCTCTTCTGTACCCGCTGTTTCCTCTTTTATTGGAAGACACTAAAACAATTCAGAAATTTTTATAGGAATGCAGAGGATTCAAAATGTCTGAGTCGTGCTCTTCCAAAGCAAGAATCATGTCATAGCCATCTTTTTTTTTTCTTGTAAGAGCTTTATTGAAATATAGTTTACATACCACACAATTCACCCGTTTAAAGGAATCCCCTCTCCTGCCAGTCAATGCTTTTTGGGTTTCACAGAATTGTGAAACCATCAGTACAACCAATTTTAGACGAATTTTATCATCCCCAAAGGAAACCTCATACCTATCAGCAGCTACTCCTCATTTCCTCTGAAATCCTCCAGTCTTAGCTTTTACTAATCTAGTTTCTGTTCCTATAGATTGCCTAGCCTGGACATTTCATGTAATGCATTACACTATGATGTTTCACGACTGGCTTCTTTCACTTAGTATAATGTTTTGAAGGTTCATCCATGTTATAGCATTTACCAGTACTTTATTTCTTTCAATTGCTTAATACTCCCTTATGTGGATACACAGTAGTTTCCTCTTATCTGGGGGGCATATGTTCCGAGTTCTCCAGGGAATGCTTGAAACCACAGATAGCACCAAATCCTATATATACTATGTTTTTTTCTATATATAGATACTTAGGATAAAGTTTAATTTATAAATTATAAGATAAAAATAGAAATAAAAATAAATTAGGCTCAGTAAGATATTAACAACAGCAATAACTAAATAGAACAATTCATAAAAATATGCCAGCATCACTGCTTTTGTGCTTTAGGGCCATTATCAAGAAAAATATGGGTGACTTGAATACAAGAACTGTGATACTGTAACTGTCAATCTGATAGTTACTAAGTGACTAATGGTGTTATAGAGAACATAGATGCACAGGACAAAGGGATGATTCACTTCCTGGGAAGGATGGAGTGGGATGACATAAGATTTTATCATGCTACTCAGAACAAGACACAGTTTCAAACTTTTTTTTTTTTTTTTTGAGACAGCGTTTCCACTCTGTCACCCAGGCTGGAGCACAGTGGCTCAGTCTCTGCTCACTGCAACCTCTGCCTCCCAGGTTCAAGCAATCCTCCCGCCTCAGCCCCGCAAGCAGCTGGGACCACAGGCATGCGCCACCATGCCTGGCTACTTTTTGTATATTTTGTAGAGATGAGGTTTCACCAAGTTGGCTAAGCTGGTTTTGAACTCTGGGCCTCAAGTGATCTGCCTGTCTTGGCTTCCCAAAATGCTGGGATTACAGGAGTGAGCCACTGCACCTGGCCTGCACAATTTAAAACTCATAAATTGTTTATTTCTGGAGTTTTTCATTTCACATTTTCCCAATGCAATTGACTGTATGTAACTGAAACTGCAGAAGGTGAAACTGCGGATGAGAAGAAGCACTACTGTACTACATTACATTTGTCCATTCATTAGTTGATGGACATTTGGGTTGTTTTCACTTTGGGACTATTATGAATAATGCTGCTAAGAGCATTTGTGTACAAGTTTTTGTGTATGCATATATTTTCATTTCTCTGGGTATACATACACCTAGGAATGGTAACTATGTTTAACATTTCGAAGAACTACCAGGCTGTTTTCCAAAGTCACAAGACACGATTTCAAGATTTTTCTTTTTCTTTGAGACAGATTCTCCACTCTGTCACCCAGGCATTGTACCATTTTACCTTCCTGGCATCAGTGCATGAGAGTTTCAGTTTCTCTACATTCTCATCAACATTTGCTCTTATCTGTCTTTTAAATTATAACCATCCTAGTGGGTGTGAAGTGATATCTGATTGTGGTTTTGATTTGCAGTTCCTTGAGAACTAATGATGTTGAGCATTATTTTTGTGGTTACTGACCATTTGTGTATCTTCTTTGCAGAAGTGCCAATTTAGATTCTTGCTTTTATTTGTTTATTTAGTTAGTTTTCAAGACAGAGTCTCTCTCTGTCTCCCAGGCTGGAGTGCAATGGCTTGATCACGGATCACTGCAGCCTTGTCTTCCCAGGCTCAAGCAATCCTCTTGCCTCAGCCTCCCTAGTAGCTGGGACTACAGGTGTGTATCACCACGCCAGGCTAATTTTTGTATTTTTTGTAGAGACAGGGTTTTGCCACGTTGCCCAGGCTGGTCTCAAACTCTTCGGCTCAAGCCATCTGCCCATCTTGACCTCCTAAAGTGCTGGGATTACAAGGCTTCAGCCACCACTCCCAGCCTGCTAAGAGTTTTATGGTTTCACCTCTTATGTTTAGGTCTTTTATTTTATTTTATTTTATTTTTTAATTGATCATTCTTGGGTGTTTCTTGCAGAGGGGGATTTGGCAGGGTCATAGGACAATAGTGGAGGGAAGGTCAGCAGATAAACAAGAGAACAAAGGTCTCTGGTTTTCCTAGGGAGTGGTGATGACTCTTAACGAGCATGCTGCCTTCAAGCATCTGTTTAACAAAGCACATCTTGCACCGCCCTTAATCCATTTAACCCTGAGTGGACACAGCACATGTTTCAGAGAGCACAGGGTTGGGGGTAAGGCCACAGATCAACAGGATCCCAAGGCAGAAGAATTTTTCTTAGTACAGAACAAAGTGAAAAGTCTCCCATGTCTACTTCTTTCTACACAGACACAGCAACCATCCGATTTCTCAATCTTTTCCCCACCTTTCCCCCTTTTCTATTCCACAAAACCGCCATTGTCATCATGGCCCGTTCTCAATGGGCTGTTGGGTTCACCTCCCAGACGGGGTGGTGGCCGGACAGAGGGGCTCCTCACTTCCCAGTAGGGGCGGCCGGGCAGAGGCGCCCCTCACCTCCCGGACGGGGCGGCTGGCCGGGTGGGGGGCTGACCCCCACCTCCCTCCCGGACGGGGCGGCTGCCGGGCGGAGACGCTCCTCACTTCCCAGACGGGGTGGCTGCTGGGCGGAGGGGCTCCTCACTTCTCAGACGGGGCGGCCGGGCAGAGACGCTCCTCACCTCCCAGATGGGGCGGCGGGGCAGAGGGGCTCCTCACATCCCAGAGGATGGGCGGCCAGGCAGAGACGCTCCTCACTTCCCAGACGGCGTGGCAGCTGGGCAGAGGCTGCAATCTCGGCACTTTGGGAGGCCAAGGCAGGTGGCTGGGAGGTGGAGGTTGTAGCGAGCCGAGATCACGCCACTGTACTCCAGCCTGGGCAACATTGAGCACTGAGTGAACAAGACTCCGTCTGCAATCCTGGCACCTCAGGAGGCCGAGGCTGGCGGATCACTCGCGGTCAGGAGCTGGAGACCAGCCCGGCCAACAGCGAAACCCCGTCTCCACCAAAAAAATACGAAAACCAGTCAGGTGTGGCGGCGCGTGCCTGCAATCGCAGGCACTCGGCAGGCTGAGGCAGGAGAATCAGGCAGGGAGGTTGCAGTGAGCCGAGATGGCAGCAGTCCAGTCCAGCCTCAGCTAGGCATCAGAGGGAGACCGTGGAAAGAGAGGGAGAGGGAGACCGTGGGGAGAGGCAGAGGCAGGGGCAGGGGCAGGGGCAGGGGCAGGGGCAGAGGCAGAGGCAGAGGCAGACTGTTTAGGTCTTTAATGGGAGAGGGAGACTGTTTAGGTCTTTAATCCATTTTGAGTTAACTTTTGTGTGTGGTATAAGGTAAGAGTCCAACTTCATTCTTTTGGATGTACATATCCAATTGTTTCAGCACCATTTATTGAATTGTCTTAGCACTTCTGCTAAAAATCAATTGACTCTAAATGTGAGATCTATTTCTAGACTCTCAGTTCTATTCCATTGATCTATATGTCTATCCTTTTGTCAGTGATACTCTGTCTTGATACTGAAACTTGGTAGTAAGTTGTGAAATTAGAAAATGAGTCCTTCAACTTTGTTCTTCTTTAAAATTGTTTTGACTCTTTGGGGTCCCTTGCAATTCCATATGAATTCCTGTTCCCCCACCCTGAGAAACACATAGTTTCTCAGACCACAGCCATTCCTTATTGACCCACTAGCATAGAATAAATTAGTAACTTCCAGTTGCAATCATTATGGACGATTATTGACCCAGTCCTCAAATCAGAAAGGTCCGGGTGGGTAAGGGGCTCCTATTACTGATGAGGAGTGGACATAGACTGGGTCCCAGGGTCACTGTCCTGAGCATGGTAAGAATGAACTTGAGCACGACTCATGGGGCTGTCTGTGGAGCAGATTCCCTCCCCATAAGACAGAGGCCAGATACAGAGCAACCAACCCAGCACAGAAACCCCTCAGTGTGGGGATGCAGAACAAACCTCCAGGAATTCCTGCATTCTGGGGAATATGTGCCCTGGCAGCTTTGAAACAAGGGAATGACATCATACTAGACAACCTAAAGTAGTTCCCTCTTCAAAACCTCTGAAAGAGTTGAATAAAATATCGTCCACATTCTTTTAAATGCACACCTGAACTAACAGAAAAGTGAAGAAAATCACCAGGGGCCAAAAATAGAGAGAGAGGTAACTGGAGCAATCATTATGGGCTCGGGCTAAGGCTGTCTTGGGGCCTTGGTCTCAGCAACCCAGGGGCATGGCTTTTAACACATTACAATGCAAGGAGTAAGGAACTTGTGCCCTGATGAAGTGAGAATTCAGAACATAATAAGAGTGGACTAGAAAGCAATGCTCTTCCCACCCTCATCCTAGAAAAAAAACAAAGCAACTCATTTGTTTCAGCCTGTGTCTGGGTAAAGGAAAAAAAAGAGTCTCCTGAGCATTTGCAACACAAGCCCAGTACTCCTGGGGATCAAGGGTGTGGGTTCCCGCTTCCCAGGGTGGGTAGTTGAAGGGGTGGGTTGCCCCTCCACACCTGTGGGTGTTTCTCTTAAGGTGGAACGAGAGACTTGGAAAAGAAAAAGACACAGAGACAAAGTATAGAGAAAGAAATAAGGGGACCCGGGGAACCAGCGTTCAGCATATGGAGGATCCTGCCAGCCTCTGAGTTCCCTTAGTATTTATTCATCATTCGTGGGTGTTTCTCTGAGAGGGGGATGTGTCAGGGTCACAAGACAATAGTGGGGAGGGGGTCAGCAGACAAACACGTGAACAAAGGTCTTTGCATCATAGACAAGGTAAAGGATTAAGTGCTGTGCTTTTAGATATGCATACACATAAACATCTCAATGCTTTACAAAGCAGTATTGCTGCCCGCATGTCCCACCTCCAGCCCTAAGGCGGTTTTTCCCTATCTCAGTAGATGGAACATACAATCAGGTTTTATACCGAGACATTCCATTGCCCAGGGACGGGCAGGAGACAGATGCCTTCCTCTTGTCTCAACTGCAAGAGGCATGCCTTCCTCTTATACTAATCCTCCTCAGCACAGACCCTTTACGGGTGTCGGGCTGGGGGAGGGTCAGGTCTTTCCCTTCCCACGAGGCCATATTTCAGACTATCACACGGGGAGAAACCTTGGACAATACCTGGCTTTCTTAGGCAGAGGTCCCTGCGGCCTTCCGCAGTTTTTGTGTCCCTGGGTACTTGAGATTAGGGAGTGGTGATGACTCTTAACGAGCATGCTGCCTTCAAGCATCTGTTTAACAAAGCACATCTTGCACCGCCCTTAATCCATTTAACCCTGAGTTTGACACAGCACATGTTTCAGAGAGCACGGGGTTGGGGGTAAGGTCACAGAATCTCAAGGCAGAAGAATTTTTCTTAGTACATAACAAAATGGAGTCTCCCATGTCTACTTCTTTCTACACAGACACAGTGACAATCTGATCTCTCTTGCTTTTCCCCACAGGTAGTCCTTGAACCAATAACTTGAAAGTAAAAATTAGTCCCTGATCATTTGCTTGGCAACAATTTTAAAGTGTAATAATGAACATGGGAGAAGAGGTGTAGAGCCTCAGGATCTTTCACACACTGCTAGTGAAAATATAAATTTGTGCAGTCACTTTGGAAAACGGTTTGTCATGACCATTACCTCCTAAAGTTGAACATTTACACACTCTATATGACACAGAAGCTCCTTTTGAAGGTGAATGCCCAAGATAGTTGCCCATGAACAACAGGAGATATAAGATGTATATGAATGTTCATAGCAGCATTCCTCACAATAGCAGACATCTGAAGAATCAAAATATCCCTCAGTGGGATAAGGAACAACATAAACTTAGTGAAATTCATGCAATTAAATATTATACAGGAGTCAAAATGAATGAACTGTAGTGACATGCAGTAACATAAATGAATCTTAGCAATATAATATTAAATGAAAAGAGCAAATCCTGAAAGATTATAGATCATACATAGCATAATACCCTGTGAGTTATTTAGGAATATATATACATATATATTTCTTTGCACATATATATATTTCTTTGCATATATACATATTTATGTATATATACATATATAGAAGAATTCATGAGAATCAGAATTCCATCCCCTTTGGTAATTTATTGTTTTGTCCTAAATGCTCCTTCTTGAGGGCTTTGTTTCTAAGAGTACTCTTTGTTTTTAATATGAAGTATGGTGCCATCAACGTGAATATGCACCACCATGCTCTCTCCCCCACAGGACTGCGCCAGTGCCTACAAGCTCCCCATTAGACCCTTATCTCTTCCAGTCAGATGTTGACATTGCCAGTTCCTCCTTGGAACCTTTATTACTTCTATTTATATCATTGCGGCTGTGTATGAACGTGAATTCTAACCCAGTTATGGGCAGAGGGGAGGGGTTGGAATGAAGAGTCTTCGAGCAGGGGGAAGGGTGAAAAGAGACTGACAATTCAAACATGTACAGGGTGATTTAGGGACAGGGTACTAAAGAATAGAGTACAGGAAACCTGACACCTTGCAGATGTAACGAGAGACAGGATTCAGGGTAAGATTTCTTTTTTGTAAATTCAATGAGGCCTCCCTTCCCTGGCCACCTCTGCCTGCTTCAATATCTACCTCCTTAAAGTCGCCTCTTACTGTGCTTATTGTTATATTTACTCATAATATCCTTGGGACACTTTTTTCACTGTGGTCCTGAGCTGTTATTGAGGTGATAAATTGCTGAACTTTTCGCCAATTTATATCTCTGATTTCCAGTTAAATCATAAGAAAAGTGTCCTTAAGTAATATGCTCATTCATCCATTCAGCTTAGTCCATTCATTATTACAGCCTCAAGTGCTGTAGGGACTTCAGAAATTTTCTTGTCCAACCATCTCATTTTATAAATGAAAAGGTGAGGCTTAAATTGGAGGACTGACTTATAGTAGGATCTACAGGGGTAGTTCTTGGCACGCACAAAATGTCAGCTACTGGTGACACTGAATAGATCTGACATCCTCAGTGACCAGATGAAACATTCAATGTTATCTTCTCCAATGACAAGAATCTACAGTACAGCAAAGTAACCTGAATGGACATACTATAGTCACTTTTGTGGAGTAGCAGATAAAAGGGGCTATTTCCTAACATACGCCAAACCTAGAGGGCAGCCCAAGTCCTTGGGGGGTCACAATAATAAGTCCATGTTTCTAAGAGCCCAGGGAGAATCCTTCAGATCCTGACTTCATCACAAAAACATCACAAAACAAGAGGGAAGGAAAACATACCAATGATCATCTCATTGACATCTCCATTGTCACTCACCAAGAGGGAGATGCTGCCCACTCTGCATAGGACAAATCTGGGAGGCTTGAGGTTGAGGAAGATGTGAGGAATAATCTTCTTCTTCTTCTTCTTCTTCTTCTTCTTCCTCTTCTTCTTCTTCTTCCTCTTCTTCCTCTTCCTCTTCCTCTCCCTCTCCCTCTCCTTCTTCTTCCTCTTCTCCTTCTCCTTTTCCTTCTCCTCCTTCTTCTTCTTCTTCCTCCTCTTCCTCTTCCTCTCCTTCTCCTTCTCTTCCTTCTTCTTCTTGTTCCTCCTCTTCCTCTTCCTCTTCTCCTTCTCCCTCTCCTTCTTTTTTTTTTTTTGAGACACAGTCTCGCTCTGTCGCCCAGGCTGGAGTGCAATGGCACAATCTCAGCTCACTGCAACCTCCACCTCCCGGGTTCAGGCGATTGATTCTCCTACGTCAGCCTCCCAAGTAGCTGGGACTACAGGCATGTGCCACCACACCCGGCTAATTTTTGTATTTTTAGTAGAGATGGGGTTTCACCACGTTGGTCAGGCTGGTCTTGAACTCCTGACCTCAAGTGACCCACCTGCCTCGGCTTCCCAAAGTGCTGGGATTACAGGTGTGAGCCACAGCACCCAATCTGGAATAAAACTTCTTAAATTGAAACTTGTACCAAGATGGCGAGAGGAATGGAGTCTAAGAGGCAATGAATAGAAGTTGTTCTTTCTCAGGAAGACCTGGCCAGCTTGGGGTCAGTTCAACAGTCACCTGATCAATTAAAACATGTCATAACACCAAAAATATAATAACCTTGATGTTATACATAAATATACAAGGTTGTCCATTGTAGCAATGTTTGTATAACAGCTTAAATGTCCATAATAGAGAATTAGCCAATGAATTCTAGTACCTTTAGAATGAAATGCTATGTAGGCAGTAGTCAGGAGGCAGTAGACAATAATGCAGTTCTATATTCATAGGCTTGAAAAATTTCTATGAAGTATTTTTTAGTGAAAAATATTATCATTTACATAAAACCTTTAGATACTATGTAATTTATATATAGTATATGAATACATATAATTAACATTTTATGTGTGTGTGTAATGTTTAGGGTGTATGTTTAGGGAGAACTCTGCAAAGACTACTAACAAAATATTTGCAGTGGTTACTTCTGGGGGTTAGTATTTTGTTCTTTTAAATTTTTTCATAGTGTTCTGTATTGCTTGACTTTTCTATACAATGTTTTCTGTTATAATCAGAAAAATCAATAAAGGTATTTTAAAGTCATTTTGCTTTGTCTTATCTCTCTTTGTGAGAGCATATTGCTTGAAGAGAGGGAAGTCCAGAGAGGAGTAAGGGTGGGTCATACCTGTGGGTGCTGGAGCAAAGCCTGGGCTTATATGCCAGAAGTAGGTGTGATCACTGCCATTTACAGACCTTTATAAGGAGGCTGGGGCTGTCCAACCACATTCTTTCCCACTTTCCATTCAATGTCCTACCAGACTACTTCATATCCCCAGTATGAATGTTGTGAATTTTATGCCTTTTTACCTGCCTAGAGTGGCTTCTTATCTGGCTCACTTTCATCCATACTTCAAGTATCACCTCCACTTTAAAACCTTCCTGGGCTCCACCAGGTAGATACAAAATTGCAAATTTTATGTATACATCTGCTAAATGTGCTAGACTGTGACTTTCTCAATGACAACCATGGTGATTATGATTTTAACTGTGGAGAAGCCAGAAGAAGCACACTGTAGTATTAAAGAATAGTCAATACTGAGGCTGGGTGCGGTGGCTCACGCCTGTAATCCCAGCACTTTGGGAGGGTGAGGTGGGCAGATCACGAGGTCAGGAGTTCGAGACCAGCCTGACCAATATGGTGAAACCCTGTCTCTACTAAAAATACAAAAGTTAGCTGGGCATGGTGGTGCACGCCTGTAGTCCCAACTACTCGGGAGGCTGAGGCAAAAGAATCGCTTGAACCTGGGAGGTGGAGGTTGCAGTGAGCCATTGTGCCACTGCACTCCAGCCTGGGCAACAGAGCGAGACTCTGTCTCAAAAAAAAAAAAAAATAGTCAATACTGTGTTTAGCAGGAAGATAAAACATCAAATACTACAGAGTAACAGACAGCTAGGGCCAGGTTAGTGGTTATGCTACCCAGAATTCCATGCAGGGTGGAAGACGAAAAATGCCAAAATTTCAATCATCAAGTTAGATAAAAAAACTTAAACATGTGGAAAGTCACTCAACCTTAAGTACAAGATACTATTTTTCATCAACTATATTGTTAATAATAAACAAGTTTTATGAAGCAACATATTGGTAATGTTATGGAGAAACAGAAACATTTGGACAGGTGCGGTGGCTCATGCCTGTAATCCCAGCACTTTGGGAGACTGAGGTGGGTGGATCTCTTGAGCTCAGGAGTTTGAGACCAGCCTGGGCAACATGACAAAACCCGTTTCTACAAAAAATACAAAGATTAGCAGAGTGTGGTGGCACACGCTTGTATTCCCAGCTACTCAGGAGGCTGAGGTAGGAGGATTGCTTGAGTTTGTGAAGTCAAGGCTACAGTGAGCCAAGATTGTGCCACTGCCCTTCAGCCTGGGTGACAAAGCAAGATCTTGCCTCAAACAAAAACAAAAACAAAACCAGAAGTATTTGCTGGTGGGAGGGTAAATTGGTATAAAGTTTTTGAAAGGCAATTTGGCAATATTTGTCAAAATTTTAAATCTGTTTATTTTTAGCCAAGCAGTTCTACTGAGAATTTAATATCTTACTCATATGCATACACATCTATGAAATGACATGTATGCAAAGTTACTCACTGGAGCATTTTTCTTTGTAATAGCAAATTTTGTAAACAACTTGAAATTCATTAATAAAGAGGGGTCAAGGCTGGGCACGGTGGCTCATGCCGGTAATCCCAGCACTTCGGGAGGCCGAGGCAGGCAGATCACGAGGTCAGGAGATTGAGACCATCCTGGCTAACACGGTGAAACCCCGTCTCTACTGAAAATACAAAAAAAAATTAGCCTGGCGTGGTGGCGGGCGCCTGTAATCCCAGCTACTGAGGGTAGGAGGCTGAGGCAGGAGAATGGTGTGAACCTGGGAGGCAGAGCTTGCAGTGAGCCAAGATCGCGCCACTGCACTCCAGCCTGGGCAACAGTGCGAGACTCCGTCTCTAAAAACAATAAAAAGTAAAATAAAATAAATAAATAAATAAATAAAGAGAGGTCAAATAAATTACCAAACATCCACACAATGGAATATGCTGTAGTCTTTTAAAAAAGTAAAGGTGCTTTAGGTGTACTGATTTGGAATGATCTCTAAGATGCAGCTTAAAATGAAAAAACGCAAAGTGCATAATAGTATTTATAATATGTTAAAAGTTGTGAATATAAAGGGATATATATGTTTCATCCAAAGATATACATAAGTGTATACATAAGTGTATAGTATAAGATACACACTTACATATGTCTTTGGTTGAAGATACACACTCCTGAAGCCCTAGTTAGCTGGGGTTGCTATAACAAAATACTACAGACTGTGTGGCTTAAGAAGATGTGGGGAAAAGCAAGAGAGATCAGATTGTCACTGTGTCTGTGTAGAAAGAAGTAGACATGGGAGACTCCATTTTGTTATGTACTAAGAAAAATTCTTCTGCCTTGAGATTCTGTTAATCTATAACCTTACCCCCAACCCCGTGCTCTCTGAAACATGTGCTGTGTCAACTCAGAGTTAAATGGATTAAGGGCGGTGCAAGATGTGCTTTGTTAAACAGATGCTTGAAGGCAGCATGCTCCTTAAGAGTCATCACCACTCCCTAATCTCAAGTACCCAGGGACACAAAAACTGCCGAAGGCCGCAGGGACCTCTGCCTAGGAAAGCCAGGTATTGTCCAAGGTTTCTCCCCATGTGATAGTCTGAAATATGGCCTCGTGGGAAGGGAAAGACCTGACCATCCCCCAGCCTGACACCCGTAAAGGGTCTGTGCTGAGGAGGATTAGTATAAGAAGAAGGCATGCCTCTTGCAGTTGAGACAAGAGGAAGGCATCTGTCTCCTGCCTGTCCCTGGGCAATGGAATGTCTTGGTATAAAACCCGATTGTACGTTCTATCTACTGAGATAGGGAAAAACCGCCTTAGGGCTGGAGGTGGGACATGCGGGCAGCAATACTGCTTTGTAAAGCATTGAGATGTTTATGTGTATGCATATCTAAAGCACAGCACTTAATCCTTTACCTTGTCTATGATGCAAAGACCTTTGTTCACGTGTTTGTCTGCTAACCCTCTCCCCACTATTGTCTTGTGACCCTGACACATCCCCCTCTCGGAGAAACACCCACGAATGATCAATAAATACTAAGGGAACTCAGAGGCTGGCGGGATCCTCCATATGCTGAACGCTGGTTCCCTGGGCCCCCTTATTTCTTTCTCTATACTTTGTCTCTGTGTCTTTTTCTTTTCCAAGTCTCTCGTTCCACCTTACGAGAAACACCCACAGGTGTGGAGGGGCAACCCACCCCTTCAAGAAGAGAAATTTATTTCTCACAATTCTGGATGAAAGAAATTTGAGACTGAGTTGTCAGCAGGGTTGGTTGGTTTCTTCTGAGGTCTCTTTCCTTGGCATGTTGATGACTGTCTTCTCCCTGTATCTTCACATGGTATCTTCACATGGTCTTCCCTCTGTGTGTGTCTGTATCCTATAATGTCTTCTTCATTTTTTTTTTTTTTTTGAGGCAGAGTCTTGCTCTTGTCCCCCAGGCTGGAGTGCAATGGCTCAATCTTGGCTCACTGCAACCTCCTCCTCTCGGGTTCAAGCGATTCTTCTGCCTCAGCCTCCCAAGTAGCTGGGACCACAGGAGTGTGCCACCAAGCCCAGCTAAGTTTTGTATTTTCAGTAGAGATGGAGTTTCGCCCTGTTGGCCAGGCTGGTCTTTAACTCCTGGCCTCAAGTGATCCACCCGCCTTGGTATCGCAAAGTGCTGGGATTACAGGCGTGAACCCTGTCACCGGACCACAATTTATGCCTTTCTATTACACACTGAGGTCAGAAACTACCGTTTGGGAAGATCCTCTGTCCCTTCATCCTCGTCTGTCTCAGCCTCTAACTGCCTGCCTAGCCACCTTTCTAAAAATAAAAACTGCTTTCTCCTTTTCAGAGGAATTTAATGACTGGGGTGGCTAACTAAGAGCTGTGCTCATCTCAGATAAAGTTCATGGCAGAATCAGATTTTTTTTTTTGAGATGGAGTTTCACTCATTGCCCAGGCTGGAGTGCAATGGCACGATCTCAGCTCACCGCAACCTCCGCCTCCCAGGTTCAAGCGATTCTCCTGCCTCAGCCTCCGAAGTAGCTGGAATTACAGGCACCCGCTGCCGTGCCCGGGTAATTTTTGTATTTTTAGTAGTGATGGTGTTTCACCATGTTAGCCAGGCTGGTCTCGAACTCCTGACCTCAGGTGATCCGCCCATCTCAGCCTCCCAAAGTGCTGGGATTACAGGCGTGAGTTACCGCGCCCAACCTAGACACTTCTTCAAGAATCTGGTTCTAGGTCAGGTGTTGGGAGCAAGCCCCCCAAAATCTGGCCATAAACTGGCCCCAAAACTGGTCATAAATAAAACGCAACATGTCCATAATGGCCATAACACCCAAGCTGGAAGGTTGCAGGTTTACGGGAATGAGGGCAAGGAACACCTGGCCCACCCAGGGCGGAAAACTGCTTAAAGGCATTCTTAAGCCACAAACAAAAGCCTGAGTGATCTGTGTCTTAAGGGCGTGTTCCTGTTGCAATTAAGTAGGCCCAAGTCTTGAGGATTAGCATTCTTGATTTTACGTTATTTGATGCAGAAAGGGAGTCAGATACAATCTATAAGAGCAGGAAATCCCCAAGTATGTTTTAGCAGGGAAGGCATGACACAATTTCTTCAGAAGTAAACTTACCCTCCTAATTATGGATGCCTGGGATTACAATTACAGATAAATAGCATTTCCAAAGACTAAGGTTCTTCCTGCTTCCTTCTCCAAAGCCCTTCTGGCAAAGCTCCCTGAGCCGTAGGTGCTGCAGAGGTGGGTGAGGCAGGCTCGGGGAGCAGGCCTGACCAGAGGCCCAGAGGCGAGAGCAGGACAGAAGTAAGATGCCTTGTCTGTATTCCCCTAGAAGGGAGGGCTTGCCACCCAGCTGCAGGGACTCCAGGGCTCAGCTGCAGGGTCTCCAGGACTCAGTTGATTTGTGCTCTGCCTCAGCTGTAAAGTGGCCCCACACACAGTCATGCCCCCTCCTGGGGCAGCCTGCATCTGGTTGCCGAATGAAGTGGGGACCTAATCTTAGATGCTGACAAGCAATCCTCACTCCCCACCTCTACTAGGGGCTCCTGAGCATTTTGTCAGGCCCGCATCACAGTTCAACTTGTTCCTGGGCCTGATCCTGCTTCTTCCCTTTCCTTTCAGAGGTGCTGATCCTTAATAAGCATATTGTATCCCCAAACTCCTTTTTAATGTCTGCTGGAAAACCCACCCTGTGACAGTGGGTTAGGCGATAGAGAGTAGGCCCAGCTGCAGATATAGAAAGAAGAGGTCTCTCTGGCCAAGTCTAACCCACATCAGCTCTGGGGCCCCGTTTGAGGAAGAGATGTTCTAGCTGGTGGGCAAAGCACAGTGCTGTACACAGAAGGGCCGGTGGTGCTCAGCTCCAGGGGGCCTGTCAAAGGCAATGTGCATCTTAACTGTGATTCTGTTCTGTTCCCCATCATATCCCGATGTAGGCCCTTACCGTATTTCTCCTGAATCATTTTGTAGTCTTCTAATTCTTCTTGTCTTTCACCAGACTGATCTTTCTGAAACCCATATCTGATTATGTCATTCTCTTCCATAAAACCTTTCAAAGACTCCCCTTAAACCTCAGGATCAGGCCCAAATGACTTAACTTGAATTATCATTGCCTTGAGATCTGGCCTTGGTTTGCTGTAAGCTTATCTCTTGCAGCTCTGGACTCAGTCAGCCCCTTTCCCATTTCTCACCATTGCCACTTAATGGTCTGAGGGGGGCTTTTCCTGTTACTGCACGCACCAGAGCCAACAGCTGAAAACAGTAGGCAACAGTACTCTCCCTACTAAAGAGCGCTGCCAACTTAGGCACAACCACCTTCCTGGGGCTTTTTAAGAGTTAGCAGAGCAGCCCTGATGCCCTACCAACCACCACAAACACCCCCCACCACATCCCAAGTCTGGGGAGAATGGAGGCTGGTAGAGTGATGGAGATGGCAAAGGCAGACAGCAGAGTATCCTGAGGACATGGTCTGCCGCATTTCACACTGGAGGGCTGTGCTCTGGGCCAGGCCACTCAGCAGAGGGGCAGACTATTGGGTTGGGAGCAGTGGAGGCGGGAAGATAGCAGAGGTGTGCAATGCCTAACCTTGTTTTTTACTCTAGCTCGCTACTTTAAATTTTCCCTTTTTTTGTCTCCTTAATTCCCAGCCATGTTTCCCATATGAATAGACTCTCCCTGGCTGGGAAAGCCGGATAAACTCCATTTGACCTTTTGATTTACAAGACATTAAGTGCTCCATACCCAACCCCCTTCCTCAAGGAGTTAACCTGTGTAAGCAGATCCTCAGCATTTCATAGGAGCCCAGTTAACTGATAAGGTACTGGAACAAACCATGTATGAAGTTCCCAGGATTTTTCTCAAAGAGATAACAACATAAAGCCTTGAGTTCGTGTCCGGCATAGCATCTATATCTAACTCTAATGAAGGATTTAGAGCCCTGCACCTGGTACCGTTGCTTTTTGTAATCATTTGTCTTTTAAATTGTTTATCTCTCTGTAACCATTTGCTTCTTTTGATTCTTGCATGTTTTTACTTCTGTAGAATTATTGCATTTGAGTTCCCTCCCTTTCCTAAACCAAGGTATAAAAGTTAATCAAGCCCCTTCCTCGGGGCCAAGAGAATTTTGAGCATTAGCCGTCTCTTTGGCCGCCAGCTTAAATAAAGGACTCTTAATTCGTCTCAAAGTGTGGCGTTTTCTCTAACTCGTTTGGGTGTAACAGGTGGACTTCCCATCTGGGAGCACCCAGAAGTGCTCTCATCTGAGCCCATGGCGGACCCAACACCTAAATGCCTGCTACCCCGAGGGCAAGGAGGCCAGGCTGTGTTAGCCAGAGGGTCACAGAGACCACAGAGAGGATCACGACAATGGCTGGTTAGAGAGTGACATTCACCCCATGCCCTTCTCTCTTGTCCACCCCTCACAGGAAGTGCTGGTTGTCATCAGAATTCCAGCTCCAATCTTGATAAGTGAGTTTGAAGGGTTTTTTTGTTTTTTTTTTTTTGAGACAGAGTCTCTCACTCTGTTGTCCAGGCTGGAGTGCAGTGGCGTGATTTCAGCTCACTGCAACCTCCACCTCCTGGGTTCATGCGATTGTCTTGCCTCAGCCTCCCAAGTAGCTGGGACTACAGGCACGCACCACCACGCCCAGATAATTTTTGTATTTTTACTAGAGACAGGGTTTCACCATGTTGGCCAGGATGGTCTTGATTTCTTGACCTCGTGATCCGCCCGCCTCAGCCTCCCAAAGTGTTGGGATTACAGGCATGAGCCACCATGCCTGGCTGAGTCTGAGATTTTAAACTACCTTTTAATAAACTAGAAAGCGGGATCTGAAAGAGGGTGGCTGAAGACAGTAACTCAAAAAGAAAACGATTTTGTGTTTGTGCCCCATCATTATACTTTAGAATGCTGCCATCTTCCTTACACCCCAGCAGGACCACCTGCTTCTCATATCTACTCCAGAAAAGGGTGGCATGTCAGGCAGGAGCCAGCTACACTGTGTCCCTCCAACTAGGAACTTGGATGGGCTAGGGATGCCAGCATTTCTCCCTTCCCTTCGATCTCAGCAGTAACACCAGTTGGCTGAACACTTTCCACTTGCCAGGCAGTGTTTAAATTATTGATGTGTGGCCGGGAGCGGTGGCTCACACCTGTAATCCCAGCACCTGGGGAGGCCAAGGCAGGCAGATCACCTGTGGTCGAGTTTGAGACCAGCCTGGCTAACATAGTGAAACCCTGTCTCTACTAAATATATATAATATATATTATATTTATATGTATTATTTTTGTATATGTATATACTTATGTGTATATATTATATGTGTGTATATATACACACACACAAAATTTAGCTGGGTGTGGTGGCACACGCCTGTTATCCCAGATACCTGGGAGGCTGAGCCATGAGAATTGCTTGAACCAGGGAGGCAAAGGTTGCAGTGAGCTGAGATTGCGCCACTGCACTCCAGCTTGGGCATCAGCTGTCTCAAAATAAAAAAATAAAAAAATAATGAATGTCTGTCCAATTCAAGCTTGTTATTTAAAGAGCAGACCATACCTGCTCCCTGCATGACGTCTCTTACCACCTCTAAAACTGCTGCCAGCCAGGCAGTAATGACACAGTTGGTATCTTTGCAATATTTGCTGATATTGACCCCTCCCTTCTTGAAAATTCTGCCTTATTTGGTTTGTGTGACATCACTCCCTGTGGGGTTTCTCTTCCCACTGAGTACTCTTTTTCAGACCCATAGATTGGTTTCTAGCCAGCTTTCTTGCTATGCCTCCATATTGATATAACCCTGGACTCCATTCTGAGCACTCTTCTCACTTGATTCTCTACCTTAGTAATTGTCTCCTTGACTGGGGCATTAGTTACTGCAGCTATGTGAATTTGATATGTTCAGACAGCCACACTCCAAACCCATAGATCTTTGGCTAATGGTTGGCTCTACCAGAGTGTCCTTCAGGCAACCTAAACTGATCATTTCCAAGGTTGAACATATCATCTCCCATAAAGCCAGTTCTTTTTGACATAACCCAATCAGGAGAATAATTCCTAAGACTGGAACAAGCCTTCTCTCTCTCCCAACCCCACCGATCACTTGCCAAATTCTTTTATTTCTACATTTTTTTTTCTCAGAGATAGGGTCTTGGTCTGTGTCACCCAGGCTGTAGTGCAGTGGTGGTGTCACAGTTCACTGCAGCCTTGAACTCCAAAACTCAAGTGACCCTCTTGCCTCAGCCTCCAGAGTAGCTAGGACTACAGGTGTGTGCCACCAGGCTTGGCTAATTAAGAAAAAAAATCTGTGTGTGGTGATCTGGTGATCTTGCTATGTTGCCCAGGCTATCTCAAACTCCTGGCCTCAAGTGATCCTCCCACCTCAGCCTCTCAAAATGTTGGCATTACAGGTGTGAGCCACCACACCCAGCCATTATTTCTACCTTTTAAACTAGTGAGTCTCAAACTTTGGTCTCTGAATCCTTTTACACTCTTAAAAATCATTGGTATCTCAAAGAGACTCTATGTAAATGAGCCATATTTATAGATATTTACCATACTAGAAGCTAAAATAAAAAATTTAAAAATATTTCTTTAAGAGGAAGACGCGGTCGTAGGTGCGAGGATTTCTGGTCCGCATGCTCCTGCTCCTGACTCACCGCTGTTCGCTCTCGCCGCCGAGGAACAAGTCGGTCATGAAGCCGCGCAGCAGCCATGGCTTTTAAGGATACCGGAAAAGCACCCGTGGAGCCGGAGGTGGCAATTCACCGAATTCGAATCACCCTAACAAGCCGCAGCGTAAAATCCTTGGAAAAGGTGGGTGCTGACTTGATCAGAGGCGCAAAAGCAAAGAATCTCAAAGTGAAAGGAGGAGTTCGAATGCCTTCCAAGACTTTGAGAATCACTACAAGAAAAACTCCTTGTGGTGAAGGTTCTAAGACGTGGGATCGTTTCCAGATGAGAATTCACAAGCGACTCTTTGACTTGCACAGTCCTTCTGAGATTGTTAAGCAGATTACTTCCATCAGTACTGAGCCAGGAGTTGAGGTGGAAGTCACCATTGCAGATGCTTAAGTCAACTATTTTAATAAATTGATTACCAGTTGTTAAAAAATATATATATATATTTATTTAAAATAATAAACCCATCACATATTGACATAACTAATAAGCCCACCACATATTTACAAGAATCACACATTGACACATTAACACTAACATTTCTATTAGAAAACTATTTTCCAAAACAAAAAAAATAAGAAGAGTTGCACTGCTTTACATTTTTGTAAATCTCTTAATGTCGCTTAACAGAAGGAGCTGAATTACAATATCTGCTTCTCTTGCAATATATTCAGTTGCAACCAAAATGCAATGATTTTGTTTGAAGTATACAGAGAAAAATTCATCCTCAAACAGGTAAGTAGATGGAAAAGGTAGGGGAGTTTTAACATCATTTTTAGGTAATTGTAGATACTTCTTTTGTTGCTACACCAAAGCTCAACAAGTGGTAGTTTCTTAAAGGTTAGCTGTAAAGTAGATTCTGAAATCATATCAGTGAATTTTTTGTACTCTGTTATATTAAAATCTACTGGGTTATTTTATACTTTGAATGAATCTTTTACCCCTTAATGCATGACCTTGTGACATTGTGTGCTGGGCTTTGAAAATTTTATTCACTGAGTCATGTATACCTTCCTGACATTGACCCATTTCCCTCTAAATATCAAGTAATCACATTTGATGTTTGCACCACTGTATTGCTTTGTAGGGCTGCCGTAACAGAGTACCACAAATTGTGTAGTTTTTTATAATAACAGAAATCTATTCTGTCACATTTCTGAAGGCTGGAAGTCTGAGATCAAGATGTTGGCAGGGTGGTTTCCTCCTTAAAGGGCTAAAGGAGAATCCTTTCATGCCCCTCTCTGAGTTTCTGGTGGTGGTGTGAAGTCCTTGGTATTTCTTGGCTTGTAGCTGCATTACATCAGTTTCTGCCTCTGTTTTCACAGGCCTACTTCCTTGGGTGTGGCTACATTTCTGTATCCAAATTTATACTCATAACACCAGTTCATTGAATTTGGGGCCTCCTCTAATCCAGTATGACCTCATGGTAACTCAAGTGTATCTGAAAACCCTGTTTGCCAAGGTCACAATCATAGATATAAAAAATTAGGACTTCAACATGTCTTTTTTGGAGCCACAATTCAACCCACAACACCCATTAGTGTCATCAGAAAAATGTTCAAGAATTGGGAACCTGTCAGATTCACAGGGGTGGGTACAAGTCTTCCAAAATTCTAATTTTTACCTGAAAACTTAGTTTTCATCATTGGCAAAAAATACAACTAGTAACAAACACTAAAATAAAAACTAGAAAAATTTGTTATTCTTGAAGTGAGAGGTTCACTTTATTGACTTTTAAGAAAACGTCTCCCAAATATGCAAGTCTGATAACCCTAGTTTATACTAGTAATTTTCTTTCAGGTGAAATCATATTTACCATACTAGAAGTTAAAAGTATGGTAAAACTTTTAATATAAAAGTTTTTTTCATGTTCCATAAAAAAATAAAACGGTTAGTTCAGTTCATAACTTAACTACAAAAGCGCTCTTCCTTGGGACAATCATCATATTTTACTCTGCAACTAAAATGCTTTGTATATCCTTCGTATATCGCATCACACAGAGTATTAAAAGGTTGTGGGCACAGTGGCTCATGCCTGTAATCCCAGCATTTTGAGAGGCTGAGGCAGGCAGATTACTTGAGCCCAGGAGTTTGAGACCAATCTGGGCAACAGAGTGAGACCCTGTCTTTACAAAACAAACAAACAAAAATTAGCTGGGCCTGGTGGTGCATGCCTGTGGTCCCAACTACCAGGAAGGTTGAGGTGGGAGAATTGCTTGAGCCCAGGAAGTCAAAGCTGCAGGGAGCTGAGATCACGCCACTGCATTCCAGCCTGAGCAATCGAGCAAAAACCCTACCTAAAAAAAAAAAAAGGAGGCTGGTGATTCAGGAATGATAGAAAAAAAAGGATATGTACTCAAAGGTAAAGACTTAATAAAAATTAATAATATTTATTGCTTCATAAAGGATATTTAAAAAACTTTTTTTTCCCTGTGAGTTGATGGTGGTGAAGCACGCAAGACTACTAGTGGACTTTAGTGCCTCATTGTACTAAGACACTAACAGTTTTACCCATTATTTCTTTTGCACTATTAGTGCAAATGTCAACACAGTGAAAAACCCAAATATGATCTTACTGTAATTGTGAAAATAGTTGTGACCTCATGGACCCCCTGAAAGTGTCTGTAGACCATATTTTGATAACCACGGTCCTAAAGAACTCTCCACCAACTCTACCTCTGCCTTAGGACTCATGAGTTCTTAGGAAGACTGTTACAGTAATCATCACCATAACCAGTTCTCTCTCTCTCCAAAGCTGTCCCCTTCTATCAGTCTTCCACACAGCCAGAGTGAGCGTTCAGAAAAGTATCAGTGGGACATTCTTCTGCTTAATACCCTTCAGTGAGTTCCCACTGGCTTTAAGGTCTAAACTCCTTAGCATAGGACATATGATGTAAACTCTTCATCTAGCAATGACTTATGTTTTCCACCTGTTCTCCAGCCATATTCTCCACATGTCTTCCAATTCAGCCAGACCAGTTCTCTTAATCTATCATGCTGTTCTCCCTGCCAGGAATATCCTCATCTCCTCACTTTTTATCTGGCTAAATCTTTACTTACTTTTAAAAGTCAGCGTCTGTTATCTCCTCCAGGAAGACACCCTGGATCATCTTCCTGGTTCATCAAAAGGATTAGCAGATTTTCCTTCTCTATATTTCCATGACATCGTGTGCTTAGTTCTATTATAGCATTTTTTTTTTTTTTTTTTGAGACAGAGTCTTGCTCTGTTGCCTGGACGGGAGTGCAGTGGCACGATCTTGGCTCACTGCAAACTCCACCTCCCAGGTTCAAGCAAATCTCCAGCCCCATCCTCCCAAGTAGCTGGGACTACAGGTGCACACTACCATGTCCAGCTATTTTTTTTCTATTTTTTAAAATTATTATACTTTACGTTCTGGGGTACATGTGCAGAATGTGCAGGTTTGTTACATAGGTATACATGTGCCATGGTGGTTTGCTACACCCATCAACCCATAATCTACGTTAAGTATTTCTCCTAATGCTATCCCTCCTTTACTCCCTGCAACCCCTGGCAGGTCTCAGTATGTGATGTTCCCCTCCCTGTGTCCATGTGTTCTGATTGTTCAGCTACCACTTATGAGTGAGAACATGTGGTGTTTGGTTTTCTGTTCTTGTGTTAGGTTGCTGAGAATGATGGTTTCCAGCTTCATCCATGTCCCTGCAAAGGACAAGAACTCATCCTTTTTTATGGCTGCATAGTATTCCATGGTGTATATGTGCCACATCTTCTTTATCCAGTCGATCATTGATGGGCATTTGGGTTGGTTCCAAATCTTTGCTATTGTGAACAGTGCCACAATAAACATACATGTGCGTATGTCTTCATAGTAGAATTATTTTTAATCCTTTGGGTGTATACTCAGTAATGGGATTGCTGGGTCAATTAGTATTTCTAATTCTAAATCCTTGAGGAACCACCACACTGTCTTCCACAATGGTTGAATTAATTTACACTCCCATCAACAATGTAAAAGCATTCCTATTTCTCCACATCCTCCCCAGCATCTGTTGTTTCCTGACTTTTTAATGATTGCCATTCTAACTGGCATGAGATGGTATCTCACTGTGCTTTTGATTTGCATTTCTCAAATGACCAGTGATGATGAGCTTTTCTTCATATGTTTGTTGGCTGCATAAATGTCTTCTTTTGAGGAGTGTCTGTTCATATCCTTTGCCCACTTTTTGATGGGGTTGTTTTATTCTTGTAAATTTGTTAAAGTTCGTTGTAGATTCTGGATATTAGCCCTTTGTCAGATGGATAGATTGCAAAAATTTTCTCCCATTCTGTAGGTTGCCTGTTCACTCTGATGATAGTTTCTTCTGCTGTGCAGAAGCTGTTTAGTTTAATTAGATCCCATTTGTTAATTTTGGCTTTTGTTGCCATTGCTTTTGGTGTTTTAGTCATGAAGTCTTTGCCCATGCCTATGTCCTGAATGGTATTGCCTAGGTTTTCTTCTAGGGTTTTTATGGTTTTAGGTCTTATGTTTAAGTCTTTAATTCATCTTGACTTAATTTTTGTATAAGGTGTAAGGAAGGGATCCAGTTTCAGTTTTCTGCATGTGGCTAGCCAGTTTTCCCAACACCATTTATGAAATAGGGAATCCTTTCTCCATTGCTTGTTTTTGTCAGGTTTGTCAAAGATCAGATGCTTGTAGATGTGTGGTATTATCTCTGAGGCCTCTGTTCTGTTCCATTAGTCTATATATCTGTTTTGGTATCAGTACCATGCTGTTTTGGTTACTGTAGCCTTGTAGTATAGTTTGAAGTCAGGTAATGTGATGCCTCCAGCTTTGTTCTTTTTGCTTAGGATTGTCTTGGCAATGTGGGCTCTTTTTTAGTTTCATATGAAATTCATACTAGTTTTTTTCCAATTTTTTGAAGAAAGTCAATGGTAGCTTGATGGGGACAGCACTGAATCTATAAATTACTTTGGGCAGTATGGCCTTTTTAACGATATTGATTCTTCTTATCCATGAGCATGGAATGTTCTTCCATTTGTTTGTGTCCTCTCTTATTTCATTGAGCAGTGATTTGTAGTTCTCCTTGAAGAGGTCCTTCACATCCCTTGTAAGTTGGATTCCTAGGTATTTTATTCTTTTTGTAGCAATTGTGAATGGCTCTCTGTTTGTCTGTTATTGGTGTATACGAATGCTTGTGATTTTTGTACATTGATTTTGTATCCTGAGACTTTGCTGAAGTTGCTTATCAGCTTAAGGAGATATTGGGCTGAGATAATGGGGTTTTCTAAATATACAATCATGTCATCTGCAAACAGAGACAATTTGACTTCTTCATTTCCTAATTGAATACACTTTATTTCTTTCTCTTGTCCAATTGCCCTGGCCAGAACTTCCAATATTATGTTGAATAGGAGTGGTAAGAGAGGGCATGCTTGTCTTGTGCCGGTTTTCAAAGGGAATGCTTCCAGTTTTTCCCCATTCAGTATGATATTGGCTGTGGGTTTGTCATAAATAGCTCTTATTATTTTGAAATACGTTCCATCAATACCAAGTTTATTGAGAGTTTTTAGCCTGAAAGGCTATTGTATTTTATCGAAGGCCTTTTCTGCATCTATTGAGATAATCATGTGGTTTTTGTCATTGGTTCTGTTTATGTGATGGAGTACGTTTATTGATTTGCATATGTTTAAACAGCCTCGCATCCCAGGGATGAAGCCAACTTGATCTTGGTGGATAAGCTTTTTGATGTGCTGTTGGGTTTGGTTTGCCAGTATTTTATTGAGGATTTTCGCATGGATGTTCATCAGGAATATTGGCCTGTAATGTTCTTTTTTTTTGTTGTGTCTCTGCCAAGTTTTGGTATCAGGATGATGCTGGCCTCATAAAATGAGTTAGGGAGGATTCCCTCTTTTTCTATTGTTTGGAATCATTTCAAAAGGAATGGTACCAGCTCCTCGTTGTACCTCTGGTAGAATTCGGCTGTGAATCCGTCTGATTCTGGATTTTTTTTGGTTGGTAGATTATTAATTACTGCCTCAATTTCAGAGCCTGTTATTGGTCTATTCAGGGACTCGACTTCTTCCTGGTTTAGTCTTGAAAGGGTGTATGTGTCCAGGAATTTATCCATTTCTTCTAGATTTTCTAGTTTATTTGCACAGTGGTGTTTATAGTATTCTCTGATGGTAGCTTGTATTTCTGTGGGATCAGTGGTGATATCCCCTTTATCATTTTTTATTGCTTCTGTTTGATTCTTCTCTCTTTTCTTCTTTATTAGTCTGGCTAGCAGTCTATCTGTTTTGTTGATCTTTTCAAAAAACCAGCTTCTGGATTCATTTATTTTTTTGAAGGTGTTTTTGTGTCTTTATCTCCTTCAGTTCTGCTCTGATCTTAGCTATTTCTTGTCTTCTGCTAGCTGTTGAATTTGTTTGCCCTTGCTTCTCTAGTTATTTTAATTGTGATGTTAGGGTGTAAAGTTTAGATCGTTCCTGCTTTCTCTTGTGGGCATTTAGTGCTATAAATTTCCCTTTAAACACTGCTTTAAATGTGTCCCAGAGATTCTGGTATGTTGTGTGTTTGTTCTCATTGGTTTCAAAGTACATCTTTATTTCTGCCTTAATTTCATTATTTACCCAGTAGTCATTCAGGAGCAGGTTGTTCAGTTTCCATGTAGTTGTGTGGTTTTTAGTGAGTTTCTTAATCCTGAGTTTTAATTTGATTGCACTGTGGTCCGAGAGACTGTTACGACTTCCGTTCTTTTGCATTTGCTGAGGAGTGCTTTACTTTCAATTATGTGGTCAATTTTAGAATAAGTGTGATGTGGTGCTGAGAAGAATGTATATTCTGTTTATTTTGGGTGGAGAGTTCTGTAGATATCTATTAGGTCTATTGTTCCAGAGCTGAGTTCAAGTCCTGAATATCCTTGTTAATTTTGTCTCATTGATCTGTCTAATATTGACAGTGGAGTGTTAAAGTCTCCCATTATTATTGTGTGGGAGTCTAAGTTTCTTTGTAGGTCTCTAAGAACTTGCTTTATGAATCTGGGTGCTCCCGTATTGGGTGCATATATATTTAGCGTAGTTAGCCCTTCTTGTTGCATTGATTTCTTTACGATTGTGTAATACCCTTCATTGTCTCTTTTGATCTTTGTTGGTTTAAAGTCTGTTTTATCAGAGACTAGGACTTCAACCCCTGCTTTTTTTTGCTTTCCATTTGCTTGGTAAATATTCTTCCATCCCTTTCTTTTGAGCCTATGTGTGTCTCTGCACATGAGATGGGTCTCCTGAATACAGCACCATTGATGGATCTTGACTCTTTATCCAATTTGCCAGTCTGTGTCTTTTAATCGGGGCATTTAGCCCGTTTACATTTAAGGTTAATATTGTTATGTGTAAATTTAATTCTGTCATTATGGTGCTAGCTGGTTATTTTGCCTGTTAGTTGGTGCAGTTTCTTCATAGTGTCGATGGTCTTTACAATTTGGTATGTTTTTGCAGTGGCTGGTACCGGTTGTTCCTTTCCACATTTAGTGCTTCCTTCAGGAGCTCTTGTAAGGCAGGCCTGGTGGTGACAAAATCTCTCAGCATTTGCTTGTCTGAAAAGGATTTTACTTCTTCACTTATGAAGCTCAGTTTGGCTGGATATGAAATTCTTGGTTGAAAATTCTTCAAGAATGTTGAATATTGGCCCCCATTCTCTTCTGGCTTGTAGGGTTTCTGCTGAGAGATCCGCTGTTAGTCTGATGGTTTTCCCTTTGTGGGTAAGCCGACCTTTCTCTCTGGCTGCCTTAACATTTTTTCCTTCATGTCAACCTTGGTGAATTTGACGATTGTGTGTCTTGGGGTTGCTCTTCTGGAGGAGTATCTTTATGGTGTTCTCTGTATTACCTGAATTTGAATGTTGGCCTGCCTTGCTAGGTTGGGGAAGTTCTCCTGCATAATATCCTGAAGAGTGTGTTCCAACTTGGTTCCATTCTCCCCATCACTTTCAGGTACACCAATGAAACGTAGATTTGGTCTTTTCACATAGTCCCATATTTCTTGGAGGCTTTGTTTGTTTCTTTTCATTCTTTGAAAATACTATAGTATTAAATAATGATAATTATAACAAATCTTGTCTTCTCACTTTATTTCATTAAGTTCATCTTCAATCTGTGATATCCTTTCTTCTGCTTGATTGATTAGGCTATTGATACTTGTGTATGCTTCACGAAGTTCTGGTGCTGTGTTTTTTAGCTCCATCAGGTCATTTATGTTCTTCTATAAACTAGTTATTCTAGTTAGCAATTCATCTAACCTTTTTTCAAGGTTCTTAGCTTCCTTGCATTGGATTAGAACATGCTCCTTTAACTCGGAGGAATTTGTTATTACCCATCTTCTAAAGCCTACTTCTGTCAATTCGTCAAACCCATTCTCCGTCCAGATTTGTTCCCTTGCTGGCAAAGAGTTGTGATCCTTTGGAGGAGAATAGGCATTCTGGTTTTTGGAATTTTCAGCCTTTTTGTGCTGGTTTATCCCCATCTTCATGGATTTATCTACCTTTGGTCTTGGATGTTGGTGACCTTCGGATGGGGTTTTTGTGTGGACATCCTCTTTGTTGATGTTGATGCTATTCTTTTCTGTTTGTTAGTTTTCCTCCTAACAGTCAGGCCCCTCTGCTGCAGGTCTGCTGGAGTTTGCTGGAGGTCCACACCAGACCCTGTTTGCCTGGATATCACCAGCAGAGGCTGCAGAACAGCAGATTGCTGCCTGTTTCTTCCTCTGGAAGCTTTGTCCCAGAGGGACACCTGCCAGATGCCAGCCAGAGCTCTCCTGTATGAGGTGTCTGTCGGCCCCTACTGGGAGGTGTCTTCCAGTCAGGATACACAGGGGTCAGGGACCCACTTGAGGAGGCAGTATGACCCTTATCAGAGCTCGAACGCTGTGCTGGGAGGTCCACTGCTCTCTTCAGAGCCATCAGGCAGGGACGTTTGAGTCTGCTGAAGCTGCACCCACAGCTGCCCTTTCCCTCAGGTGCTCTGTCCCAGGGAGATGGGGGTTTTATCTGTAAGTCCCTGACTGGGGCTGCTGCCTTTTTTTCAGAGATGTGCTGCCCAGAGAGGAGGAATCTAGAGAGGCAGTCTGGCTACAGTGGCCCTGCTGAGCTGCGGTGGGCTCCACCCAGTTTGAACTTCCTGGCGGTTTTGTTTACACTGTGAGGGTAAAACCACCTACCCAAGCCTCAGCAATGGCGGATGCTCCTCCCCCGACGAAGCTTGAATGTCCCAGGTCAACTTCAGACTGCTGCGCTGGCAGCGAGAATCTCAAGCCAGTGGATCTTAGCTTGCTGGGCTCCGTGGGGGTGGGACCCTCTGAGCTAGAACACTTGGTTCCCAGGCTTCAGCCCCCTTTCCAGGGGAGTGAACGGTTCTGTCTCGCTGGCATTCCAGGTGCCTCTGGGGTATGAAAAAACAACTCCTGTAGCTAGCTCAATGTCTGCCCAAACGGCCACCCGGTTTTGTGCTTGAAATCCAGGGCCCTGGTGGCATGGGCAACTGGAGGGAATCTCCTGGTCTGCAGGTTGCAAAGACCATGTGAAAAGCACAGTATCTGGGCCAGAGTGCTCTGTTGGCCACGGCACAGTCCCTCACGGCTTCCCTTGGCTAGGGGAGGCAAATCCCCCGACCGCTTGTGCTTCCTGTGCTTCCTGGGTGAGGCTACACCCCACCCTGCTTTGGCTCGCTCTTCGTGGGCTGCACCCACTATCCAACCAGTCCCTGTGAGATGAACTGGGTACCTCAGTTGGAAATGAAGAAATCTCCTGCCTTCTGCATGATCTCACTGGGAGCTGCAGACCGGAGCTTTTCCTATTCGGCCATCTTGCCAGCACCAATTTTTTTTTCATTTTCAGTAGAGGCGAGGTTTCCCCATGTTGGCCAGGCTGGTCTTGAACTCCTGACCTCAGGTGATCCACCCGCCTCGGCCTCCCGAAGTGCTGGGATTACAGGCATGAGCCATTGCGCCTGGCCTATCATAACATTTTTAATATCATATTATAGTATTAAATAAAGATAATTACCATTATTATAACAGCGAACATCTATGCACTACTTGCTGGACACTGTGTCAAGCACTTTAAATGCATCGTAATTTCTGGCATATTAATTTATTAATCATATTAAGTCTTCAAGTTCCTTAACCTCAGGGTATGGGAGGTAAGAGAGCAGTAAGGTTCATAGTTTTTCTTTTTCTTTCTATTTATTTATTTATTTATTTATTTTTGAGATGGAGTTTCACTCTTGTCTCCCAGGCTGGAGTGCGATGGTGCGATCTCAGCTCACTGCAAACTTCGCCTCCCGGGTTCAAGCAATTCTCCTGCCTCAGCCTCCTGAATAGCTGGGATTACAGGCATGTGCTACCACGCTCAGCTAATTTTGTATTTTTAGTAGAGATGGGGTTTCTCCATGTTGGTCAGGCTGGTCTCGAATTCCTGACCTCAGGTGATCCTCCCGCCCTGACCTCCCAAAGTGCTGGGATTACCAGTGTAAGCCACCGCATCCAGCCTATTTATTTGTTTTTTGAGAGTGAGTCTCATTCTGTAACCAGGCTAGAGTGCAGTGGTGTGATCTCGACTCACTGCAACCTCCACCTCCTGGGCTCAAGCGATTCTCCTGACTCAGCTTCCCAAGTAGCTAGGATTACAGCATGTGCCACCATGCCCAGCTAATTTTTGTATTTTTAGTAGAGACAGGGTTTCACCATGTTGGCCTGGCTGGTCTTGAATTCCTGACCTCAAGTGATCCACCTGTCTCGGCCTCTCAAAGTGTTGGGATTACACGTATGAGCCACCATGCCCGGCCAGGTTCGTAGTTTTTAAAGTTTGGAAGATACGAGTTCCCATCCCAGCTTCAATCTATGCGAATTTAAACAAGTTTCCCATTTCTCTTGCTCAAAAAAATGGTTGTTGGGCTTTTTTTGTTTTTTAACCAAAGTGATAACATGATATCCAGAAAAGTAGAAAGAAGAAAACAATAAATTACCTCCATATCCCACCATTTAGAAATAAAATTAAAATTTGTGAGCATGCTTATAGATATTTCCAAGTGGATTTGTATGTTAGAATGATACATAAATAAATTCAAAACTAATAACCTAGGATTATATTCTATATTCTGTTGTTTAAAAGTGAAAAAAGAGGTCCTGACGCAGTGGCACACACACCTGTAATCCCAGCAGTTTGGGAGGCCGAGACAGGTGGATCAGGAGTTCGAAACCAGCCTGGCCAACATGGCAAAACTCCAACTCTACTAAATTACAAAAATTAGCCAGGCGTGGTGGCATGCTCCCATAATTCCAGCTACTCGGGAGGTTGTGGCAGCAGAAATACTTGAGCCTGGGAGGTGGAGGTGGCAGTGAGCCGAGAATGCACCACTACACTCCAGCCTGGGCGACAGAGCAAGACTCCGTCTCAAAAAAAGAAAAAAAAAAGTGAAAAAAGGATTGCTGAGATTCAGGTAATGTTTCTTTACCATGAGAGATATTGGGATATTGGCTACTCTTTTAAACCCTTTAAGCAGGGCCCCACCCTGGGTCCAGCAGGCTATATATTAACCTACACAGGCAGTTTGATTGGCTTCACACAGTTAATTTAAAGAAATAGAAACTAGGCTGAGCGTGGTGGCTCATGCCTGTAATCCCAGCACTTTGGGAGGCTGAGGTGGGTGTATCACGAAGTCAGGAGATCGAGACCATCCTGGCTAACACGGTGAAACCCCGTCTCTACTAAAAATACAAAAAATTAGCCGTCTAATTTAGTCTCGCTCTGTTGCCCAGGCTGGAGTGCAGTGGTGCGATCTCGGCTCAGTGCAAGCTCTGCCTTCCGGGTTCACGCCATTCTCCTGCCTCAGCCTCCTGAGTAGCTGGGACTACAGGCGCCCGCCACCACGCCTGGCTAATTTTTTGTATTTTTAGTAGAGACGGGGTTTCACGGTGTTAGCCAGGATGGTCTCGATCTCCTGACCTCGTGATCCACCCGCGTCGGCCTCCCAAAGTGCTGGGATTACAGGCGTGAGCCACCAAACCCGGCCACATTGCACTGCTCTTTAGAGAAAAATCTGATTTTTTAAAAAACCCTGAGAGGTGACTGGATTTTTCTTTCTGAATATTTAAAGAATTTTTTTTTTTGCCTTCAACTTTAACAGGCATACGCCTAAATATCTTTTTTCAACCAATATTGTTGGAAAACAATGCATCTTCTTGAGTGAAAAACAGAATCACTTTGGAGAGATTTTCCTGTATTACATTTCTAGATAATTTCCCTAGTTAATTGTTGTAACTCTTATTTCCAGGACAGTAGTAGTTGTTATGTTAGGTGGTTTTTATCATCTATTCTTTACATGTCTTAAATTCCTTATCCTTTCTTTCTATTTTCATTATGATTATACCAAGCCTTCCTTCCACAAAAATAATTTGATGCTCGGTTGGTTCTATTGTGTTACTTGGTTATTTTTCTAGGTTATTTGTTAGATGTAAATTGGGATTTTGCTACACAACTTGTTTCTTTAGTACTTTAATCTCCCTTTTAATCTTATGCTGTTATTTTATCCTTTTGTCTTTGTGTTCTTATTTTGTTAAAATCGTATACTTTATTAGAATGTGATATATGTCTGAAGAGTGATAAATTCACAATGAGTATTGCACTGTTCCTTGGCTTGGGCTACGTTTTCTTCCAGATTGGATTACTTTTCTCTATATCGAATGCTTTCATAGCTTCTGCCCTGTTTCTTTTTGTTATCTAGCCCGTGATTGACACAGACGGTTTGGTAATCTCGTTCCATTATTTGGTTATATGTGGGTGACTTCTCCTTGAAGCCCTTCTATCATGTGTAAAACCCAGTAGTCGCCGGGCGCGGTGGCTCACGCCTGTAATCCCAGCACTTTGGGAGGCCGAGGCGGGCGGATCACGAGGTCAGGAGATCGAGACCATCCTGGCTAAAACGGTGAAACCCCGTCTCTACTAAAAACACACAAAAAAAATTAGCCGGGCGTAGTGGCGCGCGCCTGTAGTCCCAGCTACTTGGGAGGCTGAGGCAGGAGAATGGCGTGAACCCGGGAGGCGGAGCTTGCAGTGAGCCGAGATCCCGCCACTGCACTCCAGCCTGGGCGACAGAGCGAGACTCCGTCTCAAAAAAAAAAAACAAAAAAAAACCCAGTAGTCTTTCCATCAGGACTACAGGGGCTGCTTGCTGTCTACATTTCCGTAATTTGAGGGCATAGGGAAGGCATGGAGCTGCGCACAGCCCTTGCTAGAGGACCTGGGCATGACACTTTCTGAGATCTCATTAAGATGTCCAATTTTGTACCCCGCTCCTGTGTGCCTTCCCTAAGCCAGCACATGCTCTGGAAGCTGTCAGGCCCTGGCTGTTCTGCAATTTCTATGGTGGTATGTAGTGGCTTCTGCTTCTAAGCATTTTGTCTTGACTTTTCTTCAAGCTTCCTTTTCATCCTCTCAGTCAGATTCTCTGCAGATTGAAACAGGGAGAGCGATTCCTAAAAATTATTAGAAATATTGCCATTGTATCTACTTCCCTTCACACTACTTCTAGAAAAGGTAAGTATGAAATTATGATCCCTGTGTCACCACACCAGAACTTTATATTTCTTCCTCTGACAACTTCTTTTTGACAGCTAAGGCATAAGCTTGAATCTCTTTCCTTGCTGCTGGTAGATTTTTTGCAATGTCATTTTGGAAGGATATTTTCAACGAATATAGAATTCTAGATTGCCAGGTGTTCTTTCCTTCTCTCCCTGCAAACACTTTAAAGATGGTCCACTATCTTCTGGTCTCCATATTTTCTCTTTTCTTTTCTCTTTCTTTCTTTCCCTTTCTTTCTTTCTTTCTCTTTCTTTCTTTCTTTCTTTCTTTCTTTCTTTCTTTCTTTCTCTTTTCTTTCTTCTTTCTTTCTCTCTTCTTTCTTTTCTCTCTCTCTTTCTCTCTCTCTCCCTCCTCCTCTATCTTTCTTTCTTTTTTTTTTTTTTCAGAGTCTCTCTCTGTTGCTCAAGCTGGAGCGCAGTGGTGCAATCTCGGCTCACTGCAACCTCCGCCTCCTGGGTTCAAGCAATTTTCCTGCCTCAGCCTATCGAGTAGCTGGGACTACAGCTGCGTGCCACCATGCCTGGCTAATTTTTGTATTTTTAGTAGAGATGAAGTTTCACTATGTTGGCCAGGCTGGTCTCAAACTCCTGTCCTCAGGTAATCCACCTGCCTCGGCTTCGCAGAGTGCTGGGATTACAGGCGTGAGCCACTGTGCCTAGCCCTCCATATTTTCTCATGAGGATTCAGAAGTGATTCAAATGACTCCTCCACTATGTGAGGTATCATTTTTTTCTCTGGTTGCTTTCAAAATTCTCTCTTTAGTTTTCAACAGTTTGACTATGATAGGCCTATATGTGTCTTTATTTACATGTATGCTGCCTGGGGTTCACTGAACTTTAATTTATAAATGTATGTCTTTCAACACATTGGGGAACATTTAAGCCATTTGTTCTTCAAAATTTTTTTTCTGGTCTCATTCTCTCTTCTACTTCTGGAATTCAATTACCTGTATGCAGGTATTTTTATATTGTACTACAGGTCCCTGAGACCCTGTTCAATGTTTTCAACTTTTTTTGTCATCAGATTGGACAATTTCTATGGCTATAAAATTCTCTCTCTCTTTTTTTAAATCAAGTCCATCCAGTGAATTTTTAATTTAAAATATTGCATTTGTCAGTTTTAAGTTTCCATTGGTTCTTTTTTACATAGTTTCTATTTCTTGTTTGAGATTTCCTGCCTTTCATTCATTAAAGTATACTTTCCTTTACTTTGCTGAGATGAGTTGTAATACCTGCTTGAGAGTTCTTATCTGCTGCTTGGGGTTGGCCCAAGTTGATTGTTTTTTCTCTTAATCCTGGATCATATTCTCTGGCTCTGTGCTGTTTTTTCTCTTAACTTTGGATCATATTTTCTGGCTCTGTGCATGGTATGTGATTTTCGAGTATATTTAGGCATTATAAATTTGATGTTCTGGAGATTCTACGTCCTATTATGTTCTTCTGAGAATGCTGGTGTTTTGTTTTAGCAAGCACTTAACTTAGCTGAGCTCAAACTGCAAAACTCTATCTCTTGGGTCATTTTCACTACCATTAGGTAGGCTGATTTGAGCATGCCTTATGTGAGTGTGGTTCAGGAATCTGCCCAAATCTTGATCAGAGTTTATACACAGGATCCAGGTCTTTCTTACTCTGGCTCATTTCTTTCTAGTATCCTCCCACCTCCTGCTTTCTAGCATGCTGTATTAGAGTTTTAGCTATCCCACATAGTACCAACCTCAGCCTGTGCTCAGGCTACAAAACTATAAAAATAGGAAACTCACCCCTTGCCATTTCACTTATCCAAGTTTTGACTCCCCCCGGATTCTGTCTGCTTCTGTTTACTCTTTAGTGCCTTCAGGCTTTTTGTTTTTGTTTGTTTCTTTGTTTATTTCATCCAAAGTTTATATGTATTATCTGTAGGAAACCAGGATCTGGTAGATGCTTATTTGTCCATACCAAAAGCGGAAATTGATGGTACTTTTTTTCTGTTGCTTTTACTTTTGCTGTTCATTGTGTTAAATGTTGGGAGGAGAGAGATTATGTCATCTAGAGTCATTTTGCCATCTTTATCCAGAAGTTTTCTTGTGCAAGTGGTTTCTTCTTCTAGAGCCTCAGCTTTATAATCTATAAAATAAGCAAAAGAGTTTTTTGTGGAGTGTGTTTAAAGGTTTAGATAAGATAGTGCGGGTAAAACTTTTTAGCCCAGAGCTTGGCAGTTAATAAGATTATTACCGTTATCTTCAGTGTCAGTATCTCATCCCTAACATGGTGCCGAGTATGTAGCAAGAGATAAATAATGATTGTTGGATAAATGAATTAGATACATGAAAATAGAGAAGGAAGAGAATGGATACAAGCAATGGTGAAACTAACTACAGGAAACTGAGAAGCTGCTTCAAGGGTGGCATTTCCCCATTGGAGCTGGGCATGTAACAGACACACAGGCCTGTGGCCAGGTAGCTCTTCCCTCTGGCCAGGCTCTGTTACACAACGTGTTCTCTTTAATTTGTGCGGTGATTCATGACACAAGCCGCAGCACGAGGACGATCCTGCAGAACTGGGGGAAGAGTCTCCACATCCCAGCTTTGTACACTTTCCAGAAGGCACAGAGGAATTTTGGGGGGATTCTGGAGCCTGCGTGGAACTCCCTTGTTTCCTGAGCATTGGAGGAAATGTCTGAAAGCTGCATTTGGGTGGGGCAGTAGCAGAGACAGAATGGATAGGTTTGGGGATGGAGGAGGTGTTCATTCTCCAAGCGTGACAAGCTCATAACTCCCTGACTTCAGGAAGGAACTATTACCCACACCAGAGGGCTGAAATGCCAACCCTCAGCAGGTGGTTGCATGCTCCAAAACCATAATGGTATTTACCAGGGTGAAGGGGTCCAGCATTTAGGCACTATCAGTGGCTGTGCTTCCATTCACAGCACCTGCCAGGGCTACTCCAAGAGAACAGTAAGTTGAGCAAGCTCCCTGAGCCTGGGAGTCTTCTTAGCTGGATAAAGATACAAAAAGACTTTCGAAAATATTAAGTAACATGTTTAAAATGGTAAATTTTATGTTACATATGCCTTACCACAATGACAAACAAACAAAATTGGTAAAATAATATATGCTCTTTGTAGACAATTTGAAAAATTAAGAAAGATTTAAAGAAGAAACAAAGTTACTTATATTCTTTCCTTCTAGTATTTTGGCATATGTATTTCCTTTCTTCTTTTACGTATCGGAATGGACTTTTTTTTTTACTTAATTGAAATTATACTGCCTATAATGTGGGATTTTTGGGGTAATTTAGTATTATAATCTCAGCATATTTGTCATTAAGTATTGTTTGAATATCTTTTAATGGATTCAAAGAAATTCATTTATGGATTCATCAAATTGTACTTAATGGTCCCAGTGGCTATTTAGGCAGTTTTTAATATTTCACTAATAAAATAACACTTTAATAAACATCTTTAAACATGAGTCTATGTGTAAAAGACCTTCTGAAATTAGAACATTTTTTCTTCTCTTCTTTCATCCTGCTTAGATCCTACATCTCCTTAAATGCCAGGCTCAGATCTGGCCTCTGCTAAAAAACCTACCCTGAGAATTTCAGCCTGCAAGAATCCCTTCCTTCTCTGACTCCAATTCATTCATTTTTTCCTCAAATATTATTTTACGGCATATCAAATATGTATATGTATATGTTTATCAAATATTAATTTCTTTTCTAAAGTGATTGGTTAGTACAATGATTATGGCTAAGCCTATCGAGTACTTACTCAATGATGGCCCCTTTTAAAGCACTTTACATGGATTACATCATTTCATTTTTACAATACTATCCATGCTTTACCTATAGGAAAACTGAAGCATAAGTAATTTATCAAAGATTGCTCAGCTGTTCGTTGGGTGAGCTGGGATTTAACACCACCCACTGTGGCTCTGAGTCCATTAACTGTATTAACATTTATGAATACTGCCTCAGCTGGACTATTCTAGGGAATAAAGTAGACAGAGCAAATACACTTCTGTCCTCTGGAATGAACTCACAGCCTGAGCTGCCCTGCTGAGTCTGGATCATAAAGGGTCTTGAGCCACTTCCTGATGACGGTCTGTGAGTACCTCTTATTCTTCCATTCTGTGTACTCCTGCAGGGCTGGGATATGGTCCCCTTCTGCCTTCCACCCCCATAAAGCATACACTTAGTGCACAAGGGCTACTCAGTAAGGCCCTCAAACTGACGGCTGGGAGGTAGCAGAAAGAGATGAGTGCCTGGAGACTAGGGTTTGCTTCTGTCAGTCTGGTGTCTGTTTCTTCATGAGGGAAATGAGATCGTCTTTGACATTCTGAGAGTGTAGTAAGATCTTCCAGTAATACCTTAGGTTTTTCTCACATGGTAAAGAGGAAACACTAACATAAGACCCTCCTGTGGCCCTGAGATCTTTGATCTGGTCCATGGCCTGTAATTTCTGGGTTAAACATGAGAAAGCTGTCTCCACACTGCTTCTTTTTCAGTATGCACAGATGTGAGTGGAAATCTTTTAGAGGCTAAAAAGCAGTGCTAACTTTCTCACTGCTACATATTTGTTTCATAAAGTAGGTAATCACAGTTACAATGATTTTTTTTTTTTTTTTTTTTTGAGACAGAGTCTCGCTCTGTTGCCCAGGCTGGAGTGCAGTGGTTCGATCTCAGCTCACTGTAATCTCCATCTCCCGGGTTCAAGCAATTCTCCTGCCTCAGCCTCCTGAGTAGCTGGGACTATAGATGCCTGCCACCACGCCCGGCTAATTTTTGTATATTTAGTAGAGATGGGGTTTCACCATGTTGGCCAGGCTGGTCTTGAACTCCTGACTTCAAGTGATCCGCCTGCCCCTGCCTCCCAAAGTTCTGGGATTACAGGCGTGAGCCACCGCGCCCAGGCAGGTGTTTTGTTTTGAATGAGATTAAAGGATGAAAGAGGAACAAAAAAGAAAGGAAGAAGAGGAGGAGGAGGCTTCCTATGCCAGGCCCTAGGCATCTGGGTTTTCTGCATTGGTCCTAGGGTTAAAAAAAGTTAATTGTTCACCTCCTTCTGATTGGTTTCACATCTAATAATTATAATACCTTTCTCCTTTTGTGTATGTAGTTGATATACAGCCTGCCACCGCACACACCAGCATTATTGCTGATCTTTGCTGTGATCCTTCGAGGAATGCAGTGCCTCCATTTCACAGATTCAGAGAAGCTAAGGGCCTTTTTAAAAGCTATCTGGCTGGTAAAAAGCAAGACAGGAAGCAAACTCCATTCTGCTTGGCCCCAAAGAACTCCTGAAGCATCACCACAGCACTGAGTTAGCTGTGGTCTCATTAGTTACCTAAGGAATGAACTGTCAGCAGCCGATGGAGAGGCACACTGCAGAGACATGGCCTTTTTGGAGTTTTTTTTTGTTTTTTTTTGTTTTTTTTTTGAGATGGAGTCTCACTCTGTCTCCCAGGCTGGAGTGCAGTGGTGCGATCTAGGCTCACTGCAACCTCTGCCTCCCGGGTTCAAGTGATTCTCCTGCCTCAGCCTCCTGAGTAGCTGGCATTACAGGTGCCCGCCACCACGCTCGGCTAATTTTTTTTGTATTTTTAGTAGAGACGGGGTTTCACCATGTTGGCCAGGTTGGTCTCGAACCCCTGACCTCATGATCTGCCCGCCTTGATCTCCCAAAATGCTGGGATAACAGACGTGAGTCACCGTGCCTGGCCCATTTTGGAGTTTTATTAAAGACCTTGGAGGGGATTAGAGATGGAAATGTCAACTAAGAAGAGCAAGCCTATTTCCTGGCCATGAATGGAGTTAGGAGAGACACTTCCTTCCCTCCCTACCTCTGTGGTCCTTGGCCAAAGTTTGGGGAATGGCTAGTGAGGAGGGAAGGTTCCAATCTGATTTAATTTACAACTCTAAATCTGATAAAGAAAATTTTGTCCTGATTTGTGGACTTATTTATGTAAAACAAAGTGTGTTTCCATGAAACACCTAATGCGTATTTATTTGAAACGGTATTAAAAACCAAATTCCAGGCCAGGCGCGGTGGCTCACGCTTGTAACCCCAGCACTTTGGGAGGCCGAGGCGGGTGGATCACCTGAGGTTGGGAGTTCGAGACCAGCCTGACCAACATGGAGAAACCCCGGCTCTACTAAAAATACAAAATTAGCCGGGCATGGTGGCGCATGCCTGTAATCCCAGCTACTCAGGAGGCTGAGGCAGGAGAATTGCTTCAACCCGGGAGGTGGAGTTTGTGGTGAGCTAAGATCACACCAAAGCACTCTAGCCTGGGCAACAAGAGGGAAACTCTGTCTCTAAATAAATAAATAAATAAATAAAAATAAAAAATAAAAAACAAAAACCAAATTCCATTTAGCTATATATCAAATACATGAGAAAACAAAAGGTACAGTCCCAGGAATTTCTGCATGTGTCTACAAGACTTCAGAGAAGGAAGAGATCAATGTGGATGCCAGGCTTCCAGGAGGAGCTTAGGATTGAACCAGACCTTAGAGGATGGCTTGAAGGCAGAGAGAGATGAAGGAGGCTTTTCAGAGCAATGAAGAAGCGAGTCCTAGTGGTAGAGACAGTGAGGAGACAGTCAGGTCATCCTCTCCTCACTTTGCCTCCAATGAAAAACAGATGAGCCTATTGGTTAAAGAGTGGCTTTGAAGTCATACACATCCTAGTTCAATTTCCAGCTTTGCAATTACAAGCCTTTGGCCAGTTATTCAAACTTCCTAAGCCTTAGTAATCTCATTTCCAAATGCGGTTAATGACGCACACCTCCCAGGATCTTTATGAGGATTAAATATCATAACCATTTCAGCTCCTGCTTCAGTAATTTGAGGAAGTCATTATTATCTCTTAGATCATTCTGGAATATCCAGATACAAATCTCAACCACGCTCTATTTCACCTCAGTAATCAATGGAAATTACAATTTCTTCTAGCTCATGAGATCTTTGAAGCAGTAAAACTACCTCAACCCTCTATGTCAAAACCACTGCGGTGAAGGAAATGTGTTATCATAAGTCCAGATTCACACAAAGCCATCTCAAATGAGTGTCTTCCTTCTTCTCCCCAGACTTCTGGCCATTCTCTATAATCTCCACTTATCACTTTACACATTTTTCTTGGCACTTTGAAAAGACAGGCTGAAAACCCAGGCTAATGATCCCTGAGCAGTATGAAAAGTCAGAAAATAATGAGCAGGTCCTGATTCCTCTCAGGGGCCTCATTATGAAGGACAAGCCACTGAAATTTCTGCTTTTTCTCAAGTCTTTTGTTCTTTATACATTTTTCTGGGCTACCCTCTGGCCCCTTATTAGCATTTACAACAGAATCAGAAGATTTGGGCTCTAGTCCAACTGCTGCCGCTTATTAGCTAGGTGATCTTTGGCAAGTTATTGTACTTTCTAGACCTCAGTTGATTTCTCAGTAAAATAAGGATCAATCAAAAAATGTATAGGAATGCACCTCGCAAGTCCTCTAAATGTGTAATGCATATTAAAGTGAGTAGATGAATCAAGCAGGTGTATTGTACCCCTTTCAGCTTAACCCAACCACCAGAGAAGTCCCAGATTCTGCAACAAAATACCTCTTCAATAGTCCACTCTGAATGTGGACTGAAGACCTCTGCATCTATTCTGGGGAAGAAAATGAGTTTCCTAATAACGATCCTTCCTGTAAGTTTGAGAAAAGCGTCACAGAGGAACCCGGTCTGTAGAATTACAGCCCAGCTGATGGGTTGGGACCCCAAGCAGATTGGATCCAACCCTTTGAATATAATCATATATATGGTTAATACAAGTGCCTGTGCTTACATTCCCCCAGACAGTCACAGACACACACAAATCTTCCACCTCAGTGGGCCTGAGCTGGAGTCCCTGCCTCCTGGATGAAGTTCTGGGGCCTCCACGTCATGGCCTTGTCTGAGCCTGTCTGGTTAGAGAAGTGCAGGCTCTTATTATCATTATAGACTGCCTGCTTGGTAATTGAACTGGACAGCTGAGTGCTTTATGATATCACCAAGTAAGACTGTAATGGATAAGGCTGCACTGTTCAGGGGCTATTTCCTGCACTGAACCATTTCAGTGCTTCCCAAATGCACATGTTATTGTCCGAACACTTAGACCTCAGCAGAGCTGGTTACAGGTTAATCCAAATCACCACCTCCTCCATCAGCTCCTGCCAGGAGGATGCTGAGGCTGTACGCTCAGGGATTTTTTTTTTCCTCTTTTTTCTTTTCCTTCAAGAAACAGAATCAATACACATGTGCACTCAGGTTTCTAATAGCGAGCTGTCAAAGTTTAACCTTGAGCCCTGTACAAAGAGGGACTAGAAAATTAATGTAGTTTCGTAGGGAGGTGTTTAAACTTTAGGCAATAACTTTTTGTTTTCCTGCTTCAGGTTTATTTGTGCAAATAGCACAGAAGGACCCCAGCCCCGTGCAGATGGCAGCCGGCGGGGGCTGGGGGAGGGGGGCGGTTGCACCAGTCCTTCTGTCCTCATGTTGGCAGACAGAGATATCTACTCTGAAGCCTTTGTAGGGGCCTGAGCACCTTTGGGAGCCTGAGCTGGAGTTGAAGCTGGAGCTGCAGCCTGGACCTTGGTTTGGTCCTTGGCCTTGGCCTTTGGCCGGCACAGCCTGAGCCCCTTGGCAACGCGGGCACGAGCACGCTTCCCAAGCTTGGGGTGGGGAATGTAGGCAAGTCGATTGAGCTTGTGGCTGACATCCTTTGGGATCTTGGGCTTAGCCTCCTTGGGCTTCACAAGGGCCCTGATAGCCTCGGCATGTGCACTCATGGCCTCGGCACTGTTGGCCTGCATCTTCTTTAGGCTCTTCTTGTTGTGCTTCTTGGCAAAGCACATGTTCCTCAGGAACTTGGGGTCGACCCCCTTAAGAGATTCGTATCTTTGTGATCAGGCTTTCTTGATACCATTTCTGTGCCATTTTTGGGACTGGTTGTGTGTGGTGTGGTTCTTGGACTTGGCCATGTCTGCACTTTAAGCTGTGGCTCCTGAAGCACCTACAATCGGAAGAGCAGGAAATAGCTTAATGATAAGAAATGTGGCTTTTTCCAAAGGTTATTGCCCAGCTATTTGTGTTTAATTAACTACCGGTGATGATAATCAATGAGACTGTTGCTGAGGCTGTAACCACGCCTCTGCTGTCTAAAGCCCACAGTCCCTTGGCAAAGGGTTCCTCACTCAGGGCAGCACCAGCAGAGAAAGCTCCCTTGGTGAAGGAGCACGAACATGTTCAGGCATGGTTGGTGGCTTTTTCCCTTTGGAGGAATTTCTTTGTGAGAAGCTAGAAAGAGCCTTAGAGGTAACCCAGTGGACTTGTCTGTAAACCCTGCAGCTCATCAGCCTTGCCTGGGAAATTTGTTAACAATTATAGATACCCAGCGTCTGACCCCAGAACCATTATATCCTGGGGAGGAGAATGAGCATTTATACTATAAACAATTTCAGCAGGTGACTCCAAAGTTCAGCCAGGCTTGAAAACAACTTATTTTGTCCAACTGCCCTTGTTCATAAAGTAGTAAACTGAGAACAAGAAAGGGCAAGTGCCTTAGCTGAGGTCTGCAGGCTGGTTGTGAGAGTTTAATGTGGAATGCAGGCCTGCTGTCTCCTAAACTGGTGTGCTGTGTGTTATGTGGCCTCTCTCATAAAATATTGGCTCTCCTTGGGGTGAGATGTAGAAAACACATGTGAGTAAAACACAGTCAGTGATGGGGTAATCCTTTTAACTGAATGTTCAAGTCACCAGGACTCAGCGCTGGCCGTCACTTGCTGTAACTAGTCATATATTTTGGTTAAGAATTCAGCATCACTGGGTGGGTGCCGTGGCTCATGCCTGTAATCCAGCACTTTGGGAGGCTGAGGTGGGCGGATCACCTGAGGTCAGGAGTTCAAGACCAGCCTGGCCCACATGGTGAAACCCTGTCTCTACTAAAATACAAAAATTAGCTGGGTGTGGTGGCGGGTGCCTGTAATCCCAGCTACTCGGGAGGCTGAGGCAAGAGAATTGCTTGAACCTAGGAGGCGGAGGTTGCAGTGAGCCAGGATCGCACCACTGCACTCCAACCTGAGAGACAGAGCGAGACTCCATCTAAAAAAAAAAAAAAAAAAGAAATCAGCTTCACTGGCTGTGTGCCACGGCCCATGCCTGTAATCGCAGTACTTTGGGAGGGTGAAGCGGGCAGATGACTTGAGATCAGAAATTCGAGACCAGCTTGGGCAGCATGTTGAAACCCCGTCTCTACAAAAAACACAAAAAATTAGCTTGTTGTGATACAGGCGCCCGCCACCATGCCTGGCTAATTTTTTGTATTTTTAGTAGAGACAAGGTTTCACTATGTTGGCCAGGCTGGTCTCGAACTCTTGACCTCAGGATCCACCAGCCTCTGCCTCCCCACGTGCTGAGATTACAGGCGTGACCAAAAACAACCTTAATTTCCAGCTGTAGGAGAATGGTTGAATAATTTACGACGCATTCACATATTGTTAATAGCTACCGCTTATTCTGTGCTTACTGTGCCAGGTATTGCTTTAAGCACTTTTCTTGTTATTAATTAATTTATTTTTTTTGAGACAGAGTCTCTCTCTGTTGACCAGGCTAGAGTGCAATGGCGTGATCTCAGCTCACTGTAACCTCCACCTCCCAGGTTCAAGCAATTCTCCCTGCCTCAGCCTCCTGAGTAGCTGGGATTATAGGTGCCCACCACCATGCCTGGCTAATTTTTGTACTTTTTAGTAGAGACGGGGTTTCGCCATGTTGGCCAGGCTGGTCTTGAACTCCTGACCTCAGTTGATCCATCTGTCTCAGCCTCCCAAAGTGGTGGGATTACAGGTATGAACCACCATGCCCGGCCCATGTATTAGTTAAAATAACTTTATGGGGCAGATACTATTATCCTTACTTTACAGTTAAGGAAACAGAGCCAGAGAAGTTAAGTAATTTGTCCAAAGTCACCAAGCTAGGAGGTAGAAGAGTCAGGATTCAAACCTGACTTGAGAATCCTCTCAACCACGAAACTGTCTCTTGTATAGCCAACCATTAGTACAATAAACCACTAATAATTTGCTGAAGAATGCTTGCTTTGCATGTAATAAGGGCTAAACTGAATGACTACATTTATTGTTAAATACACATAGGAAATGCTTATGACATATTTAAATGGGGGAGAAAAGCCGGATATCACTGTACATACATTATAATTTTAACTATAGAAAGTTGCAGAAAAATGCCCAGGAAGAAAACAGGCCAAATGGTTCAATTCTGTTTGTGGTTGATGGGCTGACAATTTTTCCTCCTTGCTTCTTTAACTTTGTCTGACTTTTCTGAATTTTCTAAAGCAAATGTTAACTGTAACATCAGAAAAAACACTATTAAAAACATGAGACCTTACGGACGCAGGCTCGGGACAGATCACCACCAGGCAGCAAACACTGATCCTCCTCCACTCAAAGAAATTAACTGCAAAGAACTTTCATTGACCTGTGTAACCTCTTGCACAAAACATTGACTATCCCTACGATTTATTCTAACTGTCATCCTTAGATCATTAATACATAGGAGGCAATTTCTACTTTGGTTCTGATAGAAGTCTCCCAAGAGAAGCCAATTTCCTGAATCTTTTTGAGAGAATTTATTATAAGCATCTTTGCTTCCTCAGAGTCCCCGAGCTCTTGTATTCCCTGCCATTATCAGTGTATCTGGTCTCCTGGGCATAGCTTATGAGTAGATGTTCAATACATGAAAATCATTATTACGAACTGAGATATTTTGCTAAAACACATGTGATTTGGGAACAGAGTCTTGGTTTCTCCTCGTATCTTCCCAGGGACTTAGGATGGGGTTGGACACAGAAGATAATTGGGTGAAGGGCAGCCTAACTACTCATGTGCCCACATGATACGTATATGTCTATTTCTCTGACCTATCCTGATCTCGCCATGCCCATGTTCTACTCTGAGGTTTCTGGAGCCAGCAAGTCACTTCTTGCTGTACTTGGGGCTGTGGGGCCAGCCATCCTCCCAGTCTTGTGGCTGTGATCCTTTCATGAGACCTGTTTCTAGTTTCCAGCCCCTGCATTCTAGCACTCTTCTTCTCTGCCCCCACTCTGCTTTATCAGCCCATCTGTGCAGGTCTGCCTCACAGCAATCAGCAGGAGCCATCCCTGTGTGCTTAAATTAGAGATGCTGTTATTCTCTCTCTCTCTCTTTTAATAAAGAAAAGGAAGTCATTTCTTATAGTTATGGAGGCTGAGGAGTCCAAGGTCAATGGACTGTATCTGGTGAGAGCTTTCATGCAAGTGGGGAGTCTGCAGAGTTCTATAGTGGCACAGGGCATCACACGGCAAGGGGGCTGAGCATGCTGCTATTTTCTTTCTACTTTTAAACTTGAGTTCTACAGACTTAGTAGACTAGCTGTGAACATATATATATATATATATATATATATATATATATATATATATATATATATATATAAAATCATCCATAAGGCTGGCAGCACTGAAAGCCAACATGGTGGGCACAGGCAAACCACAGTTCTTTTAGGCCCCGAACCTATCCTCATATTAGACAACATGTACTGAAGAGGAGACGTGATATGAAGAGGAGAGCTGTGAGGTTTATTTAAGGAACTTGATGAACATCTGTAGTGGGTGGGGAAGAAAGATTTGGGAGGAAATTTTCAACTGCTTATTGTCTTTTTTTTTTCCCCTCATGAAACATCACCTCCAATTCAAGAGTGTTATGAACATATTATTTGCAAGTGGATTGTTGTAAATGAAAATTATGTGTATTAATCCGTAAGATGTCTGAAATGATGACTGAGCAATGCATTACCTAAAAATATTATATATTGGCTAAGGTTGAGGTCAAGGGTTGGGGGAGGGATGGGGAATGTGTTAGTCTGTTTGGGCTGCTATAACAAAAACACCATAAATCGGGTGGCTTGTAAACAACAGGAGTTTATTGCTTATGGTTTTAGAGGCTGGTAAGTCCAACATTAAAATAATGGCAGACTTGGTGTTCAGAGAAGGCTCAGTCTCCTGGTCATAAGTGGTACCTTCTAGCTGCAGCCTCACATGTTGGAAGGGGCTAGCTAGCTCTCTGGAGTCTCTTTTATTTTACTTTTTAATATTTATTTATTTATTTACTTATTTTTGAGAGAGAGTCTTGCTCTGTTTGCCCAGGCTGGAGTGCAGTGGCGTGATCTTGGCTCACTGCAACCTCTGCCTTCCGGGTTCAAGCAATTCTCCTGCCTCAGCCTCCCGAGTACCTGGGACTACAGGTGACTGCCACCACGCCCAACTAATTTTTTGTATTTTTAGTAGAGATGAAGTTTCACCATGTTGACCAGGCTAGTCTCGAACTCCCGACCTCAGGTGATCTGCCCGTCTCAATCTCCCAAAATGCTGGGATTACAGGTGTGAGCCACCATGCCTGGTCCGGGTCTCTTTTATAAGGGCGCTAGTTCCATTTGTGAGGGCTCTGCCCTCATAACCTAATCACCTCCTCCAGATGCCCCACCTCCAAATACCATCATCTTGGGGGTTAGGAATTCATTGTACGAATTTTGGGGGGATACAACATGCAGACCATAGCAGGAAGCTGTGGGTGGAGGGCCCAGAACTGAGATACTGTCCAGAGGGAAAGTGGGTATCTGTACTTCTCAAAAAAACCAAAACCAACCTGTCAAGGCAGGGACCCCAGAGAAAATGGGAGGAGAAGCCTCACATGTATAGACTGGGAGGACAGGATCATCTCCAAAGTAATGCCCCAGCCTCTGCCTCTCACTTATAGGTCAGAGGGTCCTAAGTGATAAGAGAGAACCTTGGTGGAGGCTGCTCCACAATGGCCCCCATCCTGGAATTTTACCAGGAGCACCCTTGCTTGCCCACTCATCTGTCTCAGACGCCCAGGAAATTTTTGCACGTGTCATATCATCTGTGCTTATCTCAGTGTTGAGATAACCTTTTCCCTTGTTTTCTCCTTAATTTGGTTTTCCAGTTCTCTGCAAAAGAGAACTGCGGAGTGGGGACTGGACAACCTCTGAAAGAGCGCCTTCTGCTTTTGTGGAGTGCAGTGGCGTGATCTCGGCTCACTGTAAGCTCCGCCTCCTGGGTTCACACCATTCTCCGGCCTCAGCCTCCTGAGTGGCTGGGACTACAGGCGCCCGTCATCGCGTGCCCGCCTAATTTTGTTTTTGTATTTTTAGTAGAGATGGAGTTTCACCATGTTAGCCAGGATGGTCTTGATCTCCTGACCTGTGATCCGCCCGCCTCGGCCTCCCAAGGTGCTGGGATTACAGGCGTGAGCCACCACGCCCAGCCCCGGTTAATTTGTTTTGTGTTTTTAGTAGAGACAAGGTTCCACTGTGCTAGCCAAGATGGTCTTGGTCTCCTGACCTCATGATCCGCCCGCCTAGGCCTCCCAAAGTGCTGGGATTACAGGCGTGAACCACCGCACCAGGCTGTTCTTAGTTCTTAAGTAATGTTGACATATGGGTGATGATGAAGGAGATGATTAAAGCTTTCAAAGAAAGTGGAAGAATGTGTCAAATTCTCTCTTCACTTCCTAGATGACTTCAGTTTCCTAATCCATAAAATAGGACTAAGACCATTACTTATCTGATGAAAAGGAGAGACAATGTAATAAATAAGGTGCTTTGAATCCTGTATTAGTCCATTGTCACACTACTGAGAAAATTATAAATTACCTGAGACTGGGTAATTTATAAACAAAAGAGGTTTAATTGACTCACAGTTCCATATGGCTGGGGAGGCCTCAGGAAACTTATAATCATGGTGGAAGGTGAAGGGGAAGCAGGGCACATCTTACATGGCGGCAGGTGAGAGAGAGAATGCAGGGGAAATGCCAGACACTTATCAAACAACCAGATCCCGTGAGAGCTCCCTATCACAAAAACATCATGGGGGAAACCGCCCCCCACGATCCAATCACCTCCCAGGAGGTCCCTCCCCTGACACATGTGGATTACAATTCAAGATGAGATTTTTGGGTGGGGACACAGAGCCAAACCATGTCAGATCTCCAAATGGTAGCTATTATTTAGATGTCCTTTTCTTCTGTCTTGTTACAGTCACTGACACAGTTCAGGCTCTTATTATATCTCCATTGATGTCAGCTTCCAATCTAGTCTCTTGCATTCTCTGCTTCTGCCATCTATTTTCCAGTGTGGTGCCAGAGGAATCCTTGTAAAATACAAAGATGCATGTCATGCTACTGCACAGAATCTTTTAATAGCCTCCTTTTTTTTTTTCCCTTTTTCGAATAGGGCCTAAAATCTTCAATGTAGCATCCTTCCAGAAATAGTCTTCTGAACTTGGCTGCTTCTATTCATTCACGCATACATACATTTTACTGTCAGGAGCACCTTCTATATGCCAAACACTAAGCTACGTGTTTCACGTAGGTCATTTCACAGGATCCTGAAAACAACGCTTTCCTTAATATCTCCATTTTGCAGAAGAGGAAAGGGAGGCTCACAGGATGTGGAACTCACCCAAGAAGGCACAGCGAGTTGGTCATAAAGATTTGAATTCACTCTGGCTGGCACTCCCTTCAATTGGAGCTCTTTGTACTGAGCAAAAATGCCTCAGGGGCAGCAGGGAAGGGAATGACAGTATCAGCAGAAGGGAGCCAGGATCAGGACAGGGAGGAAGCAGTGTTTGGAAGAAGGGTGCTGGGGACAGGGTGCGGATGTAACTTCCCTTTCCAAGGTTGGTGATGTGGGGTAGGCACCTCATTTGGAGACAGAACTCTGGGCCTGGGCTTCAGGCACTTTAAGTGTGCACTGGACTTTGTGTTCCCAGAGGACCCCCAAACCTTCCAGTATCTCCTTCCTTTCCCCTTTCCCACCCAGCACACAGCCTGGTGCCTAGTGTGCACTCAGTAGACAACTGGGATATGACTATTGCCTCTGGTAGTCACATCCTCTCTTTGGGCTATGGGAGGCTGGACTGGAGGCCTTAAAGGCCCCTTCCGCCCTCCTGTTGGGCAGTTTTTCTTTCTTAGGGAAATCGCCTTGGGGCTATCGGGGATGGTCAGTACGCAGCTTGGTTAATCCTCTTTCCTTCCCCAGCAGCCCCACCGTCGTCCGGGTGAAAAGAAAGAACCTCGCTCCCTTCACCATCCAGGCTGAGGCTTCAGTCTTTCAGCCTGCAGCTTGGGGTGGAAGCCTCTGGGTGCAGGGGTTCGAGGACGCTCCTCTCCTTCTGTATTTGCCATTTGAGAGCGCCCAGTAGGAGTCATGCCTCAATGTTAGGAGGTTAATGCCAAACGCAGTGAAAGATTTTGTTCTTTCCTATTCTAGATAAGAGCAACACGAGTCTTCGGAGAGGTTAAGCGACTTCCTCAGGGTCTCGCAGTCAGCCGGTAGCAGAGACCGGGTGTACAGCACCCGCATGTTAGGACCAAAAGCCGGACACTGCTGGATTGACCCCTCGCGGCCAAGCGGGGAAGAGGCATTTAGGGGTCCTTGCGCAGCCGCGTGGCCCCTCCCACTCGGCCCTCGATCCACCCTCCTTGAGAGCAGGCAGGATTCTAGCATCACCCAGTGCCTTCATCAAGAGTCTTTAACCCCAAGCCCGCTCGCTAGCGACCTCCAGGCCGGTTTGGGGCGCGGTGTGGCCGGTGGCGAGAGGTGGAGTGGGGGCGGAGACCGACCCAGTCTTCGCAACTCTATTTGCATACGGAGGCGACTCGCTTCCTTCCCGCCCCTCCGCCGCGCTCTTCTTCCTTCCTTCTCCAGTCCCTTCCACTGTGCGTCTTCTGTCCCCCGTTCTTCCCCAGCGGACCCCTCTTTCGAGACTCCCTAGTGGGGTCCCCAGCTCCCGGGCGATCCTGCCCTTGCCGAGCGCGTTTTCTGGAGTCACCTGGGGGAGGGGAGTCCTGGGCAGGGCCGGGCTGGGGAAGACGCCTGGGGCACTGCCCGGCGTTAACAAAGGGAGCCGATACCGACCGGCGTGGGCGCGGAGCGGGCGGCCGCCACCGAGCGTGCTGAGCAACCGCAGCCTCCGCGGCCGAGAGTGCAGCGAGTGAGTAGGGGGTGCGGTGGGCGGCGGCGCGGCCCGGGCTATCCCGGGAGGAGTGTGATGCAAAGGGGCGCGGGAGGATAGCGGAGGCGCGGGGCCCGCGGCGCGCGTAGGGCGCAGGGAATCTCTCTCCAGCTCCGCCTCAGCTGCCTTGGCTCCGGGGCTGGCCGCCTTTTGGTTGGGGGTGTGTGCATTTTTGTCAGGGCCAAAGGGCCACCCTGGCTTCTCTCTGGCTCCGCGAGCCTGCGGATCCACAACAAACCCACGTGCGCACAGCCCCGGGGAACACGGATTTCTCCACGGCACCGTCAGTATGGGGTGGGGTGGCGTGGGGGCATTGCGCCTTGCAGAGTCTGGGTTTACGGATCGACAAATTGAGGCCCGCGGCAGCGGAGGGGGCACAGGCACCATAACAAACGCACGTGCGCCCTGCCCGGAGAGCTGGACGCACTGCATACCCTTAGGGGCCGCCCTGCGGTGCCGGGCCATTGTCTCAGCCTCGGGGGAGGGAGTGGCTCTAGAGGCGCCACTTGCTGGAAGAGGGCGAGAGAGACATTTAAAAGGTACCGCTTGGGCATCAGACTAAACTGCCAGACTTAAAAAGGGAAACCAAAACAAGAAAGCAGCTACAAAAAGGTTACTCCAGGCTGAGTCGGTCCCCGGCCGTGGCGCATTCTTTTGGGTGAAGTGGACCACCCCTCACCTTCACCTCCTGGAGGTCTCTTAGAGATGTGGGTTGGGTTAAGGGTCTAAGGGTGCCCCTCAAAAAAAGAGAGTGCTGGGTGCACTATTGTCCCCGCACTCCGGCGATTGCCTCTGTGGGGATATTTTGGTCGCCTCCTCAGCCTGCGGGAAGAATGTACGAGTCGCCCAGTGCGGTCTTGCTCTTTGCCTCTGAGGCCCGTGTCCGTGTGCCCAGACACCCCAGATGTCACTAGCCCCTTTTGGCTTGTTAATGCATTTTCGCAAGCAAGGCCAGCCGAGACCTCGTATTCTAGCTGGGGACGTACAATTTTCAGTTCTGAGTTTATTTGAAAGAAATTCCGAGGTCCGGAAAAAGAGAACTCTTGTTTGTTTTGCTTTTTCTTTGCTTACATATGCTCAGCTCAGCTTTGCAGATGTTAATCGGACACGATCTGCAGCGGGGAGATGGTTTCGCGGTGAATTGGTCTCTGAGGCGATGGTGTTGGTGCAGGTTGTGGGCGTGCAGTGTGAGCAGGAATGGAGGCGCCGCCGCCCCAGTGTGTGCCTGCTGAGCGGGCGGGCTGCTGCCTCACCTTGGCTAGTGTGGCTGAAGATTAACCTGTCCCCGGGGGGGGAACTGGAGAGCCTCCAATCCTATTCCGCTGTTATTGAAAAGGTCTAGAGAGCATCTAGGGAGCCTTCTCATTTTACAGGCAGGAAGCTGAGGCCGGAGAGTTCAGCCACTTGTCCAAGTTTAAACCGGGTGAAACGGGCCACAGAGAGAACACTTGAGTGTGGGTCTCCCAACTCCCACTGCATCGCTCAGCGGGCAACTAAAGGCAAAACCGGGATTCTGTGATTGGCCTAAAAGGCAGTGGCCTTAGGCAGAATAGGGTGAAACAAAGAGTAATTCAAATAGAAAGCTGCACCCTTCCATTATCCCTTTCAAGAATTCTTTATTCTGTTGAGAAAAAATAGATTTAGTAATTCCTTACTCTCCTTCAAGCCTTTCAAAAGCTTAGTTATTTTTCTCTCCTGGCTGCCCCTTCCCCTCAAATTGGAATAAGGCCAGCTACGGAGACTCAGATGTTTTGCCTCTCATCCTTGTGCCAGGAGGCCTTTGTTTGGGCAAAAGCATGGGCTGTTGACATCAGCCCCACGGGGAAGAAAGTGTGTCTTAGCAAGCTACTCCTGAGCCACTTGTGGGAGAACAAAGCATTGTTTTCACTGATCTTATTAAAGTTACTTTTTTTTTAACGAGAGTCCCATGGAAGTAGCTGCTTATTTTTGTATTTGGCAGAGAAGTAGGAAAACCAAAAAAACACTGAGAAGCCGGATTTCCCCAAAGTTAACATGTTGTTTTGCACTGTGCCTGTTATCTCCTAGTTACACTTGTTTCTTTTCCTTAGAGTTTCCAGCGTGTTTCACTTTCAATGTGATTCTGGTAGCAACAGGAGGCAGCTGGATGCCTAGGCAGATAGGGTCAGGTACCCGGTGAAACCCCCACCTCCAGGCCAAAGACAGTTTAAAGCCTGAAAGCCAAGCTACGAGTTAAATCCTCAGACCAGAGTGAGAACTTGTTTGGCGTGCTTTCCCCTAATTGATTCCTACATTTCGCCTGTTTTACATATACCCACTTTTTCCTAATTGGTTTTCTACGCTGCCGTGCCCACCTTTGAGTGGTGTCTTTGCTTTCATCTTTTTTGCATACTCACAAACCGGTCAGCATGCACTCCCTATTCTGAGTCCATAAAAGGCCCCTGACCCAGCCACATTGGGGAACTTTTCCGTCTTCAGGTAGGGGACCAACCCGGTGTCCCCTCTCTGCTGAAAGCTGTTTTCAACACTCAATAAAATTCTTATCTGCCTTCCTCTCCCTTCAATGTCCAGTGTATCCTCATTATCCTTTGGTGTGGTGCACGAGCTCGGAACCACCGAACGCGGGTACAAGCTATAATACAGTGAGCTGGGACACACCTGCATGGCCGAGCGAGCACAGGTGGGGCATTGCTGGCCCGAGGACCAAGAAGAAAAATCCTACATCAATTCCTCTTGGCACTGCAGTATAGTTTTCTCACCAGGACGCTGACCCTGTAAGGAACTTCAGAAATCATGTGACTGGACCCTTTTACTTTCCAGATGGGAAAAGTGAGGCCTAGAGAAGAGAAATTGCTTGCCTAATGATACACAACAATGCGTGGTCTACTTTTAGTGCACCTTTTTGCGTAAAAGGGAAATGGTTGCATCAAACCAGTAGTTGTTGGTACTCCAGAGAAAAGCCAAAGTTATGGTTGTTATAACAACACCCTTTAAGTCAGAGAACCAATTCCTTATGGATTTAAATAGGTTTGGTTATTAAGCAAAGCCAGGGATCCCAGTAGTAGGTATGCTGAATAGTGCAATTATCTCTGGGGATCAGCTTTCTTTAGTGTTTGCTGAACGGTTCACTTTACTCTTGTGCTGGGTTCCTCCATGTCTCTGTCTTGTGCTTCCCCATTTAGGGGCTGCTTTGTATGAAATCATAAGGCAAGAGGCAGTGAGAAGACAGAAGAGAGAGGCGCCACTTAGCTGTTCATGCTACTTAACCTCTTGGGCTCCAGTTTCCTTCTTTGTACAGTGAGGGTTCTCCTTGCCCAGTCTCTGCACAGGCTGTTCCAGCGGAGCGGAAGATGCTCAGGCCATAGGAGGGGTTTGGGGTCATCTTCCTGTCTCTAGTATTACTTTAAAACCAGCAGGCTGGGCCAGGTGTGGTGGCTCACTCCAGTAATCACAGCACTTCAGGAGGCCGAGGAGGGAAGAGTTCGAATTCCTTGAGCTCAGGAGTTTGAGACCAGCCTGAGCAACATAGTGAGACTACCTCCCCCACCGCCATCTCTACAAAAAATAAAAGAACAAAATTAGCTGGGCATGGTGGCGTACTCCTGTGGTCCCAGCTACCTGGGAGGCTGAGACAGGAGAATCGCTGGAGCCTGGGAGGTGGAGGTTGCAGTGAGCCGCGATCTCACCACTGTACTCCAGCCTGGGGACATAGCGAGACCCTGTCTCAAAAACAGAAAATAAAACAAAACAACAACAACAGAAAACCAGCAGGCTGCCTCTGCGTTGTGTAAAGTGAGGGGAGTAAGGCGTATGAATCTCCTGGGGTTGTTGAGGGCATTAAGTCACATGATGCATTCTTATGACTGGTCAGACCTCTTGGCAGGCTTGAGTGCTTACCAGCTTTTAAAAAATTTTATTTATTTATGTATTTATTTATTTATTTATTTTTTCAGATGGCGTCTCGCTCTGTCACCCAGGCTGGAGTGCAGTGGTGCAATCTCGGCTCACTGCAAGCTCCGCCTCCCGGGTTCACGCCATTCTCCTGCCTCAGCCTCCCGAGTAGCTGGGACTACAGGTGCCCGCCACCACGCCCGGCTAATTTTTGTATGTTTAGTAAAGACGGGGTTTCACCTTGTTAGCCAGGATGGTCTCGATCAAAAATTTTATTTTTTTTAAACTTTTATTTTGGGTTCAGAGGTACATGTGCAGGTTTGTTATACAGGTAAACTTGTGTCACGGGGGTTTGGTGTACAGAGTATTTAGTCACTCAGGTACTAAACCTAGTACCCAGTAATGATTTTCCCTGCTCCGTTTCCTCCTCCCACCCTCCACCCTTCAAGAAGGCCCTGGTGTCTGTCGTTTCCCCTCTTTGTGTCCACGTGTTCTCATTATTTAGCTCCCACTTATAAGTAAGAACATGTGGTATTGATTTTCTGCTCCTGCATTAGTTTGCTAAAGATAATGACCTCCAGCTCCATCCCTGTTCCTGCAGAGGATATGATCTCATTCTTTTTTATGGCTGCATAGTATTCCATAGTATATATATATATGTACCACATTTTCTTTATCTAGGCTACTGTTGATGGGTATTTAGATCTTTGCTGTTGTGAATAGTGCTGCAGTGAACATATGCGCGCATGTGTCTTTATGGTAGAACAATTTATATTCCTTCGGGTATTTACTCAGTAATGGGATTGCTGGGTCAATGGTAGTTCTATTTTTAGTTTTTCGAGCAATCCCCACACTGCTTTCTACAATGGTTGAACTAATTTACACTCCCACCAACAGTGTATCAGCATTGCCTTTTCTTTGCAACCTTGCCAGCATCTGTTACTTTTTGACTTTCTGATAATATCCATTCTGACTGGTGTGAGACCAGCTTTTAAAGTGGTAGGGAATGTTAGTGGGAGAATGACCCCGTAGGGTAAGCTCATGTGCTCAGATTAGAAGACCTCACCTGTCACAAAGAGGTGTAAAGCAAGGCCTGCCAAACTATCAAGGGAGGCTTTGAGCAGTTGTGAAGTTTGTGTGACTCTAAGGTGACTAGAACTAGTAAAAAAAAAAAGAAAAAAACCCAGAACCTTCACACATAAGTGAGTAATATCTCAAGTCATTCTATTTATGTATTCTGTATTTACCGACAAACAGGTGGTGGGAGTGGAGGGGGTCTTGTGCTTAGCCTGGGATTACAAAGAGCATGGAGACCCACCCATTCTTTGTCCGAGGGAAGTCCAGCCTAGCTCCACCACCCTTGCTTAAAACACTTTTGGCTCTCCCTTAGAAATTGCCCTCAGGAGCTCAGAGAAAATTGATCTAATTTGTCTCAGTATTGACCTCTGGGGTCCCCTTCTCTTCATGAATAAAGGGAAGAGCAGGTGGTAAATGACAGAATACAAGAGGGAAGGCTTCAGAGAAAATCTGGCCCTCCATAAATATGAGGACATGGTTGCATTAAAAATATACAGGAATAATTCATTAATGAAATTCACAGTAATTGTTCTGGACCATTAGATTCCTGAGAATTTAGACAGGGAATTAGTTGCTCTGATGTAGTATCAGTGATTTGTTCCATAAGAACTGAATTAGAGGCAAATGAATTTTTTCTTGCTTGTCTGCAGAAAACTATACGATGGCAGTCTGACTCCTATAGATGTATTTTTGATAGGCTTATATGTAACAGTAGCATTGAGCAGTACAGTTTCACCATATTAAAATACTGAGATGATTTTCTAAGTAATTATTACACCAGAAAGGTCAGGTTAGCCTTCAGAATCAATGTAGTGATTTAAATTTTATTTATTCTGATTATAAAAATAAAGCTAGGGGCTGGGCACAGCGGCTCATGCCTGTAATTTCAGCACTTTGGGAGGCTGAAGCAGCTGGATCACCTGAGGTCAGGAGTTCAAGACCAGCCTGGCCAACATCGTGAAACCCCATCTCTACTAAAAACACAAAAATCAGCCGGACATGGTGGGCAGGTGCCTGTAATCTTAGCTACTTTGGAGGCTGAGGCAGGAGAATCGTTTGAACCCTGGAGGCGGAGGTTGCAGTGAGCCAAGATTGTATTACTGTACTCCAGCCTGGGTGACAGAGCAAGACTGTCTCAAAAAAAAAAAAAAAAAAAAAAAGAAAAAGCTTGACCATTGAGGATAATTTGGAAAGTACTGTACAAAAAAACATAGAGAAACAGAAAAAAATTCCGCTATCCAAAGGCAACCCCTCTTAACAGTTGGCAATTTTCCTTCTTCTTTTTTTTTTAAATGGATATATTTTTTGTAAATGGTTGAGAACATACTGTATGTGCAGTTATGTCTCTTGCCTTCTTGCTTAACCTTCCCATATATACATTTCATGGTTAACATTGCATTAAAGCTGTATTCTTTCATTCGTCACCCATATCAGCTGTTCGGCGTCTCCAAGGATGTGTGGGCCCCTGGGATCTGATCATTTCAGTGAGGGCCTATAAAATTTCAGGAGCCTCCAACTGCCTCTGCCTTTCCCACCATTGCCTCAGGTGTTCAGCCATCACCCGTCGGTTCTTTAGAAGTCTACAGGTACTGACAGTACAGTGGGGAGAGAAGAGGCCTGCACATGGCCTTGAGTTCCAGTCTGCCCTTGTGACCTTCAAAAACTTAACTTTAATACCCCAGTCTTCAACGTCTGCATATGTTAAATGAGCAACTCCAAGGTCACTTATTAATTTATTCACCACATATTTGAGTGCCCACTCTAAACCAAAGACAAATAAGAAGAGCTTAGTTTTTTAGAAGCTCATAGTTCAAAGGAGGAGGCAGGGGTAACAAGAGATTAGTGCAGGATGCCGTGCGACCTTGAGGAGGGAGTCACCAATGACTGGAGCAGTGGGAATGGCCTCCTGCATGAGGCCACACTGGACAGCCAACCACATCTAACTTTCTCTTATTGTAATTGACACTGTGATTAAAATATCTGTGAAGAGCCAGGAGTGGTGGCTCACTCCTGTAATCCCAGCACTTTGGGAGGCTGATGCAGGCAGATCACCTGAGATCAGGAGTTCGAGACCAGCCTGGCCAACATGGTGAAACCCTGTCTCTACCAAAAATACAAAAAAACAGCCAGGCGTGGTGGCGGGTGCCTATAATCCCAGTTACTCAGGAGGCTGAGGTGGGAGAATTGCTGGAACCCAGTAGGCGGAGGTTGCAGTGAGCTGAGATCGCACCACTGCACTGCAGACTGGGTGACAGAGCAAGACTGTCTCAAAATGAAATGAAATGAAATAAAATAAAATATTCATGAAGAAATCTCTGTTCATTTTCCAGATGATTCCCATAGGGTAGTCCTAAAGTTGAAATTACTGGGTTATACTTTAAAGGGTATGACCATTTTTAAAACTTCATGGATTTAGTTCAATTACCTATAAAGTCTTAAAGTAGCTAAATATATATTGTGGGAATGGGAAAAACTAACAGCGCAAGCAAGTCGGGATTTGCTTTCTTGCCCACTATGTATCGCCTATGTAGACTTGGACAAGCTACTTAAGCTTACTAAGCTTCAATTTCCTTCTCTGTAAAATGGGGATAACAGACCTTATCTCATAGGGTGATTATGAGCATTAGATGAAATCGTGGGTGAAAGGCTCAGTACAGTGCCAGGTATACAAGAAGCATTCAGTTAAGTAATAGCTGTTATTGTTATAACTGAGGTTTTCACAAGCCGCACACTTTTGCTCCTGATATTTTTTCTTACCATGACAGCAGGCCATTGTTTGGTTTTCTGTGCTGAGGGAAGCAGAAAGTTAATTAAAATGGAAACCCCCACCAAGTGACAAGTTGAGAGAGAAAAATGATCGTTCACATGATGCATAAAAAAAGAATAAAAGGTCTTTTTTATTAGGGAAAATTTCAAACATACAAAAGCACAAAGAAGAGTGTAAGGAACCCTATATCATATCCCTTGGCTTCAACTATGACTGAAACGCATGGCTGATCCGTAACCCCATGGTCAACCCCAGATTACGTGCAAGTACATCCCAGACATCTTATCAGCCGAGCCATAGCTATTTCAGTCACATGATACATATTTGAGGCACTGAGTTGTGCTGGCTAAGAGCCTGCCTCTGCTGTCGCAGTCATGGGACTGTGTGTGTGTATGTGTGTGTAGGGAGGATTGGGAGTCAGGAGAGAGACAGAAAGTCAACCTAGGACCTTTAGGGAGGATTGGGAGTGAGGAGAGAGACAGAAAGTCAACCTGGGACCTTTTTTTTTTTTTTTTCTTTTTTGAGACAGGGTCTCGCACTGTCACCCAGGCTGGAGTGCAGTGGGATGATCATGACTTGCTGCAGTCTCTGACCTCCCAGGCACAAGCGATCCTCCTGCCTCAGCCTCCGAGTAGCTGGGACTACAGGCATGCACCACCACACCCAGTTAATTTTATTTATTTTTTTTGTAGAGATGGGTGTCTCACCGTGTTGCCCAGGCTTGAACTCCTGGGCTCAACCGATCCTCCTGCCTTGGCCTCCCAAAGTGCTGGGATTACAGGCATAAGCCACTGTGCCCAGCTTCCAACCTGGGCACTTCTTAAGCTTTACTGCCCAAGTAAGGAGGCCTTGCTGTGTCACAAATAGACAGGGTGGAAGGAGCACTGAATTCGGAGTCAGGAAACCTGATTTCAAATAAGGGCCCCACCCCTTAATGGATTTATGCTTTTAGAAAGTGACTTTTGAATTTCTTGGAGCATATTTGTAAACATTTTGTGAGTATTAAATGAGATAACCCATGTGACAGCTCAAGTGGCTCAATATGAGTTGGACCTAAATCAGACTCGAGCCCAGCCTTCCCTTCCTGAGAGGCAGCCTCCATATGCAGTTTAGGTCCCTGACTGCCACCTGCAGCCTCACCAGAATGCATTCAGGGAGCGTTGCTGCCGGTCTCTCATGCCGAAGATGTGGTGGTAGCTCAGATGAGCACCTGACACACACAACGCCCCATGCTTGCAAATCTCCCATCCCCTCTGTTAGTTAGCCCCTTCCCTCTGCTTTATGGATGAGGATGGGGGACCTAGAGAAGGTCCCAGTCCTTGGTAGCAGGCCCTCTCTCACACCCCATCTATGGGAAGACAGGGTCCCTTTTCTACCTCTGACTTTGATGATTCTTGGTCTCCTCTAACTTGCTGTTACACCCAAGTAGGAATTTTTGACTCAAATAAAATAGGAAAGTCGATCCGATTTAGTAATCAAGTCAAAGTCCTCTCCTTAATCCACTGGGACACCCATTATTTCAAGACCTGGACTGTGACTTGTGGTCTCTGGCTGTTGGTGGCTAGCTCTGTGACCTTGGACAAATGCATGCCACCCTGGGTATGCCACCTCAGAGAATCAACTCTCAGCCCTGTGCAGCCCCTTCCAGCTCTGAGATTATCAAATGAAACATACATGTAAGACTGGGAGGCTTCTTCACATAAATAATAAATGAAATGGTTTTTTTTTTAGAGTATTCAAATGGGGTAAAAAATTAACCCCTCAGCTTATGCCATTCCTCCCTCATTCCACTTCTCTTTGCAATGACTACTGTTTGCAGTTTGATGTCTGTCCTTCTAACCCCTTTGTACACATTTATATATGTATTTGTGGCTATATGCAAATACATTTTTAAAACTCAGTAGATGGATTACAATCAAACTTGTTCAACCCGTGGCGTGGGGGCCGCATGTAGCCCAGGATGGCTTTGAATGCGGCCCAACACAAATTCGTAAACTTTCTTTAAAAATTATGCGTTTTTTTGTGTTTTTCTTTTTTCTTTAATCTCATCAGCTATCATTAGTGTTAGTGTATTTTATGTGTGGCCCAAGATAATTCTTCCAGTGTGGGCCCAGGGAAGCCAAAAGATCGGACATTCCTGGCATTATACTAGTCCATTTACAAACTTGCCTTGTTCATTTTACTGTGTGTATTGGAGGTCTTCCCATGTCAGTGTTTTTTTTTTTTTTTTTCATAGCTGCATTGCATTCTATATTTTGAATGTGTTTACCTTACCAATCTTCTGTTGATGGACATTTATGTATTCCCATAAAAATATATTTCTAAGTGTTTTTAGACCTCAAACATATGGAGAGATGGTTGTAAATGTCAGTGGGTTAAATGAACCTAGTCCATCAAGTTCTGGAAAGGATGGTGAGAGAGTGGGCACAGAAACACTGGGGTCTGCACTCTGGAAAGCTGAATTGAAGGGCTCTCAGGAAGCTACCAAGAGGCTGTTTGCATGGAAGGTTATTTTTGGAGATAGCCTGCCTGGTTTGGTGTCCTCAGCTTCAAGTGCAAACACTGAGCTGCGTCATCACGTTCCCCTCCCCTTCCCACCATCCTTGGGCCTTCCAAGTTTGTTTCTGGTCTCAGGGTCAGGAACAGGACCTCGTGGGAGAACTGGCACTTAAGTGGTAGGGAGGGAGGAGAGAGAACTGAAGAAAAGGAGTGTTTGATCTCGGGCTCTGGAGGAGGAATTGTTACAGTTATATTGTACTTTGTCTGGTTGTTCAAACCTACCTGGAGTGTTATGCTTCCCTGGGTCCCCTCCAGAGAGTGATAAAATGATGCACACCCAGAAATTGGCTACTTGGATGACAGTGGCTTAGGACAACATATCGGAGGTGGAATAAATGTGGAAACTAGGACTTTCTAGTCTGCAAGAGATAAAAATAAGAGGCATCCTTTTCATGCGGAAGAAATCACACTTCATTACAGTCACACTGAGTGGCTGCTGCAGACGGGAGAAGCAAGATGGGCGGGGGGTGAGGAGGGGAAAGAGTTGCAGGAAAACAAATAAGGAAGAACTGACTTAACGGAGCTACCCAACAATGGAACAAGCTGTGTTACAAGGAAGCCACTGCCGTGTTATAAAGTGATCCAAGCAAAAGTTGCAAGTAGGCTGGGCACGGTGGCTCATGCCTGTAATCCCAGCACTTTGGGAGGCCGAGGCAGGCGGATCATGAGGTCAGGAGATAGAGACCATCCTAGCTAACACAGTGAAACCCCGTCTCTACTAAAAATACAAAAAATTAGCCCGGCGTGGTTGTGGGTGGCTGTAGTCCCAGCTACTCGGGAGGCGGAGGCAGGACAATGGCGTGAACCCAGGAGGCCGAGCTTGCAGTGAGCCGAGATCATGCCACTGCACTCCATCCTAGGCGACAGAGCAAGACTCCGTCTCAAAAAAAAAAAAAAAGTTGCAAGTAAACTTGTTTGCCATCAGAGGACTTCTGCATTGCAGAGGGGTTGACCTCAATGGCCACTTAGGCCCCCTGCAGCTTTGAGAGTCTGTGACTATGGGGCAAGAAGCAGAAAGGTGCAAACTAGAACTAAAGGGGTGGGACAAGTTATAGACAATGTAGTGAAGTAGTTTTCACCTGCTCTGAAAAGGTGGAATAAGATGGAAGCCATCAAAGGAGGCTTAAGCCTTGTTTCCCTTGGATCTTGGCAACTCTCTCCCTGTTCTGTCCTTGGCTTCAGCTCCCTTTGACCTTGTATTCTTAAATTATTTCCACAGGAATAAATACCTTACGTACACTTTAGATGATCAGGAAATCTGGCACCTGGAAAAGAACTGCATGTCCCAGGAGGATGGTTGTAAGTTTTTTCATTGCAGTCTTTGTAAATCTGCATCCGTCTGTTGGTTGATGGAGTTTTCCTTAGTACAGTGCCGAGCTTCCAGCTTTAATTTTAGGAATGCTGTACCCTTTACAACCTCTCGATGGTCCTCTGTGCTGGAATCGAGGGCACCCACCGTGTTTAAGGCTGATCCCTTTCTTTCCTGCAAGTGAAGAAGAATGTTTTGACTTAAGTCTTAACCAAGTCTGGTGAAGGAAACGTGGCAAAATTTACCATCTTCTGGGCTTTTGCTGTGTGCCTGGCCCTGATTAGGCATGTTGTGTGTTCTCTCATCCAATCATCACAGGAAGATCTGCTGTGTCGGTATCATTAGCTCCATTTTGCAAATAAGAAAACCAAGCTTCAGAAAGGGCTAGAAACTCATCTAAAGTTTCAGGTGCCCACCACTACGCCCAGCTAATTTTTGTATTTTTAGTAGAGATGAGGTTTCGCCGTGTTGGCCAGGCTGGTCTCAAACTGCTCACCTCAGGTGATCCACCGACCTCGGCCTCCCAAAGTGCTGGGATCACAGGTGTGAGCCACTGTGCCGGGACTGCAGTGCTCATTTTTAGAACATAGATCCAAATAATCCCCATAGTCTGTTGCTTCCAGAGCTTAGTTGAAGGCAGATATGCACATATTAATTACAATATAGTGTGATAAATATTATGATTTGGGTGTGCACAGATGATGGGAAGAAGATCCAGTAAGTTTGGGAAAGATTTCTGGAAGAGGCAACACACAAGCTGTGTCTTAGAAAGTAGTAGCTGTTAGCCTCTGGGAAATGAGCATTTTTGAGGCAGGGGAAGGCTGCAGGAGCAAAGATTTGAGGGTGAGAAATGGCTCATTGTATATGTCAGGGAAACACTAGCAGGTTGATATTCCTGGAGAGAAATGCATGAGGCATGAAGTGGCGGGACTTGAGGCTGGAACCATTACATGTGTTATTTAATAGAATTTTCATAACACTGCATACACTATTATTATCTCAATTTTTTATTTTATTTTATTTATTTATTTTTAGACGGAGTCTCGCTCTTGCTCAGGCTGGAGTGCAGTGGTGCGATCTCGGCTCACTGCAACCTCCGCCTCCCGGGTTCAAGCCATTCCCCTGTCTCAGCCTCCTGAGTAGCTGGGATTACAGGTACACACTACCATGCCTGGCTAATTTTTGTATTTTTAGTAGACATGGGGTTTCACCATGTTGGTCAGGCTGGTCTCAAACTCCTGACCTCGTGATCCGCCCGCCTCAGCCTCCCAAAGTGCTGGGATTACAGGCATGAGCCACCATGCCCGGCCTATTATCTCAGATTAATAGGCGAGGAAACAAAGGTTGAAGGAGATTCAGTGACTTGCTCAAAGTCAGACCGTGAGTGTGTTGAGTTGCGTGGTCTTGAACATAGGCCTGCTTGCCTCCAGAGCCCATGTCTCAGCCTCCACTTCAGTGCCTGCAGAGGCAGGCTGTGAAAGTCTGGCTTGCTGGCTAAGACGATTGTTCCCTCTCTTTTAATGTTTCAAGGACAACATCCCTTGCCGAATCCTCTTCTTTCAACCTGCCTCATGGTGTTACCCAACTTTTTGTTAAATTGGGACTAGTGGGTCTGATGTTGACAGGTTTTCTGAGTCTTGGTTCTAGGGTTCACCTTCCTTTTTATCCAGCCAATCAGTAATCCAGAAGTCTTCAAATAAAATCTTTATGTGCCCAACCACGTGTGAAGAGGGAGAAGATTCATCTCGTTTCTCAAAAGATCCAGGTTTATTTGTGAGCCCAGGTAGTGCCTGCGAATCCTTTAGTTTGGAGAAACACTTTGGGGACTGGAACAGGAACAATCACAGCTGGCTGGAGGAACGTGGGGTAATGGGCCTTGAGCTGTCCCTTTAAGGATGAGTAGGAGTTGGGAAGGTGGAGGGCATAACATATGAGCAAAATTATTGTCTCACTTAATGGTGAATGGGACATCTTTTGCCTATTCTCCCCATCCTCCAAGATAATTCCTGGGTTAGAGTTGGCTCTCGGGTAGGAGAGGCAGTATGGGGAATTCATTCATGCAAAATCAAGATTATTGAAAACTAATTAATTGGATCCCAAAGACAAGATGATGAAACTACTCAATGAAATAAAAAAGGTAATTACAGAGCCAAGGAAGACATTGGGGATAAAAACAATGTCATTACAGAAAAAGTTACCAGGAAACATAACAGAATCTGTTGAAAATGAAATTGCTAACAGAGAAGGAAGGCTTGAGGAAAATCACAGCCTATGCTGAGAAAAAAGATAACGCACTTAAATCAGAGATCTAAAGATCATACAAAGGTGGGCCTTCAAAAGGGTAATTGGAGAGTCTGCGGAGGCACTCGTCGCTTTTGCTCATATTCCATTGGCCAAGACTTAGTCACATAGATAGACACACCTGGCTGTAAGTAACTCTGGGAAAAAGTCTCCAGCTGAGAGGCCATATGCCTTCTTAAAACTCAGTTTTGGGGAAAGCTTTCTACTACTGAAAGGAAAACCTGGATATTGGGATCAACTAGTATCTGCTTTAAGGGAAGTCATGTTGGTCTCAGACATGACTGAACAGGTTTACAGAGGCCAGGTGAGGTGGCTCATGCCTAAAATCCTAGCACTTTGGGAGGCAGAAGCCTGCGGATCGCTTGAGGCCAGAAGTTTGAGACCAGCTTGGGCAACATAGCGAGACCCTAATGAAAATCATCAGCTGGGTGTGGTAGTGCATGCCTGTAGTCCTAGCTACTTGGAAGACTGATGTGGGAGGATCCCTTGCCCAGGAGCTCGGGGCTGCAGTGAGCTATGATTGTGCCACTGTGCTCTGGGCTGGGTGAAAGAGCAAGACCCTGTCTCTATTTAAAAAAAAAAAAAAAAAATTGTTTACAGAGTTCTGGGGCAAAGGCAATGGGACTGAAGAATTTTACACTCAAATTACTTTGCAAGTATGTCAGGCAGACATCCTCACACTTGCAAGAATTTAGGGAATCTAGCACTGAAGAGGCCTTCTCAGGAAACCCACTTGAGGAAGAAAAAGATTAATCGACAAACATACTTAGAAGGCATAGTGGAAGGTCAATTGGTGAACTCTTAATCCGTTCAAATAGAGAAGCAAAGCTAAGCAGGGGCAGGGATGGGCAGTGAGGACTAAGGAACAGAATGTGAGGAAGTAGAAAGAATATACCAGAAATAGGGGGTTAGGGGAGACGTGAGGAGATGTTAAGTGCTAACTTTAATTAGAAGTGTACCTTTTCCGGCTGGGCACGGTGGCTCATGCCTGTAATCTCAGCACTTTGGGAGGCCAAGGCGGGTGGATCACGAGATCAGGAGATCGAGACCATCCTGGCTAACACAGTGAAACCCTGTCTCTACCAAAAAAAAATACAAAAAAATTAGCCAGGCGTGGTGGTGGGCACCTGCAGTCTCAGCTACTTGGGAGGCTGAGGCAGGAGAATGGTGTGAACCTGGGAGGCGGAGCTTGCAGTGAGCCGAGATCGCGCCACTGCACTCCAGCTTGGGTGACAGAGCAAGACTCCGTCAAAAAAAAAAAAAAAAAAAAGAAGGGTACCTTTTCTGGCCGGGCGCGGTGGCTCATGCCTGTAATCCCAGCACTTTGGGAGGCCAAGCGGGTGGATCACCTGAGGTCAGGAGTTCGAGCCCAGCCTAACCAACATGGTGAAACCCCGTCTCTACGAAAAATACAAAAATTATTTTGTACTGGGCATGGTGGCGGGCGCCTGTAATCTCGGCTGCTCGGTGGGGCTGAGGCAGAAGAGTGGCTTGAACCCAGGAAGCGGAGGTTGCAGTGAGCTGAGGTCGTGCCACTCTAGCCTGGGCGACAGAGTGAGATTCCATTTCAAAAAAAAAAAGTGTTCCTTTTCCTTATAAAATAAAATAATAAAATTAGCTATTTTATTTTACTTTTAAAAAACTTATTATTATTATTTTTTGAGACAGTGTCTCATTCTGTCACCTAGGCTGGAGTGCAGTGGCGCGGTCACTGCTCACTGTAGACTCGATCTCCCGGGTTCAAGTGATCCTCCCGCCGGCCTCCGAAAGTGTTGGGATTACAGGTCTGAGCCACTGCTCCTGACCCAAAACAGCTATTGTGTAAAGCAATCCCCATCTATCCTTTCACGCATGCTTTCTTCCATCTTTCACACTTCTATCCATATACAGATATAGAGACTTGAGGAATGATACTAATTCATTTATTTTTTCCTGGATAGAGGGCTCTTGGGTGATTTTTAGCTCTATATAGTTTTGCATATTGATTGACATTTTATAAATAATGAACTAGTCTTACTTAAATCAGACCACTGAAGCTATTCTGAAAGGCACCATTAAAAACTGGTTCCTGGGGAGTGAAGAGTGGGAACGGAGATACAGATGGATGAACACTGTGGGGGATTTGAGAGTCAGTTATGCAAACACCTCACTCTAGGCAGAACAAAATACGTTATCAATCAGATGGACAGCTGGGGATTGGGGCCCACACGACAATGGAAAAGGTTTCACCCAGGAGACCGATGGAGTTTTGATAGGTGGAGAATGGGAGAAAGGACCTTTCTGGCCTGGGGGCAGCAGGAACACAGGCCTGGGGATGAAGGGGCGTTGGCATGTCTGGGGTTACTGGGAGCAGTTTGTTGGTGGTTCGTGGTTGGAGAAGCAAGGATGAAGGAAAACATGGCTGCTGTTAATACAGTGTGCACAGCACACTAGATACTACACGTAGATATCTCTAGGTTGCCCAACAACCCTATAGCACAGGTACAATTATCTCTACTGTACACATGAGGGAACTGAAGTTAAGGGTGAGAGATCTGTGCTTGCTTCAGCAGCACATACACGAAAAGTGCAATGGTACAGAGAAGGTGAGCATTAAAAAATAGTGATGTTTATCTGCCCAGAGGCGCATGGTGGTGAGACTGATTTGAGCTCCCTGTGCTGCCTGCACAGCCATGCCCATGGTTTTTCTATTGTGCTATGATTTGTGGTGCACAGAGACCGGAATCAGCCACCTTTATGAAACACAAAATGTAAAAATAATTGTATAGGTAAATATTTTATAAGTAAGTCTATTTTATACATTTACGTTTATGTTTAGATTGGTATTTATTATTATTTACATTTACCTATAAAATAAAACATGGTTTAGATGTAAATTTTGTAGGTAAATTTTTAGGTAAATATAAGAGCCTACATGATGGTCCAGACTCCACCATCCAGCAGCCGTGTGGCCCCAGGCTACTTAATCAGAACCCTAATTTCCTTGCCTATAGAAGGGGATAATAATTGTGCCACTGCCTAGCCTGAGATTAGTTTTTATGTTCAAATTAGATCATAGACGTTAAGGATGAGACAGTTTGAAAGAGGCACACAGAAGGGTTTGTTATTGCGGACACACCCCTTGCTCTGCTGAGAGCATACATCTGTTCAAGCACCCACAGGTGTCTGTGAAAATGTTCACAGTCATAGACACAGCCCCTACAGGGTTGACACAAACAACCTGGTCAACAGGCAAGAAACTGCTTCCCTGACTCAGTTAACCAGCTGGAGGCTGTAATGAAAGGCAGCAGAGAGTGAGGGAGGGAGGAGGCAGGGAGTGTGTCTGGCTCTCTCCCTGCCTGGGTGAGAATCCGCTCTTGCCTGCCTTCCTGGTTGCTGGGGAATTTCTGGGCCAGAGTTGCGTCGGGATGGCTGTCAACAGCTTGGTGAGGGTGGAGGAGGCTGTTCCAGACGTGCCAAGCTACAGGAATGAATGTTGGAGCTGCCACGCCGGCAGGCCCTGCCATGTCTGGTAGACGCCAGTGGTCTGAAAGAGGGACCAGGAAGGATAGGGTTGTCAGGGGACTTCGGTGGCCAGCTTTATTCTCCAGAAGTACCGATGAGGACAAAGCAAGGCCCTGACCTCAAAGAAATTGGGCTTCTGACAACACTTATCAAACTGGGCGGGCAGCCAGACCTCTGCTCTGAGCTAGTGTGGCTGGAGGCACCTGACGTTTGCTCCGGGAAGGATCAGGATGGTTGTAGGGTGTGGGCTGGGGCCTGGTATGCTCTTGGGGGTTCAGAAACTCTAGTGTGTGTGTGTGTGTGTGTGTGTGTGTGTGTGTGTGTGTGTCTGTGTGTGTATGTGGTCGTTGGAGAGAGACCCAGGCTATTCCATATCGCTGAAGAGATCCGTTTCTTCCTTATCTCACTGGTCTCTCTGCTATACCAACACCTTTGGCTCAGCCTCAGCTCCAGCCAGCCTCAGTTCCGGAGGAGCCCCCTCAAATTCATGGCCCACAAAGGAGAGAGAAGACCTCCGATCTCTTGTGCCATGCTCACTATGCTATGTGAAATTTGCTATGTTAGACCTTGACATCCTGGATGGTGGGGATGATGACTGGTTTCTCTGCACAGCCCTGGGCCCAGTATCCTGCCCAGCCCTTAGGAGTCCTCATGGAATGAGCTCAGCTCCCGCGATGCTCCTGTTTGTCCACTGAGGTAAGAACACATCCAGCCACCAGTGAGTTGAGTGGGTGTTCTCTCGGTAAGATCAAGGTGTGACAGCAGGCAGTGAATTTGCAGTAGCCCGTGGTGGGAAGCCCGTGAGGCTGTAGTGGGCCCTCCTGCTCCACCAGAGAGTCATTTTTCCTACCTGCCAATTCTAGCCTTGGAAATAAAAGCCAAGCAGGCGGGTGAAAGAGGGAAAATTCTCTGGGATGGTTCATGGATCTGAGCCCTGGAGGAGAGTCAAGCTTGGGACCTTGTTCTTCTTGTCTTATTTTGGGAACCAGGGTCATAGGAATTTGTTCCAGGTGAGAGAGGGAAGAAGGCAGCTAGGGAGCTGTGACGTGGCAGCCAGGCTGAGTTATCAGTTACCTAAGAGTCTGCCTCAGGGATTGCCTTTGTGGACTGCACAGTGCTGGTTCTGGGAGGAGGCTGGCCTTGGGCCTGAGCTGGAGGTGGTGGCTGACAGTGTGAGGAATGAATCCCCAGAAGATGATTCCTGCCAGAGGGCTTGTGACGGCTCCTTTTTTGCTTTTCACAATGAACATCTTATTCTGGGCTGCAAATTTGGATGAGGGGAAAAAACTGGCCAGGAGGAGATGAACCAAAGGCGTCTCACAGGGAATCCTTCTGTACTTGAAGAGTCCTGCCCTTGTCTCCCCAGCCAGATCCAGTGACTCACAGTAGGAGGGCTTGGAGGCAACTCACTGCCTTCCCTGTTAACTACCGTTTGCAATGTCACCTTCCTCAGAAAGACCTTATCATTCGGAAAAAAAACCACATGCTTTGTAGCCAGACAGACTTGGGTTTAAATTCCAGATATGCCACTTCTCAGGTGTGCAAGCTTGGCAGCTTGGCCTCTCTGGTCCTCAGTTTCCTGTCTTAGTCTATATTCATCCTTTCTGCCTTGTAGCATTGGTGTGAGTCCTAGAGGTAGTGCCTAACCTAGTTTTGGGCACATGGTTGGAGACCAATAAATCGTGGTTATTTTCAATATCACAGCACATGTGAACGGTTATTCTCAGTTATTGTCCACCTGATGGGCCACTTTGCTAGGGGCTGTGAATAGAAAGAGAAATGAGATACAGCCTCTCCCTGGAGGAGCTCTCCATCTAGGAGGAGAGCCAGGCCTGTGGAAGGGGGCACAAAGGAAAGCAAGTTGCACAAGCTGTGGAGGGAGCTGGAGGCAGGGGCAGAGAAGGCCAGAAAAAGAGATGATATCCTCAAAGGCTTTAAAAGAATGAAGAAGAATCTGCCAGGCAGTTGGGGCGGGGGCAGCATTGGATCCACTCATAAGGGAGGGCAGAGCTAACAGTGGAGGCTCCCTGGACAGGTGAGCCCTCGGGCTTCCCCCTCTCTGCTGGCATTTGATCCTACTCAGTTTGGGTCAGGATAGAGTCTGCAGTCATTTTCCAGCAGGTGGTTTTACATGGGCAGGAATCCAGCCAGGCCTGACTGGGGGAGAGGGTGTTGAGGTGGCACTTGTCATCCCAGTGATCTCTCCATAGGTATCTGGGCTCCAGGCTTAGGGCTAGGAGCAGGAGTGGGCCTCCTCAGAGGGAGTGGGACAGATTACCAGGCAGGAACTGCAAAGGCAGAGCTCACTAAAGTGCAGGCTCCAGGTCATGTGGATGGAGGGGCTTCACAAAATGGTACAAAGCGGTTGTTATCAAATTCAGACAGCAGGTAGGTGGGAGGAGGGGTGACCTGTGACTTCTGTGATTTCTGGGAAGTCCACTGACCCTTTATGCAGTGCTCAGTGTCAAATAAAAAGAACCGGAGAAGACCACCTTGATAGTTAAGGATATACATTTGTGGTTTTAGTTATTCACAAATGACTCTAAAGTTCTGTGATATGATATGATTGGGTGAATCATTTGGATGAGATAAAAACAGGATTTTATTTGCTGCATGCATGTTGTGTGTCACCTAGGTGGTGATAAAAACAAACGTAGAAGCTTTCATTTACTGAACTCTTACCATGTCTGGGCATGCTATATGCTTTACAAGTATCTCATTTAGCCCTGGCTAAATCCAGCTCTTTGAACACCATACCTACTCCACAAATCTGAGTGTGACTGTAGAAAAGCATAGTGTCATCCTGAATGGTCCCACTCTAATTCTTTTTTGTTTATTTTTTTTGAGACAGAGTTTTGTTTTTGTCCCCCAGGCTGCAGTGCTATGGCGTGATCTCGGTTCACTGCGTGCAGCCTCTGCCTCCTGGGTTCAAGCGATTCTCCTGCCTCAGCTTCAGGCACCTGCCAACGTGACCCGCTCATTTTTTGTATTTTTAGTAGAGATAGGGTTTCACCATGTTGGTCAGGCTGGTCTCGAACTCCTGACCTCAGGCAATCCGCCCACATCGGCCTCCCAAAGTGCTGGGATTACAGGCATGAGCCACTGCGCCAGGCCGTAATTCTTGGCCATGACTCTTAAGGGGACATTGGTGTTGTAGGCCATGTCGCTTCATTTTGTTGGTCCATTGGTTCTCAACCCTGGCTGTCATTAGTGTTACTGGTGGGAATTATAACACGTATTGCTGCCTGAATTCCTCTCAAACTAACGAAATCAAAGTCTTTGTGAGGTTGACCTGGGCACCAGTATCTCTTTGTTAACCTGTGCTGTTAATTCCAATGAATGATAGTTGAGAAGCATGACCATTCCTCTGTCATCTAGATGACTGTTTCGCACCTTTTTCTCTCTCTTCAAGTCTCTAACACCTTCCCTATCCATACTCTCAGTTGATACCTTGTTTTAAACTTACCTGAAAAAATAATGGCAGTCGGAGGAAAACTTTCATACCTTTTGTCTTAGTCCATTCAGGCTGTGATAACAAAATACCGTAAACAGGGTGGTTTATAAACAAAAGAAATGTATTGCTCATAGTTCTGGAGGCTGGGAAGTCCAAGTTGAAGGCACCAGCAGATTCGGCGTCTGGTGAGAGCTTGCTTCCTAATTTATGGATGGTGCTTTTTCACCGTGTCCTCATGTGCTAACAGGGCTCACTAGTTCTCCAGAGCCTCTTTTATAAGGGTACTACTGTATGAGTCCATGTTGCCTTGCTATAAAGGAAAACCTGAGACTGAGTAATTTATAAAGAAAAGAGGTTTATTTGGCTCATGATTCTGCAGGCTGTACAGGCATGGCACCCACATCATCTTCTGGTGAGGCTTCAGGAAGCTTTTACTCACGGCAGGAGGTGAAAAGGGAGGGGGTGTGCCAATTTTTATGCTCCTGGAGAGAGTTGTCTGCATTTGCACCCTGCACTCCCTCTTCTCTCATTCTCATTTAAACTCAACATGATCAGTCTTTTGTACCCATCACACCACCAAAACCATACCGGTCAGGCTCACCAGTATCCTCTCTTGCCAAATCCAGTGGTCAGATCTCAGTCCCTATCTTGACTGATCAGCAACTTTTGATACAATTGACCATTCCATCCTCCTTGAAATAGTTTCTTCTCTTGGCTTCTGGAACATCACTGTCTTTGCTTTTCCTCTTCTCTCACTAGGTTCTCCTTCTCAGTTCCTTTTCTTGGCTCATTTTCTTTTCTTTTCTTTTCTTTTTTTATTTTTATTGAGATGGAGTCTCACTCTCTTACCCAGGCTGGAGTGCAGTGGCGCGATCTCAGCTCACTGCAACCTCCGCCTCCCGGGTTCAAGCGCTTCTCTGTTGGCTCATTTTCACTTGGTCACTGTGGAGTGCCTCTGGGAGTGGCCCTTGGACTTGGCCTCTTCTCTGTCTCCTCATGCCCTGGCCATCTCATATCATCAATTTCCTGACAACCCTCAATTTATATTTCCAACCCACACCTTTCCCCTGAGTTCCATGCTCAGATATTCAACCATCTACTTGACAAGTTTCCTTAGACATCTAATATACATCTCAAATATGACAAGCCCAAAATCGAACTGCTGCTTTTCTCCCTAAAAGAGCCATCCTCATTTCAGTGGACAACAATTTCATCTTTCCATCTTTTAGGGCTTAAACTCTGGAGTCATTCTAAATTCTCTTTCTCTCATGCTGCACCCACTCTGTTAGCAAACCATGTCAGCTGTGCTTTCACAATAAATTAAGAAACAACTACTTAATTCATCAAATTCATGTTGGTCCAGGACAGAAGACCTGTTCTTTCTCTTAGAATCGTTTCACAACTGAGCCTCCTGCTTGTAGTCTTGCTCCTGTGGTATGTTCTCAAAACAGTAACCAGAGTGATCATTTTAAAAGCTGTAGTGATGTGTCATTCTTCCGCTCAAAAACCAGGAAAGGCTTCCTCTTTTACTCAGAGCTTAGAAAGGCCTACAGGATTCTGTGTGACCCAGCCTTCAGACCCTGCAGACTTCATCTCCTGCTCTTTTCCACCGCTTCATTCTGCTTCACCTCACTGAGCCTACTCCTCAGATATAAAGCACACTTTGGTCTCAGAGCCTTTCCACTGCTTCCTCCAGGCAGGACACCTTCCTTCATGTATCCTATTGTTTTCGTCTCTTCTTCAGGTTTCTATTTAGATGTCACCTTGTCAAACAGGCCATTTGACAGCCTTATATAAGATTATAATCTCCTGCCTGTCTCCTCCCACCGACTTGGCTCTCTCCCTTTTATCCTTCCTTGTTGCTGTTCAATAGCGTAGGTGGCCATCTGAGTTACTACCCTGTGTCTTTTCTCACTAGGAACTTGCTTCCATGAGGGCAAGGATGTTATCTCTTTTGCTCACAGCTATTTCTTTAGGACCCAGAGCAATGCCTCAGGTATCATAGGCATAATCCACATTTGTTGGCTGAATTTAACAAAATCCTCACAATGACATTTCAAAATTAGTTGGAATAACCCAAAATTTATACATGAAGAAACTGAGACACAGAGAGGTTTTTTTTTTTTTTTTAATTTTATTTTATTTTAAGTTCCAGGATACATGTGTAGGATGTGCAGGTTTGTTACATAGGTAAACATGTGCCATGGTGGTTTGCTGCCCCTATCAACCCATCACCTAGGTATTAAGCCCCACATGCATTAGCTATTTATCCTGATGCTCTCCCTCCCCCAGGCCCCCTGACAGGCCCCAGTGTGTGTTGTTCCCCTCCCTGTGTCCATGTGTTCTTATTGTTTAGCTCCCACTTATAAGTGAGAACATATGGTGTTTGATTTTCTCTTCCTGTGTTAGTTTGCTGAGGATAATGGCTTCCAGCTCCATCCATGTCCCTGCAAAGGACATGATCTCTTTCCTTTTTATGGCTGCATAGTATTCCGTGGTGTATATGTACCACATTTTCTTTATCCAGTGTATCACTGATGGACGTTTGGGTTGATTCCATATCTTTGCTATTGTGAATAGTGCTGCGATGAACATATGCGTGCATGTATCTTTATAATAGAAGGATTTATATTCCTTTGAGTATATACTCAGTAATGGGATTGCTGGGTTACATGGTATTTCTGGTTCTAGATCTTTGAGGACTCACCACACTGTCTTCCACAATGGTTGAACTAATTTACATTCCCACCAACAGTGTAAAAGCGATCTTATTTCTTCATAGCCTCACCAACATCTGTTGTTTCACGGCTTTACTAATTGCCATTCTGACTGGCATGAGATAGTATCTTTTTGTGGTTTTGATTTGCATTTTTCTAATGATGCATGGTGTTGAGCATTTTTTCATATGTTTGTTGGCCACATAAATGTCTTATTTTGAGAAATGTCTGTTTATGTCCTTTGCCCACTTTTTAATGGGTTTTTTTTTTCTTGCAAATTTGTTTAAATTCCTTGTAGATTCTGGATATTAGAGCTTTGTCAAATGGATAGATTAGATTGCAAAAATTTTCTCCCGTTCTGTAGGCTGTCTGTTCACTCTAATGATAGTTTCTTTTGTTGTGCAGAAGCTCTTTAGTTTAATCAGATCCCATTTGTCAATTTCTGCTTTTGTTGTAATTGCTTTTGATGATTTTGTCCTGAAATCTTTGCCTGTGCTGATGTCCTGAATGGTATTGCCTACATTTTCTTCTAGGGTTTTTATAGTTTTGGGTTTTACATTTAAGTCTTTAATCCATCTTGAGTTAATTTTTGGGTAAGGTATAAGGAATGGGTCCAGTTTCAATTTGCTGTGTATGGATAGCCAATTTTCCCAGCACCATTTATTAAATAGGGAATCCTTTTCCCATTGCTAGTTTTTGTCAGGTGTGGCAAAGATCAGATGGTTATAGATGTGTGGTCTTATTTCTGAGATCTCTGTGCTGTCCCATTGGTCTGTGTGTCTGTTTCTGTACTAGTACCATGCTGTTTTGGTTACTGTAGCGTTGTAGTATAGTTTGAACTCAGGTGGCTGGATGCCTCCAGCTTTGTTCTTTTTGCTTAGGATTGTCTTGGCTATATGGACTCTTTTTTGGTTCCATGTGAATTTTAAAGTAGTTTTTTTTCTAATTCTGTGAAGAATGTCAATGGTAGTTTAATGGGAATAGCATTTAATCTATTAATTATTTTGGGTGGTATGGCCATTTTCATGATATTGATTCTTCCTATCCACAAGCACGGAATGTTTTTCCATTTGTTTGTGTCTTCTCTTTTTTTTTTCTTTTCTTTTGAGATGGAGTGTCACTCTTGTCACCCAGGCTGGAGTGCAGTGGTGTGATCTTGGCTTATTGCAACCTCCACCTCCCGGGTTCAAGCGATTCTCTTGCCTCAGCCTCCTGAGTAGTTGGGACTACAGGTGCGTGCCACCATGCCCAGCTAATTTTTGTATTTTTAGTAGAGATGGGATTTCACCAGGTTGGCCAGGATGGTCTTGATCTCTTGACCTTGTGATCCACCCACCTCAGCCTCCCAAAGTGCTGGGATTACAGGCGTGAGCCACCATGCCCGGCCTGTGTCCTCTCTTATTTCCTTGAGCAGTGGTTTGTAGTTCTCCTTGAAGAGGTCCTTCACTTCCCTTGTTAGGGGTATTCCAAGGTATTTTATTCTCTTTGTAGCAATTGTGGATGGGAGTTCATTCATGATTTCGCTCTCTGCTTGTGTTTTGCTGGTGTATAGGAATGCTTGTGATTTTTGAGGCGCAGAGAGGTTAAACAACTTTTTCAGAGTAACACAGCTTGCTAGTGTAGAACTAGGACTCAAACCTGCCAAGTGACTGTGTCGTTAGATCGTCTCTCTGTGGAGCCTGGCCTTCCCCCTGCACCCACATCTCAACTGCCTCATTTTTTTCATGTCTTGTTGCAAGCAGCCGGTCCCACAGAGTGAGAAAAATCCCTGTGAAAAATGTCGCAAGTGTGACTGGAGGTGTGGGAAATGCATACACAAACAAGCCCTTATCTGCAACTTTCAAGTCCAAAAATTTGTGAAAGTCAAGCTTTATTCTTAACCCATTTGGTGGCAAAACCTGATTTGGACTGATGTGAGGCTATTTATAAATCTATGCCTGTAAAATGTTTGTGTTTGTTTTTTTTTCTTCCTGGTAAATTAGTATTTCCTTTAAGGCTCTTTCCAGGAACATGCTCAGTTTTAAGACCCGATTAAGATCAGGCACAGCAGGCCAGGCTAAGAGGGGCATGTGTGAAATGCAGTTCTATACCAGAGGGAATGAGGGAAAGTCCACATGCTCACCAGCGAGGCCTCTCGCTGCTCCCAGCACTTTTTCTGCTTCTGTCACACAGTGCTGGATACTAGAGTCAAATTCTGCTTTCCCTAGTCATGAGGCTAGAGGAGTCTTTCTGCATAAACTTAAGAGCCCAAGAGAAAAAGCCTATAGATATTGATATTTAGGGTGTTCCAAACAAAATTTACAGCTGACTCACAATCACCCTCCCGTAAGATCCACCAGTTCAGAAGCACTGATCATGCACACAGAACATCCGGTCAGTTTTTAGTGTCTCACTTTTCAATTTAAAAAGACAGCTAACGATCACCAGATATTTGAGAAAAGTTTGAAACATGAAAGGCAGAAATTAAAAGAGACAACAACAGCACTAGAAACTCACAAGAAATAGAGAAAATATAGGGAGCAGAAGAAAACTTCACAAAACCTGTAATTACTAGTCTAAGAGAGATAAGAGAATATGTTGCATTAATAAAATAAAAGCAATGTGCAACAAAGAGGAGTTTCAGAGACTAAGAAAGAACTTTTGGAAATTAAAAGTGTGATAGAAGAATAAATCAGTAGAGGGTTTGGAATATAGAATTGAAGAAAACTTACAGAACCTTGCAGAAAGTCAAAGAAAGAAAGAAAATGTGCTGGGCGCGGTGGCTCATGCCTGTATTCCCAGAACTTTGGGAGGCCAAGGTGAGTGGATCATTTGAACCCAAGAGTTTGAGACCAGCCTGGCCACATGGCAAAACCCCACCTCTACTCAAAAATACAAAAATTAGCCAGACATGGTGGTGCACGCCTATAGTTCCAGCAACTTGGGAGGCTGAGATGGGAGGATCACTTGAGCCAAGGAGGTTGAGGTTGCAGTGAGCTGAGGTTGTACCACTGCACTCCAGCCTGGGCAACAGAGTGGGACCCTGTCCCTCCCGCCTAAAAGAAAAGAAAAGAAAAATAAGAAGGATTATTCTAAGAAGCCCAACATCAGAATAGTAAGACTCGCAGAAAAAGAGAATAGAGACAATGAAAGGGAAAATTTATTAAAGAAATAATACAAGAAAAACTTTGAGAACATTGAAAGGACATTGAAAGGCCCACTTGAGTACCTGGGGCTGTGACTTGAAAAAAAGACATACACCAGAAGAAAAGCTTCTTGACAGGAGAAAATCCTCCCCCCAACCAAATGGATTATATATAACAATAGAAATATGATTGACATCATCTATCTCTACAGAAGCTAGGAGACAATGAAGCCATTCCTTAAATTCTGAGAGGCTAGTATTTCCAACTGAGAAATTATATCCTGACAAATTATTAATCAAATATGAGGGTGGAATAATGGCATTTTCAGGTATGAGAAGTCTCAATGATTTTATCTCCCACACAGCCTTTTTTGAGGAATCTATGATGCATTTGTTTCTCCAAAACTAGACAGTAAACTAAGAATAAATGGGATCTTCCTTTAAGCACAGAAAGCAACCACTTCAGGTTGAAGGAGGAGAATGGAAGGTTCCAGAAGGGAGATTTTTAAGAATTAAAAAAAAAAAAAAGATTAGTACATAATGGTATATTTAGTGTACTGTGATGAGTTTTATAGTTTTGTTGGAATGTTGAGGGCTGAATTCGTGACAAGTACATAGAAAGTTAAGCAGACAAACAAATGAGGTAATAATGGACTCTACAAATGGCAACTAAGAAATATACATGAAAGGAATTAATTGTAACACCACACATGGCTCAGCTATGAATAATAATTTATCTGGTTATAATAATGTAACTTAATAATTACTTGACAAAATAATGTAACTTAATAATATAGCTATTAGTGTTGACTTAATAAAAAATGGTATAACTATTGGGAGAATGTGGGACAGGAGAGGTGGTATATAGAATGGTGGTAAGGAGCTAAATCCTTATTTTCTATAATAGGAAGTTAGTGAATAATATCTAATATTGAAAAAAATCCAGAGCCATATAAGCGTGCTATTTAGATACACTGAGATGACTCTGGAAATAGATACAGGAGTTGAAAGACAGAATTAGGGATATGGAGGGGTGGGGCAGGGCCTGCTGTTTCTCCTTACAGCCTTGCAGTACCACTGGACCTTAAAAATCATTGGTGTGTGTTGCTTTGATTTAAAAAAGGGCTCAATGTGCCGGGTGCTGTGGCTCATGCCTGTAATCCCACTAATTTGGGAGGCCAAGGCTGGTGGATCACTTGAGGTCAGGAGTTCGAGACCAGCCTGGCCAACATGGTGAAACCCTGTCTCTACCAAAAATATCAAAAATTAGCCAGGTGTGGTGGCATGCACCTGTAATCCCAGCTACTCGGGAGGCTGAGGCAGGAGAATCGCTTGAACGTGGGAGGCGGAGGTTGCGGTGAGCAGAGATTGTGCCACTGCACTCCAGTCAGGGTGACAGAGCGAGACTCCATCTCAAAAAAAAAAAAAAATTAAATAAATAAATAAATAAATAAATAAAATAAAATAAGTTAAAAAGGGCTCAGTGTCTCCCCCTGTATCCAGATTGGCACCTAAAATAGGCACCCAATCAAAGCTGAATGATTGTTTGCTGTAGAGAACATATTAACAACACAATCAAATAAATGTGCAGAGGTACCCTCCTTTGGAAATTTTGCATATGGCAATGGCAGAAGAGCTTCCCTTTTCTGGTTCTCTAAATGCAGACACCTTTTCTCTTTTTGTCAGAGCTCACCCATGTACTCAGTGTGCAACTCATACTTAGTTTCAGCTCTTTGCTGGAATCTCTTGGCCTAGCACTAAAGGGAAGATAAAGAAAAGCCCCTGGGAGGCAGCTCTGGGAGGCAGCTTTGTGTGTGGAACTCTGGCTTAGTCACTTACCTGCTTTGTGCCCGTGCTGTCACCAAAGCTCTTGTCACCTCATCTGAAAATGGAGAAGACACTCCTCGCTTCATAGGCTTGTGTGAAGAATAAATGAATAACTTAGTACATAAAGCACCTGGCACACAGTAGTTGCTAACAAAAAAAAATTGAAATTAAAAATAAAGGAACATTTATGGTGAATATTATTAGGTCTAGGACAGGAGCCCCGTAATGTTGGATCTGGGCTCCCCATATGAACCATCAAGAAGGGATGTGAGCCCTGGGAGAGGAAGAGGGGGACAGAAATAATCCGGAAAGTCTCCTTATCTTAGCAGACGTTCTTACTGTGTTTTGGGTGCAGTGTCTTCTGATTTGACTGCTGTGTTCAGCAGATTTGTGGAGACCCAGATCCTGGAATGTTTTATGCACAAGGATCAATAAAAGCTCTTAGCTTATTTCACTTCCATATTCAAACATAATCAAAACCATTGCTCACATCTCAGACAATGTGGAAGAATGGCTCCAGGGTTAAAAGGGTTATCTCACGCTGAGGCTCCTGGGTGCTGAGTGGGGATGGCTCCTTGAAGCCAGGGGCTTGGGGCCACAGCCTTACTGCTGTGACAGGTGAACCCCTCCTCTGAGTCAACACAGAGCACTCGAGCAATGGTTCTGCTTTGAGGGGCTGGGCCATGAAATTCTTGGCTCAATTTATGAACTTCTTTGGGTTCCTTGGTTCCTGGTGAGCTCTCCAAATCCTGGTTCTGGGTCTGTGGTTGGTGCCTCACACATGGTACACTTACTTGAAGGAAACACTTGCTGGAGGCAAGAAGGAGTCACTGCGCCCAAGGCAGCCTCTCATTTAGCCACCCTCTTCCTTAGAATCATCTTCTGTGTCATCTAGATGCTTCTGGGTCTAAGGGCAGAGGAGAAAGGGGATTGGCTGAGCTGCTGCCAGGGGCTCTAGAGTTGGGGGACAGTGCAGTAAGGGCTGCCCCAAGAGATAAAACAGAGAACAGGCCCTGAGGAGAAGGAAGGAGTTGAGCACAATCTTGGCTGGCTGGGCCTCGAGAGGAAAGTAGAGAGACCAAATCTGGGTGTTAGGCCCAGTGACCCTTGTGGGATAGGAGGGAGGTCAGAGAGCAGAACTTGTGGTGACAGATTACAGAGCGTTATGAATTAAGTGGAAACTATATTAAAATGGCCAGGAAGCACGTGAGTAGATAGGAGGCTTGGGGACCCTATGATCAGCTGAATCTGCAGTGCTGAGTATGGTGATAGGAGGAAGTTATATAATCTACTTAATAGAAAAAAAAAACTTTAGAATTTAAGATAGAAGAGTCATCCAACTACACTTTAGCAATCTAGCGTGGTCCTGTCAGTAGATTTTTGTTTCGTTTTGTTTTCTGTTTTTTTTTTAAATTTTTTAAATCTTTTTTATTTTGAGATGGTACCTGCCAACCCTAGTGGCCCGCGGCCACTAGACTCACTACATACCTGCTGTCCTGGGCCTGCATGGTGTCCTGTCTACCTCTCCCAGGGCCTCTGCCCTGCTCTCTTTGTAGGCCAGCTTCCTCTCCTTCCATAGAGTCCCTGTAGCTCCATCATTTGATCTTTTTTTTTTTTTTTTTTTAGATAGAGTCTCACTCTGTCACTCAGGCTGGAGTGCAGTGATTGATCTCGGCTCACTGCAAATTTGCAAATTCCACCTCCTGGGTTCAAGCAGCTCTCCTGCCTTGGCTTCCTAGAAACTGGGATTACAGGTGCACGCCACCATGCCTGGCTAATTTTTGTGTTTTTAGTAGAGACAGGGTTTCACCATGTTGACCAAGCTGGTCTTGAACTCCTGACCTCAGATGATCCTCCCGCCTTGGCCTCCCAAAGTGCTGGGATTACTGGCATGAGCCACTGCGCCCGGCCCCATCACTTGATCTTGTGCATGGCATTTGCTTGTCATGGTTCCACCACTACCTTTCCCTTCACTCTAGGGTCTACCACCAGCTGACTAGAGTCTTTTTTCACAGTTGCAGTTTTGAAAGAGTGTCAGATTGGCCCAGCTTCCTTATGTATGGACGAATTGTCTTTAAGTCAGAGTTCTACCCTTTGTCCATCAGGGGAAGTCCAGATGAATGAGCAAGTGGGGTAGGGGCAGGGTGGGCAGGTAGAATGACTTGCCTAAATATTGGAGATCTGCAAACCATTTTCCAAAGGACTTAAGAAGCACAAAAGGAATCCCCCATTCCCTCATGAAGCTGCAGATTGCTATGGCTGGAGTGTAGGGTGCATGAGAGTGACAGGGCATGAGGCTGGTCAGCTGGAAAGGGGCATGAGACAGGTCCCCAAGGCTTTTGCCTGGGTCACAGGGCTGAGAAACCTAGTTATCTGTGTAGGTGAATTCTCCATCTCTCACTGAAAGTTTGGCCTGGAGTGAAAGGAAGGATACAAGAGCTGGCTAGGGAGAGATGGAGAGTGGAGTCTTCCTTCCTGTTAAGGAGGCAGAGCAGTCAGCCCAGCAGTGCCCACTCTACCTCCACCCCAGGAGCACTTTGCTCTTGTTCCCCCAGGAGGGCTCCTTGTGGGTGGCTCCTAGCTGACCACTAGCTCAGCTGTTTGCCTGTAAAGACCTCTTCCCTGACTGCTCTCATTTCCCCACAGTGACCCTGGCTCCTGGTGTTTTGTTGGCATTAATTACAAACAGCAGCAAAGTGCCCGAAGCCTCAAGCAACTTGTTCTTTTTCCGTCTCACCAGATGCCTTTGTTGTTCGCCCTGTTCTGTCCTGAATCTTTGTGAGGTCTTGACGTTACCACCCATCGCATGGCTCACTTCAGCTTCAGTTCTGTCTATCAGCATCTCCCGTCTCATGGGATGACTCTTGTTTCTCTTTGTATCTAAGGGTTTCTTTCCCCTGGACACCGTCCTTGTGTATCTATCACTCCCCTGTCCCTCCACGGGTTTCTCTTTCTCTCCTTACGAATTGTCATTCATGTACCCCTCTTTCCCAAGCTTGATTAGCAGAGTTCATTTAGCATAATGGGTCTTATCTTAGGCTGGGGCTGAGCTGAGTGTGAGCATGAAAAATGAAAAGTCAGACTTGGAGAACTGCACCTTCATTTCCACTAGAAATGGTTACACCAGGTGAACGAGGATATGTGGGTGAGGGAGGGGCTTGGGGGAGAGAGGAGTGTTAGGGGAATGGGCACATTTCTCCATTGCTGGGAGCAGTTTCTATGGTACCAGTAGTCCTGAAGGTAGCATGCTAAGACTGTTCAGAAGCCTGAAGAATTTGGAAGCTCTTTGACCCAGCACAGTTTTATTCCTAAGACTGTGTCCAAAGAAAATAATCATGGGACTCCCTGGAAGATTTTGTTTCAAACACTATTTGCCATTAGCCAAAAACAAAACAAAAGGCTGAAGATGACTTAAGTGTCCAGGCTTGGAGGGTTGGGTACAATTTATGGTACAGCTCTGTGGGGCACTATACATGGCTCATTGGAGATCCTTGGGTACGTATATATTATGCAGCCATTAAAATGATGCTGCTGGAGATTACTTACTGACACGGCACTTACTAAACCATGCCTAGCTTTATTACATCTTTATAAAAAATCTGAAAAATAAAAACAAGAAACAGGTAGAGTATGTTATCTGTAGTTATCTTGGATGAAGAAAGAATGGGTACATTTTGTCTTTTTCATTTAATTATATTTTCTAAAATTTATAGATTGAACATACTTTTTCTGACACAAGGAAACACAATTACTTTAAAAACAAATGCCCTCTATTCAGGCAACTATAATAATATATGGGTTGAAAATTTAGGATCAGTTAAAAATGCTTCCAAAATGAATTAGAAATTAAATTCACTTTAAAAAAAACTTTTTTTTTGAGACGGAGTTTCGCTCTTGTTGTCCAGGCTGGAGTGCAGTGGCACGATCTTGGCTCACTGCAACCTCCGCCTCCCGGGTTCAAGCGATGCTCCTGCCTCAGCCTCCCAAGTAGCTGGGGTTACAGGCATGAATTCACATTTGTAACAGCATAAACAACATACTATAGGTCAAAGGAGACTGTGAACAAGCTTGATGTAGTTGTTGATTGAAATCCATTGTCCGCAGGCCTTCTCTAAACACGAGACTTGGGCCCGATCTGTAGCTTTCTAACCCTTGCTTTTTCTTACCACAAGTAGTGAGTAGCACAAGGATTCCACGACTGTAGCAGAGTTTGCTTTGCCCAATCTGCAACTTACTCTCAAATTGTACAACCCCAGAGGGATGAGTCTGGGTGAACATGTAGCTCGTTTAGGTCCTGGAAAGGAGGCTGGCTGCCCCGGAGCTGGCAGTGGGAGGAGCAAAGACTCTTTCCTCCTGAATGTATTAACGTATGTGCTTCTGGTGAAACTTTGCTTTGTTGTTGTTTTTTAACCCTCTGCAGGCAAGGGGAGAGCCAGTTGCGCAGAGCCCTGCAACCAGCAGTCCAGGGAGAAGTGGTGAATGTCATGGAGCCCAGCTGAAATGGACTGGCCCCCTTGAGCCTGTCCCAAGCCCTGGTGCCAGGTGTCCATCCCCGTGCTGAGGTAAGACCCCCTGAAGCCCAGCCTGAGGAAGAGAGGACACAATGCCTTTTTTGCAGGGGCAGGAGGCAGAGGGCCTTCTCAGGAAAGAAGGAGCAGTTAGTTGTTTCTGGTTCAGTCAAACCATCTGCTTCAGCCTCAGCCCGTTGGGAGGCAAGGTCAATTGGTGGCCAAAGAGGCTTCTGCTTTGTCAGAGCAGGTCTTTGGAATCTTGATGGGAGTTGTATTTTCTCAGTTGCTGGTGAAATTTGAATTCCCAAGGGAATACATTTATCCTCCAGGTAAGACTGCACCGGATTCAGGTGAATGCTTAAGTATACCTCCTCTGCTCTGCAAGGGAGCTCTTGGGAAACACACACACACGCACACACACACGCGCGTGCCACGCTCTCTCTCTTTCAACCCAAGGGTGACAGAGTGAAACATTATGCAGAGAGGTTATTCCAAAACATTCTGGGAAGCTCACTAAAAATTGATTTTAATTACCTAGATATGTTCTGATTATAAAGGTAATAGGTGCTCATAGAATGATTGGAAAAATTCTGTTGTGGAAGAAAATACAATATATCTGAAACCCTGCCCCTGTTAACAATCCTCCAGGTGGTATTCTATTAAGGTTACTCTTTAAGCTTCCACAGGATGTTGATTTTTCCTGTGTGGAGGTAGAAAGGTGAGGCAGAAGGAGAACTTGTCCCTAATCTGGAAACTCTGTTTCCCAATTTTTATATATTCAAGAATTTTGCAAACTGCTTGTTAAAAACGATTAAAAACAATGGGTGGCTTGAAACTGACCACGATGGGGAAACTTATGCCATGGAAATGGGCAAGTGCTACAACCCAGGGCTTTTTTGTTTTGGAAATTCCGATTAGATAAGCAAGCTGCTGGTTTCAGGGCTTACCCTACCCCAGGCTGTGGGGCATCCGGCAAATCACCTCCCCTATGCATTCCTTCATTTCCTCACCTGTGAACGGTAGGTGCCCAGTAACATGAGTTGCGTGAATAAATGAAAGTGAGATTTCCGTCATTATTTCATACAACAATCGTGAGGGTCCCATAAAATAATGAAAACAGAAATGTTTTGCGTACAGTGAGCCTCCCTGCCCCTGTAGAGAGGGGCTTAGTTGACTGGGCAACCTTTGGTTTAGTGGTAGAAGTTGGCTGCATTTCCCCCTTTGGCTCTTGCTCCTTGGGGAGCCTTCGGATTACTGACACCCTTTTATAAAGGCAGATGAAAACCCACCATTTACTGGCCAACATCTGGGGCACATTTCCTTCCCGGAAAAGTCACGAAGTTGGTCAGAGAAGTGTGAAAAGGGAGCCTCAGCAATGCAGGACATAAGAGCCAGAACTGAAATCAGAGTTTTTGACTCATAATCTCTAATGCGGGTGTGGGGGACTTCCTGCCAAATGTGAAATTGCAACAAAAGCCTCTTTCTTCAAAGCCCTGCTGTTGCAGCAGATTAGAGCTAATAAATTAGCATAATGAAGTCCCAGCCTCTGTCCCCCTCCCTCTGCTTCCTGAATCTCTTCCTGTGTCCCAAAGGAGGGATAGGGAGCGGGTGGGACATCCGTTAAGCACCAGTTTATCCTTGTAGAATTGTAGGTTCAGAAAATTATAAAGGTGGTAAGGTCTACAGAGTCCATCTGGTCCCACACCCTCATTTTAAGAACCTCAGGCCACTGAGCTGGTGATTACCAGTGACTGAGGCGAAAGTACGTACTCCTGGGAGGAAGGGAGCTCAGGTGGAGGGGTGGAGGATGGAGCACTGCTCAGGAGGCCGCCTCCTCACAGAGCTTACATATAACTGGCAGGGAACGTGGTGGGTGGTCTCCAGGTGCCAGCCCTGCCTCTTCTCTTCCTCGTCCTTCCCCTGTATCTGAAGTCCCAGTGTACTTCCTGAGGTGCCTCTCTAGTGTGTTTGGACTTAAGGCCATCAGAGGCCTGGTTTTCTGGTCAGCAAAATCAACTAAGATCTTATTTTTTATTTTTTCGGGACAGAGTGTCGCTCTGTTGCGCAGGCTGCAGTACAGTGGTGCGATCTCAGCTCACTGCAACCTCCGCCTCCCAGGTTTAAGTGATTCTCCTGCCTCAGCCTCCCGAGTAGCTGGGATTCTAGGCATGGGCCACCACGCTGGCTAATTATTTTGTATTTTTAGTAGAGACGGGGTTTTACCATGTTGGTCAGGCTGGTCTTGAACTCCTGACCTCAGGTAATCCGCCTGCCTAGGCCTCCCAACGTGCTGGGATTACAGGTGTGAGCCATCGTGCCCGACCTAACTGAGATCTTATTCTGAGAATCTTTAGATCTATTTATGACAAAGGGAAGGAAGGGAAGAGGCTGTTGATTGAGCTCATGATGGTTCCCGGCACAGTGTTTTGTAATCTGTCTACATTATCTTATTTAATTCTGCAATGAGCTAACAAGGTATCTATCCCATGTCACGGATGTGGAAATTGGGTCTCACAGAGGTAAAGAGACTTCTGCAAGATTTCACAGCTCATAAGCAAAAGAGATACACTAAGGCTGTCTGTGACCTCCACAGCTTCTCAAAGCTAGTGAGTGCTCTTTATGGCAAGCACTTGCCCACGTGGTAGTTCCAAAATGCAGTTCCCACACACAGAGTCTCTCCCGTCGGGGAATATCATTCCATCTCGGAAGCTCTGTGAACAGCTGCAGCTCAAAGTGCTTGGAGCTTTGCAAAATGCTACACTGTTCCTTTCAAACCCCAAGGTCTCTTCCTTGTAGTGTAAGATAGCACCAGAGCTGGGAGCATTTATAGAGTGCTATAGTGTAGTCCTCTCATTCAGCTGATGCCCCAGGAGGTGAGGCCCAGTGGTGCTGGGCCCCCAGATCTCCCCGCCAGTTAGAAGCAACAGGCGTGTCAGTCCCTGGACTCTCAGAACTGTTTCCCGGGGAGCGCACAAAGACAGATATGCTTGCGTTTCCTCTGCAACTCGGGAAGAGATTATTCCTCTGGCTAGGGGGATTTAATTCAGTTCCACAGATACTTACTGAAAGCCTACTATGTGCCCTGCCAAATATCTCAGCTTGTTTGGGCAAGAAACTCTGGCCCACACTTGGACATACAGATCTGACAGGGACAAGAGGAGGAGCTTCCATACTTCAAGGCTGTTTAGTACCTTCTTTTTCCGTCCGTTCTGTCACCACTCATGTCCAGCCTTTCCTTCAAGAACTCTAAAGGAGAAATTATGTCTCAAGTAGCTGTGTGTCCAGGGTTTCCAGACTCCTGAAGAGGTGTTTTTTTGTTTGTTCGTTTGTTTTTTAGACGGTGTCTTGCTCTGTTGCCCAGGCTGGAGTGCGGTGGCGCAATCTCAGCTCACTGCAACCTCCGCCTCCTGGGTTCAAGCGAGTCTCCTACTTCAGCCTCCCAAGTAGCTGAGATTACAGGCGCCTGCCACCACACCCAGCTAATTTTTGTATTTTTAGTAGAGACGGGGTTTTGCCATGTTGGCCAGGCTGGTCTCGAGCTCCTGACCTCAGGTGATCCACATGACTCAGTCTCCCAAAGTGCCGGGATTACAAGTGTGAGCGACTGCGCCTGGCCCGAACACAGAGTTTTAAGTACCTAACTTGCTAACTGGGGAACAAACCAGCAGATGGGGGAGGGAGTCAGGGTCTTTGGAAGATACCTACTGAGGGACAGGGCTGAGGGGAGGAGGCAGAGTGGCAGAGGGAGTGATTTGGGGAGGCACTGCTACGTGGAGGTGGTGCCCTGCCTTCAGCTTTGGCTCAGCAGGGCACTCAGAACATGAATTACAGCCGAAAGAGCTCCTTGGAAGGCTTGATCGTTAGCCATCACGTCTTTCACTTAAGGAAATGGAGGCCCAGAAAGGGGAAGGATGTTATTTGCAGCATGAGAGGAATTGGAGTCTGTTCTGCTGACTGTCTGGTCAGGTCCTTGACACAAAACCACCGTGGCAGTAGAGGCCAGGGTGTCCTGGGGAGCCGGCACAGCCCACTTCCTGCCTTAGCCCATCTGGCCCGGGATGGGCTGGCTTTGGCTGTTGGAGGTATTTGTGGCAGTGGCAATCCAAGAGAGAGAGGGTGTCATTTTAGTGATGCCAGAGATCTCCTGCAGCCCCAGCCCCTCATTCTCATTTGGAGCCTTCTTTGAGGTCTTGCTTAGGCCGGGGAGTTATGGCCTGTGGCTTCAGGTTGGGAATTTGCCACTGTAGAAAGGCATCACAGTACGGAGAAAAGTGGCCCAGCTTTGAAGCCATTTGACTTGGGTCTGAGCCTGACCTGACCATAGCTGCATGACCTCCCGGCTTTCTGATCCAGTTTCATCATCTGTAAAATGGGCCGAATAATACCTACCTTGAGTGAAGATGAATAATTATTTATATAAAGTTTTTTCCCCACAAAGTAGATGCCTATTAGATGGTACCCATTAATCTTGTTTTATATACCCTTATTGAGGTGTAATTGACAGACAAAACCCTGCACATACTTAAATTGTACAACTTGGTGAGTTTTGACATATGTATACGGTCATGAAACTATCCCCACAATTAAGCTAATGAACATAACGATTACCCCTAAAAGTGTCCTTCCGAGCTTTATCCCTCCTTCCTGCCCCCTTCCATCTCCTGCCCTCCATCCTCAGGCAACCACTGGACTAAGCTGCTTTCTCACACTATAGGTTCGTTTGCATTTTCTGGAGCTTTATGTAAATGGAATTATACAGCATGCATTTTTTTTTCATTCAGCGTAATTATTTTGCTGTTCATCAATGTTGTGTGTATCAGTAGTCCTAGTTGTGGATATACCACAATTTATTTATCCATTTACTTGTTGACACACATTTAGGTTGTTTCAAATTTTGGACTATTAAAATAAAGCCATTAGAATCATTTGTGGAAAAAAATGTTGTGGGGACATAAGTATTTATTTCTCATGAGTAATCTCCTAAGAGTAGAGTGGCTGGGTCATGTGGTGGGCGTTTGTTTAACTTTTAAAGAAGCTGCCAAACTGTTGCCTAGAGCACGGGTACCATTTTATATCACCACCAGCTGTGTACTAGAATTCCAGGCACTTCACTTCCTTGCCAACACTTGGTATGATCTATCTTTTTCTTTTTCTTTTTTTCTTTCTTCTCTTTTTCTTTTTTTTTTTTTTTTTTGAGACAGATTCTCACTCTGTGGGCCAGGCTGGAATGCAGTGGCGCAATCTCAGCTCACTGCAACCTCTGCCTCCGGGGTTCAAGCGATTCTCCTGCCTCAGCCTCCTGAGTAGCTGGGATTACAGGCACCTGGCCACCATGCCTGGCCTATTTTTGTATTTTTAGTAGAGACGGGGTTTCACCATGTTAGCCAGGCTGGTGTTGAACTCCTGACCTCAAGTGATCTGCCCGCCTCAGCCCCACAAAGTGCTGGGATTACAGGCGTGAGCCACAGCGCGCAGCCCATCTTTTTCATTTTAATAGGTGTATGGTGATATCTCATTGTGTTTTTTTGTGCATTCCCGTAAACACTAATGATATTGAGCTTCATTTTTATGTGCTTTGTTTGCCACCTGGATGGCTCCTCTGGTGAAATGTTTAGATTTTTTTACCCATTTAAAGAAAATTGGGTTGTTTGTCTTCTTATGATTGAGTTGTAAGGTTTCCTTATATATTCTACAGATAAGTCCTTTATTGGATATGCTTTGCAAAATTGTTCTCCAATTCTGTGGCTTGTACATGACAGGAGATGGAAGCAAGTAAGCTAATTATTGCAATTCAGTTGAATAAGTGCTGTGCACAGGAAGTGCAGAGGAAGAGCGGTGATCTCAGGATGGGGAGTCAAGGAAGCTTCCTTAAGGAGAAGCTATATGAATTGGATCTTAAAGGAAATGAAAAGTTATCTAGGCGAGGGAAGGGTAGCCTCAGTAGAAGTTCGTATGTGCCAAGGCATGGAAACAGGAAACGTCGTGGTACACACAGTACTATGAATAATTTGACCTGGTTGGAACACCAGGATTTTGGAGCGAAGAGTCTGAACTGGAATCCCAGTTTTCTTACTGGCTGGGTGCCTTTTCTTTTTATTTAACTTTTTATTTGGAAACGATTGTAGATGCACAGGAAGTTGAAAAGATAGTACAGAGACTCCTGATGCATCCTTCCTTTAGTTTCTTGTTTCTTCTTACATAATTATAGTACAATATCAAAACCAGCCATCTGAGATTGGTACAACATGTGTATAGTTTGTGTCATTTTCTCTTGTGTGTAGGTTAGTATAGGCATCCCTAGAATCAAGATAGAGAACTATTTCTTTTTCTTTTCTTTTTCTTTTTTTTTTTTTTTTTAAGACAGAGTTGCACTCTGTCACCCAGGCTGGAGTGCAGTGGCGCGATCTCAGCTCACTGCAACCACCGCCTCCCAGGTTCAAGCAGTTCTCCTGCCTCAGCCTCCCAAGTAGCTGGGTTTACAGGTGCCTGCCACCACGCCCGGCAAATTTTTTTTTTTTTTTGTATTTTTAGTGGAGACAAGGTTTCACTGTGTTAGCCAGGATGGTCTCTGTCTCCTGATCTCATGCTCCGCCTGCCTCAGCCTCCCAAAGTGCTGGGATTATAGATGTGAGCCACTGCGCCCGGTGGATACAGAACTATTTTATCATCAAAAAGGTCTTCCTTGTGCTGACCCTTTTTTGTCACCCTGCCCCCACCTCTGTTTTTCACTTCTATAATTTTGCCTTTGGAGAATATTCTCTAAATAGGATCATACAATATACAACCTTTTGAGGTTGGCTTTTTTGCACTCATCATAATGCCCTTCAGGTCTACTAAAATTGTTGAATTTATCAATAGTTTGCTCTTTTTGTTAAATTACCGAATAGTATTCCATGGTATGCATGTATCACAGTTTAATTGTTTGCCTATGGAAGGGCATTTTGCTTAATTTCAGTTTTTGGCTATTACAAGTTAAGCTGCTATGAACAATTGTGTTCTGATTTTTGTGTGGACATAAATTTTTGCTTCTCTGATATAAATGCCGAGGAGTTCAATTGCTAAGTTGCATGGTGAGCATATTATTTTGTTTTTGAAGAAACGGCCAAACCATTTCCTAGAGGGGCTGTATCACTTTACATGCCCACCAGCAACATAATCCACTTCCTCCACATGCTTGCCAGCATTTGGTGTTGTCACTTTTTCTCAACTTTAGCTGTTCCCTTGTTTTTGGACACGGAGTTTCACTCTTGTCACCCAGCCTGGAGTGCAGTGGTGCTATCTTGGCTCACTGCAACCTCCACCTCCCGGGTTCAAGCGATTCTTCTGCCTCAGCCTCCTGAGTAGCTGGGATTACAGGTGTGCGCCACCATGCCTGGCTAATTTTTTTGTATCTTTAGTAGAGACGGGGTTTTGCCATGTTGGCCAGTGGCCAGTCTGGTCTCGAACTCCTGATCTCAGGTGATCCACGTGCCTCGGCCTCCTGAAGTGCTGGGATTATAGGCGTGAGCCACTGTGCCCCCCCAACGTTAGCTGTTTTAATAGATGTGTAGTGATATCTTATTGTGGTCTTAATTTGTGTTTCCCTAACAGCTGGTTGTGTGCCTCTCTTTCTGCTCCCCCAGTCTGGCTGTCTGAATCTAGACCACAGCCTGTACTCCTTAAGTGTTGGAAGCAAGAAGATTTGGTGCTGACAAACCCCCTCCCATCATTTTCAGAGCTGCCCCAGGAATCTGACTTCCTTGTTCTTCAGCCCAGTTCACCAGTTATAGGAAATCTTTAGTCATTGTCCTGGGTAGCCCATGAAAAGTGATATTTTATAGAGCTGTGTATTTTTCCAGGGAGGATTGTTTTTGTTCACAGATGAGCAAACATCCTGTAAGTGCTGATTTTTCACTGTGCTTTCCACCCTGTTCCTCCCTGGTGCCAGCGTGCCAACATCTCTACTTACTGGCAGCCTAGTTGAAGAAACCTCTAGAGTTGGCCCAGGAGGACTGTTTTCTCAGTGTTTAGAGATCATACAGTGCCAAGGGCAGCTGCCATGGCCTCAAGCCTTCCCTAGCTCAGCATCTTCTACTCTTTCCTCTTACAGATGGAGAGGCAACTTCAATGCACTGGGGAAAGAAACGAACAATGACAGTGAATGATGATATTGCACTTCTTATGGACCAGGCTCTAAGTGTTTTATGTATATTAATTCACTTAATCCCCATGACAACCCTAAGAATTGGGTACAATTTATAACTCCATTTTATAAATGAGGAAACAGGCATAGAGAGGTCTCATAGCTAGTAAGTTGGAATTTGAACCTGGGGAGTAGGACACCCAGGTCTGTCCTCTTAGTCATTATGCTATGCTACCTGCTACTTTCTTACTTTCTTTTTTTTTTTTTGAGACAGGGTCTCACTCTGACACCCAGGCTGGAGTGCGCCTGGGAGGGATGTCATCTCACTGCAACCTCCACCTCCCGGGTTCAAGTGATTCTCATGTCTCAGCCTCCCAAGTAGCTGGGACTACAGGCACGGGCCACCACACCCAGCTAATTTTTTGTGTTTTTAGTAGAGACAGGGTTTTGCCATGTTGACCAGGCTGGTCTCAAACTCCTGACCTCCTGTGATCTGCCCGCCCCGGCCTCCCAAAGTGTTGGGATTACAGGCGTGAGCCACCATGCCCGGCCACTGCTTGTTACTATGTGTACATTACCTGCACTAGGGTGGATAGAACCTCATGTGGCACACACATGACGCCACATAACACGGCTCATGTGTTCACAGTGCCCAGCACAGAAGCATGCACATAGTAGGTGTTTATTTAAAAAAGTTGATTGAATGCTGAATGAGTGAGTGGGCACTCTTCACTGACGAACTGGGGTAAGGCACATACTCCCTGTTTGATTTCAGTGTAGCACTGCCCTATAGCTGGGCAAACACCTTGGTGTCTCCCCTTAGGAGCATGTGGGAAGAAGAGGAGGATTTGCCATGAGCTTTCTCTGGGACAGGAGCAGTTTGGGATGTTGAGATGGGAAATGGAGTATTGAGAAGTGAGTGTATTTCCAGGGGGAATGGAGAGGTCTTTGGAGACCTGCATTGGCCATGGGCTCCCCAGTTGTGAGTGGGCTCAGGCTCTGGATCACCGCTGGGAAGATACCCTTCTATTTATTTATTCATTATTTTTATTTTTGAGATGGAGTTTTGCTCTTGTTGTCCAGGCTGGAGTGCAATGGTACAATCTCAGCTCACTGCAACCTCCGCCTCCTGGGTTCAAGTGATTCTCCCACCTCAGCCTCCTGAGTAGCTGGGATTGCAGGCGCCCGCCATCATGCCCAGCTAATTTTTATATTTTTAGTAGAGACAGGGTTTCACCATGTTAGTCAGGCTGGTCTTGAACTCCTGACCTCACGTGATCTGCCCGTCTTGGCCTTCCAAACTGCTGGGATTACAGGCGTGAGCCACTGCGCCCGGCCCTCTTCTGTTTTCTGAGTCTCCTGTGCACTCAGGGCTGGCTCACATATACTGCAGGAAGAGGCAGGAGGAGGATGACACAGGGGACTGGACCTTGGAGGATAGCACATGATTGCACTGGCCCTCAGATTTTCAACCCCCTGCCTGTGCAGCAGTAACCTTGACTGCATTGTAGAGACTCCCATCCACTTCATCTCACCCTTGCCCATCAGGGGTGTCTGGGAAAGAGAGGTTTCTAGCCTGACAGATCTGAGTTCCAATTGCAATGCCTCAGTTGCCTCACCTGTAGACAGAGCAATAATAATAGCTGGTTTGTAGATTGTTGTGAGGGCAAAGTGGAGAAGTGTCTTAGGGAGTGTTGGCTCCCTCTCCTAACTCTTTGCCTCTCCTCCTCTCCTGGAGGCCCTCTTCATGAACACCCAGCTGTAGGGCAGTGCTGCACTGAAAGAAAACGGGACATGTGCCTTACCCAAGTTCAGTCAGCGAAGAGTGTCCATTCACTCATTCAGCATTCAATCGACTTTTTAAATGAACACCTACTGTGTGCTTGCCTCTGTGCTGGGCACTGTGAACACATGAGCCATGGCGCTTGACCTCCTGTAGCATGTGAGCTAAAGAGAGAGAGACAAATGCTAATTAAATAGTAACACAATCAAATGTGAAACCGTGAATTGTGGGGGTTGCTGTGGAGGAAGCTCTGTGGTGTTGCGTGAATGAACCACAGCCTGGGAAGCCAGTGGATAGATACTTCCTCGGGAAAGTGATTTCATCCTGGGGTTTGACTCTCTAGCTTTGGGCCACTGGAGAGGCCAGTGTGGAAGATTCAGTAGGATCAGTCCACTTTATGCTATATCCTGACTATAGGCTGACCAGGCGCCTGGCCACCCCAGGGCCCTCACCCCGCCTCCAACAGCCTAGACCGTTCCTTGAGATTACCCATATCCAACCATCCACAGGTGCTGCCGATACTGCAGGAACCGACTGAGCTTGGATCCCACACCTTACAGACCCGGAGCATCTTTTCTGTTGTTTATTTTTGGGTTAGCTCATAACTCACTTTATCACTCAGCCGAACAGTGAGCCACCATGGACCATGGTGGTTTTGATCATCATACAGATATTTAAAGACAACTTTATTGAGGTACAGTTTATATTCCATGAAATCAACCCATGTTAAGTATACAATTCAGTGATTTTTTTTAGTAAACTTACTGAGCTGTGCAGTTGTCACCACAATCCAGTTATAGAACATTTCCGTCATTAGTGGGGTCAGCTTTAGATGCAAAAGACAGGAGAATTATTTTTGTTTTTATGGGATTAGTTCTGTGCTCCCAGCAGGAAGATCTCATTAATTAATTAATTAATTCAATTAGTATTTACTGAGAGCCTGGTTGGGGGGGGGGCGCCCACAGCAGGGTTGGGTGCAAAGGGAAATAAATAAATAAACAAGTGGTGGGGGCTGCTTCACTGTGGCTGATGAGCTTCCACTGTCAAGTGTAGCCTAACTTGCCTGCTCAGGTGGGGTTCATGGCAGCTGCAGGGCAGGTTTCTGCTTTCTACCCTGTAACTCTTATTGGAAGGCAAGGCAAAGGCCTTCTTTTGCAATACCTGGTATTGCAGTGAATTATTGACTGAGCAGACAGAGAGACGTGTCCTCGCCAACATCTACAAATAGCTCTGGGCTTTGGCAGGCCTGGATGCAGGATCTTGGAAAAGAGGAGCGTGGGTCTGCTGTTTACAGTGCAAAGATTTGACAGGTGAAATTGGGGCGAGGGTGCGCTGAGGGAGGAAAGGAGTGCAGGCAACGTCAGGGCCGGTGGCCAGGGTGAATCCAGGGAAGCGGGTGCCTGTGTGCACGGTGGGTGTTGCTTGGAGGCTGGGGAGTGAGTGGGAGTATGGCCTTGTATACTAGACTGAGAGGCATTTGCACTTAATGGAGTAAACATGGAAGATGCAATTTCAGTGTCTGAGGAGGAGCTTAATGATTCAGAGCTGGACTTCAGGAGATTAATCTTTTGTGAGAAGATAAGCAAGGGATGGGTTGGGAGACTGTTGTGAGGGTCCTAGTATTAGATGATGTGGACTTGACTTGGACAGGGGCATTGAGGCAAGGAAAGAAGAAGTGCAGGGGAGAGAAAGTTCTGCCAGGTGATGGGGAGTGATTCTTCTCTGTCCCTGAGGTTCGTACCTGCCTGGCCATCTGCCTTTTGCTGTTCAACCAGTCTCCCTCTGCCTGTCCACAACTGAACTTCCCCACAGTGTGTTCTTCCATGGCCTCTTTGTACTCTCCCATCCACTTCTTCCCTCTTGTTCTACTTCTCTTGCCCAGGAGGAAGGAGAGGATCCAGCGAAAGAGATGGAGAGAAACAGAACACTGTACCCATGAAAGGCAGTGCCAGGGCAGGCAGTGGAGAGAGACTTCCAGAGAGGGTGGCTGGCTGTGCCAAACGCCACAGAAGTGAGTGAGGCTGGCACTGAAGGAGGTCTGGGGGACTCACGATTGGGACTAGGGTGAGACCTCCCTTACCTCATCCCAATCCTGGCCCTGGGAGGAACTGGGGACCTCGGAGAAAGCATTAGTTTACAACAAACTGGACCAAGTGTGGGACTGTTTCTTCTGAGGACAGCCTCCCAGCCTCCCATAGGAAACTGCCTGCAACTGCTCGGGACCCACTGGTCTCCTTCTTCCCCACCCCAAGACAGCCCCTCAGGGTCTCCACGGGCTCGCTAGAGTTCCTGCACACAGTTTCAAGACCACAGATCAAACTCACCTCCCTGCATCCTACCACAGAGAACTCTGAGACCCAGCAAAGTACCTGACTTGTCCAAGGTCATCCAGTGAGGTGTGACCTTGTGGGTCTTTCCTTTGCTTTCCTTTGATTTCTCATCTTCAGTTGGTTTACGCTCTCCTTTTATTCACCTCCCCCAACCTTCCCCTCCTCCGTAAGAATTGGAAACAGAGAGTTGATAGTTGAGGTCTGATTTATAGCTGAGGATTGAGGTCAAATTTGTAGCTGAAGATTGAAGTCCATTTACTGAGTGCCTACTTCTACCAAGCATTGTTTTAGAGGTGTTTACATACATCATTTTATTTCATTCTTTTTTTTTTTATTTGAGATAGCGTCTTGCTCTGTTGCCTAGGCTGGAATGCAGTGGCACTATCTCGGCTCACTGCAACCTCCATCTCCCGGGTTCAAGCGCTTCTCCTGCTTCAGCCTCCCAAGTAGCTGGAACTACAGGCATGTGCCCCCACACCCGGCTATTTTTTACATTTTTGGTAGAGACAGGGTTTCACCATGTTAGCCAGGCTGGCCTCAAACTCCTGACCTCAAGTGATCCACCTAGTTTGGCTTCCCAAAGTGCTGAGATTACAGGCATGAGCCACTGTGCCCGGCCTTAATTCTTATAAGACCCTTTCAAAGTAGGTGTCATTACCCTATTTTCCTGATGAAGAAATAGAGGCTCCTAGAGACTGAATGGCTTGCTTACCTTTGTATAGTTACTAACTGGTGCTGCTGGTTTATATTCTCTCCCCACGCATGTATTTCTTCAGTCACTCATATTTACCTAGTGCTTTAATGCCAGGCACTGTTTTAGGTGCTGATACCATATGAATAAAGGACACAAAAATCCTGCCAAGACCTTCTCCATTTGTGGCTTGCTTGCCAGAGGAGATCGGCTTGTTCTTTATAAAGTCTCCTGTGCTAGATGTCTCAGGGCTGGGTATAGCAGCTGCTGTGTTTATTGGCTATTGCTGAGATGAAATTCATGACCCGATTTGCTCCTCAGCCAGCAAGGCATGTGGACTTCTTTCTGTCTGCTTCCGGGGGTCTCTGAAGCCTTCTGCTGAAACTGCCCCTAGGCGAGATAGTTTATTCTGTAAGGAGTGTGACTGTGGCTCCCTCCCCCACGGCTTCTCCCCCATTTCTTTGCTTTTATCACCAGCGGTTTCCCTTAGCCACCACCGCTAGCAGAACCCTGATTTAGTTCCACGATTTAGCCCTGATAAAGGCGAGCTATTTTGGCTTCCTCTGCCCTAAGCCCCAGGGAGAATTTGGACTCAGTGTTTTCACTTGTCATTTTAGACTGTTGGCCAGAGTTTGCGGAAGAAGGCCTGTATTATTAATGCCCTTGCCGGGAACAGCTGCACCCTGCCAGGTTGTCATGTGAGACCTCTGAAAAGCTCAGAGCTACAAGGCCCACAGCTCTCCTGGGCCCACTGGGTCAGGTGGGAAATATGATCCTACAGAAACTGCAGGCAGCCAAGGAGGGCGGAAGGCAACTTGGAAGGAACTGATCAGTCTCACGCAGGAGACACAGCCGTCCTCTGAGCGCCTCAGGAGGGCTAATTCCATCCCGTGCCTCCAGGGGCCTGCTGTATTTGAAGATCTTTTAGCCTGAGGGATTTTATCACATCATATAAAAGACACATAAAATAAAAATGAAGATATTAATAATCAGTTTAATAATATTTAGAGAGCCATTATTCCTTGTAGTGGTCACTATCCTCATCACTTGAAATAGTTTTAATTTTCAGTACAAGCCTTTGAAGTGAATGGGACTTGTTATTGCCATTTAATAGATAAGAAAACAGTCTCGGCCGGGCGTGGTGGCTCATGCCTGTAATCCCAGCACTTTGGGAGGCCAAGGTGGGAGGATCACCTGAGGTCAGGAGTTCGAGACCAGCCTGGCCATGGTGAAACCCCATCTTTACTAAAAATACAAAAATTAGCCAGGCGTGGTGGCGCACACCTGTAATCCCAGCTACTTGGGAGGCTGAGGCTAGAGAATCGCTTGAACCCAGGAGGCAGAGGTTGCAGTGAGCTGAGATCATGCCACTGCACTCCAGCCTGGGTGACAGAGCGAGACTCCGTGTCAAAATAAAAATAAAAGAAAAAAGAAAAAACAGTCTCAGAGAGGTTAAGGGAATTACCCAAGGTTATGCCAGGTAGTAAAGGTAGAGGTGGAATTTGAACATAGTCTATCTAGCTGGAAGCTCCTGCCCCTTTCAGGATGCTGTGAGCCACTAGACACATCATATTTCTCTGACTCCTCCTCAGTTTATCTGTGCAGTTGGTTCCCACTCCTCTCTCTCCACGTTACTCTGTTAACAGCTTCTGGAGCCTGGTGTTCCAGGAGGGACTTGACCAGAGTTCACTATCTGCTGAGCCAGGGGTTAGCTGGGTGGATGGTGGGGCTGCAGGCCAGACCAGGAGCCAGAAAAGATGGTCTCTGGCACCCTTTCCTTTATTCACGGAAATGGCCCCTCTTCACCTCTTCGTGCTCCATCAAAGCTCCTTTTTAGTGCTGGGAGCACACCACGGAGTTTAGAGAAAACAATCTAATAATGTTATTTGCTTGCTTAGAAAACCTCCACCAGTCCCAGTTGCTTGCAGGATAAATTGGGACTAGAAATACCTCTGTCTGGAGCAGATGTCCTGTCGAAGACCATTTCTCATCACTGCAGCCCTTATACCCTGTCCCACCTCACAGCTTCTCCCCATCCCTGAACACAATGGGCCACTTTCATGACTGAGCCTTTGCACTGCTATTCTCTGTTGGGCATGCCTTGCTCTGCTTGGTGAACTCCTGTTCAAACTTCAAAACCCAGGATGAACTTTACCTTTTCTGACTTCTGACTTCCTCTAGTAGAGTTGGCACCACCTCCTCGGCCCTTAGTTTTTAATGCTTTACATGATTTTCCACCCACTAGTTTATGGTCTTTTCTCTAAGACCTCAGCAGCAGGAGCTGGGCCCTATTTATTTCTGTATCATCTGTATTTGGGGCATATTTGTGTGAACAAATGAATGAGGGCTCATTGTAAAACAAACTGTATATAAAGTGTGAGTCACAGGTGGCCCCACTTTAACTGAAATGTTAGGTTAGGTTGGGGGAATTCAGAGAAAGGAGAGGTGATACCCTGAGGCCTAGCGTTATTGATTAGTTGACCAGTGAGCTATGCACTCTGCCTGGAGCATTACTGCAAATGAGCCTAGGACCTATTGAGAGAAGGTCCCAGGGGTGAAGTAACAGTGGGAGGCCTTACAGTTGGGAAGTGAAGCTTAGGTCTTCCCTGTTCTCCAGGCCAGACTCAAACTCTGTGCCTGATCTGCTTCCCAAGAGAGGAACTCCTTGGGCAGACCTGGAGAAAAAGTGGGGATTTTGGATGGTCCCCAAAGGAGGGTAGGGGTAGAAGAGGAGTCGAAACAGAGACAGGAGGAAGTCCAAGACAAACTTTCCTTCCTTAATACATAGTGCTCGGGGGCATCCTTCTGGCTGTAGCATCTGCGTAATAGCTGCTCCTAAGAATGCAACGTGAGCTGAATTCAAACATGAATTTGGAGCCAGTACCTGAATATGTGGGTTGTTCTATGCCACCGGGCCCCCTGCCTGTTTAATTTCTCCTTCCCCTGCTGCCAAGGCTTCCGAGAAGTTGCTGTGTAGGTGCTTAATGCTTCGGAGATGGTCAGGTATGAGTTTAAATCCTGGTCTCGGGCACTTTAATTGCTAATTGTGTAGCACTGAGCAAAAATAATAGGGATGCAGCTTTTATAGCACCAATCAGGTCAGTGATGTTGGTGATACTGTTGAGAGCTTACTATGTGCCAGGCATTATGCTAAGTGGTTGATGACCATTATCTCATTTATTCCTCCGTATACCCTACAGGCAGATGCTGTCATCATTCTGAAATTCCAGATACGTAACTGAGGTTCAGAGAGGTTAAGTAAGTTGCCTGAAGCCATAAAACAAACGATGATGGAATCAGATCATGGATCCTGATATGTCACACCTTAACCATTGTGCCATTGGTCTACAATTTGCCTGATCCTAAGAATCACCTGAGACTCTTGTTAAAAGAGCAATTCCCAGGCCCTGTCTCAGATTCAGATTCAGCCCAGCTGGGGTGGAGCCTGGGGAGCAGTGGATGCAGCGGGCACCCTGGATGATACTAGGATCTGGCAAGTTTAAGAAACGCTATATTGTGCCTTCCTGCCTGTAAGTTGTGGCTCATGGTTGGCCCTCAAGAAATGTTAGCTGTTAGTATTATAATATAAATGAATTGAAAGGACAGCTTATTGTGAAAGAATATACGTCTTTAAAAAGCTTATTAGTCCTGACACTAGATTTTAAAGATAGAGGTCGGATGGGCGCGGTGGCTCACGCCTGTAATCCCAGGACTTTTGGAAGCCAAGGCAGGTGGATCACGAGATCAAGAGATCGAGACCATCCTGGCCAACATGGTGAAACCCATTCTCTACTAAAATTACAAAAAAAAAAAAAAAAAAAAAATTAGCCAGGCAAGGTGGCAAGTGCCTGTAGTCCCAGCTATTAGGGAGGCTGAGGCAGGAAAATCACTTGAACCTGGGAGGTGGAGGTTGCAGTGAGGATCACCCCACTGCACACCAGCCTGGGTGACAGAGACTCCATCTCAAAAAAAAAAAAAAAAAGATAGAAGTCAAGGGGAAATAGATTCTGGATCAATGAATCTATACTCTAATACTCTAAACTCAAAACTATCTGCAAGTGGGATGTGTGCCTTTATAGGTCCCTGTCACTAGTGGTCAAGCAATCAGTGCCATCACGTGTTGGGTGTGATGGCTGAGCTGTTCTTCAGGGACCCATTCCTCAGTCAGTGTCTGCTGTATACATGCAGCTGCAGAGGACATTTGTGCACTGAGGAGGGCTTTGGGTGTGTTAATATTCTAGAAGAGGTGGAGTAGAGCAGCTATGCAAAGCAAGGAAGAAGGCAGGAGGTGTTAAAAGAAAAACTTTAGAGAAAATAAATGTAGCAAAGTTCATCTGAGCAAAGAACCATGTGTGAATTGGACAGCACTCAGAACCAGAAGAGGTTCAGAGAGCTCTGCTGCCGCAGTGAGGACAGTGAGCTTTTGTAGGCTGAACGTGGAAAGAAGGCTAAGAAAATATATTTTATTAGAGTGGGAAGACCCTAGTTAGAGGTTAGTTGGTGGTTTCTGATTGGTGAAGCCTCTAGTTACATTTTACTGTTTACATTGATTTGGATTTTGGTTTGCTTATGTAGAAGCTCTGGTTATGGAGACAACCTCAGGCTAACGGCCTCCTTCTTATTTGCTTTAACAGAGGGATGGCAGAGGTAGAAGACAGCAGATATTTGAGGGCCATCACTACTGCCTTGTACCGTGGGTAACCTGCATGAAGTCTTCTCTGTAGCTTCAGAGCATCTAGATCCGCTGTCATGCCACCAATACACTAAGGCACTTCATTTTCCTCAGGGAGACTGATGATGTCTTGTTATCTCTTATTAGCATTCCAAGTCTTATCTTATTTTTGAATTCTCAAGGTCCATTTTTGGGCATATAAATTACTGAAGGCAGTCAGGAAATATTGTTCCATCAGAGCTGGGAGAAAGACTCAACCCTTATCCTGGTCCATTGACCTATTTCCAACCTCAGCTTTGATGACAAAACTCAGCAGAAGCTTTCTTACAGACTAAGAGCACTTTATAAAACACTGCTTAAAGCTGAAGGAAACCCTCTGAATGACCACCCTTGAATACCTCCTTTACTAAGACCCATGATTATCTGGGAGTTAGAATCCATAATAATAGCTGCCACTGTGCACAGTGATTGTGTGCTGGGTGCTTTACATCTATTTTCTCATTTAATTCTCCTAACAACTCTATGATAGCAGTCACGCTATGATACAGGTCACACTGGTATTGTTTCACAAATGAATAAACGGGCCTAGAAAATTCAACTAGATTTCCCTAGGTTAGCAGTGGAGTTGGACTTCAAACCTAGGTCTGTGTAGCTCACAAATGAACACTTATTATGCTTATACCATTTTGCCTCATTAGAATAATAGGAAGTCCTTCCTTTTTTGGTGAGGAAGAAATTTAGAGATTGGTTACCCTGACTGGTGATACAGAGCAAAGCTATGTACAAATTGCATCAAAGGGTGGCAGATCCCTACATTCCCATCTAACATCACATCATTCCTAACCTTTTTCCATGTGGATAAGCATGACCTTAGTCAAGTCATTTCTTAGTAAGATAGATTGTTGGTTGCTCGTGACTCTCAGTGAAGACCCAGTAATGCCAAGAATCATGGCAGACAGTTAGGGGGAATATGTATCTTCAACTATGGGGCAGTATGGCAAAGATATTGAGGGCCAGGAATTTGACTACTTTTGAGGAGCGATGACAACTGAGTACAGGAAGTGAGAGGAAGGGAGCATGTACCGTGTATCATTTAATCAACCTTGAGCTTGAGACCAAAGGGAACATACCCTAAGTTTAACTAGGATGGGTTTATCCAGATATAATGGCATCACATCGTAAATTGAAAAGTGTCTGTGTGTAATTCTCTCTGTCTTATTTCTTCGAGAAGGAGTTTCGCTCTTGTTGCCCAGGCTGCAGTGCAATGGTGTGATCTCGGCTCACTGCAATCTCCGCTACCCGGGTTCAAGTGTTTCTCCTGCTTCAGCCTCCCAAGTAGCTGGGATTACAGTCGCCCGCCACCATGCCCAGCTAATTTTTTTATTTTTAGTAGAGACGGGGTTTCACCATTTTGGCCAGGCTGGTCTTGAACTCCTGACCTCAGGTGATCCAGCCACCTCGTCCTCCCGAAGTGCTGGGATTACAGGCATGAGCCACCGCGCCCAGCCCCAATTCTCTCTTTTTAATAGTAATCTAATTACATTTATTTGGCTGCTTTGTTTTCTGTCTCAGGTACGCTAAGTTTGTCTCTCAAAACTCTTTGTGGGCAGGAATTGTAGTTTATATGGTAGTGATGGTTGTATTTTAATTTCACAGAGTGTCTAGCAGGTAATAATTAGCCAATAAAATGTTTCCATTCATTCACCAAATATTTACTGGATAGTTACCACGGTTTGGGCACTGGACATAAAGGTGCTAGGGATACAGTGATAATTATTACTTGGCAGTTGAAATGCTTACGGTTTTAAGGGAAGACAGACATGTAGGCACATTAAAATGACATTTTAATTTGATTAGAATATAATTGAGATTTAAGTAAAACTTATTGGGAACTCAGATGGGAAATAATGAGAAAACAAAGAGAGGGAGGCAGATTTAAGAAATATTCTGAGAGTAGAAAATAGAAGCTTGCGACCTATTCAGTTGGAATCAACACTGTTTATAGGATTGCTCTAGGGGCAGTGAGGCACTGGCGTGGACAGTGATCCAGGGGCACTCAGGGTGAGGGATGAGTTGAATATGAGGTGAGAAAAAAGGGAAGTTGAAGATACCAAGCTTAGCAAGGTAGTAAGAGGTGGAGAGAGGAAGGGAGGGGATTATAATGGTTATTATATAGGGAGTGCTTATTACTATGTGCAAGGTAATTAACACGAATTGCCTCATTTTTTCCTCATAATAAAAGAAGTAGGCACTTTTGGGGATACAGACACTGAGAGCAGTTGAGTAGCCTGTCCAAGATCAGACCTTTGAGGAGTGGAGGAGTTAGGTTTACGCCCAGGAATCCTTGCTCCAGAGTAAACAGTCATGCAGCTGGGTGGAGAAAAATTCCACTAGCTGATCAAGAACATCCGAAAAGCTCTCATGCTGATAACTCCCAAATATGGATCTCCAGCTCACACCTTCTCCCTGACCTCTAGACTTTCCTATCAGGCTTCCTACTTTACGCTCTGTTTGACAGTCTCATCTCAAACTCAGAATATCCAAAGCTGAACTCCAGATTTCCTCTGCCCCCAGGTCTGCTCTTCCTTTGTCTCCTCTTTTTCCATTAAAGTAGCACCATCCGTCTAGTTGCTTGGGCTCCAACCCTTGGAATCATCCTTGACTCTTCTCTCTCTCACACTCACATCTAAAATATCGGGCATGATTTTCAAAGCACGTCTAAAATATACCCACTTCTCTGCCTCCACTGCAACCAGCTGGTCTAAGCCATGAGCATCGCTCACTGGGACTGCTGCTGTCTCCTTACTACTATCCCTGCCCCCTATTCCTGTTCCCACATGGCAGCCTGAGCAATTCTGGCATATTAAGTCAGATCTGGTTGTTCCTCTGCTCAGCCTCCTGCAGCAGCTCCTATTTTATTTGCTAAAAGCCAGAGTTCTTGCCAAGACCTCAAAGGCCCTGCCCAGACTCCTCCACCTCCCCGACATCGTTGTTTGTTCCTCCCGGACCCCGTCTCCATGTACCCTCTTCCTTGATCCTTTCCTTCCAACCAGTGCACACCAGTGCACTCCTGCCTTGAGCCTTGCCGCAAACACGCTTCCCCAGATATTGTGGGACTCATTCCTCCACTATCTGCAACTCTTTGTTCAAATGTCCCCTTCTCAGTGAGTTCTCCTCTGACTGCCCTTTGGAAAATGGAAACCTACCTCAACCCAGTACTTCCGATCTCCCCTTTCTTTCCTTCCCTTCCTCCCTTCCTTCCTTCCTTCCCTCCCTCCCTCCCTCCCTCCCTCCTTCCTTCCTTCCCTTCCTCCCTTCCTTCCTTCCTTCCATCCTTCCTTCCTTCCTTCCTTCCCTCCCTCCCTCCCTCCCTCCTTCCTTCCTTCCTTCCTTCCGTCCTTCCTTCCGTCCTTTCTTTCTCTCTTTCTCTGTCTCTCTCTTTTCTTTCTTTCTGAGATAGGGTCTCGCTCTGTCACCCAGGCTGAAGTGCAGTGGCACGTTCTCGGCTCACTGCAACCTCCACCTCCTGGATTCAAGTGATTCTCCTGCCTCAGCCTCCTGAGCAGCTGGGATTACAGGTGCCCACCATGACACATGGCTAATTTTTGTATTTTTAGTAGAGATAGGGTTTCACCTTGTTGGTCAGGCTGGTCTCGAACTCCTGACCTCAAGTGATCCGCCCACCTCAGCCTCCCAAAGTGTTGGGATTGCAGACGTGAGCCACTGAGCCTGGCCCTATCCCCCCTTTCTTGTACTCTACTTTGTTCTCTAAGCACTTAGCATCTTTTAAGATACCAAATAATTTTTTTAATTTGTTATATTTACGGCTCTTAGTGTCTCCCTCTGCTAGTATGTAAAACTCTAAGGGTGTTGATCTTCATCTGGGTTATTCACTGTAGTATCCTATGCACTAAGAATTATACTTAGCACTTAGCAAATGTTTAATACATTTTTTTTTAAAGTGAGTAAGCGTAGAATATAAAGCTTTTGTGCAGGTCTCTAAAAGTTTTTGAAAGGATATGATCTGAGGCTAGGCACTCCCAGCACTTTGGGAAGTCAAGGTGGGTGCATCTTGAGCTCAGAAGTTCGAGATTAGCCTGGGAAACATGGCGAAACCCCGTCTCTTCAAAAAGTAAAAAAAAAAAAAAAAAATTAGCTGGTCCTGGTGGAGCATGCCTATAGTCCCAGCTACTCAGGAAGCTGAGGAGGGACGATTGCTTGAGCCTCAGAGGTGGACGTTGCAGTGAGCCGAGATTGCGCCACTGCGCTCCAGCCTGGGTGGCAGAGTGAGACCCTGTCTCAAAAAAAAAAAAAGAAAAAAGAAAAAGAAAAAAAGACGAGGTCTGGAGTCTGAGGGAGATGTCACTGGGGGCTGGTCATGTGGAAGCAGGAATCTTCCCCGTGTATGTGGGCATTTCAGGACTGGCAGGAAGCTGGTCCCAGGGGAGGCTAAGCTGGGGAGGATGCCTGAAAGGCATTAGTGGGAGGGAGTTTGAAAAAGACCCAGAGACGCCTGTTTGAAATAAGTATTGGAAAGGACTCTTTAGATTTTGCAATTAGAAAGGCAGTTTCAGTGGAATGATGTGAACCGACTTCAGTTATTTGAGGAACCAGTAGAAAGTGGGGAAGTGTAAGCAAGTCAAGAGACCCCGCCATAAGGAAGCAGAGATTAGGTTGCCGTTTGAGGAAGTGATTTGTTTGAGGTATTTTTTTTTAGCTCCACAAAATATCATGTTTCGGGTGTGAGTAGGGATGGGGTAAATGACACACTAAGCTAATAACATCCAAACCAGCTTGTGAAACATCGTGCAAGTTATATCTGGTTCATACCAAAGAGTCGCTACTCAGTCCAGGCCTCTATCATGCCTGGCACATAGTGTTGAATATTGTATTCAATAAATATTCAACAGTAAATATTTGTTGAATACAGTATTAAATACTATAGAATTTAGACAGGTCCCTGTATCAACAACAGCAACAATGACCACCACCACCACCACCACCACCACAACAAAATAACAAGAATGTCCAATGTAGGGGGTTGCTTTTTGATCCACTTGCCTTTGGCTAGTGGTGTCTTTCTCTCCTTAGCGCCATATTCTTCAGCACTTTTCGGCAGCTGTATGTGGTTCTATTTTGGTCTCCTCTTTACTGCACGGCGATTATGTTTTCAAGAGGCAAATCTTCAGGGTGACTAGAGTGACACGTTATCTGAGTTCTGGATGGAGGTAAAGGAATATCACGGTGAGTCTGGGGAAGCAAGGGGACAAGAGAGTTGGCCAAATGAGGCGGAAAGACCCCAGACTTGCGATCAGAAGAACCTGATGTCAAATCAGATGCATCTTATAGCAAGTCGAGCCACCTCTCTGAAACTTGAATTTAAATGATCTAAGGTCATTTCCTTTGGATTTTATAGAAAGAATAGTGTCAGGAGAAAAAGAAAAACAAGGAACCATGACTTGCTAAACATACTCAGAACCAAAGGTTTTCTTTCTTTCCTTTTAAAAAAAAGTGATATACAGTGAATACAGGCTTAGTTCCCTAATGGTGGCAAATGATGTAATGTTCACAGATGTCCTGGGGGAAAACAGAACAATCAACTTCTATTTTACTCTTACCATTTCTGAGAGAAGTCAGGCAGACTGCATAGGAAAGGAAGGAAAGAAAGAAGGAAGGGAGGGAGGGAGGAAGAAAGAGAAAGAGAGACAGGGAGGGAGGGAGGGAGGGAAGGAAAGAAAAGGAAAGAAAGCAAGGAAGGAAGGAAGAAAGGAAAGAAAGGAAGAAAGAAAGAAGAAAGAAAAGCCCCTAAGGTTAGTAAGTATCTTATGTCCCTGGAACTACGCTAGGCACATACATACCTTACCACCTTCCTTATCCAGTGAAGGGTATTACATCAGTGTTTTAGGTAACCTACCCAAGGTCCACAGCTAACAATGGGGAGAGAGGATACAACAAGCCTTTGGGGGAGAAAATTGAAGCCCACGGCCCACAAGAAATAAAGCCAAGAAATGTAGTTGCTTAAAGTCAGCCAGATTCCCCAGCACCCAGCATAGTGTCTTATTCTTAGGAGAATTTGAGAAATATTTATTTATCTAAGGGATGGTTGGTTGGTTGAACGAATTACCTGAGGAAACCTGAAAATGTTTTTTGCTGAAGTGCTGTTGAAGGTCCTCAAGATCTTACGGAGATGGGAGAAACCTAGGGGGAGAGAAATAAAATTTAAATTTTCAAAAGGAATAATTATAAACCAACTGTATCAGGCAGTAACTGAGTTGACCTATGGAAAATGCATAGCACATGGTAGTACTCAACAAGTGATAACTATGATATTTAAGGGAATTATTATTATCATTAAATAAATATGTTTCTGCTGCTGCTTCTTATGCTAGAACTTGAGACACAGAGTTATTGGGGCTCGTATTTAAAAGCACTTTAGTTTTTCTGTATGCATAATATCCCATGGTGTAAGGTAACCTCTTTTCCAGTTGGCAGTCATGCCTAGCTTCTCATACCTCTGCTTTAGTTCCTGTTTGTGGTGTCGGCACAGTAAAATTTATATATGGCCATATAGCCTATATGTTAAAGACCATCCCAAGTATCTCCTCAGTGGTCAGGCATTTTTGTATGATACAGAAGCATACACTTTAATTGACATTGGTTGTGGTGGTAATTAACTTAAAACTCTTCGATTAGACAGTGAACATCTTTGTATCCTCAGTAACAGGATTTCTGTTCTCATAGACGACATGGTAAATGTGGACTGGATGATGGTTCAGTTGGTTTACACGTAGGGCTTCTGGAAGTGTCTCTAACGGGTGCTAATTTGTGTTGGTCATGGGGATAATGCTTCCTCAGCTCTAACCTGTGATTTAGATTAACACATAAAGGGCTTGTTGATCACACTGACGGAAAATTTGAAGCTGAGAGGGGTAGAAGCTATTGTATATGCCAGAATCGAGATTCCCTATAAATTTAACAGCTTACAGGAAGGACTGAGTGAGGAAAGACAGGCTGCACCAATATAAATGTAAAGACCTAGCTGTAGGCTCCAAATACCAATGGTTAAGCCAGGCTGTGTGTGTGTTTTGGGGTGGGGGGGTGGTGGTGGGGGCGGGTGGTGGTGGGGTTAAGGATTAGGACTTGTAAGAAAAGTTAGTGAGGTTATCAGTTGCTCACACTCTGTAATCCCAGCACTTTGGGAGGCTGAGGTGGGGGGAATCACTTGAGGTCAGAAGTTCGAGACCAGCCTGGGCAACATAGTGAAATCCCATCTCTACAAAAATTACAAAAATTAGCTGGAGGTGGTGGTGTGTGCCTGTATTCCCAGCTACTAGGGAGGCTAAGGTGGAAGGATGGCTTGAGTCCGAGAGGTGGAGGTTGCAGTGAGCTGAGATCACACCACTGCACTTCAGCCTGGGCGACAGAGCCAGAGCCAGACCCTGTGTCAAAACAAAAAACCAAACCAAACCAAACCAAACAAAACAAAAAAAGGCTAGTGCACCTGATTTCAACTAAGTGAGAATCATTAACATGAAGCTACTAAAAACTAACCAGAAACTTTCAGTATTTGCATCGTAGAGGTGTAGTCATTCCTCTTGTTTTACAGTAATTGGGTCACACCTGGAACTGAGCTTATTGTCATTCTTTTAAGAGTGAGGGGGGCAAATGGAAATAGGCCCAGAGGACAATAAACAGAAAAGTTAGGAGATTCAGAAACCATATTATCTAAAGAATGATTCAAAGACTGAGACTATTTAGCTTGAAAAAGAGAAGGTTTAGAAGAGTGCCATAGTCTTAAAAGGTTGTTTTTTGGAAAAAAGAACAGACGTTTGTTAGAACCAGGAAATGGATACTTAGGGGAATGGGGAAGAGTTCAGTCCAACGTATAAAAACATTTCTTAATTAATATTTTGCTCTCTGCAGACAGGCTGTCTTGAAAGAAGGGTTGTCATTATTACAGATGTGGAAGTAGATGCTGGCTGGCCACTTTTTGTTGCTACTGAGTGGGGGATTTTTATTCATCAGATAGAGGATTGGGCTGATGTCCACTAAGATCTTTTCTAGCTGTGATGGTGTGTTGCTAGACCTCACAGAGCATGAAGCCCTATGCACCATGTTCGAGGGAACCTGGATAACATTGTTGGCAGGCTAGTGGGAGCTGGCAGAAAGCTTGAGCTTTGGATGCAAAGCTAATGATTAAAAGCTTTGTGTATTTGACTTGCTGTCAGCATAGAGAACATATCAATTTGAGTTTATGTAAGATAATTAGTATTCCAAGGTGCCCACCAGGTAGCATTTACTATTTGAAAAATAGCAGAATAACTGAGGGCATTTGATTTTGCATGTCTTCTCCCAAGGGATCTCAGGGACCCTGTGGACCTCCTGGATGTCCTTCCAGCACTGCTCCAGCAAGGTCCCGGTCAACACTCTTACTTCACAGGAACCCTTCCTTATCCACCCTTATCTGTAGGGGCAGTCTTTCCTCTGGGTGCTGTAGCCACAAGCTTTGGAGTTAGATGAGTTGGTTTGAATCCTAGCTCTGTACCAGCTCCATGACCTTGGGCAAGTGGCTTAGTTCTTGACTGCGTCTTGCTCTGTCGCCCTGGCTGGAGTGCAGTGGTGCGATCTTAGCTCACTGCAACCTGTGCTTCCCAGGTTCAAGCGATTCTCCTGCCTTGGCCTCCCCAGTGGCTGGGATTACAGGCACATTCCACCATGCCTGGCTAATTTTTGTATTTTCAGTAGAGACAGGGTTTCACCATATTGGCCAGGCTGGTCTCGAACTCCTGACCTCAAGTGATCTGCCCGCCTTGGCCTCCCAAATTGCTGGGATTACAGGTGTGAGCCACCAAGCTTGGCCTAAAGCTTCTCATCTCTATCTATTGAATGCAGGTGACTCATTTCCACCTGCCAGATTCTTAATGATCATTAGAGCGAGAGAAACTGCCCAGCAGCACAGCACTAGCATGTGTTCATGTTCAGTCCATGGTGTTAATATTTGTGATGATAGGCATAGACTATTGATAGACTTGATGACTATATTCAGTCATCTGTGGGTAGCTACTTGGTGTGAAGAATTCCTTGGCTGGGGCTGAGGAGAGTTCTCTACCTCACCTCAACCCCAGCCGCCTTCTCCCATCCCTCCCTCTTAGACCAATCCCTTCCTACAGGATGTTCTTTTTTTTTTTTTTTTTGATTTCCTCTAAAAAATTTCAATAAAGAAAATAAAGCAGGAGGTAGAAAGCAGGAGAATCGCTTGAACCCGGGAGGCAGAGGTTGCAGTGAGCCGAGATCGTACCATTGCGCTCCGGCCTGGTCAACAAGAGCAAAACTTCATCTCAAAAAAGAAAAAAAAAAAGGATATAAACCAGCTTCTGGCATTACCCAGGAGCAGCTGACCTAGATGCTTGTTCCAGTAAGTTCTCCTCACTCCCTCTCATGCTTGTCCGCCTCCCCACCTCCTCCACCCCTGCTTCCAGGCTGTCTGCAGACCGCTGGGCCGGGTTTCACAGTATTGGCGTGAATCAGCTTGCCAGGCTTCTACCCTTTGTGCTTGGTGGTAGCTAACTGACTTTTTTCTTTTTCTCATGTGGTCAGGATTTTTCCACTGAAGCATTTCTTTTATGATGTGGGAGAGACAGATAGCACCTGGCTAGTTGCCTTCTTTTGGACTTGCTGTGATTTGACTTTTCAGCCAGGCCAGGTATTTATTTTCCCTTGGGTGGAGTGTGGTTCTCCCAGAGATGCCTCATTCATGATTCATTTGTTCAGGGCATACAAAAGGCATTTCTTAGGACCTAACCTGGGCCTAGCGGTGTGGTAGGTGCCTGGGCTTCAGAGAAGGCTAGGATGGTTGCTAATTCTCTGAAAGGTCATGCCCTAATAGAGGAAACGGACATAGAAACTGTGAGGGGCGCTGTCTTGGGGTCTGTACAGGGTGCTGTGGGAGCACAGGGAAGGGTTCCTAACTCACACTGGGGATCAGGGAGGCTTTGGCTCCTGATACTAAATGACCTCTTATTTGATACACTTTTTATGTCAGACTTGCTGGTTCTTTCCACACATTGAGTCAAAGGGTGTCTCTGGTTCCTCCCTGGATGGACTGATACAGGCCATTTCACTCACTCTCCCAAGGGTTTATCTCCTCTGGCCTCTCCGAGTCTCACCTGGAGGTGTGTGTTCCTGTGGCGTGGGTTCCTTGGGAGCGTGGGTGATTCACCGGCTGGCCTCATCCCATACTGATCCTCTGGGGTGATCCCTATTCACCTTGTCTCCTTTGCTGTCATAACTCCACTGCTGGGGGCAGAGGTGGAGATGTTGAGCTTGTGGGCAGGAATAAGTTCCACTGAGCCACAGAGCTTGACTCTGCTCACCTTCCCACAATAGAACTCAGAGTTGGAATCCTTTCCCCAGCCACCTCCCCTCCCATCTGAGGACAGAGGGTAACCTGCCCGTCATCTCTGGGGTTATCTCCAATTTTCAGTCTCCCTCATCTCCAGCTGACCTCCCATATGGCCAAATCGATCCTGAGGTTGGGAATCCAGTTCTTCAAACTGAGCCCTTCAGACTCTGCTGTGGTACGTGAAAACAGTTTCAGTATCCCGCCATAAATACCTTCCAAAATTCTAAATGTAGTACATGACCATTGATATGGTTTGGCTGTGTCCCACCCAGAATCTCATCTTGAATTGTAATCCCCATATGTCAAGGGAGAGACCAGGTGGAGGGAATTGAATCATGGGGGCTGTTTCCCCCATGCTGTTCTCATGATAGTGAGTGAGTTCTCACAAGATCTGATGGTATTTTAAGTGTTTGGTACTTCCTCCTGCTGCCTTGTGAGGAAGGTGCCTTGCTTCCCCTTTGCCTTGCACCATGATTGTAAGTTTCCTGAGGCCTCCCAAGCCATGTGGAACTGCAAGTCAATTAAAACTCTTTCCTTTATAAATTACCCAGTCTCCGGCAGTTCTCACACAGAAGTGTGAGAATGGACTAATACAATCATGACCTTAAAAAATAAATAAATAAATAAATAAAACATGGCCGGGCGCGGTGGCTCCCGCCTGTAATCCCAGCACTTTGGGAGGCCAAGGCGGGTGGATCATCTGAGGTCAGGAGTTCAAGACCAGCCTGGCCAACATGGTGAAACCCCGTCTCTACTAAAAATACAAAAAAAATTAGCTGCATGTGGTGGCGGGCACCCATAATCTCAGCTACTCGGAGGCTGAGGCAGGAGAATCGCTTGAACCTGGGAGGCAGAGGTTGCAGTGAGCTGAGATCTCACCACTGTACGCTAGCTTGGGCAACAGAGTGAGACTCTGTCTCAAAAACAACAACAACAAATATTTGAGGCCTACTTTTTTGAGAACAGAAAAGCAAATTAGACGTGGTCCTTGCCCCTAAGGTGCTCACAGTCCACTATCTATCTAGGTCAGATATTTTCCACTGCTGGTCAGTGTTTATGAGGCAAACTGTTTACTAACTTGCCTAACACTGCCTGTCCCGTGCAGTTCTTCCTGGATTGACGGCAGCTAGATCCTGTGACAGAGGACAGCTGTTCCCCGCTCCCTCCCATCACTCCCCTCCTCTGTCTCCTGGCCATAGCTGTGGGCTGCAACTCTGACTTGAGTGTTTGTGTCCCTAGTGCGTTTAGCTTCGGGTGGGGGCTGCCTTTGCAGGTACTCGATAAACACCTGCATGGGGAGTTGAAATAACAAGTTCTTAAAGGAATCTAATTCGAGGGCACACTGCTGGTGGGCCCTGTTTGGTGGCCCTTGGGCTGAGCACATGCTTTGATAGTTCACTCTCAGAAACATCCAGTCTGGTTCTTAAGTGGCCAGAATGACCCGATGGAGTTAAGATTTCCCGTTTTTGGCATAGGGTCACCTGTACGTCTTTCATTCTAAACAAAAAAGTCAAGCATGTCTTGTCCTGTTCTCTCAAGCGTGTTAGCGAGATGGAAGACATAATGGTGGCCAGAGAAGCTGGAAGCAAAACTAAACAGAGGTGCAGATTTGCAGAAGCTACCCCTTGGCATCACGGGGTGCAGTTTTTCTCTGCTTCTCAGTTAGATAACTTGACAGAGTTTTATTTATTTATTTATTTATTTATTTATTTATTTATTTATTTATTTATATGTTTTAGAAAACTAAGAGGCCTAGGTAAATAACTGTGCCTTAAAGCCCTTCTTTCCAACCAGGAGTAGCAGCATGCTAGAAAAGAAAAGGGTGGGCCTGGGAAACTAGATTTGAATTTTGGTTTTGTCACTTTCTAGCTGTGTGGTCTTTCGAAAATCATTTGATTCCTCTGAGCTTCAGCCTCTTCACCTGTAAAATAATCAACCCACAGCATTACTCAGAAGATTTACAATAAAAGAGAAAACCTAGCACATTACGTTATGTAAGCGATACTTATAACAATGATGATAATGATAATAATCATCATCATAATAACAATTGAATGGTGGGCTCTCTGCTGCTGCATGTAGGTAGACATGGCTCTACTTCGTCATCAGAGAGGGTCTCTGTGGCCTGAAGCACTCGGCAGGCTCCTTGCCTTCCACATATTTCTATGTGTTGGGATGAGATTGTCTTCAATCCTTAAATATCAACTAGTAGAAGCCTAGTACAGCTTCACCTTGGAGGAGAAAAATATGTCGATTCAGCTCTACTCAGCAACTTTTTTAAAGTGGAGAGATTGAGAGAGAAAGAGAGAGTAATTGAAATAATGCCCACAGTTCTGACAGCCTCTTGATCAGCTGAAAGCCCACAAGTGCAGGTGGGGAGACATGAATTCGAGTTCTCTCAGTCTCTGTAGGGTGAGCAGCTTGTTGGTCCAGGTGTGATCCCAGTATTTAAATGTTTGTCTTTTTAGTGTAACATGGTAGTAAACTGAAGACAATTACTTCTTCTGGTGCACATCCTGATCCCTTTCAGGGCTGGAGTCTAACACAGCTGTGTTAGATTCACTGAGTGAATTTTATATGAGTGTTCAGGGCTGTATAAACAGACCATATATTCTGTATTTCATAGGTGATTCAAAGTGGGGGGACTTTTTGTTTGTTTAACTTTCATTTACTGCACATGAATAGTCATACAAAATAAGATGTTATTTTAACTGACTTCAAATTCAGCTGTTTATTTTTTCATTTTTGCTGTAGATATTTCAGTATGTATATTTAAAAGATAGAGACCCTTTAAAAATAGGCCGGGGCGCAGTGACTCACACCTGTAATCTCAGCACTTTGGGTGGCCAAGGCGGCCAAGGAGTTTGAGACCAGCCTGGCCAACATGATGAAACTCCGTTTCTACTAAAAACACAAAATTTAGCCAGGCATGGTGGGCGCCTGTAATCTCAGCTACTTAGGAAGCTGAGGCAGGGGAATCGCTTGAACCCAGGAGGCGGAGGTTGTAGTGAGCCAAGATCACGCCACTGCACACTCCAGCCTGAGCAGCAGAGTGAGACTCCCTCTCAAAAACAAAAAAAAAAGAGACCCTTTAAAAATAAAAACTACAAGATACTATTATCACATTCAAATAAGTAAGTAAGTAAGTATTCCTTAATACCAGATATGGAGTCAATATTCAATTTTCCTCAATTATTATATATATATGTGTGTATGTGTATATATTAGTGTTTGAGTGTATGTATATAGATATGGGTGTGTATAGTTTTAAAATAGTTTGTGTATTCAAATTAGGATCCAGATAAAATCCAAGTGCAATAGATTGATAAGACCTTTAAGATTGTTAAAATGGGCCAGGCATGGTGGCTCACGCCTGTAATCCCAGCACTTTGGGAGGCCTAGGAAGGCGGATCATGAGGTCAGGAGATTGAGACCATCCTGGCCAACATGGTGAAGCCCCGACTCTACTAAAAATCAAAAATTAGCTGGGTGTGGTGGCATGTACCTGTGGTCCCAGCTACTTGGGAGGCTGAGGCAGGAGAATTGCTTGGACCCGGGAGGTGGAGCTTGCAGTGAGCCAAGATTGCGCCACTGCACTCCAGCCTGGGTGACAGAGTGAGACACCATCTCAAAAAAAAAATAATAATAAAATAAAAAAAAAATAAAGAAATTGTTAAAATGCAGGCTGTGCATGGTGGCGGCTCACTCCTGTAATCCTAGCACTTTGGGAGGCTGAGGTGGGTGGATCACCTGAGGTCAGGAGTTCGAGACCAACCTGGCCAACATGGCGAGACCCCATCTCTACTAAACATACAAAAATTAGCCGGGTATGGTGGCTTATGCCTGTAATCCCAGCTACTGGGGAGGCTGAGGCAGGAGAATAGCTTGAGCCCGGGAGGCAGAGGCTGCAGTGAGCCGAGATTGTGCCACTGTGCTCCAGCTTGGGTGACAGATTGAGACTCTGTCTTGAGAAAAAAAAAAGATTGTTTAATAAATGCTTTTAATCAATAACTTCCCACGGGCGGGGACACTGATTTGAAATATAATCTTTGGGTGAGGTGTGTGGCTGCCCTGTCTCTGTATAGGTAGACACAGGCCCACAGGTGCAGTGGCCATATTATCGGTGCGTGTTTACTCCCATCGCATGTACCATTCCTCTCACAAACACCTGCTTCCTGATCATTTGTCTTTTTAAATAAAAATATGATATTTGAGATTCTTTTATTCTCTTTAAATATTTGAATACAGAGTCTATTTGAAGGACCAGTATATTGAATAGCAGTAATATTTGAAGGACTAGTCAGCTGTAGAAGCCTTGACTTCAGATCTTCACCCAAGAAACTCTGTGTATTTGCTTTTCCTGGGCCACTCAGATAGACAATTGTGTTTTTGATACAGTAAGAGTTTGCAGCTTAGCTTAACTAGAAATAATCCGGATCTTATTTTGGAATTAGGAAGAAACATGTTATGATGTAGAAAAGCCTGCTCTGTTACCTACATGATGGCATAGCTTTGTGCTTTTCATGCTTTGTGGCCTTGGAAGGGGGTAGATAGAGTGTAGGTGGTTAGGAGTTGTTTCCTGGCTAAAAATAGGAACAGCATACTGTGAGACAGGAGCTTCTTCTCTCACAAGCCTCTGTGCAAATAGCGGAGGGTTACGCATTTGCTGCAGGTGGTACTTAAGCTCCAAGAACTTACGGCACACCTGCTTGAGTGGATCATGGGTGAGCTGGAGAACCTGAAGTAGCAAAGGCAAGAAGGCAACGACGTTCCATCTGTGGAAGGACCTACCAACCAGGTATCTCTGGTGACAGGGCTCATCTCATAGGTGGCCCACTGTACATCATACCCTGATGTTTTCTTTGCATGACGTGCTATAGAATTCCAGGCTCATGCACACCTTTCTGCTCTCCTGTTTTGCAAATGTCTGCACTCTAGAGTCCTTCCTGTTGGCCACTACATACGTGTCCCCCGCTTCTTGCCCCTCTCTGCTTGGGTCCCTGCTACACTGGTATCCTGCACTTTCCACCTTGTATTGCCAGTTTGTTTCCAAGGCCATCTCCACTTTGAGCTTGTTCATGACCACCTCACACAGCACACTTGGTCTGTGTGGTGGTTTGAGGGGTTCTGTCTGTACACTGTGCTTTGGCTGTGTTGGAGGCGGGCAGGTGGGAAGGAAGAAATGTATTCTTGGGGAGATTTGTTTTTAGAGACATGAGACATGGAAAATAGTTAAGTAATAATATAATATGGGAGGCATGGACTATCAGAGGAGGCAGGCAGGACTGCCCAACCTCCTCACTGGGCACGTTACGCTACTTCCTCCTGACCTCTATAGTCCTTTGCATTTATCAAGCACTGTCATACGTGTTATCTCATGCAATGACCAGGGTGTCACCCCCTGTTTTGTAAGTGACAAAACTGTCACTCAGAGGGATGAAATGACATGCTAAAGGTCATCTAGTTAGTAATGGTGGAATCAGGGCTGGAGCCCAGTCTTCTAAGCCTAGTTCCTATTCTGCTCTTCATCATCTGTCTCAGGATGGTAAACTGAGGCCTGGAAAGGAGAAGGAACTCACCCAGCCTAAAGATTAAGGGTTTTATGCTGGCCACGGTGGCTCATGCCTCCCAACATTTTGAGAGGCTGAGGTGGGAGGATTGCTTGAGTCCAGGAGTTTGAGCCCAGCCTGGGCAACATAGTAAGACCCTGTCTTTACAAAAAATAAAAAAAAATAGCCAGGTGTGGTAGCACACACCAGTAGTCACGGCTACTCAGGAGGCTGAGGCGAGAGGATCACTTGAGCCTGCGAGATCGAGGCTGCAGTGAGCCGCAACGGAATCATTGCGCTCCAGCCTAGGACAGAGTGAGACTCTGTCTCAAAAAGAAAAAAAAAAAAAGATTTTAGACAGTGCTGACCATATTGAGACAATGCTGACTGGTGAGTGGGGACGGAGAAATAAAGAACTAACATTGTGCAGAACTGTGTTCTCAGCCAGTGCTATCTAATGGAAATAGAAAGCAAGCCACAAGTGTGGGCTGCATACGTAGTTTTCAGATTTGTAATAGACACATTAAAAAAGCAAAAAGAGGCCGGGCATGGTGGCTCGTGCCTATAATTCCAGCACTTTGGGAAGCTGAGGCAGGAGGATCACTTGAGCCCAGGAGTTAGAGACCAGCCTGGGCAACACCCTGTCTCTATTGTTATTTTTATAAAATTTAATTGTTTAAAAAATACGGGAAGTAAAAAGAAACAGATGAAATTAATTTAAACAACATAGAACTACACAGGGGTTAAGGGCACTAGCTCCCTGTGCAGTTGAAAGTCCATGTATATTTTCTGAAAGTAGACTCTGAAAAATAAGAAAAAGAAAGAAAATCCACGTATAACTTTTGACGGTCCCTAAACTTAATACGAATATCCTGTTAACCAGAAGCCTTACTGATAACATAAAAAACTGATGAACACATATTTTATATGTTATGTGTTTTATATACTGTATTCTTGTAATAAAGTAAGCTAGGGAAAAGAATGTTAGGAAAATCATAAGAAAGAGAAAATGTATTTATTATTTAGTAAGTGGAAGTGGATCCTCATAAAGGTCTTCATCCTCATCATCTTCACATTGAGCAGGCTGAGGAGGAGGAAGAGGAGGGATTGGGTTTGTTTCAGGAATGGCAGAGGTAGAAGGAGGGCGAGGGGGAGGCAGGAGAGACAGGCACACTTAGTGTAACTTTTATTGAAAAAATCTGCATATAAATGGAACTGTGCTGTTTAAGGATCAACTGTATTTTATTTAACTCAATATATTCAAAATACTCTTACTTTCTCATGTAATCAATATAAAATTACGAATCATACTTTCTACATTCCTTTTTCCATAAGAAATCTTCAGTGTGTATTTTTACACTTACAGCACGTCTCATCTGGCCTAGCCACATCTGGCTAGTGGCTGTTGCATTGTGGAGCCCAGTTCTAAGCATTTTACGTATATTATTTCATATAGTTCAATAATCACGTGAAAAGTTTATTACAGAACTATCTAATGGTTGAGGAAATGAAGCCCAGAGAGGTTAGGTAACTTGCCTGGGGGGCACGAAGCTGGAAAGCAACAGAACTGGATCCTGGCCTCTCCCTCCTCTTCCCACTGTGGCCAACTGCCAGCCGACCAGGAAGGGGGCCCGGGGGCAATGCAGGGGTATCTTATTTCCAAACCATTGTTAAACTTGCTCTTGTGGAGGCAGCTGGCCCTGGGGAAGTAAAGGGAATCCTCCTTTTTAAATGCATATGCGAAAGTTAAGGGAATCCTTTCACTAGGCGGTAAGCCTCTGTCTAGGGCCGTGGGACCATTAACACCACTCGCCTCGTAGAAGGTGTGTGTCATTCAAGGTGATAATGCATAGGAACAGCTCAGCTATGTCAGGGCCAGGCCATTATGGGTGCTGAATAAATGTGTTTCTGTCCCCTATGCTAAGGCAAGACATCCGGGGAAGAAGTAGGCCCGGATTTGTCGCCTTGAAGGAAGACTACTATAATCTCTTTTTTTTTTTTTTTTGAGACGGAGTCTCACTCCGTAGCCCAGACTGGAGTGCAGTGGCACGATCTCGGCTCACTGCAAGCTCCGCCTCCCTGGTTCAGGCCATTCTCCTGCCTCAGCCTCCCGAGTAGCTGGGACTACAGGAGTGCACCACTGCGCCTGGCTAATTTTGTATTTTTAGTAGAGATGGGGTTTCACCGTGTTAGCCAGGATGGTCTCGATCTCCTGACCTCATGATCCTCCCGTCTTGGCCTCCTAAAGCACTGGGATTACAGTCATGAGCCACCGTGTCCAGCCAAGACTACTATATTCTAATGGAGGGTAAGTGGAGTAGGAGGGCCATGTGCGTGCTCTGGGGGCAACAAACTTGGTGCTAAACTTGTTTTTCTTGTTTTACTCACAAACATTATGACAGCAGTAAAGATACACTTTTATTTATTTATATTTTTTTTAGAGACAGAGTCCTCCTCTGTTGCCCAGGCTGGAGTGGCTATTGTAGTTCACTGCAGCCTTGAACTTGTGGGCTTGGGATCCTCCTGTCTCAGCCTCCTGAGTAGCTGGGACTATAGGCGTGCACTATCACACTGAGCTATTTTAAGAACATTTTTGTAGAGTATGTTGGCCAGACGGATCTTGAACCTCTGGCCTCCAGCATTCTTCCTGCCTTGGCCTCTCAAAGTGATGGGATTCATAAGCATGAGTCATGGTGCCCAGCCAAGATACATTTTTAAAATGTATCCTGCCTCCTGACACATTACTGTTCACTTGTAACAATGGTCACTTGTAATCATAGTCTGTTTGCAAAGCAAGCTTTTAATAGAATTACAATTTTAGTGTTGACCAAAAGTTTATTTTGGGCCGGATGTGGTGGCTCACGTCTGTAATCTCAGCACTTTGGGAGGCTGAGGTGGGTGGATCACCTGAGGTTAGGAGTTCGAGACCAGCCTGGCCAACATGGTGAAACCCCATCTCTACTAAAAATACAAAAAAAAAAAAAAAAAATTAGCTAGGCTTGGTGGAGGTGCCCGTAATCCCAGCTACTCGGGAGGCTGAGGCAGGAGAATCGCTTGAACCCGGGAGGCCGAGGTGGCAGTGAGCCAAGATTTTGCCATTGCACTCCAGCCTGGGTGACAAGATCGAGACTCTGGCTCAAAAAAAAGTTTATTTTGTTTCTATAAACATTGTTTTTCATCTTTATAGTGCATGTCTTTTGTTAATGGCTTCATAGGCAATCGATGGACTTCTGGATCACAATTTTGCTTGTTCCTATGGCTAGATATTTAGGTTGTTCCAAATTTTCTCAGCATTACATTTGATGCTACAGTAGGCACCCACACATTTATGTTTCTTTTCTGTTTTTCAACTATTGTTGGTTGTTCTGAGGTATTTTCGTAAGGTTTCACTTCTGTTTTCCCAGCCATGAGTGATACATGAGCACAACTGTTTTGCTATTAATCACCAGCATTGGGTGTGAAAATTTACTCAAAGTTTTGCTAAATTTAACTGGAGTAGAAATGGGCCATGCATTTGTGCGTACTTCCCCAGATGCTTTTTAGAACAGTGCTTGTGTAACTGACCAGAGTGTCAGGTGAGGCCATTGTTGGCAGAAAGGTGCCTTCCTCGGGAGAAGGTGGGTTACACAGCTTTTCTTTGCAGATGAATGGTGAGAGCCAAACCCGAAGACCCACAGGTTTCAAGCTGGCCATGTGGCTTCACTAAGTTTGGCCTCAACTTCCCACAGTGGCACAGAAGCGAGGTAGAACTCAGTGTTCCTACCCGAACCCTGGACATTCTGAAATGTCCACAGCCCGAGGAAAGGGATGACCTGCATGTCACTTTCCATACCCTCCACTGCACATAGATCTGTCTCAGGCATTGAATCAGAGGGATGTGTGACTTTGGACAAATTATTTTACCTTTCTCTGCCTCATTTCTTCATCTAAAATCAGGTGACAGCAATGTCTCCCTGTAATATTGCAGTGGGGATTAAATCTGTTAATACTTGAAAAGTGCTGAGATCAGTGCCTGGCACATAAGTAGTGCTCAATAACTGTTGTAAACCTGGGTTTGGATCTCACTTCCATTGCTTTCTGGAGGCCCACTTTGGTCAAATGGCTGACCTTTCTGGACTTCAGCTTCATCTGTAAAATGGGATTATGGCATCTACTTCAGCATCATGTTAGGGGTTTAAGTGAGAAAATGCATTTCACACAGTGTCCTGCACATAAAGGGCCCACCATATATGTAATGAAAAACAAACAAACGGCCGGGCTCAGTGGCTCACTCCTGTAATCTCAGCACTTTGGGAGGCCCAGGCGGGCAGATCACGAGGTCAGGAGTTTGAGACCAGCCTGGTCAACATGGTGAAACCCCGTCTCTACTAAAAATACAAAAATTAGCCGGGTGTGGTGGCGCGCGCCTGTAATCCCAGCTACTCAGGAGGCTGAGGCAGGAGAATTGCTTGAACCCGGGAGGCGGAGGTTGCAGTGAGCCGAGATCACGCCACTGCACTCCAGCCTGGACAACAGAGTGAGACTTTGTCTCAAAAAAAAAAAAAAAACCCAAAAACAAAACAAACAAACAATGTTTTTAGCTTTATTTTCTACTCTACCAAAGAGAGAGCTTTGTTGCCTTATATTGGTGTTGTAATTAGCTGTTAGATCTGACCATATTTTCTGTTATGGTGTATTTTTAAGTCCACATTCTAGGTTTAAGGCCATCTTGAAACAAATGGGAGGCAAATCAACATTTTCGTGTGTCTGAAGCTTTTAATGTAATTTTGTTTTGGAGATGAATGAGCTCATAATTCCACAAAGAAGGGATGATATTTCATATACTTATTAGTTTAGTGATTTCCCTCCCACACTTAGTGTCAAACTGTCAGGTTTATGGAAGCTATCAAATGTTTCTTTATGCTCAGCAGCACAGATCAAAGTTGTCTACATGATAAGGTAAAAAACATATTCTTTAGGAAATGCAAAGAAATGACCCAAAAGACCCTTGAGCACAGCTCATTCCTCTCCCTGGTCTGTCCAACTTTCCCTCAGGAAAAGTCAATGTAGTCATTATGTCTGGAAAATGCCAAGGACTTCTTTCCCTCATTTTTTACATGGCCTTGCACTCTGTGAGGCATTGGCTGGGAGGTTCATTGTGGCTTTCTTGCCGCTAAGCATCTCCTCTCTGCCAACATCTCATCAATTCCTGTCTGTGCCAATTACCTTTGCTTAGGATTTGGGGTGAGGAAAGTTGTGTGATTTGTCTGTTTCTGTTTCTGGGTAAAATCTCAACTCTGGGCGTATCAGCAGAAAGGGTTCTGAAATGTCCCTTGATTCAGATGATTCTGAATCAATAGCATGTATGTGTGTGTGCATAATTACCCTTACCCAGAAAATTCTCCATTATAATTCTTTAAAAGCACAGGTTCACAAATTATTAGAAAGTATATTTTGTATACTATTTACGGTAGCAAAATATCAAATGCAAGAAGCAAGTTTAATTAAAGATAGGCAAGACATTTTACTGAAGAATATAAAACATTAGTAAGAGAAATAAAACAATGGCTTATGCAATTATGGAAACTGACAATTACCAAGATCTGCGACTGGCAAGGTGGAGGCCCAGGAGCAGCAATGGTGCAGTTCCAGTCTGAGTCCAAAGGCCTGAGAACCAGGGAAAGCCAATGGCGTAGTTCTAGTGCAAATGCCAGTTGGCCTAAGGCCTTTCAGTTTGAGTCCAAAGGCAGGGGGAAAAAAACCCCAAAACCAAACCAAACCAAAACAACAACAGCAAAAACAATGCCCCAGCTCAAGGCAGTCAGACAGGAGGAGCTCCCTCTTACCTGTGGGAAGGTCAGCCTGTTTTACTGTATTCAGGCCTTTAACCGATTGGATAAGGCCCACCGTTAGAGAGGGGGCAATCTGCTGTACTCAGCCTGCTGATTCCAGTGCTAATTTTATCCAAAACAACCTCATTGAAACACCCAGAATATTTGACTAAATATCTGGGTACTCTGTGGCGCAGTCCAGTTGACACATAAAATCAGCCATCACCATCAATTTGGGGGAAAATTGACATTTTAACAAAATTGAATCTTTCAGTTGATCAGCATGGTATATATCCTCCATTTATTTAGATCTTTTATTGCTCTCACTAGTGTTTTGTAGTTTTCAGTAAAAAGTCTTGCCTATCTTTAATTAAATTTGCTTCTTGGCATTGGATACTTTGCTACTGTAAACAGTATATAAGATATATTTTCCAATGATTTGTGAAATTTTGCTTTTGAAGAATTATAATGGAGAATTTTTAGGAGAAGGATAATTGAAAATCCGTCAGACAGCAGTGAAGTTTAGGAACTACCATTCTGGACATAACCATACATCATTAATAAAATATTCCTTACATCCCTATGCTACTTTATTATTGCCAAAACATTTTTTTTTCCTTTGGTCCTCGTAAGGGTTCTTAGAAAGAGACAGAAGAGCTATTATTTCTACTTTCATACAAGGAAATGTGGCCTCAGGGATTGATGTGGTTTGAATATATGTCCCCACCAAATCTCATGTTGAAATGTAACCCCCAGTGCTGGAGGTGGGGCCTGCTGGGAGGTGTTTGGGTCATGGGTGTGGATCTTTCATGGCTTGGAGCTGTCCTCACAACAGTGAGTTCTCATGAGATCTGGTTGTTTCAAAGTGTGTAGCACCTTCCCCACCACTGCCTCTTGCTTTTGCTTTCGCCATGTGATGTGCCTGCTTCTGCTTCACCTTCCACCATAACTAAAAGCTCCCTGAGGCCTCCCCGGCAAGTGAGCAGATGCTGGCACCATGCTTGTGCAGCCTGCAGAGCTGTGAGCCAATTAAATCTCCTTTCTCTGTAAATTACCCAATCTCAGGTATTTATAGCAATGGAAGAACAGACTAACACAGGGAGACTATCTGAAAGTCCTATGACTAGCAAGTGGCAGAGCCAGCCCCAGAGCCCAGGACTTTTCCTAAGAGAGAGGTCCTGCTTCTGATACCAAAGTTTTTCTATAGAAAGATGGCCTTTTATAAGCATTACTGAGAAGATACCTCCAGGTGCCCAGGAAGAATCTCCTGCTTGTAGCCTCCATAGGCAGTGTAGGAGGAAGGGAAGAAAACAGCAGAGTGGACCAAGGTAGCAATATGTAATACACTAGAGTCGGGAGCGAGAATGATGTCCTGTTAGCTTATACGGCACTTTCGTGCTATTAAGAAAGGATGCCCTTTCAGCCAGTACCAGATGCCATTATGCAGTGAACAACTTGTACAGTCATATGTGACATCCCAGAGAGAAAACAACAAATACAGAAACCTTACTTATTCAGGAATTAATTATTGATGAGGAAGCTAAATTGGTGTTTCTTTCCTTTAGAGAAATTGATTGAAAATACTTCAAGATGATTCAAAGCTAAAAGAGAAGAAATCATCTTTCTTTCTTCTCCCTTTTACAACCTTTCTATCTTCTATCCTTTCTCTTTCTCCTCTTCTTCCTTTCATTACTCAGCACTTATTGAGTGCCAGGGCATGAAAATGCAGAGATAAATGAGGTGGCATCTCTCCCTAGGAGCTTCTAAGTCTTACAAACGTTTTTGACTGCCACCATCAATAAGAAGTACATTTTATGGTATTGCAGTTTTTTTTTTAGGTCTTTCTTTTTTAAGGTTTTTATATATTGAAACATTTATTAATGAAATGATGAGTTCAGGATTTGTTTCAAAATCTAGGGATGTAGGCGTAAGTGGGGTATACACAAAACAGGACTGACCATGAGTTGATAATACTGAAACTGGTCATGGGTCTGTGGGGTTCATTATCTGTCATCCATGTTTCTTTTTCTTTTTCTTTTTTTTTTTTTTTTTTTTTTTGAGACGGAGTCTTCGCTGTTTCGCCCAGGCTGGAGTGCAGTGGCGCGATCTCGGCTCAGTGCAAGCTCCACCTCCCGGGTTCATGCCATTCTCTTGCCTCAGCCTCCCCGGTAGCTGGGACTACAGGTGCCCGCCACCATGCCCGGCTAACTTTTGTATTTTTTAGTAGAGATGGGGTTTCACCGTGTTAGCCAGGATGGTCTCGATCTCCTGACCTCGTGATCTGCCCGCCTCGGCCTCCCAAAGTGCTGGGATTACAGGCATGAGCCACGGCGCCCGGCATCTGTCATCCATCTTTCTAATGATCTATTTGAGACAAAAGTTTCATGAAGCTCTACTTTCTCTTATTACATGCAGTGGATTCTGATATTTTAAAATCTTGTTTATTCTCTTTTTAAAAACCTGGTCCTTGTGCCCAAATTGCTTTTGAGATCCACTGATGTAAAATAATACGTATTTTGAAAAACACTGGTGTATCGAGGGAGAGAGGGACCTATAAAATAATTGATTACTGTCAACCAGAAAGTGCTACTAGAATATGGTCAGAGGGCTGTGGGAGCACACAGAAGGGAAGGACCGACCAACAGGGTCCTGGGGAGTCTGGGAAAGCCCTTCAGTAACTTGCATGGAAGAGGAGACATAGGCATCTTTGACAAGATGGTGGGGGGATATCTGACCTTGAGGATGAGGGAAGTGGTGCAAGTGGGGTGAGCCAACCTGAGTTCAGTATGGCTGCAATGTGAGGGCTGTTGGGGAGTGGCAGGAAATGAGGTTACAGATAGCAGCAGCAGCAAAAGTCACTAGTCTTCTGGGACAGCCTAAGGAATTTATATTTTATCTGTGTTTCAGGGAACCATTGGAGGATAAACTGAGAAATGGCCCAGTTCCATTTGCCTCTTACAGAGATCATTCCGTCGGCTCCTTGTAGATAGACCAGTCTACCTCTGTGGTCTGATTTAGAACATAAAACCTAGACCCAAAGGAGAGCCAGTCTGGAAGCCAGATCTAACCTACCTCATGTAATCATGTCCCCACTCTGCCACATGACTTCTCAGATCTACACAGAACACAAATTGGGCTTTTTCAAGTATTTATCAAAACAAAAATTATGGTCACTTTCAGGACATAGGAAGAGGTGAAAATAGAGCCAATTCCCTGTGTGCTCCTTTCCCCTTTTCCCTGCATAGGGTTCTCTCATCTGTAGAGTTACGGCAACCTGTGAGAGATTCATAGTAATCACCTACAGTGTGGCATTTTTCTAGGTGCTTTACAACTATTAACTCACTTAATCTTCATAATAATTCTATGTGGTAAGTATTATTATTATTAATTTCATAGATGAGGAAACTGAGGTAAAAAGAAGTAAGTGATTTGTCTAAGGTCACACATCTAGCAATTAGCAGAGCTGGAATTTTGGCAATCTGGCCCCAAAGTCCACTTTTAACCACCATTGTGCTTCTTGATTAAGTTTGATTTCATTCCAGTCATCTCCTTAGACTCAGATGTTTGAACAAAGAGAATCGTGAAAAAAATTTGGCTTTAAGTTTTATTCTCAAGATTGCCAAATCCCTTTCTTCCCTAATGAGAGGAAGAGGAAAGTTTTCTAGCTGGGAGAAAAAGGATGGCTTCTTAGAAGGAAGTGGTATTTTAGTGGAGTTTTGAAACATGGATGAGAAGTAAATTGCTGAGAAGGATGAGTTGCTAGTACAGCCAAGATGAAATAATCCAACCACAATCTCTACCAATGTTTACAACAGAAAGCTGAATAGGATGCAAAAAACCACATGAAAACTCTGAAAAGTAATAGCAGGCAGGCAGAGTACTGGGTTCAAAACTTGAACAATGACTCACGATGAACATGGATTTGCAGAACAGTGTGGAAAGCTAAGAGTCCGAGATAACTCCATCTTTCTAACTAGAGGAAGCAGGGGGGAAAAGCCACTGGAAGCCAGAGAGTGTGAGGAAATCCCTGAGAGGAGAGAGGTGGAAAAAGGGATCCACAAATTGGACTGACAAAAGTCCTGGGCACACTACAAGGTGTGCATGCATGGAACAGACCCAGGAGGCACAGAAGAGGTTTTGAGAATCTAACTATGATATTAACAACCACCCAAGTCCCAGACAAACTCTTGAATGGAGCATGTGACAGATTGACTCAAATGGCATACCAAAAGCTTTGAAAACTGATCTGACACTGGAGCTAACACTCATAAAAAGTGAGACAGTACTTTCAGTCTGAACCTAAGTGGATTAATTTCCTGGTAAAACAAACAAACAAACAAACATTTTTCAGATGATTTTTAACAGGATTCAGAGTCTCACAACATATTAAAAAATCCAGGATACAATTCAAATTTACTCAATATCAAAACAACCTGGAAAATCTAAACAGTACTCAAAGGAAAAGACAGTTCAATAGGCAGTAACACTGAAATGACTTAGATCGTGAAATTATTAGACAAATAAAGTAGGTATGACCATTCTCCACTCTTGAAATTAGAAAGTTCTTGAAATTAGGAAAGATAGAAGTTCTCAGCAGAGAACTAGAAACTGCAGAATAATCAGATAGAAATTTTAGACCTGAAAAGATGATATGGGCCCAGTAGCGGAATAAATATAACAGAGAAAAGAGTCAGTGAACCTGAAGGTAGATCAATAGAAAGTATACACAATGAAATATACATTATGAAACAAAAAAAAATTGGAGAAAAATGAAAAGCCTTTCATGGTACTGTGGGACAATGTCAAAAGGCTGAAACTTCTTGGTATTGGCATTCCATCTCAGAAGGTAAAAAGAAAAATACTGGTGCAGAAAAAAATATTTGGAGAAAGAGTGGCTGAAATAGTTTCAAATTTAAAGAAAAACGTATCTTCACAAATTGAAGAATCTCAGTAATTTCAAACAGGATACATTTAATAACAACTCCTCAGCCACCTCATAAGAAAACTTCTAAAAACCAAGGATTAAAAAACATTAAGAGCATTAAAATATGACACATTATACGTAAGAAAAGGGAAGGAAGAAAAGAGAAGAAAGGAAGGACTCAAGAAAGAGAGAAAGAAAGAAAAAAGAGAAAAGGAAAGGAAGGAAGGAAGGAAGGAAGAAACCTATTCGAATGACTGTCCATTTCTCATCCAAAACCATGGTGGCCAAAGACGAAGACAGTGAAACCCCGTCTTTAGAATGCTGGAAGAACAAAAAAACTATCCACCCAGAATTTTATATCCAGAAAAAATATTCTTTGGGAGTGAAAGCAAAATAGAGATATTTTCAGGTGATGGAAAACCAAGAGGCTTCATTTCCAGGAGCTCTCCTCTTAAAGAAATACTAATGGAAGTTTTTCAACCTGAAGGGAAGCTGTACTAGAGGAAAAGTTAAAACTTGAGGAACAAAAGAAGAGCAGGAGAAATAATAAATATCTAATACATTCCCCTTGATAAAAATACACACAAACATAAATCTCATGACATGGGTAACTACAAACTACTGGCGATATTTTAGATTTATTTCCTTTAAGTCTTTTTTTTCTGTGAATATGCGTTTCTCTTTTTCTTTTTTGGTTTTTCTCTCTCTGTCTCTTCCTTTCATGTGGACATTTCATAACATATTTAAATATTCCTTTTTGTTGGGATTTGAGGTTGTTTCAGGTTATGCATGGACTGAAGTCAAACTACAGTCTTTGGCAGCATTTCTGATAATTCTTTTTTGGAGATAGAATTACTGAATTAAAAGAAGATGGACATTTTTAATGCTTTGATTCTATTTGTGAAATTGCCCACCCTCCCTCCCTTCTTTTCTTCTTTGCTTCCTTACCTCCCCTCTTTCTTCCTCCCTTTTTCTTTCAACTAAGATTATGTAGTATATAGTTTTATAATATTCTTTATTTATTCAATCTATATTGTGAGCATTTTCCTGTTTTGTTAAAAAGTCAATAATTAAAAAAACTTTTAAGTTTTTAAATTATTTTTAATGGTACTATGGTCGTATTTTTTTAAAGGTACATAATTACATGTTTATGGATGGAATGATATGTCTGGGATTTACTTAAAATACTTAGGGATAGGTGGCTATGAATAAAACATTATTGACCCTGAATTGATAATTGTTGATGCTAGGTAACGGATACATGGTGGTTCATTATTGCTACTTTCTATAGTTTTCTATGAGTGCAATTTTTTATTTTAAAACTTTATCTGAGTGTGGTGGTGTGTGCCTGTAGTCCTAGCTACTTGGGAGGCTGAGGAGGGAGGATGGCCTGAGCCCAGGAGCTCAAGGCTGCAGTGAGCTATCACTGTGCCACTGTCCTCCAGCCTGGGTGACAGAGTGAGACCCGGTCTCTAAAAATAAGTAAGTGAATAAATGTTTTAAAAGTAAAAACTGTAAGAAATGTTTATGAATTTATTTTTAATTGTTCAATCGTGACCCATTGTGGCTGGGCATGGTGACTCACGGCTATAATCCCAGCACTTTGGTAGGCTGAGGCGGGTGGATCATGAGGTCAGGAGTTCAAGACCACCCTGGCCAAGATGCTGAAACCCCGTCTCTACTAAAAAATACAATAATTAGCCAGGCGTGGTGGTGGGCACCTGTAATCCCAGCTACTCAGGAGGCCGAGGCAGGAGAATCGCTTGAACCCGGGAGTCGGAGGTTGCGGTGAGCCGAGATCACGCCACTGCACTCCAGCCTGGGCAACAGAGCGAGACTCCATCTAAAAAAAGAAAAAATTATAACCCTTTGTGTGGACATTTCATAACATATTTAACTTGTCCTCTTTAAAGGAAGAGGACAAGTTAAATTGTCCTCTTGGGAATTGAGGTTATTTCAGGTTATTCATGGGCTGACATAAAACTGCAGTCTTTGCTTCTCTGAATACTTCTTTTTTTGAGATGGAATTACTGGGTTAAAAGAGAATGGTCATTTTTAATGCTTTGATATATTTAATCAAATTGTCCTTCAGAGAAGACGTTCCATGTTATTTTTCCATGAGTTACTTAAAAGTGACCTTGTCAGCTCTATTGTAATTTTTTAGTCTATTAATTTGGTGGGGGAAAGTGTATGTTATTATTTTAATTGAATTTCTTTTATTTCCAGTGACATTGAATCCCCAGCCTGTCACTGAATTGGTTCCCACCCGTTTAGGGAGGAGGCAGAGACAAGAGTAGAAGAAAAATGATTTATTTATTTTTTGAGATGGAGTTGTCCAGGCTGGAGTGCAGTGGTGGTGTAATGCCCAACCTTGTTTTTACTAACCCTGTTTTTAGACTCTCCCTTTTCCTTTAATCACCTAGCCTTGTTTCCACCTGAATTGACTCTCCCTTAGCTAAGAGAGCCAGACAGACTCCATCTTGGCTCTTTCACTGGCAGCCCCTTCCTCAGGGACTTAACTTGTGCAAGCTGACTCCCAGCACATCCAAGAATGCAGTTAACTGATAAGATACTGTGGCGAGCAATATCTGCAATTCCCAGGAATTAGTCTGATTGATAACGCCCAAAGCCCCGCGTCTATCACCTTGTAATAGTCTTAAAGCCCCTGCACCTGGAACTGTTTACTTTCCTGTAACCATTCATCCTTTTAACTTTTTTACCTATTTTATTTCTGTAAAATTGTTTTAACTAGACCCCCCTCCCCTTTCTAAACCAAAGTATAAAAGAAAATCTAGCCCCTTCTTCGGGGCCGAGAGAACTTTGAGCGTTAGCTGTCTCTTGGCCGCCGGCTAAATAAACAGACTCTTAATTCGTCTCAAAGTGTGGCGTTTTCTCTAACTTGGTCAAGTACAACAGTGTGACCTCTGCTTCCCAGGTTCAAGTGATTCGCTTGCCTCAGCCTCCTGAGTAGCTGGGATTACAGGCATATGCCACCATGCCCGGCAAATTTTTGTATTTTTAGTAGGGATAGGGTTTCACCATGTTGGCCAGGCCGGTCTCGAACTACTGACCTCAAGTGATCCGCCCACTTCGGCCTCCCAAAGTGCTGGGATTACAGGCGTGAGCCACCGTGCCCGGAGAAAAAGGATTTATTTTCTCTTCCTCGTTCTTCACTTTGAAGATGAGAGGCAAACACAGACAGATCCCAGATTCAAATCCTGGCTCTACAACTTACTAGTTACTGATTTTGTACCTTTATTTTTCTGACCCTCAGATTTTTTACTGAAGAAATCAGTGCAATCATGAACTGTGAAGTAATAGACATTTATAGAGAAAATGCCTGGGGTGCAATGGTCATTCTGAAAATGGTAGCTTTTGTTGTCCTTGGGAAGCTGAGGCTCAGGATGTGAAACAACCTCCTGCTCTTTTTCAGAGGCGGCAAGGAGCTCAGAGCTGGGTTCCTTCACACAGGGAAGGCCCCTTGCAGGAACTGCTGCTGGTATCTGCGTCATTAATTCTTTACCTTTTATTCTTCCAGGCTCCTGTAACCATTTATCCTTTTAACTTTTTTACCTATTTTATTTCTGTAAAATTTTATTTCTGTATCTTCCATGCCCTGCTGGGCATGAAGGCAGCTATCACAGGCCAGGAAATTCATGTTAGGGAATTGGGTCATCTTAGGGAACTAATTCAAATTGCTAATGGTATTTATTTGATTCAGTGGAAATGCACCTTGCAGTACTTGATTCGGAGGACTGGGTTGAATTTCGGGAGGGTTTGTTTGACATTGTCTCATCTTACTCTCTGGAGCAGGATTCAGACCTGGAACGCTCTCTTTCCAGGGCAACCTAGCCAAGCTATGGTCTCTGCCTCAATTTATTGCCCTTTCCCCAGGACTCACATCTTCCTCCCCACTCACTGTTTGCCCAGGCTCCGGTCATCTATGTTAGTCGTGCTCTTGCTACACATCTGCCACCTCTTTCAGAAGGTTGAGAGCAGCCAAAACAGAAACGGGAACTGTGGCTCTCAATAAACTGTCTGCTCGCAGACCAAGAGAGAAGCGGGAGTGCTTTGTCTGTATTTACTGCATTTTTTTTCATTTTTTTTTTCTTTTTTTGAGACAGGGTCCTGCTCTGTCTCCCAGGCTGGAGTGCAGTGGCACGATCTCGGCTCACTGCAAGCTCCGCCCCCCAGGTTCAAGTGATTCTCCTGCCTCAGCCTCCTGAGTAGCTGGGATAACAGGCGTGCGCCACCATACCCAGCTCATTTTTATATTTCCAGTACAGACGGGGTTTCAATATTGGTCAGGCTGGTCTTGAACTCCTGACCTTGTGATCCATCCACCTCAGCCTCCCAAAGTGCTGGGATTACAGGCAAGAGCCACCTCGCCCAGCTGCACTTTTTAAGGTTATTTGAACACCAAGCAATTAGTGCTTCTGGGCCCAGGCTAACAGATGAGGCCAGAAAACCCCACCACACTCTCTCAGTCCTGAGCAAGGGTGCTGCTGATCGGGCACAGAGCCATTTCTCCTGAAATCAAGACTGGGTGCCAGGCCGTAGGGCTGCCAGCCTGCCTGTGATTTCTCTCTGGGACCATCTCAGTGATTTCCTGTTTTCTTCCCCTGAGCACATTCAGTGCAAGAGGTCTAAGCATGAGGGTGGGAGGTGCGGTGAGTTTGGCCTGTTTTCCAAATGGAGGGGAAATCCAGGGAAGTCAGCAGGCTTCACTGTGAGTCGTCGGGTCTACCAGCGTTTCCTATGTCAGGCCGTGAGCACCTGCTCTGTGGAAATGAAAGCAAATCTTCTCCACCAGGCAGGGGCTGCAGAGGGCTGGCAGGGGTGAGGTGGAAGGGCTCAGGGAGAATTTAACAATGTTGTGTTTTCATCTTGATGATCACACAAAAATGATTCTGTACCAGTCACGAAGACTTCAATTCATAATGGAGGAGACCTTTAGCGTCTTAAGTGTTTCTTGAACACTGTTTCTTTTTCCTCTTTAAAATGGGAGCTGACTTAATCTGTAAGCCTTATTTCTTATGGCTCTATAGAAGTGATGAAATAACAGCACTGTCTGGAGAGACTTAAAATAACAAACATTTCCTCTGCACAGTTTAAAGCCTTCTCCCATCTATTACTTCCCCTGTGCTTTCCCATAACTCTGTGAAATAGGGACTATTAAGCCCTTTTTTCACATGAGGAAACAGAGACTCAGAGAAGATAAGTGACTTTTCTGAGGACACACAGTGATTTGGTTGGAGAGCTGGAGGACCTCACATCTGTGCCCTGGTTTCAGGCTTTTTCTATTAGTTCAGTCTTCACAGTGACACACCCTTGACCCTGCCTCCCACGAGGGTCCCACGTTCCTATTCTCTTTGCTGTGGAGCAGTGTTTGAAATAGCTAACACTAAAAGTGGCAACTATTGTTTTGTTTTGTTTTTGTTTTTGAGACAGGGTCACCCTCTGTCACCCAGGCTGGAGTGCAGTGATGCAATCTCAGCTCACTGCGACTTCCACCTCCTGGGTTCAAGCTATTCTCGTGCCTCAGCCTCCTGAGTAGCTGGGATTACAGATGTGCGCCACCACGCCTGACTAATTTTTGTATTTTTAGTAGAGACGGGGTTTGACCATGTTGGCCAGGCTGGTCTCTGACTCCCGACCTCAGGTGATCCTCCCACCTTGGCCTCCCAACGTGCTGGGATTACAGGCATGAGCCACCGCACCCGGCCGCAAATACTGGTTTTGTTGAGATGAACATCAAGGTCTCGTGTTTAGCCAAAGATAAATACTGATTCATGACACTCCGGAAAATTTCATCTCATCCTTGAAAATGAAGACTTTTCACACCCAACAGCGGTCAAGCCGGGCCTCAGCCTTCTGACCCTCCTCCCCTGCTTCCTGGCAGGTACAGGTTTGCCAGCTCTCATTTATTAAGCACCTGGCATGTGCCAGGCACTGCACAATCCTTACTTCTAACCCTCACTGCAGTCCTGTGAAGTAGGTGCTTTTGCACACATTTTACAGATGAGGAAACTGAGACCCCGACTGTCATGTAATTTGCCTAAAATTGCATGCTGATTAATAATAAAGCCGGGATCCAAATCTAGATTTGTCTGACTCCAAGTCTTGGTGCAAATGAAATTCAGCACCATTCCTCCAAACTGAGCCTTGTCTGAGGGTCTTTTGCCTTCTCAGTCTTGGTCTTTGGTCCCCTTTAGTTTTTTCTGGGCCCACCGTTTTGAGCTCCCAGTTACCAGCCTCTTGATTGAATTGATTGACCTGGATGGATGTGGTCAAAACAGGCAACTTCACAGCTCTGCCTTTCCCAGGCCAGCACTGGGGTGAGGTGTGGGGAGGGCAGGCAGCCCAGGGGCAGCTCTGTTCCTTCTTTGGGCCTGCTTCTTACATCTCCATCCTCCTAAGTCCACATTCTGTGCTTGGTCAGCATGCAGGAGTTGGGACTGTTTTGAGGACTTGCTTATGGGTTGTGGGGAGGGAAGGGCACTGGCATGATTGCAATACATTCCTGGGCAAGACATCTGGCCTCTCCCATTTGCGGTTCCTTCATCTATAAAATGTTAACACAGTGTGTCAAAATGTTGATGTTCTCGAGTGACTTTTCCTGAGATCTTTGCCAATTCTCAAATCAACATCCTTATGGTCATTGTTGCCAGGATCTCATTTATTGTGTACAGTAGCCTAAGAGGAGGCATTTTGTTCTTGCTTGACACATGACAAAATCACACACATGCCACCAGAGCACATAATTCCCCCTTACACCGTAAATACAATCAAGCACACCTGAAAATCTAAGTGATTTCTTCCTTATTGATTCCACGAATAAAAGGCAGTAGGGATTTCTAAATTTGTTAAAGGAAATTCATCACTGAGTGTAAATTCTCCCTAACATGGACTAGCAATTTTGTTTCTCTGGGAGCCATAATTCACAAGCCAACAGGTATTTCTGTCACTTCCTAATACATGGAGGGTACAGCATCCCCTGCACACTGGGTTCCAGCCTGAGTGTGAACTCTCTTGCGTACGAAGGGACTGGCCCCTGTGTGCTTCTTACTGCACGCACTTCATAATTACTCCTTAGCAGACTTAGGCTGTTTCATGTCTAGGACCTTCGGAGTTATTCTCAAAAGTAAAAATCCCAAATGTTGATTCTGTAAATACCAAGGGTCAACTATAATATTAGCAATGATCCAGGGCTGCTGGAGGATTCAATGAGATAAAATGCTAAGTGTCCAGCATCCTAAGTGTGCTCTGGGCTTGGGACCTTGCACATTCACTGAAAATCACTGAAATTCCAGGGTTAGGTGGGCATGGCTTTGGCTGAAAGAGTCACAGGTCAAACAAGATGATCATCTTAGTACAGGCATTAAGAGTGCAGTCTTTCCTGGGTGCAGCAGCTCACGCCTGTAATCCCAGCACTTTGGGAGGCCGAGGTGGGTGGACTGGTTGAGCCCAGGGGGTTCAAGACCAGCCTGGGCAATGTGATGAAACCTGTTTCTACAAAAAATTACAAAAATTAGATGGGTGTCGTGGTGTGTGCCTGGAGTCCCAGCTACTTGGGAGGCTGAGGTGGGAGGATTGGTGGAGGCTGGGAGGTCGAGGCTGCAGTGAGCTGTGATTGAGCCACTGCATTCCAGCCTGGGTGACACAGTGACAACTTGTCTCAGGAAAAAAAAATAAAAATAAATAAAAGAGTACAGTCTTGGATTCAGACAGTTCTGGGTTCAAACCTTGGCCCTGCCATTTACTAGCAGAAGTCCTTTAACTTCTTTGAGATTCAGGTTTCTTATCTGTGAGATGGAAAGGATAACACGGTACCGGCTTTGGAGGACTGTGGTGAGATTGAATGAGCTGTCGGATGTCCAGACCTGGCACAGTGCCTGGCACGTGGGAACCCCCTAGGAGGCAATCACAGTCACTTTTCATCCTTCCTTTCTTTCTGTACAGAGCCGCAGACCCAGCAGGTGCTTCATGCTTGTTGATGATTTCAGTTCCTGTCTAAAACCATTTTCTTGTTTACAAAATAACCATCTTCCACCCCAACACACACCACAAGCCCCCGCGGTGGATGCCAGCCAGACATTCTATTCATCAAGCGCCACTTGCCTATCCTGTGCTTGGCAGTGCTAAAAAGGAGACAGAGAAGGGATATAATCTTATTTTTCTGACTGGAAAAATAAGTTTCCCACACGCAGCACCTGGAGAAGAGTGCGGGAGTGCAGGAGAGTGTGTGTGCATGTCAGGAGTGTGAGTGGAAGTCGACACTGGTGGAGGACTCCTCACTGCAGGATCTGAGAAGCTTCCTCCAGGGACATGGGCTGGATCTGGGGCTGCCTTTGGGGACCTAAAGTGAAGGGAAAGAGTAATGCGGGAGGCAGTTCGAGGTTGAGATGAACCATTGAGTGATGACTTCTGTGGATCTGTCCCCCAAAGAAAAATGTCCAAACGTTGGTCAACATGCTCCATTAAGCACCCAGAAAGTGCAGATATAAAATGTTCTTCAGGTGTGGTAAGGAGGAAGCAAATGTGAAAACCCCCAGAGAACCAGCCCCTGCCTCCCAGGAGGCAATGATGTGGGCCAAGAGCAGAAGTTGAGTTCTGGCCTTGGCCTGGGATTGCTCAGAGGGTAGCAGCCCCTTTGCCCAAGAGATTGAGCTGCAGCCGTGTTGCTGCCTCTTCATTTGGTGACCAAAGACAAGACAAGATCACCACGTGGGGAGGAGACAGAAGTGAAAGGCCCACCTCAATGCAAGGGTGATTAGCTCTTTCTCCAGCAGTACTGACTCACTTTGGCCTACTAATCAATGTGAATTCTTCATAACAGGCGATCCCCTTTGAGTCCAGGAGGACAGAGTTGATGACAGTGTAGCCTGAAATTCCTGGGGCCCTGGATTGAAGCTGTGGCCCTGCCATTTCCTCAGTAACTCTGAGCTGTTATTGGGCAACAGACTTCCTAGGTTGTGGAGGAGGCTGGGTTAACTGGGGACTTTAAATGCTTGAGCCGTGTGTTGACTCATTAACTATGTCTACCCTAGGCTGAACTGGTGTTGCCCTTCCCTTCCCAGGAAAGGCCTGGCCTCTCCCATTCTGCCCAAGGAAACCCTCTGTGAACTTTTACATTCTTCCAAACTATTCTGATGTTTATTGGTCTGGATCCATTACATCAGAAGCTACTGAGGGTAATATCAGGCATCTATATTTTAAAAATGCTTCCTAGGTGATATTAATGCCCAGGTAAGATAGAGCAACAATGTTCTAAGTGGTTCCCTTCACCTACACCACTCACCTTCATGGCTGTGAGATTAGGGGTGGGAGGGCAGGGGAGGGTTACACCAAGGGCCTTGAAGCTCTCAGGACAGACTTGAACAACCTTTTTCTCCTCCATGTTCCCTTCCCCTTTTTCTTTGTAGGGGGTCCATTTGGCCTTGGACGGGTTCTAGCAATGACGTCAGTTTGTTAAGACGAGCGAGGTAAACAGTTGTTGCCTTGGTGACTTTAAGGAGAGGTAGTTGCACTTCAGTGATTCTGGCAATTAGAAAATGTCAAGGAACACTGGCTCAGACTTCCTCCTGCCCAGATTGATAACACGAAAACCACGACGGACATGGTTGGAAAGAACGGCCGCCTGGCGCGATCCCCAGCCCTGGAATTCCTGGAGGACATGATATTTAAGAAGACATTAGTAGACATTGTCCTCACTAAAGACAGAGTTAAAGTGGAGTTTGAATAATCAGACCCACGTTAGTAGGATTTCAGAGGAAATCCTTATCTTCGGTATTTCAGTAGAAATCGTTCCTGTTTTGTTGCCATTTGGTTCTCCTTTGCAACTTAGCATGTGAGAATTCCGGGCAGCCTGATTCCTTGCCCATCTTTGACAGCTCTGCTGCTGTGTCCCGGGGGAGGCAGGTTTCCAACATAACTGCTACTCTGCCTTTGCCTGGTGAGTGCTGAGATGGAGAGGCAGGCTGGTATCTGTTTGATCTGATACTCCAGAAAAATCGTAATTTTACATTGTTTTTTTCCTGATTTCTAAACACATGAAACCAGATTCTTCTGGAGAAACATAGAGTGCCTTAATTTTGCCTAGTTAGGGGCTGTTGGGGGTGGTTTTTCTAAGCACCCTTCTGTGTCTAGCCAACCAGTAGAACCTGATTTTTGGGAGGTGAATTAGCCAGGGTTCTCTAGAGGGACAAAACTAATAGGATAGATGTATTTATAAAGGGGAGTTTATTAAGGAGTATTGACTCACACGGTCATGGAACTATGTGAGGTCCCACATAGTCCATCTGCAGGTTGAGGAGCAGGAAAGCCAGTCCGAGTCCCACAGCTGAAGAACTTGGAGTCTGATGTTCGAGGGCAGGAAGCATCCAGCACAGGAGAAAGATGTAGGCTGGAAGGCTAAGGAAGTCTAGTCTATTCACATTCTTCTGCCTGCTTTTTATTCTGGCTACAATGGCAGCAGATTAGATGGTGCCCACCCAGATTAAGGGTGGGTCTGCCTTCCCCAGCCCACTGACTCAAATGTTAATCTCCTTTGGCAACACCCTCACAGACACGCCCAGGATCAATACTTTGCATCCTTCAATCCAATCAAGTTGACACTCCGTATTAGCCATCACAGGGGCATGCTAAGCAAGAATTGTGTCTATGGCTGTAATCACAAAGTTACGATTATTGGAGTAAGCTCCACAAACCAGAGTCCCTTGTCCAGGGCCTCCAGAGATCCACCAGACACTTGAGTATCTCGAAAAGCCAGATGGGAGAAGCACGTTCACCACGGCAAACCTGCGCAGCCAAGAAAATCAAGTTTCTTTGTTTTATGCTAAACTTTTATCAACTGACTGTGGTAGTCGTGGCAATCTCATGCCATTCAGAACCTCTGATTGGCAACAGTATCTTTGTTCATTTGATAACAAATAACTCAAATTTTAAATTAAAGTTAGTCGACAACATCTTTCAAAATCTTGGAATCGTGTCGGGGGAAACAAAATACAAGAGATATGATTTGATGTGAAAGAATTTAGGACCTCTTGGCTTTGATTAAATTAGGGTGTGCTTCTGTTGTTTCACTGGGATTGTGAAATGTTGGGATGAGGAGATATGAAAAATCTATAGCTGAATATTCTGTTGATGGTTTTAAACCATAGAAATAAATATTCAGGAAGTCTCTATTGAGTAGCTCTATAGGGTAATGCTAGCTGCTAGAGCAAATAAACTCACGTCTTAACCATCTTGGCCCAGAAGTGATGTATGTTATTTTTGCTCACATTTCTTTGCCAATAACTAGTAAAATGATCCCATCTATATGCTGTGTGTGTTTGTGTGTGTGTAAAATGCAATCCCTCTCTGGACAGTAATTTACAGCAATAACTATATGGCAGAAGGAGCAAACTTCTTGTGGGGCAGCCAGCTATCCCTGATATGAGGAAAGAGAAAGAAGGGTCAGCATTAAGTGGCAGCTCAGGTGGCACACATTAAGAATCCAAGCTCTTAGAGAAATGGGAGTCCTTCATGGGAGAGGGTTTCTGGCAGCCAGGACACATGGAGCCCCTCTCGGAGGCACTATGCCACCCTCTGGGGGCAACAGGGTGTCAAGCACTCTAAGTCTAAGAACAGAAAGTTTGGGTTCTAAGGTCCAGATGAGGGTGAGGTTTGTGCACTAAAGATTAAGGAGATGAAGATCAGGGCAGAGTAAATAGGTGTCACCAGAAGGTCAATACAGTGATTAGCAACTGTAGTTGGTGTGATAAAGCAGAGAGGCTCGCAGTAGCCCTTGGAAGGGCCTGAGTAGAGGGACATAGGATGAAGAGCACTACCAGTTTGTTGGTTAGAATAATCTGGTCAGCCGGGCATGGTGGCTTATGCCTGTAATCCCAGCACTTTGACAGGCTGAGGCGGGTGGATCACGAGGTCAGGAATTCAAGACCAGCCTGGCCAAGATGGTGAAACCACGTCTCTACTAAAAATACAAAAATTAGCCGGGCGTGGTGGCGGGTGCCTGTAATCCCAGCTACTCGGGAGGCTGAGGCAGAGAATTGCTTGAACCTGGGAGGTGGAGGTTGCAGTGAGCCGAGATTGCACTGCTTCACTCCAGCCTGGTAACAGAGCGAGACTCTGTCTCAAAAACAAACAAACAAACAAAAAACAAAACACACCGTGGTTTCACCATTTACAGTGACATCTTGAGCAAATGACTTAAACTCTCTGAGTTTCAATTTCTTTATTTAAAAAAGAGGATTGTTAATACCCCACCCCACAGGGTGGTGGTAAGAATTAAATTTGGTAACATCTATAAGACCTGCTGTTCATTACAGTTGATTCTTAAGGCAGCATCCGGTGATGCCTTTGAAACATACATCGGCAAAGTCTTAATCAGATGAAAGCCAAAACCCCTACACCTGTGTAAGGCGCCACATTATCTGGCTGCCCCTGTGTAGGTATTTTGCTGTTCCCTCTACTTGCAACCCTCTTTTCTCAGAAATCTGCATGGTAGCCTCCTTCATCTCTGTTAACAGAAAAACCAAATTCTGTAAAATATTTTCAAGAAGTTTATCCTGAGGCAATATGAGTTACTGTAGCTTAGAGAAAACACAAACCCAAGAAGCCTTGAGTGAGTGGCCCTGAGGCAGTTGGGCCATAGTCTGGTTTTATACATTTTAGGGAGACAGGCATTACAGGCAAGGATATCTGGAAATCAGTACATGGAAGGTAACTGGTAGTTCTGTCCAAAAAATGTGAGACATCTCAAAGTGGGGGAGGGTGCGGTGTTAGGATATATGTATTGGTGGTTTTTTTTTTTGTTTTTTTTTGAGATGGAGTCTCGCTCTGTCACCCAGGCTGGAGTGCAATGGCGTGATCTCTGCCCACTGAGCCTCTGCCTCCTGGGTTCAAGTGATTCTCCTGCCTCAGCCTCCTGAGTAGCTGGGATTACAGGAGCATGCCACCACGCCCGGCTAATTTTTGTATTTTTAGTAGAGATGGGATTTCACCATGTTGGCCAGGATGGTCTCGATCTCCTGACCTCGTGATCCACCTGCCTTGGCCTCCCAAAGTGCTGGGAATACAGGCGTGAGCCATCATGCCTGGACTATGTGTTGGTTTCCATGCATGTTTCCTGGCGCATAGCCCCATAGCCCTTGCTACAGTCTTGCTAGAATGCTGGGCTTTTTAGACTTCAGGGACAGGCCCTAAGAAACAGTCTCTCTCCTGCCGTCCTTTCACCTGCCCCAAGGCAAGGTTTTTATGTTTTCTGGCCTGACTGTGGGCCTTACAACCCTCCCATGAGGCCAGGCATAGTGGTTCATGCCTGTAATCCCAGCACTTTGGGAGGCCGAGGTGGGTGGATCACCTGAAGTCAGGAGTTCGAGACCAGCCTGACCAACATGGTGAAACCCCGTCTCTACTAAAAATAGAAAAATTAGCCGGGTGTGATGGTGGGCGCCTGTAATCCCAGCTACTCGGGAGGCTGAGGCAGGAAGAATTGCTTGAACCCGGGAGGCAGAGGTTGCAGTGAATCAAGATCATGCTACTGCACTCCAACCTGGGCGACAGAGCGAGACTCTGTCTCAAAAAAAAAAAAAAAAAAAAACCTTCCCATGAGAGGTTCCTACCCTATGCCCTGGGGGAAGAAATGCTGACGTCAAGGAAGCTTCTATAAAAACCCAAGAGGACAGGGTTGGGTGAACTTTCTGATAGCTTAATAGGAGGAGGTTCCTGTAGGGCGGCACAACCAGGGAGGGCGTGGAAGCTCTGCATCCCTTCTCCCATACCTTGCTCTACACATCTCTTCATCTGTATCCTCTGCAGCATCCTTGATGATAAACCAGTAAATGTAAGTAGGGTGTTTCCCTGAGTTCTGTGAGCCGCTCCAGCAAATTAATTGAACCCACGGAGAGGGGAACCCCAATGGAAGCTGGTTGGTCAGAAAGAAGTTCTGGAGGCCTGGACTTGTGACTGGTGGAGGGGGGATGTCTTGGACACTAAGCCCTCAATCTGTAGGATCTGACACTATTTCCAGGTAGATAGTGTTGGAACTGAATTAGAGGACACCAAGCTGGTGTCGCTGCTTGGTGTTGGGGTGGGACCCCCACACATATGGTCACATAAGTCATCTTCTGTGTTGATTGTTGTGGTGTGAGAGCAGAGGAAAGATGGCTACAGAGAGTTTTCCCTACACAGGGACTTGGGGGGTAGAGGGTTAGGGGAGGGCTGAGGGGCCTTACAAGTCTTAAGTGCGTTTTAGGGATTCTTTAGCTAACAGTAGCTGAGAGAGTCAAGTTATTGTCTAGTGACTTGAAGTCAGTAGGAAGGAATGCCTGAGTAAGATAAGGAGGTTGTGGGGGCCTAGGTCCTTGGAGCCTCATAGATAGCAGCCCTCTGGGTGAATAGATAGTGATTGTCTCTTCTCAGACCTTTGGGTGTCTGACTCTCAGTTAGAATCTCTCCTAGATCTGGGAAAGGCCTAGCAAGGGAAGAGACATTAATATCGATTCTCTGGAGATGCACGTTTCCCCCACCAAAGATGGCTTTGCAGTCCAAAGGCTGTCTGGCAGCCTTTTCCAAATATGTCAAAGAAATGTATTTTGGGGCAAAATATTTTAATTTCCTTCAGAGTCTGCTGTCTGTCATGTGATACTATACCAGAGTCAGGTTGGAGAGTAAGCCACATTTTACTGGGTTAATTAAAAAACCCATTTAATGAGACTGTATTGTTTCTAGGGTATGACTTAATCTTTGCCTTTTATGGCCTTAGGTATTGTGTATAGTTTGGTATCTTATTGTCATAAAGGGTCTGTTTGGTCAGTCTTATAATCTCTATTTTACCTTAATGCTGGTCACTTGTACCTAAACCCCAAAAGGGAGGGGTATGATGAGGGTGTAACCTCCTTTCTGTCATGGCTGGGAATTCAGTTTTTCAGGTTTCTCTGGGGTGCCCATGGCCAAAAAGGAGTCCATTCAGTTGGTTAGTGGGGGGCTTAGGATTTTATTTTTGGTTTACACCTCCTTCCAACCCTTGCTCAAATGTCTTCTTCTCAGTGAGGCTTTCTCTGATCATCTGATTTAAATCTCCACCTCACCCACTCCAAGCTGTCCCTATTTCTCTTCCCTACTCTAATTGTCTGCATATCAGTTATCTCCTTGCAAAGCACCACGGATTTATGTTGTTTGACTCTTTATTTATCCTCACTATAAGGTGAGTGCTGGAGGGGTTAGGGATTTCTGGCTGGCTTCTCTACTGCTGTGTCTGCAGTCTGGTTCACAGTAGGCAATCAGCATTTGCTGAAAGAATGAACCTATAGCTTGGAACCAACCCAAATGTCCAACAATGATAGACTGGATTAGGAAAATGTGCACATATACACCATGGAATACTATGCAGCCATGAAAAATGATGAGTTCACGTCCTTTGTAGGGACATGGATGAAGCTGGAAACTATCATTCTCAGCAAACTATGGCAAGGACAAAAAGCCAAACACCACATGTTCTCACTCATAGGTGGGAATTGAACAGTGAGAACACATGGACACAGGAAGGGGAACATCACACACCGGGACTGTTGTGGGGTGGGGGGAACGGGGAGGGATAGCATTAGGAGATATACCTAATGCTAAATGATGAGTTAATGGGTGCAGCACACCAACATGGCACATGTATACATATGTAACAAACCTGCACGTTGTGCACATGTACCCTAAAACTTAAAGTATAATAATAATTAAAAAAAAAAAAAAGAATGAACCTATCGCATGAGTATTGGTGTAAGTTTTCTTACAGGCCCCGGGGCCACCACAAAGTAGAAGAACTCAACCTTCCCTATTCATTTCCTCACCTCCAACTCCCTTAGACTACCAGGACTTAGATCCTTTTGGGTATATATATACATATATATGTTTTATATATATACATATATACATGTTTTGCTTGTTTGTTTGTTTTTTGAGACAAAGTCTCGCTGTGTCACCCAGGATGGAGTACAGTGGCATGATCTCTGCTCACTGCAATCTCCGCCTCCAGGTTCAAGTGATTCTCCTGCCTCAGCCTCCTGAGTAGCTGGGACTACAGGTGCATGCCTCCACGCCTGGCTAATTTTTTGTATTTTTAGTAGAGACGGGGGTTTCACCATGTTAGCCAGATGGTCTTGATCTCCTGACCTCGTGATCTGCCCGCCTCGGCCTCCCAAAGTGCTGGGATTACAGGCATGAGCCACCGCGCCCAGCCTAAATGTTTTATATATATATATACACACACACATATACTCTATATATATATACACACACACATATATACACATATATATGTGTATATATATATATATATATAGAGAGAGAGAGAGAGAGAGAGAGAGAGAGTATATGTGTATATATTTTAACAAAAAAAGCCTGGGAGAACCATTGAATTTGAAACCACCAAATCTCAACAAGCCTTGAAATCTAACACTCAGTTTAAGGAAACACAGAGCAGAGAGGAGAACATTAAACAACACCCTGAGGAAGCCGTGAGCCAGGCTCAGAACATAAGCCACTCCACAGGAGAAATGACTTCATTTTTTCAACAAATATATGCCGTGGAAAAGAAGAAGTAAGGGAGCGAGGAACTCTTCTAGATAAGAGAGAATTGAAAATGGCACATCATCCAGTCATCCAAACAAAATGTCCTGTCCTTGTTTGGATCCCCTTTTGAGCAGGTTAGTGTAAAAGACATTATTGAGAGAATTGGTAAACATTTAAAGGTGGGTTGGATATTGGGTGATATTGGCATTGTGATCATATTGAATTATTATTTATATTCATATATTCTCTGGCAGAACCTGGTGCGTGTGTGTGTGTGTGTGTGTGTGTGTGTGTGTCTGTGTGTGTGTGTCTCACAGTGTAGAGAATCTGAGGGTCTACGTTCTCAATTCTCCCAGGGGTGGTACGATTCTGCCAGGGGTGGTACGTAGGTAATTCTCGATGCCATGGGAGTTAGTTGATGCGTTGCATACAATGGAGGTCTTAGGACATTAAGGCTTAATTTTTTGTTGGATCCGCAGTTGGGAAGAGCTGGTAGCAGGAAACTGATACAAAGTCTGGCGTTTGCTTTAAATTACTCCAAGAAAAATCGAAGCAGTGTAGTAAAGATTAGGAGGTGAGACAGTTCCTCTTTCTGAGGAGATGGCGGGCCCGTTTTCTTCTTTGTCTGGCTCTCTGTAGCATAGGGGTGTGGTGTAGTGTAGGGATGTGGAGGAAAGAGTGGGTAGCTGTGTTGCTGGGGAGGGGTGAAGTGTTTTTTCCACTCTCTATATAGGCCCTTCCTGCGCTCTCCTCTGCTTAATGCTGATTTACCAAGCGGAGTGCAAATTGTGTGGTGAGCATGTGGGAGATGCCTCCTGGGGCTGGGGTGTGTAGTGGGGAGTGGGCATTATACAGAAAGGGAATTCATGGGGCACGAAAGGCCTACTTTTTGCCAGGCACCTGTCAAATAGGAAGGCAGATATTTCTATGAATACAAGTCTGTCTGTCTGTGCATGGGGTGCAAGGGTGAAGACAGTAGCAAATGGCTCATGATTTCCCTTTGCCATGGCTGTGTCAATCTGGAGTTCAGAGCTCTCCTAATCAGTTCCGAGTGGTTGGCTCTGGTCAGGGACCGCAGCCTGACCTCATGGTGGGGACACAACACCCCCCAACAAAGTTCTGTTCTCCAGACTCTTAGAAAACCTCTGGGGAAATGTACTCAGGGAAATGTTCTGAGGACTTCATTATCAGTGCTGCCTGGCTGGGAAAAGATGTAATCTCTGGTAAGAGACCCTTGGCAGGAGTGAAAGCCCTTTATCTTCAGGGCTTTGCTCTGGGCAGGATCTCCCCCTCCCCACCATGAGCCATGCAGGTGGGCCTGTCCTCAGGTAAACACTTGCCAACAGTCACAGCCTCTCAGGCACTGCGCGCCCCTCATGGCTTCCTTTCTTTCACTGTCTTCTCAGATTCACCAGCTACAAGTCGGTTTCTTGTTGCATATCATGCTTCTGACCTTTGCTGCGCTTTTGAGCAAAACGGTGACTTGTCAGAAATGTTTTGACAAATGATTAATGTTTTGACCCATGTTGGTTCCCGCTTGATAGAGCTCGGTGGGTAGGAGCTGGGGTGGTAGAGCCAGACAGCCTGGGCAGGCTCCTCTGGGGACTCTGTGAAGCACATGGTGATAACAGTGCTCGCCTTGGGCACTGTTGTTGCTGCAGGAATTAAATGAGCTTCACCAAATTACAGGACCTTTACTGCCTGTAAATTACTTAGCACATAGTAAAAGCTCATTAATTATTAGCTAAAATAAAGTGATAAAAATCTATCATTAAATTGTCAGCACAGCCCTGCAGAGGCAACCTTTTAAGTATTGTTATCCTTCGCAGATGAAGACACAAGGTTCACAGAAACTGACTAATTGGCCTAAGATAACTTACAGTACAAAAGCCAGGATTTCAATCTAGCTTTTTGAGACTAGAGCCTGAGTGAACTGTTTCTCCAAAGCCAAGGCTTCTCAAACTATTGGTGGTGAAGAACCAAATTTTTTTTCCCAATTCCTCTCACATCAGTAGTTACGTAAAATACAATAAAAATGGGGCCAGGTGCGGTGGCTCACGCCTGTAATCCCAGCACTTTGGGAGGCCGAGGCGGGTGGATCATGAGGTCAGGAGATCGAGACCATCCTGGCTAACACGGTGAAACCCCATCTCTACTAAAAACACAAAAACAAAATTAGCCAGGCATGGTGGCGGGCACCTGTAGTCCCAGCTACTGGGGAGGCTGAGGCGGGAGAATGGAGTGAACCCTGGAGGCAGAGCTTGCAGTGAGCCGAGATCTCACCACTGCACTCCAGCCTGGGCGACAGAGGGAGACTCTGTCTCCAAAAAAATAAATAAATAAATAAAAAATAAAAAATAAAATAAACAAATAAATAAAAAAGCATGGATTCCAGAATCATGAAATGAGAAAAAGGACATTTGAAATACAAGCCCCATTTTAAAAAGTATTGATCTAACAGGCATAAAATTACTCTTTAAAATTACTGTAAAAGTCACTTACACTCCATTTCTGTACTTTTCTCATCTTGCATCTTGAAAAGCTTTCTCAGCCTAGCACTTCTCTGCAGATCTCACTTTCAGTAGCACTGTTCTCAGCGACCTGTTTCTCACCACTTGCCTGAGAATTAATTACCTGGGGTGCTTATTAAATGCAGATTTCCAACTTCCCCCCAATATTCTCCCAACCTCCCAGACTACTTGAATCAGAATGATTGAGACAGAATTCAGGAACCCGCATTTTAACAAGTGATTTTAATAATTTGGGTGTGCTCTAAGTCTGAGAATCACTGTGCTCCTCAGTGTTGCCTCCTCTCTACAGATAACAGATAAGAGGGTAAATAGTGAAGTGAGTGCAGTGTTTTATTCCGGCCCCCCTTCTTGCCCCGTCTTCTTTTCTCAAAAAAAATTTTCAAAGGCTTCCTTTCTGTAGAAGCTCACTGACAGAACCGACTTTCCGGACTCAGTGCACTTCAACAAACAGGTATTGAGCTCAAACTGCAGGGGGCTGGGTAGGTGGAGAGCTGACCGCAAGATGCTCACAAGCAGTAGAGGGTGAGTATAGGTAGAGAAAGGGCAGGTCTAGGGCATTTCTGTGCATAAAGTGGGGCAGAAGAGAAGGAGCCAGCAACGAGACCAGTAAGGCATTACCGGTAAGGCAGAGAAAAGCCAGGAGAAGTATAGGTTTTGGAAGCTAGGTGAAGAATATGCATCAAGGAAGAGGAAGTTATGGACTGCTGATGAGCTGAATAAGATGAAGACTGAACATTGACCATTTGGTTAGCAATGTGGAGATCGTGGAGGTCCTTGTGACTCTGACAAGATCAGGTTCATGGAGATGGGGAGGCCTGGTTGGAGTGGGTTCAAGTGAGAGTGGGAAGATAGCTATTGCAAACAAGACTATGGACTGTCTTTCAAGGAGTTTTACTGTAAAGGAAAGAGAAATAAGGCATTTTAAAGAAGAGAAATGAGGTCAAGAGGTTTAGGGTCAGGGCAGGGAAGTGGAGTTTATTTAGAACTCATGCAATAAGTGGCTCAATATATGACTTCTCTAAAGTCATATATCTTTTAGTTAATTCCTTGAGTAAAACAGAAACAATTGTCTATCGTGACTTTTTTCTTCAAGCTCTTTAAAACTCTCCCCACTCCCAAACTATATCACTGTCTAAGAAGAAAGGAGTTTGAAAATCAGTCTTGTTACATAGCTTAATTTGAATACATCCAAAAAATGACATTGCATTATTTTCATATTTGCTGAATCTATTTTTTGGCTGGAGTATTTTAAAGTAGATTTTTAAAGTAGATTTCATCTCTTACTACTTCACATGCATAGGACTTTTTCTTTATATAACCACAATACTTTTATACACCTAACAAAATTAACAATAATTTCTTAATACCATATAATAACCAATCTATGTTCCAATATCCCCATTTGTCCCCAAGGTGAATCAAACCAAGATTCAGACAAGGTGTACGTATTACATATTATTATATCTGCGAAGCCATTTGTTTTTTATTCCCATTTACTTGTTGATGAAACCAGTTCAGTTGTCCCATAGGAAGTCCTACCTTCTGGATTTGTCTGATAATTTTCCTTTGGCGCTATTTGACTTGTTCTTCTTTCTTCTGTATTTCCTAAAAACTGGAATTGTGTATGACAGCTTGATAATATACAGATTAAACATTTTGGGCAAGAATTTTTCATAGGTGGTTAGCAGGGCGTGGTGGTGCACGCCTGTGATCCCAGCTACTCGGGAGGCTGAGGCAGGAGAATCGCTTGAACCTGGGAGGTGGAGGTTGCGGTGAACAGAGATTGTGCCACTGTGTACTCCAGCCTGGGTGACAAAGCAAGACCTTGTCTCTAAAAAAAAAAAGAATTTTTCATAGGTGCTTCATGTCACGTCACATCAGAAGGCACACACTATCTAGATGTCTCACTGTTAATGATGCTAAAAGACTGATCAGGGTCAGGTCACGGCTGCTTGACTCACGAGAGGTGTTTTGATTTTGCTTTTTAAGAGCAGCAGCGTGTCTATATGTTGATGGGAGTAATCTTTGAGAGAGGGATACTTATCAATTAAACAAAGGGGTGAGGTTTTCTAGAACAACTTTCTTAAGTAAACAATAATGTGTAGGATCTAGTGGACAAGTGTTGGTTATTGCAAGTGTTGGACATAGCCAGTTCATCTATAGTAATGAGGCATATGGACATAAATGCAGATAAAGGGGGCTCTGTTAGGGGGTTTGAGGAAGTTCTAATCTGGCAGCTTTTGTTTTCTCCATGAACAAGTAGCAAATTCATCACAGGAGAGGGAGATTGAAAGGAGGAAGTCAAGTAGTGGGCGAGTGCCAGATGAATAGACTGGACAAGTAGCATGTGATTTCTGAAAAGCATTAAGGACCTCCTGGCAGTTAGGGATCGCGAACTTGAAGTGAAATCAGTAAGCATTGTTGTACAATTTTCTCTAGCCATGCTCAGTTGCATGTTTGCTGGTGTGGAGCAGAACAGAGGGTTGGATTTAACCAGGATTGAGTTTTAGCCAATCATGTGTGATCAAAGAGGGCAAAGGACTCATTTTAATGATTTTGACCATGGAATTTAAGCTGTGTAGGAAGGGAAGTAAGAATATGAGGAAAGTGAGGAACAGTGACAGGTGGAAGGATTAACCACAGAAGCTTGTTGGAGTTGGGGTACTAGTTGGAATAGGCTGCATATAGACAGGAGTGGTAATTGGAGATGGGATGCCTGAACTCAAGATTATGGAAGGTATTGTTGGGAAATAACAAGATCAGAGATACAACTCTGGGAGTGAGTGGCCGTGGTCACAATCACTGGGGTAGAGGAGATCAAAGGACTGTGAGGCCAGAGGACTAGAATATCCTAAAAGTGGATATTAATATCACAAGGAGTTATGATAGAAACAGTGTTGGAGCTAAAATATTCAGGCAACGAAGCACGGTATTTTGGGTGGGGGAGAAGATGGCTGCAGCCAGGTAAGTGGGGTCATAGGTAGCGCTGTCTGCACAGGGTCTCTGTGAGGATGACATGCATTGATGCATGTGATGCTCTTCACTTTGAGCCTGACAAATAGCATGTGTTAGAGGTTCAGTCTAACACTTGCTAGAGGCAACAAGTGTTAGAGGTTCACCATCTGAGTCTATGTGGCTCCAGTGAGTAGAGCTTAAAACACTGGGTTTATAGTTATTCATTTTTTATTTTATTTTTTAGACAGAGTCTTGCTCTGTTGTCCAGGCTGGAGTGCAGTGGTGCAATCTCAGCTCACTTCAACCTCCGCCTCCCGGATTCAAGCGATCCTCCTGCCTCAGCCTCTCAAGTAGCTGGGATTACAGGCGCCCGCCACCACACCCAGCTAATTTTTGTATTTTTAGGAAAGATGAGGTTTCACCGTGTTGGCTAGGCTGGTCTCGAACTCCTAACCTCAAGTGATCTGCCCGCCTTGGCCTCCCAAAGTGCTGGGATTACAGGTGTGAGCCACCGTGCCCAGCTGCAACACTGGATTTATTTTTACAGGGAAGTTGATTTTCATTAACTTTAATATATTTCTAAGAGGCAGAGCTACTCACACAGTTGTGTGTGGTCTGGGGCGGTAGTAAATTCCCTGTCATTCAGTGTATCCAACAGGCAAAATGAACATTTGCAATGATGGTGCCGTCAAGGTGATTCTGGCAACTGAAGGTGATGGGTGGGTAGGTGGGAGGGAGTGGCTGTAGCAATTGAAGGCAGTGGGCAGTGGGGAGGGATGGTGTCAGGAGCTAGCTTCATTCTTGCATTCAGACATGACTGAACATTTCCTAGTTGTGGCCCAGGAGCTCTCAATCTGGTTGGGACAGATCTGCAAACAGATAAATGTCACATAGTTTGATGAGGGGAAGAATAGGCACCATGGAGTTATGCTGATCATCTCTGTGAGGCCAAGGAAGCTTGAGAGTCAAGGAGCACTTGAGCTGGTGTTGGAAGCTGAGTGGGCATGGCCCCATGGGAACAGCACAGGAAACCACACTTTGCTGAAGAACTTCTTGTGCAGAGCTGCAAAGGCATGAAAGAGTCTTCGACATTTAGAGTGCCATTCTACTTAATCTGGGCAAATTATTTATCTTCCCTGTCTCAGTTTCCCTGTTTGTAAAAATGGGGGTAGTAATGGTATCCACAGAGGAAGGGATGGTGACTGTTGTAATCCCTTTGAGTGGATTATCTTTTTTTTTTTTTGAGATGGAGTCTCGCTCTGTTGCCCAGGCTGCAGTGCAGTGGTGTGATCTCGGCTCACTGCAACCTCCACCTCCCGGGTTCAAGTGATTCTCCTACATCAGCCTCCCGAGTAACTAAGATTACAGACACACGTCACCACGCCCCGCTAGTTTTGTATTTTTAGTAGAGACGGGTTTTCACCATGTTGGTCAGGCTGGTCACGGGCTTCTGACTTCAAGTCATCCACCTGCCTCAGCCTCCCAAGGTGCTGGGATTACAGGCATGAGCCACAGTACCTGGCCGAGTGGATTATTTTACTTGATTCTGTAAATCACACTATGAGGTAGGACTTGTTATTATTACTATTTCTATTTTATAGATAAAGATGTCTTAAATCTTGGGTCTTAAGGGGTTGAGTAACTTGCTCAAAGTCAGGTAGCTGGTGAAAGGCAGTTTGGGCTCTTGTCTTGATAAATCTGATTCCAAAGCTTGTATTGTTCATCCCTAAGCTATAGTCAGTGCTTGGCACATAGCTAGTGCTAAATAAATGGTAGCTATTATTGCCAGGATTGCTAAAGTTTCTCACCCAGAGAGTTGAGGGTTCTGTTATCACTTCTACAGCTGGTTGAAGATCAGTAGTGCTGCTATCTCATCAGCAGCAGGGACTATTTTTGGAAAGCCCTCATCACCTATGATAAATCTAGATAGTTGCACCACTTTTGTTTCAATTGGTTGATTTTTGAAAATCAAAAATGGAGAGTGATTTTTATCTTCTTAGAGGGCAAGGTTTTTTGAGCAGATGCAGTTGATGTAAGGGAGGAAGAGCTGGGATTGATGTACTTTTCTGTTGTCTGTGGGCTGTATCAAACAAAAAGTTTCATGTTCTGGCTGCCAGCTGGAGGATGGCAGCAAACCAGCATTCACAGGCAAGAGGTATCATCCAAAAGTCTGGTGACTGCCCACAGTGTTTTCTACAGGGGGCTAAGAAAGAGCCTCTTCCATGAGTGATGCCAGGAGTAAGAGCTGTGAACCCGTCACCCATTTATTCATTCAACAAATGCATACTGAGAGCTTATTAAGTGCTAGACATTCATCTAGTGTCTAGAGATACTCCCTGGAAATAATAGAGAAGAAGGTTGACAAGATTCCTATTTATGAAGCTTATATTTTTAGTGGAAGGAGACAGACTAATCAAATACTAAATGAATGCCTGCATAATTACAAACACTCATGCCACAAGGGAAATTCATGCTGTGAAAATGTCAGAGGGATAACTATCAGAGAAATTTTCTGACTCTTCCAAGGATGCTGCCCAGAAAACCGTCCTTCTTTGAGCTGATGAGGAGAGCCCCAAATGTTTTGACACAGGGCAGAGTGGCACCTCTCACTTTTTCCCTGGTAGTCATACCTAGGGTTTGCCTGCCTGCCTTCCTCCTGGTCATGAAGAGCTGGGGTTCTCCCAACCTGAATTCCTAGCCTTCAACAGAGGATTTTCTCTTGGTTCATGGGGTGAAGTCAAGTATGTCCATATGGCTTCCTCTTAGTTCTGTTAATGCTAGATCTCCTAGGACAGGCCTTGCAGCCAGGTTAATATTGTGCACCAAGTTGATACACAAGGTTGAAGTGTATTTTTTAGTATTGCCCCCAAGAGTTTTGCCTTAATTATTCAAGTAACATAATAAAAATAATAAAGGAAGTTGGCTAGGCGTGGGGGCTCACGCCTGTAATCCTAGCACTTTGGGAGGCCGAAGTGGGTAGATCACCTGAGGTCAGGAGTTGAAGACCAGCCTGGCCAACATGGTGAAACCCCATCTCTACTAAAAACAAGTATTAGCTGGGCGTGGTGGCCGGTGCCTATATTACCCAGCTACTGGGGAGGCTGAGGCAGGAGAATCTCATGAACCTCGGGGGTGGAGCTTGCAGTGAGCCAAGATTGCACCACTTCTGCCTGGGCCGACAGAGAGAGACACCATCTCAAAAACAAAGAATAAAATAATAAAGGAATTCAAACTGATAAGAATTAATCTTTCATCAGTTTATCCGTCAATGGTATTCAAGTCTCAACCATTTACATTTTTTCTAGACAGTTGGATATACATATCTTTTAAGTCACCATCTGAGTATACAGGTAACATTTTCTGTTTTGCTTTTTTCATTTTAAGATTTTAAGTATTTTCTCCCCTATTACTATATAAATTCATACACAATTATATAAATTATTTCAGGTGGCTATACCATGCTTTTCTTATTTCCTTATTGCTGGATGCTTAGTTGTTAACAGATTTTCACCTTGATAAATAAGCTCGACATTAAAAATTTTTATTTTTGGCAGTGTTATTAGGAAAGTTTGTAGTGCTTAACATCTACTTCAAAAAGTTAGAAAGATCTCAAATTAACAACCTAATATTGCACCCAGAGGAACTAGAAAAAAAATTTACCCCAAAGCTGGCAGAAAAAGAAAAAAATAACTAAAATCCAGAGCAAAACTGAACAAAATTGAGACTCAAAAATCCATACAAAGAATCAACAGAACCAAAAGTTGGTTCTTTGAAAGGATAAACAAGTTTGGTAAACCATTAGCTAGATTAACAAAGAAGAAAAGAGAGAAGATACAAATAATCACAACCAGAAATGACAAATATGACATTACAACTAATCCCACAGAAATATGAAAGATCTTTGGAGACTATTAATACCTCTGTTCACACAAAGTAGAAAATCTAGAAGAAATGGACAAATTCCTGGAAACTCACAATCTTTCAAGATTGAATCAGGAAGAAATTGAAACCTGAACAGACCAATATCAAGTTCTGAAATTGAGTCAGTAATAAAAAACTTACCACCAAAAAAAGCCCTGGACCAGATAAATTCACAGCCAAATTCTATCAGACATACAAAAAAGAGCTGGTACCAGTCCTACTGAAATTATTCCAAAAAAGTGAGGCAGACAGATCCCTCTCTAACTCATTCTATGAAGCCAGCATTACCCTGATACCAAAACCTGGCAAAGACACAGTAAAAAAAGAAAACCGCAGGCCAATATCCCTGATGAAAATAAATGCAAAAATCCTCAACAAAACACTAGCATACCGAATCCAGCAGCACATCAAAAATTATTTCACTGTGATCAAGTAGGCTTCATTCCTGGGATGGAAGGTTGGTTCTACACAGACACATTAATAAATGTGATTCACCTCATAAACAGAATTAAAAACAAAAGCCATATGATCATCTCAATAGATGCAGAAAAAGATTTTGATAAAATCCAAAATCCTTTCATCAAAAAAGCCTTCAAGAAACTAGGCATCAAAGGCACATACCTCAAAATAATAAGAATCATCTATAACAAATCCACAGCCAATATCATACTGAATGGGTAAAAACTGGAAGCATTCTCCTTGAGAACTGAAACAAGACAAGGATGCCCACTCTCACCACTTCTATTCAACATAGTATTGGAAGTGCTGTCCAGAGCAATCAAACAAGAAAAAGAAATAAAAGGCATCCAAATAGGAAAAGAAGTCAAACTGTCTCTCTTTGCTGACAATATGATTCTATACCTAGAAAACTATAAAGACACTGCCAAAAGGCTTCTGGAACTAATAAACAACTTCAGCAAAGTTTCAGGATACAAAACCAGTGTATAAAAATTCATGGCATTTCCATAACCAGTAATTTTCAAGCTGAGAGTCAAATCAACAACACAATCTCATTTATAATAGTCGCAACAAAATTTTAAATACCTAGGAATACATCTAATCAAATAAGTGAAATATCTCTCCAAGGAGAACTACAAAACTTTGCTGAAAGAAGTCATGGATGACACAAACTAATGGAAAAACATTTCGTGTTCATGGATTAAAAGAATCAATATCATTAAAACAGCCACACTGCCCAAAGCAATCTGTAGATTCAACACTGTTCCTATCAAACTACCAATGTCATTTTTCACAGAACTAGAAAAAACCTATCCTAAAATTCATGTGTAACCAAAAAAGAGTACAAATAACTAAAGCAATCCTAAGCAAAAAGAACAAACTCAGAGGCATTCCAGTACCTGACTTAGAACTGCACTGTAAGGCTACAGTAACCAAAACAGCATGGTACTGGTACCAAAACAGACACATAGACTAATGGAGCAGAATAGTGAACCCAGAAATAAAGCCACATACCTATAATCATCTGATCTTTAACACAGTCAACAAAAATAAGCAACGGGGGAAAGAACTCCCTATTCAATAAATGATGCTGGAATAACTGGCTAGCCATATGCAGAAGAATGAAACTAGATCCCTTCCTTATACCATATACAAAAATTAACTCAAGATCAATTAAAGATTTAAATGTGAGACCTCAAACTATAAGAATCCTGGAAGAAAACCTAGGAAACACCATTCTGGACATCAACCTTGGGAAAGGATTTATGACAAAGTACTTAAAAGCAACTGCAACAGAAACAAAAATTGACAAGTGGGATCTAATTAAACTAAAGAGCTTTTGTGCAGCAAAAGAAACTATCAACAGAATAAACAGACAACCTACAGAATGGAAGAAAATATTTGCAAGCTATGCATCTGACAAAGATCTAATATCCAGAATCTATAAGAAACTTAAACAATTGAACAAGCAAAAAACAAATAACAACATTAAAATGTGAGCAAAAGATATGAACAGACAATTCTCAAAAGATGCATATAAGCTGCCAACAAACATGAAAAATGCTCAGTATCACTAATTATTAGAGAAAAGCAAACAAAAGCACAGTGAGATACCCCCTCACGTCAGTCAGAATGGCTATTATTAAGTCAAAAAACACCAGATGCTAGGGAGGCTGCAGGGAAAAGGGAACACCTACACACTGTTGTTGAGAATGTTAATTAGTTCAGCCACCATGAAAAGCAATTTGGAGATTTCTCAGAAAACTTGAAAACAGAACTACTATTCAACTCAGCAATCACATTACTGGGTATATATCCAAAAGGAAATAAATGTTTCTACCAAAAAGAGACATGCACTTGTGTGTTTATTGCAGCACTATTCACAATAGCAAAGAATGGAATCAGCCTAGGTGCCCATCAGTGGTGGACTGGATAAAGAAAATATGGTACATATACACTGTGGAATAGTACACAGCCATGAAAAAGAACAAAGCCATGCCCTTTGCAGCAACATGGATGCAGCTGGAAGCCATTATCCTAAGCAAATTAATAATGCAGGAACAGAAAACCAAATGCCATATGTTGTCACTTATAAGTGGGAACTAAACAATGAATGCTGATAGACATAAAGATGGCAATAATAAACACTGGGGACTACAAGACGGGGAAGGCTGGGGAAAGAGCTAAAAAATGAATTATTCAGTACCTGCATGGCAGGATCAATCATACCCCAAGCCTCAGCATTGTGCAATATACCAGGTAACAAGCCTGCATACATACCCCCTGAATCTAACATATAAATTAAAATTATTTTTTAAAAAAACCCTTTTCTTCTTTGTGTGCGTATTGCTTTATAGAACTCATATTCTTTATCTCATTAATCCTCTTTCATTTGTCATCAGAACTATGTAATGTAGAGAATCATTTTACATGTGGGGAAACTGGAGTATGTAATCTTTTGAATTATTTATGAATTATTTATTTATTCACTCTTATTTCCTAGAAGTACAGTAGCCTGGTCCATGGTCAGAAGCTCTTAATTCTATGGCCTGAATACATTCTAGAAAGGTTACATTAATTTATATGATCCTTTGAATATATATCGATTTAATTATAATCTGTCCAGCAATGAGTATTATCATGTAGAAAACTGCGGACGAATGTAAATTCTATAAACTAGTTTCTCAGTATTCTAGTTGCCCCTCTTGGGTTTCTCTCATGATTAACCATAACTTTATATGCTTGTTAATTGTGCTTTTTATTTTGTGATTAGTCTGTTCATGTTGATTACCTCTTTATTTTGGGAGACTTTTATTATATTAACCCTTTTTATATTTTGACTTTTCCTTTTTATTGTAGTTACAGTATTTTTCATTGTATAGATGTTGAAATTTTCTTGCAACTGAATGTATTAAACTTTTCCTTTGCTATTTTCCTACATCGCATCAAAAGAAGAAAGAGCTGACAGGTATATATTTATATTTTTAGCTGTTTTTTGTTGGTTTGTTTAGAGACAGGTTCACTCTGTCACCTAGGCTGGAGTGCAGTGGCGCTCATAGCTCACTGCAGCCTCTAACTCCTGGGCTCAAATGATCCTCCCTCCTCAACCTCCTGAGTAACTGGGACTACAGGCATGCACGCCTGGCTTATTTTTAGCTTTTTAAAATTACATTTTTATACTTTTGTACATTTTTTCAAAGTCAAAGAATAATGGATGTACATTTTAGAAATTTTGGAATATATGTAAAATTATAAAAGATGAAAACATCTATTATTACCATTCTGGGTGTACTTTTTTCTAGTACTTTTTCCTAGTACTTTTTCACGTTTTTTTAAATGTATTTTTTTTCTGAATTTGGATAGTGTTTACCGTTTTATAACGTATTTTTTCAGTTACAATTATACTGATTGAACTTTCACATATTATTAAATATTCTTTGAAAATAAATAATTTTTTGAAAATCTGTATGAAGTTTATTTCAGGATGGACCTAATTACTCCCTGTTTACCTCCAAGCCAGCAATTAAACAACCTGTTCTTCCCAGGTTGGTCCATGGTGGCCGCTTTAGCTTTCTAGCCCATTCTTATCTGGTGTCAAGTCTATTTCTTTTTTTTTTTTTTTTTTTTTCTTTTGAGACAGAGTCTCTCTCTGTTGCCCAGGCTGGAGTGCAGTGGCGTGATCTCGGCTCACTGCAACCTCCGCCTCCCGGGTTCAAGCAATTCTCCTGCCTCAGCCTCCCTTGTAGCTGGGACTACCGGTGTGCGCCATCATGCCTGGCTAATTTTTTTTTTGTATTTTAGTAGAGATGGAGTTTCACCGTGTTAGCCAAGATGGTCTTGATCTCCTGTCCTCATGATCCTGATCCGCCTGCCTCGGCCTCCCAAAGTGCTGGGATTACAGGTGTGAGCCACCACACCCGGCTAGTGTCAAGTCTATTTCTAGGCTATCTGTGCTGTTCACAGATCCAGAGCATTGCACCTTTAATAGGCTTTTCTCTCTCTCTTTTTCCTGAGCCCTGGAGGCTTCCTGGATTGAGACCTAGCCTAGGTCTGCATAAGCACCTTTCCATCTTGTTAATGTTTAACACTGCCTCTGCTGGAAAACAGCTCTCACCTCCTCTCTTTCTGTCTCTTATTTTTTGCCTTTGCAGATGAGTTTTGATCATCCTGAGAAAAATGGGCCTTGGCCTGCAGACCCAATAAACCTTCCCTCCCATGGATAATAGTGCTAATTCCTGAGGACCTGAAGGGCCTGCCGCCCCTGGGGGATTAGCCAGAAGCAGGTAAGGAACACACAGAGGCATGGGCTAGCAAAGGGGTACATTCCTGAGTAAAAGCTGGTGTGGCAGATGTCCTGGCAGGGAATCTCAGGATCTCAGTATCTGGCTCCAGCTTTGCTGTTTTCTTTTTGTATGTATTTTTTAGTCCTCTTTAACTGCTGATTCAATGTGGGTTTCATTGGGGGGTGTAGAGAAATGGCTTGTCCATTTCTATTAACTATATAAGATTTAAGTTATTCTGTATTTCAGTCAACCATTCTGAGTACCTACTACCTGCCACGAATGCAACTGGTACTGAGTATGTCATGACGGGTGGGTCGGGACAGGATTTCCTTGCTTTGAGCATTGATTTCTGCCGGTTCAGTGTTGGCCAGTTCTTTGAAGGTGATGATGCAAGTCGCTGTGTTCTTCCTCTAGAAGCCTCGTGATGATTGTAAAGATTCTCTGATACAATTGCATCAGTTCAATAATCTTTCATTGAGTATCCGCTCTGGTCCAGGCACTGTGCTGGGTACTAGGGTTTCAGAAAGGATACCAGGAGGAGTTTTCCTTGAGCAGCAAAGTCAGGCATGAAAAGCAAGCATTACAAAGCACTGGCTGGCAGCAAAGGGGAGCAGGGATAGTGCGGAAGGGGAGGTGGCCTCCACTGACCTTCAGAAGCAGAAAGGTGATGCTGTCAGAGCTGGCAGGCACATGGACAAGGAGAAAGAGTGCAGCAGTGCAGACACCTGGAGGCTTAACACAGTCTGGTGTAATTGGAAAATTCAAAGCTTAGTGTGTTTTTCCAAAACATTTGTAGAGAAAAGTTTGCTACTCTTTTCCCTCGGTTGCGCCATTTAGAGAAAGTTTCTTCAGCCTCTGCCTTCTTCAGACAATTTGAGAGATGAGAAAGGGTCTTGCAGTTATAAGTGCCTGTGACCAGAAACTCCAGCCACCTGGTGGACTTGGAGCCTCAACCAAGGGTGGTGTCAAGGGACCACATGAGCCCTTATGTGAGATTTCAGATGAGTGCCCTGAGGCCATGACAGAGCACAGGCTGTGAAGGCTGAGGCTGTCTGATGGTTGCAAGACTGTCGCTAGACCCAGCTGTTTGGAGGAACTCTTCTTTCCTGGGAAACCACACCTTGGAGAGTAGGTACTGGGCAGCTGCTGCCTGAGCCTCCACTCCTGTGACAGTGAATCAGGCCCTTCCTGCCATCTTGTTTCATTCAGACATGTGAAAGTCAGGTTCTAAGTCCACTATTTCCAAATCACTCATGCAACTTTGAAAATTATTTGTATTTCCAAACCTCACTATACTCAGCTATAAATGGAGCTCATAAAATCTGCTGTGCTTATCTCACGGGAGTATAATAGGTCTGTAAAACCTTACCAATACGGAAAGTACCTGAGTGTTACCACTCAGTGCACAGCAGGGATGGCAGGTGCAGCACTGATGGTGAAGGTGGCTTGTCTGCGACTGTCTGACAGACGAAGTTGCCTCTCTAGTGACCTTGAGTCCGACTTGATCACACTGACTTCTCACTGTCCCTTATCACAGATGCATGTCCTTGGGTGGAAAGATGATGAACTTTTAGAGTCAGACAGACCTGGGCTGGAATTCTGGTTCTAGAACTGACTTGCTGTTGACATTGGAGAAACCCTATAACCTTGCTAAGTCTCAGTTTTTTCCATTTCCTAAAATAGGATTGTCAATATCTCTATCATAGTGTTGTAGTAAAGGTTCAATGAGATATTGCAAGGAAAGTGACTACCACGTAGTAGGCCCTCCTTAAATGCTACTTTCCTTCTTTTCTCTAGTTCTTCTTCAGTTGTCATATGGTCATGTGATTACCTGTGTTGGGTGTCTGCGGAAATTGAATTCCTTAGTTTCTGGTAATACAACAAGCTTCCACCCTTCACTTCATGATCTTCTATCTGAATTCTTCTTCCACTGTGTACATTTAATCATTTCCACAACTTCAGCAGCCCAAGATAGGAGCCCATCGTTCCCAGAGTCACTGGTTCCTGAGGTCTGGGATGGTGGAAGCACTGCTTTGGTTGGTACTGCCAATGGATTCCAGGAATGAGCTGGATGTCAGTTCATGGAGAATTCCCAGGGAAGAGCCTGGAGCTCAGGGCTGCTGAGTCATGGCTGTGGCTTCACACTGCTGTCTTCACTACCCGTATCACCTCCACATGGCCCCCAGGCTGAGCTGCTGCTCTCCTGTCTCTGTTCAGAATACCTTCTGTGCCTTTTTGCTTATCTAGTTCAAATCCAATGAATACCATGCTCTTGTTTTGCCCTCCCAACACTCTGCAAATCACATAGGGCAGAGATAATTATTCTGAAAAACTCAGGGGCAGAAATATTAAGTGACCTGCCCAAGGTCACCAAGAATGGGGATAAGAACCCAGGTTTTGTGAACACCCAGTCCAGTACTCCTACTACCTTTTCCTGATATCCTTAGGAGCGGGATCCATGGGAAGGGACCTCAGACCCCTAGTGGGTTAGCAAAACCCCGGAGGTGATTGCTTTGATTTATTATTGTAAATAAACCCAGTGATTGGGGAAAGAATGTAATGTTTTCCAAAAGATACAGACATTATTTGAGTTCAAAGTGCTTCCAGTTTCCATTCAGTTACACAATAAATTCTGAGAAAACAAAGTAGGTGTTTACTCAGAAATAAAGAGACTATTCAGTCTCTATTTGCTCAGTGAAATCTATTTTCCAGAGCTTCTTGCAGTTCTGTGCATGTTGTACTGGAAAGGACATGGGTTATGGAATCAAATCCACTTCGATTTGAACCTCAGTGCAACCATTTCCTCAGCTCTGTGAGCTTGGGCACTTCCCTTGACTTCTTAGAGCCTCAGGTTGCTAATCCATAAAATGGAGATTATAACACCTTTGAAGTGAACCCTGTACAGGTTAGGAGATGCCCTTCGTATTAGACTATGCTATGCGTGGTGCCCCCAGAGTTGTGTCTCATGGTGGCCCTGGTTATGGTGAAGTTAAGTGAAATAACATCTAGCGTGCTTAATGAATTTTTGTTTCCATTTCCTTAGTTGGCTACATGTCTGCTATCTTACCCAGAATTCCTAGCCTCTATCATGAGGTGAGTCAGCTTCCTGTCTCAGCAGTGCTCTTCTTGCAGGGCACTGCACAAAACTGTGGTGGAGATAACCCTCGATCTTCTCATGCAGGAGTCCAGCATCGCAGCCCTTAGAGAGATACATCAGAAATCTATGGCATCATCTATAACGAGAAGTCTTTTTCTGGCCATTTTGAAGGGGTGTTGGGCCACTTACTATTTTAGGAAGTTTAGGTCTGGTGATGTAAAACAGTCAGCCTGCTTTTTTTTATTCTATTTTTTTTTCAAGCATGCATGGCTTCATTTAACAAATGTTACAAGGCCCTAGGAACTGAGTGATTTGCAAGATGTGGTTTCTGACTTCAAGAAACTCAGAGTGCAGTCAGAGAGGTAGACCAAGGCAACCAGAAACTAATATTCAGCATAGAAAAAGTAATGATGGGAGGACATATAAAGTGTTCATGGCTCAAGAGGAAGAAGGGAGTGGAAGAGTGGAAGAGGAAGAGGGACTGCTGTCCACGTTCAAAGCCCAAATTGAGTCTGACTTTTGTCGAGAATTGCTTAACAGGCTGCAGAGGTGGCCAGGAGGTAGACCAGGGCTGGAATTCAAGTCACCTCATTTCAAATCTATTGCTCAGTCCATCGCTCCGCCTCATGCCACATTGGGTTTTTCTTTACATCATTTGTTTTTCCTTGTCTCACTTTTTTTAGGCTTGTTTTCCTGCTCAGAACAAAGTGACTTCCCTGAACACATCTTCATTATGATTCACACCAACCTGAAGAAAAAGTTCAGCTGCTGCGTCCTGGTCTTTCTTCTGTTTGCAGTCATCTGTGTGTGGAAGGAAAAGAAGAAAGGGAGTTACTATGATTCCTTTAAATTGCAAACCAAGGAATTCCAGGTGTTAAAGAGTCTGGGGAAATTGGCCATGGGGTCTGATTCCCAGTCTGTATCCTCAAGCAGCACCCAGGACCCCCACAGGGGCCGCCAGACCCTCGGCAGTCTCAGAGGCCTAGCCAAGGCCAAACCAGAGGCCTCCTTCCAGGTGTGGAACAAGGACAGCTCTTCCAAAAACCTTATCCCTAGGCTGCAAAAGATCTGGAAGAATTACCTAAGCATGAACAAGTACAAAGTGTCCTACAAGGGGCCAGGACCAGGCATCAAGTTCAGTGCAGAGGCCCTGCGCTGCCACCTCCGGGACCATGTGAATGTATCCATGGTAGAGGTCACAGATTTTCCCTTCAATACCTCTGAATGGGAGGGTTATCTGCCCAAGGAGAGCATTAGGACCAAGGCTGGGCCTTGGGGCAGGTGTGCTGTTGTGTCGTCAGCGGGATCTCTGAAGTCCTCCCAACTAGGCAGAGAAATCGGTATGTTCTGGGGTTGTTCTGTGAATGGCAGTGCTTATTGGGACTGGCTGGGCATATTGATGGTATGGGAGACAAGTGGCCCAAGTGTGGCTCAGCGGACCAGTGGAGTGGGCCCAGGGCAGTGTTTTTTTCAGAGTCACAAGTGACACAGAGGGAGTTGAACAGATGGCGCTCTAGGCCCCCGCATCTTTTATCAATTAGAAGAGCTTCATTATTGTTTCCTAATATTTTTAGTTGATATATAATAATTAGATATATTTATGGGGATATTTTGATACGTGTATTCAATGTGTAATGATCCAATCAGGGTAATTAGAATATCTATCACCTTGAACATTTATTGTTTCTTTGTGTTGGGAACAGAATAGTTTTATTTTCATCTGTTTTAAATATTGGAATTGTGTAGAAGATTTCATTTGAAAAAGAGAGTTCCGCTGCTACCAATAATCAAAAGCCTACAATTGACCTTTGAAAAGACTTGAAGCATAGATCTGCACATCATTTCCAGGTTCTGAAATTCTGTTGTTTTTCCTGATTAGTGGAGGACTCTATTGGCCTCAACAACCTGGGTAATTTTCAGCTTTTCTCTTTGAAAAGATTTAATTGGGTCAGTAATTCTTAACTGGGGGCTATGGACCAACTTCAGAGGGTCATGAATCCCTGCAATTGCGTGCAAAACTGTCTGTGGATTAGGTGTGTAGAATGTATGTGTATGCGTATAAGTGTGTCCGTGCATTTTTCCAGGAAGGGAGTTTGTAGACTGCAGTTTATTCTCTAAGGGATCTGTGACCCAAAAAAGTTTCAGAGTCACTGGTCACAACATATTAATTTGCTTTTCTTGAAACCCTTTGTAGTGAATCAAGATAGAAAGTCTGTCTATATTTGTAAACCTGTGTAACAGAGAGCCTTATTTCTCTTATGCTGAATGTGTTTTCCATTATTTGAAATGAATCAGCTAAAGAAAGCAAAGCACAGGAAGCTTTGCTCCTCTGTCAGCCTGGAGGTACTGGAGCAGGTGAGGTCATACGTCTCCTTTTTTATTTCCTTCATTTGACTGCCAGGAAAAATGGTCTGAAACCCAGCACAGGCTCTCAAAGAAAAGTAGGCCCAAACTGGATTCTCTAGAGCAGAAAGAAATGGTGAGATCACAGTTTCTACCTCCCCAAATAGGCAGCTGCCCCGCTGGCCGGCCCCACCTCAACTTCTGCTTTTGTATTTTTGGTTTTTCTTGGACTTTGTTTTCAAGAAACTAAATGTGATTGGTTTTTGTTCATCCATAATGGAGCTAAGTTTCTTTCTTCTCCATTTTTGCTGCTTATGTAGCAAATGTTTGGGATATCCTAGGTATTAGCTGATCCTTCTTCTTCATGTCAAGTTAATATTGCGTGCCTGGCTGAAATTGTACTGAAGTTTGAGACAGGGCCTGATAGCTCTGTTAATTAGAACTACAGCTTTAATTTTATGCACTCCTTAAAGATTTGGGGTGATTTAAGTAAACATTAATACAAATAATATTTTTCTATAGATTGCAGTTTCAACTTCAAAATAAGGATTTCCACAGAAGGACTTTGATCCTGAGATGTAATCAAAATTGCATGTTAGACTTCGAATGTTCTGCTGTTATGGGGTATATATCCTCTTGGCATTTTGTCTAACAAATATTTTAAGACATTCATATATTCTTTTATTTATTCATGGATTCATCAACAATACAAAGGGGAAAGGGAAGGGAAAGGCCCTTTGTTGAAGCCCGAGTTGCAGGCAGCGTGCCAGGCCCATACACTTCCTCCTGCATCTGGAATTTGTTGAGTCTCTTCCCAACTACTGGATGGATCAGATTATTTCAAATGGTTTTCTTTTACAAATAACATTGCTGACAAGGTTTTTGTGCAGATAACTTAGGTAACCACTATTGACATTCAACAGGGAAATATCCTCAGAAGTGAGGCTAGAAGACACGAGTAAGAGACATTTTATGACTTTTTTTTTTTTGTCCATAGCAAGATTTTCTATCAGAGAGAGTGTAATAACATACTCTGCCTCCAGCAGTCTCACAAACCAGCCAATGGTGGGCTCAGTCATTTTCAATTATTTTTGATAGTTTACTCATACATGTTAAGTATCCTAGATTTGCTGGAATTTTCATGTCAAACAGTAGCATAATTTTAAAACACTATCATCAATACAAGTGATGCTTATTATGCATCTGCTGAGTTCCTAACATGCCTTGCTCTTTTCATCCTCCCAGAAGTCCTGTGAGGTTGATAAGATTATTGGTCTCATTTTGCTGGAGAGCTAAATGCGGAGGCTCAAGTGGTCACACAACTGGCTAATAGCAGACTGAGGTTTGAAAGCAGAGTGCTTGCTTCAAAGACCCCACTCTTGGCACCTCTGCTGTTGTGCCTCATAATAATTGTAGCTTCATAATAAAATTCGGTGTGATTATTCTTTTATTATGTTAAAAATTTTCTTCTATTCTTGTCTATTAGCTGTCCTAGAGAGAAAGAGAAGGGTATTCTGAGTTAAGGCAAAGGCAAGAAGCAAAGGCTGCACGGGGAAAAGTGTGTTTGGGCATCACAAATAATCCTGTTTGGACGGCATGTGGGTCCTTGTGGGTGAAGATGGGTGAGGAACGAGGCCAGAAAGGTAGCTAGGCATTAGCTCTTAGAGAACGTTGATAGTCACAATAAGGACTTTAGGTTTCATTCTTTAAGCCATGGAGAGCCCTAGGAGGTTTTTGAACAAGGGAGACTTCTCACTTCTCTATGAGTCCCTGTTTTGTACTCTATAATGTCTCCATTATTAGGGACTATTGCCACAACCAGGTCAGAAGTGCCAGGCCTGCCCAGGCTGTGGTAGCAGTGATGAAGAGAAAGGACCTTACCTGAGAGGGCTCATGAAGTAAGAGGCAGAACTTACTATCTAGCTGGAAATGATCTTGAGTGAGAGGCAGGAGCCAGGATGTCTAGCCTGGGAGCAGGCTGTATCTTACCAAGGGGAGCATGCTTCCAGAGGAACGCAGATTCCACTTTGGATGTTCTGAGACTGAAGTGTGTGTGGATTTCCCTGGGTAGATATCTATGCTGTTGAGTACTTAATTCTAGAGAAGGATCAGATATCGAGATAGATTTACAAGTCATTTGTATCAAGGTGAGATAATGGTTATAATCCAGGGAAGAAGACCAATTAGAAAATCTAGAAAAAGATTTACATTTAAAGGACAAAGAAAAGAACAGGGAAAAGTCAGAAGGGTCAGAGACCGGCTAGAGGAGAACTAGGTGTGCACCATACAATGGAAGGCAAAGGGGGATGGAGTTTGAGGGATGTTGGCTGTTGGTATCAAAGTCTGCAGAGGTGGGACATATTCTTGGGCAGAATAAGGACTGAGAAGACACCTGTGAACTGAGTAGCTTGGAGAACATGATCAGTTATATCAGGGGTCAGCAAGCTTTTCTTAAAAGGCCGGATAGTAAATAGTTTTGGCTTTGAGGGCCATGATGTCTGTCACAACTACTCAACTCTGCTGTTGTACTGCAGAAGTAACAATAGATAGTAGTAAATGAACAGGCCTGGCTATGTTCCAACAAAACTTTATTTACAAAATGAGGGATGCACCAGATTTGTCCTTCAAGTCATAGTGTTTTGTTTTGTTTTTGACGGAGTCTTGCTCTGTTGCCCAGGCTGGAGTGCAGTGGCATGATCTCGGCTCACTGCAAGCTCCGCCTCCCAGGTTCATGCCATTCTCCTGCCTCAGCCTCCCGAGTAGCTGGGACTACAGGTGCCTGCCACCACGCCTGGCTAATTTTTTGTATTTTTAGTAGAGACAGGGTTTCACCGTGTTAGCCAGGATGGTCTCGATCTCCTGATCTCATGATCCGCCCACCTCGGCCTCCCAAAGTGCTGGGATTACAGGTGTGAGCCACCGCGCCCGGCCAAGTCATAGTTTTTTTTTTTTTTAACTCTGATCTATAGTATGTCTGTTTTCTTCAACCGGACTCAGAATGTAATTTTCCATAAATGGTTGTAGGATGTATTAGGCTAACTTGAAAATATAAAAGCGTTTGGTGATAAATTGTGATAAAATTTCTTTCATAATAATTTCTAGCTATTTAGAGTTAACTACACCTAGAGGCAGTGGATTTTGATGTATTTATGAATTTACTAACTTGAGCTGATTCTGTTGAATTTTCTAAGCGTGTGATTGTATAATCTGAATACAGTGATGCATTTATTTTTTCTTCTCCTAATTTGCCTCTTTTTCTGAGCTCTAATTCTAAGTTACAGAGAGGTGGTAGTTTCTTTTTTCTGCAGCCTTTCCCCCTCGCTAGGCTTGTTTGCTGGGATCTCAGTAGTTGTGGATTTCTCTTGGTGATTTCTTAGAGGCCTATTTGAGTTTGAAAGTTCAACTTTCAATTAGCAGGGAGGTTTGACAAACAGGATTTTTTTCTCTTTAAGTACCCAAGTCAGTTTAAAGTTTTCTTTTTAAAAATTTGATATATAATAATTGTACATATTTATGGGGTACATGTGATATTTTGGTACATGCATACAATGCGCAATGATCAGATTGGGTAATTAGAATATCCATCTCCTCAAAAAAGTTTTCTCCTTTGATTGGCTTTTTTCTTTTCCTTTCTTTTTTTTTTTTTTGAGACAGAGTCTTGCTCTGTTGCCCAGGCTGGAGTGCAGTGGCGTGATCTTGGCTCACTGCAAGCTCCACCTCCTGGGTTCACACCATTCTCCTACCTCAGCCTCCCGAGTAGCTGGGATTACAGGCGCCTGCCACCATACTCGGCTAATTTTTTTGTATTTTTAGTAGAGACGAGGTTTCACTGTGTTAGCCAGGATGGTCTCGATCTCCTGACCTCGTGATCTGCCCACCTTGGCCTCCCAAAGTGCTGGGATTACAGGTGTGAGCCACCGTGCCCAGCCTGATTGGCTTTTTTCTTAGAATCACGTCCAAACTTCATACCTGGGCCCCCATGTCCGTGTATGATCTGGTTCCTGCCAACCTCTGTAACTGTATCTTTGATTTTTCTTCCCCTCACTCCTTGTCTACAGTCAAGTCCCTGCCCTCATTGTGGTCCTGACACTTGCTGCATCCTCTGACTGGTGGACTTCTCTGAACCCTTCCCAAGGCTGGCCATCCTTTGGGTCTCAGCTCCAAGGCATTCCCTGAATCATCACTCTATGAAGGAAATTCCCTCAGTGTCTCTGGCACACAGCTCAGCTTGTTAGTGTCACAGTGTTTGTCACAATCCGAAATTATCTTATATGTAGGTTGTTGTCCGTCTTTACTGTCTATGTCCGTGCAGTAGAATGTAATATCTCTGAGGGCATGGACCTTGTCTTTGTTGCTCACAGGCGTCGTCTCCCGTGTCTAAAACTGTGCCTGGCATAGAGTAGGTGCTCAATCAGTATTTGTTGACTGAACAAAACAATTCTCCTTTCTTATGGTCAACATCAAGCATCTGTTCTAACCTAAGCCTTCTGTGCTGGATGTTCTCCAGTGGCACCTCCAAATCCCACTCTCACCCTTTTCCATCTGGCTCTGTCCCTGAGAAATTGAATTTTTTTTTTTTTTTTTTTTTTTTTTTTGAGAATGAGTCTTGTTCTGTTGCCCAGGCTGGAGTGCAGTGGCACAATCTCGGCTCACGCTAACCCCCGCCTCCTGGGTTCAAGCGATTCTCCTGCCTCAGCCTCCAGAGTAGCTAGGATTACAGGTGCGTGCCACCACGCCCAGCTAATTTTTGTATATTTAGTAGAGATGGGGTTTCACCATGTTGGTCAGGCTGATGTCGAACTCCTGACTTCAGGTGATCCACCCGCCTCGGCCTCCCAAAGTACTGGGATTACAGGCGTGAGCTACTGCGCCCAGCTGAGAAATTAAAATTTTGAACTGCGTTAATTGGCATTTCTCACTCTCTGGATTTTCTCTGGGACTGGCCAGGAGAAGCAGTGGCATTAAAGCTGAGAAGAAGACTAAGGTCAGGGCACCTATTCCGCCATGTTTCGCCTTGCAGAGTAAACTCAAGCTGTATCTTTCTCTTGACTGAAGGTCTCAGATCCTGCCAGGAGGCCGTCCCAGTCTTGGTCCTGCTCTGTCCCTTTTCCCTTCAGTTCTATGAGATCCAAGGGAAGGGGCAGAACCAGGTTGGGATATTGACTCCCTCAGGCTCCTTCTTGCCCGGAGGTTGGCAATAGCTGTGTTCCTCTCCTAAAGGCAACAGCTCCCGACAGGTGTCCCTCCTCAGCTCAGGGTCTCCGCTCATCAGGCCACAGTAGACCTGGGGTGGTAATGACACCCTGCAGTCATCAACCCTGGGGCTTTAGCCTATTCCGTGTTGATTTCTTTAAACTCTACCCCAACTTGGTAAGTAGTCCTTTTATGAATCTCTCAATTACTCCATTGGAGCTTCTCATCTCTTTTCTACTGGGATTCTCACCAATAATTTATTCATCTGTGAAATGGAAAAGTTGACTAACTGAAGTTTCTGATGGATCTGTGTTTCTCATGCAATTACTACTAATCCCTTTCGAACCAGTGACTGATTCTGACAAAATGTGTTGTAATTCTGAGTTGTGTAAAGATATACCTCCTGCCCTATGTGCACTTCAGTGTACCTGCCCTGTAAGATGATAACAGTTTGGACTGTGCCCTTCTCAGATAATTTTCAAACCATTTTGATGAAATTTTGCCCTAGGATTGAGGATAGGGTTGTGTTGTTTTCATGAATGATGTTTCTGTGTTCCTGAGGTTTAGTACATACATTGGAACTGAAATAAAGAGAGAGGCTTTCATCCTTAATTCTGTGGATATCCTCTTTCTAAATCATCTTGTGTTCAGTCAAATGCCCTCACTTCCCCAAATCCTGTGTGGATAAAGAATGATCCAAAACAAACCTGAATAGGACAATAGAGGATTCAGCTGACCCCCAGATCCCGTGTAGATTTCAGTGGTGAGCCCCAAACTTGCTTGACCGAGTAAGATTGAAAGAAGTTCTCATAGGATCACAGGATTTGGATGGCTCCTTAAAGTCTTCAGTTCCCTCCTTCATCAGATAGGTCAACGTGGGGTAGAGAAACTTTTCCAAGTCTTCCAAACACTGCTTAAACAGTTGCAAAGACAAGGAGCTAGCCCAGGAAGCTTTTAGGTTTTTCAAGATGGCCTGTTTGATTTTGACTGGATTTAGTACATTGTTTCTGACAATGGCTTACAAAGAAAGAGAGAGAGAGAGAGAGAGAGAGAGGGAGGGAGGGAAGGAAGGAGGGAGGGAAGGAAGGAAGGAAAAGAAGGAAGGAAGGAAGGAAAAGAGAGAGAGGAAGGAAGTTAGTTTAGCTCTCTGACCTCCTCTTCCATTTCTGCCACACCAGTTCTGTGACTCTTCCCTGGGCCTCAGGTTCCTAAATGGAACGCCTGGGGGTTGTCTTGGATGCCATAGTTAAATCCTGTCCATTTGCTGAGCACTGCATGCTTTTCAAAGTGCAATGGGGTCCTTTGCACTTGTGGGATACACTGAACATATGGTAGTGTTTTCATTTTTCTGACAGAGATAGAAATATAATCTACTGGTGATACCAAGAGAATATCTGGTTTGCTGCTTTGATAACTGGAGTAGCTACTCCACTGTAAGTAGCACACTGGCTTTGTTCACTTTTCTGTGTGCCCAGGCACAAGCGAATGTCTTTGAATGGGTTTCAGGAATGCCACAGTATGGCCCCCTTCAGCCCTTACAGTGGCTGGCAGACAGGTGGTCATCTCTGCCTAGGAGCTTTACCTGAGCACCACACAAATACTGCCATTTCGCCCTGTGGATCATGATGGGGTAAAGATGGGGAAGCATTATTCCCTTGCCCCCTCCCCCGCCTCTCGTCTTTCTCTTTTTCTGCATATTGCCAGTGCTCATCACCTCTTTTCTGTTTCTTTGTGGTTTATAGATGATCATGACGCAGTCCTGAGGTTTAATGGGGCACCCACAGCCAACTTCCAACAAGATGTGGGCACAAAAACTACCATTCGCCTGATGAACTCTCAGGTAAAATTTCTTCTGTGCAGCTATGGAGTAAGAGAAGGACCACAGTGTGGGCTCTAATGTGGAATGTATCTACTGGGAGCATATCTAGGCTGCCAATTAAGTCTCTTGATCTTCCTGAGTTCCTGATTCCTCACTGGAGAAGAAGACAATGATTCCATGACCCAACCTGATGATGTGTTTATTTAAAGAAAAACCCTTTAGTATTAGTGTCTGCTAATGGAGGTGTCTGGTACCCAGGAAAGTAGAGTTGAGCTGTCCTTGCTGCTGCAAGGTCATACCTGGAGGTTTACATGAGGGACAGCAGAGCGCAGAACATCCAGGGGAGAGTGGGGAGTGTTGTGAAAAGTGAATGAAACAATACACAGGAGAGCACTTTATGAACCGTAAAATGCTATACAACTACTATAAGACAGTGTCACCATGTAATTATGTGTAATATGGCACTAGAATTCATGTACTATTTCATAAATTCCCCTGGATAATTAGGTTCCCGGAGTATTTTCAGGTAGCACATGCCGATTTCTCAATACTAAGGGAGACTTGAGAAATATTCTTGCCACAGGGTTCTGTTAGTATATTTTATTAGTGGGAAAAACTGTATTACACATATATATGAAAATATCAAAAATTGCACAATAGGGCTGCAACCTGCCCATCTCACAACCACCAACATTTGCCTTTTTCTGAATAAACATATGTGCTCTGGGGGTTTTTATGTCAGTATTTAGTCTGCATACTTCCCTAGGAGTCCTGGGCATGGGGTGGATCCTGGAACAGATCAGAAATGCCTTTTCAGCAGTGTCTGTGGAATGTGTGTTTCTTTCCTTCTCTACTAGGGCTCCACTTCCCTATATCTGTCTCTTCACTTCCTTACTTTCAGGAACTCACCAGCTAGGCAGAAGCTGCTTCCTGCATAGCCCACTTTCTATTTGAAGCCCACAACCTTAAGAAACTTTTTTTTAAAATTATACTTTAAGTTCTAGGGTACATGTGCACAATGTGCAGATTTGTTACATAGATATACATGTGCCATGTTGGTTTGCTGCACCCATCAACTCGTCATTTACATTAGGTATTTCTCCTAATGCTATCCCTCCCCTTGCCCCCAACCCCACAACAGGCCCCAGGGTGTGATGTTCCCTGCCCTGTATCCAAGTGTTCTCATTGTTCAACTCCCACCTGTGAGTGAGAACATGCGGTGTTTGGTTTTCTGTCCTTGTGATAGTTTGCTCAGCATGATGGTTTCCAGCTTCATCCATGTCCCCACAAAGGACATGAACTCATCCTTTTTTATGGCTGCATAGTATTCCATGGTGTATACATGCCACATTTTCTTAATCCAGTCTATCATTGATGGACCTTTGGGTTGGTTCCAAGTCTTTGCTATTGTGAATACTGCCACAATAAGCATACGTGTGCATGTGTCTTTATAGCAGCATGATTTATAATCCTTTGGGTATATACCCAGTAATGGGATGGCTGAGTCAAATGGTATTTCTAGTTCTAGATCCTTGAGGAATTGCCATACTGTCTTCCACAATGGTTGAACTAGTTTACACTCCCACCCACAGTGTAAAAGCATTCCTGTTTCTCCACATCCTCTCCAGCATCTGTTGTTTCCTGACTTTTTAATGATCGCCATTCTAACTGGTGTGAGATGGTATCTCATTATGGTTTTGATTTGCATTTCTCTGATGACCAGTGATGATGAGCATTTTTTCATGTGCCTGTTGGCTGCATAAATGTCTTCTTTTGAGAAGTGTTTGTTTATATCTTTTGCCCACTTTTTGATGGGGTTGTTTGTTTTTTTCTTGTAAATTTGTTTACATTCTTTGTGGATTCTGGATATTAGCCCTTTGTCAGATGGATAGGTTACAAAAATTTTCTCCCATTCTTTAGGTTGGCTGTTCACTCTGATGGTCGTTTCTTTTGCTGTGCAGAAGCTCTTTAGTTTAATTAGATCCCATTTGTCTATTTTGGCTTTTGTTGCCATTGCTTTTGGTGTTTTAGTCATGAAGTCCTTGCCCATGCCTATGTCCTGAATGGTATTGTTTAGGTTTTCTTCCAGGGTTTTTATGGTTTTAGGTCTAACATTTAAGTCTTTAATCCACCTTGAATTAATTTTTGTGTAAGGTGTAAGGAAGGGATCCAGTTTCAGCTTTCTACATATGGCTAGCCAGTTTTCCCAGCACCATTTATTAAATAGGGAATCCTTTCCCCATTTCTTGTTTTTGTCAGGTTTGTCAAAGATCAGATGGTTGTAGATGTGTGGTATTATTTCTGAGGCCTCTGTTCTGTTCTATTCGTCTATATATCTGTTTTGGTACCAGTACCATGCTGTTTCGGTTACTGTAGCCTTATAGTATAGTTTGAAGTCAAGTAGCATGATGCCTCCAGCTTTGTTCTTTTGGATTAGGATTGTCTTGGCAATGCAGGCTCTTTTTTGGTTGCATATGAACTTTAAAGTAGTTTTTTCCAATTCTGTGAAGAATGTCATTGGTAGCTTGATGGGGATGGCATTGAATCTATAAATTACCTTGGGCAGTATGGCCCTTTCCACAGTATTGATTCTTCCTAACCATGAGCATGGAATGTTCTTCCATTTGTTTGTGTCCTCTTTTATTTTGTTGAGCAGTGGTTTGTAGTTCTTGTTGAAGAGGACCTTCACATCCCTTGTAAGTTGGATGCCTAGGTATTTTATTCTCTTTGTAGCAATTGTGAATGAGAGTTCACTCATGATTTGGCTCTCTGTTTGTCTGTTATTGGTGTATAGGAATGCTTGTGATGTTTGCACATTGATTTTGTATCCTGAGACTTTGCTGAAGTTGCTTATCAGCTTGAGGAGATTTTGAGCTGAGATGATGGGTTTTTCTAAATATACAATCATGTCATCTGCAAACAGGGACAGTTCGACTTCCTCTTTTCCTAATTGAATACCCTTTATTTCTTTCTCTTGCCTGATTGCCCTGGCCAGAACTTCCAACACTATGTTGAATAGGAGTGGTAAGAGAGGGCATCCCTGTCTTGTGCTAGTTTTCAAAGGGAATGCTTCAGTTTTTGCCCATTCAGTATGATATTGGCTGTGGGTTTGTCATAAATAGCTTTTATTATTTTGAGATACATTCCATCAATACCTAGTTCATTGAGAGTTTTTAGCATGAAGGGCTGTTGTATTTTGTTGAAGGTCTTTTCTGCATCTATTGAGATAATCATGTGGTTTTTGTCATTGTTCTGTTTATGTGATGGATTATGTTTACTGATTTGCATATGTTGAACCAGCCTTGCATTCCAGGGATGAAGCTGACTTAATCGTGGTGGATAAGCTTTTTGATGCACTGCTGGATTTGGTTTGCCAGTATTTTATTGAGGATTTTTGCATCGATGTTCATCAGGGATATTGGCCTAAAATTCTCTTTTTTTGTTTTGTCTCTGCTAGACTTTGGTATCAGGATGATACTTGCCTCATAAAATGAATTAGGGAGGATTCCCTCTTTTTGTATTGATTGGAATAGTTTCAGAAGGATTGATACAAAGAGGTTTGTACCTCTGCTAGAATTTGGCTGTGAATCCGTCTGGTCCTGGACTTTTTTTGGTTGGTTAGGCTATTAGTTATTGCCTCAATTTCAGAGCCTGTTATTGGTCTATTCAGAGATTCAACTTCTTCCTGGTTTAGTCTTGGGAGGGTGTATGTGTCCAGGAATTTATCCATTTCTTCTAGATTTTCTAGTTTATTTGCATAGAGGTGTTTATAGTATTCTCTGATGGTAGTTTGTATTTCTGTGGGATCAGTGGTGATATCCCAATTTATCGTTTTTTATTGCGTCTATTTGATTCTTCTCTCTTTTCTTCTTTATTAGTCTTGCTAGCGGTTTATCAATTTTGTTGATCTTTTCAAAAAAAAAAAAACAGCTCCTGGATTCATTGATTTTTTTGAAGAGTTTTTTGTGTCTCTATCTCCTTCAGTTCTGCTCTGATCTTAGTTATTTCTTGCCTTCTGCTAGCTTTTGAATTTGTTTACTCTTGCTTCTCTAGTTCTTTTAATTGTGATGTTAGGGTGTTGATTTTAGATCTTTTCTGCTTTCTCTTGTGGGCATTTAGTGCTATAAATTTCCCTCTACACATGGCTTTAAATGTGTCCCAGACATTCTGGTATGTTGTGTCTTTGTTCTCATTGGTTTCAAAGAACATCTTTATTTCTGCCTTCATTTCGTTATGTCCCCAGTAGTCATTCAGGAGCAGGTTGTTCAGTTTCCATGTAGTTGTGCAGTTTTGAGTGAGTTTCTTAATCCCGAGTTCTAATTTGATTGCGCTGTGGTCTGAGAGACAGTTTGTTATGATTTCTCTTCTTTTATGTTTGCTGAGGAGTGCTTTACTTCCAACTATGTGGTCAGTTTTACAATAAGTGCGATGTGGTGCTGAGACAAATGTATATTCTGTTGATTTGGGGTGGAGAGTTCTGTAGATGTCTATTAGGTCTGCTTGGTGCAGAGCTGAGTTCAAGTCCTGGATATCCTTGTTAAGTTTCTGTCTCGTTGATCCGTCTAATATTGACAGTGGGGTGTTGAAGTCTCCTATTATTATTGTGTGGGAGTCTAAGTCTCTTTGTAGGTCTCTGAGGACTTGCTTTATGAATCTGGATGCTCCTGTATTGGGTGCATATTTATTTAGGATAGTTAGCTCTTCTTGTTCAATCGATCCCTTTACCATTATGTAATGGCCTTCTTTATCTCTTTTGATCTTTGTTGGTTTAAAGTCTGTTTTATCAGAGACTAGGATTGCAACCCCTGCTTTTTTTTGCTTTCCATTTGCTTGGTAGATCTTCCTCCATCCCTTTATTTTGAGCCTATGTGTGTCTCTGCATGTGAGATGGGTCTCCTGAATACAGCACACTGATGGGTCTTGACTCTATCCAATTTGCCAGCCTGTATCTTTCAACTGGGGCATTTAGCCCATTTACATTTAAGGTTAATATTATGTGTGCATTTGATCCTGTCATTATGATGTTAGCTGGTTATTTTGCCCATTAGCTGATGTAGTTTATTCCTAGCATTGATGGTTTTTACAATGTAGCATGTTTTTGCAGTGGCTGGTACCAGTTATTCCTTTCCATGTTTAGTGCTTCCTTCAGGAGCTCTTGTAAGGCAGGCCTGGTGGTGACAAAATCTCTCAGCATTTGCTTGTCTGTAAAGGATTTTATTTCTCCTTCACATATGAAGGTTAGTTTGGCTGGACATGAAATTCTGGGTTGAAAATTCTTTTCTTTAAGAAAGTTGAATCTTGGCCCCTACTCTCTTCTGGCTTGTAGAGTTTCTGCTGAGAGATCTGCTGTTAGTCTGATGGGCTTCCCTTTGTGGGTAACCTGATGTTTCTCTCTGGCTGCCCTTAATATTTTTTCCTTCATTTCAACCTTGGTGAATCTGACAATTATGTGTCTTGGGGTTGCTCTTCTCGAGGAGTATCTTTGTGGTGTTCTCTGTATTTCCTGAATTTGAATGTTGGCCTGCCTTACTAGGTTGGGGAAGTTCTCCTGGGTAATATCCTGAAGAGTGTTTTCCAACTTGGATCCATTTTCCCTGTCACTTTCAGGTACACCAGTGAAACGTAGATTTGGTCTTTTCACATAGTCCCATATTTCTTGGAGGCTTTGTTTGTTTCTTTTTACTCTTTTTTCTCTAAACTTCTCTTTTTGTTTTATTTCATTGATTTGATCTTCAATCACTGATACCCTTTCTTCCACTTGATCGCATTGGCTATTGAAGCTTGTGCATGCATCTCGTAGTTCTTAAGCCATGGTTTTCAGCTCCATCAGGTCATTTAAGGTCTTCTCTATACTGTTTATTCTAGTTAGCCATTCATCTAATCTTTTTTCAAGGTATTTAGCTTCCTTGCCATGGGTTTGAACATCCTCCTTTAGCTTGGAGAAGTTTGTTATTACTGACCTTCTGAAGCCTACTTCTGTCAGCTCGTGAAAGTCATTCTCCGTCCAGCTTTGTTCTGTTGCTGGCGAGGAGCTGCGATCCTTTGGAGGCAAAGAGGCACTCTGGTTTTTAGAATTTTCAGCTTTTCTGCTCTGGTTTCTCCCCATCTTTGTAGTTTTATCTACCTTTGGTTTTTGATGATGGTTTTGGTGTGGATGTCCTTTCTGGTGATGTTGATGCTATTCCTTTCTGTTTGTTAGTTTTCCTTCTAACAGTCAGGTCCCTCAGCTGCAGGTCTGTTGGAGTTTGCTGGAGGTCCACTCCAGACCCTGTTTGCCTGGGTATCACCAGCAGAGGCTGCAGAACAGCAAATATTGCTGCCTCATTCTTCCTCTGGAAGCTTTGTCCCAGTGGGGCAACTGCCTGTATGAGGTGTCAGTCGGCCCCTACTGGGAGGTGCCTCCCAGTTAGGCTACACGGGGCTCAGGGACCCACTTGAAGAGGCAATCTGTCCGTTCTCCGAGTTCAAACACCGTGCTGGGAGAACCACTGCTCTCTTCAGAGCTGTCAGACAGGGACGTTTAAGTCTGCAGAAGTTTCTGCTGCCTTTTATTCAGCTATGCCCTGCCCCCAGAGGTGGAGTCTACAGAGGCAGCAGGCCTGGCTGACCTGCAGTGGGCTCCACCTACTTCGAGCTTCCAGGGCTGCTTTGTTTACCTACTCAAGCCTCAGCAATGGCAGACGCCCCTCCCCCGCCAGGCTGCTGTCTTGCAGGTCGATCTCAGACTGCTGCACTAGCAGTGAGCAAGGCTCCGTGGTCCTGGGACCCGCTGAGCCAGGCACAGGATATAATCTCCTGGTGTGCCATTTTTTAAGACAGTTGGAAAAGCGCAGTGTTTGGGCGGGAGTGTCCCATTTTTTCAGGTACCGTCTGTCACGACTTCCCTTGGCTAGGAAAGGGAAGTCCCCTGACCCCTTGCGCTTCCTGGGTGAGGTGATGCCCCACCCTGCTTTGGCTCGTCCTCCATGGGTTGCACCCACTGTCCAACCAGTCCCAATGATATGAACCAGGTACGTCAGTTGGAAAAGCAGAAATCACCCGTCTTGTTTGTCGATCGCGCTGGGAGCTGCAGACCAGAGCTGTTCCTATTTGACCATCATAAGAATATTTTTATAACGGGATAGAAATTGAGGAACTTAACTTATTTGTAAGTGGTCACCATCTTGTTTTTTTGTTCTTCCTCTAATACCTTTTAATTTTTTTTTAAGAAAATCACTTTCTATCACCGTCACATCTTCTAGTCACCTCTAGGTGCTTCCAATGCCTGTTTGTTGTTCAAATTTATATTTTGGCTTTTGGTATTACTTTTATTATTATTATTATTATTATTATTTGAGATGGAGTTTCGCTCTGTCACCCAGGCTGGAGTGCAGTGGTGTGATCTTGGCTTACTGCAACCTCCTTTTCCTGGGTTCAAGCGATCCTCTTGCCTCAGCCTCCTGAGTAGCTGGGATTACAGGCATGCACCACCATACCCAGCTAATTTTTGTATCTTTAGTAGAGATGGGGTTTCACCATGTTGGCCCAACTGGTCTTGAACTCCTGACCTCAAGTAACCACCCACCTTGGCCTCCTGAAGTGTTAGTATTACAGGCGTGAGCCATCGTGCCTGGCCTACTTTTATTGTTACTAGAAGAGATAGGATTGAAAGGAATGGACTGGCTAGCAAGAAGCTCTCTGGGGCAAATGACAGTTGAGCTAGACTTTGAAAGATGGGCAGGACTTGGGGAAATAGCAATAGCCGGGCACTCCAGAAAGTGGAATTGGCAAGACAGAGGAGAACAGGAAATGAGGGAGGCGTTACACCACTCCAAGAGTAGTGTAATGATCACTCCCCTATTAGTGATCAGGCTGGAGTGCAGTGGCGTGATCATAGGAAATGAGGGAGACATTCAGATACCCCTGGCTAAGTTGGAGGTGGAGGTGTAGAAGAATTGGCTGGCCTTGCCCCGTAGAGAGAGATGAGGCTGGACCTTCATGGCTGCTTGTGCTCTGGCAAGTGTGGAAATTCAGACAGAGGGTTAGGACCAGCTTTGTCCCTTTCCCTTCTCATGCCTAGTCAGGAACCCTGGAGCTGGAGAGCACTTTAGGGAGCACTAAAACCTCATCTCCACTTCTATATAAGATGCTACCTAAATATCCAGGAGAGATGTTCATTTACTCTTAATTAATTCATTCATTCAACAAATGTATTCAGTATTGAGTAGACTGTGGCAGTCAGTACATAAACTCTATAGTTAGCCTGCTTGGGGTTGAAATCCAGCTCTGTCTCTTACTAGCTGAAGGATCATCAAGTTACTTCTCTCTAAAAAAGGGAGAATAATTCCCTTACAGGGTTGTTGTGAGGTGTAAATAAGAAAAATCTGTGCAAAGCACTTAGAACAATACCTGGCACATGTATCAATAAACGTTAACTGCACTTACTATTGATATTTGCAGACATTGGTAGGGGAGGGTACAATTGTGAGCAAAACAGGCTCAGCCTCTGTTCTTATGATGCAATCAAATAGTTTTACAAATAAATAAATTTGCAAAAAAGAACTAGAGAAGAGAGTGGTCAAGGTACTAGGAGAGCCCTGAAAGGGGAGATTTGAGCTATTCAAGGAGGTCAGAATCCCTAAGTAGGTGGTACTTGGCTGTGTAGAAGGAATGTGTGGATGTTGAAAAGGGTGGGATAAGAGCTTTTCAGGAAGAGGCAACAGCATGGGTACAGTTTTGTGTGGAAGGAAATGGGGGACTGGAAGGACTCAGGAAGAGGTGAGTATATGTGGGACTATGTGGTGAGAGACAAGGCTGAAAGCAAGAAGGAGTCAAGCCATGGTGCTGCACCGAGGCATCTTCTTTTTTCAGTGGGGGTAGGGGGGTTGGCCTGTCACCCGGGCTGGAGTGCAGTGGCGCGATCTCAGCTCACTGCAAACACCACCTCCTGGGTTCAAGCGATTCCCCTGCCTCAGCCTCCCGAGTAGCTGGGATTACAGGCGCCCACAACCATGCCCGACTAATTTTTGTATTTTTAGCAGAGACGAGGTTTCACTGTGTTGGCCAGGTTAGTCTCAAACTCCTGACCTCAGGTGATCCACCTGCCTCAGCCTCCCAAAGTGCTGGGATTACAGGCGTGAGCCACCTCACCCAGCAGGGTGAGACATCTTCTTTATGGCATGATCAGATTTGCATTTTGTAACCATCACTGGCTTTCATCTGAGCAGAGGGGCTGCAGTAGATGAAGACACATAGTTAGGAAGGTCTTACAAGTAGTCTGGGTTAGATACGCTGATAGCTTGCACAAGAGTAGGGGTGAAGGTGAATGTGAGAAAAGAATGTATTTAAGGGCTGCTTGCGATTTGCAGTCAACAGGTTTTAATGTCGCATTAGATGTGAGAAGTAAAGGGAGAGGGGCCAAAGGTGCAGCTCAGTTTCTTTCTTGTGTAACTTGGCAGCTAGAAGTTGAAATTAGAAGTCAGCCCCTTATCCATGGTTTCACTCTCTGCAGTTTCATTTATTTGTGGTCAGCTGCAGGCTGGAAATACTAAATGAAAAATTCCAGAAATAAGCAATTCAGAAGTTTTAAATGACACGTTGTTCTGAGTAGTGGGATGAAATCTTACACATCTTACTTTGTCCCTTCCTCATCACAGGAAGAAGGATGGGTACAGTACAATAAAATATTGAATAAATAAGCAAATTCAATAAAGTAGCAGGATCCGAAGTCAACACCCAAAAAATATTCATTTTTTCTATTATGTGCAATAACAATGAATGATCTAGAAAGGAAATTTAAAAAACAATTCCATTTACAATAGAATAGCATAAAAAAGCATAAAATACTTAGGAATGAATTTAACCAAGGAGTTGAAAGACTTATACAATGAAAACTACAAAATAGTTCTGAAAGAAATTAAAGGAGACACAAAAACCTGGAAGACATCCCATGTTCACAGATTGAAAAAAGTATTGTTAAGATGTCAATAATACCGAATATGATATGCAGATTTAATGCAATCGTTGTGAAAATCCAAAAGATATTTCTTTTTTTGCAGAAATAGAAAAAGCTATCCTAAAATTTATATGAAACCTCAAGGGACCCCGATTAACCAAACAATCCTGAAAAATAAGAATAAAGCTGGAGTTCTCTCACTTCTTGATTTCAAAAAATACATATGTTACAATAATCGAGAGAGTGAGGTACAAAGACAAACATATAAACCATTGGAATAGAATAAAAGTCCAGAAATAAAGTCTTGTATATATGTGTAAATGATTTTTGATGAGTGTGTCAGGATCGTTCAATGAGGAAAAGACAGTCTTTTTAAGAAATGATACTGGGAAAACTGGCTATCCACATGCAAAAGAATAAAGTTGGACCCTTACCTAACACCAAAAATAAAAATTAACTCAAAATGGATCTATGACCTAAATGTAGACCAAAAACTATAAAACTCTTAGAAGACAACATAGGGCAAAAACTTTATGACATCAGATTTGGCAATGATTTCGTCATTATTACACCAAAGGCATACATACGTAACAAAGGAAAAAATATACAAGTTGGACTTTATGAAAATTAAAAATAATTGTATATCAAAAGATACTCTCAACAGAGTAAAAAGACACCACACATAATAGGAGAAAATATTTGCAAGTCATCTATCTGATAAGGGATTAATGTACAGAATATATAGAACACTCTTCAAACAACAATAAAAAAAATCAAATTACCCAATTTAAAAATAGGCAAAGGACTTGAATGGACGTTTCTCCAAGATATACAAATGGTTAGTAAGCACATGAAAAGAGACTCAACTCTTTTTTGCTAGGGAAATGCAACCCAAGAATACAACACAGCACCACCTCACCCCCATTAGGGTGGCTTCTATGATCAGAAATCGGAATCCGTGGGCACTGTTGATGGGAATGGAAAATGGTCAGCCACTGTGGAAAACAGTACGGCAGTGCCTCAAAAACTTAAAAATGGAATTACCGTGTAATCTAATAATCTTATTTATTGGCGTATATGTACAGAAATTGAAAGAAGGGTCTTGAAGAGATATTCATACCCCCATATTCAGACTACTCTTATTCACAATAGCTGGACTGCAGAAGGAACCCAAGTGTCTGTTGATGTTGAATGGATACACAAAAGCTGGTTTATACATACAATAAAATATTATTCTAAAAAAGGAAGAAAATACCGAGATTGGCTACAACATGGATGAACCCTGAAGACATTATGCCAAGTGAAATAAGCCAGTCACACACACACACACACACACACACACACACAAAATACTATATGAATGTGGTTGCCAGGGAATGTGAGGTGGGAGGGGGAATGGGGAGTTACTGTTTAATGAGTATAGAGTTTCAATTTTGCAAGACTGAAAAAGTTTTGGAGATGGTTTGTGGTGATAGTTGCACAACAATACAAATGTACTTAATATCACTGAACTGTACACTTAAAAATGGTTAAGATAGTCAATGTTATGTTATATGTATTTTAATACAATTTTTAAATTGGAAAAAATGTCAGTAGGGGAGACAGTCACAGAAGTACAAACACTGTATGATTCCACTTTATATGGAACACCTGGAGTAGAAACAAAGTAGAATGATGTTTGCCAAGGGCTAGGAGGAGAAAGGAATGTGGAATTGTTGTTTAATGAATACTGTGATTCATTTTGGGAAGCTGAAAAAGTTCTGGAGATGGTGGTGATAGTTACACAACAATAGGAATGTACTAAGCTGAATACTTAAAGTTGCTAAAATGGTCAATTTTATGTTATGTATATTTTAAAAGCTTTCTTTTAAATCAACAGGGAGAAACCAGTTGATAGAGGGAGAAAGTGAATATACTAAAAAGAGGAGAAAATGATTAGTTACCCACAACATGATGGTGGTGGAGCCAAAGCGTAGTGGAGGATGAACCCCAGCAGGCGGGAGTCAGAGGGAAGAAGGTGCGAGTGGTGTAGCTGGAGGCAGTCAGTATTAGAAGGATGAGAGGGCTTCTATTTTCTCTGCAAAGTGGCATGCAAGGCCAAGTCAGAAGGAGGCTGAGGGGGAAAGAGGTTTTAGTAGAGAAGGTTTGAACAAAGAGATTTATAATTGTCATTGAGGTGAGTGGGACCGTCAGTAAACCTGATGAATGGAGTAGGATTTCCAGGCCATGCTGGGCTACTTTGAGGTTGAAGAGAATGAATTTAGAGAGAAACCAATCTCTGTTTGATACATGGATGGTAGGATCTGGAGGTGAGCAGGCAGCAGCAAAGAGGAGAGGGGAGAGGGGAGGAGCCCTCCCTGAGCACTCTCTTGGACTGCGGAGGCTACCTACTCTCTGAGCACTTCTTCGTGATGATTCAGTCTTCCTCACTGTGAAGAACGAAACCCCAGTCCTGCAAAGATTTGAAACTGTATTTAAGGCCAAAGTAAGGTTGCCTGGGAATTAAGAGTACTGGAGTCAGGCAGGCTTTGATCAGATCCCTCCCCCAACACTTCCTGTGTGAGTGACTTCAGCAAGTTGCTTTACTTTACCTTTCTGAGCCTCATTTCCCTTACTTGTAACACAGAAATATGAATAGTTACTATCCAGGGTTTTTTTTTAGGATCAAAGGAGTTACTATGTGTGGAGCATGTCACCCAGAGGCTGGTATGCAGCAAGTGCTTTGTAAATAGTAGCGATGGGCACTACTGAAACCTGAATGTCTGCCTCTGCCTGTTTGCGAATGACTCCACCTTCCCAAATCCCAACAGGGAAGGTGAGTCAGCTTGAGACCACTTGAGAGGCATCTAGCAGAAGGGAGGCAAAACTTCTGTTAAAGGATAATTTTTAGGGAAAAAAAGGTAAGATGATGACTCTCATACAGATATTAAAAATGAATTCATCATGAAGATTTTATTTTACTCGTATGATGGAACCAGGCAGATATTACAACTGGTTCAAAGGAAAAGTCAAAGCAACACAAATTTGGAGTAAAGGAGTTGAACTAGTTTTTCTGTGAGATAAGGCAGGGGGAGGGGAGAAATCAATTGAAACTCTCCTGGGCAGCATCCTGCCCAGTAGGCACATGTATTAGTTGCCTACAATTCACAAAGGGTTGCGAAATAGCTCCCGTGGAATCAGAATCTGACAGGGAGGAAGAGTGTGCTCAGAAAATGCATGGCTTTCTACTGAAGCAGATTTTTTTCCCATTACACTTCTAGATCTCTGTGCACCATTGTGCCAGGGCTGCGAGGAAGGTGGCCCACTTCCCGGGATACACTACCCACCCTCAAGAGAGCCTTTCCTGCTGCTTCTTAGGCAAGTCAGCTCTCTTTTCTCACCTCCTGTAAGCAACACTAAGTATCTGGCTGTTCCTTTCGTACTCGAGTCCTGGCCGCTCCATGACAGCACTTGTGGTGGTACTGAACTGTGATGGACACTTTCTATCATTGCCCTTTCTTACCTTGATATCCTAAAAAGCTGGTGGTCTGTCTTCTCTATCTTTTGTCCTGGTCAGTTATCCTAACTATTTTGTGTCTGTTTCTGTGGATTAGTAAACGGGGTCCCCACCCCCACTCCACAAGGAGAACATCTGGCACCCAGAAGTCACTGAGAGAATAGCTGTTGCTTTGGTAGAATTCTGCCTCTGAGTGGCTTGTTCTTTTCCCAGACGGAGAGGTCTCCTGACAGCAGCTCTCTTCTTTTTCTTTTTTTTTTTTTTTGAGACAGAGTTTTGCTCTTGCGCTCAGGCTGGAGTGCAGTGGTGCACTCTCGGCTCCCTGCTCTGCCTCCTGGGTTCAAGTGATTCCCCTGCCTCGGTCTCCCAAGTAGCTGAGATTACAGGCATGCACCACCATGCCCAGCTAATTTTTTGTATTTTTAGTAGAGACAGGGTTTTGCCATGTTTGCCAGACTAGTCTCAAACTCCTGACCTCAGGTGATCCACCTGCCTCAGCCTCCCAAAGTGCTGGGATTACAGGCATGAGCCACTGCGCCTGGCTTTAGCAGCTCTCTTCTAAAGCCATCTGGACCCACATTTGTTCAGCTCCCCTCCCTTGGCCATGATGAAGGCATGCAAAACAAAAAAGGCACTTTTCTTATTGAGAAGGTGGCTTTTTATAGAGAATGGTGTCATACTGTTAGGTTTCAGGCCAGCAGACCTAGTCAGGCATGTGACACTTCTGTGCCAGGTGTGGCTATGAGAGTCAACAGGAAAAATGATATATGTAAATGGACAGGTCTTTAAATAAATGCAGTTTTGACTATAAGAGTAAGAAGGTTTCTGTGAGACTCAACTCAGTACCTCCTGTACCCTGTGGGCCTGAGAGAGGAGACAATGGGACAAGAAGACCCAGTGGCTTCCTTGGAAGCTTTTGTGCTAGCTGGAGAGAGAAGACCTACTTCCTATATGCCTAGCAACAGTCCACACTGACTGGACTGCAACCAGGACATTTCCAGATTACTCAGTGGGGCTTATCTTGAAATAATAGTTGATGCCATTTGTTAAATATATTATATATACCATCTAAGGGTCTTACATGCCTTCTCTCATTTGATCTTCATGGCAAACCCTGTGAGGTATGACCACCAACCACCATTTTACCTCAGAACTCAGGCTCCCAGAGTTTAAGTTGCTCACAGGAGCCCAGAAAGTAAGCGACAGAGGTGGGATTTGGTTCTAGGTGTTTGCCACCAGCACTTTAAATCACCAAAGCTTTCTGGAAGCTCCAACTTTTCTTCTCAAGATACTGAAAGACAGGTATCTGGATGGGTTGGCAGGGCGGGTGGGAGGTGGGCGAGATTTCCATCAACAACGGGTCTAAAACCAGCGATGGTGAGCTGGGTGATTTTGATGGAACCCCTGCCATACAGTCTATTAATATCATAATTGGAGCTAAAATTTAATCATGATGGCAATCATGAGTTCTGGGGCTTCTTGATTTGGGCCAGCAGACACAGTCTCAGTCACTAGTTCTCCGAATCAGAGAAAGGATGCCTTCAGGCTGTGTCTTCACATGGCTTTTCCTCTGTGCGTGGTGGAAAGAGAGAGCTCTGCGGGTCTCTTCTTGTTGTAAGGACACTGGCCCCATTGGATTAGGGCCCCACCACATGACACATTTAATCCTAATTACCTCCCTCACAGCCCTATTTCCAAACAGGGTATTAGTCACATTAGGGATTAGGGCTTCAACATAGGAATTCTGGGGGCACACAATTCAGTCTATAACAGAGGGAAAACAGATTTGAGAAGAAAAAAGTCCAAAATATGCACAGTGGTAATATCTGAAGATGTGCGTGCGTGCGTGTGTGTGTGTGTGTGTGTGTGTGTGTGTTTCTATTCTTGCATTTTCTAACTGTCCCCAGTGAGTATTTGTTACTTTCTAACTGAGAAGGTTACTTTAAACAGTGTCTTGAGCAGCAGCACTCCATGCCCTGGTGTAGCCTTTTCCTGGCAGATGTTCCCCAGGGCTCTGCTGCTCTGCCAATGACTTATTCTCAGCATGAACTCCTCCCCTGCCCCCTAAGAGGATCTCCAAACCCAGGTCACACTCCCCCTGCAGGTAAGTACAGGCGTTTGAGAACAGCTTTATTCTTCCAGGAACAGCTGGTCCCCTCAGCAGGGCCTTACAAGGTGGTTATGTCTAAATAAGGCACCTGAGGCCAGGAGATGTGACATGGTCCATCTAATACCATGGAGTGAGTTAGACACAGAGCAGGACTGGAACCCATGCTTCCAATTCCCCATCCAGTTTTAAGGCAATCTTCTTTTCTTTCTTTCTTTCTTTTTTTTTTTTTTTTTTTTTTTTTTGGAGACAGAGTCTCTGTCACCCAGGCTGGAGTGCAGTGGTGCGATCTTGGCTCACTGCAACCTCTGCCTCCGGGGTTCAAGCGATTCTCCTGCCTCAGCCTTCTGAGTAGCTGAGATTTCAGGTGCCCGCCACCACGCCTGGCTAATTTTTGTATTTTTAGTAGAGACGAGGTTTTACTATGTTGGCCAGGGTGATCTCGAACTCCTGACCTCAAGTGATCTGCCCACCTCAGCTTCCCAAAGTGCTGGGATTACAGGTGTGAGCCACTGCACCTGGCAAGGCAACCTTTTTTTTTTTTTTTTTTTTTGGTAGAAAATCTTTGAACTTCATATAGATGGTGTTAATGTGGGTGAGTTCAGAGCCATGTGTAAAGTTCCAGGAGGGGAGTGCTTGCTGGCTTCTCCCTTATCCCTCAACCAGATCCCAGCCCCAGCCACTTTCTGTTTCTCTTCTCTGGATAAAACTATCATTCATCTTCACCTGTTTCTATTTTCATGGATTACTGTCTCATTCATCTCAAGTAGCTCAAGTGAATGGCTGTTTTTCCATTGGATACAGGAAGACTGAGGGTGACCTGACCCTCATGGTGTGCTTGCTTATTTGAATGTCTGATGGTTTTATGGGTGTAGTCCTGCTGGAGCAGAAAGAATATCTGTTAGGAGCCTGCCTCTGGGCTCTGGTTCTAACTGTGCCACAAACTCATCGTAGCCTTAGACAATTCTCTTGTCTCTCTGGGCCTCAGTTTACCCATCTGGAAAATGATGGGTCTGAATTTAATACCTTGAGTATCATCCAGCTGTGACATACTACAACTCAGGCAAGAAGCAAATTCTCCTGACACTCCATACTCCTATCCAGTGTTCTCTGACGTCCTTCCCCAAGAGCTGTGGTACCCTACCCTGCCCACATTATGTGAGGCATTATAGCACATAGGTTAGAAGTGTGGTCTCTGGGCCGGGTGTGGTGGCTCATGCCTGTAATCCCAACACTTTGGGAGGCCGAGGCAGGTGGATCACGAGGTCAGGAGATCAAGACCATCCTGGCTAACACAGTGAAACCCCATCTCTACTAAAAATACAAAAAATTAGCTGGGTGTGGTGGCACATGTCTGTCGTACCAGCTACTTGGGAGGCTGAGGCAGGAGAATCACTTGAACCTGGGTGGCGGAGGTTGCAGTGAGCCAAGATCGTGCCACTGCACTCCAGCCTGGGCAACAGAGCGAGACTCCATCTCAAAAAAAAAAAAAAAAAAGAAGTGTGGTCTCTGGAGCTAGACCTAAGAATCCAATTCAGACTCTCTTACTTACTGACTGTGTAATTTGGACAAGTTACTTAGCATTTAGCATCTCTATTTCTTTAATCATAAAATGAACATATTAACACTTACTTCCTAGGGCTGTTGTGAAGATAAACTGAGTTGAGGTATGACAGTACCTAGCATGTAGTAAGCATCATTAAATGGTGTCTGTTGTTTTCACATATTGTAAAGAAGAAAGCTTCGTGCATCTCTTGGAATTTCTGAGGACGGTGAAGCCACAGCTGGGAAAGTCTCAGGGAGCCAGGAGTTGCTGGCCTCCTGCTTTGCATACTCAAAATTGCTGGAAAGGGGCTATAGCAGGGGGAGACATTTTTTAAAAATCCCAGTTATTGCTATTCCTCATGAGTATGTATATATCACCTGGCATCAGTACTCTGCATAGAAAGAAGCATAGCTAAAGAAAAGACACTTTGCTTTTAATATAACAGCTGTTTTCAGGGGAATAGGGTGGATGAGGATAGGGAGTACTGGCCCTCTGTCCTCAGGCCTCCCTGTCACCAGCTCAGTCACGTCTATCTTACAAATCCCCATCTAGCAGGAAGCCTGCTCTGCCCTTGGACTATAGACCTGAAGGGCTGTTGTTAAGTTACAACGTTCCCAGTGGAAGGAGGACAGTACTTAAAAGTTACAAGATGTGGGTTCTGTTCTTAGTTCTTATGGCCTGTCAGCCAGGGAACTCCTGGCCAGTAGTCTCATCCTTGAACTTCTTCTTTTTTTTTTTTTTTCTCAAGACGGAGTCTCGCTCTGTCGCCAGGCTAGAGTGCAGTGGCACGATCTTGGCTCACTGCAACCTCTGCCTCCTGAGTTCAAGCTATTCGCCTGCCTCAGCCTTCCAAGTAGCTGGGATTACAGGTGCTTGCCACCACGCCTGGCTAATTTTTGTATTTTTGGTAGAGACAGGGTTTCGCCATGTTGGCCAGGCTGGTCTTGAACTCCTGACCTCAAGTGAGCCCAGCCCTCATCCTTGAACTTCAAATTTCCACCCCACCTTACTCCCACAGGCATATACCAGTTGTTCCTTTTTCTCTGTTCTTATGCAGGAAATGGCCTGAGGTCCAGGAGTCCCCTTGGTCCCCTTTTTCCCTCACTCTCAACATTCAATTAGTCTTCACATCTACAGCCGACAATTGTAACTTCTTTTCTTTACTCCATTATTTCTTAGGTGACAACAGGAGCTTCTTTGTGGTCTTCTTTTTTCTAAAAACACTAATTCAGAACTCTAGCATGTTTAGATCTTCCTTACTTAAAACCCTTTCCTGGTCCCCATAACCTACTGAAGAAATCCTAAGCTCCCTGGCTTGGCCTCTGTCTACATTTCTCTGATCTCTTCCAGCTCTTTCTCTGTATCCTAGCCATACTGAACTACTTGCAATTCCCAAACAGGGTACACACTGTACTAGTTGTTCCTGCAAGAGACAGGAACACACATCCCCCCACACTAGCTTAACAAAACAAAAAATGCATTTCTCTCTCATGCAAAAGAAGTCCAAAAGTAGACATTCCAAACTTAATATGGTGTTCCAGTGTCAGAATCCAAGTTCTTTCTACTTTGTGGGTTTGCCGTTCTCAGCATATGACTTCCACTTTATGGTCCAAAATGACTGCTCAAGCTCCAGCCATCACATCCACATTTCAGCCAGGAGGAAGAAGGAACAAGGAAAGGCATAACCTTGCCTCTAAGGATAGTTCCTGGAAGCCACACTTGCTTACATTCCATTGGCCAGAATTAGTCACCCAGCCATATTTATCTATAAGAGAGGCTATGAAATTTTTTTATTTCAGGGAGTCTATTTTAGGTTGCCATGTGCAAAAGTAAAAACCAGAGGTGTTGGTGGTCAAGGAAGAAATAGCGAATGGATGCTGGGTAACATCTGGCAGTCTCTGCCACACACTCACACATTCAGGGGTTTGCACGTGGTTCCCCGTGTCTCAGACACCCCCTCTCTCATGCTTACAGTCTCTGCTTGGCATCTTCTTTTTTGCCCCCTAACACTTGCTCTTTTTTTTTTTTTTTTTTTTCGAGATGGAGTCTCACTGTTGCCAGGCTGGAGTGCAGTGGTGCAATCTTGGCTCACGGCAACCTCCGCCTCCTGGGTTCAAGTGATTCTCCTGCCTCAGCCTCCCGAGTAGCTGGGACTACAGGCACCCGCCACCATGCCCGGCTAATGTTTGTATTTTCAGTAGAGACGGGGTTTCACCATGTTGGCCAGGATGGTCTCAATCTCTTGACCTTGTGATCCACCCGCCTCGGCCTCCCAAAGTGCTGGGATTACAGGTGTGAGCCACCGCACCCGGCCCAACACTCGCTCACTTTATGGCCATCCTCATACTACCTCTGTTGTTGCACCATCACAGCGTGTTAACCATTGTTCAATTGTCCACCTTTCCCACTACCCTGTGACCTCCTGGAGGGCAGGGACTGTGTCTTTCCTTTGGCTCCTTAGCACCCAGTATAGCTGCACAATCTCCAGCCAAGGTAGACCGACCACCAATATTTCTTGTCTCAAAGATATATTGAGGAAATGAGAGTATATTCTTCAGGCTTCCAGGAACTTCCTTACATCTGTAGGAAGGTATGGGCATGGGGATAGCTCAGTGATTGTAGAGGCTCGTGGCAGATTGCTTGCTATTCTTTGGGTTGCACACAGGCCGTCTCTCTTGCCATAGTTTTTTCCAGATACTGCAGTGACATTGATTAGGTCTCAGCCTTGGCGATGTAGACTGAGGTGGAGAGGGATTATTGTCATGATTCTTGCTTTCGTTTCAGTCAGTTCTTGATTTGATTTCTGCCATTTATTCCTCTCAATTTTTACCTGGGCAACATCATCTCCCGCCTGCTTTTTAAGGTGAATGTTGACAGCTGATTTCATATATTAATTCTGGCTTTCTTAAGAGGGACATGGCTCCCTTCATTCTTAAGCCTTTGGGGCTACTTTTCTTTCTCATTCACTCATGATCTCCATTTGATCCGCAAGACAGCTCATATTTGAGAGAGCAGAGCAAATGTGTTATTCCCATTTCACCGATCAGAAAATGAGGGCCGGCCGGGCGCGGTGGCTCATGCCTGTAATCCCAGCACTTTGGGAGGCTGAGGTGGGCGGATCACGAGGTCAGGAGATCGAGACCATCCTGGCTAACAAGGTGAAACCCCGTCTCTACTAAAAATACAAAAAAACCCCCAAAAAATTAGCCGGGCGTGGTGGCGGGCGTCTGTAGTCCCAACTGCTTGGAGGCTGAGGCAGGAGAATGGCGTGAACCCGGGAGGCGGAGCCTGCAGTGAGCCGAGATCACGCCACTGCACTCCAGCCTGGGCGACACAGGCTGTGTCGCCTTTTTTTGAGACTCCGCCTCAAAAAAAAAAAAAAAAAAAGAAAAAGAAAATGAGGGCCTAGTAAGATTACTCTTATTTGCTCAAGATCATAGGAAAGTTAGTGGCAAAGCCAAGAGTTGATCCTGGATCCTTTTGTATCCAAGACCAGTATCTTTTGCAAATACTTTTCTTTATTTTGATAAATAATTAACATTTACATGCATTATTTTCCCCCAGAATTTGAATTTTTTCTTAGGATAGATTCCTAAACATGGAAGTATTGAGTCAAAGAGTATAAATGTGCTTTAAAAAAAATGCTCTTAATACATTTTGCAGAATTCTTCAAGCAAGGTTGTCACACTCATGTTTAAGGCAGGTATAACTACCCATGTGCAGGCCAGCCCAGGAGCCAGTGTGGTGGGGAGAGGCCATAACCAGCCATTGCTGGTTCCCTCAGCCAGCAGAGGCACACATGAGCTTCTCACCAGCCCGGTGAGGGTCTCCTGTTGGGAGGTGTGCATTTTTGCATGCACTCTGGCCTCTGCACACAAACTGAATATTTCATCTGGTGCTCAACCACAAGCACAGCCATCTGTTCCGTGTTGGAACAGATGTGTTGGACTGTGTTGGCTGTGTTGGACTGTGTTGGCTGTGTTGGACTTCGTGAGAGAGCCTATGTCAGTCTCCATCAGGATGTGTATGTAGTGTACTGGACTCTCTAGGTGATTGAAAGGATTCCAGAGATAATTTTGATTATATGAGTCCCTGACTTCAGACTCCACTCTTGTGACCACCACACAAGCTGTGACTCCAGGAGGCTGGGATGCCGTGCTATTTTCACTGTACCCTTGCCCCCGTAATCTCAAAGCCTGACTGGATGGAACCCTTTCTATTCTATGGCTAGTGGCTTGTGATAAATGTCCTTTCAGGTCAACACAGTGCAGGCTGGTATCTTTACCTTTCTTTCACCGAAGTTAAGTGCTGCACCAGAACTTAGAAGCCTCATGGGGCTCTGGGGCCTCAGGCTGTACCTTGTGCTATGTCAGCTATTACTTCATGTCAAACATTTGCATATGAATGTTCAAGCGACAGCTTATCTCTTTCTTCCTGCAGTTGGTTACCACAGAGAAGCGCTTCCTCAAAGACAGTTTGTACAATGAAGGAATCCTAATTGTATGGGACCCATCTGTATACCACTCAGATATCCCAAAGGTAAGTGGGTGTCCGTGGGAAATAGGGGTTGAGTTTCCTGTCTGTCTACAGATTTTCCTGATTTCCTAGGTTTTTAAAGTCATGGCTGACATTGGCTATTCCTAAAGGCTGGGTATTTGAGTTTTAGGGTACCCCATTTCATCTGGACTAGCAGATTCAGAAGTATTCCTGTCCTATACCAGCTACTCTCTTTGCCGTGCCAGCACTGCCAGGTATTGTCTCCCAGTTATAGTATTTACTGGGATAGTGGCTGGAGTTCCCAGCATCTGGGGTAGATTGTTCATTAATGCAATTATTCGTGATGAGCATCAGCAGAACTCGAGAGTAGTTGCCGTTACTCCTGTAAATAATATTAGCACACTTTTATTTCACACTTCCAATATCCAGAATTCTTCCCATTTCACTCTCATAACAATTTAAGGAGATAGATGGAAGTGTGGTTGTTCCCATTTTACAGATGGGGAAATTGAAATGTGGAGAATGAAAGTCCCCCATTCCAGGACTTGATTTACTAAGCAGAAGGCGCAGATCTGCAACAGCAGCTCTTTCCGGGGAAGGAGACATGAGTGGCAGGCCTGCTGGATTCTAACCTCTCTGGAATAGTCCTCTCACTGTTAATGCATGTCAGTTGACCTCTCCCTGATGCAGGCTGCTGTGGCCTCAGGAGCATGGCCTGAGAAGGGCAGAGAGCACTAATCTTGGGACACTTAACTCTTAAGTTGGATCTACCAATGCCTGACAGGCTCTGGCGACCCCTGGCACCCTCACTATCTGACTTTCAACAGTTTTGCACTGATCTCACTTAGAACTCAAATTTGCCTAGGTCAGGACAAGGACTCTGAACCCATAGATGTCCTATGCTCTAGTTTTCTCCCCTTTAAAAATGAGAGATGGGGCCAGATGGTACGTGGGGCTCTTTTCAGCTCTGAGAGTGTTCCCGGACTCTGATCCTGAAGCCTGAAGCTGATCTTGGGTCGCCAAGCTCAACTCTCCCCCAAAGCACAGGCTATAGGCTAGGCCCCACCCTGCTATCCAGTGAAACCTGCGGCTGGAAGAGAAACCTGTAGTCTGCTGCAAGAAAAGGGCTGTGCCTCAGGAGCAACACTTGTTGATCCTTTCCCCTCCCCATGTCCACTGATGAAGATGACTCCTGGGGGGAGCAGCTCACTGGCCCATTTCTCCCTTGAGAGGACCACTTCTTTCTTTTTCAGTGGTACCAGAATCCGGATTATAATTTCTTTAACAACTACAAGACTTATCGTAAGCTGCACCCCAATCAGCCCTTTTACATCCTCAAGCCCCAGATGCCTTGGGAGCTATGGGACATTCTTCAAGAAATCTCCCCAGAAGAGATTCAGCCAAACCCCCCATCCTCTGGGATGCTTGGTGAGTTCATGTCGGGGAAAAGACCTTGCATGTTTGTTTCTAGAAGAGATGAGCTTTTTTTCTGGGGTCTCATTCAGTCATTCGTTTGTTCATTTGTTCACTAAACAATTGCTAGGATTCTGCTCTGCTTGTAGACCATGCCAAGTTCTATCTAAAATACAGAGGGAAATCAGATAGAATCCTTTTTCCTGAGGGCATCTATTGGGGAGGTCAATCAGATGTCTGAGGCAATATTCAATTTGTGCCAGAAGGGAGAGACAACCTGGTGTCATAGGAGAGAGGACACCTTCTAGCTGGACAGTTGCTTATAGCCTCATGGAGGAAGTAGTGTTCGGTAGGCTTTGGAGAGGGGAGAATTTGGCAGAGGAAGATGGAGGGAAGGGAAGCTATGAACAGGGGAGGGAGGTGGGAAAATGAGGAGCGGGGCTGCACCTCAGACGAGGGGAGCAAGGCACTTTTCTCAGGTGTACAATTTAAGGGCGTACCCCTTAAAAACTCAGTCATCAAGATAAATAATATTTCACTACAGTATCTTCAGAAAACACAATTAATGTAAAAATTATGATGAGTGAAATATCAAGTATTTAAATAAAGATAGGATCAGTAACAGTGCTGTGCAGAGTTTATTGGAACAATGCTGGCCAGGGGCCCCCTTCTTGGATTTTCTCTACATCTCATCATTCAGACTGTGGAGTGCTCCTGTTCCAGCTGTCCCTTTGCCCAGCTAAGGGAAGAAAAGTCTTCCCTCCCCAACACTGTTTCATGCAAATGCTATAAGGAAAAATCTGCTCCCAAATAGCACCATCCAAGAGGTTCTGCAGGATGTCACAGTGCTAGAAAGTGCTAACTACACATGATGCCACTGTCTCCTCAATCAGCTCAGTAATCTTGTCCTCTTTCTCCAAATAAATTATTCCATGGATACATTCATTGGCTGATTGATGGAGTCATTTAATCTACTAGCATTTAGGGAGGATCTATTATTCACCAGGCCCTGGCCTAGGTGCTGGGGATTCAAAGGTGTATAACCCTCACACAGCCCTGCATCCTAAGGAACACTGCTGGGCTTGGCTTGCTGAAACTTAGATTGGGAATCACAGTCATAAATAGAAACTCCAGAGGGAAAGCTCTCCAAATTTGGGGTCATGAGCTGCTGAACCCACTGGGCAGAGCTCTGGGGTGCTGGGGTGGGTTGTCAGGCATGACTCACCTCTGCTCCCCTCTCCAGGTATCATCATCATGATGACGCTGTGTGACCAGGTGGATATTTATGAGTTCCTCCCATCCAAGCGCAAGACTGACGTGTGCTACTACTACCAGAAGTTCTTCGATAGTGCCTGCACGATGGGTGCCTACCACCCGCTGCTCTATGAGAAGAATTTGGTGAAGCATCTCAACCAGGGCACAGATGAGGACATCTACCTGCTTGGAAAAGCCACACTGCCTGGCTTCCGGACCATTCACTGCTAAGCACAGGCTCCTCACTCTTCTCCATCAGGCATTAAATGAATGGTCTCTTGGCCACCCCAGCCTGGGAAGAACATTTTCCTGAACAATTCCAGCCTGCTCCTTTTACTCTAGGGGCCTCTGTCAGCAAGACCATGGGGACTTCAAGAGCCTGTGGTCAGGAAATCAGGTCCAGCCTTCCCTGTAGCCAGACAGTTTATGAGCCCAGAGCCTCCTGCCACACACATGCACACATATCTAGCATTCTTTCCAGACAGCATCCTCCCCGCCTTCCACCTTGGTAGATGCAAGGTCTATCTCTCCCATCAGGGCTGCCAAAGCTGGGCTTTGTTTTTCCCAGCAGAATGATGCCATTCTCACAAACCAATGCTCTATATTGCTTGAAGTCTGCATCTAAATATTGATTTCACGTTTTAAAGAAATTCTCTTAAATTACAATTGTGCCCAATGCAGGGTGGCTCTGGGGGGCAAGTAGGTGGTACAGGGGATTGGAAACATGCTCCGCGCCTCCAGAGAAAAGTTGCTCCCGAGGTCCATGCCCCTGGAACGTGTTCCTATCACTCTGGCTGGTTGGGCTGGTCCTTAGACTGGGTGCTTATGATTAAAGGGTCTTGGTTAGCCCACTTTCCCTCTCCATGTGGAGATGGAAGGTAGAGAAGGATACAGTGTCTATCCTCAAGTTGCTACGGTTCAGTGAGAGAGGCAGACATCTGAACAGGCAGGTAGGATTCAGTGTGCTCAGTGCACTGGGGATTTGGAGAGAGATGGGCTTGCTCTCTCTGTGCACCCAGGAGGGCCACGCACTTAAAACTGTGTTTGTGGATCAGAGAAGGCTTTATAGCACAGGGGGCATTCAGATGAGTCTTAGAGGAAGAGAAGAAACATGGCAAGCAGATTACATCTGAGCCGTTTGAATTGTGTTTTTCTTTCTTCCCATGTTTATTTTCTAAGATCTACCTGAACTTAGAGACTCAAGATATTTTTTTAGGAAACCTCCTACCCATGTCTGAGGTAGCAAGTGCAGCCTCACGACAGATACCAGGCAATCCAGAGCCACAAAACGTGATTCCTCCAGGCTCTGCCTGGCCTGACCCTGTCCTGTCAGCTGGGTTTACATACCAGTCCCATTCTTCCTTTTCAATACCTACCCCCAAATCTTCTCCTAACCACCATCTGTTTTTTTTTTTTAAAGCATTTTTTGCTTTAAAAGCATCCTGACCCCAATTTCTTTGAGCTCACGGGCCTTTTGCTGAAGGTCTCTCAGGGTGTAGTGGTGTGGCTCTCTGGACTTAACGTCACTCTCAGAGGTCAGAACCTTGGAGATCAGAACTGATTCTCACCAGGTGTGAGAGGTGTGGTAGCAGATTGCAATGCTCTGCACCTCTTCCTTGCAAGTGAGCAACTTCAGGCTCTCTGGGCAGAGGCTGGCCCACTGTAGTTTGCAGACATGCTCTCCAGATGGTTTTACTAAGTCCCCTCTCCCTGATAGGGAATCCTGCTGGACCAGCGCAGCCCTGGTGTGGAGAGGTTAAAAGACTTGCACAGGATCACCAAGTCATGCTGTAGAGCCAGGATTCCTAGACCCAGGGCTCTGCACTCTCAAGGCTGGCCCCATGTGCTCAAGGGGATCTAATGTTTGGGCTCCAAACTAACCATCTCGGAGCTGGGCTCCTCATTTACTGCCAAACCCTCAGCTTATGTAGCTAGAAAGGGCCCTGGAGTGAGAAAGCCTGGATTTTCAAATTGATGCTCCCCTACTGACTAGCTGTGCCACTCTGGGCAAATGCTCTTCCTTGAGCCTGTTTCCACACCTGTAAAGTGGGGATGATGATCCTATCTCACTGCTTTTGTGAGGATTACAGGAAAGCACCTGTCCTGGCTCTGTACCTGGCACGTAGTAGGTGCTCAGTTCATGCTGGTTTCCTTCCTGCCTTTAGTAGGGACCTGCTCTGTGCTCACACCTCGGCTGCATGCACCCTGCTGTGACGGAGGCTAGTGTGGAAGAGGTCCTGTCCTCAGGGAATTAACTGTCTTATTGGGAGACAACAACTGTCCTCCTTGGAACACCCAAGAAACCATGCAAAGCAGTGGACAACACAGAACACGCCCTCCTCCTCGCTGCCTGCAGCTCCAATCTGATTCTGCTTGGGAATGGGCGGAGCACGTGGGCTGCTTAACTGCTGTATAGGACAAGCCCCTTACCCCTCTCTGGGCCCATGAATTCCTGGCTTGGTTTATGTTCTGATTTGACACACTGATTTTAATCTTCGAATCATGACACTGAGTGCAGAGGAGGTGGCATTCCGACAGCAGGACATACATGTTGGTGTGAAGACTGGGACGACACTGGGTAGAATCTAGTTTTTAATTATTATTAATATAAAGGATCAAATTAATTTAAATATGATTCTGAAGTCTACAGAACTTTTAGTTCTGTGCTGTCTATGTGGACACTTTGGTAAAATGCAAATTATGATATGGACGTTATCATTGGTCTGGTGAGATGTTTCATATTTGTGACAGTTAATTTAAAAATTATGAGTTAATGCTGCCTGTGTCTATGGGGTTCTGTCTTCTTTGATAGCCATCTATTCATCTGGATCATGGGACCCTCTCTAATCCTTCCACCAATCAAATAAGCTATTGCTATTGGTTTGGAGTTGAGATATCAGTCTCGGAAACTTCTGAAAAATGCTAATAATTACCCAAGGATTATGTCAAATTTTAAAATAAATGTGTGTGTGTTTCTTTAAGCTGCTTCTCTCTTCTTATTTGCTAAATGAACAACTGCTGATTGCCAACTTTTATCTCCAAAGAGGACACAACTGAGATCCTGAACCCCCCAGTCCTTACCCACTGGCTCCTCTAGCCTTAGACTTACTCCTCAGTACTCCAGGAAAAGAAATGTGAACTTTACTGGAAGGATCACCTCTTTGAAATATTCACTGGTTTACTGATTTTTTTATTTTTATTTTTTGTTCTTGCCTGGATTCACATAACTAACCTGTTGCATCAAAGAAGAGATGGAGTCGGGCAGAAAGCAGAACATAAGGAAGATCCTTCCCTCGGTTTCCAAAACTCTAAAATCCTTAAATGAATGATGTCTTAAAAGGATTTAAAATGTTTGGACACAAATCTTGAGAAGGAGCATGAGTTAGGGGAGAGAGGATAATTCCTTTCTCCTGTGAACTGCCCACCCCCTTGTTACAGGTTGAATTGTGTCCCCCCAAGATTTGGATGTCTGAAGTCCTAACCCCCAGTACCTCAGATTATGACCTTATTTGGAAATAGGGTCATTGCAGATGTAATTAGTGACGATGATGAGGTCATATTGGAATAGGTTGGGCCCCTACTCCAATATGACTTGTGTCCTTTTGAAATGTGGAAATTTGGAGACAGGCATGCACACAGGGAGAATACCATGAAGGCTGAGCCCACAGAGATACCAAGCACCTGCAACCTCCACTCCCACCCGACTAGTAGGGTTCTCACTGACAAAGCCCGACTTTCAGTGTCTTAGATACTGTTCTTAGAAAGTGCTTCATGGCCTGGCAGTGTGCTGAACCCATACCAGTGCCTGGCCTCTAGAGCCATGAGCAAGATGGGGAGAAAGGACACACAGGACTCAGAGACTGCCACCTCCTTTCTAGTCCCAGGTCCTTGTCCTCTGGATGTCCTTGGTTTCCACTTCCTTCATGACCCCCGGCGCAGCCCTCTGGGATGTGTTGTAATGTGACAGAAAGTGGCTCTAACACCGCTTTCCACTCTCACTTAGGCCAGGAACACTCGCTCAGGAATCTCATGCTATGGGATGGGATAATGGCATCAGCTCAGGAGAGAGGAAAAGGCCTTCTCAGTACCCCTGAAATCCCACCACCCAAAGCATTGATGTCCCCATCCAGGTGTTCTCAGGATTAATCAGAAAACAAGTTTATAATGGGAAGAGGAATTCTCTTTGACCCAGTGAATACACATTAAACAGCCATCATGTGCCTGGCACTGGGAACAGGATGAAAACCCACAGCACCTGCCTCCCAAGGAAATGGAGGGCCACAGGAATGGGCCTGCCCTGCCTGTGGATAGGTATTATCATACTAATGTGAGATTAGTGGTGTTATTTTCTGGAAAGCTAAACCTGGATAACACTGCTATTGTTAGGCACACATCCATAACTACTTAGAAGAAAAATAGTATGCAAATGCCAAATATGAAGACGTGATAATACAAGGTAAAGTAAAATAATGGTGTTATAGAGGAGATAGTCATTTTAACGGGGAGATTTGGGGAGTCTTGAGGATGGGCAAGATTCTTTTTTCTTTAAGTAAAATGCAACTTCTGATTATGAAAGTAATACATATTCAGTGTCAAAAGAACAGAAAATTTTAAAAAGAGAAAAAGAATCATCTTCCACATCCATGATCCAAAGGTAACCTCTACCAGCAGTTTCCAATCCTACTTTAAAAACAATATTTTTATACAAATAAAAACCCATCTTTTTATTTAAAAAATACATTATAAAAATGCCTGTGGATCATTAAGGACTTTTTGAAAACAGGCTTTGTAATGGTTGAATGATATTCTATCATAAGGATGGGTTACAGTTTACACACAACTTGTTCCTAGAGTTGAGCATGCAGTTTATTTACATTTGTTTTCTCCAAAATACCAAATATATAAGCACATGTTCTCATCTCTGATTGTATCCTGAGGTGAAAAGTGGGTTCATGGGGTGGGCTGGGTACTATTTTCCCCTCAGGAATTGTGGCTGGGAGACTCCGAATCATATTGGGGGAACTTCTGGAACAGTCTTACAGAATTAGAAACAGACAGACCAGGGGTGAAACCGAAGGCAGCATTATAGGATTGCTGGGAACTCTGTTACTTTCTCTGGTTAATTATTTTGCTATTTTTTGGTGTTGTTTCTCCATACAAATTAGTCATAAGGACCTCCAATATGAAGATCTGTATTCGTTATATATGGCTAACAAATGACTTCAAAATTTAGTAGCTTAAAACAAAAGTATATTAGTTTGCTAAAGCTGCCATTACAAAATGCCACCGACCGTGTGGCTTAAGCAACAGAAATTTGTTTTCTCGCAGATCTGGAGGCTGGAAGTCCAAAGTCAAATCGTCATCAGGATTGGTTTCTCCCGAGGCCTCTCTTGTTGGTTTGCAGATGGCCACCCGCTTCCTGTGTCCTCATACGGCTTCTCCTCTGTACACATGATCCCTGGTTGTCTCTGTGTCCAAACCTCCTCTTAGAAGGAGACCAGTCAAATTGCGTTAGGACCCACCCTAACGACCTCATTTTAAATTAATCACCTCTTTAAAGGCCATCCCTCCAAATACAGTCACATGCTGAGGATTGCGGATTAGGACTTCAGCATATGAATTCTGACGGGACACAATTGAGCTCATAACAAGCAATAAACATTATTTTCTCACACAGTTACTATGAGTCAGAAATTTACGAGTCATTTAGCTAGCTACTTCTGGCTTGGGGTCTCAAAGATTGCAGCCAAGATGGCAGCTAGGGCTTCATTATCATCAGAACTTAGTATAGTATATATCCTATATTTCATTCTTTTCTTTTTTCTTTTTTTTCTTTTTTTTTTTTTTTTTTGAGACAGTCTCGCTCTGTCACCAGGCTGGAGTGCGTCCTTGTCGCGATCTGTGTTCACTGCAACCTCCGACTCCCTGGTTCAAGCGATTCTCCTGCCTCGCCTCCTGAGTAGCTGGGATTACAGGCACGCACCACCATGCCCAGCTAAGTTTTGTATTTTTAGTAGAGACGGAGTTTCACCATGTTGGCCAGGATGGTCTTGATCTCCTGACATTGTGATCCGCCTGCCTTGGCCTTCCAAAGTGCTGGGATTGCATGCATGAGACACCGCACCCAGCCTATACCCTATATTTCATTCTGCCTTTCAAACTACCAAGTTTTCTGTTGCCTTATGTTTTACAATATACTTTAACCTATATTTCCTCTCTTATCAGAGTCAGGAATGAAACAGTATCTTGTATTTTTATAAGATAAGAAGTTTGACACACTTTTATTTTTTAATCACCCATCCTTAGTTTTTATTAACATTAGAATTTTGGATTCAGAATATCATTGTTCTTTGGAAAATAATTTTTGGTAATATCATTCGGCTTTATAATCAAAATTACAATGTATTTTTAAGGCACATTTCTATTTTAAATTGGTTAATTACTCAGCATTTACCCTTTTATACATGACAGCTCCATTCTTTTTGAGACAGGGTCTTGCTCTGTGGCCCAAGCTGGAGTGCAGTGGTGTTATCTTTGCTCACTGCAACCTCCACCTCCCAGATTTAAGTGATTCTTCTATCTCAGCCTCCCAAGTAGCTGGGATTACCAAGCTCCGTTCTTTTTCTTTCTTTCTTTTTGAGACAGAGTCTCACTCTGTCACCCAGGCTGGAGTGCAGTGGCGTGATATCAGCTCACTGCAGCTCCCGCCTCCCGGGGTCAAGCGATTCTCCTGCCTCAGCCTCCTGAGTAGCTGGGACTACAGGTGCACGCCACCATACCCGGCTAATTTTTTGTATTTTTAGTAGAGATGGGGTTTCATCATGTAGGCCAGGCTGGTCTCGAACTCCTGACCTCACGATCAACCTGCCTTGGCCTCCCAAAGTGCTGGGATTATAGGCATGAGCCACCACGCCTGACTGACAGCTCCATTCTTAATGCCCTTTATTTGCTTCATTTATCGCTCTGTTGTAGTACATCTTCAAATAATTTTTTCAAGGATACATGAATCCTTGCATATCTGAGAATGTCTCTTTTTAATACATGAATGTTGAATTGCCTGGGTGTAAAATTCTAGAGGTAACATTTTTTTCTTTTAAAACACTGTACAGTGGAATCATTCTGATTCAGTTGCAAGGTTAAAAAATTAGCATAGAAGGCAAAAATCATGCATAGAAGTTAAAATCACTCTGAATTTAATTCCTTAAAATGTCCATCATACCAGGGCTGGGCCCTTGGAAACTCAAAAGCCTAGGATGATCTTCTATTTTTGCCTTTGACTGAAGTTCCCCTTTCTCTGAAGCAGAGAAGGCCAAACATCTGCTAGCAAAGCAAAAGTTTGAAATTGGATTCTTGTTAGGCAAAACATAAATTATTCTATGTAGTTATGTAGATTGGTCCCAAAGGCCCAGGCCTTGGAAGAAGTCTGTCTGCTTGAAAGGACCACCAAGCAAAGTCAACTAAGATTGAGCACCATGTGTTCTGAGAAGCTTTCCCTGATTCTGCAGCCCCTCCCCGCTAATAAAGCTTTGGTAGGTGCCCCTGTGCTTCCCTTTTCCATTCTGTGGTTGTCTCCGCATACGTTGCATTACAGTAAAGTAATGTGTTGAGCCTCCTTGGGACAGGGCTTTGGTCTGATTTGTCTTTAGTGTCTTTGGAAGATGAAGATGGGCCGGGTGCGGTGACTCATGCCTGTAATGCCAAGGAGGGAGGATGGCTTGAGGCCGGGAGTTCAAGACTAGCCTGGGCAACATTGGGAAACCCTGTCTCTACAAAAAATAAAAAAAGGGTTGGGTGTGGTGATGCCCTCCTGTGGTCCCGATACTTAGGAGGCTGAGGTGGGAGGATTACTTGAGCCTGAGATGTCGAGGCTGCAGTGAGCTATGATGGCACCACTCACTGCAGCCTGGGTGATATAGCAAGACTCTGTCTAAAAAAAAAAAAAAAAAAAGATGTTGATGATTGATTGGTTGAAAGTTTGTTAAACTAACAGGAAGATACAGTATTCTAGAAACACAATACTAACCAATTTCCTTGGGTTCTGTTATTGTCAGATAAACTTCTTAATTGTGCCAACGTTGTGACTTCAAAAACTGTACATTTCACATTGAAAAGAAAAAATCAACAGAGAACATTTCATCCCTAGGTGTTTCATGTCCTGTGCTAAGCGGGCCGGTGAGAAGCCCAAGGTAATATGCATCAATAAACCCACTTTGTTTCTAAAGCAAATGCTCTTGCTTTCTCAGAACACATCACCTCAGCCTTCCAGAGGAATAAAATAATGGTAAGTTTAATAAAATAATTAAATAACCAAATCCTTACTGATGGGGTCTTAGTGGTCAGAGAGTATTCCACATTTCTGTTATAATATCATAGCTTCACAGACCCTTTGTAGATTCTTGTGTCACAGACAATAGTCATTTACTCTAGGAAGCTTATCCTGTGAAATTCTATTTTCTCTTATTTATTTCCTTTTTTTTTTGTATTTTTTTGTTTTTTTGTTTTTTTTTTGAGACAGGGTTTCACTCTGTCACCCAGGCTGCAATGCAGTGGTGCAAACTCGGTTCACTGCAACCTCCACCTCCTGGGCTCAAGCCATCCTCCCACCTCAGCCTCTCAAGTAGCTGATATTACAGATATGCACCACCATGCCCGGCTACTTTTTTGTATTTTTGATAGAGAAAATACATTTTTGCTATGTTTCCCAGGCTGGTCTTGAATTCCTGAGCTCAGATGATCCACCCGCTTCAGCTTCCTAAAGTGCTGGGATTACAGGCTTGAGGCACCACACCCAGCATATTTCTTTAAACGTATAAAAGGGACTTTCAGTGAGAAAGAAAAATACATCCGGAGGATGTGCCATATTTTCCTTTTATTTTAATTACAAAATTACTTCATGTTTATTGTGGGAAAACATAGTAGTATAGATAAAAGGAAAATAAAAACACACTTTGTTACATTTCTTTCTAGACCAAAATTTGCTATGTCTCTCTTAAGAGTGAATTAAAAGAGCTTCCTGTCATTTATTTATCTTTTACAACTTCCTCTGCATAGTGGAGGTGGCACAACAAAGCCCGAAACATTCCTAGAATTTCATTTCCAGGCAGCTTAAACTAGGAAATTAGTGTCGGGGGTGTGCCAATTCTTTTCTGCACTAAAAAAAAATTTTAACAGTGTGTATGATTGGCACAAAATAAACTGCACAATTTGATAAATTTTGGCTTATGTATACAACTGTGAAACCATCACCACAATCAAAATGTAAACATATCACCCATTAAGGTTGTTTCTTCATTCCCCTGTAACCCCTTCCTTCCATCCCTCCCTGCTCCTCCCTATTCCCAGGAACTTTCTGTTTTCTGCACTACAGATTAGTTTGCATTTTTCAGAATTGTATATAAATGCAACCATACAGTATGGACCCTGTATCTATGTCAGTCAGGGTTCAACAAAAGAGAGTAGGGTGGGGGTAAAATATATGTATCAATCTGCTACAGGAAATTGGCTTTATGCAACTGTGGCAGCTGGTCAAGGAGTCTCTTTAAGGCTGTTTCCATGTCTGATGCTAGAGCTGGAAGTCTACTGGGCAAAAAGTCAAGACGATCACAAGTGGGCTGGCATGGGGAAGCATGAGCTGGAGCCTCACAAGGACAGGCTGAAACTCTTGTCCATTCTTGTTGCCTCTGATGTTGGTGATGAGGGTATCCTGCAGAAGCCAGGGCGCTTTGTCACAGAACTAAACACATACATGGTCCCAAAGTCAGAAAAACTGGTGAATCCAAGGGTAGGTAGTAGAGCAACTGTAGGCCCAGATGCTGCTTCAAAGTAGCTGCTGCCTTTTTCCCACCGTCTAAAGTCCCTTGTTGCTAACTCTGATAGGAAACATACAGGAAGTAGAATTCTTGGACAGTTTAGACTGGCCAAGTACAACATTACAAATCCATCACTTAAATCACAGACTTTTTTTTTTTTTTTTTTTCAGACAGGATCCGGCTCTGTTGCTCAGGATGGAGTGCAGTGGTGCAATCTCAGTTCGCTGCAACCTCCACCTCCTGGGCTCAAGAAATCCTCCCACCTCAGCCTCCTGAGTAGCTGGGATGACAGGTGCACACCACTCTGCCCGGATACTTTTTGTATTTTTTGTAGAGACAAGGGTCTCATTATGTTGCCCAGGCTGGATGACAGGTGCACACCACTATGCCCGGATACTTTTTGTATTTTTTGTAGAGACAAGGGTCTCATTATGTTGCCCAGGCTGGTCCTGAACTCCTGAGCTGAAGCAATCCACCTGCCTCGGCCTCTCAAAGTGCTAGGATTTCAGGCATGAGCCATTGTGCCGGCCCACATACTCTTTTTTTTTTTTTTTGTCCAGCTTCTTTTACTCAGCATAATGTTTTGAGATTCATCCATACTGTAGTGTATATTAATAGCTTATTCCTCTTATTGCTGAGTAGTATTCCACTTTGTGGATATACCATATTTGTATAACAGTTATCTTTGTTGTTGAACATTTGGATTGTTTTCTAGTTTGGGGATATTATAAATAAAGTTGCTATGACCATTTGTATACAAGTCTTTTATTTCTGCTGGGTGACTTGTAGGAGTGAAATGGTTGAGTCATATTATAGGCATTTAGTTAATTTTTAAAGAAACTGCCATATTGTTTCCTAAAGTGGTTGTACTATTTTAAATTTCCACCGGCAGTGCATAAAAATTTTAATTCTGCCACATTATGGCTAACCTTAGTTTAAGTCTTTTTAATTTTAGACATCATAATCGGTGTGTTATCTTATTTTGGTTTTAATTTGCATTTCCCTAATGGCATATAATGTTCATCATCTTTTCATGTGCTTATTTCCTATCCATTTTCTTTGATGAAGAATCTTTTCAAATAATTTGTCCATCTCTTAATGGACAATGATTGTTTATTGTTATATTATTGAGTTTTTAAGAATTTATATATTTATGTATAAATTTATATAAATTATTTATATATTATATTTATATATTCTAGATACAAGTCTTTTATCAGGACTTGTGATTTGTAAACATTTTCTCTCAATCTGTGGTCTGTTTTTTTCATTCTCTTAAAAATGCCTCTAAAAAACAAATTTTAAATTTTGATGAAGTCCAATTTATCTTCTATTGATCATGTTTTTGGTGTCATAACTAAGATGTTTTGGCCTAACCCCAAGGTTATAAAGATTTCTTTTAAAAGTGTTACAGTTTTAGTTACATTTAGGTCTATGATCCTAATTTTTTTTGTATTGGTGCAATGTATGGAAGAAAGTTGGGGTTTTTGCACATGGATATTCAATTGTTCCAGTACAACATGTTGAAAAGAATATGCTGCCTCCACTGAATAGCTTTTGCACTTTTGTAAAAAAAAAAAAAAAAAAAAAAAAAATCAATTGACCGTATATGTGTGGATTTACTTCTGGACTTTGCTCTGTTCCATTGGTCTATTTGCCTATCTGGATGCTAGTTACACACTGTTATGATTATTGTAGCTTTAAATTTCTTTAAATTTTTTTTGGTGGGGGGTATAGCCGGGCACGGTAGTACATGCCTGTAGCTCCAGGTACTTGGGAGGCTGAGGCAGGAGGATCACTTGAGCCCAGGAAGTTCAAGGATATCTTGAGCAACATAGCAAAACCCTGTATCAAAGAACAACAACAACAACAAAAATTGGGAGGGTGAGGGTATCTTTGGTCCTTTTACATTTCCACGTAAGTTTTAGAAATAGCTTGCCAGCATCTACAAAAAAAAGCCTGCTAGATTTTGACTGAGATTGCATTAAATCTATGGATCAATTCAGGAAAAATTGACATCTTAACAATAGTAAGTCTTCTAGTTCGTGAGTGCAGTATATTTCTGCACTTATTTAGGTTTTCTTTAATTTCTCTCAGAAATGCTTTGTAGATTCTAGTTTATGAGTCTTGCACATCTTTTGTCAGATTTATCCCCCTAAGTATTTCATATTTTTGATGCTGCTGTAAATGTTTGTTTTTAATTTCAATGTCTGAATGTTTGTAGCTAGTATATAGACATACAGTTGACTTTTGTATCTTGATTTTGTGTTTAGTGATCTTGCTAAATTTAGTTCTAGGGGCTTTTTTTGTAAATTCTTTGGTTTTTTCTTTTTTTTTTTTAAATAGGTAGTCATTTCATCTGCAAAAAAAGACAGTTTCTTCTTGCATTGTTTCTGGTGAAAAATCTGCTGCCATCCTTTTCTTTGTTCCTCTGTATGTAATGTGTCTTTTTTTTTTTTTTTTTTTGAGACGGAGTCTCGCTCTTTCGCCAGGCTGGAGTGCAGTGGCACGATCTCACCTCACTGCAACCTCCGCCTCCCGGGTTCAGGTGATTCTCCTGCCTCAGCCTCCCGAGTAGCTGGGACCACAGGCACCCGCCACCACGTGCGGCTACCGTAATGTGTCTTTTTAAAAATTTACTTTTACTTATATTATTTTTAATTGACAAATCATAATTGTATTACATGTATGGAATACAATATGATGTATACACATACACATACATGTGGAGTGATTAAGTCAAGCTAATTAACATATTCACCACCTCAATTATTTGACATTTTTTGTGGCAATACATTTGAAATTTACTTTCTTAGTTATTTTGAAATATACAACATATTATTGAATATAGCCAGCCTGGTGTCCAATAGATCTCAAATCTTGTTCCTGCCGTCTAGCTGAAACTTCATACCCTTTGACCAGTAGTAACTCCCCATTCTCTCACTCCCCTGACTCCAGTATCTGGTAACCATCCTTCTATTTTCTACTTTTGTGAATTCAGCATTCTTAAGATTTCACATATAAGTGAGATCATGTGGTATTTATCTTTCTGTGCTTGGCTTATTTCACTTAGCATAATGTTCTTTAGATGCATCCACGTTGTCCCAAATGACAAAATTCCATTCTTTTTAAAGGCTGAATAGCATCATTCTATTGTGTATATATGCATTTTCTTTATCCATTCATCTATTGATGGACACTTAGATTGATTTCCTCTCTTGGGTATTGTAAATAATTCTGTAATAAACATGGGAATGCAGATATCCCTTTGACTACTGATTTCAATTCCTTTGGACATATTCCCAGAAGTGGGATTGCTGGATTATATGGCAGTTTTATTTTTAGTTTTTTGAGGAACTTCCATACTTTTTTCCATAATGGCTGTACCAACTTACATTTACATCAGCAGTGTACAAATGTTCTCTTTTCTCCACATTTTCACCAATGCTTGTTTCATCTTTTTGATAAAAGCCATTCTAACAGGTGTGTGGTGATATCTCCTTGTGGTTTTAATTTGCATTTTCCTGATGAGTGGTAATGCTGAGTATTTTCTTGTAAACCTGCTGGCCATCTGTATGCCTTTTTTTGAGAAGTATCTGCTGAAGTCTTTTGCCCATGGATTATTTGTTTTCCTGCTATTGAGTTGTTTGAGTTCATTATATATTTTGAGTATTAACCCCTTATCAAATGTACGGTTTCCAAATACTTTTTCTCATTCTGTGTGGGCTGTCTCTTCTAAACTTGGCAGATTGTTTCTTTGGCTGTGCAGAAGCTTTTAAGTTTGATGCAATCTCATTTGTCTATTTTTGGTTTTGTTGCCTGAGCTTTCAGGGTCATATAAAAAAAAATCTTTGCCCAGACCAATGTTAAGGAGTTTTTCCCTGTGTTTTGTTCTAGTAGTTTTATAGTTTCAGATCTTACATTTGAGCCTTCAGTGCATTTTGAGTTGATTTTTGTGCTTGGTGTAAGGTAAAGGTCTAATTTCATTCTTCTGCATGTGGATAACCAGATTTCCCAATGCCATTTATTGAATAGACTTTCCTTTCCTCATTGTGTGCCTGGCACCTTTTCCAAAAATCAATTGACCATAAATAGGTGGGTTTATTTCTGGGCTTTCTACCTGTTCCATTGGTTGATGAGTCTGTTTTCATGCCAGAACCATGCTGTTTTGACCACAATTGCCTTATAGTATATTTTGAAGTGTGGTACTATGATGCCTCCAGCTTCATTCTTTTTACTCAGGATTGTTTCAGCTTCTCATGGTCTTTTGTAGTTCCATACACATTTAAGAATTATCTTTTCTATTTTTGTGACAAATGGCATTAGAATTTTAATAGGGATTTTATTGAAGATATAGATTTCTTTGAGTGGTGTGGACATTTTAACAATATTAATTCTTCTAATCTATGAACATGAGATATCTTTCCACTTATTGGTGTTTTCCTCAATTTCTTTCATCAGTGTTTTATAGTTTTTAGTATACAAGTCTTTTACCTCCTTAGTTAAATTTATACCCGGGTATTGCTGTGGCTCCTCTCGTTAATTCTTTCCAGGTAATGCATTATTGGTGTATAAAAAATTACTGATGTTTGTATGTTGGATTTGTATACCGCAACTTTGCTGAATTTGTTGATCAGTTCTAACAGTTTTTTTGTGAATTTTTTTGGGTGGATTTTCTATGTATAAGATTATGTCATCAATGAGGAGAGACAGTTTCACTTCTTCCTTTCCTATTAGGATGCCTTTTATTTTATTTTATTTTATTTTATTTTTTTTTGAGACGGAGTCTTGCTGTGTTGCCCAGACTGGAGTGCAGTGGTGCAATCTCGGCTCACTGCAACCTCCGCCTCCCGGGTTCACACCATTCTCCTGCCTCAGCCTCCCGAGTAGCTGGGACTACAGGCGCCCGCCACCATGCCCGGCTAATTTTTTGTACTTTTAGTAGAGATGGGGTTTCACCGTGTTAACCAGGATGGTCTTGATCTCCTGACCTCGTGATCTGCCCACCTCAGCCTCCCAAAGTGCTGGGATTACAGGGGGGAGTCACCGCACCCGACCTTGTTTCTTTCTCTTGCCTAATTGCTCTAGCTAGGACTTCCAATACTATGTTGAATAGAAGTCGTGAGAATGAGAATACTTGTTTTCCAGTTCTTGGAGGAAACGCTCTCAGCTTTTTACTGCTGAGTATGTTAGCTATGTGTCTGTCATACATTGCTTTTATTATGTTGAGGTACATTCTCTTTATAACTATTCTGTTGAGAGTTTTTATTACAAAAGGGTGTTGAATTTTGTGAAATTCTTTTTCTGCCTCTGTTGAGATGACCATATGGTTTTTATTCTTTATTTTGTTAGTGTAATGAGTCACATTGATTGATTTTCATATTTTAACCACCTTGCATCTCAGGGATAAATCCCATTTAATCATGGCAAATGATTCCTTCAATGCATTGTTGAATTTGTTTTGCTAATATTTTGCTAAAGATTCTTGTATATATGTTCATCAGGAATATTGGCCTGTAAATTTTTCTTTTGTAGTGTTCTTGTCTGATTTGGGTATCAAGGAAATGCTTGTCTCATAAAATCAGTTTGGAAGTATTCCCTCTTCCTTGATTTTGTGGAATAGTTTGAGAAAATTTGGTATTAGTTATTCTTCAGTTATTGGTAGGATTCAGCTGTGAAGCTATTAGGTTCTGAGCCTTTCTTTGATTTCTTGCTTATTTTATCTCCTTATTTTTTACTGGTCTCTTCAGATTTTCTATTTCTTCATGATTCAGTTTTAGTAGGTAGAATGTGTCTAGGAACTTATCTGTTTATCTAGATTGTCCAATTTTTTTGGCATATAATTATTCCAAGTAATTTGTCGCGATCTTTTGTATTTCTGTGTTATCAATTGCCTCCACTTTCATTTCTAATTTTATTTGAGTCACTCTATTTTTTCACTTAATCTAAGTAAGGGTTTATCATTTTTATCTATCTTTTCAAAAAACAAATACTTAGTTTTATCTATTTTTTCTATTACTTTGCTAGTCTCTATTTCATTTATTTTTTTCTCTTTCTGCTCTTGTTATTTCTCTCTTTCTGCTAACGTTGTTCTTTTTCTAGTTCCTTGAGGTGTAATATTAGGTTGTTTATTTGAGATCTTTCTTTTTCTGATATAAGTATTTATTGCTATAAAATTTCATCTTAGGACTGCTTCTGCTGCATGCTGTAAGTTTTGATATGATATATTTTCATTTTTGTCTCAAGGTACATTTTTCGTTCCTTTTTTATTTCTTTTGTGACTCTGGTCTTGTAATCAGGCAAGGGAGAGAAATAAAAGGCATCGAATAGGTAAGGAAGAAGTGAAATTTTCTCTCTTCACTGATGACATAATCTTATAAACACATAAAAATCATAAAAATTCCACAAAATTTCCACATACTAATTTCCACATTTGTGAATTTTCCAATATTTCCCGAGATTTCTCTTGTTATTGATTTCCAGTTTCATGGCATTGTGATTGGAAAAGATACTTGCTATGATTTGAATCGCCTTAAATTTGATAAGATTTGTTTTGTGGCCTAACGTGGTCCTGGAGAATGTTCCATTGAGAAGAAAGTGTATTCTGTTTCTGTTGGATGCAATGTTCTGCATATGTCTGTTAGGTACATTTGTTCTAAAGTGTAATTCAAGTCCAGTGTTTCCTCGTTGATTTTCTAACTAGATGGTCTGTTATAAAAAATGAATACCCGTACTATTATTGCATTGCAGTCTACCTCCTCTTTGAAATCACTTAATAATTGCTTTATGTATTTAGGTGCTTTGATGTTGGATGAATATATTTACAATTGTTATGTCCTCTTGATGAATTGACTCCTTTATCATTATATAATGGCCTTTTTGATCTCTTTTGATAGGTTTTGAATTACAGTCTATTTTTCCTTATATAAGTATAGCTAACCCTGCTCTCTTTTGGTTTCCATATGCATGGAATATCTTTTTCAGTCCCTTCATGTACAGTCTATGTGTGTCCTAGTGAGGTGAGTCTCCTGTAGACAGCATATGATTGAATATTGGTATTTTGTTTGTTTGTTTGATTTGAGACAGAGTTTTGCTCTGTTGCCCAGGCTGGAGTAAAGTAGTGCAATCTCAGCTCACTGCAGCCTTGACCTCCTGGGCTCAAGCAATCCTCCCACCTCAGCCTTCCAAGTAGCTGGGACTACAGGCATTCACCACCATGTCTAGCTAATTTTGTTTATTTTTTGTAGAAATGAGATCTCACCATGTTGCCCAGGCTGGTCTTGAACCCTTGGGCTCAAGTGATCCTCCTGCCTTGGCCTCCCAAAGTGTTGAGATTATAGACATGAGCCACCATGCCTGGCCTGAATATTGTTTTTATGCATTCAGCCACTCAATGTCTTTTGATTGGAAAATTAAATTTATTTACATTCAAAGTAATTAGTGACAGGTAAAGGACTTGCTACTGCCATTTTGTAATTTGTTTTCTGGTTGTTTTATAGATTCTCTGTTTCTTTCTTCCTCTCTTGCTGTCTCCTTTTGTGGTTTAAAGGTTTTCAGTGGTGGTCTGTTTTTAATTCTTTATTTTTATATTTTATGCATCTATTATAGTTTTTTGCTTTATGGTTACCATAAAACTTATATAAAACATCTTAAACTTAAAACAGGCTATTTTAAACTGATAACAATTATAATTGCAAGCAAAAGCTCTACACTTTACTCCTTCTCCCTACCTTTTGTGCTTTTGATGTCAAAATTTTCCTTTTCTTATAATTTGTATCCCTTAACAATCTATTGTAGCTACAATTTTTAGTAGTTTTATTTTAGCCCTCATAGTAGAGATAAAATTGCTTTACACATAACCTTTATTTACATTTTTGGTGTATTCTGAATATGACTACGTATTTCTTCTACCATTAAGTTTTTTATTTTATATGTTGTGTATTATTAGTTAGTAGTCTTTTGTTTCCACTTAAAGAACTCCCTTTAGAGGCAGAGGTTGCAGTCAGCTGAGATTGTGCCACTGCACTCCAGCCCGGGTGATGGAGCAAGACTCTGTCTCAGAAAAAAAAAAAAAAAAAAAAAAAAAAAGAACTCCCTTTAGCAATCCCTGTAGAGTGGGCCTAGTGGTGATGGTAAACTCCCTTAGCTTTCATTTGGAAAATTTTATTTCTCCCTTATTCTGAAGGACAGCTTTGCTGGGTAAAGTATTCTTGATTGGCAGTTGTCTATTATCCTTCAGCACTTTGAATGTATCATCCCACTGTCTCCTAGACTACAAGGTTTCTACTTAGAAATTCACTGATAGCTATATTGAGACTCTGTTCAGTATGATATGCCTCTTATTTCTTGCTGCTTTCAGTATTCTTTCTTTGTCTTTAATTTTTGATAATTTGAATGTGATGTGTCTTGGTGAACTTGTCTTTGAGTTAAATTTGAAAAGTGATCTCTAAGCTTCCTGTACCTGGATATTGTCATCTTTTCCTAGATTTGGGAAATTTTCAGCCATTATTATCTTAAATAAATTTTCTGGTTCTTTTTCTTTTTCTTTTCCCTAGGGAACTCCTATTATGCGTAGATCTGTTTTCTTGATAATGTCCCATAATTACCATAGGCCTTTTCCATTGTTTTTCTTTCTTTTTTTTCTTTTCATTCCTCTGACTAATTTAAATGTCCTGTATTCAGGTTCACTGATTCTTCTTCTGCTGGTCAAGACCTGCTATTGACACTTTCTATTAATTTCAGAAATTTAGTTATTGTATTCTTTAGCTTTATAATTTCTATTTGGGTTTTTTATTGTTTATATTTTTGTCAAACTTCACATTTAGTACATGAATTGTTTCCCAGAATTTCATTCAATTTTTCATCTGTATTTTCTTGTGGTTCTCTGAACTTCTGAATTCTTTATCAGTCATGTCATAAATCTCCACTTCTTCAGAGTCCACTATTAGAACTTTATTAGTTGCATTTCCCTCATTTTTTTTTTTTTTTTTTTTTTTTTAGATGGAGTCTCACTCTGTCGCCCAGGCTGGAGTGCGGTGGCATGATCTCAGCTCACTGCTACCTCTGCCTCCCAGGTTCAAGCAATTCTCCTGCCTCAGCCTCCCAAGTAGCTGGGATTACAGGCACGCACCACCATGCCCGGCTAATTTTTGTATTTTTAGTAGAGATGGAGTTTCACCATGTTGGCCAGGCTGGTCTTGAACTCCTGACCTCAGGTAATCCACCTGCCTTGGCCTCCCAAAGTGCTGGGATTACAGGCATGAGCCACTGCGCCCAGACTTCCCTCATTTTTGTAATCCTTGTGTCTTTGCATTGGTACCTACACATTTGAAGAAACACTTTCCAGTCTTTGCTGGTATTCTTTGGCTGTGCAGATCTTCACTATTTAGTATAGCCTAGGATTCTAGTTGGGCCAGTAGGTGGTGACAGGTAGACCTTGCATGTTCTCTAGTTGGGCTGGGCTGTTAACTGTGTTCTGGCGTCAAGCAAAACTTCTGGCTGTAATAGCAATCACTATAGTCTGACTCTCAGGAGGTCTTCCTCTTAGGAAAAGGGGGAGAGTACCACATCACGGGAACACCGTGTGGGACAAAATAATCTGGGTGACAGGCCTTGAGTCCCAGATCATTCCTGTGGGAAAGTTTCTTTCAGCAGAGACACAATTGCAGTACTGGACTCAGCAGGGGACATCTGTGTCTCTATCCAACAGTCAGACAGGCTTGGTGCTCATGAAAGGTCTTAGAGAAAGGGTCCTCTTTCCCCACTTGTCCACCACTGCAGACACAGCTGGGGCTTCTCTCACGGGAACTCTGTGTGGATTCACCTACAGACAGCCTTCCTGGAACACTTCAGGGCAACTGCATCCCCACAGAAGGAGCATTCCCCAGGTTTGGGCTTGCACAAGAAGCAGACTCACAATTTCTCTCTACTTGAAACACCAATATTCCTACAGACAAAAAGAAGTGCCTGTATAATCTGAATAGCTGGAACACTGGGACAGGTGTGAGGCTGGGAGGTGGATAGCTTTTCTGCTGGCCTGGCAGGGGAGCTGAGATAGCTCCCAACCTTCACTCTGATAAGACCTCAGTGCATCTATTTGGGAGCTCCCCAAGCAACCTTAATCAAGGCTGGGATCTCTGCCCACCATTGGGTATTGCATTTACCCACTTGCTTTAGCTACAACCGGTTCCTACCCAGGGATACAATTCCACCCCTACTGTCCTGAAGCTTGAGCCATTAACTCAGTAAATAAAATAATGGAGAAAAAATAAATAAATATGAGTGCACAACACAGGGAAATGAGATAAGCTTCAAAAGACCCCTACCATTCCAATCCCACAGGAGACAATGAACTTGCCTATACCAAGTACATACATACTACAAGTAGCATCTGAGACAGCCATCACACAAAGACTCTCTATAAGCAAGGAATTCTTACAGAATCTTCACTCATAAAAGCACCAAGAACCAAATTCAGCTGTAATAAACTATAAATATTGAAGTCACATCCTTAAGAGAAAAAAAAAGAAATTAAAAAAAATGAAACCAAAAATAAATTCAAGAACAATTACAAGAAATAGTCTACCCAAATGAGAAGGAACCAGAAAAGAGATTCTGGTAATATGACAAAATGGGGTTCTATAATGCCCTGAAAAGATCATACTAGCTCCCCATCTCTGGATCCAAAGCAAGATGAAATCTTTGAAATACCAGATAAGGAATTCAGAAGGTTTATTATTAAGCTGCTCAAGGAGATACTGGAGAAAGGTGAAAACCAACATAAAGAAATTTAAAAATCAATACAGGATGTGGATGAGAAATTTTCCAGAGAGATAGATATAAGGAAAAACTAATCAGAATATCTGGAAATGAAAGACACACTTAGGGAAATAAAAATACAGTGGAAAGTTTCAACAATGAACTAGAACAATAGAAGAAAGAATTTCAGAGCTTGAAGACAAGGCTTTTGAATTAGCCCAATCAGATAAAGATAAAGAATCAAAAGAACAAAGTCTCCAAGAAATATGGGACTACGTAAAATGGCCAAACCTAAGAAGAGTTGTTGTTCCTGAGGGAACAGAGAAGGATAAAAGTTTGGAAAACGTATTTGAAGTAATAATTGAGAAAAAGTTTCCTGGCCTCGCTAGAGATTTAGATATCCAAGTACAGGAAGCTCCTAGAACATCTGAGAAATTAATTGCAAAAAGATCATCACCAAGGCAAAAAGTGATCAGGCTATCTAAAGTTAATATGAAGGAAAGAATTCTAAGAGCTGTGAGACAAAAGCATCAGGTAACCTATAAAGGAAAACATATCAGGCTAATAACAGACTTCTCAGCAGAAACCTTACAAGCTAGAAGAGATTGGGTGTCCTATCTTTAGACCCCTTAAACACAATAATTGTCAGTCAAGAGTTTCGTATCCAGCAAAACTAAGCTTCATAAATTAGAGCAAAATAAAGTCTTTTTCAGACAAACAAATGCTGGGGTTATTTGCCACTACCAAACCAGCACTACAAGAAATGCTAAAAGGTGTTTTAAATTGTGAAAGAAAAGCTTGATATGCACCAAAATAGAACTTCCTGAAAGCATAAAACTATAAGGCCTATAAAATGTAATGAATGTATGAATGTAAATGGCCTAAATGCTCCACTTAAAAGGTACAGAATGGCAGAATGGATTAAAAAAAAACATAAACTAGATATCTTCTGTCTTCAAGAGACTCACCTAACACATAAAAATTCATGTAAACTCAGGGTAAAGGAGTGGAAAAAGATATTCCACACAAATGGAAACCAAAAGTAAGCCAGAGTAGCTATTGTTATATCAGACAAAACAGATTTTAAAGCAACAACAGCCAAACACAAGCAAACAAAATACAAAGAATAACATTATATAATGATAAAAGGATCAGTCCAACAAGAAGATATTACAACCATAAATTTATATGCACCTAACACCAGAGTTCCAAGATTTATGAAACAATCACTACTAAATCAAAGAAATGAGATAGACAGCAACACAGTAATAGTGGGAAATTTCCATACTCCACTGACAGCACTAGAAAGATCACTGAGACAGAAAGTTAACAAAGAAGCAGTGGACTTCAACTATATGCTAGAACAAATGGACTTAACAGATATTTACAGAACATTCTACTCAACTACTGGAGAATATACATTCTTCTTATCAGAACATGGAACATTCTCCAAGATAGACTGTATCATAAGCCACAAAACAAGTCTCAATAAATATAAGAAAATCGAAATCATGTCAAGTATCTTCTCAGACCACAGTAGAATAAAACTGGAAATCAACTCCAAAAGGAACCTTCAAAACTATAAAATACATGGAAATTAAATCATCTGCTCTTGAATGATTTTGGTGTTAATAATGAAATCAAGATGAAAATTTAAAAATTATTTGAAATGAATGATAATAACCGACACAAGTTATCAAAACCTCTGGGATACAGCAAAAGCAGTGCTAAGAGGAAAGTTCATAGCATTAAACGCCTACATCAAAAAGTCTGAAAGAACACAAATTGACAACCAAATTTTACACCTCAGGGAACAAGAGAAACAGGATCAAACTAAACCCAAAGCCAGGAGAAGAAAAGAAATAAAGATCAAAGTGGAACTAAACAAAATTGAAACAACAACAACAACAATAAAAAATACAAAAGACAAATCAAACAAAAAGCTGGTTCTTTGAAAAGATAAACAAAGTTGGTAGACTGTTAGTGTGATTAACCAATAAAAGAAGAGAGAAGATCCAAGTAAGCTCAAATAGAAATGAAACTGGAGACATTACACAGAATACCACAGAAATACAAAAGATCATTCAAGACAACTATGAACAGCTTTATGTGCACAAACTAGAAAATCTAGAGGAAATGGATAAATTCCTGGAAACATATAACCTTCCTAGATTAAATCAGGAGGAAATAGAAATCCTGAACAGACCAATAACAAGCAGTGGACTGAATCCGTAATAAAAAAAATTGCTGACACAAAAAAGGTCCAGGACCACAGAGTTTCACAGCTGAATTCTACCAGACATTCAAAGAATTGGTACCAATCCTACTGAAACTATTCCAAAAGATAGGGAAAGAGGGAATCCTCCCCAAATCATTCTATCAAGCCAGTATCGCCCTAATACCCAGACTAGAAAAGGACATAATAAAGAAAACTACAGACAAATATCCCTGATGAACAAAGATGCACAAATCCTCAACAAAATACTAGCCAACTGAATCCAACAGCACATCAGACAGATAGTATATCACGATCAAGTGAGTTTCATCCCAAGGATGCAGGGATGGTTTAACATACACAAATCAATAAATGTGATAAATCACATAAACAGAATTAAAAGCAAATGCTATATGATCATCTCAATAGATGCAGAAAAAGCATTTGATAAAATCCAGCATCATTTTATGATAAAAACCCTCTACACACTAGGCATAGAAGAGACTTACCTCAAAATAATAAAAACCGTCTATGACAAAGCCACAGCCAACATCATACTGAATGGGAGAAAGTTGAAAGCATTCCCCCTGAGTACTGGAGCAAGACAGGGATGCCCACTTTAACCACTTCTGTTCAACATAGTACTGGAAGTCCTAGCCAGAGCAATCAGGCAAGAGAAAGAAATAAAGTCATCCAATTTGGAAAAGAGGAAGTTAAACTATCACTGTTTGCTGATGATATGATGGTATACATACAAAACCCTAATGACTCATCCAAAAGCCTCCTAGATCTGATCAACAAATGCAGTAAAGCCTCAGGTTACAAAATCATTGTACACAAATCAGTACCACTGCTATACACCAACAACGACCAAACTGAGAATCAAATCAAGAACTCAATCCCTTTTACAAAGCTGCAAAAAAAAAGTAAAATACCTAGAAATATAGTTAACCAAGGAGGTGAAAGATCTCTACAAGGAAAACTACAAAACCCTGCTGAAAGAAATCACAGATGGCACGAACAAATGAGAACATGCCTCAAGTTTATGGATGGAAAGAATTAATAATGTGAAAATGACCACACTGCCCAAAGCAAACTACAGATTCAATGGAATTCCCATCAAAATGCCATAATCACTTTTCACAGAACTAGAAAAAAGCAATACTAAAATTCACATGGAACCAAAAAAGAGCCCACATAGCCAAAGCAATACTAAGAAAAAAAAAATCTGGAGGCATCATATTCCAACTTGAAATTATACTACAAGGCTATACTTACCAAAACAGCATGGTACTAGTATAAAAATAGGCAGGTAGACCAATAGAACAGGACAGATAACCCAGAAATAAACCACATATTTATAGCCAGCTGATCTTAAACAAAGCATACAAAAACACAAATTTGGGAAAGGAAATCCTATTCAATAAATGGTGCTAGGAAAACTGGCAAGCCACCTGTGGAAGAATGAAACCATCTGCATCTCTCACCTTATACAAAAACCAACTCAAGATGGATCAAAGGCCTAAATCTAAGACCTGAAACCATAACAATTCTAGAAAATAACATTAGACAAACTCTTCTGGACATTGGCATACACAAAGGATTCATGACTCAGACCCCAAAAGCAAATGCAACAAAAACAAAAATAAATAAATGGGAACTGATTAAACTAAAAAGCTTTTGCACAGCAAAATAAATAATCAGCAAACAGACAACCCACAGAGTGGGAGAAAATATTTCAAACTACACATTCAATGAAGAACTAGTATCCAGAATCTACAAGGAATTCAAACAAATCCACAAGTAAAAGACCAAATAATCCCTTCAAAAAGTGGGAAAAGGGCAGGAGTAGATAATTCTCAAAAGAAGTATACAAACATATGAAAAATGCTCATCATCATTAATCATCAGGGAAATGCAAATTAAAACCACAATGAGATACAACCTTACGCCGGCAAGAATGGCCATAATTAAAAAATAAAAAATAAATAAAAAAAAAACGGATGTTCACGAGGATATGATGAAAAGGGAACACTTTTACACTGCTGGTGGGAATGTAAATTAGCACAACGTCTATGGCGAGCCCTTAAAAAAACTGAAAGCAGATTCACCATTCAATCCAGCAATCCCACTACTGGGTGTCTACACAAAGGAAAAGAAGCCATTATATGAAACGGACACACACACACACATATTTATAGCAGCACGATTCACAATTGTGAAGATATGGAACCAGCCTAAGTGCCCATCAACCAATGAGTAGATAAAGAAAATGTGGTATATGGAATACTACCCAGCCATAAAAAGGAATGAAATAATATCTTTTGAAGCAACTTGGATGGGGCCAGAGGCCATTATTCTAAGTGAAATTACTCAGGAATGGAAAATCAAATACCATATGTTCTCACTTACAAGTGGTAGCTAAGCTATGAGGATACAAAGATATACAGTGTGATATAATGGACTTTGGAGACATGGGGCAGGGAAGGTTCGGGGCAGTGAGGGATAAAAGACTACATATTTGATACTGTGTACACAGCTCGGGTGACAGGTGCACTAAAATCTCAGACTTCACCACTGTGGAATTCATCCATGTAACCAAAAACCACTTGTACCCCCAAAAGCTACTGAAATAAAGTAATAATTTTAAGAAAGGAGAAATTAAATTTACCATATATATAAAAGAAATGAGTGTAATATTAAGGGCATGAAGTACAGAGAAAGACAACATTACAATTATTCAGAGAATTTATTGGAAATAGCTAGTATTAATAAAATGTTCTCCTTTAAAAAAAACAAACAAACCTGAAATGCTGGCTGTGCTCCGCAGTCTGATGAGACCAGTGGCTGGACTCTGCAGTAAGGCTGAGCTGTTTGATTGCTCCTTGACAGGCCGTGTTGTAGGCTGTCTTCTCTGGTTGGCCAGTACTGCAGTTTTGAATCTGTAGTTTGGCAGGACTGCATGCTGGGCTCTGAGGCTGAGCAAGGCTTCTCGGATCACTACTTAACTACTCTGGGTGGACGGGGCCAGAGGCGATGCTTCACAGATATGCGTGAACTTGAGCTTGCTTCTCATCCCAGGATAACCTTAAGCAGAGCACTGAGGCTTGGTGTTTTAGCTCTTTGGCTGATGGAGCTGGGTGGGGCCAGATACTCCCTTTACAGATAATCACTGCCCTGCCCCTATCTCCCAGCCTGGGTAAATTTCAAGGAGGGTAACAGGACTGGCTGTGGAAGCTGGCCAGGTACCTGAATTTGAGAGACCAGTTGACTGTGCTTAGTCCAGAGCAGCGCTGTTGGCTAGCTTCTCTGGTGGTGCACCTCCACTGGCCTGAATGCAGGACAGCTGCCAAGATTCCTGCACTAGTTGATGTGAGCCCCACATCTGTTCTTTATCTCCAAGTGATCTCAGATGTCTAGCTCTGCTGATACTCCCAGTGCTTCCTGTGTGATGAGACAAGAGAACACTTCCTCTGAAGGGTCCCAGAATGGTGGCAAAGCTGAATGTTCACCTCCAACTCTCTCCTCCCTGTGTAACAACCATGGGTCCCAGAGAATCCTCTATGTGTGGCACGTTGCCAGCTTGGGGGAGGAGCAATGTGGCCAAAGTGAAACTACTCCTCTTATTCTTGGCATGCGGCTGTTCTCAGTTCTGCGGTATAAGGGGGTGTCTTAGCTTCACTCTCAAGTTCTGGAATATTCACAAGGGTGTTTTTGTCTGTGAGTAGTTGCCAGTGGATTTGTGTATGTATGTGTGGTGGGGGAGGAGAAATGGAGCTGGAAAATTCCTATTCTGTCTTCTTGCTGATGTCATTCTCAATGTCTTTTTTTTACTGCTTTTAAGATTTTTTAATCTTTATCAGTAGTTTTAAGTAATGGGAGTATGATATGCCTTCTTGTAGTTTTCTTTGTGGGTTTTTTTTTTTTCTGCTTAGGGTTATTTGAGCTGTTTGGAACTATGTTTACAGTTTTAATCAGATTTGAAAAATCTGTTTTTTTTTTTTTTCTGAGACAGAGTCTTCTCCTGTTACCCAGGCTGGAGTGCAGTGGTGTGATCATAGCTCACTGCAGCTTCAGTCTGCTGGGCTCAAGCAATCCTCCAACCTCAGCCTCCTGAGTAGCTGGGACCACAGGTGCATGCTACCATGCCTGGCTCCCTCAACATAGAAGACCCTGTCTCGTCAAAGAAAATTTTTATTTTATTGCTCAGGCTGGTCTCAAATCTCTGGCCTCAAGTGATCCCCCTGCCTCAGCCTCCCAATGTGCTGGGATTATAGGTATGGACCCCCATGCCCACCCTCCTTTGGAGAACCAAATAACATGAATGTTAGGTTGCTTAAGGCTGTTCCATAGCTCATTGGTCCTTTCTAAATTGTTTAAATTATTCTTTCTTCTATTTTATTTTGGGTAGTGTCTAGTGCCATGTCTTCAAGTTCACTTATATTTTCCTCTGCAATATCAAGTCTGCCATTAATCCCATCCAGAGTGTTTTTATCCGAGATATTATAGTTTTGATCTTTCCTTTGGCTTCTTGAATATGTAAAATACAGTTTTAACAACTATTTTTATGTCTTTGTCTAGTAATTATATCAAGTATATCATCTATGGGTCAGTTCTAGCTGATTTTACTCCTAACTATGGATAACGTTTTCCTGCTTCTTTGCATGACTGGTCATCTTTTATTGGATGCCAGACATTGCAAGTATTTTCTTTTGGGGTGCTAGATATTTTTGTATTTTTATCAATATCTTGAGCTTTGTTCTGGGATGCAATTAAGTTTCCTGGCAATAATTTGTTCCCTTTGGATACCACTTGTTTGCTTCCTGTTCCTCAGGAATCCACTATTCGTTATTACCTGATTTCCAATGTTTTAAATATTGTTATTTTTTTCATGTTCTTTATTTGTTTCATGTAAGAGGGTAAATCCAGTCTCTTTTACTCCATCTTGGCCAGAAATTGAAATATCTCTTCATTAAAACTTGAAATAAATATGTTACAGGAGTTTTACTTCAGCAGAATCTGGGTTCATTCAAACATGTGGCTCTCTCTCAGAGACTGGAAATAGGGACGCTACGGGCCTCCCCGTGCCCCACCCGCCACCTGAGCAGTGTACACTGTACCAAATATGTAGTCTTGTATCCCTCACTGCCTCCAGCCTTCCATGCCCCAGGCCCCACTGGTAAGGAGCTCCCTGATCGTCCATAGGGGAGGGGGCAGAGCTTAGGTGAACCAGAGGCCTAAGTTCAAGGGGCCACAATAGAAGGGAATAGGAACACTGATTGTTCTATGGCCCTGTCTTGTGGGCTAGGAAGAGAGGACTACAGTGAAAATATGAGAAGACCCCATGAGTTCAGATTATCTGCAATACCTATGAAATATTGAAACCTCAGTGTGGCAATGAGAAGTCTGCAGCTTCAGTGGCAGCATCGTGGTAGTAGGAAGAGGCCACAAGAATGGTTGGTGTCTGGCATTAGTGCTCATAGAAGAAAGACAGAAAAGGAGGAAAGTGATGGCTGTTATAATGAAAGGTTCAGTGCCTTTCTGTCCTTTTCTTTTTCTTTTTCTTTTTTTTTTGAGACAGAGTCTCGCTCTGTAGCCCAGGCTGGAGTGCAGTGGCGCGATCTCGGCTCACTCAAGCTCTGCCTCCTGGGTTCATGCCATTCTCCTGCCTCAGCCTCCCGAGTAGCTGGGACTACAGGCGTCCGCCACCGCACCTGGCTAATTTTTTGTATTTTTAGTAGAGACGGGGTTTCACCGTGTTAGCCAGGCTGGTCTCGATCTCCTGACCTCATGATCTGCCCTCCTTGGCCTCCCAAAGTGCTAGGATTACAGGTGTGAGCCACTGCACCCGGCCCTCTCTGTCCTTTTCGGGTAGGCATTTCAGGGGGCTAGATCCCCAACTGAAGGATCTAGGTCAAAGCAATGCCTCGGGAAGCAAAAATGGCCTGTGACCGGGAAGTCCTTGTGCACGCACATACACAGGCCAGTCAGGATGATAGTGGGAGCTGCAGTGTAGTGTGCTTGCTTGAATAAGTGAATTTTTAAAGTCATTAGTGACAAAAGTGACTTTTTTTCCCCCCGGACATGAGATCTGACCTGTCTTTCTGTGGTGATGAGGTCTTATGTTTGTCACTGCTGGCCACATCTCTGCTCTGCGGAAGCCTACGGGTGAGCCTGCCCAGCTGAATAAACAGGGGCCAGGACTGAAGGCTCAGGGCCGGGCATGATCCAAGCACTCACTGGTGCTTCCTCAGATGTTTGTTTTACCATTTTGCCAAAGAGAGATTGAAGGAGCCTTAAAACAGGTGGGGAGAAGTTCCATAAAGTTCTTCATCAGGAAGCTCGGAAAACCGCTTGGCAAAGGCATATCTAGAGACCCGGTTACATGAATGGAAAAGGATTGGTCGGTAGGCACAGGCATACTCCTCTGAAAATGCTGAAAATCTGTTCAACTCTGCGGCTCAGGTTGAGACAAATGCTGTGACCGCTTCATAAATCATGGTAGAAGGAAATCAAAAGAGAAATGTCTGTGAGGACTTTATATGAGTATTTCTTTTCCAAATGTGGAACATCCCATTCTTGGAACATACTGCACAGGGAAAGTGTGTGGCCCTGGGAAGCACTGAGTTATAAAGTAGTATTCCACTGAGAATTCTAGGAGCAAGCCAAAATACAGAGAAACCCTGAGTAGCTGCTTTTTCAATCACATAATACAACTGTGGTAGATTATAATGTCCCAGGCAGTATTCACGAAGAGGAAAGGGTTAGTGGTTTGGCCTGCGGTAACGAAGCTGACTTCACTGTCTGCTGCGCTTGTCCAGCAGCTAGTAATCTCCACCTCTTTTTCCATCACTTTCACTTGTGTGAGTTATTTCTCACCAGACCACGGTAAATGCCACTAGAAGCCTCATAGCAGTGCTTCACGTTTACCAGCGGGAAGGACACCAACACCAGCCCACTACTCAAGAGTGGACAGAATTGAACCTGCGTTTTAAGGAAACAGGTCCCAAACGCACTTTTTGTAGAATCTAAGCAGTGACATTTCCAAGTCTATTGAGCCCTTGTATTAACATATGAATATCCAGCCCTAAAAACTAGAAACAAGCTATCAGTGAAAATGCTTTGTTATGTGCTATTTTATATAACACAGTGGAACCTGTGTTTTGATTCAGCAAGTTTGAAACACACTTTTTTGTGGAATTTATGAAGTGTAACACTTTCCAAATTTGTCCTTACATTGAAGTTTTTTATACTATTGCCTAATTCAGCAACTTTCAGTTATAACAGATTCTCTAGTCTAGACATAAAGTACATTTTAAAGTATTTGAATATAGTGCCCCAATCTTGCAGCTATCTCTTTGCACCCTCCTCTTTTAGAACTTTTAAAAATTAATACGTTTGTTCTGCCATCCGTCCATCCACCCATTCACTTGTTCATTCAACTGAGAGATACTAGCATAAATACACTGTGCCTAGTCTTGGTGCCATGTGAGGGAGTTACAAAAATAACAATGACAACATTAGTGACAGACTCTCATATATCACTTGCCACTTGCCAGGAACACTTCTATGCTCTTAACATATTAACTGTTAATCCTTGTAACAACTATGGAGAAGTTGTTAGCTGTTGAACTATGAGACGATACTATTATTACCATGTGCAGATGAGGAAACTAAGATTAATGAGACATGGTCTTTGCTTTCAAAGGAGTTTACAGAGTAGTAAGAAGTCAAATTATATGTGCATAAAAGAGTGAAGTTAACATTGTTGGTTCTAAGTATCAATACAAGCTTGCAAAATTAATGGCATAGGATAGTTTCATACAGTACAAGGGAGTGTGTCTTACATCAGGTTCTCCCAAAAGCAGACACTGAGTTAAGGATTTGGGTGGTCATGATTGATTAGGAAATTGCTCTCTAGAGGAATCAGTAAGGAATGGATACAAGATAGGAAAGAGGAAGAAGCCAGCACAAGGGTACTTTCAGGGGAAGGTCTAGCTTCAGCCCGATTCCATGGAGAATATTGGAGTATAAATTATACCTTGCATGTTGTGATGGTTAATACTGAGTGTCAACTTGATTGGATTTAAGGATGAAAAATATTGTTCCTGGGTTTGTCTGTGAGGGTGTTGTCAAAGGAGATTAACATTTGAGTCAGTGGACTGGGAAAGGCAGACCCATCCTCAATCTGGGTGGGCACAATCTAATCAGCTGCCAGCTTGGCCAGAATAAAACCAGGCAGAAGAACATGGAGAGATTAGACTTGCTTAGCCTCACAGCCTACATCTTTCTCCCATGCTAGATGCTTCCTGCCTTTGAACATTGGACTTCAAGTTCTTCAGCTTTGGGACTTGGACAGGCTTCCTTGCTCCTTAGCTTGCAGATGGCCTATTGTGGGACCTTGTGATTGTGTGAGTTAATACTCCTTAATAAACTACCCTTATATATACATCTATCCTATTAGTTCTGTCCCTCTAGAGAACCCTGACTAATAGAGATTACCTGCCTAGAAGCAAGGGAACTGAGCATTTGAATGCTCCCCCCATCAATAATTGGCTCATGAGTCTCCCTGTGGTTGGGAAACATGTAAAAATCCCATGCCTATTAGGTATGTCAGTCAAGTGGTGGAAATGGTGGACTAGGGTAGGCAGCTCCAATGCCCAAGATCAGTCCTTTTATTATCTTGGGTTTAAGCCATTTGCAACAAAGCATGCAGAAGCTGGGGTACATGGAATTGATAGAAGAGGTCTGAGAGGATCTGGAGGGTGAGTATCAACATAACTGCTATAGTTCACCTCTTGTATTTCACAGATGAGCTTGCTTCTCTCACTCCATCCTTAAGCTCACTCCATCTCATCACAGTATCTTCCAAATTCTGGTTGGTTAAAGATCCTGGGGGAAACTTCTAAGAAATAGGTTAATGGAATAAGCTGAGTGCTCACTACTGCAGTTTGTCTTGAGATTGTACCATCTATTTGTCCTTTTCTTCTTCTACCACCCTTTCTAGATTTCCCTTGCCCTTGGATACCACTTCTGCTAGTTTAGGTGGCTTTCTTGGTGACATGACCCTGACCTTCAACCCTTAAAGGCCTGAGCCCCTGGCTACCATGCTTTTATCAGGCCATGGTTGCTGTAACTACCCATTCCCACTTAATGCTGGCCGTGGGAATATCAAGAAATGTCCCAGAGAACCACCTGAATTCTGAACATATTCCTCCACACCTTCATTAGGTAGCGCAATTCTACGTCCTCATGATGTCAGGGTCAACTCTCCTGCTAGTATGGTGACTTTTATTTCTGGTATAGTGGCAGCAACCAGTTATCAGTCATAGCTTTTTAAATGAAATTCTTAATGTGTCCCCTGGTGGAAGTACACCTCATCTGTGAAACAGGACCTGAGACCCACAGTGGCTGAGTTTGGGGAGACAAGAAGTACAAATTCCCCAAGTGGGAGTGATGGTAAGTAGGTCCACTTTCTACTCTCACCACTTGAATTCTGGAATCAATTATTCTATCTATTGACAACATAGGACCCCACCTTCAGAGGATTATCATCTCCAAGCTGGCACCTCAACTCTGCCTAACACTGTTAGGCCAGCAGCCTCTGGATGATATAGTACGTGGTAGGACGAGTGGATTCCACAGTCTTGTGCCCATGGCCAGACATCCAAGGCATTGTCACATAGTATGCCCTGCTGGTTAATCAGATGCTCTTTAACCCTTCATCAGATAGTGATGTTGTTTGAGGCCCGTGGGCAGGAAAGGCAAGCCCATTCCTGGAATACGTGACAATCCCAATGGGAAGAAAATGTTTGGCTTTCCAGAGTGAATGGAGTCCAATGTAATCAACTTGCTGCCAAGTGACTGGTTGTTTTACTTGAGGGTTAGTACCATATTTGGGCTCCAGTGTAAGCTTCTGTTTCTGACAGCTGAGACATTCAGCAATGCCAGTAGTTAGATCTGCCTTGCTAAGAGGGAGCCCATGGGTCTGTACATAGTGTCTTTGTTTCTGGTATCCTGGCTTCTCTGTTCGTGGGCCTATTGCACAAAAATTGGGATGGCCAAGAACCAAGGTGAGCTCATATCCATTGGAAGAGCTACTCTGTTCAGCTGGTTAATGTCTCTTCTGGGTAGACGCTTACTTGTGGGCCTTAAATATGTGCTATAAAGATGCTCACACTTTGAGACCACTTCCATAGGTTAATCCACATGTTCATCTCCAGACTATTTATTCCTGATTTTCCAATTTTTCTTCCTCTAGGCCCCTGGTTAATCAGCCACTACTATCCATGAGGCTATATACAGTCATTCCTTGGTATCCACTGGGGATTGTTGCCAGGATTCCCCTTGGATACCAAAATCTGTGGATGTTCAAGTCCCTTATATAAAATGACATGGTATTTACATATAACCTACGCACACAATCCCGTATACAGTAAATCATCTCTAGATTGCTTATAATACTCAACACAATGTAAATGCTATGTAAATGTTCTTATACTATATATTTTTTAAAATTTGTTGGCCGGGCGCGGTGGCTCACGCCTGTAATCCCAGCACTTTGGGAGGCCGAGGCGGGCGGATCACGAGGTCAGGAGATCGAGACCATCCTGGCTAACACGGTGAAACCCCGTCTCTACTAAAAATACAAAAAATTAGCCGGGCGTAGTGGCGGGCGCCTGTAGTCCCAGCTACTCGGGAGGCTGAGGCAGGAGAATGGCGTGAACCCGAGAGGCGGAGCTTGCAGTGAGCCGAGATTGCGCCACTGCACTCCAGCCTGGGCGACAGAGCGAGACTCCGTCTCAAAAAAAAAAAAAAAAAAAAAAAAAAATTTGTTTTATTTATTGTTGCATTTTTTCCAAATATTTCTGATATTAGCAGTTGGTTGAATCTTCAGAGTAGAACCAGTGGATATAGAGAGCCTCCTGTACACATATCATTACCATATAGCACTTCCCACTGTACACAACATAGGTGACCAGATGCAACGTCCAAACTTTGTCCACTTAGAGAACTTCTCTCACCATTGTCTTTTAGGGCCACCCAGGAGGGGGGATACAGTTCAGTAATAGTCCATTTTTGGTTCATACCAAGATATTCAATAAGGTATCCATGAATCAGACCTGGTAATTTTCCTCCTCTGATAGCTGGTCAAAGGAAACTCCCACACGAGGCCAAAGGGTTAGCAAAGGAGAAGTATCATTGTATTGGTGATGAGTGATGGGGATTCGGGCCACCTGTTCATGCAGATTACTGTGCCCTCTGGATCTGCTGCAGCTGCATCTAGAACCTACCACTTCTATCACATGATAGATTGCTGCTGAGCCTGCCCAACGTTATGACTTGGTAGTTCTGAAAGTTCTCAGCTCAAGATAAGCAGCTCGGATCCTAGAGTCACTTGATGAGATGCTCTGTCTCTATGGGAGCTTAATACCTACCTAGCCAGGAGCTGCTTTTCATATGGTATATAATTTTATGCTTTGAACGGCATGGCCTTTCTCCCTTCAGTGTATCGAGGACACTCAGCAATAGTCAAATTGTTCTGCAGTAGCTATAAATGATTTCCTTTGTATCTCTCAATCGCTGAAGATATTGAACAAATCAGAGCATTCCCTTCTGTTTCCTGTCTTAGTTAACCACAGGTGAAAGTTCTAGGAATGGCATTGCTATGGCCTGCCAGGGCCTATTAACACAAGACATGAAGTCATTTTCATCTGGTCAGAATCTCATCCATAAAGTGTGCATCCTAAGACCACTTTTGGGGCCAACTGTCTTAAAATAGGCTCTCCTGGAGTCAGATCCCGAGTCAAGGATTCAGGTGCTAGTGATTTATTAAGGGAAAAACCAGTAAGGAAGTGGGAGAAGCAGCAGAGGAGAGGAAAAGAGACTAAACAAGACATCAACTTTTGGTGAAGTCTCAGTTTCAACCCAAATTTGTAGAGAGTAATGATTGACTCCTCATTTAGTTTCACAGCAAAGGAGCTGGGGAGAGGGGGTAGAATTAGATACAGAGCACCCAGGCACCTCCTGCTCTCAGCTGGGGCAGGCAGCCCTAGTGCCTGGGAGAAGATCTCTGAAGGTCACAGATGTTGACTGCTGCTGCAGATCATGTAGAAGCTAGAGGATGGAGGCACAGAACTGGGAAGAGGGATCTCAGGGGATCTGGCCAGGGCACTCTTATGCCTACTCCAAAGTGATACAGGAAGAAACGTGCTGAGTTTAGGGAATCAAGCAATCCTGTGTGAGATGGAGTGGTCAAAGAAGGCTTCCTGGAGGTCAGACTTGAGGTAGATTAATCTAGAGTCAGTGGACGTTGACTCCAATTATTACCAACGGCATCGCAGTTAACGTTTAGTGGGGTTGTCAATAGTGGCTAGAACATAAAAGGGTGTGAGGAACAGGATTTGATCACCACAGTACTTGCTGTTGAGATTCTTTGACACTTTCCTTAGCACGCTTCCTAGGCTGGAGAAAAAATATAGAACAAAAACACAAACATCCTAACTATCTACCCTTTCTCACTAATCTCTCCTGCATATTTGTTTCAAGTCCTCCTCTAAGAAATGTCTTCTGGAGGGGTGAGTGCTGACCATCATTACCTAATTTCCCTGCTCCCCATCCCATTCCCCACTCTTTCCTTCCCATCCCTTCCTCTCTTCTATGTATTGGGTGCTGGTCACCAGTAAGGGCTCTGAAGACACCGCATCCTCTCTCAGGATGTGTTTGCTTTAATTGAACAAGCATTTATGACTTCCCTGCCTCCTCTGAGGGCTTAGCATTTGCTGCAAGTTCCAAATCACTCTTACCTAATACTATGAAAGAGAATTTGATGAGCTGCCCAAAGAAGTATAATAGATTATGAATATGAGTGCTCAGAGACCAGTTTTGTTCAAGCAAACAGGGAAGACATTCAGGAGAATACGGGACCTGATTTGAGTCTTAGAATATAAGATGTAGAGACGGTGTAGGGGAATTGGCCTACAAAGGAGCTGTAGTGTGCGTGAGTGGAGACGCAGATGGTCCCCGATTTACTATGGTTCAACTTCAGAGGTTTTGACGTTAGGATGGTGCAAAAGTTATAAGCATTCAGTATGCTTCTCAATTTACAATGGGGCTACATCAGGATAAACCAATTATAAGTTGAAAATATCAGTTTGTTCAGACTTAATCCCACCTTAAGTCAAGGAGTGCCTGTATTTGATATGGAAGTCAGGAGAATGCTACATTAATACTTCTTCTGCATGATCCTCAGACCATCACCTGAGTATCACAATGAAAGCACCCATTCTCCATTTCTTCTCTCCCATTCACCTATACATTCCTGTTCCCAGAGGGAACCACTTTCAAATCTTCGCCATTTATTATAGTATTCACTTTCATTTTCCTAAAGGATATGATTATACTGCCATGTTTTTGTTTTTTGACTTTAAATATTATTTACTACAATAGATGATAAAGATTTAGCCATCTTACAATTCACACCTCATCCACACACAATTCTTCTATACCCCACTCCTAATGTAGTTATAATAGCATCATATTTGGTTAAGTCAATATTCAAAGATTATATGTTTTGACTATGTAAATGTTATTTACAGCTGAGTTATGTATGGGTTTCATGGTTACATTTTCTTTCCCCGCCCCCTGCATTTTTTTTTTTTTTTTGAGAGAGAGTTTCCCTCTTGTTGCCCAGGCTGGAGTGCAATGACGTGATCTCAGCTCAACACAACCTCCGCCTCTGTGGTTCAAGCGATTCTCCTGCCTCAGCCTCCCGAGTAGCTGGGATTACAGGCATGTGCCACCATGCCCAGCTAATTTTGTATTTTTAGTAGAGACAGGGTTTCTCCATGTTGGTCAGGCTGGTTTCGAACTCCTGACCTCAGATGATCCACCTGCCTCAGCCTCCCAAAGTGCTAGGATTACAGGTGTGAGCTATTGCACCTGGCCTCTTTCCTTTTCTTTAACCACCCCCCTACCCTGGAGTTAATGATTACATTTTTTTGTTTGCTTAGTATTCTTTTGTAATATCACCAGTTTATCCCCAAATTCTGACACAGCTGTCAAACTTTTGTTGGTACAATTATTTATAAATATTAAATATTCTATAAGCTTCTTTTTAATCCTTCCTTCCTTTCTCTTTCTCTTTTCTCTTCTCTTTTCTTCTTCCTTCCTTCCTTCCTTCCTTCCTTCCTTCCTTCCTCTCTCTCTCTCTCTTTCTTTCGAGACAGAATCTCACTCTGTCGCACAGGCTGGAGTGCAGTGGCATGGTCTTGGCTCACTGTAACCTCTGCCTCCCTACCTCAAGCAATTCTCCCACCTCCGCCTCCTAAGTCGCTGGGACTACAGGTGTGTGCCACCACACCTGGCTAATTTTTGTATTTTCAGTAGAGACAGGGTTTTGTCACATTGGCCGGGCTGGTCTTGAACTCCTGACCTCAAGCGATCCGCCCGCTTTGGCCTCCCAAAGTGCTGGGATTACAGGCATGAGCCACCACGCCTGGCCTATAAGCTTCATTTTGGAGGGGAGTCTCTGGGGGCGCTGTCTCTCCTGAACTGGTGATCTCTAACCCTACATTAAACAAGTGTTCTCCTAGAACTTCATTTCATCATCATCTTAGGAATTTCCTTTGCTCCTCTGTGAATCTTGTTCCTTTTTCCCTCACACTGCTTCTTTCTTAGTTTACATCTCCTTGCTTTTGTGGGACATACCAGAACGTGGTTTTTAGAGAGAGAGGGCACATGGGAGGAGGCAGCAGGGTGAAGGTGGGAATGGATGGCTCAGAGGAAACATGCCATATAAGGAAATGTGAAGTTATCACCTGACAGTAATGCAAGGACACCGTGTTGTGTGCTCTTGGAGGTTCTTCCTTCAGAGACAATAAATTTCAACTATACTGGATTTGAAAGGTAAAGCCTTTAAGATAGAGCTTTATATTTTTTGGTGTGCATAACAGGCTTGGATATCTCCTGGAAGACACACTATTCCTCCCCCAAGTACCAAAACACAATCATTAAAGAAGCTGTACTTCACCACATTGACAGAAGAGGGCACCATTAAATGAAGAATCTTGTAAATTAGCCCACATCCACAAAAAGAATTACAAAAAATGGAATAAATCTATGCAAAGCTTCTTAAAGAAAGAGACTCAACACACCTCAAGTGATAAAAATTTTCCACCACTCCAAGGGAGGTAAATACAAAAATGACCATGAAGCAGAGGAAAACTGCAATGCTACACTCCAGACTCAAATAACCTCAAACAAGTATAGACATGTGAAAAGCTATACATATATATACATATATGTGTATATATGTATATATATGTATATATGTGTGTATATATGTATATATTTGAACCTCCCAGGTTCAAACATAAATTTTAGAACTATATTTATTTTTTGAACCTCCCAGGTTCAAGAGATTCTCCTGCCTTAGCCTCCCAAGTAGCTGGGATTACAGGTGGGCGCCATCACACCCAGGGAATTTTTGTATTTTTAGTAGAGACGGGGTTTCACCATGTTGTCCAGACTGGTCTCAAACTCCTAACCTCAAGTGATCCACCTGTCTTGGCCTCCCAGAGTGCTGGGATTACAGGCATGAGCCACTGCGCCTGGCCTGAAAAACTATCTTTAATCAGAAATTAAAATATAAATGGATTTAGAAAAAAATGGGAAGTAATGAACAGTGTGTTGATTGAACTCAGAAAGAAAATAAAAGAAAAAGAAAAATAATCTTAGGATTGAAACATAAATTTTAAGAGGGTACTTATATTGGTTTCCTAGGGCTATCTTAACAGATTACTATAAACTGAGAGCTTGAAACAATAGGAATTTATTTTCCCACAGTTCTGGAGGCCAGAGGTCTCAAATCAAGGGGCTGGCAGGGCTTGTTTCTTCCCGAGGCTCTGAGGGAAGGGTCTGCTCTATCTCTCCTTCATAGCTTCTGGGGGCTGCCAGCAATCCTTGTTGTTCTTTGGTTTATAGATGCGTCACTCTAATCTCCACCTTCCTTCCCACATTACCATCGTTTCTATGTGTCTTCTCTCCTTCTATTCTAAGGATACTTGGAATTGGAATTAGGGCTCAACCAGAAAACCTAGGATGATTTTATCTTGAGATACTTAATTACACCTGCAAAGACCCTTTTTCCAAATAAGATCATATTCCCAGGTTCTGAGTAGACATTTTTGGGGTGTGGGGGTGGGCGTGGTCATCATCACCTCGCTATAGCACCCAAAGGAGAATGTACTCAGATGGAAATTTAATATGGGCACTGAACAAAGGCAAACAAGCAAGAAAATGAAATGAAATAAAGAAGTGAAATGGGTCAGGAAGAAAGTGATTGACAGGGAAGACAGTCCAAAGCAACACTGGTATAACTGGAGTACATGAAGAAGAAATAGCAAACAATGTAACTATCATTTAAAACTATAATTGAACTGTTGAACTGGGTGACAGGGTGAGACCCTGTCCCTAAAAAAACAAAAACAGAACTGTAATAGAAGAAGAAAGCTTTCCAGGAGTAAATACAGGTTTAACTTTAAAAATGCCCAAACTATTCCCTATTTTTTATTCCCACCAGCAATGTATGAGAATTTCAGTTGCTTTGCATCCTTGACAGCACTTGCTATTGTCAACTGTATTCTTTTGCTTTTTTTTTTGTTTATTCATTCTTATAGGTCAATAGTGGTATTTTACTGTAGCTTTATTTTGTATATCCTAAAAATGATGTTAATTGCATATCACTATGAACCTCTTTTAATGTGCTTATTTGCCAACTACATATCATCTATGATGAAGCGTCTGTTCAAATTCTTTGCCTGTTTTATAAATTGTTGTTTCCTTATTATTGAACTTTGATAGTTCTTTTTATAATCTGGATATAAGGCTCTTATTTGATATATGTAGTATACAGAGATATCTAGAGAGAGCAAATATTCTGCTTCTGATGTTACTTTTCATTCTCTTAATGTCTTAAAGAGAAATGATTTTAAATTTAATAAAGTCCAACTTATCAAGTTTTTAATTTTATGAATTGTGTTTTTGTTGTCATATTTAAGACACCTCTGCCTCACCCAAACTTAAGAATATTTCTTTTATGCTGTCTTCTAGAAGCTTTATACCATTAGATTTTACATTTAGGTCTATGATCCCATTAGAGTTTATTTTTGTATATGGTACAAGATATGGATCAAGGTGGGTTTTTTTTTTAACATGTAGATGTGCATAATTTGTTGTAAAGACTATCCTTTGTCCACTGAATTGCCTTTGCACCTTTGTCAAAAGTTCATTGATCCTCTATGCATCGATCTATTTTTTAAATTTCCTGTCTTGTTTCTTCATTCTACTTGTCTATCTTACTTCACCAAGCCTACATTAGCTCAATTACTATAGCTTTACCATAAGTGTTAAAATCAGTTAGGGCCCAGTGTGGTGGCTCATGTCTGTAATTCTAGCATTTTGGGAGGCCAAGGCAGAAGGATCACTTGAGCCCAGGAGTTTGAGATCCACCTGGGCAACATAGGGAGACCTCATCTCTACAAAAAATTTTAAAAATTAAAAAAACTAAAATCAGTTAGTATGAACCCTCCAAATTTGTTGCTTTTTTCAAAATTATTTCGGGTATTCTACATTCTTTGCATTTCCACATAAATTTTAGAATCAACTTATTTCTACAGGAAAGCCTATTATGTTTCTGATTGGAATTGTGTTAAATCTATAGGTCAATTTGAAGAAAAATGACATTTTACCACTACTGAGTTCTCCAATCTATGAATACAGTATATCTCTCCATTTATTTAAGGCTTTGCTTTCTTTCAGCAGTGTTTTGCAGTTTTCAGCATACAATCCTTTGCATATTTTTGTTAGATTTATTCTTAAGTATTTTGTTTTTTGATGTATTGTAAATGGTACTATGGTAGTATTTTAAAATTTTTAATTTCCAATCATTTATTTTTATAATACTGAAATTCAATTGTGTTTTGAATATTAGCCATATATATTGTGACTTGCTAACCTCACCTGTTGGTTCTAGGATCTATTTTATAGAATATTTGGGGTTTTTATATCTAGACAATAATTTCATTAATGCATAGAAACAAATACTGGAAGAAAAGGTGAGGCAAATTCATTTAAAAAATGGGTATAGAGAAAGGATTTCTAATTATGACTCAGAATCTCGATATAGTAAAAACAATTTGATAAATTTTGTTGCATAAAAAACCTTTTGTGTGGGAAAATACCATAAACAAAGTAAAAATACAACGGAGAAATTTGAAGAAAAAATTTGCAACATACATCAGAAAGGGCTAATATCCCTAATATATAAAGAACTCTTAAAAATGGAGAGGAAAAAGTCCAAAAATATGACATGAAAATGGGCTTAAAACATGAACAGACCACACACACACAAACACGATATAAAAATGGCCCTTACACATATGAAAAGGTGTTCAACCTCACTCAAACAAATGAATGCAAATTAAGACTATACTGAGATACCGTTTCTCACCTACCAGATGGGGAAAATTAGATAGTGTGATGCCATTCTGATGAAAGGCTGTGAGAAGAGAAGACAGCTGTGAGGGGTTTTCAGCACTCGGCTCTCCAGTTCATCCTTCTACATGAGTTTCAGTGATGATCAAGGAAGATACGTGAGGAGAAGAGAGTGCCTGTGCTGTTTGGTGCAGACTTAGAAAGGATGTTGGGAACAAAGCACTGGGGTGTTCTGGAGATGTTATCTGAGTTCCAAAGAGTGGATTTAATACATTTTTTAAAAATTTTCTAATTCCACAGGTTATTGGGGAACAGGTGGTGTTTGGTTACATAAGTTAAGTTCTTTAGTGGTAATTTGTGAGATTTTCGGTTCACCCATCACCCAAGCAGTATACACTGCACCCAGTTTGTAGTCTTTTATTCCTCACTCCCTTCCCACCCTTTCCCCCTGAGTCCCAAAGTCCATTGTGTCATTCTTATGCCTTTGCATCCTCATACTTAGCTCCCACTTATGAGTGAGAACATACAATATTTGATTTTCCATTCCTGAGTTACTTCACTTAGAATAATAGTCTCCAATCTCATCCAGGTTTCTGCGAATGCCATTAATTAATTCCTTTTTATGGCTGAGTAGTATTCCATCATCCATCTATCATCTATCTATCTATCTATCTATCTATCTATCTATCTATCTATCTATCTATAAAAAACAGTTTCTTCATCCACTCATTGATTGATGGGCATTTGGGTTGGTTCCACATTTTTGCAATTACGAAATGTGCTGCTATAAACATGTGTGTGCAGGTATCTTTTTCGTATAATGACTTTTTTTCCTCTGGGTAGATACCCCGTAGTGGGATTGCTGGATCAAATGTAGACCTATACTGAACATACCCATTTACATCATCCTACAATTTCAAGTATATTTTCTCATATGATATGTGGCAAACAAAAGACATCTGTATCTTTTGATATGTGCTCTCTGTTAAGGTTGGTGCTGGTGCTTGAGAGTGACCTAAATTTTATGGGTCCCATCAAATGGAGGAAAAATTCTCTATAATTGACCTCAGATTTCATTAGGTGACAGATGGCCTATGCTCAGAACATAATCTATTAGAATCAGAAAACTACCTATTGTCTTGGATATTTATGGCAAATTATTAAAATGTTTTCAATCATCAATGCTAGCGTGTAGTCACAGCCCTTGGTGCAGCCTAAAGACAGATGAGCCCAAACCCCCACTCAGAAACAGACCATACCAAGGTAGAGAGGTTCAGCCAACCCACCCAGCTCAACTCAGCTCAGAGTCAGACCTCTGACACTCTAAAGTAGCATTTTATGAAAACCTTGTTTTATTGCCTCAGTTTATGAAGCTGTTTTCAATCTCATTCAAGCCTTGTAACTCAGTGAGGAAGTCGGCTGTCTGATATATCCAGGTGAAATACAATAATTAAGGCCCAGAGAGGTTCTCTACCAGTTGTCCAACATCATAAAACTGATGGGAAGAGCCATAACTTCAAGCTACCCGAATCCTAGTCCTTTGCTTTTTGTTTCTATTGTGGAAGAATTCTTCCCAGAAACAGGATCACTCCCACAAGCAGGGATTCCATTATTTCAAAATTGAGTCAGGAATCTTAAGATTATGGGAGTAAAGCCTTGTTCAATTAACTAGACTCAAGATACAGAAACCAAGATGGGTGTGGTGGCTCATGGCTGGAATTCCAGCACTTTGAGAGGCCAAGGTGGAAGGACTGCTTGAGGCTAGGAGTTGGAGACCAGCCTGGGCAACACAGTGAGGCCCTGTCTCTATAAAAAGTAAAAAATTAGCTGGGCATGGTGGTGCACACCTGTTATCCTAGCTACTCAGGAGGATGAGGTGGGAGAATCATTTGAGCCCAGAAGTTCAAGGCTGCAGTGAGCTAGGATCACATCACTGCACTCCAACCTGGGCGACAGAGCAAGACTGTCTCAAAAAAAAAAAAAAAAAGAAAAGAATAGAAACCAATACTCGATTTTATATATGGGCTCCTCCTTCCTCTTCCATCATAGCTTTCCCAGTATGATTCCCTTAATTTTCTTAACCCTAGTACAACCATCTCGTGATGCACAGACCAGATTTTTCCTCCACTGTTCCACCACTGGGACACGTTGTCTTAGGTCTATACAACATTGATCTAATCCCTGAAGATGAAGGGCCCACTTAAAAAAATTATCTATGTACTAAAAATGTATCTATGTCCGAGGCCTTCTTTGTACAGTCATCACTTGTTATTTGCCAGGGATTGGTTCTAGGACTTCTACAGATACTAAAACCACAGATGCTCAAGTCCTTTATATGAAATGGCCATACTTATTTGCATATAACCTATTCACTTCTTCTGTATATTTAAAATCATTTCTAGATTACTTATAAGACCTAATAAAATATAAATGGTATATAAATCATTGTTATACTGTATTTTTATGTGTATTATTTTTTATTACTGTATTATAATTTTTGGACATTTTTAATCTGTGGTGGGTTGAATTTGCAGATGCGGGACCATGAATATGGAGAATTGAGTGTACTCCATTTTTTTATAAGCATAAAATTACACTCATTCCTAGACCTTCACCTCCTATACACTTCTGTGCTCAGGGCAGCTACGTATTTATGAGGCAAAGCCTCCCATTCAATTTTGAGAATAGGGAATTCACTCCTGATATCAGAGGGAGAGATGAAGCTGACCTACATGACACCTTAGCACAAAGAAAAATGTATCCTTCCCTCTGGGCGGATGTAGCTTTGCACAATGGTGCGGCTTGGCAAGTGGAATTCTAGCAGAGTTGTAGTCCTGATTAACTCCCTTGGCCAGCCATCTTTGTCTAACAGCCAAACTGCATGATCATACAAGGTAGCCGTGGGACTGGGATCCATGAAGATTATTTCCTTAAGATTTTTTTTAGTAACTGACAAGGCAAGTAGACACAGTCACTTCACAGTTTGTAATTACTTATTTGCAAGATTTAATATCTGCTCCCAGTTTAATGAGTTCCATGAAAGTAGGGACTCTGTCTTTACTCACTCCATATGCCAGTGCCCACTATAGTGCCTGGCACATCATAAGCACTCATTACTTGTTCAATTCTCTTAATAGCTGTGGCTGCAATACTTTGGGAAGAGCAAAAAGATTATCTCATAACTCTTAGTTCATAACTCTCAGACATGACCGCTGTCCAGAAGTTTATGGCAAACACAAGAACCCACATGTAGAGAAGAGTGAAGAAGACAGGCAGAGACTGCTAGCTAGAAATGTTACAAATTCTAGACCATGGCCTACTACTGCTTCTGCATAATGTCCTATTTAAATAGAGTAGCAATATAAATGACAAAATCTGTGACTGGCCCTTTACTGGTCACTGATATTTGCACTTTATCAATGGCCTCCTGTTCCATCCAATACCATTCTTGTCTCTTTTTCAAATCCATTTTCCATAATACAGCCAGTGTGAAAACTGACCTGATTGAAGTATGGTTTCAGTTCAAAACCTTTCAATGGTTGCTGATTGCTTAGGAGAAAAAGGCACAAAGTTCTAATGATTTATAAAGCCCTCTGTGGTTTGGCCTTTACTTAGCTCTGCAAACTCACCTAGAGTCATTCCCTCTGCTTTCTACGCTCTAGCCAGCTCCTTTCTATGCTCCTTTCACTTCCCTAAGGACATAATGTGCTCATTGCTGCTCAAGGCCTTCAAACATGCTGTTTCCTCTGCCTAAAATACTTGTTCTCCCTATGACAATCTTCACTTACTTGACTCGTGCCTCCTATAGGTCTTAACTTATATTGAGTTCTGAACACATACTGAAGGCATAAAGTGGGTCTCCCCACTTGCCCAGGAACTCTACCTTCTCTGTATCTTATTTTCCTCTGTAGTCCTGATCTCATTTTGTCCCATTTATACATCTGCATGATCTGAGCAGCATCTATCCCTCTCACCACAGGCTGAAGGTCTATTTGGCTCAGCATTTATCCTCAGCATTACCCAGGGGTTTGGCATACAGCACAGATCCTGATGTTTACCGAATAAATGAAGGGACAGTTTTTAAAGATGACAGAGACATTTTTGAAACAAAAGCTTTCACATATTTATTACTGAATCCACCCTACTAGCACAGAGCATACAGAAAAACAGAAAAAAATATTCCCAGTAAAACATGTGCAACTGTCCAGGTAGTGGTGACATTTTCAGCTTGATATCGTAAGATGATCGTGAACTTGATACAGCATAAATATGTGTGCCATCTCATGTGCAATTCCTTATAGACCCAGCTTGGTTCTTCTCCAATGCCTCCTTTTGGAGTTGTACCTGATTTTACTACCAGGTTTCATCTGAATCCACTGGGGGATGGGACGATTTTGCTTTTGTTTCTTGGCCAGGAATCGCTTAATGGTGAAAGTCTTGTGAGAAGACATGGCGAGAAACAGAGTCAACCACACACCACTATGGCGGAGAAAGGGAGAGAGAGACAGAGACAATATTACCATAGGATAGGATAAGGTAACATGAAGAAATAACAAGACAAGAAAGAGGATCTTTAGTGCCACAGCGAGGGCTCATTGCCACTCAGGATCCCACAGGCAGCTCAGGAGCAGCTCAGGAGCCAGCAGCGGTCTGAGGAGTCTGATGGCTGTTCTGGTGGATCAGCAGCAAAGGCAGGAGTCCCTTTGTTCCTACTGTTCCTGACTTGATGCTACTCATTTCTCAGCAACATACTTCTGCTTCTCTTGTTAAATGTCCATCAAGAGGAATTATTTTCAACTTTAAAAAAGTTACGAACAGGTAATACCAGTTCATTACAGAAAAATTAAAGCAATAGAACACTAAAAAAAACTATTATCCCATCTAGCTAGAAAAAGCCCCAATATTAACAACTTGATATTATAAGAGCCTTCCAGTTAAGACAGATGTACATGCAGAATATTGTCTTTCTATAAATTGAGATATTGTAGATATTATTTTGTAACTACAACTTATCTAACTAATATGTGACCCTTTTTTGGCAACTCTTTCTCAATAACCCTTTACATTTGGAGGTCTTAAATCTTTTCCAGTGTCCTGCTATGGCAAATAGTACAGAACAGGAAAACATGGTTGAAAATAGAAACCTATAAAACAAGTAATTCATCCCCACAACACTTAAAATATGAATGTATACATTTAAAACATGCGATTTGCTGTAAAACTATCTCACGGTACTTTCATGTTACTACTATTTTAAAAGCCACTGGCTGTGCATACTAATATTTTTATCTAATTATCAAAATTGACCACATTGCCATCTACTGAATTGCATGCTACCACTCCATTTAAAGATCTTGGGTCCTCCATAATTAACGAACATCAACCTGGGGCCAGAGACACAGTAGTTATTTTTAATGATTCAGATGCAAAATAATGTCTACATCTCAGATTGTGAGAGTAATTACATGATGGCAGTAAAGTCTTACTGCAAACAGTGTTGGAGATATACAAACAGTATGGATCTGTCATGACAAAGGCATTTTTTTTTAACTCTAAGATAATGGGGATAGTGGTAGTGTGCAAAAAGTATGACTGTTTCTGACTGTCTGAGTTCACACACAGTGTCTAACCCAGTCTCTTCAGATGTGACCCAAGCTATTATCTTGGTTTCTGTCTTATGGCTCACTGTTGTGAGATGTTTATTCTATGTCTGGCATCTCCCCTAACATGCAGGCAGGAAGAAGAGAAAGAAAGAAAGAAAGGCAAAAGAGTACATGCTGTGAGGCTACCGGCTTTTAAGGAGCTTTACTAGGTATCTCTCTCAATACCTTTGATTACACCTTATTGGCAAGAACTGTGTTCCACTGCCATCCTTAGCAGTAATGAAGGATGGGCACTATAGTTTTTTAGCTGAGCACATGATGCCCCTAACCCCACACAAATCAGGTTCTGCTAAAGAAAAAGGAAGAAGAATGAATAGCAGAGTAGATAACTAGCAGTCTTTGCTATAACAATTTTGGAAAAGATAATTTAGGATACTTCTGTGAATTTCAGCTCTCAAAATAACCAAAAGAAAATAGAGGAAAATTTAAAAAAGAGAAAAAGGAAGTTCTCAATAGAAATACCTATTAGTCTAGGTATTGAAAAATGGGGTGGAAAAAAAGTCCAAATTGATGGGCAACCCATAAATATCATGGTAAGGAAATACCAGAAGAAATAAGAGTGCTAATTATACTGTCTGCCTTTCAACCCTAATATCCAAACTTCAGACACTTCTGAGACAACTGCCCTAGTGGGGAGGCCAGTGTCCCCAGATTTGTACATCTTCCCACTGGGAACTTTCAGGAGCAGGAGACTTTATGTGCAAGTAACAGATGAGTAGGCAACTAAGTTGGGGTATAGTGTGGGGTGTGGTTGAGATACAAATGTTTCATGAAATATAAAACATTGAAAACTAAGCCGCAAGTATCCTTGTAGGAGTCTACAGGTTACGAGAATAACAAATAGGCCTGAAAATGCCAAATGGGTGATAAAGATAGGGAAAGTACACTACTATTTCTGCCCAATCCTTTTATTTTCTTCCCATACATTAGCAGCAAAGAACTTTTAGCTACCAATCACAGTTCATCTTAAATTGACCACATGCTGACTTTAGCTAGCTATCTAGCAGACCCTGTTCTACCCTTTGTATATTAATTCCCTCTATACAATCTATCAGTGACTATTTGGCTCCAACCACTTCAGAAAAAAAGTCTTCAAGAATACAGGGAAAGAACTAGACTGGGTTGCCAACAAACCCAGAGTCTTAACACCCTCTCCCTTGGGAACCCTGGTTGTACTGGTTAGGGTTCTTGAAGCCAATCTTGTTTGAAAGTCTTCTGTAAGAAAAATCTACTGTAGTAAGATAAAGAACTACAGTAGGACAAATAGTTTACTGTACTATTCCAAGTATTCATTTCCAATGAAGAGGATGATAGTGTGCTCACCTCTGGAGACACTTTGGGCTAGAAGCTCTGACCAGGTATTTCCTGAAAGCTCAATGCCAGTGACATACAGCTCTTAGCTAGAACTAACTCTCATGGAAACTTTTAAAAAGAAACTCAAAGAGATATCTGCTATCTGCATTGGAGACAGTGAAAGAACTGAAAGAACTGGCTATAATGCCAACTGAAATAAGCTTATAGCCAGTAAGTCAGTAGTCCTCATTCTAGTACAATAGTAATGGTTATGAGGGCAGTTTTACCTTAAAAGGAATGATTACACTTAGGAATTGCCCCACACATCTCAGGTGATTCAGAGGACCTCAAGGAGTTCAATTTTCTCAAGAAAATATTGAATTACATACCTCTGGCTATATGCTAAGTTATCTAATTAGTCTAGAGGCTGCAAATACAGTATAATATAGATCCTAAGTACTGGAGATACACACTTCATTCCAGAAAATTGAGAGATGGGAAATCATGGTACCAAGTAAAAAAACTGGGCAAATTCTAGAAACTGGATAGCCTATGCAAAGGCGAAGTTTATTAAGTGATCATAAATGGAAGGCCTGCTGCAGTTGAAAGAAAGCACATGTGGAGATGGAGGCTCATGAGATTTATTAAATCTCTATCAGATGCAATCATACTTGGCCATTTAACTGGCGCTTCAAGAAAGATGATATATCCCTAAACCCCGAGACATACATTTCCTGCCCCTTGCTGTCCTAAGCATAATCTTCAACCATATCTAGATGATTCTGAGAGTTCAAGGCACTAGTGCTTGTAAAATCAAGGTGCTCATAAGGGTCCCATTCTTTAACATCTATGCTGAATATCAAAAATTGGACTCTGGATTTTGGCAAAAAGTATAGGCCCACTCCTCATTCTTCTACTTACTGGATATAGAGGTCATGTGCACACCAATGGCTGCCTGAGGAATACAGTAGTGGCAGCTATTTGGGCATAACTGGGGCTATTAAATGGTTAGACCACTTAAATTAGGCCATTAAATTAGACCACTGGGGCCATTAAATGGTTCCTCAAAATTCTTATTAGGCTCAGAAACAGAATTTGTTATATAATTTCCAAAGTTCAGTTGACTGAGCAACCTCAGCAATCAGTGATACAGCTATTATATATGACCAGCTATGTAAAAGTAATGCCAAAGAAATGGTAGCCATAATAAATGTGGTCTAAAACCACATGTCTTTAGATCATATTCTAGCTGGGAAGGGAGGAGGAGCATGTGCTACTAAATAAGGCAAATACCTACATCCCAGACAACAAAACACATGGGATGCAATACGATATGTCTATAAGGAAGTGGTTAAACTGAGTGGGCTTCATGGTGGTCCTGGCTCTCCATACCTTTTCATAAAGTAGGATTTTATAATAAGAAATGGAAATTTATACTAAGAAATTTTATACTTGTGAGAGCAATATTTTGATTTTTAAGTGATAAGTTGTGTGAAAATAATGGTGGCATCATATTGGTTTAAAGGTCAATGTGTTGTTTTAAACAAAAGTTATCAACTAAGGGTTGGTTGGAGGTTGGCCATAACTTGCCTTGTAACTTAAGAAGTGTCATGGCTGGAAAGCCTCTATGTGATGTGAAAAGCACCCTTTGTTATTTGTAGCTCAGAACTGGAGAGTTCCTGCATCTTGTGGCTTTCTGAATCGCTGCACTCAGACAAGAAGAAGCACCTGCTGCCTGTTGACCACTACCTCTTCCTTACCCATCCCTAATCACTGTCTTTCCACATGTGGTTACAGTGAGATACTAGATCCCCCATTCGACCACCTGCTGCCTGTTGATCAACTCCTCTTCCTTGCCTCTCCTGTCTTCCTTCCCCACTATATAAACCCCTAACTTTGGCTGGAGCGAGGAGATGGATTTGAGGTTTGGCTCTGGTCTCTCTGGTTGACATCAACTGTAAAATAATAAGTCTTCCCTGGCAATACTTGCTTCTTTTTGTGCGGTAAGCAATGGGACCTAGACTGAGCCCCTAGTGTTTTGATATCACTATCACAAATCGTGAAGTGGATCTGTATTAGGCACACCTCTGCACTTTGTGAGGCTTTCTGAAGTTGTGGGAAGCATTTCTTGGAACCCACTGAGTAAATATCAGAGCACTCCGGAGTGGTTAAAGGTTATATTACTATTTAAGGTCATAAGGTTAAAGGTCATAAAATATTTTTAAATATGGAACTCCGGGAATCTTTTAACAAAAAAGTTTTTGTATCCAAACCATCTTGTGTGTCCCATGTCTGATTAAACTTGTAGACTAAAAATAAGAACTTTCTGTTCCCAAAAATATAAACATCTATTGGTTTCTTTTTTTTTTTTTTGAGATGGAGTTTCACTCTTTTTGCCCAGGCTGGAGTGCAATGGCGCCATCTCAGCTCACTGCAACCTCTGCCTCCCGGGTTCAAGCAATTCTCCTGCCTCAGCCTCCCGAGTATCTGGGATTACAGGCGCCTGCCACTACACCCGGCTAATTTTTTTATATTTTTTGTAGAGATGGGGTTTCACCATGTTGGCCAGGCTGGTCTTGAACTCCTGACCTCAGGCGATCTGCCCGCCTCGGCCTCCCAAAGTGCTGGGATTACAGGCTTGAGCCACCACGCCCGGCCCATCTATTGCTTTTTAATGTTTTGAAAAACCACAGTATTTTGAAAAATACTGTGCTTTATTAATTTATTTTCCATTTCTAGTAATGGTGGCCCAGGTTATTTAGGTCAGTCTGCCAGCTGAAAACAAACCAACTAAAAAACTGGGTAAAATATATTTCAAATAATATTTTAAAAAGCCTCAAAGAGATTACAAAATAGTAAGGAATTATCAGGCCAAAAGTTAAGAGAAGCAAAGAATCAAGAGAAGTAAACAAGCCTGAAGCCACTTTTTCATGGAAAGCACTGCTAATCCCAGAACATTAGGACCTCCATTTTGACAGCATTTCAGAGTACAGGGGAGATTGAAAACAAAACCCTGGGTTCATATAAGTTGGGGAGTCTGTCAGGAGACCTTCTCCTACAACAATCTGGGATCCAAAATCTCAGAGTGAAGGTGAACAAGAATTGTAATAATGTGAATGCGCTGAGACTCCTCTGAGTTGTCCAGGAAATATCAAACTTTGAACAGGTGGGCCCAAACTTGTGGTACCTGCAGGTACCCAACAAAAGCAAATATGTGTGATCTTTGGGACCAAGTATCTTAATTACAGGCCAGACAATTATTTCCACAAAATGACATTTCAAGTGCAATGACTAGCAGAGGGTCAAACATAACCAGCATATAAGAAAATTGGAATCAATGATTAAAACAGACAATAGAAAGAGATCATTAGAAACTCTAGGTAGGACCCAGCATCTGTGTTTTAAAAGCCCATCCAGGTCATTCTGAAGCATGTTAAAGTTTGAGAATCATTGCTTTACATTTTTATCATATAAATATACATCCCATAAAAAATATATAAATGTAATACATCAGAGAATGGACCCAAGAATTTGCATTTCTAACAAATTCCCAGATGATACTGATGCCACACCACACTTTGAGAACCACTAGTATGAAAAAAGGAATTTTAGTATACAGGTAAAGATAGTGGTCACCTGTGTGGAGAAGGGCTGTTACTTAGAAGCAATATGCGTATATTTCCTAGAACGCTGGTAATTTTCTATTTCTTAGCCTGGGTAGTTATTACACAGGTGTCATTATTAAACTACACATTTACACTTTAGTGCCTATTTTAATGCATAGTGAGATAACTGGTTTCCCTTTCCCATTCAATCATACAGTTCAAATGCCATGGCGTAAATCCTGTCTACCATCATCCCACCACCTTCATTTATAATCAGTGCCTAAAGTATAAAATGTAAAAGTTTGTGAAGTTCCAAGACATAACTCCTTTCACTTTAGTTTGCAATGTAATTTTTCACAAAATTAAATAGCTTTGAAAATTAAGATGAGAAAAGTTTAGTCTAAGTTTCTGAAAACCATATTTAAAACACTTGTTTAAAATTCAGATATACTATCTACAGCCTTCATCCCTAATTTAAAAATATCTACAAAACTAAAAAGAAACTATCTTAAATTTTTAACAAAGTGTCCAATTTTAAAAATTACACTTTTTTTTCACAAGTTGAAAGAAAGAGGAAGAAAATCCTACCTTTTTCAAGTCTGAATTTCCTACTCCAAAGAGGCAAAGATGCTTGCTTCTCTCCAAATAAAATCTGAAAAGAAAATATCCAGTGTGTAATGGTAACAGTAAGATCCTACTATTTTCAGTTAAACCTTACCTGTGGGTGAAAATAATGTTCATCAATTGGCCTGAAATTTGTGAAAACCTTAAGAGAAAATATGGGAAGTCTTTTTGCAGAAAGAGAGGCAATGACAACAAAATTGAAACACGTAATATTAAACTGATCAGTGCAGCCTGTGCTTGCTTTTGAATTCCCACTCACAAATCCTCAAACAACATTAATAAAATGTGGGATGTGTACACCTGTTTCTTGTGTTTATGAAAAATAAGCTCTTTGGGGGGATTAGATTCTTCCAAAAACTTCAAAAAACAGTAATATTTGCCATTTTTTTGATTCATGGTATCAACATAGTTATTATACAAGCCCTCCTCACCTTTCCTCTGTGAGGAAACCATTATAACAGTTTTTTAATATACATTTCTTTCTCTCTTTTTTGAGACAGGGTCTCATTCTGTTGTCCATGCTGGAGCAGAGTAGCATGATCCTAGTTCACTGCAGCCTCAAATGCCTGGCCTCGAGTAATCCTCCTGCCTCAGTCTCCTGAATAGCTGGGACTACAGGTTATGTCCCAGCATGCCTGGCCTGTAACAGTTATTATAGTTACTGATTCTGGCAGCTAGGCAGTAGCTGTCTATGCCTTGTGATGTACCAGACAGGTATCTGAACAACCAAATAGTCCCCACGGCAAGGTCTGTGTGTAATGCTTCCCTGTGGCAAGCTATTGACTGAGGCTATGGCAAAAACATATGCAGTTGGGTTTCGTTATGCCTATAAACATCATGATACGTCCAACGTCCATTTATGTGGTAACACCTAGCCAGACCCTATTATACCTCTTGCTTTGCTCAGCACTATTGTACCTCTTGCTTGCAGAGAGCTGTATGCACCCATCCCTTACAACGTCCTCTCCTTCCACTGTTGCAAAATGACCATATGTTATGATGCCTAATCATTATCATATCAACTACAGGCTATGTGGCAAGACAGTGATGATAGCTTAGCAAGGATTGTTTCTGAATATTGAATGTTAGATCCAGATGGTCAGACAAGTGAAAGGCAGTTTTTGCACCATGTGAGTTAATACACTGCAATTTCAAGATAATATAGCTCAGGATAAAAGAGGTTTGATAAGCTCGCTTCCTGAGCAGGTAGAACAACGGGTTTTAGTAGTCTAAATACATCTCCTAGGCGGATTTGGGGAGACGTGAAAAGCCACACACACTGAACACTGCCAATCCAATGTCCTCTGTGTCCTTTACTCATAATGTAACCTTCACCAAGCCTCAAACCCAGTCTTCTCTGGGATCACTTCGATTTAGAAAGTAATAATCACTTTTTTAAACAAAAGCATAAACATGGCCTCGGAATAGAGCTGATCTTAGGAGAGCAGTGCTCCTCCTCCTCCTCATTGACAACAATACCTTAAGCACATAATTCGTTCTACAAAAGGACATCCTCACTCAGTTCTTTTGAGTAGAAAATTCTAAATTATCCAAGACTTAGCTGAGCTTGTTATATTAAATGGTGTTTACCTGGTCTTAAGGATAAAATATGCTACAGTAAAGCACAAAATATGTAGTACCTTTTCATTAATGTCTACAAATTGTACTGGATTATGAACCCTCTATACCTTTTGGACTATAAAGTTAACCTTAAGAAACCAATCTATAAAATTGCTGCATTATATTTTTCAACACAATCTGAGTTTTCCTCCCTACTCCCAGGTCACCACTATACCCTCCCCTCCACCCTTTTTTTTTTTTTTTCTTTTTTGCCTTTGTGAGAATATCAGGCTCACATATAAATAAGTGCCACTTAATAAGAGCTGTATTGTATCATCTAGGTCACCCAGTAGGTATAGAGAGGACATTAGTGATTTCCCTTGGGCTAGGCTAAAATACTTCATCTCATACATAGTTTTAATATACTTTGTTATAATAATCAGTTGGCTTAAAAAACCCATCATAGAACTCTCAAAGCATCCTACTCCTTCAAGACAGCCCTTGCCAAATGCTTTGAATATTCTTGTTGACTGTCCTGTCTTTCCTATGTATCCTCTTACAAGAACCAGTCTTGGGATTTGTGAGATATTCTAGTCATTTGTGAATCTACTTTGCTTCACATGAGTTGATAACATCCACGATGTCACCTTCAAAGCAAAGTTCTTTGTACTTTCCATTCATTGGTTTTATTCTCTGACGTATTAAATCACAATTACTTTTGCACCAATCTAATAGTTTGGATATTTGTCCCCACCCAAATCTCATGTTGAATTGTAATCCCCAATGCTGGAGGTGGGGCCTAGTGGGAGGTGTTTGGGTCGTAGGAATGGATCCTTTGTGGCTTGGTGCTGCCGTCGTGACAGTGAGTTCTTGTGAGTCTGGTCATTTAAAAGTGTGTGGTACTTCCCTTTCCCCAACTCTCTCTCTCACTCTTGCTTTTGCCATGTGACGTGCCTGCTCCCACTTCACCTTCTGCCATGAGTAAAAGCTCCCTGAGGCCTCCTCAGAAGCAGAGCAGATGCTAGTGCTATGCTTCCTGTACAGTCTGTAGAAACATAAGCCAATTAAACCTCTTCTTTATAAATTACCCAGTCTCAGATATTTCCTTACAGCAATGTAAGAATGGCCTAACACATTCTCAATCATTTGACAAAAATTTTCATCCTAAATATCTTCTGTATGGCAGGTGGTTTCTGAGCAATCTTTAATTTTGAAACTGAAAGTACTCAAGTATTTTATATGCAGAGGTAGGGCTGTTCTTACAAGTTTTTTTCTTTTTGTAGCACTTCCGCTGTTACTGAGTCATCTGCATCACATGACATTTGTATCAGATGGGCACAACTGTCTCTGTATTTCATGCTGTTTGTTGACTTATGAGCCCAGGGCATCACTATACCACTTGCTAACTTACTTTCCTTAGCATGTCCTCTTTCAGCTTTCTCTACATCCTTGGTTGGCACATGACCTAAAATCAAAGTGGTATTTAAAAGGCTTTTTTCACATATACAACTCTCACTTTCTCTACATCATCCTGCAAGTTGAAATATTTTATCTCTTCTGTATTTGCGACCACTGTCACAGTGGTTAAAAGAACTCTGGAGGGCCGGGCACAGTGGCTTATGCCTCTAATCCCAGCATTTTGGGAGGCTGAGGCAGGCACATCACCTGCCTGCATTTTGGGAGGCTGAGGCAGGCACATCACCTGCCTGATTTTGGGAGGCCGAGGCAGGTCAGGAGTTCAAGACCAGCCTGACCAACATGGTAAAACCCTGTCTCTACTAAAAATACAAAAATTAGCCAGGCATGGTGCCTGGTGCCTGTAATCCCAGCTACTTGGGAGGCTGAGGCAGAAGAATTGCTTGAACTCAGGAGACGGAGGTTGCAGTGAGCCAAATCACGCCACTGCACTCCAGCCTGGGAGACAGAGAGAGACTCCTTCTCATTTAAAACAAAACAAAACAACAACAACAACAAAAGAACTGTGGAAACAAACTGCACAGGCTCAAGTCTCACTGCCACCACTAGCTGTTAGTGTGACCTTGAACACATTTCTTAGCCATGTTGTTCCTTTTTTCTAATCTGTAATATGTGGATAATAATATCTAACATCATAAGGTTGTTATAAAGCTTATGTAGGTGAGGATTTAGCATAGTAATGAGTGTAAAATATTTAGGACAATGCTTGGCACATAACAAACACAATACAGGTCTTAGCTGTTATTTTTATATCTACAGCTGTATAAAGCCTACAGTTGTTGAAATTATAAATGTTCCCAGTTTTAAGATTTCTGTGTTGATTCTGCTGTACTAATGTCACTATCTTGACTATTTAATAGGAAGATATCACATACACAGACTATAAGCTCCTCAAGAGGTTATATTTTTCTTGGATACTCAAGGATGCTCAGAAGAGTAATTGAGCACATGATAACGCTTTCGTCGTCACACCAGATACAGAGCATTTCCTTGAGGCTGCCTACCACATAACCATTAGTTATGGTTGCAGGGGTCACAAACACTCCTGGTTCCCACAATATCTGAAATAAAATAACACAATACCAGAGGTATTGCCCATGGTAACATAAACCAAATATGCCCCCAGGCAGCTGATAGCAAGATTATACATGCATGTGTCACACACAGGCTTATTCACCCAGAGATGGTCAATATTAATGTTCAAAGATTACTGCTACACTCAGCCATCTTCCTTTGACAAGAGAGAATACAGATTTTTTTTGAAAAAAGTTTTGCTCAAAAATCTATGAAAGATGCTCAGTTTCTGGGGGTAAAGTATAAGTCTGGTGCTGGTTGAATGCTGACTACAGGTGTAGAAGGAATAGGTGCGGACCCACCTCTTCAATGAGAGTTCATTTAGGTAATCAGGTAAATCTGATGCTGACAGACAAAAGAATGGCAGATGCTGAAATGATTTTCCTTATTCTCTATTTTCGGGAATATTTCACAAGAACTTCCCTGCTTTAGTAAGAAACAGATGTTTCCCCCCGTATGGTTTATGGTTTCTCACTATCTCAAGAGCCACTTTTGTCCATATTCAACATGCATAAATATTTCAGTAATTTGTCTTCTGCCTAGGATGTAGAAACCTAGAAAGAGCATCGCTCCTATGCCAACAACCAGAAGAACTACGAAATAATTTTTCCTGAAACTCAGAGGACTGAGGTTAGGAAGACCAACTGGACTTTCCCAGTATGAGAACTAAAAGTCCCATATCCTGGGAAATTCCTCAGATCCAGGCAAACTGGAACAACTGGTCACCCCACCTAAGGTCACAGACCAATAAAGTAGCTTGAAATCCAAGGAAAGACTGACCTGGCAAAGGAGCAAAGGGACATGAGCACTGAAGAAGAGACATCAAGTACCTCATACACTGATAAGAATTCAGCTAAAATTGTTAATGAACTGCTAAAGGTCAAGTGTGGACCAGCATAAGAGTATAAAACCCCTGGGAGCCTCAGACATAAAGACAGTTTGCTTCCACTTTCAGTCTCTCTTCCATGATCTCTACTGGGTACTGATGGAAAAGACTTGGGACAAGGCAGGAGACTAGAGAGAGCCTCCTCGGTGGTGAAGATCTATTAGGGGAAGATATGGTTTGGCTTTGTGTCCCCACCCAAATCTCATCTCAAATTGTAATCCCCACCTGTTGAGGGAGGGACCTGGTAGGAGGTGATTGGATCATGTGGGTGGTTTCCCCCGTGCTGTTCTTGTGACAGTGAGGGAGTTCTCATGAGATCTGATGGTTTAAAAGTGGCACTTCCCCCTTCACTCTCTTTCCTGCCACCATCTAAGACGTGCTTTGCTTCCCCTTTGCCTTCTGCCAGATTGTAAGTATCCTGAGGCCTCCCCAGCCATGTGGAACTGGTAATTTATACATTACCCAGTCTTGGGTAGCTCTTTATAGCAGTGTGAAAACAGACTAATACAGGGAAGTAAGCTCTTACTGTGGAAAAGGCAAAAAATCTGCCCAGACCTTTCCTTACCCAAGACTGAGGTTGGACCAGGATGACCAAGTCTTCTGGCGTCCTCTACCAAGATAGCAAGCACCAAGTAACAAGCAGGGTGAAAGGCAAAAGCATGGAGAGAGACTCCTGTGTGGTATAGGCTCATTGGGAAGGCTGCAAGCTGAGAATGAAATAGGATATTGAGAAAATCCCTCTAGCACGCTACCCTAAGCAAAAGGTAATATTAGAGGAAATCGAACCTGGTAGTGTACTGAAGATGGACCAATAAAACCCAAACCCAGCTTAACTACTGAGTAAGCTGATTCAAGACCCCACATTACTGACCTAGCAGAAAAAGCATGCTTATTTTGGGGCATAGATTATCTCAACCCCTACTGTCCTACACAAGATGCTTGGCATTTGATAAAATATTATGAGCATGAAAAAGAAAAAAACAACTCATTGTGAAGAGGGAAAGTAATCAACAGAACCACACTCTCAGATAACCTAAGTGTTAGAACTAAGAGAGATGGAACTTAAAATATATTTGATTAATATATTAATCATATATATTGAAGGTTCTAGTGGAAAAAAATAGACAGCAACATGAATGACCAGAGGGGAATTTCAGCAGAGAAAAAAAATGTTTACATTAAATGAATATGCTTGAAACAGAAAACATAGTAACAGAGATAAAGTAGTCTAAAGCAGTGGTATACAACTAGGGGCAATTCTGCCTTTCTGGAGACATTTGGCAGTATCTGGAGATATTTTTGGTTGTCACCACTGGAGGAGTGCTGCTAGATCTAGAGGGTGGAGGCCAGGGATGCTGCTGAACATCCTATAACGTACAGGTGAGCCTCATACGACAAAGAATTATCCAGCCCAAAATGTCAGTAGTGCCCAAACTACTTTAGCCTGACTGATAAAAAAAAAAAAAAAAAAAGAAGACACAAATTACCAACATCTGCAATGAAAAAGGGGACAATGCTACAGGTCTCAGGACATTAAATGGATAGAATAATATCACAAATTATTGTATGCCCATAAAGTCAACTTAGTCATCGAAGTCTTGTAAGGAAATGGACCGATTCCTTATGAGATGGGTACCACCAAAGCTCATGTAAGTGCATAACCTAAGTAGTTCTATGTCTATTAAAAATGTTGAATTGTGTAGTTAAAAATCTTGTAACAAAACTACAGGCCCAAATGGCTTCACTACCAAAAGCCAGAGATCAGGACAAGACCAAGCCTTTCTCAGTGCCAGGAGGAATGCTTGAGCTTCAACTCCCAGTTCCCACCTCTGTTATGCTTCCAGGGATTCCCAAATATTTTGCATTCTGTGGTGTTCACACCTCAATTCTATCTCACAGTGCTGACCTGATCAGTTGAAAGGTGCTGTTGCACGTAAGAGTGACCTTTGCATGTTGGGTGAAAGGGAAGCCTCAGAAAGGCAGTAATTTGAGCCAGTGGTAGACATTCTTTCCCAACTCAACTTGCCAAGGCTTTTTCGCTTAAAGCTTTCTTAAATTCTTAAGAAATTACATGGCTGTGTGATGGTAGATCCTCCCACCCTGATGGGGCAATCTCATTTCAGTCACCTGCAGGTGTCTACTGGGGTGGAGATCCAGCTTCTAAGGCTTTGTCAAATACTGTGGCTCCTGAGGCAAAGCAGTTCAGAAGCATAGCTGAGACTGAGCCTCATGATGGGACGGTAATATCGTTTGGCTGTGTCCCCACCCAAATCTCATCTTGAATTGTAACTTCCACAACTCCCACGTGTCGTGGGAGGAACCCAGTGGGAGGTGATTGAATCATGAGGGCGGGTCTTTCCCGTGCTGTTCTTGTGATAGTGAATAAGTCTCATGAGCTCTGATGGCTTTAAAAATGGAAGTCTCCCTGCACAAGCTCTCTGTTTGCCTGCTGTCATCCATGTAAGATGTGACTTGCTCCTCCTTGCTTTCTGCCATAATTGTGAGGCCTCCCCAGCCATGTGGTACCGTAAGCGCAATAAACCTCCTTCTTTTGTAAATTGCCCAGTCTCGGGTATGTCTTTATCAGCAGCATGAAAGACTAATACAGACGGGTAAGCAGTGAATAGGCAAAACACACTCGTGGGTGAGGTAGCTCACAAACAGCCTTATCTTTCCAAAGGAAGACATAAACCAAGTGTGTTGATCCATTTTGCCTTGCTATAAAGGAATACCTGAGGCTGGGCAACTTATAACGAGTTTTATTTGGCTTATGGTTTTGCAGGTGGTACAAGCATGGCACCAGCATCTGCTAGGCATCTGATGCTTTAACTCTTGGTAGAAGGTGTAGGAGGAGCAGGCATGCCGCATGGCGAGAGACAGAGCAAGAGAGATGCCAGGTTCTTTTGAACAATTGGCACTCATGTGAACTAACAGACTAAGAACTCTTTCCATGGAACTAGAGGCTCTAGGAGGACTGGATTAGGACTGCATCCAGTACACACTGATGTAAAGCTAACATCTTCCCTCATCACACTGCTTTTGAGAGCCATTCAAAACACTAAAGATCGAGATATTGGAGTCTGCCCATTTTATATTCCATAACTAATGGAGACTGCTCAAGTGAAAGCTTAAATTTACAGGTAATTTTCTGTCCCTATCTACACTTCAGACTAGAGCATCGGCAATTTCTTCACTAAAGCTAATTACTTTTTAAAGTGGTGTGACTGACAAAAAGAAGTCAGCCCAAGGATGCTGCAGTGCCAGAGTTTGTAACAATATAATTAGGAGTGAAGGTTGGTGAGGTGACCACCCTCCCTGATGACATCTTTCTTCCTTTCTCTATAGTTTTACAGTTCACTTATGCAAAACTGGACAATCAAACAGCCAAAGCAGTAGAGATAGGTCTGCCAGCAACTGAGTTGGTTCTAATGCAACAGCTGAGGGAAGTTTGAGCCTTTCTCTGCAGCCCTAGACCATCTGTAATTAGGCTGTGGTTCTTTAACTGCCAAGGCCTTTGAGTTAAGCTGGGTTAGTAAGGTTGTTTGATATGGATCGCATAGGATAAGAGTAGGTAGTGGTATTTTCTGGGAGATAAGAGTCAATGTGAGTAGTTTTTTGGGTGGGGTGGGTGGTGGGGAAGGCAGTTTTTCTGAACATTATAAGAAGTTTCCAATATCTCAAAACTTTTGTAATAGTGTTTTCCCAAAGAAATATAATGTGAGCCCCACATATAGTTACAATTTAAAATTTTCTGAGTCATGTTAAAAAATAAATAGGAACAGGTAAAATTAATTTGAATATATTTTATTTAATCTGATTTATTTAAAATACCATTTAAGCATGTAATTAATATAAAGGTGGATAAAATATTTTAAATTAAAAAGGAGACTTTAGGCTGAGTGCAGTGGCTCACACTTGTAATCCTAACATTTTGGGAGGCGAGAGGATTGCTTCAACTCAGGAGTTTGAGATCAGCCCGAGTATGTTTCTCATAGTGAGACCTCATCTCTACAAAAAAATTTAAAAATTAGCTGGGCATGGTGGTGCATGCCTGTGATCGGGAGGCTGAGGCAGCAAGAGGATGGCTTGAGCCGAGGAGATGAGGTTGTAGTGAGTCATGATTGAGTCAATGCACTCCAGCTTGGGCAACAGAACAACACTCTTCCTCAAAAAAAAAAAAAAAAAAAAAAAAAAGTGTCAGGTGCAGTGGCTCACACCTGTAATCCCAGCATTTTGGGAGGCCAAAATGCTCAGGATCACCTGAGGTCAGGAGTTCCAGACCAGCCTGGCCAACATGGTGAAACCCCGTCTCTACTAAAAATACAAAATAATTAGACAGCGTGGTGGCACATGCCTGTAGTCCCAGCTACTTGGGGAGGTGAGGCAGGAGGATCACCTGAACCCGGGAGGCGGAGGCTGCAGTGAGCCGAGGTTGCACCACTGCACTCCAGCCTGGGCAACAGAGTAAGACTCCGTCTTCAAAAAAGAAAAAGAAAAATTGGCCGGGTGCGGTGGCTCACGCCTGCAATCCCAGCACTTTGGGAGGCTGATGCGGGCAGATCATCTGAGGTCAGGAATTCGAGACCAGCCTGGCCAACCATGGCCAACATGGTGAAACCCCGTCTTTACTAAAAATACAAAAATTAGCCGGGTGTGGTGGCAGGCACAGCTACCACAATCCCAGCTACTCGGGAGGCTGAGACGGGAGAATCACTTGAACCCAGGCAGCAGAAGTTGCAGTGAGCCAGGATTGCGCCACTGCACTCCAGCGACAGAAGGATACTCCGTCTCAAAAAAAAAAAAAAAGGAAAAAAAGAGACTTTAAAAGCTGGTGTGCGTTTTAACATTTGTAGCACATCTTTTTTCAGACCAGCCACATTTCAAGTGCTGAATAGCTACATGTGATTCAATGAGCTTTGGTCAGCTCAGCTTTACAACCTCTCAGGTTCTTTCTCTAAGCAAACTCTCTTAGGTTCTGAAATTGAGAAGGCGTGGAGGGTGACTATTGGATTACAAAGCCTTTATGATTCCAACAACTCTCAGTTAATAGAAGCATCCGTCCTGTCTCTTGATGTCCTAGTGACTAAAGACATGTCTAGAGAAGAAACTCTTTTAACTATATTTTTATATAGTTACATGACAGCCTTTGAGAAAATTGAGAATTAAGGCCAGGCCCAGTGCAAAATGAAAATGTTGTGGAGGTGGCGGGGAGGGGAGGCGGGTGCTGGTTTAAAAATTAAGAATTTCAAGATTGCCATAGCAGAGCAAGAAAGTAAGTACAGGGCCCTTCTGAGCCCTATGTGACTGCACGGGTGGGACCCTTTTGAAGCTAGTCCTGGTCAGGGTTTATGTCTCTGGATGAATCCAGATGTGTAAAAGGCAAGGAAGTGGCGAGATTCCTTGGGCTATCTTTGAGAAACGGGGACCTTAAAGGAGACTGCAAAATCTTACCTACTGGAATTAATGGAGGAAAAGAAAGTGTTTGCGCCTGTGAGAACGCCTTGGAAAGAGGCAGTGAGCAGATGAGGCAGATAGGTAAGACACTTGGTTTTGCTGATTAAACCACTGATGAATCAGTGCCACTCACATCCTGGGTAATTCTAGGGACACTAGTTGGACAACGCTGACATCTGAAGAGGTGGCAGGGCGGAACATGGATCCCTTTAAGGCTACTTTATTGTCGATTTCCTCCTTCTCTAAGCTAGAAACAGGGGGTGCCTGAGTGGCCTCCAGAAGCCACTACTGTAGGCCAGGAGCAGTGCCTCACGCCTGTAATCCCAGCACTTTGGGAGGCCGAGGCGGGCGGATCACCTGAGGTCGGGAGTTCGAGACTGGTGTGACCAATATGGTGAAACCCGTCTTTACTAAAAATACAAAAATTAGCCGAGTGTGGTGGCGCGCGCCTGTAACCCCAGCTACTCAGGAGGCTAAGGCGGGAGAATCGCTTGAATCCGGAGGCGGAGGTTGCAGTGAGCCGAGATCACACCACTGCACTCCAGCCTGGGCGACGGAGGGAGACCCTGTCTCAAAAAACAAACAAACAAACAAACAAACAAAAACGCTACTACTGTTGGAGTCGGCTTGAGCTGTGGCATTGTTGTTTCCAGCCCGTGACCCTCACGCCGCCCTGCTCGTTGGGCGGACCGGGCCCTGGCGGCGGGTGAGGAGGAACCTTTACTTACCGGCGCCCTGGCCTCTGCTTTTTTCCCACTCTAGGACGCAAATCTCGATCTGCAAGGGCCTGGGGCGCGGGCGGAAAAGGCGGGCCCAGCTCCCTCAGGTCTGCGTGTCACCGACCCGAACCCGCTCCGTCGTCCTGACGCCCCCGGCCTAGCTGCAGCCACCTTGTCGCAGGGGCCTTGGTGTCTCTGAGACTCCGAGACGCCTCGCCCCCACCTGGCGTTCGGAGGCGGTTGCCTCGCTGGGCGCAGCAATTCAACCGCCGCGCGCCGGATGCTAAGACCGCGATTTCCCCGGATGCTAGGGCGGTGATTTCCCCCGTGACAGGCCCCGCCCCGGCCCCGCCCAGGCCCGGGCGGTCCCGCCCCACTGAGCTGTGGCTCGGGGAGCCGTGGGTCCGACTCCTGCGTGTGATGTGTCACCAAGTTGACTTTGGGGTCCCCCATTCTTCCTTAGTTCTCTATTTTACCTCAGCGCGTTGTCTAGCTGCTGCCTGGCCACGGTACTTAGCACACAGCGTGACTTAATACTGGATAAACGAGGAAAGGATTCGTACGCCCTGGCGGGGCCAGAGGCTCACAGCTTGGGTTCCCGCGAGCACACGAGCCAGGAACCGCCAATGCCTCCAGGGGGCGCTCTCCCTCCCATCGAGCCACCGCCGGGCCATTGGAGACCAGGAGGACCTCTCAGCTCCATCCCTGCGTCTCTAACAATTGTCTCATTTCCCTGCCTGGAGTCAGTATTACCACTCCCATAACACAGATTTTTAAAATGCAACTAAATTTTAAACGAGTCACTTTATTTAAAAACAACATGAACAAAATGGGATTTCTGCTAATGCAAATATCTATACAAATTTAACGATTTTGGTTCTAATTCTAGATGAAAAGTCAAATCTCCTGTTACATATGAGAAAAGTCAAATCTCCTGTTACATATTAGAAGTTTACCTCTTGTTACCTTTACTGCAACTGCAATGGCAGTTTCAACTGTTTCAACCAAGTAATGTAGTTGGAAATGCTGTTATTAGAAGTATATCTTCCCAGCATTTCGGGAGGCCAAGGTGGGTGGTTTACTTCAGGTCAGGAGTTCGAGACCAGCCTGGCCAACATGATGAAACCCTGTCTCTACAAAAATACAAAAACTAGCCAGGCGTGGTGGCGGGTGCCTGTAATCCCAGCTGCTCAGGAGGCTGAGGCACGAGAATCGGTTGAACCCTGGAGGCAGAGGTTGCAATGAGCTGTACTCCAGCCTGGGCAACAGAGTGAGACTGCATCTCAAAAAAAAAAAAAAAAAAAAAAAAAAAAAAAAAAAAAAGTGGATATGACAGTTCGAATTAGATCTAAAACCTTTCCTAATTACACCAGTTAAATCATGAAATCATGCAATAGTAGAACAGGTGTCTTACCTACCTGCATTATCCTGTAAATATTGACATGTTATTCTACATAATCATAAACTGACCGATCACACATATCTTTAAATCTAATCATCATAACTAAAAACTGTATTTGAATAAAATTAGTGTATTTCTAAATCTGTCTTTAACAGACACAAAGATGTAAATTTGAAATGTCTTGGTAAATGAGGTTAACACAATATAAATATTTTTGACGAATTCATCATAATTTGTTCATTTTAAGGAGATTGATTTTATTTTCTTGAAGCTTAAGGAGGACTTTGACATTTTAAATGTATCTAAAATTTAAATTTTATTAAATTTTACATTTCACATTTCTTTTTTTTATTGATTGAAACAAGCATTTCACATTTCATATTTCTTTTTTTTATTGATTGAAACAAGCATTCCATAGTCATTTCAAATAGTGTACAAAGTATTTTAAAATGTTTTTCTGGCCGGATGCAGTGGCTCACGCCTGTAATCCCAGCACTTTGGGAGGCCGAAGCGGGTGGATCACCAGGTCAGGAGATCGAGACTATCCTGGCCAACATGATGAAACCCTGTTTCTACTAAAAATACAAAAATTAGTCAAACGTGGTGGTACGTGCCTGTAGTCCTAGCTACTCAGAAAGCTGAGGCAGGAGAAGCGCTTGAACCTGGGAGGCGGAGGTTGCAGTTTTTCTTCAAAGACCTATCTGATTTCCATATGCAGGATAACACATTCAAACTCTTATTTGTTGTTAATGTAAGCTTTAATTCATATAGTTGTTTTTTTTTTCTTTGAGGAGTCTCTATCGCCCATACTGGAGTGCAGTGGCACAATCTCACTGCAACCTCCGCCTCCCAGGTTCAAGTAATTCTCATGCTTTAGCTTCCCAAGTAGCTGGGATTACAGGTGCATGCCAACATGCCTGGCTAATTTTTGTATTTTTAGTAGATACAGGGATTCACCATGTTGGCCAGGCTCGTCTCGAACTCCTGACCTTTGGTCATCCACCTGCCTCAGCCTCCCAAAGTGTTGGGATTACGGGGTGAGCCACTACGCCAGGCCTGCTTTTAATTTTGTGAATGGTCTTGATAACATTTCATTGTTCATTGATTAAATTCATTGTTGTGATGTTTTAAGCTTGGTGACTTAATGTTGTTGATGAACAATGCAACTAGTTGCCAAAAGCCTGATATTACACTTTACTACCCAACTACAGCTGATGCTCAAATAATGACATTGGGATATGATTTTAAAATTTATTTTCCTGAAATAATGTGTGTGTCAAATCTTAACACCCCATTGTATTCCTTGTCAGTAACTTTGAAGACAACAACAACAAAAAACCTCCTTATCTTTATATCACTGTTTTGGCCTATTTGCATTGCTATAAACGAACACTTGAGGATGGATAATTTATGAAGAAAGATTTATCTGGCTCATGTTCCACAGGCTGTATAAGAAGCATGGTGCCCACATCTACATCTAGTGAGAGCCTCAAACTGCTTTCACTCATGGTGCAAGGGAAAGGGGAGCAACTTGTGCAGAGATCACATGGCAAAAGACGCAAGAGAGAGTAGAGAGGGAGGCTCTTTTTAAATATCAGCTCTCAAGGTGTATTAGTCCATTTTTACACTGCTAATAGAGACATACTGGAGACTGGGTAATTTGTAAAGGAAAGCAGTTTAGTTGACTCACAGTTCTCCATGGCTGGGGAGGCCACACAAAATTTACAATCATGGTGGAAGAGGGAGCAAACATGTTCTTCTTCACATGGCAGCAGCAAGGAGAAGTGCTGAGCAAAAGGGGGAAAAACCCCATATAAAACTATCAGACCTCATGAGAACTCAATCGCTATAACAAGAACAGCATGAGGGTTAACTGCCCCATGATTAAATTATCTCCCACTGGGTCCCTCCCACAACATGGGGATTATGGGAACTACAATTCACGATGAGATTTGAGTTGGGCACAGCCAAACCATATCACGAAAGCACTAAGAGTGCGAAGTCACCATCCCCCAGAGAGGGCATTAATATATTCACGAGGGATCCACCTTAAACCTCAGGACCCAAATATTTCCCATCAGGCCCCACCTCTAACATTAGGGATCAAATTTCAATATGCAGTTTGGGGGACGAACGTCCAAAGTATAGCAATCAGCCTTTTAAAACTTACCCTTTTCATTTTGAGATAATTGCAGATTTACCTGCAGTTGTAAGAAGTAGTATAGGGGCTGAGTGTGGTGGCTTATGCTTATAAACCCAGTGCTTTGGGGGGCCAAGGTGGGAGGATCTCTTGAGCCCAGGAGTTTAAGACAGTCTGGGTCATACAGCAAGACCCTGATCTACAAAAAATTGAAAGTTAACCAGGCATGGTGGTGTGCATCTGTAATCCAGCTACTTGGGAGGCTGAGGCGGGAGGGTGGCTTGAGTCCAGGAATTTGAGGCAGCAGTGAGCTACAATCACATCACTGCACTCCAGCTTGGTTGGCAGAGTGAGACCCTGTCTCTAAAAAAAGAAAGAAAGAGAAATAGTTCAGAGATTCTTTGTGCCCTTTGCCCAGTTTCTCCAAAAGGTAAAATCTTGCAAAACTCTACAATAATATTACTATCAGGATATTGGCATTGTTACAGTCAAGATACAGAACTCTTCCATCACCATAAGAATCCCTCATGGTGCTCTTTAATAGGCACAGCAACTTTCCACCTGCTTCCACTCCTCCCATATGCCATTAGTTCTCCATTTTTATAAACTTGTCCTTTCAAGATCGCAATATAAAGGAGAACTATAGCATGTAACCTTTTGGGATTGGCATTTTTTTTTGCTCAGCATAATTCTCTGGAGATTCATCCAGTTTATTGCCTGTATCAGTAGTTTGTGTCTTTTTATTGCTGAATAATATTCCATAATATCCACAGTGTATTTAACCATTATCAGTTGAAGAACATCTGGGCTAATTATGAATAAAGTTGCTATAAAATTTGTGTCTAGGTTTTTGTGTGAACATGAGTCTTTATTTCTTTGAGACAAATGCCCAGAAGTGTAATTCCTAAGCCATATGGTAGTTGCATGCTTAATTTTTCAGAATCTGACAAACTGATTTCCAGAATGGCCATATCATTTTTTTCCCACTAGTAAACTATGAGTGATTCTTTGCATCCTCACCAGAATTTGATGTTGTCACTTCTTTGTTTTAGTAATCTTGCTAGGTATATATCAATATATCATTGTAGTTTTAATTTGCATTTCCCTAATGGCTAATGATATAGAACATCTTTTTTCATTTGCCAATTTGCAATCTTGTGTATCCTCTTCAGTAAAATCTCTTTTCATTACCATGTTTGTTTCCTTTTACTATTGAATTTTGAGAGCTCTTTATATATTCAAAATGCTAGGCCTTTGTCAGATATGTGTTTTACAGATATTTTCTCCCATTCTGTAGCTTGTCTTTTCATTCTCTTAACAGGGTCTGTCACAGAGCAAAAGTTTTTAACGGGTGAAGTTACATTTATCAACTTTTCTCTTACGAGTGATGTTTTTAGTGTTAAGACTCTTTGTCTAGCTCTAGCTCTTAAAGATTTTCTCTTTTTTTCCTAAAAGTATTATAGTTTGATATTTTACATTTAAGTCTGTGATCCATTTTTAGTTAATTGTTATATAAGGTATGAGTACTTTTTTGCCTGCTTTATTAGTCTATTCTCACACTGCTATAAAGATACTACCTGAGACTGGGTAATTTATAAAGAAAGGAGGTTTAACTGACTCACAGTTCCACATGGCTGAGGAGGCCTCAGGAAACTTACAATCATAGCAGAGGGCAAAGGGAAAGCAAGTACCTTCTTCACAAGGTGAAGACAGGCAAGAGAGAGAGAGCTCAGGGAAATTGCCAGACTTATCAAACAACCAGATCTCAGGTAAAAACACTTACTATCATGAGAACAGCATTGGAGAAACCACCCCCATGAGAAATCACTCACTATCATGAGAACAGCGTAGAGGAAACTGCCCCCATGATCCAATCACCTCCCACCAGGTCCCTCCCTCAACGTGTGGGGATTACAATTCAAGATGAGATTTGGGTGGGGACACAGACCCAGACCATATCATTCCACCCTGGCCCCTCCCAAATTTCATGTTCTTTTCATATTTCAAAACCAGTCATGCCTTCCCAACAGTTCCCCAAATTCTTAACTCATTCAATCATTAACTCAAAAGTCCAAGTCCAAACTCTCATCTGAGACAAGGCAACTCCCTTCCACCAATAAGCCTGTAAAATCAAAAGCAAGTTAGTACTTCCAAGGTACATGGGGGTACAGGTATTTGATAAATGTTCCCATTCCAAATGGGAGAAATCGTCCAAAACAAAGGGGCTACAGGCCCCATGCAAGTCCAAAATCCAAACAGGGCAGTCATTAAATCTTAAAGCTTCATGATGATCTCCTTTAACTCCATATTTCCCATCCAGGTCATGCTGATGCAAAATATAGGCTCCCGAGGCCTTTGGCAGCTCCACCTCTGTGACACTGCAGGATACAGCCCCCATGGCTGCTTTCACGGGCTGGTGTTAAGTGTCTGCAGCTATTCCGGGCACAAGGTGCAAGCTGTGGATGGCTCTATCATTCTGGGGTCTGAGGTGGCCCTCTTCTCACAGCTGCACTAGGCAGTGCACCAGTGGGGACTCTGTGTGGGGGCTCCAACCCCACATTTCCCCTCTGCATTGCCCTAGTAGAGGTTCTCCATGAGGGCTCCACCCCTGAAGCAGGCTTCTGCCTGGACATGCAGGTGTTTCCATACATCCTCTGAAATCTAGGCAGAGGCTGCCAAGATTTCAACTTGGCAGCCTCAACTCTTGTCTTCTGTGCACCCGCAAGCCCAACACCACATGGAAGCTGGCAAGGCTTGGGGCCTGCACCCTCTGAAACATGGCCCAAACTGTACCTTGCTCCCTTTTAGTCCCAGCTGGAGCTGGAGCAGCTGGGACACAGGACACTAAGTTGTAAGGCTGCACAGAGCAGCAGGGTCCTGAGCTTGGCCCACAAAACAATTTTTCCCTCCTAGGCCTCTGGGCTTGTGATGGGAGGGGCTGCCTTGAAGATCTGTGACATGGAAATGGAGACATTTGCTCCACTGTCTTGGCTATGAACATTCAGATCCTGGTGACTTATGCAAATTTCTGCAGCTGGCTTGAATTTCTCCCCACAAAATGGCTTTTTCTTTTCTACCTCATGGTCAGGCTGCAAATTTTCCAAACTTTTATGCTCTGCTTCCCTTTTAAATATAAGTTCCATTCAAATCATCTCTTTGTGAACACATATAACTGTATGCTTTCAGGAAAAGACAGATCAACTCTTGAATGCTTTGCTGCTTAGAAATTTCCTCTGTCAGATACCCTAAATCATCTCTTTCAAGTTCAAAGTTCCACAGATCTAGGACAGGAGCAAAATGTCACCAGTCTCTTTGCTAAAGCATAGCAACAGTAACATTTGCTCCAGTTCCCAACAAGTTCCTCATCTCCATCTGAGACCACTTCAGCCTGGAATTCATTGTCCATTTCACTATCAGCATTTTGGTCAAAACCATTCAACAAGTCTCTAGGAAGTTCCAAACTTTCCCTTATTTCCCTGTCTTCTTCTGAGGCCTCCAAACTATTCTAACCTCTGCCTGTTACCCAGTTCCAAAGCTGCTTCCATATTTTCAGGTTATTTTTATAGCAGTGCCCCACTCCCAGTACCAGTTCTCTGTATTAGTTCTTTCTCACACTGCTGTAAAAGTACTACCTGAGACTAGGTAATTTATAAAGAAAGGAGATTTAATTGACTCACAATTCTGCATGGCTGGGGGGACCTCAGGACACTTACAATCATGGTGGAAGGTGAAGGGGAAGCAAGGCTTGTCTTACATGGCAGCAGGTGAGAGACAGTGAGAGAGAGAGAGAACGAGAGAGAGAGAGAGCGAGTGCAGGGGAAATTGCCACACACTTATCAACCAGATCTTGAGAGAACTCTCTCACTGCCACAAGAACAGCATGGGGGAAACTGCCCATGATCCAATCACCTCCCACCAGGTCCCTTGCTTGACACATGAGGATTACAATTCAAGATGAGATTTGGGTGGGGACACGGAGCCAAATCATATCACCTGCAGATATGCAATTGCTCCAGCACCAATTAGACTTCTAACATCTTTTAATCCCTTAAAACCTTAAACAGGTGAACAGCAAAGTTTCATTATCATGTATTATCATACAGGATGCTTTCATGCATAGTAATGAAAGTTAGTTTGATTGCAGTTTATTTTTGGACACATTTTACTCTGTCATTGGTTCTTTTAAAAACATAATTATGCATAGAATAAGATATTTAACTTATATTTTTTCCATTGTTACCCTGATATGCTTTTGTGCGCTTGTAAGATGAAATGTTATCTAGTACTATGACAGACACATTTGTGTCTTAGTTTTGACTTTAATGAGGATGCTTCTAATCTACCCTTATTTAATATAAATGCTAGTTTGAGGATTGAGAAAAAATATTTTATCATATTAAGCATATATCATTTTACAGTTAAAATATATTATATATATTTTATAGTTCAAGGTTTTTATCCAGAACAAGTATTGAATTTTATCTAATGGCTTTTTAGTATCTAAGGAAATGATAATTAAGATGATACTTATCTATCAGTATCTAATATAGTAATTTATACGAACAGATTTCCTGATATTGAACCAGTCTTTTATTCCTAGAATAAACCATGTTTGGTCATGTAGTATTGATTTTGAATATAATTCTTTGCTAATATTTTCTTCAGAATTTTATAACTATTTCCTGTATATGTTTCTCTCTATAGAATCTTTTATTGGGAGAAGTAGTTCCAAAATGGAAACTCTGTTTTTTATGTTCTAAAGCAGCAGTCCCCAACGTTTTTGGCACCATGAACTGGTTTCATGGAAGACAAATTTTCTACAGACTGGAGACAGGCTGGGGGGCGGGGGGAGGGTTTCAGGATGAAACTGTTCCACCTCAGATCACCAGGCATTAGATTACCATAAGGAGCGGGCAACATTGATCCCTCACGTGCACAGTTCACACTAGGGTTTGTGCTCCTACGAGAATCTAATGCTGCCACTGATCTGAGAGCAGGCAGATCTCTGGCCTTACTGCTTGCTCACCCACCGCTCACCTCCTGCTGTGCAGCCCAGTTCCTAACAGGCCCTGATGGGTACCGGTTGGTGGCCTGGGGATTTGTGATACCTGCTCTTGAACAGTCCAAATAGCATTGGGACTACCTGTCTTTTTTGTTTGTTTGTTTTTTGTTTTTGAGACAGAGTGTTGCTCTGTCACCCAGGCTGAGGTACAGTGGCGCCATGTCGGCTCACTGCAACCTCCACCTCCAGGTTTAAGCAATTCTCCTCCCTCAGCCTCCAGAGTAGCTGGCACCACAGGCATGCCCACCACGCCTGGCTAATTTTTTTATTTTTAGTAGAGACAGAGTTTTGCCATGTTGGCCAGGCTGGTCTCGAACTCAAGTGATCTGCCTGCCTGGGTCTCCCAAAGTGCTGGGATTACAGTGAGCTACAGTGCTCCGCTGAGATTATCTGTTTTTTATAGGCTTAGAAATAGTCCCAGCTGGGCATGGTGGCTCATGACTGTAATCCCAGCACATTGGGAGGCCCAGGCAGATGGATCGCTTGAGCCCAGGAGTTTGAGACCAGTCTAGGCAACATGGCAAAACTTCATCTCTATAAAAAACACAAAAATTAGCCAGGTGTGGTGGCACACACAGCTACTCGGGAGGCTGAGGTGGGAGGATCACCTGAGCCTGGGAGGTCAGAGGCTGCAGTGAGCAGGGATGCCATGCCCCTGCACTCCAGCCTGGGTAACATACTGAGACCCTGTCTCAAAAAAGGAAAAAGAGTCCCATGTGAAACTGTCTTGACATAGTCTTTTGGGGAAGACAAGTCTTTAAAAAGTTTTAAGTAAGTTTATAGTAACTGAGCTATTTAGACCAATTTTGGGAAGTTATATTTTAATAAAATTGTTTTATTAGAACATTATATATTATATCCAGGTTTTCAAATTTAGTAGCACAGGGTTTAGTAAAGTATTATTTTATTGTTTTGTTAAGTTAATCTCTACCTGTAATTGTTTCGTTTATTATATCTCATTTATATAATTAAATTTTTTCTTTAAAAATTAGAAAAACAGGCCGGGCGCAGTGGCTTACGCCTGTACTCCCAGCACTTTGGGAGGCCGAGGCAGGCGGATCACAAGGTCAGGAGATGGAGACCATCCTGGCTAACAGGGTGAAACCCCATCTCTACTAAAAAATACAAAGAAAAAAACTAGCTGGGTGTGGTCGTGGGCGCCTGTAGTCCCAGCTACTCGGCAGGCCTGAGGTAGGAGAATGGTGTGAAACTGGGAGGCAGAGCTTGCAGTGAGCCAAGATCATGCCACTGCACTCCAGCCTGGGTGACAGAGCGAGACTCTGACCAAAAAAAAAAAAAAAAAAAATTAGAAAAACAGCAAGTTTATTGCTTTGAACACTGCCCAGCAAAGAACCAACTTTTGGACCCTTTAAAAATATTCTGACATTTGGCCGAGTGTGGTGGCTCACACCTGTAATCCCAGCACTTTGGGAGGCCAAGGTGGGTGGATCGCCTGAGGTCAGGAGTTTGAGAACAGACTGACCAAGAGGGTGAAACCCCATCGCTACTAAAAATACAAAAATTAGCTGGGCATAGTGACAGGTGCCTGTAAGCTCAGCTACTCGGAGGCTGAAGCAGGAGAATCACTTGAAGCTGGGAGGCAGAGGTTTCAGTGAGCCAAGATCGTACCACCGGACTCCAGCCTAGGCAACAGAGTAAGACTCTGTCTCAAAAAAAAAAAAAAAAAAAAAATTCTGACTTTTAAAAAAATTTTGGATTTATTCAATATCTGCCTTTTTCTTTATTAATACCATCCCTCTACTTTCCTTCTATTTATTTTTATTGCTCTTTTTCTAAATTCTAACATTGGATACTTACTTCAATTATTTTAGTTTTGTTTATTAATGTAAGAATTTAGGCCATAGAATTTCCTCTGAACACTTCCATAGTTATATCCCACAGGTTCTGATAAATTTCCATTTTATCCAAGAATTATTTAAAAATTGTGAAATCAAAATTTCCAGGTGGGAGGTAGAGGGGATCATGGCGGACGGGAGGCAGGACTAGATTGAAGTTCTGGACAGAGCAGCATGCAGAGGCTTGCATTGTGAATTTTAGCTCCAGATCAACTGCAAGAAAGAAACAGCAATCCCGAGAGGACCTACAGACCCTCGGAAGAAAGCGAACTGCTCCTGTAGGACCTGGGAGACACCCCAAATACTGTACCGCAGAAGAGGGAAAGGGAGACCCTCTTCTCCCGAACACACACCCCCACTGGAGAAGCTGAAGATCTGTTTGCAGAAGTTTCCAACTTTACCTGGAGCTGAGTCAAGTTAGAGAGCCAAGCAAAAATACAGGGGTAGAGGAAGCAGCAGAAAGGTCCCAGGAGCTTGCTGGGTCCCCAAGCAGCCCATTCCTGCCTGGCACCACAGGGAACCATAGGGAGGGTGGCCAGAGGACCAGTGAATAAAACTCCACAGGAAGAAGGAATTCTCTAGCTGAATTTTGTAACAACTTGAACAGGGTGAGAAGCCTCCTGGCCAGAACTCAGGGGAGGGCGGGAATCTGGAGCGCAGACTTCACAGGTAGGGGAAGAACTGAAGCCCTTTTCTTTCGCAGCTGGGAGACGGATAGCCTCGGGCAAGTTTTCAAGCATATCTCGTCCTCCACCTGGAAACAGACTTAGAGCTGTTGAGGGGAGCACGGCAGGAGTGAGACTGGCCCTTTGGTTTGCATGGGAGCCTGGTGAGGCCTGTGGCTACCAGCTTTCCTCCACTTCCCAGACAACCTGTGTGACTTAGCAGAGGCAGCCATAATCCTCCTAGGTACACAACTCCAATGACCTGGGAATCTCACCTCAATTCCCCACAGCAGCTTCAGCAAGACCCACCCAAGGAGAGTCTGAACTCAGACATGCCTAGGCCCACCCCCACCTGATGGTCCTTCCCTACCCACCCAGGCAGCAGAAGACAAAGGGCATATAACCTTGAGTGTTCTAGGGCTGCACCCACTGCCAGTCTCTCTCCACACTGCTACAGCTAATGCTTTCTGAAAAGCGCCACCTCCTGGCAGGAGGCCAACCAGCACAAAAATAGAGCATTAAACCACCAAAGCTAAAGACCCTCATGGAGTCCATTGCACCATCGGCCACCTCCACTGGAACAGGAGCTTGTATCCATGGCTGAGAGAACCATAGACAGTTCAAATCACAGGACTCTGTGCAGACAACCCCCTGCATCAGCCCAGAGCTGGGTAGACTCGCTGGGTGGCTAGACCCAGACAAATATCACTGCAGTTTGTCTCACAGGAAGCCACATCTATAGGAAAAAGGGGAGAGTCAAGGGAACACCCTGTGGGACAAAAGAAACTGAACAAAAGGCTTCAGCCCTAGACCTTCCCTCTGAAAGAGCCTATCCAAATGAGAAGGAACCAGAAAACCAACCCAGGTAATATGATAAAACAAGGCCCTTCAACACCCCCCACTAAAATCATACTACTTCATCAACAATGGATCCAAACCAAGAAGAAATCCCTGATTTACCTGAAAAACAATTCAGGTGGTTAGTTATTAAGCTAATCAGGGAAGGATCAGAGAAAGGCGAAGCCCAATGCAAGGAAATCCAAAAAATGATACAAGAAATGAAGGGAGAAATATTCAAGGAAATAGATAGCTTAAAGAAAAAACAATAAAAAAATTCAGGAAACTTTAGTCACACTTTTAGAAATGCAAAATGCTCTGGAAAGTCTCCGCAATAGAATTGAACAAACAGAAGAAAGAAATTCAGAGCCTGAGGACAAAGTCTTCAAATTAACCCAATCCAACAAAGAAAAAAAATAAGAAAATATGAACAAAGCCTCCAAGAAGTCTGGGGTTATGTTAAATGATGAAACCTAAGAATAATCAGTGCTCCTGAGGAAGAAGAGAATTCTAAAAGCCTGGAAAACATATTGGGGGGAATAATTGAGGAAAACTTCCCCGGCCTTGCGACAGACCTAGACATCTAAATACAAAAAGCACAAAGAACACCTGGTAAATTCATCGCAAAAGATCTTTGCCTAGGCACATTGTTATCAGGTTATCCAAAGTTAAGATGAAGGAAAGAATCTTAAGAGCTGTGAGACAGAAGATGCAGGTAACCTATAAAGGCAAACCTATCAGATTAACAGCAGATTTCTTTGCAGAAACCCTACAAGCTAGAAGGGATGGGGGACCTATCTTCAGCCTCCTCAAACATAATAATTATCAGCCAAGAATTTTGTATTCGGTGAAACTAAGCATCACATATGAAGGAAAGATACAGTCATTTTCAGACAAACAAATGCTGAGAGAATTTGCCATTACCAAGCCACCATTATAAGAACTGCTAAGAGGAGCTCTAAATCTTGAAACAAATCCTGGAAACACATCAAAACAGAACCTCGTTAAAGCATAAATCACACAGGACCTGTAAGACAAAAATACAAGTGAAAAAGCAAAAACAAAAACCGAAAAACCCCAAAGTACACCAGCAACAAAGGGCACGTTGAAAGCAATGGTACCTCACATTTCAATACTAACATTTAATGTAAATGGCCTAAATGCTCCACTTGAAAGATACAGAAACACAGAGTGGATAAGAACTCACCAACAAACTATCTGCTGCCTTCAGGAGACTCACCTAACACATAAGGACTCACATAAACTTAAAGTAAAGGGGTGGAAGAAGGCATTTCATGCACATGGACACCAAAAGTGAGCAGAGGTAGCTATTCTTATATCAGATGAAATAAATTTTAAAGCAACAGTGATTAAAAGAGACAGAGAGGGACAATTACATAATGATAAAAGGCTTTGTCCAACAGGAAAATATCACAATCCTAAATGTATATGCACCTAACAAACGTTGGATCTCCCAAATTTATAAAATGATTACTAGCAGACCTAAGAAATGAGATAGACAGCAACACAATAATAGTGGGGGACTTCAATACTCCACTGACAGCACTAGACAGGTCATCAAGAAAGTCAACAAAGAAACCATGGATTTAAACTATACCTTGGAATAAATGGACTTAACAGATATATACGGAACAACCACAGAATACACATTCTATTCAACAGTGCATGGAACTTTCTCCAAGATAGAGAATATGATAGGCCATAAAATGAGCCTCAATAAATGTAAGAAAATTGAAATTATATCAAGCACTCTCTCACACCACAGTGGAATAAAACTTGAAATCAACTCCAAAAGGAACCTTCAAAAACATGCAAATACATGGAAAGTAAATAACCTGCTCCTGAATGAGCATTGGGTCAGAAATGAAATCAAGATGGAAATTAAAAAATTATTTGATCTGAATGACAATAATGACACAACCTATCAAAACCTCTAAGCTACAGCAAAGGAGGTGTTAAGAGGAAAGTTCATAGCCCTAAATGCCTACATCAAAAAGTCTGAAAGAGCACAAACAGGCAATCTAAGGTCACACCTCAAGGAACTAGAGAAACAAGAACAAACCAAACCCAAACCCAGCAGAAGAAAGAAAATAACCCAGATCAGAGCAGAACTAAATGAAATTGGAACAAAAGAAAATACAAAAGATAAATGAAACAAAAAGCCGGTTCTTTGAAAACATAAATAAAATTGATAGACTGTTAGCAAGGCTAACCAAGAAAAGAAGAGAGAAAATCCAAATAACCTTATTAAGAAATGAAACAGAAGATATTACAACTGACACTACTGAAATACAAAAGATCATTCAAGGCTACTATGAACACCTTTATGCACATAAACTAGAAAACCTAGAATAGATAGATAAATTCTAGAAAAATACAACCCTCCTAGCTTAAATCAGGAAGAATTAGATACCTAGAACAGACCAGTAACAAGCAGCGAGATTGAAATGGTAACTTCAATATTACCAACAAAAAAAGTTAGAACCAGATGGATTCACAGTAGAATTCTACCAGACATTCAAAGAATTGATACCAATCCTTTTGAACTGTTCCAGGAGAGAGAGAAAGAAGGAACCCTCCCTATTCATTCTCTGAATCCAGCATCACCCCTAATAACAAAACCAGGAAAGAATATAACCAAAAAAGGAAACTACAGACCAATATCCTTGATGAACATAGATGCTAAAATCCTTAACAAAATACTAGCTAAGCAAAGCAAACAACATATCAAAAAGATAATCCACCATGATCAAGTGGATTTCACACCAGGGATGCAGGGATGGTTTAATGTATGCAAGTCAATAAATGTGATACATGACATAAACAGAATTAAAAACAAAAATCACGTGATTATCTCAATAGATGTAGAAAAAGTATTTGACAAAATCCAGCATCCTTTATGATTAAAACTCTCAGCAAAATCGACATACAAAGGACATACCTTAACGTAATAAAAGCCATCTATGACAAAACCACAGAAAACATAATACTGAATGGGGAAAAGTTCAAAGCATTCCCTCTGAGAACTGGAACAAGACAAGGATGTCCACTCTCACCACTCCTCTTCAGCATAGTACTGGAAGTGCTAGCCAGAGCAATCAGACAAGAGAAAGAAATAAAAGGCATCCAAATTGATAAAGAGGCAGTCAAACTGTCATTGTTTTCTGATGATATGATGGTTTACCTTGAGAACCCTAAGGACTCCTCCAGAAAGCTCCTAGAACTGATAAATGAATTGAGCAAAGTTTCCAGATACAAGATTAATGTACACAAATCAGTAGCTCTTCTACATATCAACAGCGACCAAGCAGAGAATCAAATCAAGAACTCAACCACTTTTACAATAGCTATTAAACAAAATACTTAGGAATATACCTAACAAAAGAATTGAAAGACCTCTGCAAGGAAAACTATGAAACACTGCTGAAAGAAATCACAGAGGACACAAACAAATGGAAACATATCCCATGCTCATGGATGGGTAGAATGAATATTGTGAAAATGACCATACTGCCAAAAGCAATCTACAAATTCAATGCACTCATCATCAAAATACCATCATTCTTCACAGAATTAGAAAAAACAGTTCTAAAATCCATATGGAACCAAAAAAGAGCCCGCATAGCCAAAGCAAGACTAAGCAAAAAGAGGAAATCTGGAGGCATCACATTACCTGATTTCATACTATACTATAAGGCCATAGTCACCAAAATAGCATGGTACTGGTATAAAAATAGGCACATAGACCAATGAAGCAGAATAGAGAACCCAGAAATAAACCCAAATACTTACAGCCAACCAACTGATCTTCGACAAAGCAAACAAAAATGTAAAGTGGGGAAAGGACTTCCTTTTCAACAAATGATGCTGGGATAATTGGCTAGCTGCATGTAGGAGAATGAAACTGGATCCTCATCTCTCACCTTATACAAAAATCAACTCAAGATGGATTAAGGACTTAAACCTAAGACCTGAAAGTGTAAAAATTCTAGACGATAACATTGGAAAAACCCTTCTAGACATTGGCTTAGGCAAGGATTTCCTGACCAAGAACCCAAAAGCAAATGCAATAAAAACAAAGATAAATAGCTGGGACCCAATTAAACTAAAGAGCTTTTGCATGGCAAAAGGAACAGTCAGCAAAGTAAACAGACAACCCACAGAGTGGGAGAAAATCTTCACAATCTATACATCTGACAAAAGACTAATAACAAGAATCTGCAATGAACTCAAACAAATCAGTAAGAAAAAAACAAACAATCCCACCAAAAAAGTGGGCTAAGGACATGAATAGTCAATTCTCAAAAGAAGATGTACAAATGTCCAACAAACATATGAAAAAATGCTCAACATCACTAATGATCAGGGAAATGCAAATCAAAATCACAATGTGATACCATCTTACTCCTGCAAGAATGGCCATAATCAAAAAATCAAAAAACAGTAGATGTTGGCGTGGATGCAGTGAACAGGGAACACTTCTACACTGCTAGTGGGAATGTAAACTAGTAGAGCCACTATGGAAAACAGTGTGGAGATTCCTTAAAGAACTAAAAGTGGAACTACAGTTTGATCCAGCAATCCCACTACTGGGTGTCTATCCAGAGGAAAAGAAGTCATTATTCGAAAAAGATACTTGCACACTCATGTTTATAGAAGCACAATTCGCAATTGCAAAATCATGGAACCAACTCAAATGCCTATCAATCAAAGAGTGGATAAAGAAACTGTGGTATATATATATATATATGATGGAATACTATGCAGCCATAAAAAGGAATGAATTAACAGCATTTGCAGTGACCTAGATGAGATTGGGGACTATTATTCTAAGTGAAGTAACTCAGGAATGGAAAACCAAACATCGTATGTTCTCACTGATATGTGGGAGCTAAGCTATGAGGATGCAAAGGCGTAAGAATGATACAATGAACTTTGGGGACTTGAGGGGAAGAGTGGAAGAGGGACGAAGGATAAAAGACTACAAATATGCTGCAGTGTATACAGCTCGGAAGATGGGTGCATCAAAATCTCACAAATCACCACTAAAGAACTTATGCAACCAAATACCACCTGTACCCCCATAACTTATGGGAAAAAAAATTCCAGGTGGTAGAATTTTGTTTTAAAAACTTTATATTGCTAGTTTTCATATTTATTATTAGAGAAAGTTGTCTATTAATAGTATTTCTCTGCTTAAAAAATTATTGATGCTTTCTTGTGGCCTAATAGGTAATCAGCTTTTTTTGTGTGTGTGAGGGAGTCTCACTCTGCTGTCCAGGCTGGAGTGCAGTGGTACGATCTCGACTCACTACAACCTCCGCCTTCCGGGTTCAAGTTATTCTCCTGCCTCAGTCTCCCAAGTAGCTGGGACTACATGCATGCACCACCACTCCTGGCTAATTTTTGTATTTTTAGTAGGGACGGGGTTTCACCATGTTGGCCAGGCTGGTCTTGAACTCCTGGCCTTAAGTGATCCATCCGTGCTGGCCTCCCAAAGTGCTGGGATTATAGGCTTGGTCAACTGTGTCTGGCAGTGATCAAGTTTCATGACTGTTCCCTTCCGTGGTTTCCTAGAAGAAAGGTGAGTTTTCCCCCTCAAGGTGTGTAATTTGGTATAAAATGCATCAACAAGTTATTATGTTATTTAGGTCCTCTGTATCCTTCTTTATTCATTTTTGTTTACTTGGAATTTCTTGGACTAAGAGTGATGAAGCCTCTTTCTACTAAAATATTTTTAATCTGTTTTTTCTTATAACTCTTGCAATTTTTGTTTATGAATATTGATATTGATGCATAAATATTCATAATTACCATTTTTAATTGTTATTTGTATACTTTAACACTCTAAAGCACTTTTTTTTTCACTCTGCCACCCAGGCTGGAGTGTAGTAGCGTGATCTCGGCTCACTGCAACCTCCGCCTCCCAGGTTCAAGCAATTCTCCTGCCTCAGCCTACCAAGTAGCTGGGATTGCAGGCATGTGCCACCATGCACATCTAATTTTGTATTTTTAGTAGAGACGGGGTTTCACTATCTTGGTCAGGCTGGTCTCAAACTCCTGACCTCAGGTGATCCGCCCGCCTCGGCCTCCCAAAGTGCTGGGATTACAGGTGTGAGTCACTGTGCCCAGCCTATAAAAGCACTTCTTGAGACATCCCATTTGATACTGTTTTCCTTAAATTTATCTTATCTGATATAAGAGAATGATCCCTCTCTTCACTTTTTTTCCTCCACTTATCTAGTACATATATGTTTGCCCACCATTTTACTTTCAAAGTTTTCGACCCCTTTGTTTTAAGAGTCTCTTATATACAGTATAAATGTCTGATGCAGGAAAACCTCACCTCATTCAAAAATGGGGTCGCCAAAAAGAACTGCAACTGTTTTTTACACTGTAAAAATTAATACTTAAAACTCAGAATCTAAGGAGTATTTTTGCTTGCCTAAAACTAAGGCCTGGCTCATCTTCAATATGAAACTCCCATAAATATCTGATGCAGGAAAACCTCACCTCATTCAAAAATAGGGTCGCCAAAAAGAACTGCAACTGTTTTCGATTTTACAGGCTTATAGGCGGAAGGGACTTGCCTTGTCTCAGATGAGACTTTGGACTTGGACCTTTGAGTTAATGCTGGAATGAGTTAAGATTCTGGGGGACTGTTGGGAAGGCATGATTTTGTTTTGAAATGTGAAAAGGACATGAGCTATGGGAAGGGTCAGGGGTGGAATGATATGGCTTGGGTCTGTGTCCCCACTCAAATCTCATGTTGAATTGTAATCCTCAGTGTTGGAGGAAGAGCCTCATAGGAGGTGATTGGATCATGGGGCAGACTTCCCCCTTGCTGTTCTTGAGATAGCGAGTTCTCACAAGATCTGGTTGTTTCAAAGCATGTAGCACTTCCTCCTTCATTTTCTCTCTCTCCTGCTCTGCCATGTGAAGTTGTGCCTGTTTTCCCTTCACCTTCTGCCATGATTGTAAGTTTCCTGAGGCTTCCCCAGCCATGCTTCCTGTACAGCCCATGGAACTATGAGTCAATTAAACCTCTTTTCTTCATCAGTAACTCAGTCTCAGGTAGTTCCTAATATCAGTGCAACAACAGACTAATACAGACAGGCTTATAAAAAATAAAAATTTATTCCCCACAGTTCTGCAGGCTGAAAGTCCAAGGTCAAGGCCCCAGCAAATCTGGTGTCTGGAAAGGGCTCACTTCCTTGTTCATAGATGGCATCTTCTTGCTACATCCTCACATGGTGGAGGGGCAAATGAGCTCTCTGGACTCTCTTTTATAAGAGCACTAATCCCATTTATAAGGACTCTACCCTCATGACCTAATCACCTCCTAAAAGCCCCATCTCGTATCCTTACAGTGAGGATTAGGTTTCAGCATAACTTTGGGGGCGAGTGGGGGACAAAAACATATAAGCTATAGCAGTAGATATTTATCTTACTGCACATTTCCTGTTGAATATCTAGTATGGTGACTCTTCTCTGGCCTTTGTCCTAGCAGTGAGCACTTCTAGTCAGATAAGTGGTATTATCTCATAGCCTAGGTAAAGGATGTCTTTTTCCTGGGTTCCCTGTTCCCTGTGTGATGCATATTATCACATCTTTTATTGTCTCACTAGATCCCATCTCATTTGTGAGCCACCTAAAAATTCCCTGTTATCAGAAACACACTTGATGTACGCTGAGTCTTTGCCCAACAGTGGACTTCAATGTTTCCTACCTTCTAGGAATGCCTGAAATGAAACCACACAGAGACACTTTACATGGTGATATTGGAAGCAAAGCCTTGCAATCTGCCTGTCCTGAAGAGATTGCTCCTTTGCAAAATTCTTTTTTGGCTGTTGATGGTAGTTCTCAGGAACTACCATTTCCCATTGGATAGCGCCTTGCCTCACTGGGCATTGCTGCTGGTCTCCTGGGTGCCACAACTCCCACTGGGATTGGTGACCATGATGCAGTGGGGCTGTCATATGACAGAACTCCTTGGCATTCTATGGGAGAGAACATCCCTCTCTTTTGGGTGTTGTATTTGGCCACTGGGCACCATGACCATGATATTGTGCCTCAGTGTTCCACATGGTATCTAGCAAAATCGTTCTTTAATTTTCATTCTAGTTTCCATCCCAACCCTGTTCCCAGGACACATGACAAACAGCATGTTATACTCAGAATGGCCCCTTCCCATCTGATGTCACTGGGTTATCAAGTTCTTCTGCCCAAACTTCTCCCGTTTTTCATGCTCACTGCTTTTAATGAGCTCGTTTAGCCAATTCACTATTTACCCAGAGATCTACTAACATAAGGTATAGATTCTGATACCAGGCCCCCATTTTTAGTTCATCAAGGCAACTGACTCCTTAGAGGTCACCTGGGAGAGGATAATGTCCAGGTGTGTAGGCAAAGAGTTAAGGGGAGTGTTTGGCTGATTCATTCATTAATCAATCCCGTCTAGTTCTTCTGTAGTTTGGGGCAAACTTCTCTGTTTGGTGGGATGGTTCCTGAGCCCTCACTAACTTCGTAACTTCACCTTCTGCTAAAGGTGGCCATGGGCTGAGCTCTCTAGTGCTCAGCAGGATGATGGCGTGGCTCTGACAAACAGAGCTTACTGCCTGGGAATAGGTGCTCAAATGAGATGGAGCTTGAAGAAGTCAGGCTAGGCAGAGGGTTTTGTTTTAATTTCATCCCAAAAGGTGACAGACGGTTGTGAGCTACTCTTCAATCCTCCACACATCCCTGTGACCCTCCTCAGGGTTGCCTCCTGCCTTGGCACTTACGGCAGATCCAGGTCTCAGGCAGACATGTTGTAACTACCCAAGGGGTTCACTTTGCCTGCTGCCTAGACAGAGCCAATTTCTCAAGACAGCGGAATTGCCATAGAGAAAGAGTAATTCACACAGAGCCAGCTGTGTGGGAGACTGGATTTTTATTATTACTCAAATCAGTCTCCTAGAACATTCAGGGAGGAGAGTTTTTAAGGACAACTTGGGAGGTAAGGGGAAGCCAGTGAGCCAGGAGAGCTGATTGGTCAGGGATGAAATAATAGGCAGTCGAAACTGTCTTCTTGCACTGAGTCAGTTCCTTGATGGGGGCCACAAGATTGGATGAGCCAGTTTATTGATCAGGGTGGGGCCAGCTGATCCACCACGTGCAGGGTCTGCAAAATATCTCAAGCACTGACCTTAGGAGCACTTTAGGGAGGGTCAGAATCTTGTAGCCTCCAGCTGCATGACTCCCAAACCATAATTTCTAATCTTGTGATTAATGTTAGTCCTACAAAGGCAGTCTGGTCCCCAGGCAAGAAGGAGATCTGCTTTGGGAAAGAGCTGTTATCATTTTTGTTTTAAACTACAAATTATAAACGAAGTTTCTCTCAAAGTTAGTTCAGCCTACAGCCAAGAATGAACAAGGACAGCTTGGAGGTTAGAAGCAAGATGGAGTCGAATCAGTTAAGTTAGATCTCTTTCACTGTCTCAGTCATAATTTTGCAAAGGTGGCTTTGCTGTCAGTCTGGCAGCTTTATATCAGGGTGAGATCCATAGAACTACAGATTTCACTGTGAGTGGGAGCTCTGTACTGAGCTGCCTGGTTGTCACCAAAGCAAAGTTCCTTGCTTCTTTTTTCTCTTTCTTCTACATTATTCCTCTTCCTCCATTAAAAAAAAAAATTTCTTTTCTTCTTTGTCTCCCTTATCTCCATTTCTCTTTTCTTCTTTGTTTCTAAGAGTTCTGTATCTTCCCTTCTCTGTCTTTTTTCAATTCATTTGACACACATTAGCTGTATCTATGTAACAGGGTGTGTATTAGGTGATGGGTATATAAAGGTGAGTAAGATGAGATCCTGTTTTCCTGTAACCTAGTTCATTGTTGGCATCAGAACTACAACCCACAAAATAAAAAGAATCATTAAGAGAGTGTGGCATTTCAGGTGCTTTATGTACATTCTTGAGTTTAATTGTCCTAAAAAATTAGTAAAGTAAGCATTTCATTTAATGGATGAGAAAAGTGAGGCTCAGACAGGGTCGCAATTAGACAGCGGGTGGACAAAGCCCCTGCATCTTGTTTCTAACCCAACCCTTTCTCATTTGCTCTTCTCTTTTTTCTGTTTGTTATTCCCATTCCGCTTCCTTCTTCTCCTTAACACCCACTCCTGTTATCTACACTTTTTCAAGCCCCTTTAGTTCATCAAGGCAACTGACTCCTAAGAGGTCCCTTGGGAGGGGATAATGTCCAGGTGTGTAGGTAGAGAGTTAAGGGAAGAAATTTTCCCTTTCAAATTCTCCCTCTGTGCTTCTGTTTCTCTAGCTTCCTGTTTCTCCCTGGCCTTTTGTCTCCACATTCTGAATTCTCTCCTCCTATTTCATGCTCTCTGCCCTTTTCTCTCTTTCTTTTCTCTTCCTTTCTCCCTTTGGTTCTTTCTGGTATTCTTAGACTGTCTTTTTTCTTCTCTCCTTTCTTCATTCCACTCTATCTCACTTATCTCAAGGACTCTCCCTCCCCCTTCCCCAAGTCTCTCTTTGTCTCTCAGTCTTTCTGACTCTGTCTCTTGCTTTCTTCTTTCTCCATTCCTGCCCTTCCTACCTCTGCTTCCCCTAGTGGCTTTCTTCTTGCTCTTCTGTTCCTTGCTCTTTCCACCCTGGCCAAGAAGGACAGTGAAGTTCTGTCCTTTCTTTTTTTTTTTTGCTCTCTCTCCCCTTTATTTCTTCCTATTGTTCTTGTTTCTGACTGTTCCTTGGCTTCTCTTCTTCTTTTTATTACTCTTTCTCCCTCTGTTTCTCCCTCTGAGTCTCTGCTTTATTTTTTCTAAAGATTCCCTCTTATTTGTGCTCCTTTTTTTGACCCTCCTTTCCTCCTTCCTTCCGTCTTCCCTTTTGCCCATTTATCACTATTATATTTTCTTCCTTCCTCTCCATCCACTTTCCTCTCCCCGTTTTCCTTTCTTACTTTCTCCCCTGCTGTGATCTGCCATCTCCTCCAGCCACCCTAGCCAAAAAAACAGTGAAGTCCTGTAGCTGCTACCTCCTTCTTTTGGGCTTGTGGGTTTATGAAGCTGGGACATTTTTCCTGTTCCGGGGCCTCTCCCTCGGCTGCTCCCCTCTGGGCAGTGTTAATAGGTCCAGGCTTGCAGGGGGATGACCTTGGCCGTCATACTCACAATGCTGAGAGAGGCCAAAGAAGTCAGGACCCCACCCCCAGGGAGAGGGATCATCTTGAGGAGCATCCAGAGTGGGGCCTCCTTGCTGCATGAAGTCAGAGTCCATGTGGAGCAAACTGTTTTTCCCTTAACTCCTCCTCTCTCCTCCCTCACATGTGCAAAGGCACCCCCTTGAAAAATCCTGGTAATGGTGAATTTTATGAGGGAGCAGCTGCCATGGTCGTGCTCTCTCAGGCCTCTGAACTTTGAGTTACCCAGCTCTAATATTGATCAGGCAGCCTCAAAGAACCGTTTAGCTTGGCCTTATGTAGGCAACAAGAAGATTCGAGTCTGCTTGCATTCTCTTTGCAATGATTCCTGAATACTCTTGCTTATACCTCCTTCTAGGGAGTGACTATGTATGTGGTCAGTGAGTATTCTCCATTCCGAATGCATATTTAGCTGAGGCTGAGAGGAGGCCCTGTTGTGGGTAGGTCCTGTGCTGTGTATCCCACATTGCCCATGTCTCAGCTGAGGTGGTCTTCCTGATATAGCTGCTTCTTGGGTTAGGTATCCATTAAGCCAGAAAAATTATGATTGCTAATGTGAGCCCATCAGGATGGGCACAGTGGCAAATTCTGGGACCATATGAGTAATCTACCTATGGCTGAGCCCGAACCTATAGCCAGTGCTTTCTCTGATAGGCTCTGTGCATGCTGCTAGGATTGTGTGATGCTGCACCTCTATCTAGATGAATGAAGGCTATAAGGGAAAGCCACAAGTGACTCCTGGAGTCAGAGTTGAGAGAGAAAAATTGTTTCTGGGAGAATCAGGAAAGCTTCCGGGAAAAGATGGCTTTTGAGCTAGCCCCTGAAAGTTGGATTTGCTTTAACAGTTAGAGATGGGGAGAGAAGCAGTGGAGGTCTCTTGGAGGTTTTGTTAAAGCTGGTCAGTAGATCCTAGGCTTTGCTGGGTAGGAAAATTCTGATCCATGAAATTAATAGGCCGGGCACAGTGGCTCATGCCTGTAATCCCAGCATTTGGAGAGGCTAAAATGGAAGGACCACTTGAGCCCAGAAATTCAAGACCAGCCTGGGCCACATAGGGAATATTTTGTATTTTGTCACTATAAAAATAATAAAAAATATTAGCAGGCATGGTGGTGCACACCTGTGGTCCCAGCTTCTTGGGAGGCTGAGGTGGGAGGGTTGCCTGAATCCAGGAGGTTGATGCTGCAGTCAGCCATGATCATGCCGCTGCACTCTAACCTGGGCAACAGAGTGAGACCCCCTCTTAAAAAAAGAAAGAAAGAATGAAATTAATAGGTGTGTAGTATGAAGTAGGGATGAAGTACCAAGGGAATTTCTGGGCTCATAACTTGAAGGTAGAAATCTGTAGGTGCTTGGAAGGTAGGAGTCCTGGGCGAGGTTGTGGCTTGTTTAGTCGCAATGGGCTGCAGCGAGAATATGGTGATGTCAGAGTAAGATGCCAAGGTGTGGCTTGCCTATAGTCATTAAAAGCGTGGGCTTCAGAGTCAGACCAGCCTACGTAGCATTTTCGTGCTGTGTGGGTTTGGTCAAGTTCTCTTTGAGTTTGTTTCTTTATCCTTTAAGTGGCTATAACCATGGAATTTACCATGTAGGTAATTATATTAAGATTAAATGAGATAATGCATATCAAGCACTTAGCATGGTGCTCGTACATAGCAGTTGCTCAATAAAGCTTGTCTAGCATTAAGTTATATAGATTATTGATTTTTTTGCAGCATACTTTATCACTCAATAATTATATAGTAACCTAACATTGTTTCATAACTATGTTTACAATGATTACATTGTTGCTTTCCATGACTTTCTATTTTTTTTATTTTTATTTTTAGCTATACCTGCTGGAATGGGACAACTTTCTATCCCATCTTCCTTCAGTCAGATCCCCTCAGCTGCCCACCCCTGCCCTCACCCTGAGCCTTTCTGCTCTATTCTGATGGTTTTCTCAGGTTCTGGGAAGGGGTTTATTCATTTACTTTTCTTTCAGGCCCTCTTTTCACATGTGACTAGTCGGTCAAGACTTTGTGCAATCTTTTCCCATCTGGATCGTTTCCTGAAAAAAATGTTTTTAAGTTTCTGGTCCATTCATGACACTATTCCTTGTTGTTCGGGGTATTACAGATGATTACTCAATATTTTTGAACTTTTTGGTGTTTTTATAAAGTTTGGGTGGAAAAAGAGCTAAGAGTGAGGGCTCCAAAGTACGTTTTGACATGGACAACTTGGTAAGTTCCCTGCCCCAGTGTGTAGGCCCAAGGGGGTGGCAATTAGGATTAAGCGTCTGACAATCCTGATTTCCACAGAAGCCCCACTTCCTGCTCAGAAAGCGTGTTCTCCTGCGGCTCACCTCCTCACGAAGTTCCCAGTGGCCCTACAGGACACACGGGCTGTCTCCCTGGTAACAGTTAAGCCCTCACTCCTTGACCTATCAGTCCTTTTATAACTTAGGCCAAGGTTTAAATTTTAGCTAAAATTATTACTGCATTCCTCCAGAAGAAACTCATTGTGTGGACATACTGAGATTTATCTAATCGATTGAATCTCCATAGATTTATCTAATCTGTTGAACATCTCCATCAGTTTTGATAACTAATGATAGTTGTCAAAATTCCTGTTTTACCTTTAAAAATAAGAGCTGAAACAATAGCCAGTGGGGACTACTAGAGCGGGGAGGGAGGGACAGCGGCAAGGGTTGAATAATTATTGGGTACTATGCTCAGTACCTGAATGATGGGATCATTTGTACTCCAAACCTCAGCATCAAACAGTATACCCAGGTAACAAACCTGCACATATCTCCCATGAATCTAAAATAAAAGTTGAGAAAAAAAAAAAAAAATTCTTACCACGTTAAATAAATAAAGAGCTGGATTTGCTGCCCCCTTGTGTCTTAGAACAGCCATAACAACATCATCATTTGTATCCTTTCTTATTCCTTACCAGCTCGGGTTTCACCTGGCCTGATTGCTCAAATTACACCTCGGGGGTTAGGAGACCACATCTCTCAGTTGCAAAGAGCTCTCCTAAGGGAAAGGCTTTTATTACCAGGACCAAGTTCAGCTCTGTCTGACTGCTAAGGTTTGAATCATCAGAACAGAAAGAAATTTGGCATGGAACAGATTTACCAAGATACAGTTAGCAGGTACTCAGGTACCAAAAAAGATGTATTTTATAATATCACTAACTCAGATACCAAGCGCTACTCAGAAAGCAGGCTAGGAAAATTCATTTTAATGGATGTTTCATTCTTTTATTTACCTGATGTTACTGAGTGCCAGACACCGTTCTTGGCATTAGAAAACAAAACTGAAGAAATACAATAAGCAAATAGGCAAACAACTACTGCAATATAATGCTAGTTAGTGATAAGTACTAACATGAAAATGAACTAATGGTAAATAAATAGAGGGTAATAGGGTGATTTATGGAAACCACTCAGAGGGTGACATGCAGAACTGTGAATGAAGTAACAGCAAGACATGGGAAGGTCCAGGGAAGAGTGTAGGTAAAAGAAACTGCAAGGGCAAAAGTGTTGAGGTGGAAAGAGTCTGGTATGTTTGAAGAACAGCAAGAAAGTCAGTATGGTAACAGCAGAGTGAGGGAGGCTGAAGTGGCAAGAGATGAGATGGAAAGATAGGTAGACCTTGTATGTATGATGAGAAAATTGGATATTACTCTGAAAGTGATGTGAATCCATTGGAGAATTGAGCAGGGGAGCAGTATGATTTAAATTATATTTCAAAGCTGTCATTCTGACTGCTGGGCAGAAAAATGAATCTAGGTGACAAAAAGGGAAATAGGATGGTAAAATAGAAAATTATTGCAGACAGAAATATTCCCATCACCCTAGAATATAGACTGCCCCAAGACAGAGTTCTTTATTGCTTAGACCTTTGTGTCTTAGGTTAGTGATCACTGGAGTTAGTGTGGGTCATGAAGTTGATGAGAAGCCCTACTGGGCCAGGGCTCTCTTTTCCTTCTCTTGTTACCACATAAAATTTGTATGGGATTCAGTTGACCTTTTTAAAGAAGGATGAAACTCCTGGTTGAAAATTGAGCTCTGGTAGCTGATGAGATGGCATGTAGGCACTCCCCCAGGGTAGATGACCTGCTTAGGAGAGGTGAGGACACTGACACAATGGCTGGACAGCAGGTGAAGGAAAAGCTGGGGAGGGGACATGTGCCCTCACCTATTCTTAAATAAATATTTTGGGATAAGGAGTCTTGTCTTAAAGCTCCTCACATAGACAAAAAGAAGTGAAGGAACTGGAGAATGGGGTGGAGTAGGATGTGGAAGTAGGATGACTAGAAGGTACAGAATTACCATCTTCAGATATCTGAAGGACTATTTTTTTTTTTCACAGAAGGATTAGCATTGTTTTCTCAGCCTCCCGATACAGAGAAGAATTAAAAAGGCGGGATAATATTTACAACCTGTATTAGTCTGTTCTCACACTGCTAATAAAGACATACCCAAGACTGGGTAATTTCTAAAGGAAAGAGGTTTAATAGACTCACTGTTCCACATGGCTAGGGAGGCCTCACAATCATGGCGGAAAGCAAACGAGAAGCAATGGCACATCTTACATGGCAGCAGGCAAGAAAGCACGTGCAGGGAAACTCCCATTTATAAAACCATCAGACCTCATGAGACTTATTCATTTACTTGAGAATAATATGCGGGAAACCACCTCCACGATTCAATTATCTCCACCTTGCCTCACCCTTGACACATGGGGATTATTACAATTCGAGGTGAGATTTGGGTGGGGACACAAGCAAACCATATCACAACCCAAAGCAAGAGAGTAATTTCCATCAGAGCGGCTAATGGTAAGGTAGGCTGCCTTGTGGAATGAGGTTCCATTACTGTAAGCATTCAAGCAACAGTGGGAGGCCTGTGGGTGAGTGTGCCAGACTCCCAGATGGCACCCAGGGATCCTTGCCTCCTGGTGTTCATACCTTGTTTAGTGAATAGCATTAACTATGTAACCAATAAGATACTGCAGAAATGACAGTGTTACTTCTGGTACTAGGTTATAAAAGACATTGTGGTTTCTACCTCCCTGGTATTTAGATTATTGCCTCTGGAAAAACCAGTCTTCATGTCAGGAGGACGCTCTAGCAGCTTTTTGAAGAAGCCCATGAGATTAGAAACCTGAGGCCTCTTAACAACAGCCAACAATGCAAGTGAGCTGTTTTAGAAATGGATCTTCCGACTCCAGTCAAACTCTCAGGTCATTATGACCCTGGTCAACATCTTAACTGCATCCCGATGAGAGACCCTGAGCACAACTGACTCAGTTAAGCCATGTGTTAATTCCTGACCCACAGAAACTTTGAGATAATAACTGCTTTGGGTGAATTAAGCCAAGTTTTAGGACAACTTTTTATGTAGCAATAGATAACTAATTTTGTGCCGTACAAGAAATTCACACTTCAGCTGGAACTGAAATCAAATGGCTTTCTGAAGCCCTTTTTAGCCCAGATCTTTGGTTTTTGACAGTCACTTTATTGGAAAAGAAGTGAAGTTAGACTCAGCTCCCGGCCATCCTTAAGATATATTTGCCTCTTTTCTCTCTAGCTAATTTTAGCAATCCTCCGGAGCACTGGGCAGCCAAATGTTTCAGCTACCTGGACAGGGCCCAAGGCTGGCTTTCGAGAGATGCCATTACATTATAGACTTTATCACTTATGTGTTGCTACAGAGCTCATATTGAATAATTCTCTAGACACTGAGAATAGACAATCTCATTAAGTTTTTAAAAATAACGCCATGGATGTATATACAAATTAGGTGCTTATATGTAATACATACATACATATAAATACATATTTACATGTGGATATACCTTTTTAGGCATATATGCATTTAATCAAATAACTCACATGTTATATATGTATGCATAAACAAAATAATCTATATAGACTTGACTTACTAGAAATCTGACATTTCTAAAAGTCATCACAGAGACCACATTCACCTCAAGAGCTGGACAAATACTACCAAATGAACTAAAGCCGCTGCTACTGTCTTACTAACTAATAACTTATCAGTTTTACTTGAAGGAGAAGAATAGTCATTAAAGGTCCTCGAACCCTATAAACATCTCTACCACTGTGGGAGCCTATCGAAATTTTTGTATAATTTTTCTGATTGATGGTCAATTGTAAATACCAATTTAATGCTTGTCTCTGTACTGTGGTCCCCCCTTATACATGGGAGATACATTCCAAGATCCTCAGTGGATACATGAAACTGCAGATAGTACTGAAACCTAAATATACTACGTTTTTTCCTATACACACATACCTATGATAAATTATATGATATATGATAATTTATAAATTACACAGAGTGGGCAGAGTGTGGTGGCTTACGCCTGTAATCCCAGCACTTTGGGAAGCCAAGGTGGGCAGATCACAAGGTCAAGTGATTGATACCATCCTGACCAACACGGTGAAACCCCATCTCTACTAAAAATACAAAAATTAGCTGGGTGTGGTGGTGCATGCCTGTAGTTCTACTCAGGAGGCTGAGGCAGGAGAATCGCTTGAACCTGGGAGGTGGAGGTTTCAGTGAGCCGAGATCGCGCCACTGCACTCCAGCCTGGGTGACAGAGCAAGACTCCATCTCAAAAAATGAAACAAACAAACAAACAAACAAAACTTACACACAGTAAGAAATTAACAATAATAAAATAGAACAATGATTAGATATACTGTAATAAAAATTATGTAAATGTGGTCTCTCTTTCTCAAAATATCTTATTGCTCTGTGTTCACCTATTTTCAAACCATGGTTGACCATGAGTAACTGAAACCATGGATAGCAAAACCTTGGATAAGGGGGGAGCTCATGTACTAAGCACCCCAGAAGGATGTGCAGACCACCTCTGCCTTTGGTTTATGTGGAATGTCACCCCCAGCAAAACCCATCTTGTGCTAACAACACACAGTTATGGTGTTTCTGTAAGAAACCTTAACTTGTCCTGAGAATTTGAAGAGGAATCCTTCCGCTTCCAGAGATCTTTGTTATTCGCTCTCATGACCTATCTATCTTGGCATGATGTGATGGTTGTATGAATGCCAGCAAATCACTATAGACTCTAAGTTCACTGACAGCAGAGTCTGCCTTCTTTGTAAATAAATACTTTACTCTTACCACACATACTGAAATATAGTAGAGTTCAACAAATGTTTCTTAAATGATGAGGGGTCTTTTGGTCTTATATAGTTCAGGTGGTTGGGGTATGGAGTAAAGGATTTAAATATTTGGCCAATCAAATTAAAAAGGGAAGCTGTCCTGGATTTGTTTTAAGTGATGATCCAGGGCAGAGGATTTGCTCAGGACTTAGCAGTAGAATGATGCTCTACCTGAAAAGCTTGTTTGTTTTTGCTGAGTAGGTACTGAGCACTTTCTCACTATTTTTCTCTCCCTTCTCACATTGGTAGCTGCAAACATAGAGCTTGTTTTGTGGTACTCCTATAACACATGTATACATCTATGCCCCAAATCCAGTCCTGGATCCATCTTATTTACAGTTTTATTCCCTTTTACCTTCTGCTTTTGTTTTTACTATTAAAATTTTTTTTAAATTTCAAATTTCCAAATGCAACTCCTTGAAATTCTTCATAATCATTCTTCATAATTCCTCATAATTCTTCAAAAAGAATTCCTTAAAATCATCTAATTTAGTACATAATTAAGTTGTCTGTGTTATCTCAAACATGCCTTTTTATAGTTGATTTGATTCAGTCAGAAAGTTCACATATCACATCGGGTTGTGCGTCTCAATTCTTTTTAACTTTATAGCAGTCCTCCTTCCCCCTCTTCTTCTTTACCATTTATTTATTTGGAAAAAAAATCATGTATCTTGTAGAATTGCTCACATTTTGGACTTTGGTGATACATTCTTGTGGTTTTTGTCTGAGACGTTTCCTCATACTTCGTATTTCCTCTAGACTATCTACAGGCCTGATCAGGTATGTTTTTTTTTTTTTTTTTTTTGGAAGTCTCACTCTGTCACCCAGGCTGGAGTGCAGTGGCACGATCTAGGCTCACTGCAACCTCTGCCTCCCGGGTTCAAGCGATTCTCCTGCCTCAGGCTCCTGAGTAGCTGGGATTACAGGCACGCGCCACCATGCCCAGCTAAATTTTGTATTTTTAGTAGAGACAGGGTTTCATCATGTTGGTCAGGCTGTTCTCGAACTTCTGACCTCGTGATACACCCACTTTGGCTTCTCAAAGTGCTGGGATTATAGGCGTGAGCCACCGCACCCAGCCAGATTTGGATTTTTTAATGTGACTATTTCAGTGCTAGTGTTGGACTGTTCCTGCAGCGTTATATTAGGAGACACGTGATGTCTGATTGCCTTTCTTTTCTTAATTGATCAGTAAGATCAGATGGTGTCAGCCTGACCCATCCACTATAAAGTTCCCCACAACATCTTAATTAATGAGTTTAGCAGATTTAGATTTTTTTCTTTATCATTATTTCATTAGGACTGCAAAATAGTGATATTCTGATCCTATTGTTCCCTTTTATTTTTTATTTATTTACTTTTTGAGATAGAGTCTTGCTCTGTCACCCAGGCTGGAGTTCAGTGGCGCAATCTCAGCTCACTGCAACCCCCACCACCTGGGTTCAAGTAATTCTCATGCCTCAGCTTCGCGAGTAGCTGGGATTACCAGTGTGCTCCACCAGGCCCAGCTGATTTTTTTGTATTTTTAGTAGAGATGGGGTTTCACCACATTGGACAGGCTGGTCTCAAACTCCTGACCTCAAGTGATCTCCCTACTTGGCCTCCCAAAGTGCTGAGATTACAGGTGTGAACCACTGCGCCTCGGCCCCTTTTCTTTTATTAATTGTAATTCTTCTCTAAAGAATAGCTTCCCCTCAACTATTATTTGGTTATCACAAAATGCAGATTACATAAGGAAGCCAAGATAAATATGTAATATTTTTCCCTTGCCTATTTTTGAAATAAATAGTTGGTTTTTTTTATTTAAAATATCATTATTAATTTATGGATTTTTAGCATATTTGATGTACTTCAATGAATTGTGGCCATTATTCTTTTTGATGATCCAATTATTTTGTTTTTGGCCAGTGAAAGCTTCTTCAGGTTAGTTTCATTTGCCTTTTGTCTTTTGACATGACAATAGGAATTTTTGAAATCTGGTACAAGAAAATATTCCAGGCTCATTTTATACATTTATTGACTTATATCTGAAGGAATTATTTTTCCAGAAAGTTCTGATCACTTTTGGTGATCCAGGTGCTGAGAGGTACTTGTTGCTAATGGATTGATGATTTATTTCTTTCAGGTCTGTGTAATAGACAAAGTTAGGAAGTTCATAATTTTTATGGGCAATACAATTTCATTATGATATAATACTTATATTTCCAATTCAAATTCAGATAATAGGAATTTTTATTTACCATCTTAGATTTTATGTATTTCCAATCTCTTTTTGATTACCATAAAAATCTTGGTTCCCAGTAACATTAATAGAAGCACTAATACAATGTGTTACTTACCCTATTAAAATAAAAATAATAACACTGTAATTACTCCCCATCCCCACACTTCAGCCTCCATGAGATATATGGAAACAGTCAAATTATTATGTTTTAAAGTCATTTGAAATAATTCACCATTGAGTAAGCCACAGATTTCATAATGTTAGGTTAATTTTTTCCCCAAGTTTTCAGAATTTTTAAAAATTCAATTTTTTTGTTTTATAATTATGTAAAAAATAACATGGACCCAAAACAACACAACACAACAAAGCACATTTAGAAATATCTGTGTTCTACCTGTGTCTCCTCTACCCTGTTCCCTCCTCCCCAGTGAACAATAATATTCCTTAGTTTTTAACTTATCTTTCCATTTATTTTTAATATAGTCAAATATGTATCTTTCATCCTTCGAGGAAAGGTAGCAATCTTTATATACAGTTCTGCCCCTTGGTTTTTTCTTTTCCTTTTTTTGTTTTTTAGTTGAGAGGCTATCCTGGATATCACTCCATAATGGTTTATAGAGATTATCCTCATTCTTTTGTTTAGCTCCATAGTTCTTTACTGGGTGGTGTTTCATATTTTATTCCTCTTGTATCTTACCATAGGTAAGGTATGCCGTACAGTTTAGGTTGTTTCCAATTCCGACTGCTACAAACAACATAGTACTGAATAGCGATTTGTGTATATCATTTTCTGTTTTTGTCAACATATGTTAGGCATAAATTTCTAGACATAGGATTGCTGGGTCAAAGGGAAATGCATGTATTATTTTGTTAGATATTTTTGACTGTTTTAAAAATAGAACATATTATTATGTTGTATGCATCTTTGAAAGCTACTTTAAACTTTTTTATAAAAAGAACATTGGGGCATAAATTACTTTTAATATTTATTATAATAATAATATGAAGCACTAAGTAACATACATTTATAATTATATAAATATCTATCTTTTATAGGCATAAGACTCTGTTATAAAAATTAATATTCATCAGGGATTATCCACAAATTTCCCTTTTCCCCCCACTCCACCAAAGTGAATGCAATTGCTGGATGGACCTTTCCCCACTCTTCCACATGCTTTTCTCATCCCTCACTCCCTACATTTGTCATTGCTAGACCAGTCTCTACAGACTTTTGTAAGAATGGATCAAGAAGGATTTTATGGCAGGGAGAATGACCCAGGGAGAAAGTTGGAGGGATAGGAGGTGAGAAAAGTGGAGGCGAGGGAGGCTGAAGGTGAACAACATGGTGGAGAGGGGGAGGCAGCAAACGAAAGGTGCTGGGGGACACAGAAGGGAAGAAGTAGAGGGGAAGAGACATAGGAATATGAGAAGTGTTGCTACAACTTGTGAGTCTGATCCACTCTCATCTTCTTTTGGAAAAGCAAGTTAATAAAATTCTTCTATAATTGCTTTTCTGGCTCTTATACTGTGTATCTTGAACATGACACCACATAGAGACTGATCTATATGGACTGTGACTTCCATAGGGCATCAAGTCTTCATAATGAAAACACCTGAGAGTTTACAGATAATACAATACTGAGATTTAAGTTGGCTGTTGGTGTGAAATAAGTTATGTATGAATTAATATAAATGCTGTAGCCTGTGTACTAACTGAAGCCCACCCATATCCCTATAATGTAGGTATGCCTCTTTCTAATTATAAGCAGACCTACAAGGCAAGACTGAGTCACACCAGATGTCCACTTACATCTTAATGCTTGAGTCCAAGTCTTCTGGCATAAAATTATATAGATCACAGGCAAAATATCTAAAAAAGAAGAAAAAAACCCATAGCAACAGAAAGTAAAATCTGATTGTTAGCAAAGCCAATGCATTAGCTAAACAGAATAGTCCGGGGCATCAAAATGTTAGCAAGCATGGCTGCCCTCTAAGGAGAAACTGAGGTCAGGTTGCCCCAGATCAAAGCCCGAGGAGAAGACAGATCCTGCCGTGCACAGAATTCATTCACTGGAAAGAAGCCTTCTGGGCCAAGTCCCTGATGGCGTTGAGAGCTGACTGGAAATGCATTCCCTGAGAGAAGGGTTTTGTAATCCTTGATTTAGTTTATTTCAGTCTGTGGAAAACCTTGTTGCTGAATTCAGGATTCTTTCTTCCAGAGAAGATTTGGGCTTGTGTTTGCAACAGCCTTGGACAGCTACAGACCTGCAATTCCTTTAATCCCTTTCCTTGTGTCAGGCATAATCCGGGAACCTGAGTTGATTCTGCTCTCCCTCTGCTCAAAGTCCAGCTCTGGATTGTTGTGTTGATATTAGCATTTGCCCTGAGGGCAGCTCCCTCTTTTCCTGCTCACTGCTGTGGTTTCACCTCAAGGTTTTAAGAGTAAATGTAAAATTTCCATATATTTATCTCCTTTATCCTCATAAGAACCCTGGGAGATAGCAATAATTACCTGCCTCCCTCCAGCAGCCAAAAGAGGGAATAAGGCGTTAGAGGATACCAACTCCTTGAAAGTTACAGGCCCAGTTAAGTGGTGGAGTCAGCTTTGTCTGCCTCACTCCAAAGTGAAAGTTTTTGTTTTTTTTTTTTGACAGAGTCTTGCTCTGTTGCCTTGGCTGGAGTGCAGTGGCGCGATCTTGGCTCACTGCAACCTCCACCTGCCGGGTTCAAGCCATTCTCCTGCCTCAGTTATGGCCTTCAAAAAGCCACTTTACTGTTTCTCCTCATTTCAGTCCAGACTCCGGGCTGCCAACCGTCTCTTTTTAAAACATGGGAATGTACCATCATTCTAACCATCCTTGATATTCCATCTCTACTTCCCACCGAAATGCGTAAAAGCACATTTTTTTTTTTTTTTAAGAGATGGAGTCTCGCTCTGTCACCCAGGCTGGAGTGCAGTGGCCTGATCTCGACTCACTGCAACCTCCACCTCCCGGGTTCTAGCAATTCTTCTGCCTCAGCCTCCCGAGTAGCTGGGATTACAGGTGCATGCCACCACGCCTGGCTAACTTTTTGTATTTTAGTAGAGACGGGGTTTCAGCATGTTGCCCAGGCTGGTCTCGAACTCCTGAGCTTAGGCAATCCACCTGCCTTGGCCTCCCAAAGTGCTAGGATTACAGGCATGAGCTACCACACCAGGCCGTAAAAACACATTTTGCCACAGCATTGAGAATTAAAGATGGCAACAGACCACTTGCCAATGTCTGGAAAAATTCTCACTAAGTGAGACATGGAGGAGCTTCGAATGACAAACTTTCGGGCGATAACACTCACTTTGACCTGTGAAACAAAATGGCAAGGCTGGTCATGACGATGTCAAATAGCAGATTTGACACTCCCCTCCCCCTATTCCTCTCTCTAGGCCATGCCATCCCCGGTTTCTAACTCGCCACAACCACTGAACAAAGCAGTTGTCTGGGGTGGGAGGAAAACAGCAGTAGGGTCTGTCAGTTTCCTCCCAGCATGAGATGTAAAAACAGCCTAGGCATGGCTGAGTGTGGTGGCTCACGCCTGTAATCCCAGCACTTTGGGAGGCCGAGGTGGGTGGATCACCTGAGGTCAGGAGTTCGAAACCAGCCTGACCAACATGGTGAAACCCTGTCTCTACTAAGAATACAAAAATCAGCTGAACATAGTTTTCACGCGCATCTGTGTGAAGAGACCACCAAACAGGCTTTGTATGAGCAACATGGCTGTTTATTTCACCTGGGTGCAGGCGGGCTGAGTCTGAAAAGAGAGTCAGCGAAGCGAGATAAGGGTGGGGCCGTTTTATAGGATTTGGGTAGGTAAAGGAAAATTACAGTCAAAGGGGGCTTGTTCTCTGGCGGGCAGGAGTGGGGGTCGCAAGGTGCTCAGTGGGGGGTGCTTTTTGAGCCAGGATGAGCCAGGAAAAGGACTTTCACAAGGTAATGTCATCACTTAAGGCAAGGACCGACCATTTACACTTCTTTTGTGGTGGAATGTCATCAGTTAAGGTGGGGCAGGGCATATTCACTTCTTTTGTGATTCTTCAGTTACTTCAGGCCATCTGGGCATATAAGTGCAAGTCACAGGGGATGCGATGGCTTGGCTTGGGCTCAGAGGCCTGACTGACATTCCTGCCTTCTTATATGAATAAGAAAAATAAAACAAAATAGTGTTGAAGTGTTGGGGCGGCGAAAATTTTTGGGGGGTGATATGGAGAGAGAATGGGCGATGTTTGTCAGGGCTGCTTCAAGCGGGATTAGGGGTGGCGTGGGAACCTAGAGTGGGAGAGATTAAGCTGAAGGGAGGTCTTGTGGTAAGGGGTGATATTGTGGGGATGTTAGAAGAAACATTTGTCGTATAGAATGATTGGTGATGGCCTGAATATGGTTTTGGATTAATTGAGAAACTAAATGGAATAACAGAAGGAGAAAAACAGGTATAAAAGGTCTAAGAATTGGGACGACTCAGGATATCTGATTAGAGAGTGCCTAAGGAGATTCAGCATAGTCCTGCCAGCAAAGATTATTTATTTACTTCAAGAGTTAAGAGTGGCAGTTTGGGGATACCACCAGGAGATATCAGCTGTGATGGCTTGGAAAAACAGTGTAAACCGGCAGTGTAAACAAGAGCAGGGCATGTATGAGTAGTTGAGAATGGTGAATAGGAGTATGACTAGACAGAAGATAGTAGGGATGACAAGTTTTTTTGGGGGCACAGTCTAAGTTGGTCTGGTGTCTGGAATGAGACTGGGGCCTAATAAAAAGGAGCGTCTATACAGGAGCTCAAATGGGCTGTACCTTGTAGCATTCTGACGACAGGTCTGACTTCTGAGAAGGGAAAGTGGTAAAAGTATTGTCCAGTCCTTTTCAAGTTGGTGGCTGAGCATGGTGAGGTGTGTTTTTAAAAGACCTTTAGTCCATTCTACTTTTCTTGAAGACGGAGGACCGTAAGGGATATAAAGGTTTCACTGAATACTAAGAGCCTGAAAAACTGCTTGGCTGATTTGACTAATAAAGGCTTGTCTGTTATCAGACTGTATTGAGGTGGGAAGGCTAAACTGAGGAATTATGTCTGACAGAAGGGAAGAAATGACCGTGGTGGCCTTCTCAGACCCTGTAGGAAAGGAATCTACCTATCCAGTGAAACTGTCTGCCTAGACTAAGAGGTATTTTAGTTATCTGACTCAGGGCATGTTGAGTAAAGCTAATTTGCCAGTCCTGGGTGGGGCAAATCCTTGAGCTTGATGTGTAGGGAAGGCAGGGGGCCTGAATAATCCCTGAGGAGTAGTAGAATAGCAGATGGAACACTGAGAAGTTATTTCCTTGAGGATAGATTTCCACGATGGAAAGGAAATGAGAGGTTCTAAGAGGCGGGCTAGTGGCTTGTACTATAGCATAACCTGCCTTTGCCGGTTTGTGGCGATTAGGCCTGGTGGAACTGCCATCAATAAATCAAGCATGATCAGGGTGAGGAACAGGAAAGAAGGAAATTTGGGGAAATGGGGTGAATGTCAGGTGGATCAGAGAGATACAGTCATGGGGGTCAGGTGTGGTATCAGGAATAATGTGGGAGGCCGGATTGAAGTCTGGACCAGGAACAACGGTAATTGTGGGAGACTCAACAAAGAGTGAGTACAGCTGAAGGAGCCGGGGAGCAGAAAGTATATGCGTCAGTATGAGGAAGAAAATAGATTTTGGAAGTTATGAGAACTGTAGAGAGTGAGTTGAGCATAGTTTGTGATTTTTAGGGCCTCTAAAAGTATTAAAGCAGCGGCAGCCGCTGCACGCAGACATGAGGGCTAGGCTAAAACAGTAAGGTCAAGTTGTTTGGACAGAAAGCCTACAGGGTATGGTCCTGGCTCTTGTGTAAGAATTCTGACCACGCTAACCATGCCTAGGAAGGAAAGGAGTTGTTGTTTTGTAGAAGGTGCTGGGGTTTGAGAGATTAGTCGGACACGATTGGCAGGGAGAGCACGTGTGTTTTTATGAGAATTATGCCGAGATAGGTAACAGATGAGGAAGAAATTTGGGCTTGATTGAAGTAATGGGGGCTGTCTGTGAGCTTTGCGGCAGTACAGCCTAGGTAATTTGCTGAGCTTGATGGGTGTCAGGGTCAGTCCAAGTGAAAGCGAAGAGAGGCTGGGATTAAGGGTGCAAAGGAATAGTAAAGAAAGCATGTTTGAGATCCAGAACAGAATAATGGGTTGTAGAGGCAGGTATTGAGGATAGGAGAGTATACGGGTTTGGCACCACGGGGTGGCTAGGCAAAACAATTTGGTTGATAAGGCGCAGATCCTGAACTAACTTGTAAGGCTTGTCTGGTTTTAGGACAGGTAAAATGGGGGAATTGTAAGGAGAGTTTATAGGCTTTAAAAGGCCATGCTGTAGCAGGTGAGTGATAACAGGCTTTAATCTTTTTAAAGCGTGCTGCGGGATGGGATATTGGCATTGAGGGGGGTAAGGGTGATTAGGTTTTAATGAGATGGTAAGGGGTGCATGATCGGTCACCAAGGAGGGAGTAGAGGTATCTTATACTTGTGGGTTAAGGTGGGGGGATACAAGAGGAGGACACAAAGGAGGCTTTGGATTGTGAAGAAGGGTGGCAATGAGATATAGCTGTAGTCCAGGAATAGTCAGGGAAGCAGATAATTTAGTTAAAGTGTCTCAGCCTAATAAGGGAACTGGGCAGGTGGGGATAACTAAAAAGGAGTGCTTAAAAGAGTACTGTCTAAGTTGGCACCAGAGTTGGGGAATTTTAAGAGGTTTAGAAGCCTGGCCGTCAATACCCACAACAGTTATGGAGGCAAGGGAAACAGGCCCTTGAAAAGAAGGTAATGTGGAGTGGGTTGCCTCCATATTGATTAAGAAGGGGACGGGCTCACCTTCCACTGTGAGAGTTACCCGAAGCTCGGCGTCTGTGATGGTCTAGGGGGCTTCCGAGGCGATCGGGCAGTGTCAGTCTTCAGCCGCTAAGCCGAGAAGATCTGGGAAGGAGTCAGAGAGCCTTGGGCCAGAGTTCCAGGGGCTCTGGGAGTGGCTGCCAGGTGAGTTGAACAGTCCGATTTTCAGTGGGGTCCCACACAGATGGGACGCGGCTTAGGAGGAATCCCGGGCTGCGGGCATTCCTTGGCCCAGTGGCCAGATTTCCAGCACGTGTAGCAAGCTCCTGTGGGAGGAGGTTCTGGAGGAACACCTGGCTGCTGCGGTTCAGGCGTTTGGAAGTTCTTGTGTGCTGGAGATGTGGCTGGGGTTTGTCTCACAGTGGAGGCAAGGAATTGCAACTTTTTTCTATTATTGTACACCTTGAAGGCCAGGTTAATTAAATCCTGTTGTGGGGTTTGAGGGCCGGAATTTAATTTTTGGAGTTTTATTTAATGTCGGGAGCAGATTGGGTAATAAAATGTATTTTGAGAATAAGACGGCCTTTTGACTTTTTAGGGTCTAGGGCTGTAAAGCATCTCAGGGTTGCTGCCAAACAAGTCATGAACTGGGCTGGATTTTTATATTTGATGAAAAAGAGCCTAAACGCTATCTGATTTGGGATAAAGAAAAAGGAGCATTAACCTTGACTATGCCTTTGGCTCCAGCCACCGTTTTAAGAGTAAATTGCTGGGCAGGTGGGGGAGGGCTAGTCATGGAACGAAACTAAGCCTGACCAGGTGTGAGAAGGGGAGGCAATAAAAGGATTATAGGGTGGAGGAGCGGAGGCTGAGGAAGAATTGGGACCTAGCTCGGCCTGTCGAGGAGGGGAGAGGTCAGATGGGTCTGTAGAAAAGGAAGATTAGAAAGACTCAGCGACGCTTGGGGTTGGGACTGAGGGTACAGGTGGGAGGGAAAGAAGGAAGATTTGGGACGAGTTGCACTGGGCACAGAGACTAGGAAGGGACTGATGTGTAAAAGAATGCCTGGACGTCAGGCACCTCAGACCGTTGGCCTATGTTACGACAAGAATTATTTAGATCTTGCAGGATGGAAAAATTCAAAGTGCCATTTTCTGGCTATTTGGAACTACTGTGGAGTTTGTATTGGGGTCAAGCGGCATTGCAGAAGAAAATAAGGCATTTAGGTTTTAGGTCAGGTGTGATTTGAAGAGGTTTTAAGTTTTTGAGAACACAGGCCAAGGGAGTAGAAGGAGGAATGGAGGGTGGAAGGTTGCCTATAGTGAAGGAAGCAAGCCTAGAGAAAAGAGAGAGTAGAGAAATGGAGGGAAGGGGTTCGGGGGTTCTTACCTTCCAGAAAAGTGGGAAAAGTGGTTGGGGCGCAGAGATAAAAGGTCGGGGTGTGGAAATAGGGGATGGGGCACAGAAATAAGAGGTCGGGGCACGGAAATAAGGGATTGGGGCACACAGATACGAGGTTGGGGTGCAGAAATAAGGGATTGGGAGTTCTTGCCCCCTAGAAAGGCGGGACTTGCTGCTAATGGTGAAGGAGAAGGGGTTGAGGGGTACTTGCCCCTGCCCCAGGAAAGCAGAGAAGGGGTGGAGACAAGGAGAGAAGGGGTTGGGGTATTTGCCCCTTCCCCAGAAAAGCGGGACTTGCCGCTAAGGGCGAAGGACCAAGGCAGGCGTCCCTGCATGGTCTGACACCTTTGAAACGTGGATGAGTAATCAGAGAGGTGTCCCTGCAGTGATTAAACACCAAGGGAAGGCTGCCTTCCCAGTCCGTGACCGGCGCCGGAGTTTTGGGTCCACAGATAAAACGTGTCTCCTTTGTCTCTCCCAGAAAATGAAAGGAATTGAAATTAAGAGAAGGGAGAGATTGAAGAGTGGAAAGAAGAAAGTGGTTGAGGGACAGTGAGAGAGGTTGGAGAAGAGAGTAAGAAGAGGCCATTTACCTGATTTAAAATTGGTGAGATGTTCCTTGGGCTGGTCCGTCTGAGGACCTGAGGTCGTAGGTGGATCTTTCTCATGGAGCAAAGAACAGGAGGACAGGGGATTGATCTCCCAAGGGAGGTCCCCCGATCTGAGTCACGGCACCAAATTTCATGCGCGTCCATGTGAAGAGACCACCAAACAGGCTTTGTGTGAGCAACATGGCTGTTTATTTCACCTGGGTGCAGGCGGGCTGAGTCTGAAAAGAGAGTCAGCGAAGGGAGATAAGGGTGGGGCCGTTTTACAGAATTTGGGTAGGTAAAGGAAAATTACAGTCAAAGGGGGCTAGTTCTCTGGTGGGCAGGAGTGGGGGTCGCAAGGTGCTCAGTGGGGGTGCTTTTTGAGCCAGGATGAGCCAGGAAAAGGACTTTCACAAGGTAATGTCATCACTTAAGGCAAGGACCGGCCATTTACACTTCTTTTGTGGTGGAATGTCATCAGTTAAGGTGGGGCAGGGCATATTCACTTCTTTTGTGATTCTTCAGTTACTTCAGGCCATCTGGGCGTATAAGTGCAAGTCACAGGGGATGTGATGGCTTGGCTTGGGCTCAGAGGCCTGACGATGTTGGCGCATGCCTGTAGTCCCAGCTACTCAGGAGGCTGAGGCAGGAGAAATGCTTGAACCCGGGAGGTGGAGGTTGCAGAGAGCTGAGATTGCACCATTGCACTCCATCCTGGGTGACAGAATGAGATTCCATCTGAAACAAAACAAAACAAAACAAAAAGAAAACAGCCTAGGCAGAGAGTTAAAGCCTGGTGGCGGAGTGGTCAGGGAGCTGGGTTCTTGAGACAGCGCTGCTCAGCTCAATATCAACTGCAGATAATGTAGTTAGGGCTATAATGGTTGGTCTACACTGAATATGTACAGACCTTTTGTCATTCTCTAAACAATACAGTATGACACAATGTACCTAGCATTTACACTGCGTTAGGTATTATGAGTAATCTAGAGATGATTTAAAGTGTACAGGAGGATGCGTGTGGGTGATATGCAAGTACTATGCCATTTTATGTCAAGGACTTGAGCATTCTCAATTTTGGTATCCATTGAGGATCCTGGAACCAACCCCCTCCATGGATACTGAGTGACGACTGTACGCTGAAGTCTGTGCAGGCCTCCAAGCTGCAAATCATTGTGAAGAAATAAGTCCTGATTCCTTTAAATAAATATCCCTTAAAGACCTGGAGTAAAGCCTAGAATGAGTAGGATAGAGTGGAAGAGAAGCCCAAGAGGCCTTGCCCTGGAGGTGCTTCCATGTGTTCATACCTGGAAGGCAGCTGGAAGCTGCAGGTATGGAGGCATTCCCTGTGAGGACTAACCTATGATTTGTTTATCTTGCCCGAATTCCTGTCTAAGGGGTCTGGAGAGTCATGCCCTACAAATCATAAATTCTCATCAGATGGGTTTTATTGAACCCTATATATCATGATTTGCTTTCCAACCTGACTCTGGCATAACATTATGAGACAAGAAAATCAAAATATTTTACCCCAAGACACGTTTCTTTGCCATATTTTGAAATAGCCATGCAAAGCTGTTCTTTGTGGGGAAAAATTTGCATCTGTAAAGAATCTCTACTAACATAGCTAGATCTTTTTCTTCCAGACCCTCCCAATCCTAAACAGATTAACTAAAATCTGAATTGGAAACATTTGTCACCTGTTGTCTCTAAGGGCAGCCACTATAAGACTTTAAAAGAACTTTGGTCTCCACAATCTGTATCTTAACCTGAACATTCTCTTTCTATGAATCCCAGGTCTTTAGACAAACTCAACCAATTGTTATCTAGAAAATGTTTAAATTCACCTATGGCCTGGAATCACCTGCTTTGAATTCTTCTGCCTTTCTGCACCAAACCAATGTATTTCTTAAATGTATTTGATTGATGTCTTATGCATCTCTAAAATGTGTAAAACCAAGCTGCGCCCTGCCTACCTTGGGCACATGTTGTCATGTTCTCAGGACCTCCTGAGGGCTGTGTCATGGGCCATGGTCATTCATATTTGGCTCAGAATAAATCTCTTCAAATATTTCACAGAGTTTGACTCTTTTCGTCGACACCTGGAAACCTCTCTACTTTCCCCCATGACTTTAGTATCCTGTGTGTAATGGACGTTAGTCACAGAGCCATTTTCTGAGGCTTGTGTTTTGAGATGAGGGCTGGGAAAGCTCTAAAGATCATAATAGCTGCGGCCTTTAAATATCTGAAGTGTGCCATGAAGTTGTGGAAAGGATACTATGTAGTCAATGTGAGTCCAAAAAGCAAACATAAAGTCACTATGGATGCAACAGGAAAACATGTGGCTTGCCCGTTTTTATTTTAAACTCTCAAGAAAGAGTTTAACAAAAGACAGTGCTTTGTCAAAATCCAGCAGGTTATGAAGTAGTGAGTAAGTGTAGTTGGAGGTATTCAAGCAGAGGTTTGAAATGCAGACAAGGTCAAAGAGGATTCTTTCATTGGGATCAGCAGTTGACCTAGATGATCTTCAAAGCTCATTCTAGCTCAGAAATAATACAATAATGACTAACATTTATTCAACATTTACTATGTTAGTTAAATACAATTCTGAGACAGCCAAATGCCTAGGCGGATAAAAAGTGATCCCCAGGGAATCTCTGACCCGTCCCACAAGTGTTTGCAGCAGATGCTTTTGTGCAGATGAGGGAACCTGCCCAGGGCTTGTGTGGGCATGCCCACAGCCGACTGGAGCCCAACACGCACACTGAGGAAGTGGGTGGATTATGGCAAATTTGCAACTTAAGCAAAGGAGGAGCCTGCTCTCTTCAGTTCCTTTGTGTGGCCTGGGATTAAATCTGTGAGGTCAGGGGTCTGTTAGCAGGACTCCATCTCACTTTGCTGAGTTTTCTTTCTTTTCTTCCTTTTCACCCAATAAAACCCTGTTCTACTCACCCTTCAATGTGTCTGCGTGCCTAAATTTTTCTAGTCATGTGACAAGAACCCAGGTTTTAGCTGAACTAAGCGAAATTCTGCAACATTTTTATGAATAATAAATACTATTCTAAGAACTGTTAACATATGCCACCATTTGACTCTCACAAATTCGTAAGATGGATACCATTATTTTGTTCATTTTAAAGATAGGATATTGAGACCCAGGGAAATCAAGTCACTTGGTCAATTGTCACACAGCCAGTAAGTGGTGAAGCCAGGATTTGAATGCAGACAGGCTGATGGCAGAATTTATAATCTTCATCTCTTGTAAGATCAGAGTGTCTGAACCTGAGGTATTATCGCACAACAGTGTGACACTAAGACAATCATTAGAAACAGCCCAGTAACAACAGTGATGGACTCTTATGTGTTAGCAAATTCCGCATCCTGTTAGTGAGTTACTTAGCTCAGTAATCTGACATTTGAAATGTCTACAAATACTATTACCCAAGGGACATATCACTGCCTGTTGCCTCAGAGAATAAGATAATCATGCCCTTGACAGATAGTCTCTAAGCAGTGGTTACTCAGCACGAGTAAATTTGCAGATGCGTTTCTTTGCTTCTTTTTTTTTTTTTTTGAGATGGAGTCTCACTCTTTCGCCCAGGCTGGAGTGCAGTGGCGCTATCTGGGCTCACTGCAAGCTCCGCCTCCCGGGTTCACGCCATTCTCCTGCCTCAGCCTCCCGAGTAGCTGGGACTACAGGGGCCTGCCACCGCGCCCGGCTAATTTTTTGTAATTTTAGTAGAGACGGGGTTTCACCATGTTAGCCAGGATGGTCTCGATCTCCTGACCTCGTGATCCGCCCGCCTCGGCCTCCCAAAGTGCTGGGATTACAGGCGTGAGCCACGGTGCCCGGCCTCTTTGCTTCTTTTGTGATGTTAGAGGGGCATTATGAATGCATGATCCAATCTGATCACAGGATGCCTGAGGGCAGGAAGTGTAGCTGTGTTTCTTTAAGTGCAACATATTCCTCCTCTTCCTCTACAAGTCACCCTGGGTTCACAAACAAGTACGCTAAGCCCATGTAGTTCTGGCAGACACAGCACCTGATCTTAAGGAGCTTGTGAACTATTAGAACTGTTGTCACCTCACAACTCACTCATAACGAAAATACATGGGAAATGTAACAGAAGTACCGGAAAGAGTTTTTAGTGGTCAGAGAAGAGACAGCATATTTCCCAGTGGGAACAGTCAGGGGAATCTTTTCCCAGTGCAGGCAGGATTTAATTCATTCATTCAACTCCAACTTTCTTTGGTGCTCTACTTGATGCTGGGGTTCATCAGCGAGTAAGCCAGGTGTGGAGCCTCTGAGAGCTAACCGTTTTGTTGGAGAAGACAAATAATCCTGCCATCACAATGCGCAGTGATTAAGAGAGTGGGCGCTGCCACCAGGCTGCCCAGTTCAAATCTCTCCTTTAATCCTTTGCTGGCCAAGCAACCCAGGGCAAGTAATTGAATTATTTCAAGGCTTATTTGAGTCACCCATGAAAGGTGGATGTCAGGCCTCTGAGCCCAGGCCACGCCATCGCATCCCCTGTGACTTGCACGTATACATCCAGATGGCCTGAAGTAACTGAAGATCCACAAAAGAAGTAAAAACAGCCTTAACTGATGACATTCCACCATTGTGATTTGTTCCTGCCCCACCCTAACTGATCAATGTACTTTGTAATCTCCCCCACCCTTAAGAAGGTACTTTGTAGTCTCCCCCACCCTTAAGAAGGTTCTTTGTAATTCTCCCCACCCTTGAGAATGTACTTTGTGAGATCCACCCCTGCCCACCAGAGAGCAACCCCCTTTGACTGTAATTTTCCATTACCTTCCCAAATCCTATCAAACGGCCCCACCCCTATCTCCCTTCGCTGACTCTCTTTTCGGACTCAGCCCGCCTGCACCCAGGTGAAATAAACAGCCATGTTGCTCACACAAAGCCTGTTTGGTGGTCTCTTCACACGGACGCGCATGAAAGTGGAAAAACAAGAGCCTATCATAGGGTTGATATCAGAAGAAAATGTAAATCTTTAGCAGGGTACCTGCTTGGCATATAGTAAGTGCTCATTAAGTGCTAGCAATCCTTATAAATGCTGTGGTATGGAAAATGTGGGCTGCTAAAGAGAGTATAGAAACTTGCCTCCTCCTCAGCCCAAGTATAGGAGAGAATAGGAGAGAAGAACACCAGGCTGGATAAAAGAATGCGCCATGAAGAGGGGAATGAGACATTTTAGGTAGAAGAAAGAGCAAGAACAAAGAAATGGAGGTGGGATTATGCAGCCTTTTGTGGGAAAGGAAAAGCATCCGCTATGTCTGTTGAGAAACGCTCAGGTGGTAGGAGCTGTGCTTTGCAAGTTAAATGAGACCAGATCATGGGTTGGAACTTGAGTGCCTCGCTGAGCAGTTCACCCAGTGGGGCAGCCCTACAGTGTGAGAGCAGGGCTTGATTTCCATGGTTACATGCTTTTTTTTTTTCTTTTTTGTGTAGGTCCTGCTGAGTTTACTTGGAATCAGGAAATATTGGAGGACATATAGATTCGGGTAAAGGTATAGCCAAGAACTGTCTAGATCAGGGAGTGGTTATAACTTTGGACATTACAAAACTGGAGGAGGCTTGTAGATAGCCATCATTTCATATTTATTCTGAAAATATTTAATAAGGAAAATTTATGAGCACAGCAATACTCCTTCATGGGGAAAATAGAAAGTAGCTCCTTATATATGTTTCTGAGTATCTAAGAGGTTTGGGAGAGGGTCATTTTGCCTTTACCAAAGCTATAGGTGTTTCATGTAATTGTGACCCACAAATTGCTAGAGCAGGAAGGAAACTTTGAGATCAGGTAATATGGTTCTACTGATTTTAAGTACACAGAAATGTAGAAGCAGAGAGGCCACGTTCTTTGGTCACATGGCAAGTCTCAGCAGTGACAGAATGCAGACCTGTCATTTCTCCCTTTCTTGTTCTTTCCACACAGGTCTTGCTAATACTATCTCTCTCCTATAGTTTCTGAGAGTTATCAATGTAGAATGTATTAACTGAGTTTCATATTTACGCCTGAGACAGACCTGCATAGATATACAGGGGTATAGGTCACCATTTTATCACACCAGATGTCAGCTGCTTTCAGAAGCATGGGTCCAAGATGCCTGAAATACCAGTCAGTCAAACAACGGCAAGAAGTTAAAATAGTAAAGGTAGTGCTAAACCAAAAAGGCTACGGATGCCAAAGCCCTTAGACTAGCCAGCCTTGTTAGCTGCCATGTAAGGCAACACCAGGGTCAGTATGACTCATGAGTTTATTCTGGTGCAGACTTGGCCGGTTCTGGGCTGGAGTGTTTATTTGAGGGCCTTCTGAATCTGTTCCCCATGGGTTTACAGATAAGGAGCTTTAGGCCCCTTGGCCTCCTACTTGGTATGAAAGTCATCTCTCTTCCTGAGCAGGGCTTGGCTCCTGGAAGCTGAGAGAGGTGCACCTCCTGGAGCTGCTGCCTCAGACAGCCTGCAATAAGACTGACCTCACACCTGCCCTGCTGGCCAGCCTCTCGGTCCTGGGACATTGCCCATTCTAGCCTCAGGGCTCACCTTTCCTACTTCTCTTTCAGGCTGTGTCTGGCACTAACCATCCTGCCACCCCTAACCACAAGGTGAGGCGTAGCCTATACCCAGCTCAAGGGAAGGGCCTCCCTCCAGGATATGTAGATCAGGGCTCTTTCTTACTGGAACTTCTCTCTGTGATTCATACAGGAGTTAATCTAGGTCAAGAATTGTGTCCCAGGGAAGTAAATATCTGCTCTGGGACACCAAAGAGAGAATCTGCAGTTTGAGGATTCTTGGTTCCTTAGTGGCTAACAAGTGAGGACTCCCTTAGCCCTCTTCTCCTGAATGAGGTCTACAAAGGAATTAACTTAGATCCTTGAGAGACCAACATTGGCTTTCAAGAGAAAGTGAGAACAGTTTTTGATAAAGTAATGGACTTCACAACTGATGTGACTAGTAGTGAAGGATGCACCTGGTTGTTTCACTGCCTTTTGTCCTGTTTGCCTGATGTACATGACTTTCCAATTTCATTCACCCATGTCAAATTATCACAACCCCCAAATTCCGTGGAAACTTATAAATTAACCTCCAAAGCAAAGCCAATCAAAAGTTGAGGCCTTAGAAAAATGACAATTCTTTTGACCTGAGAAGCCAGGCTTCTAGATAATAGACCTATGTATTGTGCTAATTACCTACTCTTATGTGTTCCCTGAGTATTTCAAATATAGACATTCATTGGTAAGTATATGTGAGGCTGTAAGAGGAACATTTTTGAACTGTTTTACATATGTAAGTTTATTATTACAATGATAGGAACAGTATGGAAAAATTCAGACCCCAGAAGATTAAACTAGAAGTCCACAGCTACAAGGAGCAAGGACATGAGTTCACTGTTTTGAAAGCAAAAATTTAGGAGAGAACAATGATGGTTAATTTCATGTGTCACTTTGACAGGTCCATGGGGTGCAGATATTTGGTTAAACATTATTTCTGGTGTGTCTCTGTGAAGTGTTTCCAAATGAGATTAGCATTTGAATCTGTAGACTGAGGAAAGTAGATTGCCCTCCTCAGTGTAGGTGGGGCATCATCCAATCTGTTGAGGGATAGAATAGAACAAAATGGCAGAGGAAGGAAGAATTCACTCTTTTGCCTGATTACCTGAACTGGGACATCTCTTGAACTGTAACCTACACCATTGGTCCTCTGGGTTCTCAAGCTTTTTGACTTGAACTGTAGCTACACCACCAGCTTTCCTAGGTCTTCAGCTCACAGAGGGGAGATCATGGGCTTTTCAGTCCTTATAATTATGTGAGCCAATCCCTTATACTCTCTCTCTCTCTCTCTCTCTCTCTCTCTCTTTTTCCTATTGGTTCTGTTTCTCTGGAGAATTCTGACTAATGCAGTAAGCAAAAGAAAAATGCTTATTTATTTACTTTCTATTATGGAAAGTTTCAATATACAAAAATACATAGAATAGTATAATAAATGTCCATGTATCTACTACTCACCCTCAACGTTACCAACTCATGGTCAATCATATTTCATCTACACCCCTACCCATATTATTTGAAGGAAATCTCAGATATTGGGTTAAAGAAAATGTTTTAGAAGACATATAACTGATGGTTACTGAAGCTGGGTGATGGGCACATGGAGTTTCATTGTCTGTTTTGCTTTTCTATGTGCTTGAAAGTTTCCATAATATTCAGATTAACAAATAGAGATTGTTTTGCCATTATGGAAAATTATGTCAGAGAGTAGAATAAATAGTGCTCTGTCTTTCTCCTAAAGTTGCATTTCAGCTCATTACAAGGTATTCTTTAAAAAAGCTTTCATGTTTAAAGACTAAAACAAGCCAGTGGTGTTCTGCCAATGCAGAATTTCACAACTTATAAACATAGGCTTTAATAGTGGTAACAATAAAACCACAACACCCCTTTCACTTCCCAAAAGTAGTCAATATTAACTGCCTGCTTACTGTGGGCTGGCACGTTGTTAAGTGCTTTCTATTGCAAGGCACAGAGAGTCAAGGTTTTGAAAGTGAGATGGTGGCACTCAGTAAAGAAGAGCTTCTTAATAGCCAGGGGTTAGAGAGTGCTGCTATCACTGGATAACGAGCTCCACATCACTGGAAATGTTCACATTCAGGCTAGGTAACTGCTTGGCTCTCAATAGGCATTGGTTATTACTTCAATTTCAGAGGCAACCCTAATCCCAGATCACTGGGTCTGTCTAAAGATAGACAGTGAAGTCTCCTCATTCTATATGAAGAACCATCTTCTCACTAAATTAAAATCTGATTATTTTATACCTATTTATGTCTTCATATGAAATGTCTCAGAGTCACTGGCACATCTGATTAGGATTAGACTAGATAATTTCCAAGATCCCTTTTACTCCATAATTCTGTTCTATACATCTTTGTATTTTCAGGTCATATGGTAGAGACTCAGCCAAAGTGACTGAATGCAAATGTGATTCAGGTTTATTCTGTGGCCACTGTGAAATACACATCTGCTGTCCAGAGCGGTTTCCTCTCATTTGCAAAAGAGAGGACCAAGTTTTCTTGTTTTATTGCTTTTCTTGGAAAGATCATGCTCAGAAGGAGGGCAAGTGTGCATCAGAATGGATTTTTTTCTACTCCTTCCTCCACTTTCTTTCTTTCTTTTTACCCTAGTGAGTAGAGGTCTTTGATATAATAGAATAAAGGGACATAAACTTTGTTAGCATAGTAAGAAATGACAGCTATGCAATGGAATGTGGTCAGTATTAGTGGGAGAAAGGTTATTAGCTTATAGATACTCTACACCGAAGGTTGAAGCAAGGTCCTGAAGAGAAAGTAGAAGAGCAGAAGAGATCAAAGAGAAGACCTAGAAAGGAGACCAGAAAAAATAAGGGGAAGTTCTGGACATGCATTCTAGGTGGACTCTCAGTGGACCTATTGGAGATTTGATGGAAGAGTAAAGGAAAGTTGTGTCCTGTCTTCTGAACTCCATGAGTATGCCATTCAACCACAGTAAGACGGTCTGATAATGTACAGTGACTTCATTTCCTACTAGACCTTCCATGAAATGTTATTAGGGTTGAACGGTTGCATATCTTTCCAAAACTGCTTCAGGAAGAATCTCTTGGGGGTACAGTCTGAAGATACGTTCCCATAATAGTGGCTGCTTGGCAACAGGAACATGCTTAAGGGTCAGTCTTCATGTCCTAAGCCAAAGGCTCTGGGTTAGTGTGGGTCACCTGGCTATTGATGTTCACTGGACATGAAATGAGTGAGACTAATTTATCTCTATATCCCATGTGTCCAGTATAGAGCCTGGCACATGGTAGTTGATAATTCAGAGTGTTTTAAAAAACAAATAAATGAATAACATTGTTGCTTCCCCACATGTAATGTTGCCTTGCCCCTTCTTCAGAATAAGGGGAAGGAAGCTGTCTTTTATTTTAGATCAAATATCCTGAAAATAGGGAAATTAGTTTTTGAGGACTTGATAATTTCTCTCAAGTATGCCCTTCTTCACTTCCTGGACCATGGCACTGTTCCCTTGGTAATATCCATAGAACATTTTCTGATGAATGCTCTTCTCAAAGACAAGATCTTGCACTTGAAAAAAAAAAAAAAAGCAGAGAGACTGGGCAGTAGTGCATGCCTGTAGTCTTAGAACTTTGGGAGGCTGAGGTGGGAAGATCACGTGAGCCCAGGAGTTTGAGACCAGCCGAGGCAACACAGTGAGACCCTACCTCTACAAAAAAAAAAAAAAAAAAAAAAAAAAAAAAAAAAAATTAAAAAATCAGCTGATCATGATGGTGCATGCCTGTAGTTCCAGTTATTTGGGAGGCTGATGTGGGTGGATCACTTGAGCCCAGGAGATCGAGGCTGCAGTGAACCATGATTGAACCACTGCACTCCAGTCTGAGTGACAGAGTGAGACCCTGTCTCAAAAAACAAACATAGAAAAAACAAAACACATAGACTGGGCACAGTGATGTGTGCCTATAATTCCAGCTACTCAGGAGGCTGAAAAGGAGGATTGCTTGAGCCTGAGAGCTCAAGAGTAACTTGGGCAACATAGACAGAACCCATCTCTGAAAAAAAAAAACACAGAGTTTTATGGGGATAAAACTTCAAGAGAATGAAGACTGGGGGACTTTGGATTTTGGGCTGTATATCTCTGAAGGGCCCTCGCTGATGGTAGGCACATATGCCTCACAAAATTGAGCAAGAGCTTGGAAAAGAAGTTCAATGGTTGCTGTTGGGGTGGAGGGGAAGCAAAGGAAGAGGTTCTTATAAATCATGACTGGGCATGCAGAGGTGGGTGGTACTGGCAGGCTGGGTACCTGTAATGCTTTCCTTTGCTTTGACCCAAAGGGAGCAGCCCTACTGTTCCTATCTGGCTATGTTTTGGGATTGGACTTGCTGGATTAGTTTACTCTTTGGCTACTTTGCCTTTTTGATCCTTAGTTTGCTTTTTTTTTTTTTTTTTTTTGCAAAATAATGTCAACCTCTACCTACATCATAGAATTGGACATCGTGTTCTCAAGGCACTAAGCTCTTTGAAGGATGAAGAAAAATAATCAGGTACTGTGGTAGAAAGTCTCCAAAGATGGCTGCCACCAATTCCTTCCCTTCCTATAGGCACAGGCAATTTCCCCATCAAGAGTTGAAGTTTATTTCCCATTCCCCTATATCGGGCTGGCCCTGTGATTGCTTTCATCAACAGAATATGACAGGAGTGATGTTATGGGACTTCTGACTCTAGCCTTAAGGAGGACTGGAAGCTTCCATTTATTCTTCCTAGAATGAATCTTCTTGGAAACAAACTACCATGTAGTGAAGAAGCCTGAGCAGCTAAAAGGAAAGACCCAAGTGGAGAAATACCATAATGGTGAATAAGGCATTATGAAAGTTCACAAATGGCAGAGGCATTGTGGAGAGGAAGGGAAGTCCATATTCACGGTAATTGTTTCTTCCAGTGAAAACAAAGGTCTATCCCTTCCTTGATGGAAATGGTCCAGTGTAATCAACTTGCCACCAGGTCGTTGGTTGTTTCCCATGGAATCATGGCCCAATCAATTGTTCAGTGTTGGTCTCTCTCTGTTTTTGGAATTTGGGCATTGTATTAGTCCATTCTTGCACTGCTAAAAAGAAATACCTGAGACTGGGTAATTTATTAATATAAAGAAAAGAGGTTTAATTGGCTCAGGGTTCCATAGGCTGTACAGGTAGCATAGCTGAGGAGGCCTTAGGAAACTTACAATCATGACGGAAGGTGAAGGAAAGCAGGCTTGTCTTACGTGGCTGAAGCAGGAGGAAGAGAGAGCGAAGGGGGAGGTGCTACACTCATTTAAACAACCAGATCTCATGAGAACTCACTCACTATCACCAGAAGAGCAAGGGGGAAATCCACCACTATAATCCAATCACCTCCCACCAGGACCCTCTTCCAACATTGGGGATTACAATTCAACATGAGATTTGGGTGGGGACACAAATCCAAACCATATCAGGCACTTAGCAGTGGATTTAGAGAATTCCTTATATACCATTGTGATATTCCATATAGCATTGCTTCTGACTGGCAACTCATTTCAAAGTAAAGGAAATCTGGCAATGAGCTCACACTCATGAAATTCATTAGTCTTAACTATATCACCCATAATCCTGAAGTAGTTGGCCTGATTGAACAATGTGGTGGTCTTTGGAAGACTCAGTTATAGAATCAGCTGGGGGACAGGACCTTGCAGGGCTAGGATAATGTTCTCCAGGATGTGGTACATGCTCAGAATTAGCAACCATGATGATATAGTGCTTAGTTCCAAGAATTAAAGGGTAGAATGGACTGGCTTTCTCAAAATTAGCCCTAATGGTAAACTAGTTTTTTTTCCCTTTTCTTTCTGTACCCATAACTTTGATCTCTGCTATTTTAGAAATCTTAGTACCCAAGGAAAAAAAATGTTGCCATTAGAGAAGAAAATTAAAAATTCCTTTAAAGTTGAGACTACTACATGGGCTCTTAATATCATTAAATCAACAGATGGAGGGGCTTACTGTTCTGGTCCAGCAATGTTGGGGCATTCTGGAAGGAAAGAGTCTTTGTTTTGGGACTGTGAGGCACATTTAGATCTTTGGTACAGGGTACCAGTAGAAACTTCCAGTCATGGGTCCAGCCCTAAAACACACCCCTCCTTCTTCTCAAATGCCATTTAGGGATAGAAAATTGTGCATAGTTGAGAATTTTTCATGAGTGCATCATTTCAAGAAAAAAAATTAGAGGCTTGTTTTTTCTTTTCATTGCTCTATTTTCTAGTTGGGAACTTAATTTAAAGCATTTTATCCACTTAAAACATGATCACAAACTTTAAGAAATTGACCAGGGTGAGGCCAACAGCTTTAGAGATGTCTGAATTGGCCTTCTCTAAATTGTAGATTCCATGGTGTTAGAGGTCATTTGATAGAGAGCAAGTTGCAATACCACAGTATTTTTTTCTGTCTTGATAGAAATTTTTATTAGAGAAAATACTCTGCTATCCAGAAGGATGCATTATATTGGCCTCTGCACAGCAAGCTTGGGTTCTAAATAAAACTTAATTTGTGCCAATGGGGATTGCATCAGCTGGTTACACACACACACACACTCACACACACACACACACACACCCCTCTGGTGATTCTTACTTTCTGTCTTCTGTCATCATAGTGTTTATTGTAGCAACACCTGCAAAATACTTCTAGAGGATTTGTTCTGGGTAGCACTGTTTGTTATAAGCTCCTCTCAGCTTCACGTATTTTCTGGGAAGGTCCACAGCCCCCATTCTCATTTTGGCCAGTAACTCCCACCTGAGGCAGTTCCCATCATATCTGTGAGGTTTGTTAAACGAGTTTACTTATTTAGGTGTTGGTTGCCTTAATTCAGAGGTAAGAATACTGACTTGAAGGACTGAAAGTTTAATGAAGGGTCCTGAAGAACTTAAGAGTTTTTCCCAATGCCGGCCAGGTGAGATGGCGCATGCCTGTGATCTTAGCACTTTGGGAGGTGGAGGCAGGAGGTTTGCTTGAGCCCAGGAGTTTGGGACCAGCCTGGGCAACACAGCAAGACCCCGTCTCTACATAAAAAATGGGTTTTCCAATGTTAATGTTCAGTGGCTTGATATATTTAATTTCTGTCCTTCTTGCTGTGTTCAGTACAAATCTAGTAGAGAAGCACCTCCCCAGAGATCGTCAACTATATAGCAGGCCCCAGGAAACAGAGCCTGGCTCCAGGCATTACCTGCCATGCCTCTTTAGAAGCTTCCCTCTTCCAACCAGTGGCCTCCATCCTACCTCCTGCCCTCCCAGGATTCAGTTTTCTAAGTATAAAGCTGTTTGAAACCATACATGACTGAAGTTAGAGGGGAGCTTACCTTTGTCATCTACCCTAATTCTTCATTGAACAGATGGACAAACTGAGGCCAAGGGAAATTAGTGGCTTGCCCAAGGTCACAATGTCAGCCAGGAGCAGAGCTGGGCTATGTGTCTCCTGACTCCCAGTTCAGTGCTCTCTCCATTGAGCCAAGATGCCTGGCATCAAATGATTGAGGCTTTACAGGGTTGCTGTGCCTAGAGATGACTTTCTGTACCATATTTTCTTTGGTAAGATTTCAAGCTAAATATCTCTCTCAGCTCTAAAATATTTATACCGAGTATCAGGGGTCTGTGGACACCATTGCTTCATTAAGTTTGGCAGTAGAGGCAGCATCCCCAGCAGTAGCAGGGAGCCTGGTGGGTCAAGTACAACTCACCCCTCTTCTGGGGAGATGTGGCCTCAGTGTGGGGGGGCCCCAGTGAACCATTTGCTGAAATGATATAAACTTCATTTGCAATTCTTGGGGTCTGTAACGGCCACGTGAGTGATGAAGAAACACACATTTAATTAGCAGATGTTATGTTCTAGATTCCACGCTGAGCATCACAATGGCTAAAGCTGGGGCTTTGTAGACAGTCATATAGGTTTAAGTCCCAGTTCAACTAGTTATTAGCTGTTAAATCTTGTGCAAGTTATCTAACCTCTAGACTTTAGCTCACATATCTGTAAAATGGAGCTGCTGCTGCTGTTACCTACCTGTCAAGTTTGTTATTGAATGAAATAAATTAATATTTATAAAGCACCAGAACAATGCTTTCTAAGCACTTACCAGGTAAGTGCTGTATAGTGATTGCTATATAGTAAGTGCTATATGGTGATTGCTGTTACTATGCAAATTAAAATTATATTCACATAAAACATTAACACGTATTTTTTACTAGGATGAAAAGATACAGATTATATACATTAGAATTGCTACCTATGAGTCTATATGGAAATTTTTTTTTTTTTGTAAAAGCAGCCAGGCACGGTGACTCATGCCTGTAATCCCAGCACTTGGGGATGCTAAGGTAGGCAGATCACCTGAGGTCAGGAGTTTGAGACCAGCCTGGCCAACATGGTGAAATCCCATCTCTACGGAAAATACAAAATCAGCCAGGTGTGGTGACGCATGCCTGTAATCCCTGTTACTTGGGAGGCTGAGGCAAGAGAATCACTTGAACTTGGGAGGTGGAGGTTGCAGTGAGTCGAGATTGTGCCATTGCACTCCAGCCTGGGCAACAGAGCGAGACTCTGTAACAACAACAACAACAACAACAACACCACAACCAGGCAAGCCATTCTAAAGCCCCTGCTTTTAATCACAGCAGATACTGTTTTGTTATTATCCCACTGAGAAGATGAATAAACTGAGGTTAAAATAGTGTAAATCAAGGCATCAAACATCCATGAAGCGGCAGGAGAAGCACTTGGAAGATGGTTTCTGGTATCAGATGGGTGATTTTAAGTCCCTCTTTTTCATCACTAAACTTCAAGATCTGCTGGCTGTCCAAAATTCATACTGTTTGAAGAGCCTGCTCAGATTCTGCTAGCCACACCAAGCTTTTGGAGAGAGTGGAGTCAAGAGACGTGTTTTCCAATTGTAGGAAGTGTTGTTTCTAATGCATGCGATGAGCTTCGTCAACAAGTTTATACAAATAGATGGGAAGAGTGTAATGTGAGAAACTGAAATAAAACCAAAATGCCCTAAAAGACAGGATTGGCTAAATAAATTATGCCTATCCATATAACAGAATATAGGTAGCCCATAATGTACTACTACGGAATATGACCTAGAAAAATATTCATGACGTATTATTTTTTGAAAATGTCACAATGTGGTATATAGAATGTATGTGGTGTACAGAATGTGTGTGTATATACACACACATACACTTGTACATGTACAGAAAAATGGTAAGCGGGATGTACATATCGTAATGTTAACAGTAGTCATCTCGGGTGGGGTTTTATGGAAGAGTCTTACTTCTCTTTTCTTTCATCTATATTTTGTATTTTTTCTAGAATAAACCCATATGATTTTTTAAAAGGAAAAATAATTTATTAAAAATAGCAGCAGAGGCATGTATAGTAAAGGCTGTTTTGCCTGTGGGTGGTGCTCCTCTTCTGCGCTTCTATAATCAGCTTGGAAATAATCTTGTCTGCTCCTGCCTGGCTGATGCAATGCTCCTACCTTTGTGCACAGGTGGCTGTTCTTGCACAAGGCCATTGCAGCATGGATCCTATTGCACAGTTATTCAGTACACAGTCAGCTACAAGCACTGACATAGAGCTTGGCACATGTCTGCAAACCCTACCCACATGCTCGGATATGTTTGAAATGAATGAATTAATGAACCGGTCTGGGGTCAACAGCTTGAATTTGTATACAGGCTCCGCCATTTATAGGCTAGGTGAGTCCTAGGCTCCTGATCTGTACTGCAGCAATAGTAATCATAACTTAAGAGACCTCCAATTGTGTTTTGAAAATGGCAAAGTGCTGGTCACAAGATGGCTGGGGAAGCCGAGAGAGAGTTTATTATTATTGCTCCATCTACTAACAAATTTACATCTCCCCATCCCTCATTTCTCCTTGGCTGCCTAAGGCATCATGGTTACCGTAGCAGCCAGATGCTGATGATGCCTCCAGGGGACGGCAAGGTGAAACTGAGCCAGTTCCCAGTCCTCACCTCCCCATACTCTTTCCAGGCCAGGGTGAGATGGTCTGAAGCTCAATCTCTGGTCAGGTCCCCCACTCTGTCTTGGATCATTTAGACCCACAAACTCTGCCTCTGCAATCTCAGTTCAGGGCCTTGAAACACCTCTTCAGAGACTCCCTCCTCCCCAAGCTCTGTCTTCTGGCAACCTGCCTGGTTGCCGTGGAAACAGGTTCCACTGCGGACAAAGGAGGGAGCTGGGTCCTGCTTCCTCCTGGTCTTGTCGATGAGGATTTTTAGACCGTGGAGACTGCGCTGCCCTGCCCTGCACCTACCCTCACTCTCCGTGTTCTCACTAAGGTGGAAATTGCCTTCCCTCACTACTGACGAGACCATGTGTAAAAGCGTGACCACAGATGAGTGGAAGAAAGTCTTCTATGAGAAGATGGAGGAGGCAAAGCCGGCTGACAGCTGGGACCTCATCATAGACCCCAACCTCAAGCACAATGTGCTGAGCCCTGGTTGGAAGCAGTACCTGGAATTGCATGCTTCAGGCAGGTGAGTAGCCCAGGAAGGTGGATCCCTGCAGGCCGCCTCTAGGTCCCTAGCTCTGGGGCACCTTCCAAGGAGAGGAAGATTACGTAGAACCCAAGTGTTTAGCTTCAATCTCACTATTAGGCTGGCGTAGACTGGAAGTCAGAGAAAGAGTCCCTAACTGGGAACTACGACACTTGAGTTGGATTTCAGCTCTTCTACTGATCACCTGTGTTACTCTTCCTCTCTGAGTCACAATTTTTCCGTCTGGAAAATAAAGACATAGAATATACGTATGAGTCCTACACACTGACATTTTACATATTTTCTATTTTAACAGTCTCTTAAAAAGTAGTTTAAAACCAGAGAAGAAGGGTTTGAGGCCCACTGGGGGTCGAGACGTCCGTGCTCTGGTCCTGGGACCGGTTTAAATCTATTTAACTCAACTTAATTTCACTTAAAATATTGAATACATGAGATGTGCCAGAAACTGGCTCTATCATTGGCTCCATGGCTGTTGAGGAACTCGATTTTCTTCTTGGACCTGGCTTTCTCCTTTTGCACAGTGAGAGGTTAGCCTGTGGTCCACAGAGCAGCAGGATCGGCATCACCTGGAATTTGTTAAGAAAGCAGAATCTTGGGCCCCTTTTAGATCTGAATCAGAATCTGATTTCAAGAAGAGTTCTAGGTGATTAGTATGTAAAAACTATCTGAGATGAATTTCTAGCACTCTTGTTCATGGGTCCAGAGTGTAGGGGCTTACCTTTGAGACATAAGATGGGGAGGCTGAGTGGTGCAGCCTGGAAGTCAGAAGCAAGGCCTTCCTGCTTGCCCTGGTTCAGCCAATTCACTTCAATTCAGGAAACATTACTGGGCACCTGTTACGTGCTGGGCGCCGGTTCTGCCTCTAGCTGTGTGTACATGGATGCCTCTCTCACTCTGTCTCAGCATAAAAGAAAACATTAATTAGGTGATTTCCAGGTCCCTCTAGTTACGACATTTTTCAATCCAGGTTTTGTAGTCTGGTCTGAGAGAGGAAACAGTCCCCAAAAGATGTGTGAACAAGAAGAGAATGAAAATGTGAAGCTCCTAAACTGGCTGACAGGAGGGGTGTCAAGGGCTGGACACTTACAGGCAGGATCAGGAGCTTCTTGAAGACCTGGAAGGCTGTGGGGGCTGAGTGGGGAGGGCTTGTGGCTGCCCCAGACCTGGCTGGGGACCTGTAATCCCCAGCTGGCCCCAGTCAGGCCTGGGAGACTACAGGCCTTGGGGATCTGGGCACAGACTGCCTCCACCTCCAGGCCTTGTGATGCATTAACTCTGACACTGGCCTGGACGTTGATAGCTAGTAATGGTGTCATTTTCTCCTAATTTGGATCTAGCCTGTTCACAGTCAGTGTTAACAGATAGAAATGTGCAGATGGATTATGTGTTTCTTATCTGGTGTGAGAAGGAAGGACTCACCTAGTGCACCAAGCGCATTTTGCCCATGAGGAATAAGAATGACGCCCAATGCTGGGGTGGTGGGAGTTAGGCCTCTGGAAAGCACTGAGGAGGTAGAGCACTGCTGGATGCCCGGTGACATCCTGAGGAACCTGCTGTAGTCCTAGGGGCACTTGCAAGGCTGAGTGGCTTCCTGGGGAAAGCTAATGAACCCAGGGCGCCGGCAACACACTTCCTCCACCTCCAGGCTCTGCTTAGCCTCCACGTCCCCTCACGCCATTCCTAGGGCTGTTTCCACCACCTCCGCCCGTCTTCTATTCCTCCCTCTCCTCCCGTCTCCGCAGGTTCCACTGCTCCTGGTGCTGGCACACCTGGCAGTCGCCCTACGTGGTCATCCTCTTCCACATGTTCCTGGACCGCGCCCAGCGGGCGGGCTCGGTGCGCATGCGCGTCTTCAAGCAGCTGTGCTATGAGTGCGGCACGGCGCGGCTGGACGAGTCCAGCATGCTGGAGGAGAACATCGAGGGCCTGGTGGACAACCTCATCACCAGCCTGCGCGAGCAGTGCTACGGCGAGCGTGGCGGCCAGTACCGCATCCACGTGGCCAGCCGCCAGGACAACCGGCGGCACCGCGGAGAGTTCTGCGAGGCCTGCCAGGAGGGCATCGTGCACTGGAAGCCCAGCGAGAAGCTGCTGGAGGAGGAGGCGACCACCTACACCTTCTCCCGGGCGCCCAGCCCCACCAAGTCGCAGGACCAGACGGGCTCAGGCTGGAACTTCTGCTCTATCCCCTGGTGCTTGTTTTGGGCCACGGTCCTGCTGCTGATCATCTACCTGCAGTTCTCTTTCCGTAGCTCCGTATAAGATTCCGTGGTTGGGCCCAGAGCCTGTCGAGGGTGCCAGTTAGCTGATGCGAGGGTAGAGGAGAGACGTGGGTTGAGAATAGTGTAAACTTCTAGCGCTGGTGATGTCACTGACTCAGTGGGGATCTTGGACAAATTATACAGTTTTTCCATCTATAAAACTCAGGGTTTGGGCAAGATCATTGGTTTATCATAGTGAAACCCAGGACCCCAAAGTTCTGCGTAGGTGCCTCAGGGACTTTTGGATTTGGAAAGTAGGCTAAGCTAGTGGGTGTCTCCAACTCCTGATCTAAACACCCATCCTCCAACTCCTACCTCCTCCTCTTGCTTCGATCAGAACAGCTTTACTTTAGATAGGGTTCCATTTAAGATTTTTGTACCAAAAAAAAAAAAAAAAAAAGTTTAACTACTTTTAAAAAGTTTGAAAATTAGAGGACTGGGTGATCTCAAAAGGGCTTTCCACAGTAATGAGCTCGACCTTGCTCTTATTAGTCCCTCACCCCTGCCCCTCATGATCTCCCACTTTCTCTAGCTGCAGCCTTAAATTAGCTTCTTTGCCCACCCTGTGAGCCTCATCCGTGATTCTGCCTTCACACACGCAGCAGAGGTTTCCCTTGAAGTGCAAGAGGTGGGAGATCAGGCTGTTCCTTTGCTGCCAGGTACACAGGGTCTCTTTTTTTTGTTTCTCAGATTCCAGCTTCTTTCCACTCAGGGCAGATTCTGGGGTCTGCCTGCCTGAAAGATGGTGGTTGGGGTGGGGTCTCATAGAGTTAGGCTTCTCACCCACTGCGTATTAACTGGCAGAGAATTTAGGGGAGGTTCAGAAGACAGAGTTTTAGAAGCAAAGCACAAAATCTCTGGGAGGCATTATAATGGAGGGTCTTCAGAGTTCGGGGACCAAGTCTAGCAGATTCTCAGCAGTGCTGATGGCCAGAATTCAGGAGCAGGGGCCTGGCCTCCTGGGTTCTTTGCTGAAATTATAGTTGAATGGCTTTCTCACATTGGCCAAGCATGAGGCCTCTTGCCAAAGATCAGCTGTCCCCCTAAAGCCACAGGGATGGGGTATCTTCAGCAAGAGAGAGGGCGTTAAAGATGTAAAATGCTTTGTCCATGGGGAAGTGCACAGATATGTGGGAGAACCTTACAAGGCTCTAAAATGAGATGTGATATGGCTTGAAATGGGAGGAGACACTTTCTGACAGTGGGGGGTCTGGAATGGAATTGGTGGGGACAGGCAGCAAGCTGCACTTTTGAGGGGCCTCATTTACCCCACCTCTGTTAAAAACTTGACTACTCTCCTCTTTAATAGAAAGTCACCATCATCTGTAGTGATGGAGGAAGGGGGTCACTTATATAAAGATGGGACACTTTAATAAAGACAGGATATCTTCCATAAGGCTTAGTAGTCATTAATGTGTGTTTGAGATTCCCCCACTGTCCCAGATCTGTAATGAGCTATTGGTCCCCTCCATCCCGCCACCCTGTCTCCCCTTTTCTCCCTTCTGCCCCCTGACCCCACTGCCACATAAGGCTCTATCTAGCTCCAGTTTTTGGCCAGTCTCGTCCACAGTCAGGAGGGATGGAAGTCAGTCATTCAGGGGATCAGCATAAGGTCAGTTTTACTCCTATCCTGGCTCGAATTCAAGTAAGCAGCGATGGCTTCCTTTACTTCATTCACAGAGTATTTATTTCTTCATCTAGTCCGCATATCCTGAACACCTGCTATCTAGCAAGTCCTGATTTACTTGCTAGACAGTAGGTGTTCAGAATATGCAGACTAGAGGAAGAAATGAATACTGTGGGTGCAGCGGAATATAGGGGGTGCTCTCTGGTTTCTCAGACATCTCTGCTTGCTACAGAAGTTTTCAGCCCTGGCTGTACTTCAGAAATTCTGGGGAGATTTTAAAGAAATATAAGTACTTAGCCTCTACCCCAGACCAATGGGATCAAAATTTGGGGGAAGTGGGACCTGAGCATCTGAATTAGAATAAAACACCCAGGTGATCGACCTGTACTGCCTGGTGTAATGCCTTCTAACTGAGGGATAGACTTCCTTTTGCATCTAGTTTTATGAAAAATGAGCCCTGAGATCTTCCTTGATGATTTGCCCTGGATTCTTTAGGACTGGGGCTCGGCTTCCCTTTCTCTAGCTGCCCTACTCACCCCCAGCCTGTGCTCTGGGGAGTTCACCGTCCCTCACACTCCCTTGCTCCTGCAGGTTTGCTGCTACAATGGCTGTGTTCTGCTCTGAGAGTCTTTGTCACTGAGCTCTGCCACCCTTGCTGGGACACTCATAAAACTTGTTATAATTACTCATCCCTGCTAGGATGTAAGTTCCAAAAAGCATAGACTCCATGGATTTCATTCACCTCTATTGAATGCATAACAAATGTTCAATAAAAATGTATTGAATGAATAAATGAACCAATAAGCTGAGCCATCTCCAGCCAGATCCTCACCTCTCTAGCATATTATGCTTGTGACGATATTCGGAGTCTCCTTCTCACTTCACCACTCATTCTTTCTATGTCTTGAACTTACATATCCCAGAGCAAATCAGTTTAAATTAAGGTACTTGAAGTAGGGACGGCGTTTTGTTTTTATTTTTGTTTTGTTTTAAGATGATAGCATGGGGTCATGTGAAGGGGCCTGAACACTGCATTGGGAGCTGTGGGTCCTCATTTTATTTTAATTGGGTTCTGCTGGGACTTTTGGGGGGGTCATTATTCTCTCTGGGTCTTAGATGCTCTTATGATATGAAGCATTCTGAAGTCTGTCTTTGTGCCATCCTGTATTAGCCCATATAAAGCATTTTTACACACTTTCCAATGACAAGTTCTCCAGCCTGTATTTGAGCACCCCCAGTGACAGGAGATCATTACCACCCAAGGCAGCTCATGCCATCTTTGGATAGTTCTGCCTTTTAAAGAAGACTTTTTCCTTTTAAGCCTCCCTCAAAAGGGTTTGAATTTTTTCACTTTCTGGTTCTGGTTCTCACAAGTGGGATCCCACAGGGGAGGATGTTTCCTATTCCCCATACAGATCTTTTCTCAGCACTGCAGCCAGGGCAATCCTTTTAACCTAAGTCAGATCCTGCCATTCTTGTGCTCCCTTTTGTGTTCTGTAAAAGCCAAATCCTGCAAGGCCAAACGTGGTGTGGCTTCAGCCGTGTTACTGATATCCTCTAGTACTCTTTGCCCTCATTTCTGTAGCTACCCTGGTTTCTTTGCTGTTCCCCAAATACACAGGCATGTATGTGCTTAGGGCCTTATTCTACCTGTTCCCTCTGCCTGGAATGGTCTTTCCCAAGAAATTCACTTGCCTCACTTTGTGACCTCCCTCAAGTGTTGGCTCAAGTCTCAACTCAGATGCTCTTCTCAGGCCTTCTACTTCATGCTGTCACCTGTTCCCCCACCCCACCCTCTCGCTCCTGGTTCGCCTTGCGCTTACCTTAGCCTGTGTTTTCAGAAAGCAGAAGTCAAGGCAGAGGTTTATGTGATAGTATTTGACTGGGGAGCATGACCTCAGAAAGCTGGAGTAAGGCAGAGGGAGCACAGCAAAGCAGGAGGGAAATCCAATGGAAGGAGGTCTTGTCAAGTTGGCCATCTCCGCTGGTGAAGGGTTGTTCAGTCCCAGAAAACCATCTGAGAAGCCGGATGAAATGCATCTCCAGATCACTTGGGAGTAAAGGGCTATCTATCCCCTGGCTCCTGTCTTCCAATAGCTGAAGGTTGCCCCATAGGATGTTAACTTCCCTCCACTCTGGGTTGTGGTACACTAATTGAATGAAAACATGAATGAATAAGTACTGAAAGAGTATCAGAAGACAAGGTTAGTGTCCTTGCTCTGACTTTCTCAAGGTACAATTTCCAGTTTCTGACTTTTGCAGTCCTGTTCTGGTTGGGTTTCTTTCTGGGGGCCCAGCATCCACTCCACATCCTTTAAAAATAGCACTCTGACTTCCTTTTCCGGGAATTACCTGTACCCCATGCAATATAACGTGGTGGCATATCAAAGAACTCTGCACCTCCCCTCAACTCCCAAGCAAGGAGCACATGCCCTAAGAGAAGTTGATTGGAATTTCAATGATAAGCAAAGTGATAAAAACACTAAAAACGGATGGAGCCTATCAATTCCAGTGGTGGCCCCCGACATAATTGTAAAATTGTTTCTATTGTTTTTCCTATTCATATCTCCTGCATGGCCAATTTTTTCTTTTTTTTTTTTTTTTTTTTTTTTTGAGATGGAGTCTAGCACTGTCGCCCAGGCTGGAGTGCAGTGGTGCGATCTCGGCTCACTGCAAGCTCCACCTCCCGGGTTCACACCATTCTCTTGCCTCAGCCTCCTGAGTAGCTGGGACTACAGGCTCCCACCACCAAGCGTGGCTAATTTTTTTGTATTTTTAGTAGAGACGGGGTTTCACCGTGTTAGCCAGGATGGTCTCTACAGCATGGCCAAATTTTGTCGTTTGCTGATACTTGTTCTCCACTCTTTCTGATTCTGCGAACTTTCCCCATAGCTTTTCAATACTTTCCCTTTTATGCTTAAATCAGCTGCCATCTCTGTGTGTTTCAACCAAAGGACTCTGGCTGATACACCAGGACTTCTCCACTGGGTCAACTCTGACGATGAAAGCTCAGACCAGAGCTCCATCTGCCCTCTCCCTGGACCTTCAACTTCTCTGTTCTCTGTGCTGAAGCACCTGCGTCAACCCCACACATTCCCCTACAAATCTTGCCTTTTCTTCTTCTATTTTTTTTTTTTTTTGAGATGGAGTTTCGCTCTTTCACCCAGGCTGGAGTGAAGTGGCATGATCTTGGCTCACTGTAACCTCCGCCTCCCTGGTTCAAGCGATTCTCCTGCCTCAGCCTCCCAAATAGCTGGGATTATAGGTGCCCGCCACCATGCCTAGCTAATTTTTGTGTTTTTAGTAGAGACGGGGTTTTCCCATGTTGGCCAGGCTGGTCTCAAACTCCTGACTTCGGGTGATTCACCTGCCTCAGCTGCTCAAAGTGCTGGGAGTACAGGCATGAGCCACCACGCCCAGCCAAATCCTGCCTTTTCTCCTTCCATTTACAATGAGATGTTTCAAGGACTGTTCATAGGCTGCCTCCACATTTACACTTCCAGTTAATTCTACAGGCTAACGTTCACCCCACAATGTTGCAGAAATTGTCCTCATCCAGCTCACAATCAGGCATCTTATGGCTACATACAATGAACACATTTCAACCTTATTTTTCTTGGCCTCTCACAGGAGTTCAACACTATTGACCATCTCCAAACACTTGCTTTACTTGGTTTCAGGGACATGCACCCTCCTGATTTACCTTCAGCTTTTCTGTCTCCTTCCTCTTTTCTTTACAGGTTTCTCTGCCTCTGCCTGCCTCCTGAATGTTGGTATTCTTTAGGCTCCAATTCCAAGTCTTAGTCTCTTTGATCTTCTCATATTTGTCCATGTCCTCTGGCTGATTGAATCTATTCTGAGTGTTCTTTAATATCTGTATGCTAATGACTCAAATATACATCTCAAGGCATGAATTTTCTTCTTGACTTCTTACATTTATGTTCTCCTTGACATCTCTGTTTGACTGTTTCACAGGCATTTCAAAGTCAACATGTCCTAACTGATTCTAAAGTATGTTTTCCCTCTGGTGTTCCATAAGATTTTTTATTTTAACTATTTTTAATTGCACAATTCAGTGACATTAAGTACATTCACATTGCTGTGTAACCATCACTGCTGTTTATCTCCAGAACCGTTTCATCAACCCAAACTGAAACTATCAAATCATTTCACAGCCCCACGACAACCACCATTCAAGTTTCTGTCTATGAGTTTGACTATTTTACCTAGTTTACTTTAATATATAGGGAGTCATTTATTTTCTTCCCCTCATATTTATTTCAAGCAATGACTTCATGTTTCCAGTGGCATAGTAGCCACAATATTTGTCCTTCTGCATCTGGCTTATTTCACTTAGCATAATATTTTCAAGGTATGTAATATTAAAGCATGTATCGCAACTTCCTTCCTTTTTAAGGTTGAATTGTATTTCCTTGAATGTATATACCACATTTTGTTTATTTATTTTGTCTTAGCCCATTTTCTGTTCTTACAACAGAATACCCGAAACTGTGTAATTTATAAAGCAAAGAAATATATTTCTTACAGTTATGCAGGCTCAGGAGTCTAAGGATGAGGTGCTGCATCTAGTGAGGGCCTTCTTGCTGGTGGGGACTATTTATGGCATCACAAGGTGGCATCACATGGCAAGGGGACTTAGCATGCTAATGTGCTCACTCAGGTCTTTCTTCTTTTTCTTATAAAGCCGCCAGTTCTCCTCCCATGATAACTCATTAATCCATTAACCTATTAATCCATGAATGGATTACTCCATTTGTGAGGCAAAGCCTTCATGACCTGATCACCTTTTATAAGCCCCACCTTTCAATACTGCCACATTGGGGATGAAGTTTCAATATGAGTTTTTGAGAGGACACTCAAACCATAGCATTCTGTCCTAGCCCCCAAAAACTCATGTCCTTCCCACATACAAAGACATATATTCCATCTGCATAGCTCCAAAGTCTTAACTTGGTCCAGCAGCAACTTAAAGGTTCAAAGTCCTAAGTCTTATATATGAGCCTGTGAAATCAAAACAAAATATCTACTTCTAATATACAATGGTGGGACAAGCATATCGTACACATTCTTATTCCAAAAGGGAGAAATAGAAAAGAAAGAAGGGGTAACAGGCTTTAAGCAACTCAGAAACCCAAGAAAGTAGACATTGGGTCTTAAGACTCCAGAATGATCTCCTTTGACTCCATTTCTGGCATCTTCTACACACTAGTATGGGGGTTGGGCCCCACAAGCCTTGGGCAGCTCTGCCTCTGAAGCTTGATTGGGGTCCGTCCACCCAGCTCTTCCAGGCTGGGGTCTTGGTGGAATTCCATTCCCAGAGCTCCATGAGGCATTGCCCTACTGAAGACATTCTACAGCAGCTCTGACCCTACATTTCTGCTTGGCATTGCTCTAGTAGAGGCTCTCTGTGGTGGCTCTACTGTCATGACAAGTCTTTGTCTGTGCTGTCACGTTATCAATGACATTTTCTGAAACTTAGACGAAGGCTTAATAAGCCTCCACAGCTCTTGCTTCTTGCAAGTCAGCAGAATTAGCACCATGTGGATGCTGCCAAGGTTTATGACTTACCTTCCAGATCTGCAGCATGAGCCACACCTTGGCCTGCTTGAGTTCTTGCTGGGGTGTCCTCAGAGTACTGTGCTGGGGCACAGAGTCTGGAGGTGGTCTTGGGCAGTAAGCCCACAGAAAGTGCCTGGGCTTGCTCCCTGAAACCATTCTGCCCTCCTAGGCCTCTGGGTCTGTGATAAGAGGGGCAGCCTTGAAAATCTCTGAAATGCCTTTGAGGTCTTTCTTCCATTGTCTTGAGGAATAGCACCTGGATCCCTTCTAGCCATGCTAATCTCTTTAGCAAATGGCCTCTGGGCTACATCCTTGCTTTTTCACTTTTTACATGGCCAGGCTGATAAATTTTCAAATCTTTCCACTCTGCTTCCCTTTTAATTATAAATTCTTCCAATTATTTTTTTTGTTCCTCAGCCTCAGTGTAAGCTGCCAAAAGTAACCATGCAGCTGCTTGTTTTGCTTAGAAATTTATTCTGCCAGATACCTTAGCTCATCACTTCCAAGTTTGGCCTTCCACAGAGTTCTTGAGTGTGGACACAGTTCAGCCAAGTTCTTTGCAAATTTATAACAAAGATGGCTTTTATTCCAGTTTCAAATACTTTGTTCCTCAGTTCTATTTGAAACCTCATCAGAATGGCCTTTACTGTTCATATTTCCATCAGCACTCTGGTCATGACCACTTAACCAGTCTCTAAAGAGTTTCAAACTTTCCCTAGTCTTTTTGTCTTCTAAGCCTTCATCAGAATCTAGGCATTTCCTAGACTGCTCCTCCAAATTCTTTCAGCCTCTGCCCATTACCTGATTCTAAAGCCAATTCCACATTTTCAGGTATTCATTACAAGCAGCACCCCACTCCTTGGTAGCAATTTTCTCTCTTAGTCTGTTTTCTGTTGCTTCTAACAGGATACCTAAAACTCCATTCATCCATTGAAAAACATTTGAATTGTTTCCACCTTTTGCCTATTGTGAATAATGCTTCCACAAACATTAGTGGGCAATGATTCATCTGTTTGAATTCTTGCTTTCAATTCTTTAGGTAATTTTGTAGTTGTTCAAGATGGGGCATTTGGAGTATAGCCACCTCTTCCAGTCTTTGCAGACTGGCTTTGTGCCAGAGAAGCCCTTCACTAATTAGCTGGGCGTGCCCTGTACCTAGGGATCAGCCAGAGGTGAAAGCTTAAAGTCTTTTCAGTTCTTTTATGAGCATGCATCTTGACTGGGCCTATGGCTTTTTCAATTTCCCAGTATACAGGCCTGCTTTTGAATGTCTTCATTTCCCAGAGTCTCACTCCAGCTTCTCCTCTGGGTCTTAGATGATCTATTGTGTAGCTCCACCTGTAATGTCTCGCCACAGGTGTCTGTGGAGCTTTTTAAAGCAGACTCCCATGCCTGCGACCCTAGGTTAAAGAGGGAGATTAGCCCTCCAGGCAGCCCCACAAAGATGTTAAAACATTGCAAATAAGGTCTGATCTGCTCCTTCTGTTCTAAAGGAGGATATTGGGCATGGGCTGCTGCATCTCCCTGTGCCACACCAGGGAAAGTGTGGGTCAAGGGTGAGTAAAAACACCATGAATTTCCTGATGTTTTGAATGTGGCTTTTTCTTGACTGAGCCTTCACTTCTTTGCTGTGGACCTTTTACCATTTTCCAACACTCCTATAAAGTTAATTTCATTGAGTTTCTGGTTGTTTTAATGTTTCTATGAGGGGAACATGGGTTTGGATCTGCCTCGTCTGCCATTTCACTGCAACACACTCAACTGTTCTCCCTGTTCTTGTCTTCCTACAACCCGGCCTCCACGCAGGGCCATAATGATACCTCACACATGCTGTTCCATCTGTTCCTCTTTTCTCTTTGCCAGGCTAATTCCAACTCATTCCGTTTCCAGCCTACACTCTTTCCTCTTCATTTTATCCATTCAAGAATAGAATAGATGCTCCTGCTAAGAACAAGTATATTTCCCTCTGCTTTCCATTTCATAGGGTCTCCTTCCAACTGCAAGACTTTATGATTCTCAAAGTCTACTTAGGGAAGCAAGTATTTACAGAGTCATGGGATGTTAGAGTTGGAAGAACCATTAGAGGCTCAATCACTTCATTTCAAAAATGACAAAATGTGGTGAGAGTGTGGGAGTAACTAACCCCGGGGCCTACTGTCAGGTGATGGTAGAGCAAAGCATCCAAGTCTCACCTAGTTTTAGTCCAGAACTGTTTCCCAAGACTCTTCCTGATCTGCTAGGAAGATGTTTCAATCTAAGGAGGCCTCACCTGCCTCTCTTACTGCCTCTTATACTTGCTGCAGATGGGGAATTCTGGGTTTGCTCATGGGCTTTGCTTCTGTCTTGGCAAAGATTTCTCTGTGATAGTTCTTTCTTTGCACACATTGCCACATGCCACATAATGAACTTGTTAGATGTATCTTATGTGTTATAAATAAACTCCTCAGGGAAATTCCTGGATCCTGGGCCTCTCCCACTGGAGCTTTTGTTTGCTTGTCTTGATGTTCAAGCCAGGAAGAGAACTACAAGCACTGAATTATAGTTCCAGAGGCTGAAATTCTTGGTGTAGGGTTGAGAAAAATTGTTATCTCTATTGCTTTCCTCATGCCCATCTTGACAGAGGACCAGCTCAATGGGAGGATTCCTTCTGGGGTTCAGGAGCCCTGAGAACTGAGAGGACTGCCAAGGAAGGAATATGTCCGACATAGTAAGTCCATAGACTATCAGAGCTATAAGACAAATTAGAGATGCTTTGAGCTAGGGCCCTTATTTTGCAGATGAGAAATTGAAGCCCAGAGAAATTAGGAAACTTGACTAGCATTGTATATCATGGGGTAAGAGAAGATCATGAAATTTGGGGTCAGAAAACACTTGAGTGCTGGTTCTGCTACTTACCAGCTCTGTAACCTCAAGCAAGCCTCATTTTCCTCCTCATCAAAATGGAAATAATCCTATCTGCCTTGGAGGGCTATTGCCAGGAATAAAGAATACTCTGTCTACGATAATGCCTGCTATAGGGCACATGCTCACTGAATGCTCATGCTCTTCTTTCATCCTCTTTCCCTTCTAATTTGCAGCTTCCTCTTTGAGTCCTGAAAGGCTCTTCCTTCTCTATGATTTCAGTTAAGCTTGGTTGGTAAATACTTAAAAAAAAAAAAAAAAAGGCAAGGGTTAATTTTGCAGCTTTGAAATGGTTTATTTATTAACTGTAGAGTTATTTATTTTCTTCCCTCATATTTATTTCAAAGCAATGATTTCATTTTTCCAGAAGCACGATGGTCACTCTTCATTCTTCAAAGATAGCTGTTTAAAAACATCTCTTTAAACAGAAAACACCAGTAATTTTCTGGGCTCCCTTCCCATTGGCTGGAATACTCCAGAGGAATTTAGTTCTTTTCCAAGTCCCATTCTGGTTCTCTGTGGGACTCCTAGCTAAGGAATTTCCTTTGGAGTCATTTTTGGCATTGCTTGGGTACTGCCACATGCACCAGGGAAATGAAATCCGCCTGTTATATGACTATGCTGTTACAGAGTCCTGTAGAGGTGGTTGCATTAGTGGTTGTGGTATAGAAGAGCTCATTGGCCTTGGAGTCAGAAAACCTTGGTTTCAGACCTGGTTTAACCATTATCTAGGCTGCTGGCCTTGGGCGACGTAGTCTTTCCTCTCCCCTAGATATCAGTTTCCTTATTTGTAAAGCAATCAGATAAAGTGCCCGAAGGGTCTCTGCCAGCTTTGACCTTAATCACAAACTGCTACTTAGCCCTATTTTGGGGAAGGAGGGGAATTTGGAATGGTGTCCTAACCCTGACCCTTCCAACAGGTCATCTGATTGTTACCCCAGGATTTCAGTCTGCCTAGGTTGATTTGGTGTTTGACCCTCTTATCTGAAACCTTCATAACATCTTTCTTTCCCTTTCTTATCTGGAAACAAACATATGTCTTACTCTCTGACTTTTCTCTAAAGGAATTCAAGTTTTTAAAGGCAGTTACCTTGAGAGGTGTTGTTTTATACAAGAACTTGGGTGATAGTGATGAAATTTCCGTCTTTTTCTTATCCTTTCACTTCTTTTAAAACAAGCTCAATAATCCTACATCACCATCTTAATAGGGTCATAATGATATTTACAGAATGTCGTAAAATATTCCCTATTTTCAAGATTCATTCATTTAATGGATGTTTATTGAGTGCATATTATGTGTCAGATATTTTTCTAGGCACTTGGGGATATGGCAGAGAAGAGCTACTAAATTGCTGTTATTGTGGATAGAGGAGCTAGACAATACACAATGTAAGTTGAGATGTGTGGTATATTAGATAGGGTTACATACTAAGAAGAAGAACAAAGTAGGCAAGGGAGATAGGAAAGGTAGGGAATGAAGTTACAATCTAAATTGGGTAGTGAGGGAAGGCCTTACTAAGAGGATGACACTGGGGGAAAAAAAAGATGAAGGAAACAAATAAGAGGAATGGCAGGTGCCAAGGCCCTGAGGCAGGAGCATCCTGAAATGTTCATACATGAGGAGGCTAATGTGTGCAGTAGGACCAGAGTGGTAACGGGGATCAGGTCACTGTCAGAACACTGGTTTTTAATCTGAATTAGATAGGAAGCCACTGGAGAAGTTGAGTGGCAGGGTGATGTTACCCAATTTACTGTCACCCAGTTGATAACAGACCATAGAGATACAAGAATGAAAGAGGAAATATTAGCCAGGAGGCTCCTGCAGTACTCCTTGCAAGAGGCTGTAGTGACCCGTTCCAGGGTGGTAGCAGCTGTGGTTGAGTCTGGATGTACTTTAAAGGTGGAGCTGAGAGGATTTGCTGGTGACTCAGATGTGCAGTATGAGAGAGAGAGGAGTCAAAGACGCCCCAAGATTTTTGGCCTGTGCAACTGGAAGAATGGAGTGTCTACTTTCTGAGATGAGGAAGGCCGTGAGGAACAAATTTTGGGGCAATATGAGGACCTCAGTTTTGGACATGGGCATTCTGTTAGACATTAAACATGAGAAATGCGAAGGTGGCAGTTGAAATATCACGCCTGTGGTTTAGAGGAGGTGCCCAAGCTAGAGATGAAATTGGAGAGCCATCAGCATTTAGGTGGTTTTAAATGTCATAAGCCTAGATGAGATTATTTAGGGAGTGAGGGTAGAGAGGAAAGAAAAGAGGCCAAAGAGCTGAGCCCAGGGAATCCCCATGTAGAGAGGTTGGAAAAATAAGGAGAAACTAACAGGGAGACTGTGGGGACTGAGGCACAGAGAGCAGGATTCCCTGGGGCTTTCAGAGCTTTGGGAGCAGAGTGAGGACTGGAATCCAGGCCTTCACAACCAGGTTCAGAGCTCTGTCTACTGGCCCAAGGCTCCTTCTCTCTCATGGCACCAGCTACTTCTCGTATTGGAATCTTGCTGATGTCCCTTGCATGGGACACATTGTTTCATCGAATCTGAGCAGGAGGTGGATTTTTGTCTCTATTTTTTTTTCAGTGCACTTGAAGTACTTCATAACTTTAAAATGCACTCAAATGAAAAGACTTGGTGGGAGGCCCAGACTGCTATCATGGATTTGGGCGTCAGACATGCAAACTCAGACCAAAGGGAGATGTTGTCAGAGTTGTTAAAAGAAGGATTCTGTTGTCTTGGATCCCACTGGCAGGCCTGGGCCACACATGAGCATTTAACTGGCAGGGATTAAATAAACCAGATGGTCCCAGGCGATGGGCAAGATGGGATAACGTCACAGGACAAATAGCCCAAGGGGAGAAGAGAGTCCTCACTTTCAAACTAGGTCAGCATCTTCTGAGACCACAGGCCTGGTCTACATCTACACTGTGACCTTCGGATCCCCAGGCTTGCTCTGGTTGGTGCTGGCCTGTTGGTATCCATTGGGGTATCATAACCTCTGACTTTGTAGAGGTCTCCTTTGGGACTGAAAGATGCTGGCAGGGAAGACATGTTTTTGCCCATGCTGATCTGTTTGTCATTCAGACACTCACCCTGGGTACCGTCCAGGCCCCACACACCTTCCCATTGTCATCACACTGCTTTATCCTAATACCCCATTCCTCAGAGAAGACTCCCTTGGTGGCTTTGTGATCTGCCTAGGTGTTGAAATGGTCCTGGTTCTTTTTCCTTATTATCAGAAGCTCATTGCTAGGAATTGAGCTTGTGTTTCTGCATTCAAATGACATTTTTCTTTTCTTCTTGAAAAAAAAAATGCCAACACAGGAAATTGTTGCAAAGGCACTGTTTGTCTCCTTCCCTCAAGTTCAGAGAACCCATGGCTTCCTTTCTATGGACAAGTGCTGGTACCAGTGGGTCACAGAAAGACCAGGGACCTGGGAAACGATTTCTGCTTTTGGGTTTTGGTTTCTGCCCTCTTTTCTCTCTACTTCTCTACTAATTCACTGTGAAGTGTTAACAGAGGTTGAGAATCTGTTAAAAGTGACTTCTCTAAGCCCAGCCCTAGGTTCTCAGAGCCCCCAGAAGGAGATTCCTCTCCTCCCTGTAAGCTGGCCTGCCTCGTTCAGGACCATTAGGTCTCTTGCCTAATGTACTGTAGCCATCTTGAGTCTCCCTCAGTTCACTGCATTTAATGCCTCATTTGAAAGGGAAAGCTGATCACATCTCTCTTTGGTTTAAAATCCTTAGATGGCTCCCTATTCCCAAAAGCAAGCTGTGTATTCAAGGCTTTTTATAATCCTGCACATAGAGATCTTCCCAAATGGTGTGATGTTCTTTCTCCCAAACTGTCTGTCTCTCTAGGGACTATATCATTCAGTTTTCCACAAATGCCTGGTGTCCTTTCATATCTCCGCTTTCTCATATGCTACTCCCCATTGCCTGGGATGCTCCTCCTCCTCTTGGTTTACTACTGCAAGGTAAAACAGTACCATTCTTTCCAGAAAACACTAGTGCAGAAAGGTCTTAGCAATGGTGTTGCTACTGAGAGTCACAAAATAGTTCTGGACCACGGGCTACAATATCAGGGAATCTATCTCATCTCTGTCTCTTGCTGGTTGAGTGACCTAAGTCAGAGGTTGCACACTGGTGGGAGAGCCTATAATAATGACTTTCAAATTGCATGTCCATTAGAATCACCTGTGGATCTTTAGAAAATCCCAGTGCTCAGGCCTTACTCTAGATTGATCATATTTGGATCTCTGTGGTTGAGACACAGACATTGGCATTTCTTTAAACTCCCCAGGTAATGCCTGTGTGTAGCCTTGATTGAGAGCCATTGGTGTTAGAGTTAAGGGATTAGGCTCCAGAGTCCATCAGAACTGGTTTCAAATCCTGGTTTCTCCATCTCCTAGCTGAGAGATCTTGGGTCACATTTTTTTAAATGACATTTTTGTTTTGAGAAGTATTGGAAGGTTGTGAAGATGGTACAGGAAGTTCTGATGAATACTACACCAGTTTCCTCTATTATTACCATCTTATATTTGTTTAGTACATTTCTCACAATTAATGAACCAAGATTGATACGTTATTATTAAATAAAGTCCAAATTTTATTCAGATTTCCTTAGTTTTCACCTGATGTTTTTGTCTTTTCCAGGATCCCATCCAGGATATCACATTACATTTATTTGTCATATCTCCTTAGGTTCTGTATTAGTGTCCTGGGGCTGCCCAACCTGGGTAGCTTAAAACAACAGACATTTATTATTACACAGTTTGGAGGCTAGAAGTCTGCAGTCAGGGTGTTCCCTCTGAAACTTGTAGAAGAGAATCCTTCCTCACCTGTTCCTAGCTTCTGCTGGTTTGCTGGCAATCCTTAGCATTTCTTGGCTTGTAGCTACAAAACTTCAATCTCTGCCTTCATCAAGACATGATATTCTCCCTCACGTGTCTGTGTCTCTGTGTCTTTACTTTTCTTTTTTTTTCTTTTTGTGGAGAAGGAGTCTCACTCTGTTGCTCAGGCTGGAGTGCAGTGGCGTGATCTCAGCTCACTGCAACCTCCGCCTCCCGGGTTCAAGTGATTCTTCTGCCTCAGCCTCCCAGGTAGCTGGGATTACAGGCACCCACGACCATGCCTGGCTAATTTTTGTATTTTTAGTATGCATGGGGTTTCACAGGTTGGCCAGGCTGGTCTTGAACTCCTGACCTCAAGTGATCTGCCTGCCTTGGTCTCCCAAAGTGCTGGGATTATAGGCATGAGCCACCGTGCCTGGCCTACTCTTCTTATAAGGATGCCCGTCCTATAGGATTAATTAAGGGCCCGCTGTACTCTAGTATGACCTTTTCTTAACTAATTACAGCTGCAATTATCCCATTTCCAAATAAGTTCACATTCGAAGGTACCGGGGGGTGGGACTTTAACATATCTTTCCCATTTTGGCTCCTCTTGGCTGTGATAGTTTCTTAGAATGTCCCCGTTTTTGATGACCTTAACAGTTTTGATGAGGGTTGGTCAGGTACTTGGTAGAATGTCCCTCAGTTGGGATTTACCTGATGTGTTTCTCATGATTAGCCTGGGGTTATGGGATTTGGAGGGAAGAACACAGAGGTACAAAGCCATTTTCATCATGGCACACAAAGTCACATAGCATCCATGTGACTTAACACTTTTGTATTAACCTTGATTACCCGGCTGAGGTAGTGTTTATCAGGCTTCTGCACAGCAGAATGATTGTGTCCTGCCCCACCTTTTATACTATATTCTTTGGAAAGAAATCACTATGTGCTGCCAACACTTAAGGGATGGGGACTCATGCTGCATCTCTGGAGGGATGCACGATTTTGCATTTTTTCAAGGGGAGATTGGTCTATTCTTCCAGTTGATTTATTTGTTCAATAATTTAGTCACATAAGTATGTACTCATGAATATTTATTTTATACTTTGGGTTATTATCCAATGCTATGTTGCTTTGTTGCTCAACATTCCAGCTTTGGCCAGTGGAAGCTCTTTCATTTGGCTCCTGTGTCCCTTTGACATATCCTCAGCGTTTCTTCACTTTCTGGGACTGCAAGATGCTCCAGTCTCAGCTTGTGTGTTTCTTGCCCCAATCCCGGAATCAGTCATTTCTTCAAAGAGCCTGTGTTCCTTTTATCGGATGATGATATTTTAGAAACCAAGACCTGTGTACTAAGAGTGCTCATTGTTGCTGGGGTATTTGTGCTCCTAAGTCGGCCCACATTTTACACTTCACTGCACTCCAGGTTGCTCACCTGTAAAAGGGGGATAAGTATAGTCCTTTCATGAATTTTCTTGTGAAAATTAAATTAGAGAATGTGTATAACAAGCAGATAGTAAGTACTCAAAAATGTTAGTGGTGATTATTTCCCATATAACCTTTTACATTTGAGTGAACTTATAATTTTCTAAGTTCTTTCCTATCTGCTAATTCATCAGATTCAACAGCCTCAGGAGAGAGGTTATTCTAGCGGTGTAGAGATGGGAAAATTAAATAAATAAGGGAGTCAACCTACGCTGCACTAGAATTCAAGTCTTTTGATTTTGAGACTTATTCTAGACCAAGATTGGTTTCCACCTCTGTCATATGAGTGGTCTACATTCCCCTCCCTGACTCTTGCCCAACTCTAGCTTGAAGGGCTTCTTGGTGGTGGTGTTTCTTTGATTCTTGTTCTCCATTGAGTAAGATTAACTCAAGGCAGAAAGAAGGCATGTACTCCAATCCAGAACAGGCCACTCATAGACATGGCACCATATTTTCTAAACCAAACACTGAACATATGATTCAAATTTATTAAATGCCACTGATAATAGTAAATTTAATAAATGAGTGGCATTTAATAATTGTAATGTGGATGCAGAAACATTGACATTCTGGGATATTTTGATAATTTACAGGAATAATAGGACAGGTATTTAAACAGAACTGACCCAAAAACCTAAGACATGCTTTTGTATCTACAACAATCTTCCCATCATAGTCTCTCTCCCTTCATGGTACAGTGATCCTACACGAATACAACAAAATGTTGGTAAATGAAAGCAACTCACTATAATCATCAGTGCATAAAAGACATACAAACAAACAGGGAGCTTTGACTCAATGCAGATGTTTATTAGAACTAATGTTTGTTTTTTCATACGAGCAACAGCTTCTGTTGTTAATAAAATCCGGGCATGATTATTATTGCTAACAGCAGCACTCATGGTATGAAATTATAGCTTCAGTTATACAAACTGTATTCTAGAGAGGTGGGTTTTGGTTGCACAAAGAGGAGACCTTTTAAAGAGGCAGCACATTTAAAACATTTTCTTACTTATTTTTTTAAATTAATATTCACAATCAGTGATTCAAAAAGCAGCAATTTTAAAGTTGAATGAGCTGCAATTGGGGGTAGTGAGTTTCTCATCAGTAGAAATGCTCAAGAATGAGGTCGCGAAGTTAGACAAGGTTGTTGTCCTCACAGATACTCCAGCCCTCTGCTTCTATGGCTCTGTGAGAGATCTGGGTTTCTTGGACCTTAGCAGCAGTGCAGGAGCTGGCACAGCTAATAAGTGCTTGTAGGTCACGGGGAAGCCTGGGTTCCATGGCCTATTTAGACATTTTCTCAGGATAAGGATGAAATTGCAATTGGAGAAATAAACAGAATAAGCTGGGTCCAGCCAGAAGTCAGTATTTGTGCACAAACCTTGAGGCCATTTCAAGTCCTGTTTAGAATTCTAACTTTAAGGAGAAAAGCTCTTTTTGGTGTTGGTTCTGATCCCAGAAAAAGAGTCCACTGGACATGTGTTTTTGTGGGAGGAGCTGGTATAATAAAGGACATCTTGAGTGGACATTTACTATTGTTCTCCCTCCATGTGGAAGGCCTCCTCCGTCTTACCTGTGGACAAGGCTCTGGTCCAGTCACCTCTTCTGGGAAGCCTTCTTGATTGATATCTCCTCCCCCAAAACCTTCATACCAGAATGGTCTTTCTTTTACCTCCATGACTTTCCAAAGCAGCACTTGGCAGGGTTTGTTCTATTACATGGTAGTCAATTACATATGTTTCATGTCTCCCAATAGGAGCTCCTAGAAGGTATAAATGATACTCTCTTCATCTAGGTAGTTCCCACAGGAGCCACCACAGCCTGGGATGTTGGGGTGTGCCCAGGCAGTGCTTGAAATGGGAAGATATGGTGTCTTGGGATGCCTTGGGATGATTCCAAAACAGCATTACAGTTCTTCTTTGGCATTGAAAATGGAGTTTCTGCTAGCTTGACAAGTGTCTGATGGAGCTGGGTCCCATTGCCACCTTCCCCTTACAGAATAAACAGCAGGGCACAAAGAGGTAGAATGACTTGTTTATAGAACCAGAGGCAGGCTGTGAATTGCTGTCCCTGAGTATTCAGCCTGGGGCTTAATATATATATATATATGTTCTCATTCTCCATTATCTTCCTCTTTTTTTTCAAGAGACCTGGAATTACTCCAACAGCTGCATACAGGTCAAGAGTTAAAGTCCCCCAGGGAAGATCAATTTCTATAAAACAGAAGACAGGAACTTGGAGCTTCTGATCCCTTGGAGGGCTTATATCTTGGAGCTCTGGAGGGCATAAAGTCTCTAGAAGCTTCCTGAGAGAGGATGGGAGAGGCATTTTGCTTGGAAAACACTTATGGCCTTGCAAGATGAGGGAGTTCAGGGTGAGGCTCAGGGGTGAGGAGTCGGGGAACGGCTGCTTGGGGTCAGCTGTGGACATAGGAAGGAAGAGTATAGGGGCCTGGGGTACAAACTACCAGGGCCCACCTCATGCAGCCCAGTTTCCCAAGAAGGGAAGGAGGCCAGGGCCCAGAGCAGATGCTCTGCTTAGGAATAAGGAAGGATCCTTTGGCTCACACTTTGCCTGTCCCATGTCCTTGGGAACCCACCCGTAGTGGAAAGGGGTGGGTATTTCAGGAGCAGCAGCAGCAGCATTTTGTCTGCATCAAAGTTCCTTTGAACCGATTGTAATTTTTGCCTTTTGGTTACATTGGCTTTACCTCATCTTATCAGGGGGAAAATGGCTTCATTGTATCTTAGATCGTCAGAGCTTTGAGGACCCTTTGAGATGAGGGAGGAGGACTTGCATAGGGTCATACAGGGGGCTAAGGGCAGAGCTAGTTCTAGAACCAGGTGTCTGCCTTCCCAAACCACAATCCCCAGGCTCCCTCCTGTCCCTGCTTCTCTCAGGCCCTCCCGCAATCTGTCATCTAGTGCATGTTCCTAGTTACATTTGCTAGGGGACATACCACAGGACTCAGAACCTTGTCTGTTTTACTTTTTTAGGGATGAGGGTGAAGATTGATGTTGGGCAAGTTGCACGGTGGCAAAAAAGCATACAGCATTTAAGGGCAGATGGAGATGGTCAAGGTTGAGGGGAGAGGTGTGTCACTGATCAATGCTAAGACCCAGGCAGGGGTTTGTAAGAGAGCTTCGTCTGCCTGGTAGACACATCGACCTTCTGCTAAGGTGCATTTATTGAAAACAGTGTATGCTATGCACTCTGTTAAGTGCTATGCATCTATTAGTTAATCTTTTCCTCATCAGACTTTTACGAGGTAGGTAAGGTATAGCATTTCCATCTTATGAAGAAACTGAAGTTCGAAGAGATGAAGTCACCTGCCCAGCACTGCAAACTAGTAAGTGATAGAGCCTGGATTCGGCCTGTGTTCTGACCACTCTCTTGCTCCATCTCTTTAAAGAGAGTGAAAAGGGGGTGAAGATACCTGCTCTATTGCCCAGTAATGGATAGGCCGAAGGAGGGGGGATGGGAGGAAGGAAAGGAGAAATGGCTGCTTTCATCGGAGGATCGTCCTCTGCTACTGACTGCCCACAGCTGGTGGTGCTGGGGCTGAGGAGCCAAATTCAGTTCCTCACTCCGGTGACCCTCTGGATCCAGTCCTTGTTGTGGTGGATGTAAGAGTATACTCCGTAGCGGTCCTTCTTCCCACAGTCATCACCCCAGGACACAGTGCCCACCAGGTACCACTGGCCTCTTTCTCTATTCAGGGTCACCATGGGGCCTCCAGAGTCACCCGCACAGGCGTCCTTTCCCCCTAGGTGAAAAAGAGACATAGATGAAGATAAAATGCCCCTTCCCAGCCCAAGTCTCCTTCTCCCATGTATGGGTTGTAGTTCAGAGAATTGGGCACTAGAGGGCATAGCAGACCGTTGGACCCAAACCTCAGCTCTGGGCAGTTCTAGGTCAGGCCGCATCAGAGCTCAAATGATTCTAAAAAGCCCTGATTCAGACCTCTTTCTTTCTTTTCTTTTCTTTTTCTTTTTTCTTTCTTTTTTTTTTTTTTTTTGAGATGGAGTCTCGCTCTGTCACACCCAGGCTAGAGTGCAGTGGCACGATCTCGGCTCACAGCAACCTCTACCTCCTGGGTTCAAGTGATTCTCCCTCCTCAGCCTCCCGAGTAGCTGGGACTACAGGCACCTGCCACCATGCCCGGCTAATTTTTGTATTTTTAGTAAAGATGGGATTTCGCCATGTTAGCAAGACTGGTCTCGAACTCCCGACCTCAGGTGATCCACCCGCCTCGGCCTCCCAAAGTGCTGGGATTACAGGCATGAACCACCGTGCCCGGCCAAGGCCTCTTTCTTAAGGGAAACACTGAACTTGGGAAGGGAATGATGAGCATCCTGTAAATATCTTTTCTCCGATGCATCTTCTCCTGTGGAATCCCTCCTCCCACGGCCTTCCTCCAGTCCCCCGCGCCCCCACACTGCCAGCCCACCAGGTTGGGAGGCCTCTGTGCTCCCTTGCTGGCTCTGCACCACTCCCTGGCTGGCAGCGCCCCTGTTGTATGCCAGCCTCTTAACCCACCTTCCTTCTCCCCAGCACAGATCATGTCCCTGGTCACTTTCTTCTTCAGCGGGGCATAAGCCTTCTGGCAGGTGCTGTGGTCAACAATCGGGATTTCAATCTAGAACACAAAGCTGTTATTGGTCCTCATCCCCGGCTGAGAAGCCTCTGCTATTCTGACACCCCTGAAGACGGCTCCTCTCCACTCCATACCTGGACGGACCTGTGTCTACCTTAGACTTGATCTAAGAGACTGCCCCATGCTACAGGTGAAGGAACAGTTGAATGGAGAATCAGGAGGCCCGTGTTCTAGGGCAGTCTTGGCTGTGAAGACCTTGGCTGTGTGAACTTGGGCAAGTCACATGCCCTCTCTGGGCCTCAGATCTCTCTTCAGTAAGATAGAGGTAATAATACTTGCCTAGGAGATGTATTAGTCAATAGGACAATGTATACAAAAATGAAGTTTGGTTTTCTTTTGTCTCACCCCTACTGTAGGACCTAGAACATGTGGCTTACTCATTGTTTTTCAGACTCTGAGACCCTTTTTCCTCATCTGAAAAATGGAGGTTGCAGTATTTGATATACTAATCATTGTACAAAGAGGAGAGGCAGGAACAAGTGCTTTGTAAACTACACACACTGTATAAATATTAGCTACTGTGGAGTTATCACTGCTGGCTTTGCAGCAAGCACTTTGTTATGTTGTCCTCCCTCTCTACAGTATGAGCATCTGTCTCGATGCTGGATCTGTATTTTATGCATTTCTATCTTACATTGCTTGGAGCTTAGTAGATACCCAGAAAATATATATATTTTTTGCAATGCAGCAAAATCGATACATAAAAATAAGGCATTGTGACTATTATTGCCCTTGATCCAGTGTGGGGGTAACTGTTGGAGTAGATGTCTGGAATAAAAAGAGGAAACATATGATTCTCTTTCAGTCAAATCAAGAACTGAATGGGCCATATTCTCTAAATGGACAACTCCTGTTGCCCTTGCTGGGAGGAAACCAGAGGCCATTCAGATCCCTCTTGGGTCATGGCCTTCCCTGGATAAGGGGAGAGGAAGCCAGGGCAGGGTGGTCCTGAGGACAGATCCTCAGCAACTGCTGAGCACCTGATTCATCGTTCAGGTATCATTTCAGCATCACTTCCTTTGGGAATGCCTCCTGAACCCCTGAGACAAGATCAGATTCTCTTTCATATGTTCTGGAGCATCCTGCATTTCTCTCTCTCCACCTTTATCACATCCATAACTACTTTCTGTCCATTCCACTTGACCATGAGCCCAAGGGGGCCAGGGACCAGATCTATCCTTTTACCCCAGCACAGCTAGTAGCTAGTACAGTGTCTGGTACCAAGGAAACACCAAATAGACCCCCGGGAGTTAGTGAATGAAGGGATGAATGGTTGTTGCAAATCCCAAATTTTAAAATATGTCAAAATAATATATGTGGAAGAATTTAGAAACTAGCTGTGTCAGTCATAGGCCCCGGTGATATCAGAGCCAAGCAACTCTTTGATGGCAGCTCGTGTTGCCCCATAACTCTGCAGTTGGAAATAGTATCTTATGGTCTAGAGAGGCAAAATAACTTGCTTCAGATGACCCAGCAAGTTAGTGGGAGCCAAGACTTGAAACTATGGCTCCTTACTTTTAGTTAAGTGTTTTTTTTTTTTTTCCTTGAACTGATAGGAATATGAACTTCTAAGTGTAACTGCCAAGTTCATTACTGCAAGGACTGTGGTTCTCAAGAGCCTGGCTCATTCTGGCCAATTTGGTGTACAGTTCTCATGGTGCACAGCTGGATTGTCACCATGGGGGTGTCTAAACTTGCTGTTTTCTGGGAGAATTTTCATAAGCTAAGCCTTTAATAAGCTACCAGAAAAACTTAACCGTGTTTAGAGGCTAGAGTCCATGACATGTAGAACAAACAAATCAAGCTTTCTGGGGTTCAAAGTCCCATTGAACTTTGGAGGTGGGTCTGGGCTCCTAGTTTCCCACTCACCAACCCCCACCCAAGCCTCAAAATCCCTAAGGGAACAATACGGAGCAGGAAGGCCCAGTGCAGAGCTGAGGTGTCACTGTCTGTAGGTTATAAAGTGAACTTCACCTCCATCAGGGTCTCTGGGAACCTTTGCAAGAACTGCTTCCCCCAGCCGCTGACGATGACCATGGCTCCTGGAGGAGAGAAGATACTGTGAGAACAGAGAAGCTATCTGTGGGGTGTTTGGAGGGGTGCAGCTTGCAGCTCCATCATCCTCTTCTGTGGAGGAAAGACTGGATTGTTCTTCTCAGAGAAAGGTGGTGTGGTGGGGAGGAAGACGTGAAAGGCAGCTGGGCTACAGATTACCTGCAGCAGAGCTAGGGGCACTGGTTTCTATGATGTGTTACTGGCTTACTTGTTTAGTTTTCTATTCTGTCCCACCCTCAACTAGTCTGAAACCTAGGGTCCATGAGAGCAGAATCTCATTCTTGGTCACTGCTATATCACAGTGCCTATAGCAATGCTGTCACATAGTAGGTGCTCAATCAAGAACAGCGAATAAATAAAAAGCCCAGCCTAGTCCACTATGTGCTATGGTGCCTTTAGCCAGCCCTCCTCTCTGCTCCCCTTCTAAGCCTCTGTTTTCCTATCCATAAAATGAGGAGGCTGGACTTGGTATTCTCTAAAACCCCTTTCAGAGTTGACATTCTAGAAGTCTATGAAGTTGGTAAATCTGTGGGGCAATGTGGAAGTGGGTTGAGCACTGACAGAGCAATTATTTTCTCATTTGAAAAAGAGCCTGGATACTGAAAACAGTGTTGGGCTTAAAGTCAGAAAACCTGTACTATATCCCTAGATCTGCTTCATACAAGCTGCATCTCGGGTGAGTCACCTCACCCTGCTGATCCTTAGTTTTCTCGTTTGTAAATGAGGCTACAGTGCCACCTTGCAAGGCTTGCATGGTTCGTAAATAAGTTAATGAACATAAAGCACCTGGTGGGCACATGGCACCCAATGAGTCAAAGCCAGCTACACCTGTGCCTTTCCTGTTGGCTCAGTTCCCCTAAATACTCCTCAGATTACATCTCAGCCATTTTTCTTTTGAGCTAAAGGAAGTGAACTTGATGTGGCACCACTGAAATTAGAATGAAAAGGAAGCCAGCTGACATGGGTCACCTATGTTTAAGTATTATCTCAAACACGGAAATGCCACAGCCACCACATGGGATAGCATCTCCAGTTTAGAGGTAAGGGGATTGAGGCTTACTGAGGTTAAATAACTTCCTGAAGATCACCCAGCTGGGAAATGGTCACAGTGGTGTTTGAGCCTGTGCTGAGTATTTTTTTTTTTTTTTTTTTTTTTTGAGACGGAGTCTCGCTCTGTCGCCCAGGCTGGAGTGCAGTGGCGGGATCTCGGCTCACTGCAAGCTCCGCCTCCCGGGTTCACGCCATTCTCCTGCCTCAGCCTCCCAAGTAGCTGGGACTACAGGCGCCCGCCACTATGCCCGGCTAATTTTTTGTATTTTTAGTAGAGACGGGGTTTCACCGTTTTAGCCGGGATGGTCTCGATCTCCTGACCTCGTGATCCGCCCGCCTCGGCCTCCCAAAGTGCTGGGATTACAGGCGTGAGCCACCGCGCCCGGCCTGTGCTGAGTATTAAGCCATTGTCCCCCAGCTTGAGACTTACCCTTCTACATTCTGCTTTGTGGTACTAGGGATGAGACTCTGAAGTGGGCAGTTCTACTTTGCTAGCTGGTTTCCTGAAAACAGGGGGCACTTTCAGAAAGGCAGGAAGACTTGCTTTGGCTGTTGGCATCATCCCTGGCAGTGGTTTTTCACCCCAGTAGTGGCCATTGTTTCCAGCTGTTTTCCTTAGCACGTTAGACTCTTCTGCAGCGGTTCAGGTTCTGGCCCCATAGGGCCCCTTTTCCAAGCTTCTAATTTCTAACTCCAGGTTCTTACCTTTGTTTCCCCAGCCCTAGGGTTGGTGGTTTCTTCCTGCAGGTACCATCTCTATGATCTCAGCTCTTCCCTCTTACTTCTCCAATCCTCCAGTGCCCTATATTAAATTCTCTCTGTTACGATAACTAGTCTAGTTTTTGTTTTTCTATCTGGACCCTTAGGTCTGACTGTTTACTATGTGCTTCCCACAACTTTTGCTGCCTTGGACCCAGTTCTGACTTGGCTGTTTGAGGGGAAGCAGTTGGTGAGTCAAGCAGACACTGTCAGCTGACTTAATTGGCACCAGAGCTTCACCAACGTGAAGACGGACTCCTTGTGGAGGCACCAGCTGCCCTGCAGAGGTGGAGGTAGGGGAAAGTACCTTCCTGCTGGGGTCCCTCAGGCAGACAGATGGGCATCACGAAGGCATTCAGCACTGGGCTCTCCAACAGCTCCACCAGAGCCACGTCATTCTCGAATGTGTTGGGATCATACTGGGGGTGGAGAGTGGTGTGTTTGACGCCGAGATGCTGTTCATTTTCATCTGACCGGAGCCTCCAATGCTTGCCTGGGCAAGAAGAAGACATGTGAGGCATGGGTGCAATGGAGGATAAGGTCACACCTTGTTCCCTGTCAGCCCCCGCCCCAGCCCCATCCAGCCCTTGCTTCCAGCCTTAGCCCTTTCACTGCCTTCATCCACCTTTCCCAGACATCCCACCCTATTGGTCATTCTCTACATAATCTCATGGGTCCCCACCTCTGTCTTTCTTCAGGAACTGATGCTGTTGCCTTGTAATGCTTGTTCTGATGCCTGCTGCCACATGTTCAATCCCTATCATCACCTTCAGTGCCTGTGTCAAACATGACCTCCTCCAGGTAGCCTCTCAGACTCTTGGGTTAGAAGTCTTTCCCCTCTGAACTCCCATGGCATTTTATCTGTTCTTCTTCTACAAAACTTACTGCTGGCTACTTTCCGTTAGAGGTCTCTGTGCTCACATCTTATTCCTTTATTAGACTGTAAGCTCCCTGTGGGCAGAAACTAGGTCTTAATCATACTGTGTCCTTAGATCCTGGCATAATGTCAGTAGGTAAATATGTGTGGACCTGAATTGAATCAGCTGGTCATCTGATTTTATAAACAAGAGGGGAAATCTGGATCGTATATGTATGATCTATTTGAAACCACAGGTTCATGGAAATCTAACAGGTCTTTGGAAATTATCTAGAGGCCTCCTCATTTTATCGTTGTGAAACTGAAGCATAGACTTCAATGCCTTCTCATGGTCACGTGTCTGGAGAATCATATCTTGCACTTGGACTCAGGTTCCTGGACCTCCATCCCAGGTGTCCTGCCCTGACAAATGAGTGAGCGAGTGAGTGAGCAGACACGCCTTGGAAAGGGCCAGTAGGTCATTCCCAGAACCACAGCTGGCTTTGGGAGTCAGCTTGCCCCTCACTCACTCACCCAGGATGATTTTGAAGTCAGAAGGGCTGAGCAAGTCTGAATCACGTAGGGTCGGATCTTCCGGATCGAGTGACTGGTGGAGGCAGTGTGCGGCGGTCACGATCCAGCTGGAGCCTGGGGAACAGAACACACGTCTCATCGTCCTGCACTACTGGGTCTTGCCTCCCTCTGTCTTGAGCTGAGGATCTTCAGGCTACTCCAGAGGACCCCTCAAGACCTTGAAAATGGCCATGCTTCTCTCCATTGTATTTTATGGCCCCCAACTCAAATGCTCATATGATCCTAATCTGAAGATGAGGATTTAAATCTGTGATTTTTACCTGCCTATTCCAACCAAGGCCAGGACTGAACATTGTAAACAGGATTTCAGGGATCCTTTAAGCCCATGGCATTGGTGAGAGCCAGAGAGCCCAAGGTGGGTGCACAGAAAGCCTGTGGTCAACTGGCTGCCTTCTCAGGCCTTGCTTCTCAAAGTGTGGTGCCTGGACCAGCAACATTAGCATCACTTGGAGGCTTCTTAGAAATGAAGACTCTTAGGCCGGCCCCACCTCTGATCCACTGAATCAGAATTTTCATTTTAACAAGACTCTCCAGTAATTTGTATGCATATTAAAGTTTAAAATTGATGAATCCGAAGCTACCTACACTGGCTGCACGTTAGAATTACCTGGTGAATGAAAAAAGAGTAAATCAGTGTCTGGACCTATATCTAGACCATTTATGTCATGGGGGTGGAGCCCAAGCACAGATAATGTTTTAAACATTTCCTTAGTTAATTCTACTGCTGCCAGGGTGGAGAATCACTGCTCTGATCTAGACCTTTCATTATATAGGCAGGAACCCTGAGGCGTGGAGAAAGCAGAGATGTCCAGGGTCACCCAGCAGGTTGGTTTCAGGGTCAGGGCCAGGGCCAGACCCCAGGGCTCCTGATAGTCAGCTTAATGCATTTCCTGTGTCTCAGCTGTCATCTTTCTCTGGATGGACAGGCATCTGCCCTTCGTTTAATGCAGGGTCAGGCTTCCATTCACCTCTTATGTGGAGCAGATGACAAGCCCATAAGTGGCTGAGCCCAGAGACATATCCAAGATGAGCCAAGCAGAAAGAAAAGCTCTAGAACACAGGGGTGGGGGAGGCTGAGTATCAGGTCAAAGTTCAGGGTCGAGGGCAGAAGTGCTTAGTCTCAGAGCAGGTTCCAGGCTCCACTTGGCCCTCTGAGAAGCAGCTATGTGCTCCTGGGTCCTGGCCAGGGCTCTACTTAGGCCACTCTTCTCTGCCCTGGGGCATTTTTTGATCCCTGCCCATGTCCAGGACCAGATTTTCCAGGTGGATCAGGTGGGCTGAGGTACCCAGGTTAGGACAGCCTGCCTTGGTCTGGGGCTCTGGGCTGTTTAGATGAACCCAGGGGTGTACACTGGCCAGTTCAGAGACATGGCTTGGCCTCCCAGCTCTGCAGATCCCTCTACCCAGGTGTCAGTGTGGGCATTAATGAGGTGCTTTCCCCTTCCTCTGTCCCTTGGCTGCTTTCCTGTTTCTTCTGCCCTCTCCTATCCTTCCCCTGCTCTTTAAGACTGAATGACAGGAGGGAGACAGAAATGATAGATCAGGGTTGCTGCAGGGAGTGCGAAGTATGAGGGCATTCCAGCTTGGCCGAGGGTAGAGAAGTGAACGTCAAACATTTTTCAAACATAAGTCATAGGGAATAAACATACAATGAATCACAATACATGGTGGACATTAGTGGACTCAAAAATTCAAGGTTTGTCCTAGCTACTCGGGAGGCTGAGGCAGGAGAATGGCTTGAACCCGAGAGGCGGAGGTTGCAGTGAGCCGAGATTGCACCACTGTACTCCATCCTGGTGACAGAATGAGACTCCGTCTCAAAAAAAAAAAAAAAAAATCAAGGTTTAAGAAAATGAATTCATTCTTAAAATTAGGTGCACACAATCCATCTCTCTTACTTGCCCTCTAACAAAATCGGAGCTGTCTGGTGAAGCAGAGTCTTCCCTCCCTCTGCCCTCGCTGGCAGCTCTTCCTCCACACCACTCTGCTTCTCTCCAACTTCCCTTCAGGTCCCTCCTTCCCTGGCTTCTTCTCTCCTGGGTATCTTGTGCCCGCCAGTACCTCCTCCTCTTGTTGTATTGTTCCCTTTCATTTTTCTCTTTACTCTCTTCAATCCTCTATCTTATTTTCCAGGTATCTCTCAGTGTTCTCTGTCTCTCTCTGTCCTCTCCATTGTTGTCTTTCTAATTCTGGTCCTCTGTCTCCCTTCCCTTCTCTCCCTTGGTCCTCTCCCCGACTCTGCTCCCACTGAACTGCCCTCAGCCCTGTCTGGCCCTATAATACCTTCCCTCACTCTCTTTACCTCTCTGGGGGACTTCTTTGAGTGAGACCATTCATCTTTGGGTCTGAGAGAATGTAAGGATAAATTCCTTGCAGAGTAGGGATTTATGTAGCCCTGGTGCTTTGGCTGCAGCTCTAGCCCAGACCTGATGCCTTGCCAAAGGGATCCCTGCCCCAGAGCTGTCCACCCCTGGTTGGATCTGGAGGAGGGTGGGGCAGAGTGAGAGGCATGCCCATCAGCCTGGGAGTTGCTCATGCAGAGATGGGCCAAGCCGGGCCTTCTTCCTTGGGGGTGGGATCCGATGCAGAAGTGGTCTAGATAGCCTAGATTGCTATTCAGTTTTCTTTTGACATCAGAACTGGAATAGATCTTAGATTGCCTGGACCAAACTGTGTCAGGGAGAGCCATCGGCTGTTCTCATTCTTGCTCCCACTCCCACCCACATTCCATTACAAAGGTGACAGTCCTATTTCCCAGTGTTATCGAATCTGCCTCCTTATTTCCATCCATCATACCCTGTTCTTACTCTGAGGCTATGCCTTCTCTCCCCACCACTGCAATGGATGTCTCACTGATCTCCTGGCCTCCAGTTTCACCCTCCTTTTTATCATTGCTGCCTCTGGAGAGAACTTTCCAGAGCATACTTATCAACCTAAAGCAGCGTTCAAGACAAGATAAAAATTCCTAAGCATAGCATTCAAGGTCTTTGTAAATCGACCTTCCCTGATTCCCAAGGGTGAGTTTCCTGGCTCTCCCTGAACTCACAGCCCTGGCATGCCCTGTCTTTGACCTCCATGTACTGTTAAATTCATGGTTGAGAGACTCCCTGACTTTGTCCTTCCCGGTGCCAGAGACAGACCAGGATCCAGTCTAGCCGAGAACTCTTTCTACCGCACTGTGCTTCTGTGCCCTGATGCTAGTGTGCACAATGATTCTCAATGAAGAAACCTTGGTCAGTCTCCAAGGAGGGGGTTCAGTTCCTTAGCTTCCACCCCTTCCACCTTCTCCCTACCTAGAAGGGAGCCTCCGCAGAAGGGCTGCCCATTCAGGTGTGACAGCATGGCAATCCAGGGAGTGGTGCCTTTCTGGGCTGGGCGTCCATTGAAGATCCTGGCCATCAGCTTCCGGGAGAACTTGGGGAGCCCACACACTGCATCCAAGGGAGGGAGGGAGAGACAGATCAGACTCTGGGCTCCATCTTGCCCACTGCCAGAGCTCCCAGCTCCTCACCCTGTTAGGAACATCTATTATTTTTGCTCCTCCACCATTAATTGACCTTCCTGATAATAGCATCCCAGTCTTTCTTTGGAGGCTGCACTTTCCTTATTCTTAGTCTATGCAGCTAGAGTTGGATTGACCTCACCTCTGGTTTCAGGGATAGGAATGTGACTGATCAAAGCCATGCACTTTCTGGTCACAGCAATTGCTCAGAGATGGGAATGTGACCTTGGCTGGACCAATGAAAGCATTACTTGAGAATTTCGCTAAACATATTACAGAAGAGAAAGTCATTCCCTACTGGAATTGCCAAGCTATTAGCCATAAGCCCAGATCTGCCAACAATCACTTCATTAAGAGTCTGCTGAGAATGATGAAGAAAAGTGGAGCTGAAAGTTGAGGGACAAAGAGACAGAGAGATTGCACCCTAATAGTTGAGCCCTTTGATCTAATTATATGTGAAGCCTTTTGGTACAGCCTTTTCAGTTATGTGTGCCTATAAATTCCCTTTTTTCCCCTTAAGCTGCTTATGTTTGGTTTATGTCACTTACAAATGAAAGAGTCACAGCTAATAAAGAATCATTATGCTCCAGCCACATGAATCTTGTCTCCTCAGAGAAGCCCTTCCTCAGGGCCTTGTGGAGTTGAAGATCCCCTCCACCACAGTGTCTGCCTGCTCCATCCCATTTTCCACTGGCTTGGATTGACAGACACGCTCCCACATACACACTTTACAACTGAATAGCCCTCGGAGACCATCTGGTCTATACTTTTCATCATTCAGCTAAAGAAACCAAGGCCTGGAGAAGGAAATTGACTTCCAAAAGGTATTCCATGAGTTAGTAGCAAGACTATAGTTCTAGGTCTCCTGACTCCCAATTCTGGGCTTTTCTTACTCTGGCCAGCCCCATAAACTTTTAATTATGTGGCTTCCCAGAACACTCATAACCCAAGCCCCTGGATCCAGGCAGTCACCTGCTACCTTTGTAGCTGTCACCAGGCTGGAGAATATCACAGATAAATGCTCTGCATCCACAACCTTGATGCAGCCTCAGCATCTCCCAGCATCATTCCACATGCCCACAGCCAGCTTCCCCAAGCTAATGCCCTGCCTCCATTCCCAACAGACGCTCAGAGCCCAATGAGTGGGAACTCCCTGAGTGGGAACCCCACTGAATGGGAACCATCCTCCTCACCATCTCTTCTTCCTATAAACTTTATTGTCTTCAGAACTAATTTTTCACTCTGGATCTCTTAACTTTTGAACTCTTGGAGACCTGGCCTTGGAGACTGTCACCCCTCTCTTGTATTTTTCATCTCTCCTTATTCTATGCCTCCAAAACACAGTCAAGACTTTTCATCCTAAAAATCAGCTTCCATTTCCCCGTTTGCCATTCATTCCACAGTCTCTCCTTCTCCTCCCTTCTATAGTAAAGCTTCTGAAAAGACGAGTTGACACTCCTTTCCCACATTCTTCCTCCCCCTTTGGAGCCGGATTCAGAAGAAGAAAGTGCCATGTACTGCACAAACTTGGAAATAGGCAGCCATTTGAATATTTAACAGGTCTACAAATAGATGGAAATAAAATGTCTCTGAGACCATAAATGGAACTCCAACCATGATATCTACATACAGAGTAGGATACTATTTTTTGAATCTTATCAGATACATTTTGCATCCCTAGGAATTCGCTGTGCACTGTGGCTCCCAAGCCATTGAAGCTGGAGCATCCACGGTTTTAAGCAAAGGCTGGATAAAGCTTTGACTTGAAAGAGCAAAGCAGAAACCAAAGTCTGGTAAGACGGACTTTCATTTTGAAGAGTCAGGCTTCATAGTAAGAATAAAAAATTTGTAGGTTTCAAGGAACCAAAACATGGAGAACTGAACATGTAATTTTTACCATAAGGCTTAGGGAAGATGCATGGGCAGTTTCCTACCTCTGAGAAAAGAGCTAAAAGCCCATCCTGGGAGACTGAGAAGGCTGGAGAGAGAGGAAGGAGGGAGTACAGAGAGAGGACCGAGAGAGAGAGGACAAAGGAAGAGAGAAGTCCTAGAGACTTGAAACTCACACATGGAGCCTCCTGCCTGCATACCCCTCAGGGATGATGATAGAGACTTGATTCCTCTCTTAGGGAACTTCCATCCTGGAGTCCTTTATTGGGACTCTTAGCAGCATTGGGTGCTGTTGACTACTTCATCCCTCTTTACAACTCCTCCTCTTGGCTTCTGAAGCACTTTTCTCCCTGTGTTTCTGATCCCTTCCCCCCCCCCCCTTTTTTTTTCCTTGGGGCCTCTCTTTTCTTCATGCCTTCCATGATGCTGGTGTTTCAGGCCTTGGTATCCTTTTCTTATCTGTAAATTTCCCGTAGATGATGCCCTCTACCTCTATGCCATCATACTACCCATGTGCTGATGAACTTCAAATCAGTGTCTTTAAATCTGCCCTGTCCTCTAAAACTCACCATTCTTTACTGCCTACTTACATTTCCAGCTGGATTGCTCATAAACTCTTCCAGCTCAGTGAATCCAAGCCCAAGTATCCACCCTTCACTAACCTTCTCCCCTTTGTTTTTCCAGATGTCTGCTAATGTCTGAATCAATCACATCCTTGTTGCCTCCCTTTTCTTCAACCCCATGTTCAATCAGTCGCTGAGCTGCTGGTAAATCCCTAGGAGAAGGAGAGTGATGTGTCTCCCCGACTCCATGTCACAAAGTGCTCTCTATGTACCTCAATATGTCACAACCTCAGTACCTCAGTACCTCAATACCTCAGTACCTCAATATGTCACAACATAAAGTCCAAGTATCAAAAGAAAAACAAAAATTGGAAATGTAATAGAACATGAGACACGATAGTCCTTCAAACCATAAAGTGCAAAGCGTAAATAAGCTCTTATTTTCATTCTCAATAGTGTAAAAAGGATGGCATTTTCATTATGGTACAAACCAAAAACAAAGGCGAACCATGAGTGCGTCCCATGGTGAGACTTCACTATCACGTGCCACTCATGCTTGAACTTATCAAGAGATGCCTATAGGCCAAGCCCTGCTGTATGTACCACTTAAATCGATTTAAACTGCCCCTCCTCCTGTCTGCACTGTCACAGCCCTATGGGTGGTGGGTCTGCACCATCCCTCATCAGGACAGTTGCAGAAGTTGCATAACTGCTTTCCTAGCTCAGCCCCTTCCTGTCCACTTTCCACACCATGCTGCCCACCCTCAGACATACTGAATTCAAATTTTCCAGTGGGTGAGACCCAGCCATCTGCATTTTTCACCAGCACCCCAAGTGATTCTCATATACCCCAAACTTAGAGAATCACTCGTTTCAGGACAGTTCAAATAGAGCATGCCCTTTAAAACTCTTCCCACTCAATGCCCACTGCTCTCACTTTAACCATGGCCAGCTTTCATGCTTTTTTCCACTCTGCCCCTTCCCTCCTATCTCCCACACATCCTTTGAAGCCTCTGCAAAGCTATTCCAAGCCCCTCCAGCTGTATGATATAGCCCCTTCTTTAAGTTCCTATAGTACTTAAATCTCTGTTCCTTTTACATTTAACTCCTTTTGCCTATATAAGACCTACATGCACATAAGCTTGTCTTGCATGCCAGTTTCAACACTTTGAAACTGGTACTAGAAACTAGCTGGCACAGAACATGTTCTCCATGATGCTGTAGTTGCCTTAGCAGGATTCATAGCTGGTTTTGCTCTCAGCGTGTGGCACCACGGGTAACTTGACATACTGCAGGGCATCTGACAAGGTCCATGTGCCACTGCTGATGATCTCGTCCAATGTCACATTGGGACTAGAGATGCCCTAGCCAGTCACCAGGCCCAGCGTGTGGGGGGTTGGGCCTTCAGGCTCAAGTCCTTTGAAGACAAGGACTTAAATGGCAGGCACTTAAATGAAGGAACAAGTAGCCTCTGAGAAGGAGACAGATCAATAACCAAATCCTTTCCTCATTACCTCTTGGATAATGTCCAGATACCAAAAGTTGTACTTTTTCTGCAACAAGGGAGATTTTGGTTTAATGAGGAGACCAATTTCTTTTCAAAAAAGTTAAAACAAATGAACACACTTCCCCAACAATAACAAAACCCATAAGCCAAGGCTGTTGGTTATCCACGAGGGTTTATTTCCACTTGAGACCCCTGATGGGAGCAACAATGCAGAGGCCCTTTACAGAATGGTGAAGCATATGATATAAAAGATACAAAATATAACATCATTTACATGTGCCATTCATAGACAAAGGAGTGTGTTTGATGAGCCGGTTGAGAAAGTGGACACTTCCCAATCATTCCCTCTCAGGGGCTTCTCTGGCTGCCTTGCTCTGATGGAGATTTTCAGGAGAGAGAGCTCCAGGGAGAAGGAGAACAATCAGCCCTGTGAGGGCCAGAGAGGCTGCTAGCAGTCAGGGAAGCTCTGAGTGCTCCAGCTAGAAGGAACCTGCAGGGGACCTTATGCCAGCCTGTTGCTGACGGAGAACCAGAGACTCAGACAAAGAAAATGATTTTTCAAAGGTTATACAGCCAGTTGGGGGCAGAGCAGGGACTAGAACCCAGGACTCCTGGCTCTTTTCACTGCCTGCCATGGGTGAGCCTCTGATTCCTTTGACTCTGAAAAATGAAGGAGTGGGTCCCTCTGAACATCCTGCGGGGTGGATTCTCCGCCCAGCTCATGCCCCAGGGATGCCAGGCAGCCTGGCAGGATTTGGGTGACTTCTAATGTGCCCACCCCACTCTTTCTTCCATTTTCCTGCCCAAAAGCACAGCAGGACACAGTGTGGGTCTTTTCTTTTTCCAGGTAATCGACTAAGTCCCCATATTCGGGCCTGGGCTTCAGGTAGCCTTTCAGATAATACATTTCAAGGCTGAAAGATTGCTTTGTGCTTGTCTGGAGCAGCAGGTGTGGACGCCCATGGTGTCAGCTGGTGTTCCAGGGTGGCATATGGGCCCAAATGTGTTCTGAGTTGACAATGGGAATTTAAGGGCTTGGTGGGCCTCCCACGGCTATTCTGCTCCCAGCAGTCAGCACAAACCTTCCCAACTTTCTCCATGTCTTTTGAAATTCCTTTAATGGGGAACATAAGGGATAAGGCTTAGACTGCAAGAAGCTTTTGGGAGAGAAACCCCAGGCATGAAGGTGCTCCAAGGGATCACACTAAGAGAGAGGGGCTTGGCTATGAGCCATCTCCCAAAACCTGAATGCTCTTCTCCTAGAGGAAGGATTAGGCCAAGGCTAGTCCCAGAAGGCAGAGCAGGAAAATATACAGATGCGGCATTCAGTTCAATGTTAGAAACCATTTTCTAATAGTCAGGTCCAAGCTCAGTTATACCAACAGTAGGACCGATGGGTTTGATAAGTGGTCAGGAGTGAATAAAGGCCACTGGGGTAAGAAGCATGGCCTGGAAAGGAGTGCTGGGATTGGCACAGAGGCCTTGGTTGAGCTCCTGCATTGTATTACTCGGTAGAGTGAGGCCCAGACAGGGAAAGAGACTTGGACAAGCTCAGGAACACAGGTCTCCTGCCTGGAGCCTTTTCCCTATACCACACTCTGCCTCTCAGGGTCCTGGGGGCTGTCTCGGTAGGAGAAGCCACCGCTAGGTCAGTGTGTTCCATTCCATATGGTCTGATAAGTAATGTGGAGTGTGCTGTCGGAAGTGCGGTGTAGCTTCGCTCAGGGGAGGCAGGCCCCGAGGAAGTAAGTCAGCTCACCGTTCCACCTGGGGCTCCACAACACTTTGTGGTAAGCCCATCTGCTCCCACACCCAGTCCACGTAATTGGAGACCTTTGTGTAGACTCCATAGACCTGCTTGCTGCCGCATTCTTCAGGTCCCCCCCAGGACACCAGGCCTTGCACCACCCAGCGCTGGCTCAAGTCATCAAAGATGACAAAGGCCCCACCGCTATCTCCAAGGCACGTGTCTTTGCCGCCCTCGTAGTAGCCAGCACAGAACATGTTCTCCGTGACGCTGTAATTGCCCGAGCGGGACTCATAGCTAGTTTTGCACTCAGCGTGAGGCACCACGGGTAACTTGACATACTGCAGGACATCTGACAAGGTCCGTGTGCCACTGCTGATGATCTCATCCACTGTCACATTGGGATTGGAGATGCCCCAGCCGGCCACCAGGCCCAGCATGTGGGGGGCCGGGCCTTCAGGCTCAAGCCTTGGCAGGCAGACAGGCATAACGTGGGGTCCCAGGGGCACAGGCTCCTGCAGCTGCACCAGAGCTATATCGTGGTTGTAGTTTTGGATGTTGAAGTCTGGGTGGAGCACCACTCGGGCAGCTGAGCTGTTGACTGCCCCCGATTTGTCTCGCACATCATGCAAGCCCAGGTAGACGGTGACATGCTCCTTGGAGACTGGTATCACCGTGGTGTCTCTACGCTGGGAGCGCAGCACATGAGCTGCTGTGAGGATCCAGGACGCAGAGAGCAGGGCCCCACTCCCAAACCACTTGTCATTTGGCACTCTCGAAGTGTCCTCCACCACTATCAGGGCCTGCCACGGGAAGAGGCCAGGCTCAGCATTTCGGCCCCCAATGATCCTCTTGACCAGGCTTGGCAGGGAGCGGGAGGGCTGACCACACTCTGTAAGGAGAAAGAGGGAGCAGGGACAAGAGACAGAGACTGGTCAGGTCAGCCATGTGACAGGAGCCACAAAGATAAATTCACATTTCACCCACTATAGATTATGCCACCATGGGACCCTAACCTGCCTGGGTCATGCTAGCCTGGGAGAGCTCTACTCAGGGTCATTTTGGGTCTAAGTCTCTCTAGGCTGGCCCATCTCTAGTCTGGCTTTTCTGTAGCTGGGACTGTCTCTGGACTGGACCACTCTGTGCTTGGGCTTTCTCTACCCTGAACCACCTCTGGCTAAGACCACTTGTGACCCAGACCATTTACAGCCATCTATTTCCAGTAGTGGTCACTTCTCCCCTTCCTTCTCTAGAAAGGCAGGTCTTATTTCAGAAGTGGTCCATGCTATGGGAACCTAGAATACTTCTGAAAGTTTTCTGTCCATGGGGACAGAGAGATGGAAGGAACCTAAAAAACCATCTAGCAGGTCACAGCAAACGCTAGACTGGGAACAAAGATGCTGGAAGCCTTGGCCTGGCTTTTCTCTTCCATTTCCCATGTAACTCTGAGTCAGCAAATATCCCTCTCTGGATTTCAATTTTTGATCTGCCAAATGAGGCATTTGGTCACAATGATCTCCAGGGATCCTTCAAATTCCAGAGATCCTTTAATTTTCATTTTATTTGCCTTGGCCATCACCATTTTCTAGGTGAGTAAACCTCCTGAGTTTAAGTGACTAGCCCAAAAGGATATGACTCTTAAGTCAGATAGCAGAAGCTTAACTAGATTCTAAGTCTTGTATCCCACACGGACTTAACAGATATTAAGACCATGGGCATAGGCCCTCAAACCTTTTCTTCTCTGTCCTAACAGAATCTTGCTATAAATTGATGCCCATGGATTAAGCCCCAGGGCATCCAGGGTTGGGGAAAGGTGGCATAATCTATAAGCAATGATGCATGGACCCTACTCTGGGCCACCCATCATTGCACCCAGGAGCTGTGTAGTACCTTTAGGGGAAGGAGAAAGATCTGAGCAAACTTCGTTCCACTGAGTTGCACCCTGAGCATGCACATGCACCACCAGCCTCCTGTAGCCAAATGCCTCTGGCCAATGAGCAGAAGGTCTTCGGCACCAGGCCCCCGCTGGCTAAGAACATGCTTGCATGGCCCTTCCCAGGCAGGGTGCTTGGGTCTTGGAGGTAGACCTACTATGAGTGTGGGCCTCCTCCTGGTTCCAAATGGCCAGGCTACACTCCTTGGCCTGGGTGCTTTTGACAATCCTTTAGACATCATGGAACATTTGAGTTTTCTTGGCAACTTTGGGAGAGCAGGCTTTTAGCAACCTAATGCTTTTCAGATGCTCTTCTTCCTGAGGCCAGATGCTTCTTGCTTGATCCTGGGGCACCCTGCCATTCACCCCAGGCCAGATGTGAACTGGTCTTTGTAACTCTCTGTGGCCTGGCCTTTCAAAGTTGAGGGTCAGCCTTCCAATTACAAGTAGCAAGCTGCAAGGCAACATCTCAATGCAGCTCTGTGACTGGTCCTACATATATTTAGTGCTTCAAGGCCCTAATCTGGTAAGGGACACGTCTATGGCTTGGTCCATGGTCACAACAAAGCCAGCATTAAACGCTACCTTTCTCCAACCAAGGTGCCAGTGGCACACTGCAGGTCACAGATCAGATCTGGAGAGACCTTGGAGAACAGCTAATTTACAGATGGAAACATGGAAGTTCAGAGAAGGCAAGTGACTTACTCAAGGTTGTTAATGGGAAAGCCAGAACTCGAACCTATTTATCCTGAGTCTAGCTTCATATCTCCACTGAAATCTGTTTTTCTCCTTGATGTGTTCTTGTCCTTTTAAGAGGCTGAATGATTCAACAAGCTCTTGGGAGAGCTCATTGAAATGGGGTCATTCTTATTGGCTGCTGCCATTCCCCACCCAGTCTTTCCTGGGAGAAAGGGATCTTCTTGAAATGTTATAGCTTTGGCTATGCTGAAGCCAGATTTGGGTTCTAGAGGACAGTGGTTACTGAGGGAGGGTCTTTAAAAAAATGTGATACTCTAGGATTCAAGGTTCCTGAGGATGGCATAAAACATGATCATGGTAAAAAAATGGCTCGGCATTGCTTATGTTGCCATCAAAAGTATTGAGTTCACCTTTCAGTTCTGCCCCTGACTTTCTACAAGTAGCCTTGTGCAAATCACTACACTATTCTGATAGTTTTCTCATTTATAAAATAAAAGGGCAAGTAATATTTGCTTAGCAGGACCCCTGAAATGGTGGGCCTTTTGACAATAGATGAGATGGCCTTCTCCATCCTGGCCTGCATCCTGGTTCAATCACAGTGTTTTGCGAAGAGAGAATTTACAAATTTCTGGCCTAGTCCAATGATACACCATGGTTCTGCCCAACACTGGGTGTTAAAAGAATGTCATGACTCATTGTATCCAAGATGCTTTGTACAAACATAGAGGATGATGACCATTAAAAGTCATAGAATAGCTGGGTGCATGGCTCATGCCTGTAATCCCAGCACTTTGGGAAGCTGAGGTGGGCGGATCACCTGAGGTGGGGAGTTCGAGACCAGCCTGACCAACATAGAGAAACCCCGTCTCTACTAAAAATTAAAAAAAAAAAAAAAAAAAGTCAGGCATGGTGGTGCATGCCTATAATCCCAACTACTCGAGAGGCTGAGGCAAGAGAATTGCTTGAACCCAGGAGGCAGAGATTGCAGTGAGCTGAGATCGCACCATTGCACGCAGCCTGGGCAACAAGAGCGAAACTCTGTCTCAAAAAAAAGGTCAGAATATCATAGGTCTCTTGGTTCTGATGCTTTACTTCTGAGGTATGGGATCCCAGACCCAGAGATATGAAAATACTTACCAAAGATCACAGTTAGGAAATGGCAGCATCAGTATTAGTACCTAGGGCCTTGACTCCTTGCCCAGGGCTTCTTCCCCTTCCAGAGGTGGCCACATGGCTTTCTAGCATGGAATCTATCCCTAGCTTTTTTTTGCTCACATGGTCTTTTAGCCAAATGGGGATTAGATCCTCTGGTTTGCTACAGCCCCACCATTCCTCTACAGCTCCGCCATTCCTCTCTTCTCTGAGGCTTCACTGCCTGGAGTCCTTGGTTGTACTTCTGGGCAAGCCTAATTGAGGTAAATGGAATCAGCGGAATGGGTGGGATGAACATTCCCTTATTCCACATCCTCATAAGTTTTTCTCAGAAATAAAGACCTCTTATGTGAACCCTTCCTAGTCAGTTCTTACCCCTTCATTCATAGACAACCAGGCATTGTTACTTCCTTCTTCTCTGGGATCCCATAGCACCTGTGATGGTCAAAACCTGACTCCCAAATGCTAACATGTTCTTCGCTTCTTAAGGATGAATGGTAGACAACTCCATAGCCTTTCCATTTTAGTGTCTAATCTGATATCTAGAAACCTCCTGATATGGTTTGGCTATGTCCCAAACTGGCTATGTCTCATTTCTCTCTTGCCTGCCACCGTGTAAGATGTGCCTTTCACCTTCCGCCATGATTGTGAGGCCCCTCCAGCCATGTGGAACTGTGAATCCTATAACCTCTTTTTCTGTGTAAATTACCCAGTCTTGGGTTATGTCTTTATCAGCAGTGTGAGAACAGACTAATATACCAACCGTGTACTAGTATACCTTCTTTATACTGTATACTGTAGGGTTACTGAAATGTACCATTAATATAATACACTATGTCAGTTTACCCAACACTCTCATTCAGCAAAATACAAATATCACCCAATGCTTAACCATATTGCAAATTTCCTGCTGTTTGTGCAAACATGCAGATGGAATTAGACAAGGCATTTAATTTTCAGTATTCCTCAATGCTGTCTTGAGTGATTGTATCATTAAACTACTGCCATTCTTGCTTTTTTTTAAAAAAAATGTAAATTACTATGTTGTGAATATTAAATTTAACTTTTTGTGGATTATTTGTTTAACCGTAGAGTGTGCATTTTGGGGCTACACTTTTCTAAGTTGACTTGAATAGCTATACATGTGATTGCAATGCAAATCACCCATACTATTTATTTATTTATTTTTCAAGACAGAGTCTAGCTCTGGCACCCAGGCTGGAGTGCAATGGTGCAATCTCAGCTCACTGTAGCCTCTGCCCCCTGGGTTCAAGCAATTCTCCTCTCTCAGCCTCCTGAGTAGCTGGGATTACAGATGCACACCACCACGACTGGCTAATTTTTTTTTCTATTTTTAGTATAGATGGGGTTCCACTGTGTTGACCAGGCTGGTCTTGAACTCCTGACTTCAGATGATCCACCCGCCTTGGCCTCCCAAAGTGTTGAGATTACAGGCATGAGCCACCACGCTTGGCCTATACTTTTAATGCTAAAGCAAATATCCTCAAAATCTGTATGCACAGTAACACTTCCTGTTACCACAAAATTTTCTTTCCATTTTAAAGTGGAGTCAGTAAGTAAACCATGGGAATCGGAAAGGCTTGACTACGTTGCTGTTTGGAAGAAAGAATTTGTCACTCTGTCTTATCATGATGTTGTTTGTGTTATCATCTCCTTGATAGCATGGTGAGTGCTTGAGGACAGGGTGCCCACTTTTTAAATTTCCCCGGCACAACAGCAGATGCACATGCAAACTGTGTTATATGAAAAATCTTGTGGCAAGGGCACAGAGACGGGACAGGAGGGCTCTCAGAGTGATGGAGCAGGCAGAAAATACAGGCTGGTTTGAGAAGGTGTGAAGCAAGTCTTCTCTGACCTTTAACCTTTTGAAGACATCTCTTAAAAAGCAACCAAAGCATCACCTCCCCTGTCCCCCATCACCCTGTTAACAGCCAGAAAACCTGGGGTCCTAGGGCCTTGGATGGAAAACTGTGAGGCAAAGGATTTGGAGGGTGAGGTACCTGGAAGGCAGGTGGGTAGGCTTCTCCCCAATACTTTATTCATCCAGACTCCTTGGGCAGAACAGGTATATATACCTGGATTAGTGAAAGAGGTTAGGAGAGGAGGGAGAAAATGGTTGATTTGTAACACATGGAAAATAGATCTGGGTATTTAATTTCTCTAAAGTGAGTTATTACAAAGTCCTCCAAATGGTCATCTAGGCTCAGATACGATTGTCTCTGAGCCTAGATGTACTAAGAAGAATGAGGAAGAATGTGGCAGGTACTCTCTGGGATACAATCCTCCAAAGGGACCAATTAACCTCCAAATATCTTCAAATACCCACAGGGCTACCATCCTAGTCCTTCTATCAAACTCCCTTTGCAACATGAAGGATCTTTCTAAAATGGGAATGTGACCATGTCCTTTCTCAGCTCAGAATCACGAATGGCTTGCTGTCACCCCCAAAAATAAACACCACACTCTTCAGCATGGTGTCTGTCCAAAGCTCTGGGGAATCCCACTCCTGCCTGGCTGAGGGCTGCTCCCCTCCCCACCCCACGCTGCCCAGGTCCTGGAAGGCACCTCCGCCTCACTTGTCACAAAGACCTGGGCTCACATGGCTCCCTGTTGCACAGATGCCCTTTCCTTTCTTCTCCATTTGACAGACTCTTTAATAAGCATACATTTGTGGCCACCATCTCACTGGCATTTTGAAATAGCTCTAAGAGCTTTGTAACTCTTCCCTCTTTTAAAAATGAGGACTTGGGGCCAGGTGCAGTGGCTCACGCTTGTAATCCCAGCACTTTGGGAGGCCGAGGCGGGCGGATCACTTGAGGTCAGGAGTTTGAGACCAGCCTGACCAACATGGCAAAAGCGGGTCTCTACTAAAAATACAAAAATTAGCTGGGCATGGTGGCAAGCTTCTGTAATCACAGCTGCTTGGGAGGCTGAGGCGAGAGAATTGCTTGAACCCAGGACGTGGAGGTTGCAGTGAGCCGACATCACACCACTGCACTCCAGCCTGGGTGACAGAGTGAGACCCTGTCTCAAAAACAAAAACAAAAACAAAGAGGAGTTGGAGGCTTAGATGAGTCAGGAGAATGTTCTCAGTGCTTGCATGCCAGAGAGGCAGAGCCGATGGGCCCTCCTTTCTCCCTGAGAGTTCCTTTTCTGCTAGGGACTATGAGTGCATGTGAGCGGGTGTTGGGCTGCCACAAGGCAGGGAGAGGCGGGTTATGTCTCTAAGCATTTCTCCTCCCAGTTCCTCCCAAACCCCCAGTGTGGCCAATGGTCAGGTTATTGCTGGTCCTTCACCCTCTGGCCAGTGTGCTGCTGCCCAGCCCCTGGGGCAGCCAGGGGTCTCTGCCAGGTGGCATGGATGGGGCCTGGACAGGGACTGCTGTGGCTGTGCTTGAGCTGTGGTCAGGGGATATGCTGGGCTACCTGGGGAGACAGAGGATCCACTCCTCGCTCCCCAACCCTGCCTGGACCCCTGTCCGTACCAGGGGAAGAGGTCTTTGAAGGAAGGTCCCTTACCTGCTGAATGGGTCTGGCCTGGTGAGATGTTGCCCTCACCCAGAAGCCAAGGCAGAGTCTGGGTGAAGCAGTAATACTGGCCTTTTTTTGGAAACCCCAACTCAGCCTCAGACCACATGAAGGAGTTTAACTTGGGGGATTCCAGGCTTCCTTTAGGGTCTCGTTTCTTCTCTTAGTTGTGTCAGTGTGTGACTCCTTCACGCTCCCACCAACAACTCATTAGTAAATCAGTGCTAGCTTTAAAGTTAAAAACAAAAAAGCCTGCTTTTTGGTTTTGAGACTGTTTCTGCATCTCCACATGGACACAGTAACACAAGCTCATGAAAAGTGAGAACCTGAGATGTGTGAGTGACACGTTTTGCATTATCAGGCTCTACACACTTATGAGCAGTTCTTCCTTTCACAGCTGTCTCGGCCCCCAGTCCAACCCTGAGGCCCCGAGAGTGTGAAACGGGAGTGGGATGGCTTAGCATGGATGGCTTACCTGTGTTATTGTTGAGCATCTTGTAATAGGGCTCCTGACAGGAGTATTTGATCTCAGACTTGTATGTGGTGAGGTTGTTCCTTGTAGAGAAGGTGATCAGCCCGTGTTCCAGCTCTCCTGGGGCTCTACAGTCTACAACTGAGAGAGAAGAAGTGAGACCCCTCAACTGCCTTTTGCTCATCCTCCTTTGGCTATCTGATGGATCTATCTCATGCAGATGTACAGGTTGTGCACTGCACACAATTCCAGAAAGCAATGTTATAATGCCTCTGAAGGGCACCCCTGGGGTGTGCAGTGTACAGCCTGTGAAGCTACCCATGGTCCTGCTTTTGAGGTCTCTTCCATTCATTATGGTACTACTGTGTGGTCAACTCACCTGCCCAGTGTCAATTTTGGGTAGGGGAAGGTCTACTGAGGTTTAAGCAGACTCCAGTCTTTTACCCACCAGGGCCTCTTTCTTTTACTTCTAGTTTTATTGTGCAATCCTCTCTGCCTCTTCTGCCCAAGAATGAAGCCCTTGGCTTAGTGAGAAAACTCTAGCTGACATAAACTAAATAATCTTTTGTTCTTCTAGTCCCAATCCTAGGCTGAGTAACAGCAGCTAATGTGCTCACATTGGAGTTTGGCACAAAAAATAAAAAAACCCAGCTCCTGTATGAGTACACAGCCCCACCCTGCTGCCTCTCTACAGGCAGCTTGCTTGGCCATAGAAGCCAGGAGGCAGGGTTGGAGGTGGATCAGCTTTCAGTCTTCCCCTGTTCATTTTCTATAATTGTTGATGGCCGCATGTTTGAGCCATAATTCCCAGTACAGGACATGAATAAAGATGCCTGCTCCTCAGAGGTGGTCTTTGGGGAGCTTTCCAGTCCAGCTCAGTCTTAGGGGAGTTGTCAGCACTGATGGAGCCCAGTGTGAGTCAGCTGAGAGTCAGGGCATCTTTTCATGGCCATATCAGAGGCTCTGGACCCAAATTTGTCAATCTTTTCATTCTTAAGGAAATCCTAATCTTAGGTATAACAGCCTATGCCAGAGTCGAAGAATCATAGATGAATCATAGAATGTCACAGCTGGAAAGAAACCTGAAGTAGGCAATCTAGAATGTCCTCTTTATTTTATCTATGAGCCCAGAGAGGAGACTTGACTCGTCTAAGGACATACAGCAAGTTACTATCAGAATGAGAGCAAGATTTGACCTCAAACCCAGGGCTGTTTTAGTAAATGGAACTAGTGGTTCTTAAGGATCTGTTTTCCAGTTAAATGGCCTATTCTAGGTACTAGCTGGCCAATGGTGGACATCAACTGTCAGAATTTCCAGAGCCCTGGTAAAATTTCCAAAGTTCCATGTCCTCCTGAATTTTACCTGGTCATTTTGGGAAACAGTGAGATATAATTTATCCCTGAGTGCCATTTAGACATTGTGATTTTAACTTTAGGACTCCAAATTCATCTTTTTGATTAGCTAGAGAGTCCACTCAAAATGCAAATAATTTCAAGTCCCTCCGGGTTGGAGGAAAAGATGAAGGAGGGGAGTAAATATAGGTACTTCTTATCCACTAAGAAGGCCAATCAAGACAACTGGTTTTGTCCTGGCCTCTAGTCCAATCACCCTGGACAAATCATCTCCATTTGTTTTGATGATCCAAAAGTACAGATGCTCTTCTACTTTGTGAGGTAAATGTGTGCAGCTCAACACTAGGATAATGAGGCAATAATATTTATTATTTAAATACTATGAACAGTTTTAAATTTATTTTCTGTTAAAGCCGATTTTTCCTCCTTTTTCAGAAAATGCCATTGACTTGGTGCCTAGGTATTGGTATCACTCATCTCCCTTAACTTTGGTCCACCTGACCGCCCAGTTCAGGAATTCCAGGGTTGGCTTTAGTGTGGCTAGATGGACGGGCCCCTGGGAGCCTGTTATGTGGCTGATGCTGGCGGATAGATATTTTCTGGGTGGAGGACCTACTTTCACATCACTTCAGAGAAGTAACTTTGCCCACTGATACAGCTGGCCCTACAACTAGGTAGAGGGGGTGATAAATAGTGGAAGGTAGAGGGTCTTGGCAGTGTGGAGGGGCGTACTTTCTTCCCAAGTCCACAGTGGCAGGGAAAAAGCCATGTTTCTCTGGGACATGGAAGTGACTTAACCCCTCACAAGAGGCCTTGAGCAGCTCTGTCTGGCACAATCAGCACACACTAGACCCTGCTTCCTCCGTTGACTTATGCTCTTTGCTTTAGGAAGGGTTTTATCCTTTTCTCTAAAGTCCTGTCTGGCCAGTTCCGCACTCTGGAATCAAAACACCCTTCTCTTTCCCCTTGCCTTGGAGGTACCGCCCAACACCCTATCTCCATGGTAATTTCTTGTTGCCACTTATTTTTCTCCAGACACACATTTCTTGACCTACAGTTCCAAGTGTGCTTTGCTGTACTGGGGGGCTTTCTAGAGAACGATGTGCAATCAGCTAACCCTGGCACTCAGGCCTGGGGGTTTGGGCTCTAGCCCCCTCCCTGGCCTCATCTTCTTTCCTCCCCTTGGTGCACCCACCCTCCGAACACCAGCTCCTTCAGTGTGCTCCCCTGCTGCCTCCTGCTCCCAGGCCTCTCTGGTGCCATCCCTGCTGCACGGGGCACCCTGTGTCCATGCTCTGGCCACCCTGAAGTCCTGATGAAACACTCCTTCTTCTTGAAAGCCTTTCTAATTCTAACTGGGCAGGGCTGCTTCCTTGTTCTGGAACTCTTCACTCATGTTTCTTTGATGGAATATATCTAATGTTGTCTGCATCAAAGCTATTACAATTATTTGGGTACATATCAAATCTTCCTCTTAAATTCTGATGCCCTGTATGTCACTGAGTATGAATGCTGTTAATACGTTGTAGGTTTAAAGACATTTATTCAACTGACACTTGTCTTTAGTAGCCAGCCCATCTCTTCTTTGGGTGGTGTCTCTAGCCGAGAATGGCACCTCAGTCTCCAGACTGCCCAGGGTTCTCCCCTCACCGCACAGCCATTTAATCACCAAATAGATCGGGCAGTCCATTTAATGCAAAGATTCTCTGACATGTGTGTCCAGATGTTCAGACGGAAGCAGAGATTCCAGCTGCCACTCCCCAGCCCTTTCTCTATCACTGTTTAGGACCTGTGATGTCCCACAGCACAGAGCTGGGACCACTGCTTTCAGGTGTGATCCTATCTTTTTAAAATTTTTAATCAGCGAATTTTAAGAAACATAGAACTTGTAAGCCCCAGAAGACAGAACCTCTAATGATGACATTTCAGCCCTGCGCCAGATAGGGGTAGAAGGGATACTTTTGTGAATGAGAAAACATTCAGATTCTCAAAAATCCACACTCTGTGAGTTATTATTTGCTTTACCTACTCATGGTGGTTAAGAAAGCAGCAACAGGTAATACCTTCAGATTCATAAAGTCACAGGCAGTCTGGTTCATTTAAACTTGACATGTAGAATGGATTAGAAACCACTTTGATCTGGTCAGCCTGAGGCCACATGGTTGTATATTAAATCTTTTGTCTCAAGGACCAAGGGCATTTTTTTTTTCCGTTGAGAAAAGTACAGTCCACTCAGAGGTGCTAAAATAAATCCCACATTTTTTTTTCATTATTTTCTGGAATAGTGTTTGAATGATGGGCAAACCCTCAAGTGGAGAATTTGCTTTCACACACGTAGCAGCTTCAACTGCTGAGATCATGTTGTTCAGCACCCATTCTAATCCACATGGAAAGGGGCACGGGGGTGTTGTGGGTGGGGAGGGGTGGTGCAGCTCTGGGCCCCAGGGGTCTTGGGAGTGATCCATTTCTGGATGTCTGCATTGTGTGGGGTCCCGTCATTCACTCTGTCACTTGCTCTGACTTGAGTTCGCTCTCCAGATCGATTTCATTTTCTGCCACCATGGTGAAGATCAAAGAGGGATCAAGAGATACAGAGGAAGGAAGCAGAGAGAGGAAGAGAAAGAGAGAGAGATTAGCAAGCAAAGCAGAAACAGTTTATGCAGGAAATACAGAAATTACTCCACCAGAATTGATTAAGAATGCATAGTTTAGGTACAGCCAGTGTGAAGAACAGTTTGGGATTGTGGAATTTGTATCGTTCTGAGAATTTGCAGAGTCATACATCCTGGCTCATGAGGATTATAAAATTCTGCCCCTGGAGGGAGCTTTGCCTGCATCTGGTCCAAACCCTCACTTGACAGCATTTAGAGTAGAACAGGGCTTGTCCCGGGGTCACCACAGCAAGGTGGAGGCAGGGCCAGAACAATGACCCATAATTCCCAGCTTCTTTTCTAGTGCACGTTTCTTTACCACAGAGTGCACCCCTCTTGTCTGGAAGCAGAGATTCCAGCTGCCACTCCCCAGCCCTTTCTCTATCACTGTTTAGGACCTGTGATATCCCATGGCACAGAGCTGGGGCCACTGCTTTCAGGTGTGATATCTATCTTTTTAAAATTTTTAATCAGCGAATTTTAAGAAACATAGAACTTGTAAGCCCCAGAAGCCTGGGGACTCTCGACTCCTCAGTCCTGTCCTTGCCTCTCCCCTAGGACCTAGCACAGTGCCTCGTACAGAGAGATGCTCAATAAATACCTACAGAGTGAGCAAAGATGCTGGGTATGACTGAATGGGAATTCTAATAGTCTTAATCCAGCCTATTTTGGGAGAATAGGGTCATATCAGGGAAACAGTTTCTCTTTACTACAAAATGACAGGGTGTTCTGTTGTATGCTAATGTAAGTCAGGGAAAAATTATTAATGTTTCCTACTTTCCAAAAATGTGAATGAGAGAAATGAAACCACTTCCTAGTGAGGGGATTGGGTTGGGGCAGGAGGAGTCCGTTTATCTTTTGCATGTTTCTGGCCCTCCATGGGTATGGTATGTATATTAACCCAGTTAATCCCCACAGCAATCTTGAGGGCAGGAAACTGAGGCCAAAGAGTCTGAATACACTGATTACAGCTGAGAGGGACTGTCAGCTTGTAGAGTCTGCATTTGTATCTAGAACTTCCTAATTCCAAAGCCTGATTCTATCCAGGACACCCCATATCCTCCTTTACCTTCTCCTTCAACATGGCCCTTGCTTTGTTCTGCAGAGTGCTTTGCTTAGAACCCAGTCACAGCACTGCACCTCGAGCCTCAGATTGGAGGAGGTGGTGGCTGTGGCCACCACCACTTGAGTTCCGCCATGCCCGGACCTTGTCTTTTCCGTCCGACTTCCCTATGGAACTCTGTGCAGGCATCCAGTCAACATTTTTTGAAACATTTTGTTAAAGTCATAAAATGCCCCCTCCTTCCCCATGCTAGGCTCTGACTCCAGCTACATCATATGAAAAGGAAAAATTTCATCATATGAAAAGGAAAAGAACAATCGTATTTTACTTCAAAGTTCTTCCTGGGATTTGCGTTAAGGGAATGTCCCCCTTGGGACAATGGCAGGAGATTTGTCTGCCTGCTGAATCAAGGCCATGTAGGAGAAAGGGAAGAGGATAGCGCTCCAGTTTGCATGAAAATTCATGAAAGGAAGATGGGTGGGACCAACTCTAATTCGTTTTTGTTTGTTTGTTTGTTTTTTCTTTTTTGAGATGGAGTCTTGCTCTGTCACCCAGGCTGGAGTGCAGTGGCACGATCTCGGCTCACTGCAATCTCCGCCTCCTGGGTTCCAGCAATTCTCCCGCCTCAGCCTCCCGAGTAGCTGGGATTACAGGCGTGCGCCACCATGCCTGGCTAATTTTTGTATTTTTAGTAGAGACTGAGTTTCACCATGTTGGCCAGGCTGGTCTCGGACTCCGGAACTCAAGTGATCCACCTGCTTCTGCCTCCCAAAGTGCTGGCATTACCAGCGTGAGCCACCATGCCAGGCTCTAATTCTTGACCTCACCAAGCCATTGTAAAGCAAATTCTCCCTTCTCTCTCCCTTCCTTCCCTGACTATTTCTGTCACTGTGCCTCCTCTCATCAATGTTGGCCATAATAAGTTTCTAAAACTGTGGTCCTTATAAGTCTTTCATTGAAATCACCTGGGTGTTGAGGGGTGGTTGCAGGGGGTGGTGGTGAGGTGAAGGGGTTGGAAGCCTGTATTTTTACAAAGCTCAGTAGATGATTTATATAGACTATATCATTTTAAAACCACTGGCACATATTCTAAAATATAAAGCTAGTCCAAACTCCTTATTTTATAGTTGAGGCGAAGGGTCTTATTCACAGTCACAGAGTTGGTTAGGGGCAGAGCCAAGGCAAGAACTCTGGGTCCCAGGAGCCAGTGAAGAGCTGTATCCTCTGCTTCATGCAGGCCCACTGTGCTGATCCCACAGCCCTTCCTGCACAGCCCTAAATCATGAGCTGTCTCAGAAGATGAAGGGGATATGGCTGATGGCCATGTGAAGACTAGCAAGGTCACTCAGCTCTGGGCACCAGCACCAAACTAGTTTCCTGAATTAGCAATTGCCAAAGCTGGTTTTGAACCTGGACACGTGCTATTCCTTTAGTAAGTCTGGCAACCCATCCGTGGGCTGAAGTAAAATTGGTATTTAACAAAGTACTGGGCCCACAAGAAGTTTCTTTTGGGATTCAAACATCTTATTGCCAAAAGGGGCACTGATACTCTTTTTTTTCCCAACCCTTGTGTGTCTGTTAAATTCCTGCTCCCATCCCCCTTAGAGTGCTCCTGCCAAGCTTTCACCCTTGCATGCTCTGCTCGGATCCCGCCAGTGCTGGGGAGCTCAGTATCTTTATAACAACCCATTAGGCTTTCTTACTTTTACAGGTGGGAATCTTGTTACTCCACGTCCCATCCTTCAGACACTCAATCTGGAATGTGTCCATCTCCACATTATCCTGGGAAGAGACAGGAAGAAGGGAGTGGGAAGAAGGAGGTGGGGGTGGTGTCAGGGGTTTTTTCCTAGCAAAACCAACTCAAGCTCCACACGTGTCTTGATCTCGACTGAGATTTTCCACCCATGGGCTTCCAAGGGTGAGCTTGAAGGTAGGGGAAAGATACATGCTGAATTCATACCTCCTTTTCATACTCTGGAGAGGGGCAAGGGCTGTGTGCAAGAAGGGGTTTGGGCAACTATCTCTGAAGGGAAAACGGTAAGCATTGACTCCTTTTTCAGAGCAGTGCTTCTCAAACCAGGGCAAGCGGTCAGCATCTCCTAGAGAGCTTGTTAAAACATAGGCTGCTGGGCTTCTCCCCCAGAGTTTCTGATTCAGTGAGGCTGGCCTACCCAAGCATTTGCATTTCTAACAAGTTCCCGGTGATGCTGAAACTGAACACCCCTCTTTGAGAACCATTCCTTGAAAGCGATGGTCCTCTAGCTTGGCTGCACCAATCACTGGTCCCAGCCCCAAAAAGTCTGCTTTAACTGATCTCAAGTGAGAGCTGGGAGGTGATTTTTTTAAAGCGAACCATGTGATTCCTAGAACTACTGCTTCTGGGGGTGGGAGAGTGAGGGGAACCCATCTGTTCCTTTTTTTATTTTTTGAGATGGAGTTTTGCTCTTGTCACCCAGGCTGGAGTGCAAAGGCGTGATCTCAGCTCACTGCAACCTCTGCCTCCTGGATTCAAGTGATTCTCCTGCCTCAGCCTCCCAAGTAGCTGGGATTACAGGCGCCCGCCACCACACCTGGCTATTTTTTGTATTATTTAGTAGAGATAGGGTTTTGCCATATTTGCCAGGCTGGTCTCAAACTCCTGAGATCAGGTGATCCACCCGCCTGGGCCTCCCAAAGTGCTGGGATTACAGGCATGAGCCACCATGCTCAGCCCCATTTGCTACTTTTAAACTGTTTACTTCCTTTCCTGGTATCCCACTCCACTCCCCTCTATAAGCCCGATGAACTTTGTTACAGTTCTCAGCCTTGATTATAGAGCTGTATGGATCCATATTTTAAAAATTCAAACCAGCTCATGCTCTGATTAAAAAAAAAAAAAAAACAAACTTTTGTGCCACTTTCAGAGTGTGAGACCGCCTGGGACGCATGCTTTGGAATTTCTGGAGCATTTGAGAAGTTGATGGGCAGCTAGGAAATTCTGTGCTGGAACTATGACAAGTTCTGGCAGCCCATCTGCCCTGGGGAGGGGCAGGTTTCGAGAGTTTCTGTGGCCTGGTCACTCCCCTTTCCCAGGCAAGGCTCTGCACCTTCAGCACTTTGTAGCCTGTGTCACAGCTGACGAGCACTTGGTCTTTGAAGAAATACTTGGCTTGGGAGGGCTCGATTTTCCCATGGACAGGAGGCTGTAGCTCTGGGCACTCATTTCCTGGTGAGGAGCAAATGAAAGAACAGCAGGTGAGAAAAGAGAATTCTGACCTTAAAGGGCCAGTCCCTAGAAAGCAAGGCCTGATGAAGGTGAATAAAACATGGAACTGGGTATTGGAGGCATGGATCTTCCAAGCCCTGCAAGAGACTAATTCTGGAACCGTGAATAGGGCAGTTTCCAACTTGGACCACCATGTCCTTACTTGTAGAATGAAATGGTTGACCAGATGATTTCATTAAAACACAGGGTTGGGAGGAATGTTAAATGTCATTAAATCCAATCCTTGTCTGATGCTTCTCTTAAAATATCCTCCGCAGTAGATGCCAAACAGACTGCTCAGCTAGGAGCCCCACCAGGTCCAAACCTGCATCCCTCCTCCCTCAGCCACTACCTGCATCTTTCCTCCCTCAGCCACCACCCCTGGGAGGGCTAAGCATGGCAGCTCAGGGACACAGTGACAGGGAGCTCAATGCCTCCCTAACCTTTCAGGCACGGACTCTGCTGATTACATGAACACTGCATTCCTACTTAACTGAAATTTGCGCCCCTGTAATTTTCACTCATTTGTCCTCTTGGGCCACCAAGGATGACCCAAATTGCTCTTTCTTCCCGAGGCCCTTCTTCAAAGCATTAGAAAGACTGTGATCATATGCCTCTGAGTCCTCTCCTTGAAAGGCTAAATCTGACAGGCTCTTCAGGCCTGGGCCTATCCCTGACACTTTTTCTGAGACAAACTCTCCTTTGTTAAGATCTTCTCTACTCTCCCGCATCTGAGCAGTGTATGTGATAATGCAGGCAGGGCCAGAGTTTTAGTTTATGAACTAGATTAGTCATGCCCAGCTGCGATCTTTTGTCACTGATGTTCACCCTCTCCTTCCTTGGGTTCCTACAGACCAGTTACTGCAGGTTGAATGGCTCGATCAAGGTTTGGGCCAGGACTGGCTGACTTGGGGGATGGGGGCATGAGACCCATGGGCTTTGCTGATGGGGGGCCCACAAGGAGGCAAAGCACCATAATGAAACATTCTGGGCTAGAAACCCACATCCAAATTCTAGCCCTAGACTTGGAGAAGGCTGGAGCTGAAAAGGCCCTCCTCAAGTCTACTGAATCACTGTGTGAGGGGTAGAGTTCAGGAAACAAGATTTCTTTTTCTTTAATCTCTCTATGCGATACTGAAGTACATGTTTTGAAAACCATCAGTCTAGTCCACCCAACATTATTGTTGCCCTTGCCCCCATTTTATAGATGGAAAACTGAGTCAGGAGAAAGCACGTGCCTTGGTCCCCAGCTGCTCAACTGGGAGTCCCATCAGGTCTCCAGAGGAGATCCAAGCCTGCACACCTCCTCCCTCAGCCACTGCCTCTGCAAGGGCTAAGCACAGCAGCTCGGTGTGACCTGGGAGGGAAGAGGTTACCTGCAGCCCTGTATGAGAGCCTCCAGCCCCGGTTCTCTCCCGAGTTGTCACTATGGAACAGGATCAGGACACTGTGGCTCTGGGTGCTGATGGGTTCTGGGGCTTTCTCTCCACAGAAAGGCCCCAAAACTTTTGGACCAACTTTGATCTGCAAAATATGAGAGAGAGAGAGAGAAATAGAGTGTTCCATCTGAGCAGCCAAAATGGCCACTGCAGGTAACACCTCTCCACTGCACTCTGGGTTTTCTGGAAGCTTCCATATGAACCCTTGGTATTCACTTAGGTTTTTAGTGAGCCTTACCATTCACCAAATGGTTTCATCTTCATTCTCTCTTTTATAATTTACAATGGCTCTTGACGTGGACAAGGCAGGTTAATAATCCTCTACTTAACTATTTACAATAGCGAAGGTGTAGAACCAACTCAAATGCCCATCAATGATAGACTGGCATTGATGTGGCACATATACACTGTGGAATACTATGCATCCATACAAAAGGATGAGTTCATGTCCTTTGCAGGGACATGGATGAAGACGGAAGTCATCATTCTCAGCAAACTAACACAGGAGCAGAAAACCAAACACTGCATGTTCTCACTCATAAGTGGGAGTTGAAAAATGAGAACACATGGACACAGGGAGGGGAAGATCACACACCAGGGCCTGTCAGGGGGTGGCGGGGCAAGGGGAGGGAGTGCATTAGGACAAGTACCTAATGCATGTGGGGCTTAAAACCTAGGTGACGGGTTGATGGGTGCAGCAAACCACCGTGGCACATGTATACCTATGTAACAAACCTGCATGTTCTGCACATGTATCCCAGTACTTAAAGTAAAATTAAAAAAAAATCCTCTGCTTAAAGATGAACGTATTGTGGCTCAGAGAAGGGCAGAGTGCTGTCTGGTGCATAAAGCAGAGATGATCTCTGCTGTCAAAGAACCTGCAGTCTAGTTGGGGGGACTAATAAGAAATAATAAACAAAATAATTGTAGGCTGTCATAAGGGTTATAAAAATAATCAAGATGATATGCATATACAAAAGAAATATATGCTGTATGTTTATAATTGATGTAAAATCTATGTAACCTATAGAAGTAATCATTCCTATAATGGTAATATAATAGATAATAACTTTAGGTAATCAAGGAAGGCCTTTCTCTGAGGTAGCATTGGGGATCTGAGATATGTAGGATGAGTATGAGCCTATTTGAAGAGAAGGGAAGAACACTTTATAGGGAGAGAAAACTGCATATGTAAAGGTCAAAGCCAAGGGTGGGAAAGAGCTTGCCTAGTGTTAGGAACAGGCAGGAATCCAGGCTGGCTGGGCAGTGGGAGTGCTGTGGCATGAGGTTGGAAAACAGACAAACGCCACTTTGTGTTGAGAGATTTAGGTTTAATTTCAAGTGCAAACTCGATCGAATCTAGCTTTTATAAAGATCACCCTCAATGCTATGGGAGAATAGATTGTGTAGGGCAAGAGTGGAAGCAAAAAAACAAAACAAAACAAAAAACAGTTGGGAAGTTTTGCAGCTGAGCAGGAGGGAGGTGATGAGTTTGCAGGAGGTTGGGGGCAGTGGGGGAGAGAAGGCAATAGGCTCTATTATCTGATCCGGATTCCCCACCTCTCAGTCCTGGTTCTTTTCCATGTCTTTAACCTGTTTTTTCCCCATCTTTGAGGGCCATGACTCCTTATCTATCATTTGGTGACTTCTGCAATCCCAAGTGATATCTTTGTCCTGTCCTTATTGAGGAGAGGGGAAACAAATGAAGCCCCAAGAGGTTGTGTGCTTGGGTGAGGCTCCCATGTGTAGCTTCTGGGACACCATGGCAGGCAGAATTCTAGGGTGGTCCTCCTGACCTTCACCCCTAGTGTTACTTTGTGATGATGTTATGTTAAATGGCAAAAGGGATTTTGCAGATGTATTAAAGTTATTCATTAGTTGACCTAAAGTGAGGGAGATTATCTGGGTGGGCCTAACCCAATCACACGAGCCCATTCAACACAGTTTCCTCCTGCTGGTAGCAGCAGCAGAAGTCAGGGAGATTTGAAGTGTAATAGGAATTTGATGGAAGGGACTGTCTCTGATGGCAGGGGCCAATGTAAAAGTATCTGAGCGCAACTTCTAGAGCTGAGAGCCACCACTGGCTGACAGCCAGGAAGAAGAAGGGGATTTTAGTCTTACATCTGCAAGGAACTGAATTCTGCCAACAACTTAAATGATCTTGGAAGTTGATTCTTCTCCAGAGCCTCTAGATAAGAGCTCCATCAGCTGACACCTTGATTTCAGTTTCATGAGACCCTGAACAAAGAACCCCATTGTGCTCACTGGGATTTCTGACTGACACAATGCTGGGATAAGAAATTGGCATTGTTTTAAGCTGTTATGTTTGTGGTAGTTTGCTAACACAGCAAAATAGAAAACCGGTGGCCTATGCTTCCTGCTAACCCCCTCCAGTCAAGCTGCCTCTTAGCCTCTGTACACAAGTAGGGGACAGCCCAGGCTCTAAGTTCTAGAGTTTTCTTCTGTGTCCTCTCAGGCTTTTCTGCCTCTCTCACTGTTGACAGCTTTCTCCTGGGCAGTCTCATTTTCTGGCTCTTTCTGACCTCTTCTGTGGGTTCCTCTTCCTCCATCTAGGTCTCATAATCTATTATGTTCTAGCTTCCTTTTTTTTTTTCTAGGACATCCCGCCATTTCCACAGTTTAAATCAGCACCTCTTTAAACATTTCATGGCACCCATCTTTATCCCCAGCTCAGGGTCTCTTCTGAGCTAGACCCTAATATTCAGCTCTACTTGGATGTCTTGGCTGATCACTCTATAAGAATTGCTGGTTTTACTTTCCACATATCTCGAAAATATCTCCCCCATTATCCCAGCCATGGCTCAAATTCAGGCTGCCATTCCTTCTTAATTATAATATTGAAATAACCACAAGTTGAGTAGTTATTTGCCTGTGGTATTTGTTCCGTCTTTATTTGCCTTTGACATAGCCTCTTCCCGCAAGTGGGCCCAGCAGCATAATTTGTGAGGTCTGGGGCAAAATGAAAATACGGGGACCCTTATTTAAAACAAATTAAAATTTTCATACATTCTTCTTTGCCTTGGTAGTAGGTTAAAAAAATAAACAGAAGAAAAATAGTTTCATATGTTTATTAAACCAAGCATGAGGCCCTTCTGTGCACAGGGCCCTGTGTGACGGCATGGGAGGCGTGCTCATGAGGCTGGGCGTGCCCGCCAGAGACCTTTCTAAAATGCAGATTCACGACTCTCCTCCTCAAGCCACCCTAGTGGCCAGTGGGGTCATTTCGGATCAGAGATTCCTGGAATAGATCTAACTAAGATGGTAGATATTATTTTAAATAATGCCTTTTTGAGGAACTAGCTGCTAGGCTCTCTATCCTGGGAGAAGAAGGTGAAGGTTCCGCAATATCAATTTTCCCAACTCAGCCAAGATTTTCCAGCATCTCCAGGACAAGTGTTCATTGCAGGCTCACCTTGATGTAGTCATAGGGGCAGGGCACCTCAGGATGGTCCTCAATGTCAAATATGTCCTCAAACTGCAGGTTGACCATGAAACCCTCCTCCAGCTCGATGGTATACAGGCATTCAGAGCTCTTGGGGTAAGGGTTTGGGAAGTCAGGGCTGGTGATCACCCCAGTCCTTTGAGTGAAGAGGTTGTCACTGCACTCCACTGTTGGAAACATAATAGAGAAAATGGCGCATCGCAACCACAGCCATAGCAAGCCTGGCTTATCTGTTACTATATGATTTTCCCAATGGTCCCAAGCAGTAGACAGGGAAGGTATCGGCATCTCCATTTTACAGATGGGAAAAATGAAGCTCAAGGTCGCATGTCTAGTAATTTACCGAGCTGAGATTCAAGCACAGATTTTCTAATTGTCTGTCCAGGGCTGTTTACCCTGTGTGAAGATCCTTCTCATCAGATCCTCTGGTATGGGGGTCAGGGAGAGGGATCTGAGAGGGAAGGGTTTTGAGATGGAGTGGTCAGGGGGATGCCTGGACCTCTGTGATCATGTCCTCCCTGTACCCAGAACTTCAGGAGATCCCTCATCTCCTACAGGCCCTTGACACACACCCTCACTCCTCACTGTCTAACCCCTGTCTTTGTTTTGTTTTTCTTTATAGTGCTATTCACTCTGTTCAACTAAATGTAGCCTTAAGCTTCCTTCTTACTTATTTTATTTTATTTTATTTTATTGAGACAGAACTTTACTATGTCACCTAGGTTGGAGTGCAGTGGTGCCATCTCAGCCCACTGCAACCTTCGCCTCCACCTCCACCTCCACCTTCTCCCAGTGATCCTCCCACCTCAGCCTCCTGAATAGCTGGGACGACAGGCACGTGCTATAACACCTGGCTGATTTTTGAAGTTTTTGTAGAGATGGGGTCTTGCTATGTTGCCTAGGCTGATCTCAAATTCCTAGACTCAAGCCATCTTCCTGCCTTGGCCTCCCAAAGTGCTGAGATTACAGGTGTGAGCCACCTCGCCCGGCCTCCTTACATATTTTAAATTCAGCCTGAAGGGTTCTGCGTACATGGTGAACTGCAACCTAACTGGATTTTTAAGTAGACTGTAATCTACTGTCTTACTGTAAACTAAAAATAAAATCCTAAGCCCTCCACTGACCTAATGGGCCCCCTGTGGCAAAGGATCTCCAGAAAAACCTTAAAACGGAATTCCTGGCCATGATGGAGTGGTAGGTTAGACACTCCTTCTATATCCCCTTTTCTCTGCAGTTTGGACACAACAACTGACCAACATTAATGTTAAATAGAGATCATGAGAGTGAGAAAACAGACTCCTTGTGGAAATAAAATACCAAATTATAAATGATGAAGGAACTAAGGCCATGCCAGGCAAGGGTTAAGTCACGCATCCCTACACTGAAAGCATAAACTATGTTCTAACGATGCTACAAAGTTTTTCTTTTTCTCCAGCAGCTGAACAAGTACTGGCCTTGTGGTAAGTGATATGAAAACAATTTTCAGCTCTACCAGATGCTGACTGTCTGATCCCCACCCTGTTCCACCAGCCATAACTGTAGCTTTGAATGGACAAGACATTGATTTCAGTCACTTTCTTTTGATAAGAGACTTCTGACCATGGCCTGGTTCTCGCCAGTTTACAGAGGCTGCACACCTGAATGTCTCCCATCCTGAAAGGACGTTTAGACCCTAACTGTAATACATTTAATGTGAAGTCTCCATCCCAAAGTGAACATGGGTCATGTGTTGCATACATATTTGTTTAATATGCATGTGTCAGGACCACTCTTATGAATATTCACAGCTCCTCCTATAACCTGTTGAATATGTATGTTTAGCCAACCTGTTCAGCATAAAGCTCCTATCTCAACCCCTCCTCCTTTTAAGTGCCTGTCTCTGGTCTTGGCTGGAGGTGGTGCTTCCCAGACTATGAGGACGGCCACCTGCTGTAACCCTTCATAAGGAATAAAATCTCCTCTCTTTTTCTAAACTTACAGATTTGTAATCTTGATTTTTAAGTTAACAGTACCAATCACAGAGTTTTGGCCAGTCACGGGTGGCCATCTGTTCAAACTGCCTTCAAACAAGGCAAATACCAAGCTGTAAGTAATTTGGCTGTTTCTGTACCTGACTTCCATTTTCTGTCCATCACTTTCCTTCTACTTCCCATAAATATTATCCAGCATGAGCAACCCTGGAGTTGCTCTGAACATATTCTGGTGGTGGTAGGGTGGGTGCAGGGGAGGATTCTCAAATTGTTCTTTGCTCAGTTAAACTCTGTTAAATTTAATTTGTCTGAAGTTTTTCTTTTAACAGCTCCCTATATTGATTTTCTTGCTCCCAGTAGACTGTAAGTTCTGTGAGTGCAGGAATTCTGCTTCGTTCCCCACTGCATTTACTGCACGCGAGAATCCACTGTCCTGGGAACCCAGACGTGACTTTAGCCCTGCTAAGGAACATTTATGTGTCACTAAGTCTTTACCCTTGGGCCAGTTCATCCTAGATCTGGGATGTCAATGTTTCTACGCCCTTGTTCATTCTGCTTATTTGCAAATGAGAAAACTGTAGTTCTGAAAAAGGGGTCTTGACTATCTTAAAGTTTCACAGCTATGAGCTGCAGGACAAGGTGAAGATGGAAGTCTCCTGAGTTCCTGACTGTTTTCATTTTTTACCCCAAGCATTCTCATGGGGGCGATCTTGCCCTCAAGAAAGCTAAAATTCCTTCTTGGTGGGGAAGGTCTTGCTTTTTAAATGCACAATACACAGATGGACATACAGTACATAAACAGATATATAGTCTATCTGTGATATTAAAATTTCATGGTGGGGGCCTTAGGAAAATTATATTTAAAAAAGCTCCTGGTGAAGGGTGAAAATGAAGAAAATGAGTGAGAAACCTTGCTCTGCCCTAAGCATTCTTGGCCCTGACTGTACTGAACACATAGTAGATACTCAAGAAGAACTTAACCGAATAAAAAAATAGAAAATATACACTCTTTAAGAAAAATCCTGCACGTGCCTGTTCTTTTGGTTTTGGATTGCTTTATACTGATGTGTTATATAGGGTTTTATTCAGAAGCAAATAGCAGGTTTTGAAGGAGGAAGAAAAAAACTTTTGTCTCCAGACTTGTGCTCCCCCAGTGATCCCTCACTCAGCTTCCAAGTGAGATTTCAAGCACAGATGCTTATCCTGGACCACACTAATCTATTGACTGTTCCCTGAAACATTCCAAGTTCTACCACACTTCTGACTGTTTGCAGAAGCTCTTCTCTCTGCCTGGAAGGCCCTTCTTCTCTTTATTCTTTCATCTCTGTCAAGGGTCACAACTCTGGGAAGTGTTTGCCTGCACAGGTCTGATTGTGCTATGTCCATACTTCCATTACATAAATGTAATGGAAACATTAATGTTAAAATGGAGACCATAAGACACTTCACCATTTGCTTACATGCCCATTACCCCACTAGCCCAAGAGCTCCTCCTAGAAAGTGGCTAAACCCTTCCATTTCTCCATCCCTCCCTAAGCACGAGACTATAGCATAGTAGGTACGTTGATGATAGATGAAAACAAAGATAGATAGAAGGAATGGGAAGTTTTCTGGCTGTTTCTGTTTGCCTCTTTCCTCTCTCACTTCTTTGCTTTGGACTGAGGTCTCTCTATTGTAGAGGAACTTAGGGGCCATGGAAAAGAAGAGAAAAGGAGTTGCTGGGTAAAGCATAATTCGTGGCTCAAAGAGAAGGAACTGGGAAACCCAAGTTTTCCCCTAACTTGACCAGACCAATTGCCTACAATAGGATAGGAGACAGCAACCTGTATAGTGAAAAATGCTGCCCCAGAAAGAAAGATGGCCAAATAGTCTAGAGCTTCTCTCCTTTGGGAACCCAAGATCAGGTTTCCAGGCTGGGTGGGCATTTCTGCATCTTCATCCATGTGGTGTCTGAGGTGCATCATTGACTTCATTTTTACTTGTTCCTATTGCATATCTGTCTTTCTCTGAGCCTCATCTAATGTTATTGAGGATGTGGCCTATAAGGGCAATGCATACAATCATTGGTAGGCTCTACCTCGGCAGGTCCTGTTGTCTGTGTGGAGGATGTAGCCGAAGCGGCAGGAGCAGTAGTAGCCGCCAATGTAGTTGTGGCAGTAGTGGTCACAGGACAGCTCCTCGTCCTCCCTCTCCTTGCACTCGTCCACATCTGTAGGGCAGGTAAAGCCTCTCCATCAATACATGCATGATGATGAAGACTACAGCCAACATTTATAGAGCACTTGATATGGGCCACTCACTATGTTAGGAGATTCATGCGTTCTCTCATTTAATCCTCTCATACAGCCCAGAGGTAGCCATTATCTTCACTTTACAGACTAGGAAACTGGAACTCAGAGAGGTTAGGCAACTTACCCAAGGTCACAAAAAGCCAAGTTCAAACCCAGGTAACTTGACTTCTGGTGGGACCACTATCCTCTAACAGTTATAATAATAACTGTGTGTGGGACAACAACCTCAGGAAGAATTACACATTTGTTACTATGCATTCTGTTACTAGTCACATTCTATGGAGGATGAAATGGCGACATAGAGGCATTAACAAACTTAGAATCACACAGATAATAAGTGGCAGACCCAGGATTTAAATACAGACAAGCTGGGTACAGAGCTTGTGCTCTTAACTTCTACCTCATGCTACCTCTTTCTTTCTTTCTGCCCCTAATGTGGGTCAAGCCCTGTCCTAGGCATTTGAATGTACATTTCCCCAAAAGGGATAAACCAATGGCCAACAAGCACATGAAAAGATGTTCAACATTGCTAGTCATTAAGGGAATGCAGTTTAAACCACAATGAGGTACCACTACATACTCACCAGAGTGATTAAAATTTTTAAAAATTGACAACATCTAATGTTGGTTTAGATGTGGAGCAGCCAGAACTCTCATACATTGGTGGACAGATAAAAAATGTTACATTTGCTTTGGAAAAGGTCTGGCAATGTCTCATAAAGCTAAACGTATACCTATCCTATGACTCAGCAATTCTTCTCTTACATATTTACTCAATAGAATTGAAAACATATGTTTGCAAGAAGACTTGCACAAGAAGGTTCATAAAAACTTTGTTAGTGAGAGCTAAAAAATGGGGAGATTCCAAGTAGCCGTCAATAAGAGAATGAGTAAACATACTTTAGTATATTCATACAATGGAAAATTACTCTGCCAGGAAAAGGAGCAAATTACTGATGCATGCGACACATGAATTAACTTCAAAAACATTATGCTGAGTAAAAGAATCCTCACCCCCAAAATGTATTCTGTATGTTTTCATTTAAATGAAGTTTTAGAAGAGGCAAGAACTAATCTACAGCAGAAAAAAAATCAAAACAGTTGTTTCCTCTAAGGGAAGTGGGAGCAGAGATTGACTGGCAGGGACACAAAGGAACCCCCTGGGCTGGTGGTAAAGTTCAGTGTCTTGTTAGAGGTTTGGGTTACACACAAATACAGATTTTTCAAAATTCAACAAATGTATACATGAGATATGTATATTCCATTTTATGTCAATTTTACACAAAAAGAAAAAATGCTGTGAACAAATATGAAACTCTAGCAAAATAATATGCATGCTGAATTATTTAGGAAGAAGTATACTGATGTCTGCAATTTACGTTAAAACACTTTGTAAAAGATGAATTGCTGGATGGATAGAGGGTAGATAGATGGATAGATACGTGATAGAGCAAATGCATTAAGACATTAATGGTAAAATCTATGTGGTGCACACACAGATTTCCATCGTAAAGGAGAGGTCACAAGGCAGTTTTCATCTTCGGAGAGAGAGAGAGAGACCTGAGGATGAGTCACTTCTCCAACTTACCCACAGCCATGTAGTGGGCATCAAAGCCTGTGAAACGCTCCTCATTGGAGAAATCTGACCGGAAAGTGATGGACATGAAGGAGCCAGGGGAGAGGACCACCTCCTGGCCGGGAGTCTGCTCTGTGTCTGTGGTCTCCCTGCCACAGAAGGTTGCCAGCACCTGGTCCTCAGTTTCTACCTTTGAGGTCAAAGAGAAAGGGAACAAGATGAGCAGTTTCCCAGCTAGGCTTCTTTCCTTATCTTTAGAAAGAAAAAGGAAGGGGCCACCCAAGAGTAGGCTAGTCAGCCTGAGAAACCCAAAGAAAGGAGGTTAAGGATTCTTGAGAAAAGACGCATTACAAGTTAATTCAATGTGGACATCTGATCAGTTTCATTCGTCTTATTTAGTTCCATTAGAAGTAGCTTGATATTTGTTGTTGCTGTCAATAACCAAGCAGCTTATTTATTAAAAATAACTCAATATGAAAGTTTTAAAAAGTTAGATAACCTCGCAGACAGATTCTCTGCACAACAGGAACTTACCACATTTCCAAAGAATGGAAACTGTATACACAATATAAGTCATTCATTGAGTATCCAGTGTGTGCCTACTGCCGAGCAAAGCATGAGATGGAGGTGATGAGAGATAGACACAGTGCTGTGCACACAATAGCAGTGTTGAGATTGAGGAACACAGACACAGGCAGGTATTACACAGTGTGACAAATGCTTTCACACAAGCAGAAGCACTGCATATGCACTCAAAGCAGGCAAACAATCCACATTAGAATATAAGCTACAGGAGAGAAGGACTTTATTTTCTTTATAGATGTGTCTTCAGTGCATGGAACAGGACCTGGCACATAATAGTTATCCAATAAACATTTGTTTACAAGAACTGAAAGTACAAGCCCCATTCTGTGAACAGTGAGTAGCCAGGGAGTCTGTGGGGATTGTAGGAGGAGATGTACTTGGAAGGATACATGGAAAGAAAATTATGGTTGACCTTGAATGCCATTAATTCTGTGAGTAAGTGGAAGACACTGAAAACTTTTAAGCAGGAAAGTCATGTAATGAAAACTAATGTTTAATAGGCAGTCTTAATACAGAAACTATTTATTGGAATCACCCAAAAATAGTTTGAGTGTGTATCTCTGTGTGTACATGTTTGTGTTAAGACTTAGATGCAAAAAACATGCCTGTTTGCTAAAAGAATTCCCTTCTTTGGAAGAGCCAGAGGCCCTGTGCGAATTCAGAGATCCAAGCAGAGATCCTAAACTGGTGGCTTAAAGCTGATTTTATGTGAGACAGGAGTTTGGGAAGCTTCGTATGATAGCTAGTTGGTATATTTATTTGAGTATAAATTCTTGACGTATCTATTCGATTATCTTATACCTAATCCAATTCTTTTAAGTTGTATTTGTGTTTGCAACCTCTGGACCAAATTTTAGCCAAGATGCATGAAAAAAATCTCTTACCAAGAATGATTCCTGCTGCCTTTCAAAGTCATTAGAGAAAAGTTCTCAAAGGCGGCTATCTCTAGTAGCTTCTAATGAATTCATTGTTTTGTTCGTTAGCTTAGCATGTCAGAAATATCTTGACATTTGACACTCCTGTTTTGAAACTAATGGTTTATTTATTTAAAATAAGTGGGAGTTTCAAAGAAAAACAATTTGCCCTGGCAACAAAACGCAAGTACAATTAATCACTAACTTTGGGAATTGAAGTGTAAACAGAAGATGAGATCATGGCTTTGCTATTTATTCCTCTTCTCTGCAGATACCAGCCGAACTCACACCAGTCTTGTTACTATAGAATGTGCCTATCTGCACACAGCTGAAATGTCACTTCCTTGAACCTCCCAGCTGCTGTGTTATTTTATCTGACTCAGTTTTCCAGATAGCCAAAGCTTTACCTAACTATAACTAAAAATTTTCTTTTTGGTGTAACACTTAAAAAAAAAAAAGTACTTTAAAGAAGTACCCACTTTCTCAAGTGAAACATGCTAACCCTTTCTTGGTGATCCAGGGACATTGTTATGAATGTCAACCATTGTGATACTATATTAAAGTGATAATCTTGGGGATATTGAGTTGTGTAATGTCGCTTGACCTGGCGTTAAACATTGCCGGACTATAAAGCCTTGAACTTCTGAAGTCTTCTTTATGTCATGTTTTATTTCCTGTCTTTTTATCAGCCTATTCACTGTACTTTTCTGTCTGCTTATTTTTAATATGTTGTGAATTAGAAACCAGTTAACTGCTTTTGCTAGAACTTAATAAAAAAAAGCTAAATAGATTTAGAATGAGGGCCTGGGAAAGGGATTCTTCTGTGAGTAACTGCATGAACTAGAGTACACCATCTTGGTGACCTCTGCTTTGGAGTAATACGATATACAGGAACCTGGCAGTTGGAGGTCCTGGGTCCTGTTCCTGACACTGCCGTATTCTGCATTTTGGGCCATCTCCTTTCTAGCTCTCAGTTATCCACTTGTAAAAACAGGGGTTTGGACTAGCTGAGCTCTAGATTCCTTTCCAATTCCAGACATAGCAGTCATCATAGTCTAACACAGTTCTAACAAATCATCATAGTCATATATTATATAAACCAACCAGAAGATGGTAAGCAGGAGTTTTAACATATGCAGGATTACTGCTTGCGGATGAACTTGAATTTGTTAATAATGAATAGTCATGCCTTGGGCATTAATAGTTCCAGCTACACAGGCTTCTTTCTGGAACTTGGTATCCCCAGTGCCTCTTGGGTTCTGCAGTGACTGGGACATGAACATTTTCAAGTGAACACACTGGTCATTTGGATTAGGGAGATACTACTGAGGGTCTGTGATAAATGACCTCCCTCCTTGTAACGTCTGGGCTGAAGGACCTTTTCATAATGGCAGATAAATCAGATAAATGGTTATCACCTGCAGAGCCACAGTATTCCAGAGAACAGGAAGCATGCCCCAGCTGAGGCCCATGGGAAAATTTGAGCCATACATCCTTTTAGAAGCAGAGAAGAGAAGGCCAGTAGCCTGGGGCCCTGGGAATTCAGCCTGCAGCTCAGAATAGAGTCCTGGAATATCAGAGCTGGGCGGGACCTTTAAGAGCTATTTCTATCTGCCTCCTTCTATAGGAAACAGAGGTCAAGAGAGGGGAAGTGACTTGCTCAAGGCTGGAGAGATAACATGAACATTTTCTGATATCAGTTTTGCTTTGGGAACTATTCTGAGATGAGAGAAAAGAACCCACCAACCCAGAGAGTACATGACTAAAGACACAGACACTTGGCCAAACAATTTTCCTGGCTCAAAGGCCTCTTGAAACCTTATCTTGGGTGCATGGACTGTCTCTTAGAGAGGATGTGGCTCAGTGACAGCTCCAGTCATAACCTAAACAGAGGGGTCACTGGTCCCGGTTAATATTTGCATCCTGTGCTGTGGAATATGGAGTTCTATAAAGATCATTTACCTCTGAGTATAGGCAGATTGAGACCTAGCTTCTATTTGGACTGTCCCCTCTCAGAGGTCATCATATCAACATGATGGAGGGACCTTATCAAGTGAAGACAAAACATTCATAATAATGGAGACCCATGTGGCTGCGAATAATAAACTCTTCATTTTTCTATTTCTTCTTGTGGGCGACTATGTCCTTAGAGACTATTGTTATTTAGGACACCAACATGTGGCTGTATGTCCTCAATTTGTTTTCTTTCAACTCAATTCACCAAATATGTGTGTACTAAGTTCTGTCTACACTTTAATGTGAAGGGTGCCAAAAATTATTTATTTGTTATACGAGCTCAATAAGCAAGTTCCCTGCCTCTAGGAATGTGACACTTGGTAGAAGAATAAGATAAGTACTCAAAGGTATATGTGTTGGGGTATTCTCAGGGTATCGTAAATGCAATCAAAGATGGGCTGCCCTGGGGGTTTAAGGAATGGAAAAGATTGAATCCAGCTGAGGGAAATCAGAAAACATTTAGGAAGAAGAGAATAATCTTTGAGCTGGAGACTGAAACGTGAATAGAATGTAGGCAGGTAGAAATCATAGATGGAGGGTAGGGGGTGGGTAGAGTATGTAGGGAGAGGAAATAGTGAAGGCCTGGGGTATTCAAATCTCAGCTGCTCCTCCCCACTACCCATTACCTGGCGTCAGAAAGGGGCTCTGTTAAGGACAGAGAGCTGGGAAGGCACATCTGATAAGGAGAAGCCAAGAGGCTTTGGTTTCTATGAGTTTTCTACCTCAGCAGAAACAGCACAAACCTGCTAGGCAAAACTATGGCAGGGCAGCTGGGATTGGCCAAATTTCTGTGGAAGGACAGCTACTCTATGGAAGAACAGCTACTCTATGGGAAGACAGCTACTCTATGGAAGAACAGCTACTCTAGGGAAGGACAGCTACTCTCGCTATGTATGGCTGCTCTCTGCATGTCCATAAATTCATTACATCAGCTAAACAAATGCATTGACAGCTACCAACTGGCTCCTCAAAGCAATGTATAGAGAAAGCAGCCCAGGGGGGATTGCTCTCCTTTTATAGATGAGGAAATTGAAGCCCAGATAATTTGAACAAATTGGGCAAGGTGACTGGTGAATCTAGTGAGTGGTGAATGAATCTCATGATAAATGAATCTAGTGAGTGGTGGATCCAGGTCCACAATTGCAGCATCCTGATTCCCTAGCCAGTGCTCCTCAAGACATTAGGCAAATAAACAAAGGCTGTCTTATAACCCAAATGCCTCATGACTTTGTTTGTCAATGTTCCCGAGCTATCTCCTGGAGCCTTTCTGAAATCTGCTCAGGGCCCTTGAGGAGCATTGCAGACTTAATTTAGGCAGACATTTAGGGAGTATGCTGGATTACCCTGTTGCCAGTTTAGTTAATCTGGGAGCTACGTTCCCCAGACTTTCTTTCCCTGTATAGTTCTAGATTAGAGTTGGCCAAAAGAGGAATTTGTGCAAGTTTGAAAGGCAATAGTCATTACTCACTGAAGGCTGTTTTGTAATCACATACAGAGAAAGAAATGTGTAGATGTGTCCAACACATCCTCACTTGCTCTCACGTTCCTCTACTCTGCACCCGGCTCTTTATAACTACTGGCTCTGATGACCAACAGTGGCCCATGCCTATCATCAGATACTTTCAGGTGAAACCACAGAGGTGGTAGCTGCTTACAGCCAACAGCTTCTCAGAGACCCTTTTCCATGAGCCTCCCCTTCATTGTTGCACTTTGGCCCCTTAGGTAGAATTGACTTATCAGATTCCCTTGCAGATGCCAATATTTCCACCCATGCCAGGGCTTTAAGAGAACTGCTTGGTGACCTTTTCTCTAATCCTTTAAATCCCCATTTCCAACTTTTACTTGCCCAGCTCCTTCTATAATTACGAGTTCTAATACCCATAAATATTCATTATCTCACATTACTCATAAAGACTTTGCTTTCCTGATTGAAGTCTGACTGAAATAGTTATTGATACCAGAAGTAGAATGCTGCAGTAACAAAAAACTAGAATATGTGGCTTCAGTTTTAGGATTGGCTAGCAAGTAAATTCTAGAAAAACAGTGAAGAGACTGCTATAGGAGTCTAAAACAGACCACTTGAATAATGCAATGGTGAATCAATTGGCAAAACTTGTCTGCGGCAACTTAGAAGGTAGAAAAATGTATGTAATGGGCAAGGTGTGATGCCTCATACCTGTAATCTCAGAAATTTGGGAGGCCAAGGTGAGAGGATCACTTGAGCCCAGGAGTTCAACACCAGCCTGGGCATCATAGCAAGACCCTGTCTCTACAAAAAATACAAAAATTAGCCAGGTGTGGTGGTGCGGCATGTGCCTGTAGTCCCAGCTACCCTGGAGGCTGGGGTGGGAGGATCACTTGAGCTTGGGAGGTTGAAGCTGCAGTGAGCCACGATCATGCCACTACACTCCAGCCTGGGCAACAGAGGACAGAGCGAGACTCTGTCTATGAAAAAGAAAGAAAGAAAGAGAGGAAGAAAGAAAGAAAAGAAAAGAAAAGAAAATAGAAAAGAAAAGAAAAGAAAAGAAAGGAAGGACTGTATGTAGTGAACTTGCATATCTGGCTAAGGAGATCTCTAGACAGAATGTTGAAAGTGTCAGTGTGTACTTCTGGTTGTGTATGGCAATGTACTTCAGGAAGAAGTAAGTCTTCAATATGTGAGCAGAACTTAGAGGAAATATAGAGGGCCCAGAACTAGCTGGGTTGGAAAACAGTTTATCCACTAGTAAAAGATTTTAAGGCCGGGTGTGGTGGCTTACGCCTGTAATCCCAGTACTTTGGGAGGCCAAGGTGGGTGGATAACAAGGTCAGGAGTTCGAGACCAGGCTGGCCAACATAGTGAAGCCCCATCTCTACCAAAAATACAAAAATTAGCTGGGCGTGGTGGTGTGTGCCTGTAGTCCCAGCTACTCAGGAGGCTGAGGCAGAGGAATTGCTTGAACCTGGGAGGCGGAGGTTGCAGTGAGCTGAGATCATGCCATTGCATTCCAGCCTGGGCAACAGAGCAAGACACTGTCTCAAAAAAAAAAAAAAAAAGATTTTAAAACCAAAAATGGCTTCAGGGTAAATGTCAAATCAATGGTGTGACTGTAAGAATCATTTGTTAAGACCTAGAAGATTTAAGGCAGTACCCAGTACTCCCTATCAGCCAGACCACAAGGCACCTAAGAATCTTAAGAGCATTATTCTGTAGCACCCTGACATGCCCTTCAAAGTAGGAAGACCTATTTTGAAAAGAATTGTGGATATGTTTTTCATCTAGTGGAGTGAACTATATTCTGCTACATTGGAGACCCAAAAAGATTTTAAGGGAGCTATATCCGCTTGGACTAGAAATGACTGTGGCAATTCAAAATGAAAAGAGGCTCCTGAGCCTCAGGTTTCTATGTACAGAAAGCGAACTGAATAGACTACTCAGCTACAAACATGGGCCATTTCTTACAGAAAGGAAAGAATGTCTCAGAAGACAAAGCTAAGAAGCCAGAGGCAGAGTCAAGATCAGAGGCAAGAGCCACTCTCACCACTCCCAGAGAGCAATGGACTGGGGATCCACTCTCACCCCTCCAAGGAAGCAGAACTGGGCTCTAATCAAGGAACATTCTTGGTATCTGGAGTTGGCAACATGTGCCTGGCTAAATTTCAGAATTACTATGGAGCAGTAATTGCTATATGCCTCTCATTTTTTCCATTTTTCAATGGAAATTCTATTGTGGTTATCTTATTCTTCTCTCACCAAGACAAGGAGATATTGAGCATGTGGAGAGCAAATAACTTTTCTTTTGGGTTCAGAGATCTCTAGATCAAGAAGAGATATACTTCAAGAGCTATACCTTTGTGTGTCATCTAATTCTAGACATGATTTAGATCATGAGGTCCTGGAGTTCAAGCCTGAACGGCTAATGGGATAAAACTTTGAGAGAAGGGGCAAAAGCACATTTCACATATGCAAAGGACAAGAATTATTTTGTCCCTAAGATAGATAATAATACATTGTTTGCAAAAATTATTCACAATACTTTCTTCCATTTCTGCACACAGATAATTCTGCAATGTAACTTCACTGCTCATTGATTGGCCTAACTTGGTCTGACAACAAGTATACGATGCGTTAAAAGCAGTATACTATTTCCAAATTTAGGCCTCAAGGGACCTTGCAGCTATTAACAAAGATTCTTTGCTTAGCCAAATTTTAGTCAGGCTTCTGAAACGTCTCCTCAACTCATCTGTGCACTTCCTTGTAAAACTCAGTTTTAGCAAAATCTTTGCTGAATCAGTGCAGCAAGAACGCCCCATCCCTGAAATCTTTTCACCCTAGAGTTCCAATTGGGATCTTCATCCTCCACCATCCCCACGGGTGCTGTCTGATCATCTTGGCCTGTCACCAGCAAGAATCCTGTTAGGTCATTTTAGCTAGAACCCCTCTTACCCCTGATGTTTCCCATTAGTAATTTAACATCCACTGACCACCACCATGCTCCCTGGCTATAAATCCCCACTTGCCCATGCTATACTCAAAATAGAGCCCAATCTCTCTCCCTCACTGCAAAAATCCCATGCCGTGGTCCCTATCCTTTTCATCCCTGTCCTGAATAAAGTCTGCCTTACCACACTTTAACAAGTGTCATTGAATAATTTTTTCTTTAACACTTTCACATGTGGAATACTGCCCTGAGGCAACTGTGTGAAGAAGCCCTGTGAGGCCATAGGGCTCAGCGGCCACATAGGGCAGAGATGAACCATCTGATTAAAATGTCTAGACCAATTCACTGGCATTCACTATCAGCTACCAGATGAGAAACTAAGGCCAAAGATGACCTTCAGACATGCCTCTGAACAACTGTAGCTGCATGAAGGACCTCAGGCTAATCCAGCAAAAGGACCATCTCATTGGGCCCAGCTCAAACGCCTGACCACAGAATCATAAGCAAACAAAATGGATATTGTTTTAGCTGCTAAGTGTTGGAGTGGTTTATCACACAGCAATAGATAACTTTTATAGCAAGTAAGAAAGTGATTTGGGACAAAGAATAGGCTCACGTTTGTAAATTGAAATTTGGAGAACCACAATCTCATGGGTTTCTGGGGCCTCAAAAGTCACCTAGTCTAACTTATTATCTTTTTACCACACCCTTAGCAAATATCATACCACCTTTTCACTATCAGCTGCAGGGATGAGAAACTCAGTATCTTCCAAGATAGATCAGGCTGTTTTGGATTATCCTTGACTTTGAAAGTTATCTGTTGGTTCCATATCTGGGAATATAACCTAGGGAAAAATATTCCAAATGTGGAAAAAAACTTTTATAAACAAAGATATTTATAGCAGTCATATGATATTAGAATATTAGAAATAACTGTAAATATCCTTTTCTAGAGAAATAAGTTAGCATTAACTTCTAAATACAAGGCAGCCATTAATTATCACATTAATCGAGGGTTTATAGCAATATGGAAATATTCTTAGGAGGCAATATTAAGTGAAAAAGCAGAAAAAATAGTATATATGGTATAATTATACCTATGTTGAAAGTACGCATTGAAAATAAAAAGTAGAAGGAATTAGAGTAACTGTTAGCAATGGTTAGTGGAACTATAGGTAATTTTTCTTTTTCTTCTCTTTTTACATTTAAAAAGAAACTTGAGCTCAAAGCTGCTTCCCTCTAGCTTCCACCCCATGGTATAAAATTGGTTAATTCCAGTCAACAAACAAGGGGAGCACACAGGAAGGGCAACTTAACTAGCCTGGAAGTGCAGGGTCATTCATCTGCTATCACCCTCCTCCCCCCTTGTCTTCCCTTCATCACAGAACATGGCGTGGGAACTCCTCAGCACTCTGTCACCTCCTCTCATTTCTCTAGCCCTTGGGTCGCAACAGAGTTGAAAAAGAGATCTTTGCTTCATAAACAATAAGGTGAAAAGTAAAATTCTGAGAAAATATCAAGAAACTCAGAATACCTAAAACTCACAGATGGCAGCGTATGGCAGGGAGGGTCTCATGTCAGGGGACAGTTTTTGTGACTGTGAAGTCCAAGGAGTGAGTAGGTGGGTGTAAGTGGATGGCTAAGGGGAGAGAGAAGAGTTTCTTAGTCCAGAGTTCATGAAGACCTAAAGGACAGGAAAGGGAGAGAGACAGAAAAAGAGAAGAAAGACAGATCTTAGATGTTCAAGAAAGGTTGCAATAAGAACATCTGTGCCCTTTGTTGACTTCTCAAGAGTGAGTCAAATTGTGAATTGTTTTCAATTTGTTAGGTTTTCTGTTTCTTTAGGATGCAACGCCTTACTTATTGGGGCATCTCATTTTTATATGATCTTCTCCAATGATTAGATGTTGGAAAAATTACTTAAACTCTCTGTACTGTAGGGTGAATTGTGTCCCCCTAGAATACATGTTCAAGTCCTAACCCCTGTTTCTCTGCATGTGACCTTATATGGAAACAGGTCTTTGCAGATGTAATCAAGTTAAGATGACACTACAAAGGGTTAGAGTGGACCCTAACCCAATGACTGATATCCTTATAAGAAGAGGGAAGTTTGGACACAGAGACACACACAGAGGGATGACAGCCATGTGAAGACAGAGGCAGAGATTAGAGTTATGCTGCCACTAGCCAAGGAGTGCCAAAGACGGCCCGCCTACAACTGCCTATTCTAGAAAGCTAGAATAGGCAAGGAAGGATCCCCCTCTGGAGCCCTCAGAAGGAGCATGGTCCTGCAGACACCTTGATTTCAGACTTTTCACCTCCAGAACTGCGTGAGAACAAATTTCTGTTGTTAAGAAATTTAACAACTTAAACAGCCACCTAGTTTGTGGACATTTATTACAGAAGTCCTAGGAAACTAATATTCTCTGTATATAGTTTTTCTCATATGTAAAATAGTGAAAATAATCCTATTTATATTACAGAACTGTTGTAAATAGGATGGGAGGTGATATACATAAAACACTCAGAAAAGTGCCCGGGATACGTTGAGCACTCAGTACATCAATGAGAAAAACAGGACTGCTGAGATCCATCCACCAACTGAGATGACACGTTCTGGCTCCCAGCTAGTGGGGCAAGGGTCACTTCATGCATTTGGAGAACATTAAGAAGCTGAGATTGTCCCTGGATACTATTTCTCCATTTCACTCCTTTCCTAATCTCGCTGAAGCCATCAGCAGTGGTTTCCCCTTTTGTGAGGATTCACAACCCAGGCTGATAGAGCTGGAAGGGCACCTAGAGAGACCTCCCAGCCCAGCCTCCTCCTCTGGCAGGTGGCATATTAGCTGTTTGGCTCTTTGCACTTTACAAAGCCTTCTAACAGTCCTGGGGCTGAGAGACATCAAAAGGGTACTCTTAAGTTATGAAAGACGATCAGAGCAAAGTGAGGGATCTCTAAAGGCTTCTGTCCACAAGAAGATGGCATTAAGTCTAGGAATTTCTCTCTTTACTTTGCTGTGCTTCAAAAGATTTTCCTAGATGCGTGAGCCGTAGGCCAATGATTCACCGACAGCCCCGGGCTGACTCCTGCTCATTGTGCGAGCTCGGTACTCCTGAGCTCACCTTCACGGAAAGTCCATCACTCCCAGCTGCTGGGCCAGTGGTTAATGGCCCAGTCCTGCTACTTCACCAGGTAGCTTTAATTTCAGTCAGTGATCTGAGTAGAAGCAAGTTAAAGGCACCTGATACCAGATAGAAACTTGGGTCTAGAAACGAAGGAGGCATCTGGTATGTGTTTGCATGTGTGTGCTGCACTTCAGAAACTCTTGAAAGCCATGTAAAGTAAAAATAACACAGCTGGCAGATCTAAGCTCAAGTTGACTTCAAATGAGAGGTTCTGGAGGTTGATGCTCCAGTCCTGGCTCAAGTCTTTCGGCCATAAAAAAAGAGTAATAATAATCAGCCAGGCACCTTGGCCCATGCCTGTAATCCCTGCATTTTGGGAGGCCGAGGTGGGTAAATCATGAAGTCAGGAGTTCAAGACCAGCCTGGCCAACATTGTGAAACCTTGTCTCCACTAAAAACACAAAAATTAGCCGGGCGTCCTGGCGGGCACCTGTAATCCCAGCTACTCAGGAGGCTGAGGCTCAAGAATCGCTTGAACCCGGGAGGTAGAGGTTCCAGTGAGCAGAGATTGTGCCATTGCACTCCAGCCTGGGTGACAGAGCGAGACTCCATAAAAAAAAAAAAAGTAATAAAAATAATGATGATGATAATAATTCCTTGTTCTATGTGGAACTTTCCAGTTGACAGGGCACGTTTACCTTCTCTATTTTATTTGCTCCTAATGGCAGTCATGTAGTGAGTGCACTTCAGGGAGACAGTTCTGAGTCCATGGAGGTGACATGACTCCCCCAAGTCCACATAGCCTACAAGTAGCAGACCTGAGACAACATCAGGATGTTCTGACATCCAGGTTTGGCTCAATAATTGGAATCACACAGCTGATAAGCCACCTGCCAGAGCAAAGGTCAGAGCTGAAAAGAACATGAAAAGACCTCAAGTCTATACCTGGCGGAGGAACAGACTTGTTCAAAGTCAGTCAATGGCAGAGCCAGTACTGGGGCCTAGGTGCACTGCTCTTTCCAGGATGGTGTTCTTATTTGTTAATTAGGGTGAAAACCTCCTAACAGAGCTGAGTGAGCCCCTAAGCAGGTATTGTGTACATGCAAATGCTTGGCGCCATAAAGAATGTGGGGGCCTGAGAAACAGCTGGTGGGGGCCAGAGAAACAGCTGGCAGGTCCTAAGAGTCCAAGAATCCCACTGCTGCCAGGAAGGATTGCCCATTCTCGGGAGGGCTCTGGACAGAAAAGGGCAGCATGAGCAGAGGGAGAAGAAAGAGCTGGCAGGGGAGGGGTCCTGCCAAGAGCCTGGGAAGCGGGCATCCCGCAGGTGGGAAACCAGCAGTGCCCACCGTCTCAGAGGGAGCTGGGCTTGGGGGGTGGGGTGGGAGGGAAGAGTCTGGAATTGTGTCTGGGAGGGAGAGCCAGGGAGGATTGGCACTGTTTGGCCTGAGAATGGCTCAGACTCCCCCACCTCACCCCTTCTGGGACTCCAGAGCTGAGCTCATTCATATGCAAATCCCTTCAGCAACTTGGAGGCTGGGCCCCAAACAGTTCAGGACGGGAAAATAGCCTGAGGATGGGAAACACAAAGGGTTGCTGTGTTCTTCTGCGGCAGAAGCTGCGTGGCTCCAGGTGTGTCATAGCCAGGACGTGGGTGAAGGCAGTGATGAGGCTTGTGCTGAGTGGACAGAAGGGGCCGCCTTGGGCCAGTGTCTTCCAGCAGAGTTTCAAGGATTGTGAGCTGCTGTGTTCCTGTGACACTGCCCAGGACCTTGCCCTGACTCAGGCTAAACTTATATCCTCAAATCTTTGCACAGAAATCCTACAAGAGTGCTGGAATAAGGACCAACTGTCATAGCTCTGCCACTCATACCTCAGGGGTCACTTAAACCTCCCCAGGCGGTAGGTGTGCTGGAGCCGGCAGCTCACACCAGTTTATAAGAGCCAACTGTCAGCTTTTCAGAGATTTTGCTACCCTGTTGTTAAATCCAGCCATCATCAAGTTTCATAAACTTAAAATTAAGTACATTCTATTAGAAACCAGTTCTATGAAAACCAGTTCTGTGAAAACTCATTACTTCCTAATTATGTGATTGTTCTATGCTCTATGCTCTGCGGGCTCTCTGTGTCTGTGCTATCTGAATGTCGAATGATAAGCCACTGCGCATCTCTTTGCCCCCATTCCCTGCCCCCACCCCCCAATCTGGTTGTTAGCACCCATGCCCCTGTCTCCAGGGCACAGTTTTCACAAACGTAAAAAGTGGACATTAATACTCTGAGCATCAGGTCAAATGAGATTCGGGGCATGAAAGCAGCTTGTAAAGCCTGCCATTGGCTGGCAGCATTTAACAGGAACCCTGTTTTCCAGTCTCCCATCCCGCCCCCCATCTGTACCTCTCAGTCTTCATTCATGTTCCTGCCCTCCAGCCACACTGCCATCCTTGCTATTCTTCAAACACACCAGGCACTTTCCACCTGAGGGCACTGAATGTTCCCTCTGGTTAAAGTGCCCCCCAGGGTAGCCCCCCCAACAAGAAAGCCACATGGCTAACCTTACCTGCTTCAAGTGTTTGCTCAAATGTCACTCTCTCAATGAGCACCATATTTAAATCAGAGCCCCCATCTCAACTCATGCAGAGCCCTGCTCTATTTTATTTTTGTCCATAAACTTATTACTTAGTACATAATTTAGTTATGTATTATGTTTAGTGTTTATTGTCTGTTTATCCCAGTGCAATGTAAGCCTCACTTCAGAGATTTCTATCTGTTCTAATTACTGCTGTACCCTAAGCTCTAATAAATTGTAGGCACTGGATGAATATTTGTTGAATAAATGAATACCTCTTCGTCCCTTAACTTTTCCCTTTATAAGCACATCGAAGTAAAGTCAGGCACTGCTCTTCACCAAGGTGTTTTCAACAGCAACCTGTAATATACTCAAGCACAGAGATATGCACCCCATGTGCACCCACACCTGGGACCTTCCCAGCTCACACTCACCCACATGCTCTTCCTCAGCACTGCGAGCTTCCTTTTGTTTTCCATCACCCTGAAGCCTGTGCTGTTTGCACTTTTGGCATAAAATGAGCTTTCATTACACTTTCCTGAAGCAAGCTCATTTTCATTTTCTAATTCTTCTGAATAAGCTAGAATTGGTGTTTGGGTCCTGGTGTCTCTGGAGTGGGAGAATTCCACCGGAGACTACAATTGAAATTCATGAGAAATGTTTACCCATTTCTCATTTCCTTCTGGGGCCAAGGCCTCCTGTCCACTCCCAGAGAATGAGCAGAGTTATGCAGTAGGTGAAATGAGTTCAGCCGGAAGGTCGAGGGCATGTTCTAAGTAAACACAGAGCATTGCACAGAAATTAGGAGCTTAGGGGTCAGAAGAGTCCCACTTGGGAGCGACTTACCTCTCAATTACACAGCAGGATGCAGACTGACCCAATGTGGCCTGAGGGAAGGGGCATTGGACTGGGAGTCACAGACCATCAGAACTGGAAGGGTTTGGAGAGGCCAGCTGGTCCAGTTCCCTCATCAGGCAGATGGGGAAACTGAGGCCTTGAATGAAGACGTGACTTGCCCAAGCTCTCAGCAGGAGTCAGCAGCTGTTTTCTAGGCCAGAGCCCTTTCCACTGCCAGGAGACATGTGCCTTTTCCTGTTCTGCCCAGGACTGTGCTTTCTACTGGAGAAAACACAGACATAGGCCCTGAACTCATGGGGCTGGCAATCTAGTGGGAATGAGCTTGAGCTCATCAGAAAGGATGTACTACAAGCAGATGATACAAGCACTTGCAGATTCACTGTAGTTCAGACTCCATTTTCTATTATTTTTAAAAAACATTTTTTTCTCTCAAAGGATAAAAGAGAACGTTATTTAAAATAATCTAGACAATATAGGGACCCTCAAGGACCTTCTGTTTTACTAAATTTTATGAAATCATCTTGACAAATAGAGTATTGTTTCAGGAATAATGCATGGCCAGGAAACACAACAGGACCCCTTCCACAGTAAAGCCTGTTCTGAGGAAGGCTGCATGGAGACACAGAACCATGACTTGGGGAGTTAGAAGAGCAGGGATTCAAGCCTGGCTTTCCTGCAGAGACTTGAACAAATTCACTTGTACCTGTTTCCTTTTTTGTAAATTAGGTGCAATAATCCGTGCTCTTCCTATTCCATGGGAATCAAATGAGTTAATAGATTAGAAACTGCTGTAAAATGTGTGTTTCTACAAGGTAAATACAAAGGAGAAATAAATAACCTCCTGCTTTCGAATAGTGCTTTGGAAGCACTTTTCCATAAATTGCTAGAAAAAACTCAGTAACATTAGCAAGGTCATACATAGGCAGTCAGTGGTAGGGTCAGAGTTGATAAGAAAACTGACATTCATTGAACATCTGGTGATACCAGGCAGACACTTTATTACTCATACCATTGCCTTCATTACCACTATAATAGTACTTTTGAGCTAATTAGAGATGTGTTGGACATATGACATTAAAGCATTTACTTCATTTGGCATTCACAGTAAGTCTATGAAATAAGCATCATTATTATCTCCATTTTACAGATGGAGAAGAAAATCTTAGCAAGGTTAAGCAACTGCTCCAGTAAGAAGTGGAGGCAAGACTTGACGCTGGGTCTGAATGACTCCAAAGTTTGAGCTCCCAACCACTGAGCACAACTGCGTTTTGCAGTACTGATTCCACTTAGACCCTCATGTCATTCAAATCCTCCCACAACCTGTGAGGAAGACGTTGTATTCATTAGGAACTCTTCCTTTCAACTGATGACAAAACCATTGCTGAGGGAGATCAAGGAGCTTCACCAAGGTTCCTCACTCAGATGGTGGCAGAGACAGAATTTAATCCTCACTGTGTTAATCCTCTCTCCATCACTGTCTCTGTGCTCTTTCTACACCCACTCTTACGACTCTTTAAGCTCTGTCTCAAAATTTAGACCAGCATTTCCAGCTGTATTCAAAACTCAATGCACTTCAGTGCACTCTATATCTTTCTAAATCTACACATCTTCACGTTCCTGATCTCAATTTCTGGGTAAGTAGCCAATAAGTTGTCATAACTGGGGCTTAAAGCCTCTGATTCCTCCTTTTTCCTCTCCCATACGCAGCCAGTTCCTGTGGAGTTTACCTCTGCACATCCTACCTGCTCTTCCATAGCTGTCCAGGAGGCCTGTGGGCTTTCTTGAAGTATACTACGCTCCACATAGTCATATCCAATCTATTTAGCACAGCCACCTAAATGGCCTCATTCAGCAGCTCCAGTTTATTTTGACTTTACTAGTCCTTGACATCCCTCATGTAGCTCCAGATTAACCTTCCTCAAGCATACCCTCGACTGTGTCACATCCCCGAACCCCACTGCCCCACCCCTCCGCCACATCACAGCTTCTAATTGGACGTCCTAGACTAAAATGCTAAAAGATGCCAGGCAGAAAACATAAATGAGTGAAACAAGCTGCTATGAATTCTTTAGACAGAAATATACACTTTGCGTGTTAAATACAGAGGGATATTCTTCACTCTGCAAAGAAATTTTTCCTGAAATACGTGTCTTTCTCAAGAACTTTCAACTTTTCTACTTTTGATAGAGACACTGGGGAAAAATGATTCACTTTCTTTACTGTAAAATCAGCAATGGTGCCATTAAGAGGCCAGAAAGCATTAGCATGGGGGAGCTATAGAGAATGGTGGGGACCCTACCCACAAGGCCACCTCTTCCTGGTGTTGGCTGATTGTTGAAGGCAGGAAGCTGCAAGAGTTGCCAGATTTTCTAATATTCTAAGAGAACTTGGAAATGCAGATTGTTGTGTGAGATCGGAAATTTTATGTTGTCATAATTCTTTCTTTTTTTTACACCCCCAAATCATAGTATAAGTTAATATTAGGCTGGCCAACAAAATCCATCTGTGAAATTAATTCAACCTTTGACCACACGTATGTGATTTGGGGAGCACATGCTTAAACCCAAATTTACCAAACATTTCTCAGTTGACCCTCAGATAACCTTTCTGGGCTTTACGTCTCCCCAAAACATGCCAACTCTGATTATTCTCAGTTTTGCATCATTCCCATCCTCTTCAACCTCCCTGCTTTGATGGTAGCTCTGCTAAGAAATCCTACTTAGAGAACTGCACTGCCAAATTATTATTTACCTCTAAAGACTAATCTCAAACATCAACTATTTCCAAAGCCCTCCCTGGCCATCTAAAAATGACCACTCCCAAACTTATATACTGACTGATAACCCTTGTGTTACTTTGTCTGGCTTTATTATGCACTTATTTCATTATATTCTATGGAACCGTGAATTCCTTGAGGACTTTATAGTTCATTTTACTTCGAAGAATTCTTTTTACTGATCTTTGCAGACCCAGTCTTTGGCATAGTGTCCAGCTTATGGTAGATTTTCAATAGGATTACTGTGCTTCATTCCATAGACAATGGGGAGGCATTGAAAGATTTTTAGAGTAGCATAATCAAAGCTATGTTCCAAGAAGATCCTTCTGGATACTCATAGAAGGTAGGCTAGATGGGGAGAGGCTGACATCTGGTAGACATATAGAAGGCTATTACAATAGACTAGTTGAGAGGAATAAGAATTGGAACTAAGGAATTAGCAGTGGAGAGGATGGAAGAAATGTCGAATACATCAAGGATATAGGGTTAAAAGGAGAACAGTGGCATTGCATTACATAAACATGTCACAGATGCTATTAAAATATTACACATGGTGACATAAAGAGAAAGAAAGAAAGAGAGTGCAATCCAAATGCAGATGATTTATGCTTCCTTTTACAGTGAATAGATGCCATGAAATGAACTTGAAATTGGAACGTGTAATCTGCTGTTCTCTTGTTGGTTCTGGTTTCTAACTATCTAGACTCTCTCCATAACTATAGCTTCATAGTTTCTTTGTAAGTATAAATGGACCACTTCATCTGGTGCTCAACCAAAGGAACTTTAATTTCTTGCATTTTTGGAAAAAAATTCTTTTCTGGGCATCTAAAAGATAATGCTTTGCAATATTTAAGGGATTTTTTAATGGTAAGTTTGACTAGAGACAATATTTGTCTTATGTTACAACATAAAAACTAGTCATTCACAAGATGGGACTTTGCTGTTTTTTAATCTGTTAAATAATTCTGTTAAATAAATAGAAGAAAAGACTGAGAATCTTAAGATGTAAATTCTAATACAAGCATGATGTTGGCCAATCAACTGCCCTTCCCTGGACTTTGGACATGTTGATCATGGGGTTGGATCATGATTTCTAAGGTCTTAGATGCACAGAACATCAAGGCAAAGTAGACCTTAGAGACCATCTGGTTTAACCGTTTGTATTTGAAAGAGGAGGAAACAGAGTCCATTTTAGGTGCAGTCATCTGCCCAAGGTTAATGAGTATAGAATGACACCCAGGACCCAGGCTGCCTGACTCCCTGACTAGTATCTGTGCTTTGCCTCTTGCCTGCAGCATTAACCAGCCTTGATTCGTATGCCTCATCCGTACACTACAGGAATCTAAACATTGCAGCCACATGCCAAGGAAGCAGATGCTGCTGTGCAGATGTGCATGAGTCTTGAAGACCAAGAACTGTGGGAAATCAGGCAGGAGAGGAATTTTCATAAATGTGAGCATCCGGACCACAGACTTGGGAGTCCTGCTCTTCTTCAGGCTACTGATGAGCAGTATGAGCAGTTCCATCATCATCGCCCCTATGGGCCTGGGTGGGAAGGGCAGCTTGCGGGGTTGGGCTGGGCTGGAAAATGTTCCTGTGAGTTGGAAGGTTTCTTAAACCTACTCCTATGTAGGCCTGTGAGGAGAATTTAGTCATAGAGGAAAAATGCCTCAAAACAGGGAATTTTATCCTGTCAAAGGCAAGTCAGTGATATTTTAAGTTTCTTGGTAAAGAACAGTGTTGGCATGATATGTTTACAAGTTCTGTGATGACATACCACCAAGGCATCCCCAGCAGGCTGCAGGCTCCTACTGGAGTGCTTGCAGTTATGCAACATTGAGAAGCAGCTGCTGTAAACATACGATTTCTGTTTTCTGGTGTTATCCTGACTATGATAAGGAGTGTTTGGTGGGGTCATCTTGGAAGTTCTGGTGAGGAGGATTGGGATTACAATTCCAGAATTGAAAGGACCATGGGGATCATCTTGTTCCATCCTCTCACTGAACAGAGGAAAAAACAGAATTTTGGAGAGGGATGTGGATTTACCTGGGGGCCACATGGCATATTTGCGCTTTTATTCAGATGGAAAGGGAAAAGCTTCTCTTCCATTTATAGCCAGAAAAAGCATATATGCTAGGGGCTAGCATTGGCCAGGCGATTAGAAAAAGTCAGTGGGTTTCAACTCAGTGTGTAAGACTTCTGGGTTTGGGATTTCAGAGGCAGACTGCTCACCCACTCTCTGAACTCTGACCTCCTCTTCTGTCCAATAGGAATGTGGCCAGAGCAGCAAGATTCAAGCCATAATCCCTCAAGGTGCTTCAGGGTAACCAAGAAGGATGAGCAAGCAAAACCACCTTCAGCTAGAGCAGCTCACTTCTGTCTCTTCTCTACGTTGGGCCTAACTGAAGATTTTCAAGAAGAAAATGTGGGCCGGGTGCAGTGGCTCACGTCTGTAACCCACTTTGGGAGGCCGAGGTGGGAGGATCACGAGGTCAGGAGGTCAAGACCATCCTGGCCAACATGGTGAAACCCCGTCTCTGCTAAAATACAAAAAATTAGTCAGGCATGGTGGCATGTGCCTGTCGTCCCAGCTGCTCAGGAGGCTGAGGCAGGGGAATCACTTGAACCCGGGAGGTGGAGTTTGCACTGAGCCGAGATCCCGCCACTGCACTCCAGCCTGGCAACAGAGCAAGATTCCGTTTCAAAAAAAAAAAAAAAAAGAAGAAGAAGAAAACGTGTACTGGGGAGAATATATTTGAAAACCACAACTTAAGATGAGATGCGTCCCCAGAGGGCCCCTGCAGCCTGACATTCTGTGAGTTCTCAGCTCTAGGAGGGCAACTCACTGGGTGTGTGTAGGCAGGGGCACAGGGTGGTTTCCACATGAGCACCAGTAGTCAGCCAACTAGCATGCAGCATCCTGCAGAGGGGAGGCCTGCTGGTGCCCCACGGCTGTTGGAACCTCTGCAGAAGGCTAATGCTGACATTAGGGTGGCCTTCTGGAAGAGAGTCAGCTGTGCAAGCACAAGTGGAGAAGTCTATCTCACCTCCCGCCGCCACCATGTTAATCTCTTCTTTGAAAGGAACTGGAAAATTGTCCCAACTCACAGATGCAAGGACTGTAGGGCACTTCAGGTAGGCAGCTCAGTCCCTAAGTTGCCTCAAGTAGACTACTTCTCTGTTATGCCCAGAGGTCATCTGTCTAATTTTGGAGCAGAGAGGGTGCTGTAAAATAATATTCTTCTCCACTCCATGTCATTTGGGGAGTTAGTGACAGATCTGAGACCAGAAAAGGCATTTCCTGAATTCCATGTAAGGGCCCAGGACCATGCTGCCCCTTCCAGAGGGCCCATGTCCATCTACTTGTGGTTTCAGGAAGGAGTCTCACCACTCTAGATAGAAACCATCAACCAATTTCCAAAATATTCTCTAGCCAAGAAAGTCAAGCTTTGGATAGAAATCTATTCCAGTGTCTTTAATTCAGTGTTAGAAGAGGTCTTCAGATTATATTATTGCTCTTGAAAAGTATCATCATTTTTTCCCATTAACAAAATGCTGCTTTATGTCAGCTGCTTCATCTGCCTTCCTTGGATACTCCACTTATTTGGAGCAAAGAAATGAGCTAAATCCTCTCTTGTGTGTTTATCATCTTGATGAAGGAGACCTAACAAGGTTAAATTTGTCTTCTGTCTGAAAAAGAATCAAACTTAAGAGAAAGAGTTTCTCAATGACTATGAAGTTAAGAGTCAAATCTTAAGGAGGAGAGGGGGCAAATTATGAGAAGAAGTCATCCCTACAACTGAGCAAAAAAATTCTATAATTTCTGTGATCTTGAGCCTCAGGTACCAATAAAAGCTATTGGCACTGACAAAATTTCTAGATGGTTAGCATGTTTGAAAGTAGAGAAAAATGTGGTTAGAAAGTTCATATCTAGCCTTGTCTAAATCCATGGAACTTATTGTCATATTAAACCAGTGTTTGGTAATTTTTCTTCCGGTTAAGACAACTCTCCAACCAAAATACTAAAGAATGCCATGATTTTGTGACCAACATTATTTGGGGGAATGGGCCGGGAGATTCCACTTAGCCTGAGGACCCATACCTACAATCCATCTTATCCTGGAGTTTAACTCTGGATAACCCTTTTATCCTGAAAAGCGTAACTGGCCTTTTTGTCAGAAAGTTCAGTTTAGGATGATACATACTCATGGCCTCAGTGAAGACCCCCCTGGTTGATCCTTGTGACCCTGAGAAATTTGTTCTATTTTTAATGAATTTGTAGAAATCGCATCTAGATTACCAATCCGCGTTGTCTCTTAGAGCAACCAGTTCCACATTTTCTCATTCTTTATCAGTTAGTCTTTATTGCCATCACTGTTTTCTATCTTGTGCAATGGCTATTTTCAAGACTCATCTTTCTTTTTAAGGGACCAGATCTTTTGTGTCCTAAAATTTCCACCGTCCCTAGCACAGGGCATTCTAAGAGGGCATCATCCCATATAGCAGTGGTTCTGGGACATTGAACAACATCTGGACACATTTATGATTGCCATAACTGGTGGGGCCGGGGCTGCTACTGGCACCTAGTTAGGGTAGAAGCTAGGGATGTTGCTAAAAATCCCACAATGCTCAAGACAGCTTTTCTCAGCAAATGATCTGGTTCAAAATATCAGTAGTGCTGAGGTTAAAAATCCCTACCATGGAACACCAATTTTGGAAAATTTTTAGACGCAGAGACCTATTGTAAATGGGACATTGCAGGCAGACCCAACATATACAATGACAATACTCTACATATAAAATAAGCGGAAGCACAGTGCCTTTGTATGCCTCTGCTGTATCTTAGGCTCAGTGGAGAATAGCTTGGGAGTTGTTTGGTGTAGACAAAAGAGCATGTGATTCAAAAACACAAGGCATGGGTTTGAGACCTTAATCCATCACTTACCAGATGTACAACCTTGGGTGAGTTGCTTAACCTTCCTGGGTTACTTCTTTACCTGTGAAATGGGGTCATGGCTCCTGTCTCAAAATTGTTTTAAAGTTTGATTGAGATTATAATTGTAAAAGCACCTTGTAAACTCACTTCTCTGCTGTTGACCAAATATTCTGGTTAATACAAGGTTAATTCATGTTGAATTACTGGCTATGGAATAATGAGTCTACAATAATACTAAAAATATCTAAATGCTCTAGAGTTGTTTGATGAGAACCTCTTTCAGGAAGCTGGAGAGAGCTTAGAAGGTAGGTTCTTAGGTCTCCACGTCTTTTTTAACTAGATATAACTGCAATAAACTTGATCCCTTAGAAATATTCTGACCTTTTTCAGCCTCACTTTAAAAGAAGAACAGCTTCCCACCCATGGAATTTTTTTTTTTGTGGGGGGTTCTCTAAATTCCAGGGTATATTGTTTTGATGTGGTCCTGCTCTTCCCCCATATTTACTTTTTACATCTACTTCTGATGGTGACCGTCCCCTTCCTACCCACACTTTTTGCTGATAAAATGCAAACTACTTGGCATGACATTCAAGGCCCTTAAGAATCTCGCCTCCACTCACCTTCCTACTTCATCTCTGACTCTTTACTACTGTATATCCTGCACTTCCCAAATACTTGATCTTTATTTGGGAAATTGGACAATGCTTTCTAATGCCTCAACTTTGGACATAATTATGGTTCTCTTTCCATGATTACTGCTTACTCTGAGGTCTCTGCCCTTTTCTGCTTGTTGAATTAAAGGTGATCTTGGAACAGAGGCTGGTAGAAACACTAAAGGCTTTGAGAACAGGAAGAAAGAAGGGATGTTGTGTTGGGCTGAGTCATACTCTATCAATCAGCTTCAGTTTCCTTCATGGACCTTTCTAGTTCTACCCATCAGCTTGCACTTAGCTTTCCACCTTGACCTGAATTCATACCATTGTGATGTTGTGTGTCTCTCTTACTATATGCCACCCTGGAAGGGTCTAATTTCATATTGCCTTGTCTAAATCCCAGAAGAGAGCCTGGCCCAGTTAGGGGACATCAGGAGTCTCACCTTCACATAGTCATATTCACAAAGGTAGGAGGATTCCAAGTTGAAGTGCATGAAGTAAAGCTTGATCCGAAACCCATCTGGGACAGTGATATTCCAAGTCACCTCTGAATCACTGGGATAGGAGTCTGGATAACCAGGCGACTGGATCTGGCCAAACATATTGTTTAGCTCCACGGTGTGGGCTGAAGCCTTTGACAGGGAGAAGCACAGAGCATAATAGAGAAGCAGCCACCTGAAAGACATGAATGTAGGTCTACTTACATTTATAAACACAGGCCCCTGCCATTCATCTCAATCACAGCCAGGAGAACAAGATCTCAGCATGTCTCTGTCTCTGGCCTGCCGTAATTAGCTTTCCCCTTCTGACCTTGCCTCCTCAGTCTGTATTATGGGAATATAGTAACTAGATAATTTCTAAGATTTCTTCTGGTTTTGCTCATTCAAAGCTCTGATAATAGTGTTAACTTAAACTCCTAGAAAGTATCACATTTGGGAGTCTGACATTTCCATTTTACTGTTGAAAATGTAATTTTCATAATTAAGTAAAAGTTGATATTTCTTTAGCTCAGCTTCATTTAACTCTTGATTCTCTTTTTGAAAAAGTAAATGTTATCATACTGGGTGAGGCTTAAATGCATTGATGGAATCTGTAGTACCTTAAACAGATTTAACGTTGAAAATGGTATTTCACCACAAACTCAGTCAAAGTATGCAAAATCTTTAATAAAGAAAGAATAAGCAAAGCAAGTTTTCTTCCTCTTGGTAAAAGGATCAAAAACCTACAACTTATTCCTGTAGGAATCAGAAATAATAGACTAATAAAGAGTTGCAAAAGAGACAAGGAAAATTCAATAAAACTTACAGAGCACGTCACCATGGCTGACGCAATAACGAGGCAGAATGACTAAGGCTGGTCAAAGCCCTTCTGGTCAGTCTGTACTCACCACACCAGGCTTCTGTCTAACAGACCGATTCCCCTGTGAGGTCCAGTAACCTTGAACTTAATGGGCCCAAACTTGCCTCATCACTCCTCTCCTAATCTTTTCCTGCTCTCATTTCTGATTTCTGTTCATGGTACTACCATCAACCAGTTCCCTGGCCTGAACTTTAACCATTCATCTTTTCATTTACCCCAGAGTCAAGAGTCACCACATCCTACTTATTCTGCTTCCTGTGTTTTGGAAATCCATCTCTCCTCCTCTCCAGTTAATTACATAGTTTACATTCTCCTATATGGCTTATTGCTATAGCATCCTAACTGATATCCCCAACCCACCCACCAGCAGTCTTCTGCCAAAGCTGATTTTCTCAAACACAGATAGGACCACACTGTTCTACTGTGTCTGCAGGGTAAAGCGTCTGCTCCTGGGATGGCTGTTGAGGCCCTTTTGATCTGGCTGATCTGTCCTTCCCACCTCATCTCAGTAGCCAGCCCTGTGAGCCCCCTGTTATTCTGGGAGCACACCATGCCCTTCCATTCCAGCCTCATTGCATGTGCCCTGCTCACTCCTCACCTACTTATCCTCCACTGTCTTGCTTATCCTCCACCATCCAGCTCAGAGCTTCCCAGCTATGGAGTATCCTTTCACTCCTCCACAAGCCACTGCTCCCTGCACATTTCTCTATTATTGTGGGTATCACATTGCACTACGTTAGACACACCCTTTGGAGTGAAATGTACTTGGATTTAAGTCCCAATTCTTTCACTTACTGACTGTGAAAACTTGGGCAACTAGTCTCCCTGAGCCCCAGTTTCCTCAGAAGTAAAATGGAGATTATAATATCTAATTCATAAGGCTCCTATGAGCACTAAAGGTGATGTATATAAAGGTCCCAGTACAGAGTCTGATATATAACAGATTATAAATGAATGAATCCATGAAAGTGGGGCCTGAGTCTTAGATAGCCTAAAAAGTCAATGCTGGGAAACCATACCAGCATCTTCAGATTAACAATGATATATTTGCTAATCAGGACGTTGTTTCTCTCCAATACCCAGTCTGCCCATGTATTCAGATGCATATATCTGTGTAATGCATACATTTGAGTTTTTGGGTATGTAAACAGAGCAAGTTAACTACATACATAGATTATGTAGCTATGTCATGTTAATATTTACATAAAGTGTAAATAGGTAAGTACAAAATGTCTGAAAGGATATACACCAAGGTATTGACAGTAGTTATCTCTGAAATGGGAATATAAGTATTTCCATTTTTGTGCATATAAAATGTTTACATTTGTCAAGAAGGACCATGTACTATTTTTTCAATAAAAAGAAAATACATTTATTTAATTTTTTTCAAGGTCCCTACAATAGCAATATGTGAGATTCTATTAAGAAAACAAAATGTCTTAATCCCATAGCCAATGTCAATATTTTCTTAAACCAATCTGTGGAAGGAGGGCCTCAGAGGCAGAAGGAAGGGAAGGCATATGTCCAAGTTAACCTGTGAATTAGTTGGAAAGCTGAGTCAAAAAACCAGGTGGCAGGGCCCAGGCATCCCATTTTCAAGTGAGGAAATGAACCAGTGTTAACAGGGCTGGGAGTTCAGGTTCAGCCCTGCTGAGGAGGGGAGGGCACTGGCCCTGGGTCAAAAGAGCTAGATTCAGCTCCAGCTTTGACTTTATTTATCCTTTCCATTTTAGGAGGTCATGGGAGGTCTTGTTTCCTCATCCATTAAGTAGTAATAATAACGACTTCCCACAGCACTGCTATCAGCGTAAAGGAGGATGGGGAAGTATTTTGTTAACTGTCCAGCCCTAGCCAAACATTAGTTATAATTATTCCATCCTGCCAGTTCCCAAAAAGCAAGAGTCAGGAATGAGCTTTGGCTCCTAAACCGGACTTCCCTATAATAGCGACACCCAAATTATGCAAGGCCGAAAGGTCAACTTCCTCCATGACTGCTTTTTCCAGACCACATCGAGGAGACACTGAGCCTCCTGAGGCCGGTTCTGTCAAGGACTGGCAGCAGACAGCCCTGTGTAGCCCAGAAGCCCGGTGCCATGTGTGGTAGGCAACTGGTCAGCGTGGGAGGAAGGCCCAGGAAGCTTTCCCTTCTACTTTGTTTGCATCTCAAAACGGTTTCAAACATATGAAACAAATATCTCCCTTCATGTAATGGGCTTGAGCATATGCTTGCCTGCTTGCGTTAGGGGCTGTAAATTGAAGAATATAAGTGGCAGCTTTCATTCCTCGTCACACTCTCTGAATGTTTTTGGCTTCTTGTATACGAGGCACCGGCTGTATAGTTCCCAACACCTGCTATCTATCCTCCGGCTAATCAAAAAGTTTAGCTACATTGCAGAAATGTCAAAAGTAATATATAGAGCTGAGATTTCAGAGGCCCCCCGTAGGAACAGGCTAGCAGGACTCTGTAAAAATGCCTGCATATATCTATGATTGCGGCATGAACGGCACTTGCTATCTTTTCCATACACTGTCCGTACACGCCCCTTGTTTCAACCCACTCCACACCAAGACTCCATTTTTGAATTGAAGAGTTGGAAGGGACTGCATGGATCCTTTACAGAGCACCCTAATTTGACAGACGATGAAAAGGATACCCCAAGAGATGTCACATCATGCTCAATACCATATGGTGAATTAACTTCAACAGAAGAAGGGAATAAAAAGAGCTCACAGAAGAAGCTGGGTCCATGCCCATATCATGCCCAGGCATCTGGCCAAAGCAATTAATCCTGTGAAAAATAATTGAAAAACCCATGGCTTTACGTAAAAAATTTAAAAATATTAATGCCAAAGTCCCTCCTCAGGAGGTTCTGGTTTAATTGCTCTGGGGTGAGGCCTGAGCACTGGCATGTTTCAAGGCAGCACAGATCATTCCGACGTACAGTCAGAATTATGAGCCGTCAGTTTAGAATAATACACTTGGCTGAAAGTCTAGTGGAATATAGTAGAAAAAATCCTGAACTTGGAGCCCGAAGACCCAAATTTGAATCTGGACCTTTTCATGATCATCAGTGTGGTTTGGGCAAGTTGCTTAACTGCTTTTATACCCACTACTTATCCATAAATCCTTACTTCATCCAGAATCTGAAACCCCCATGAGACAGTGCTCTTGAAAGTGCTCTGCAAACACTGAAATACTGTATCCATGTGAGACAAGACCTGCTGGAGACTTTTCTAGCAGAGCACCTTTCTCGTAGTTGCTTGGCTATTCAAAAATTGAATTCAATTCAACAAATAGGTATTGAATGGCTGGTAGGAAATAGACATTATGCTAGGTGCTGGCCATACAAAGATGAAGACATAGATCATGTAACTTAAGGAGTGCTGAGACTTGTAAGGGGAGGTGGACATTTAAACAAGGGGATACTACAAGGACAATAAGAGATGCAGCTTCAAGGGACAGAAACAGAACAAAGGACAAAGGAGGGGATGCTCACTCTGGAATATGGTGGTCAGGAGAGAGAAAGAGATATTTGTGCCAGCTTGAACAATCAGGTCTTCTAGGTGGAAAATAAAGAAGAAGGTTGCTCCAGGTTGAGGGATGAGCATATGCAAAGATACAGAATTGTTACTCAGCCAAGTAGTTTGATATGGGCTGGGGCACTGAATGGTAGGGTGGGATTCAGACCAGATCATTGACAGATAAATGAGATTATCATTCAATGTAGATTGACATAAATCACTTTTTTTTGGAGAAAGAAAAATGATGTTTAATGGCAGGTTTAAAATTACTATGGCTTTAAGAAGAACAGAATTATTGCACTCACTTTTTAAGGACCTGGTTATCTCTCTGAACCACAGGTAATCGGAGTTCAAAGAGTTAACATAGTCTGAAGCCTCTCATTGGTCTCAGGTCCAGAAAAGTTGCTAGGTTACTTTGCAGAAGAGAAACAAATAAAAACACTTTCCCAAGTGAAAAGAAAATTAATAGTAAAAGATGTGTTTAGGGACTTACACATCTGCAGAGCATTGTGTGTGTGTGTGTGTGTGTGTGTGTGTGTAACAGCATTAACACTTAACTAATAAAAATAACTAGGGTGGTTGGGTTTTCAGACTTGCAGGATAGAACTTGTATGAAAGGTCTGGTAAGGAGTGTCAAGTATAATGAGGAATAAGAAAGGTTAAAGAGTTTAAAACCAATTAGAATTTGAAGTTCTTGATTTCAGAACTCTAAAATCCTTTTTTTTTTTTTAAGTATGATATCTCTTTAAGAGCCATTTGGTGTACTTCATAGCCTGATTCATGCCACCAGCTGCCTCTGATTTCAATGAGAAATGCAGAAAATTTATAGGGAACTGTAAAATGGGGACAGATTTTTAGTTTTCTAAATTGAGGTTTAACTGGCAAACTTGTAAAGGTTGAAGAAACCACAGAGCCAAGCTATGGGAAGCTGGTTTCTTTTCTGGTCAGAAGGAATGAACACACAAACACATATCTAACTCACAAAGTGCTGGAAGAGAGAAAGCAATGCTCTTTCCAGAGGAGGAACACGGAAAAATCAGCCTTGTGGGTGAACAGGAGGAGAGTCACATTCGCCAGCAGGCAGCACCCTGTGCAGGCAGTGGGAGAAATCTGAGCTTCAGCAGCGTCCGGAGCAGGATTTGCACGAAGTCTCCCGTTTCAAGTTTTATGTCTCCTGGAGTCCTGGGGAAGGCACCCAGCCCACCCACAGCTCCCTTCTCAGAGCCCTAAGAATTGATGAGAAAGCCCCTCACTACCACATGCAGGACACGCAGGTGAGTCTGTCAGTGACAAGGTCAGACCTTCCCTGCTATTTGACACTGGTCCCCAAAAGGGAACCGTGCCCTCTCCTCCCCTGGCACGTACCTCATTTTCCTGCCTTGGGTGCTCCCGGCTGCCCGGCCTTGGTCCTCCCAGCTTGACTTGCCTGTGAGCTCGTGCCCGGTGTGGTGTCCGTGATGCCTTATCTTTGTTCTGAGGTCCCTGTGTGTCTCTGGAATTGGCTGGCATTCTCCATTCAGGTCACGCCTTCCCCTGCCTGCAACAGATCCCCTCTCCCCCTCTCTCCCTCTGGCTTTTCCTCTCTCCTCTCTCTCTCCTTTGACTTGCTCTTGCACTCCCAGGAACCTGACAACAAAATCTGTCTTCCTACCGAAAAGATCTGCTCCTTCCCTTCCCTCCTTTATCCTGTGTGGCTGACTTCAGCCCTTGAGAGAAAATAACTGAGGGGCTCAAGCAGGTATTTGTATCACTCTGTGTGTGTGTGTGTGTGTGTGTGTGTGTGTGTAGAGAGAGAGAGAGAGAGAGAGTGAAAGGGGACAAAGTCTAATTTCTCTTTAGTCTTTTTTGCCAGATGACTATAATTTTCTGCTTTTCTTCAGGACACCCATGAAAGAAAAGCAATTAAATAGAAACAACCAACTAAGAAGGCAATTCTAGCACCTACACTAGAAGAAAAAAAAAAGGTCTAAATCCCAGAGCGTCTGTCTGCAAATAACTACAGGTTTCCTTGTGAGCAGAGCCCCAAATAACTACAGGTTTTCTCGTGATCAGAGTCACACACAACGACAGGTTTTCCTGTGAACAGAGCCACGGGCCCGGAACTGGGGAAGCACCAAGTCCTGAAGTTGGCTGGTTGTTCCTCCCCATGAGCAATACCTGTGGCACTGTTTACTTGCTCGGAGTGTGTGCGGCTCTACTCCAGCCCAGAAAGGGCCCATCGCAGCAAGAAATCTCACCTCCCCAGGGGTGTAGAAAGACCTGGGCCTGTATATATGTCTATACCCATGGCTTCCGGAGAAATCAACACTAGATCTAAGATGAGCTGAATAATAAGAAAATTACCCCCTCCACAACAACAACAACCAACACTGAATAGGGAGAGGTGTATCTGGGTGTAAAAGTTAAGTTTGACTGTGCACCTTTTCTGTGTTAGACACAGTACTAGTCATTAACATCATCTCAAGTTACTTTTGCAAACTGGTGAAAGTGCTGCTGTTATACTCATTTTACAAGTGAGGACACTAAGGCTCAGAGAGAATATGCCACTTGCCAAGATCATCCAGTTATTTATGACTCCCCACTGCCACTAGCACTAGAAGCTAACAGCTATTGAGTGCTACGTGTCAGGCACTGCTCTAAGCACTTAATATATGAATTCTTTTCAGTCATCTTTATATGTTGTATACATGGCTGGCAATATTCTCATTTTTCAGAGGAAATTGCCCAGAGAGGTTAAGTAACTTTCCCAAGTTCACACAGCTAGAAAGTAATAGAGGCAGAATTTGAAGTGTTAGCCACTGTATTACACTGCTACTCATTAACATTTTATAATGCATATGGAATTTCAAATGCACACACACAGACGGCATTCATAGAGAAACTCAATCTGAGTCATTTTGAAAAGAAGATTAGACTCAGAGTTTAGCTGTAATCTTTCCTTTCTACCCAAGACAGCTGTGTACTTTGGGCACAATACTTAAGGTATCTGATTCTGTGTCTTCATTTGGAAAATGGGAGTTACTATGAGGCTTAAATAAGACTGTGCTTGTAGAAGTGTCCAGGGGAGTACCAGAGAGAGGGCTGCCAGCCACACTCACCAAAGCGGCAGACACATGCACTGTCTACCCTCAGATAACGTTCCTTTGGCACGTTCTGGGGAACAGTGGCTTGACTCTCACTGTACTTCTTACTCCATTTTCTCTCCAGTTTCTCTAATTTTCACACTTTTGAATGCCAGCCTTGCCAAGCTTGGCATTATCAAGAGGCTGTGGTTGATAAAGCAGGTACAAGTATATGAGATGGGAGGATATGTTTGAACTCAGGCACTGTTTTAGCAAAATGTGTTCTGTCTCAGTCAGCACAGGAAAAAAAGCTTTTAACATTCCCGTTAAGAAGACTCACAGGCTCCGCACACATTAAATAACTCTCACAAAACAACATTTTAATGATTTACGTGTAAATGAATCAGAAACACATGGACGACATTTCTCTTGGAATACACAAGGGTTTTAAAACTGAAGGAGAAAGAGCTTGGCAAAATGCACACTGTGCTGGGAAGAGGGCCCCTGCCCAGTAAAGACATTCCCTCAATTCATGCTGCCACGGAGTTTGCCCTCTCCTAATTTAGGGCATATACTGGGAACTGCAGTCATTTGTTCTGGGTACAGAGGGAAGAGCTTGGGCGAGAAAGCCATCAGCTTCTCCTTGGAAAGTGTCACAGAGCAATTAGGCCTCCTGGAATAATTTTCTAGCCATGTTTCTTCAAGGCTGCCAATGTTCAATGGAAAGCATTCGAGATGTGTTCTAAGCCAAAGTTCTGCCAATATATAGCAGATCTGATATGTGCGCTTCCCTGGGAGTTAGCCAAGGCTCAGAGGAAATCTGCATAAAAACAGGAACTACGTGGCCCAGGAATGATCTGCATGTGATTCAGGACAGTTTTCTACTTGGTTACACTACATATTGTCTGATGCTTTTGATGAATCTCCCTGAAGTGTCACTAAGAGATCATGGGTCATCAGGGGTGGGAGGAATGGAAGGGACATTAGGCTGGAAACAGAACTGGGCTCAGTGACTATAGGCCAGCTTGCATGTGACCTTGGGTAAGTCACTTACTTTCTCAGGGGTGGGGGTTGAGGGGTGGAGGGGTGGGGCATCAGTGTGTTCAATTATGAAATCAGGGGGTGGGACTCAGTTGAGATCATAGATATCAACATGTGGATATGAAGACTATGAAATGATGTCGTTGGGAGGGGGTTAGGTAGTTTGCTAGACCTAAAAGATTGTCAAGGAGTCCAAAATAGCTCTAATAATCTTGACATTGGCTTTTTCTGTGCTCATAATATTACTGATACTAAGAATTTAATCACAGATATTCAGAAAAAGTAATATTTAAAAAGGTTCAACTAGTTTTTTGAGTTTGGCAAAAGCGATTAAAAAATGCATACAAGGAACTGACATCATTTAGAATCATGAAAGCGTAGAATGACTGAGGTGGGCTCAGCACCCGCGCACTATAGTCCTGTAGTCCGGGAAAGGGATCAGAGAGCTGCCTACTAAGGGTAAATGCGGCAATATTCCTACCACTGGAAGAGGTTTTGGTTTACATGTTCTACCAAAGTATTTATTTTATGCAACTTTTGAGCTAGAGCTTCTGGAATTCAATGAATGGGTTAGAAAACGTAAAGAATTTGGGCAATGACTTTTTGTTGGTAAGGGCTGAAATCCAGGCTTCCTACAGAATATTTGAGAAACTGATAAATAGCTCCAAAGATGGCAGCTTAGAATGAAAATCTGGGTTCTTCAGCACATTGACTGACAGCATGCCGAAAGTCCTGGCTTCTGAGTCTATCAACAGAATAATGGGGAAAATATTTTTAAAAAATGACAATCTTTGAGCTTCATCCCAGGAGATTCAAACCCAATGAATCTGTGGGTAAGTCTCCTGAATCTGTAATTTGAAAATCTCCCCTGGCATGATTTTGCCACTTTTGGTACAAATAACATAATGATACATTTTATAATTGATGGCACCTTTGATTTGATAAGATGTCATTTGTATATGCCAGATACTTTTATATATATTATTGCATATAGTATTCACATCTTTTTTTACAAGTAAAGACATTGAGGTTCAGAGAAACTAAGCCTGCCCGTGCCTGTAAGTGAATGATGTATGTCTAGAGCCCAGGGCCCCCTGATCTCAAGTGCAAAGCTCTTCCCTGTCGTCTGCAAATTTCTCGTGCTTCTTGTGGACTCTGAACATTCATGTGCCATGCTGTCATGTGATTACAAGATTTTACAGAAGACAAAAAATAGCTTCTATTTAAAAAAATAAATGATTAGGCTCTGTTATGGGCTGAATTACATTCCCCTCAAATGCATATGTTGAATTTCTAACCCTCAGTACTTCAGAAGGTGACTGTGTTTGGAAAAAGGGCTTTTAATGAGGTGTTTAAGTTAAAATGGGATCCTTAGAATGGGCCCTAATCCAATACAATTGGTGTCTTTATAAGAGGACATTAAGACACAGACACACACAGAGGGAAGACCATGTGAAGACGTAGGGTGAAGATGGCCACCTGCAGGCCAAGGATAAAAGCCACAAAAGAAACCAAATCTGCCAACACCTCCATCTCGGACAGTTTTTGTTTATAGTCCCGAAAGACACAAGCCTGAAATCTATAATCCCAAATATGGAAATTCCAAAAAGTCAAAACCTCTAAAGTCTAAATCCCTAACATCTAAAATCCCCAAAATCAAAATCACAAGATAGTTGCATCATATTAGGTGGAACTCTTTACTTTGTCACTGTCTTTATGCAGAGGAAAATGGATTTCAATTGAATCCTCAAACCATAAAGACAGATTTGGAATTAGGTGTGATTGAGGTTTCTAAAGGTGAACTTCAAGGTATTACCAATAAAGTTTGTTTTTTTCCATTCTGTCCAATGTGTTTGGCAGAAACTTCAGATGAGTGGACTGGTCACGTGATACAGCAATGACAAAAACTTCAGTATTGGCATTCATTCCAGCTGATGGCATTCCAGGAGCTTTTAATGAATTAAAGCCACATTTGCCTGAAGAAGCCAGCGAAGTTACTAACTGGTTCAAAAACGATTATGTGCATGATGGGCAGTATTGTTGCAGTTCAATCACCAGTATTGCTTCCACCAGATTTGTGGTCTATATATGTGTGCATATGGAATAGATTTCCACAGACCCACAACACGGAAGCATGGCACAGAAGATGGGAAAAAATGGGGAATACTCATGTAGTTGTATACTAAACCATAGAAGAATTTTGAAAAGAGCAGTGTCACATGGAAAATAAATGTGAACATATTCTCCAAGGACAGCCATGTCGTAAAAGAAAAAAAGCAGCTATTTTTTGTGATGTGAGACTTAAAAATATAGTTAATGACTGTGAAAGTTGGCCAGCTCTTATGGACTATCTCCATGCAATTGCCCATAATCTAGCTCCATAACTTTTTTATTTGTTGAATTTTCTTTTTAGTTTTTAGTTTTTATTTTTAGTTTTTTTCACTATTTGAAATTGTCAGCATTATTTTTTTATAATTCGCCATGCTACCTATTTCATCTTTGCATCATTTCCAATACTGCATGCATCGTATAAAGAGTTTTAGAGAGTCCTAATTTGCTTTGTGCATTTTTGCAAATGTAACTCCATGAAAGTGCATTTTCAAAATGTTGAACTTGTGTGTAAGCAGTATGTGTGTGCATAAAGACATTAAAACTTCCTCGACAAATGAAAATGTATCTTCTTTGTACATCTGCTTTTATGAAAGATAAAATTTCTCAATGCCTTGGCTCTTTGGGCAACTGATGTGGTGGTGATATGGTAGTGACTCATCACGGTTTTTGATCAATCTTATCAAAAGACTTAGAAGAGTCTAAGAATCACAGCATTTCAGATGACTGCTGTATAAAGCTGGGGGCACACAATTACCAACCACAGTGTGATATACATTTTTATATTTTGCTTTTTGATTTATTTATTTATGAATATGGTTCATCTGCTCATAACTGTTATACCCATGTGACTGTTGTTAGTATATCTGAGTGTTTCTGCTTGCAAAAATATGGTATTATTGTCCATTTTATTGTGTAAAGTAGCCTATGAAGAGTTCTGTCATGTTTTTGCATGTTTCTTAAATAAATCCCCTTTAAAAATGTAAGTAAATATTTTACAACGTTTTGAAAACTTTTTTTTTTTTTTAAGACGGAGTCTCGCTTTTTTTGTTGTTGCCCAGGCTGGAGTGCAGTGGCACAATCTCGGCTCACTGCAACATCCACCTCCTGGGTTCAAGCGATTCTCCTGCCTCAGCCTCCTGAGTAGCTGGGATTACAGGCATCCGCCACCATGCCTGGCTAATTTTTGTATTTTTAGTAGAGATGGGGTTTCGCCATGTTGGCCAGGCTGGTTTTGAACTCCTGGCCTCTGGTGATCCGCCCACCTCGGCCTCCCAAAGTGCTGGGATTACAGGCGTGAGCCACCACACCCGGCTGAAAAAGTTTTTTCTAAAATATTTTTGGAATTTTGTTTTTCAGGATTTTAACATTGGGGATGATGGCATTTGGGATTATGGTCAGCTCCCATCTTGGACTTCTGGCCTCTAGAATTGTGAGAAAATAAATATCTGTGATTTAAGCCCCCCGACTCTGTGGTGTTTTGTGATGGCATCTTTGGCAAATGAATACAGCTGGCTTACAGAAGGGCCTCCCAAAGCATGAAACCCACATCACCAGGGGTGTCACATTGATTTCACACATCACATTCACAGAATTAACAAACACTGGGTCAGTTAAGGCTCTGTTTGGTAGGAAGTAAGAGAAATCTTGACTAACGTTGAAGCAGATAGGACTTATTTTTCTCACAGAGTAAGAAGTAAGGAAGCAGGTGGGGCTGGGGCAACTGATCAAGATTGTTTCCAATCTGCCAACCTTAGGATGGGGCTTTTCTCCTCATGCTTGTCACCTCTTGGTCACAGAAAGGCTGCTGTAACTCCAGATGTCATGTTCACATTCAAAGTGGGAGGGGAGAAAAGGAGGACAAGGATGAGGTAGCACTGGGAGATTTCTGCTTGTGTCTCACAGGCCAGAGCGGGGTTGTGCAACCTGCACTAGCAGCAAGGGAGGCTGGGAAGTCAAATTCTTATTTTGCAGCTTATATGGCAAGGCAGGCAGCAAGGAAGACCGAGGTTGGAAATGGGTGTTGCATGAGTCGTTACCATACGTGCCAAGAAGTTCCTGCCTTTTTCATTTGTCTTTCATTCCTGATATTATTAAGAAGAAAGTTAAGAAGAAAGCTTCAAGGGGCCATTATGCCATTAACACTAATTTGCCTCTTAAAAAGGAATGATGGGTCTCAGATTCAGAGCTTATGGAGGCATTAGTATTCTAGAATTTGACAATTTAAAAAAAGTAGTATTGCTGGGTGTGGTGGCTCACGCCTGTAATCCCAGCACTTTGGGAGGTCGAGACGGGCAGATCATTCTAGGCCAGGAGTTCAAGACCAGATTGGCCAACATGGCAAAACCCTGTTTCTATTAAAAGTACAAAAATTTGCCTGGCATGGTGGCGGGCGCCTGTAATCCCAGTTACTCGGGAGGCTGAGGCTCAAGACTTGCTTGAACCTGGGAGGCGGAGATTGCAGTGAGCCAAGATTGAACCACTGCACCCCAGCCTGGGCAACAGAATGAGACTCCATTTCAAAAAAAAAAGGTATTATCAGTGGTAGTGACATACTTTTTTTTTTCTTTTGAGACGGAGTCTCGCTGTGTTGCCCAGGCTGGAGTGCAGTGGCGAAACCTTGGCTCGCTGCAACCTCCACCTCCCGGGTTCAAGGAAGTCTTGAGCCTCAGCCTCCTGAGTAGCTGGCTGGGTTTACAGGTGCTGCCACCATGCCCAGCTAATTTTTGTATTTTTAATAGAGACAGGGTTTTGCCATGTTGGCCACTCTGGTCTTGAACTCCTGGCCTCAAGTGATCTGCCTGTCTCGGCCTCTCAAAGTGCTGGGATTACAGGTGTGAGCCATTGCACCTGGCTGACACACTTTTAAATATGTGGCTTTCAGTTAAAAATTCCAGAATAGATTTAATCAAAAATATAGAAATAAATAATAATATAGGTGGTATTAAGACATATGAAAAAATGTAAGATAAATTATTAAGTGTTAAAAATGGCAATGGTTACTTTCATGTGTCAACCTGACTAGGTTAAAAGATGCCCGGATAGCTGGTAAAATATTATTTCTAGGTGTGTCTGTGAGGACCTTTCTGGAAGAAATCATCATTTGAACCAGCGGGCTGAGTATGGAAGATCTGCTGTCATCAATGTGGTGGGCATCATTCGATCCATTGAGGGCTTTGGTGGAACAAGAAAGCAGAGGCAGGGTGTGTTTGCTGTCTCTTCTGGAGCTGGGACATGCGTTCTTTCCTGCCGTCAGACATCAGAGCTCCTGGTTCTTGGACTTTTGGACTCTGGGTCTTACACCAGTGGTTACATGCCTATCCCACCCTCCCAAGCTCTCAGGCCTTCAGCCTTGGACTTAGACATCACTGGTTGCCTTGGGTCTTAGGCCTTTGCACTCTAACTGAATGCAGCTCCGGCTGTCTTGGTTTTACAGCTTGCAGATGACATATCCTGGAACTTCTTGTCTTCCATACTCATGTGAGCCAATTTCTATAATAAATCCCCTCTTATAAATCTATATATTTCCTACTGGTTCTATGTCTCTGGAGATCCTTACTAATACAGAAACATTGCTCTGGAGAGTAGACTTAGTGAAAGCATCCCAGCAAGGTGGGAGAGGACTGTAGTGTGAGTTGCGATGCCTGAGACAGAGGCCAATTTCTGTCCTAACCCAATGTGCAACCTTGAACTTTTGGTCTTCCTTGGGCTTTGGATTTCTAATTCACAATGTTGAGCTGGATTTGGTGTTGTGTGTGTGTGCTTGTGTGTGTGTGTGTGTTTAAAGCACATTTCTACTCAGTTTATGACATCTCTATTTCAGTGTGTGGAACTATACCTATTACGTTATTATTAAGACTGGATCATAGTTTTAGAGGCTCTCAAAGCAGTTTTAAAAAGGGGGTGCACTCTGGTATGAAACAAGATGTTATTCCCAAAATGAATGTTTCTCCTTTAATACTCATTTCATCCTGAAAACAACAAAAAAGTCAAACATTATCATCTTTACTTTACTTACCAAATTAGCAATATTAAGAGGAGGTAATTGAGTCCGAGAGGAGAGAAATACCTTGCCCAGGGTCACACAGAAGGTAGGTGAGGCTGGGATCATGAACACCGATTACCCTGTACTCATGCTCTTTTTTTTCTTTTTAACATTTGTTTATTTAAATTGACAAATAAAAATTGTAAATATTGATTGTGTACAACATGATGTTTTGAACTATATATACGTTGTAGAAAGGATAAATCAAGCTAATTAATATATGCATTACTTCACATACTTTTTTTTGCACTGAGAACATTAAAAAAACTAATCTCTGCAATTTTCAAGAATACAATATACTGTTATTTACTATAGTTGTACAATAAACCTCTTGAATACATTCCTATCTAACTGAAATGTTGTATCCTTTCACCAATATCTCCCTACCACATTACCTCCCCCAACACCCTAACAGCCACCATTCTACTCTTTACTTCTGAGTTCAACTTTTTTAGATTACACGTTGCTATAGTTTGGATGTTTGTCCCCTCCAAACCTGATGTTGAAGTTTGATCCTCAGTGTTGGAGGTGGAGCCTACTGGGAGGTGTTTGGGTCCTGGGGGTGGATCCCTCATGAATAGATCAATGCCCTCCCTCAGGAATGAGTGGGTTCTAACTCTATTGGTTCTCATGAGAGTGGGCCTTAAAAAGACCCTGGTGGCTGTGCCTGGTGGCTCACACCTGTAACCCCAGCACTTTGGGAGGCCGAGGAGGGTGGATCACCTGAGGTCAGGAGTTTGAGACCAGCCTGGCCAACATGGTGAAACCCGTCTTTACTAAAAATACAAAAATTAGCTGGTCATGGTGGGCACCTGTAATCTCAGCTACTCAGGAGTCTGAGGCAGGAGAATTGTTGCAACCTGGGAGGCGGAGGTTGCAGCCATTGCACTCTAGCTTGGGTGACAACAGCGAGACTCCATCACAAAAAAAAAAAAAAAAAAAGAGCCTGTCATGCCCTTCCACCCCCACTTCCTCTCTCTTCATGTGATTGATCTCAGCACATGCTAGCTCCTCTTCACTTTCTGCCATGAGTGGAAGCAGCCTGAGGACCTCACCAGATGCCTAATCTTGAACTTTTCCAAATATCAGAATTGCGAGCCAAATAAACCCTTTGTATTTATAAATTACCCAGTCTCCAATATTTCTTTACAGCAACACTACATGGACTAAGACATGCATGTAAGTGACATCATGTGAGATTTGTCTTTCTGTGCCTAGCTTATTTCACTTAACATAGTGTCTTCCATGTTTATCCATGCTGTCACAAATGAACAGGATTTCCTTCTTTTTGAAGGCTGAGTAGCATTCCACTGTGTATATATACCACACCACACTTTCTTTATCCATTCATCCATTGATGGACCCTTAGATTCATTCCATATCTTAGCCATGCTCATATTCTTTTATATTAGGTTTTTGACCATTCTATTTGAGAGTAAGTACCCTAAAAAGAAACTTAATTGTTTTTTGAAGGTACAAAGTGACCTTTGCTTGGTCAACACAGCCTGGCTTTCTAGAACATGGTATTGTCAAATAAAGGTACACTGAGATGTTTTTTCTCCTGAAGAACAAAATCCTCACACTTTCTCGGCTGCCATTAGGATGATCACTTCTAGAACCTACTTCAGTCACTATGTAAGAAAGGACATCTCTCCCCTTTTTCCAGCCTCTCAGCCCAACCTGCTTCCCACCCTCTTCTTCATTCTTATCCAGACCAAAGTCTGTTTATTAGGGGGCAGTGAAAGTGTCATCAACTGGCCATATTATACATTATTCTCCTGCTTTCTGCCCTATTTCATACAGTGAAAAAACAGCTTGAGACCAGCCTCCTTTAAATCATTCTGGCTTTGTCTTTCTTTCTCCATGCACTTGGACAAAGGGTGATAGGAGACCAAGATTAGGATTTAAGCTCTGGCAGGAGCTAGGGATGCCCCACTTAAATCAAAGGAAGCCCTGTCATTTAACCCAGAATTACTGAAGAGTCCAATGCTATGAAATCAGGTAATAGCCTAGCTGGTAACACAGGATATCTGGTTTCCTTTTTGGTTATTTTCCCCATGGTAATCTTGCAGGAGCATGGGTGAGGTATTAGGAAGAATTCTGGAGGTTTGTTTTGTTTTGTTTTGTTTTTTTGTTTTTTGCTTTTTTTGATAGAGTCTCACTCTGTCACCCAGCCTGGAGTGCAATGACATGATCTCGGCTCACTGTAACCTCCACCTCCCGGGTTCAAGCGATTCTCCTGCCTCAACCTCCTGGGTAGCCGGGATTACAGACACCCACCATCATGCCTGGCCAATTTTTGTAGAGATGGGGTTTCACCATGTTGGCCAGGCTGGTCTTGAATTCCTGACCTCAGGTGATCCACCAGCTTTGGGCTCCCCGAGTTCTTAAGTACTTGATACATATACCATCTGTTATCAATTGAATTGTCTCTTCCCCAAGTTCATATGTTGAAGTCCTCGCCCACCACTACCTCAGACTATGACTGAATGTGAAGACAGAATCTTTAAAAAGGTGAATACGTTAAAGTGAGATAGTTTGTGTGGGCTCTAATCCAATATGACAGGTGTCCTTATAAAAGGAGATCAGGGCACAGACACAGAGGGAAGACCATGTGAAGACACAGGGAGAAGACACATCTGCAAGCCACAGAGAGAAGCCTCAGAAGCCTCAGAAAAAACCAAACTTGCCAACTCATTGATCTTAGTCTTCTAGACTACAGAATTGTAAGAAAATAGACTTCATAGATTTCTGTTGTTTAAGCCACCTAGTCTGTGGTGTCTTGTTATGTCAACCTAGCAAATTAATATACTCATCCATACCTTCTTTACCTTTGTTCACCTAAGTTTATTTTATATTAATTATAGTTCTTTTCTTTTCTTTCCTTCTTTCTCTCTCTTTCTCTCCCTCCCTCCTTTTCTCTCTTTCTTTTCTTTTCTCTCCTTTTCTTTTTCCTTCCTTCCTTCCTTCCTTCCTCCCTCCCTCCCTTCCTTCCTTTTCTCCCTCCCTCCTCTCCTCCTCTTTCTCTTTCTTTCTTTTTCTTTCTTTCTTTCTCTTTCTTTCTTTCTTTCTTTCTTTCTTTCTTTCTTTCTTTCTTTCTCTTTCTTTTTTTCTGCCTCCCTTCCTCCCTTCCTTCCTTCCTTCCTTCCTTCTTTCCTTCTCTCTCTCTCTCTCCCCCGCCCTCCGTCTCTCTCTCTCTTTCCTTTCTTTTTAGTAATGGGGTCTCATTATGTTGTCTAGGCTGGACTCCAACTCCTAGGACTTCAGGCACATCCCACTGCACCCAGCCCAATTATAGTTCTATCCATTCATGTTGTCTCCCCTTTCCCAGAGGTTTTTCCGATGCTACAGCCACATGGACCAAGCATACTCAACCATAGGATATGAGAAAGTAGGCCGTATGAAGCAAATGGACCATACAGCATGGTCCCAACATCTGGGGAGCATGACTCTGATCATGGGAGAATCAGGGTTCTCACTTCCCTAACTCCTTACTGATGTTTCATGACCATTACTTTTCCACTCTTTCTCCAAATTCTTCTGCTCTTCTTCCACTCTGGCTATTCCATATTTACTCATCTCTGCTACTGTCACCTTTCAACCTCTTTGTCCAATCCTTCATTCCTTTTGCTTGGGGATGTGTCACCATTGCTTACCTCTCCTTCACAATTGCTCCTGGTGCCCTGGGCACACTGGGCTCTCAGTTCCTTGACCTCTTCACCTTCAAAGATGACTTCCTCCACTTCACCTTAGCCATCTATTATACCCATAGCCATGTCTACCTCTGAAATCTGAAATTCTTACACCCCACTCTCTAATTACAGTCTTCTATCTTTCTAGGTCTTGCACTCCTTCAGTGAACCTCTGTCTAGATTTCCACCTCATCTAGTTTTTTTGCCACTACTTCATTTTATACCAGTCTATCAGAATCTCTTGGCCTTACATCTTCCTTGAATTCCACAACCAGTCACCAGCACTCCTTAGATGACTCTTTTTCTGCCTGTTTCTTGACTCTCTTCTTACTTCAAAGAAGCGGTACTTCATCTTCTGGTAAATTATTGAGGATCTAAAGATAGTTAGATTCCCTCTGTCTGGGACACTCCCAAATAAAGTCTCATAGTTCACTCCTTCACCTCCTTCAGTTCTTTCTAAACATGTCAACTTTTCAGCAAAGTCCTTTGTGACTACTTTGTTTAAGGATGCAGCCTCTATTCCTATCCCCACTCACTATCTCCATAAGCTAGTTTATTTTCCTTCATGGCACTGACAACTAGCTAAGAGGCTATTTATTTTGATTACTTATTGGTTTATTGCTTGCTTTTTACCCCACTAGAATAATAAAATCTCCAAGTGGAAAGCATTTTTATATTCCCTATTTACTGTTGTAGTCTTAGTACCAAGGATAGTGCCTTTGTTTTTGTTTTGTACATAGTAGGAAATTAATACTTATTTGTGGAATGTAGCTTCTTCCAAGAAAAACTTAAATACAACACATATTCTCAAAACTTGGCATATAATTTCAAGAGGCCGATGGCTCTCCTGAGGCCTGAAGCTCTGAAGCTCAGCTTCAACCATCATTCCTGAATATGTTGCATACACTCTACCACTATAGACTTAAAAATTGTTAGCTACTGATCACAGACAAACTATTTCTTTAGTCTAAATGTCCCTGCTCAATTCCCCACCCACAAATCAAATGACTACTCACACTTCAATTTAAACATTCAAACACTAAAAGTTACTTATGTGGAGGGTACAATAGTAAGAGGCTTTATTCTTATTTATAATACACCAAACTTTTGATGCCTGGCCTTGTAAGCCATGGTCAGGGTTTTGGTTGTATTCTTAGTACAACAGGAAATCACTGATGCATTATAAGCAGGAGTGTGGAACAATGTAATTCACAGTTATAAAATGTCTCTGTCTGTATTATGAGGAGAATGGACTTGGAGGATGGGGAGACAGGGAAACCAGCTGGGAGGCTGTGGCAGTGGCCAGGATCCAGGCCACTTATACTAACAGGCACAGTGAGCGCAGAGCCTGGGGCCACAGCACCATTAGGGGCCCATGAAAATGTTTTAATTTTGATTTCTTTAAAAATCAGAATAAAAAAAAATAAATCCAGCTTGGATTATATCTGCTTTTATACCAACATAGCATTAAATATATACTTTTTAATGTTTTTTGATGGATGAGGAGGCCCATGGAGGTCATAAAGAGGCCCTGGGTATGACTTGGATAGAGCAGAGTGGGGACAGTGGACGTGGAATCAAGTAAACAAAGGCAAAGACAAGAGATGTTTTGTAAGAAGAAAAGCCTGAATCTGGCCATAAAATGAGAGTGAGTGATAAGGGAGAGGTAGAAAGCAAAGATAAGTATCAGAATTTCTGCATAAGAATTGGCTCCATTTACCGAGATGGGGAAGACAAGGGGAGTGGGCGTCAAGCAGGGGTCAGAATGTAAACAGCCTCCCCTGCCAGACCAGTGTTGAAAATTTATGGCATGGGTTAGTGTGTCTCAACCCTGGTTGGACATCAGAGTCACGTGGGGAACTTTAAGAACTCAAACTTCTGCCACATCCCCCAGACCAACCAATCCAGAATCTTGACAGTGGGCCAGGGCCGAGGACTGCAACATTTTTAGGCAATGGGGCTACACAAAGTCTTTTTAAAACAGAAAATGATATGGCCAGAAGTGATTTGGCTTGGCTGTTTGGCCGAGAGCGGTGGCTCACGCCTGTAATCCCAGCACTTTGTGGGGGACGAGGCAGGCAGATCACGAGGTCAGGACATCGAGACTATCCTGGCTAACACGGTGAAACCCCGTCTCTACTAAAAATACAAAAAATTAGCCGGGCATGGGCATTTGTAGTCCCAGCTACTCGCTAGGCTGAGGCAGGAGAATTGCCTGAACCTGGGAGGCGGAGATTGCAGTGAGCGAGATCACACCATTGCACTCCAGCTTGGGCGACAGAGCGAGACTCTGTCTCAAATAATAATAATAATAATAATAATAATAATAATAATAATAATAATAATTCACCGTTTGATAGTAGTATGGGGGATGGGAAGGAGTGGGTGAGAGACCGGAGGGTAAGCCAGGGAGCTAACAATACCCAAGTACCCGGGTCTCCTGATTCTCATGCCCCTCCCTAGGCTCAGGAAAAATGTCAGATAAGGCCACTCAGAAAAGAGCTGGAAAGACCTTCTGGGTCCTCAGCCGGAGCCCGTCTTGCCTGAGGGTCATGGGTATGGAGCACAGGGGCCGGGTGGTCCATTGGCTTCTCTGGCCAAACCACAGGGCAAATTTAAACACTGCAGCTACCACAACACAGCAAATCTGAATGACAATAGTTTTTTTAAAAGCAGGATTTTAAAAATAAAAATACTTATTCACAAAAAACCATCTCAGGGAAGCTGGCTAATCATAAGGCATTTTTTTTTTTATGTGTAAACATTTAATTTAATTTATTTTTTAAATTAATTACTTTGTAATTGATGAAAATTGTATATGTCTATGGTGTACAACATGATATTTTGAAATATGTATACATTGTAGAATGGCTAAATCAAGCTAATTAGCCCATGTATACTATTACCTCACATACTTTTTCTGTGGTAAAAACCCTTAAAATTTACTCTCAGCAATTTTCAAAAATCCAAAACATTGTTATTAACTATTGTCACCATGTTGTACAATACAGCTCTTGAACTTACTCCTCTTATCTAACTAAAATTTTGCATCCTTTAACCAGTACCTGTGCATCCCCACTCCCACCTACCAGCCCCTTACTTTTTAAGTAAGTTGAACTCATAGAATTTGAGAGTAGAATGTTAGTGCGATTACATGGTATTTGTCTTTCTGTGCCCAGCTTATTTCACTTAACACAGTGCCCTTTGCGTTCATTTATGTTGTCACAAATGACAGAATTTTCTTCTTTGTAAAGGCTGAATAATATTCCATTTGTGTGTGTGTGTGTGTGTGTGTGTGTGTGTGTGTGTATGTATCATTCATCAACAGACACTTAGCTTGTTTCCATATCTTGCTATTGTGAATAATGCTGCAATGAACATGAGGGTGCAGATATTTGAGATACTAATTTTGTTTCCTTTGAATATGTACCCCAAAGTGGATTGCCTGGATTGTATGGTAGTTCTATCTCTAATTTTTTGAGGAATCTTCATACCGTTTTCAATAATGGCTGTATAAATTTACATTCCCAGCAACCGTGTACAAGAGTTCCCTTTTCTCCACATCCTCATCAACACTTCTTATTTTTTAAGCCATTTTAACAGGTGTGAGGTAATATCTCACTGCAGTTTTGATTTGAATTTTCTTGAAGATTAATGATGTTGAGCACTTTTTAAAATACATATTGGCCATTTGTATGTGCTCTTTGGAAAATATTTATTCAGGTTCTTTGCCCATTTTTCAATCACGTTATTTTGTTGTTGTTGTTTCTATTGAGATTTATGAGTTTCTTGTATATGTATCTTGCAATATCAACTCCTTATCAGATACATGATTTACAAATATCTTCTTCTCTGTCGGTTGCCTTTTAATTTTGTTGATTGTTTCCTTTTTTGTGCAGAAGCTTTTCAGTTTGATGTAGTCCCACCTTTTTATTTTTGTTTTTGTTGTCTGTGCTTTTGGTATCGATCATATCCGTAACATTATTGCCAAGGCCAATGCCAAGGAGCTTTCCCTCTGTGTTTTCTTTTGGGAGATTTACAGTTTCAGATCTTACATTTGTCTTTAATCCACTTCAAGTTTCATATATGGTATAAGATAAGTGTCCAATTTCATTCTTTTGCATGAGGATGTGCAGTTTTCTCAACACCATTTATTGAAGAGCCTAAGCTTTCCCTATTGTGAACTCTTACCATCCTTGCCAAAGATTGGCTGTAGATGCATGGGTTTATTTCTGGTTTTTCTATTCAGTTTCATTGGTCTATGTGTCTGTGTTTATGCCAGTCCCATGCTGTTTTGATCACTATAGCTTTAATTATTTACTTTTAATATAGTTTGAAGTCAGGAAGTGTGATGCCTCTAGCTTTATTCTTTTTTCTCCAGATTGCTTTGGATATTTGTGGTCTTTTATGGAGCCCTATGAATTTTAGAATTGTTTGTTTTATTTCTGTGAATAATGCCATTGGAATTTTGATAGGAATTGGATTGAATCTGTAGATCAATTTGGTTAGCATGGGCATTTTAACAATATTAATTCTTCCAATCCATGAACATGAGACATCTATTTGTTTATGTCTTCAATTTCTTTCTCAATGTCTTGTAGTTTTTAGTGTATAGAACTTTTCCTTCCTTGGTTACATTTATTCTTAAGTAAAGTCATGTGCTGTATAACAATGTTTCAATTAATGTTGGACCACATATACAATTTCCTATCGCTAGTGATGTCTTAGCTGCCTTAGCGTTGCAGTGCAGCACATTAACTTTTCTATTAGATACACATTGTGTTACAACTGCCTATAGTATTCAGTACAGTAACATGCTGTTTGGTTTTGTATCCTAGGGGCAATAGGCTATACCATATAGCCTAGGTGTGTAGCAGGTTGTACTATTAAGGTTTGTCTAAGTACACTCCATGATGTTTGCACGATGACAAAATCACTTAAGACATTTCTCAGAACATATCCGTGTCATTAAGCACCATATGACTGTATTTTAATATTTTTATGGGATTGTAAATGGAATCTTCTGTTTCTTTCTTTCTTTCTTTTTTTTTTTTTTTTTTTTTGAGATGGAGTTTCACTCTGCCACCCAGGCTGGAGTGCAGTGGCACGATCTCGGCTCACTGTAGCCTCTGCCTCCTGGCTTCAAGTGATTCTCCTGCCTCAGCCTCCCAAAGTAGCTGGGACTACAGACACCCACCACCATGTCTGGCTAATTTTTTTTGTGTTTTAAGTAGAGGCAAGTTTCACCATGTTGGCCAGGCTGGTCTCAAACTCCTGAGCTTAGGTGATCTGCCTGCCTCGACCTCCCAGACTGCTGGGAGCATGAGCCACTGTGCCTGGCCTCTCAGTTTTGTTTTTTTTTGTTGTTGTTGGCGGGGGCAGGGGTTGGCTAGTTTGTTGTCAATGTATAGGAATGCTACTGATCTTTGTATGTTGACTTTGTATTCTGAAACTTTACTGAATTTGTTTATCAGTTTTAACTGTTTTGATGGCGTTTTTAGAGCTTTCTGTATATAAAGTCATACCTCTGTAAACAGAGACAATTTAACTTCTTTCTTTCTGAATGGGATGTCCTTATTTTTATTTTTCTAATTGCGCTGGCTAGGATTTCTAGTATTGTGCTGAATAGAAGTGGCCAGAGTGGGCACTCTTGTCTTACTCCTTATCTTAGAGAAAAAGCTTTCAGCTTTTCACAATTGAGTATAATGTTAGCTGTGGGCTTGTTATATATGGTCTTCATTGTGTTGAATTACATTTCTTTTATAGTTAATTTCTTGAGAGTCTTTTTTAATCATGAAAGGATGCTGAATTTTGTCAAATGCTTTTGCTGCATCCGTTGAGATGATCATATAGTTTTTCTTCTAAATTTTGTTAATGTAGTATATCATATTTACTGATTTGCATATGTTAAACCATCATTGCATCCCAGGGGTAAATCCCACTTCATCACGATTAATGATTTTTTAAATATGCTGTTGAATTCAGTTTGCTATATTTATTTTATTACATTTTCCCATTTATGTTTATCTGGGATATTTTCCTATAGTTTTCCTTTCTTGTATTATCCTTGTCTGGCTTTTGTATGAGGGTGATGCTGACTTCATAAAATGAATTAGGAAGTTTTCTCTCCTCTTCATCTTTTTTTTTTTTTTGGAAGAGTTTGAGTAGGATTGGTTTTAGTTCCTCTTTAAATGTTTGTTGGAATTCACCTATGAAACCATCTGGTCTTGAGCTTTTCTTTATTGGGAAGTTTTTCATTACTCACTCAGTCTCCTTACTCATTATTGGACTGTTTAGATTTTCTATTCCTTCATGGTAGGTTGTATGTTTTTAGGGATTTATCCACTTATTCCAGATTATCCAATTTGTTGACATAAAATACATTCTTTGAATTTCTGTGGTATCACTTTTAATGTCTTCTTTTTCATTTATAATTTTATTTATTTGAGTTTTCTCTTTATTTTTTCTTAGATAGCCCAGATAATTGTTAATTTTATCCTTTTTTAAAAAGATCTCTTAGTTTTGTTGATTTTTTATATTGTCTTTCTAGTCTCTGTTTTATGTATTCAGAAGTAATCTTTAGTTCCTTCTGTTAACATTGGGCTCAGTTTGTTCTTTTTTTCTACTTCCTTGAGGTATACAGTTAGGTTGTTTATTTGAGACCTTTGTTTTTTCTTAATATTGGTACTTATTACTATAAACTTCCCTCTTAGGACCACTTTTGTTGAAGTCCACACATTTAGTTATGTGTGTTTCCATTTTCACTACTCTCAAGATACTTTTGGATATCTTCTTTGATCCCTTGGTTGTTCAGGAGTGTATTGTTTAATTTCCAAGTTAGAATTGGGAACAGAAATTATTTATAAAAGAGGCATTTGCTACTGAGCATGTTTTGGTCTTCAGTTAAATTCTTTTTAACTTCTGGCTCCATAGTGTAATGGTTCTGGAATTAGCAACAATAAAACATTAGTTACATTAGTGAGTAATGGTTTTATTTAAAACAGAATTAAAATGTCAACCCAGTGGTGCTGAGAACTAAATGTCCACTCTCTAAGTGGCTGGCCTTGTGAATGTCAGAGGCCATGGCCACTACTAATAGCGATTAGGTTGGTGTTTGAGACTCATGAAGCAACCTGCATTTCAACTTGCTATTTTATCTGAACCTCAAAATCTTTTGGGGAATACTTAGCATAACTTCTTTTACTGGTAAAAAATCCTAAAGCTCAGAAAAGTTAATCTGCTGGAAGTCGTAAAGCTTGTAGGCAGTGACAGAGCCCAGGAGGTTATAAAGCAACCTAGTGGATAGAGCAAGAGTCTGATTCCAGGCCTCAGGCAGTTTGGGTGTCCATGTAACTCAGGTACTGGTATGACATACAGTCACCATGTATGAATGGGGAATAATGCCTACTTCATGAAGACATAATATGTAAGCTGCTTAGTGTAGAGTCAGCCATTGACTTGAATGCTTCCTGAATGTTAGCCATTTTTTTTTCATCGTCCATGTAACTTTCCACTAGATCACCTGTGTGTTGACAAACACAATCACAGGCAACCTTCAACTTATCTAGTTTCCCAGATTACCCAGGAACATTCCCCCCACACCGGAATTGACTAAATTTGCTCAATTCTCCCCTCTCAGCTTGTTTGTTCTAGACTTTGGGGAAATTCCCTCACTCCTTCTTTTCCTTCCCTCTGCTTTTGCAGCCAGCACTTCAGCCTGAGCCCCATCCTCCCTTCTCTGAACTTGAGTCCCAGCCTCCTGGCTCTGGAGCTGCAGGGGTGGGGGTGGGGAGGGGGTGGGGTTTATAGAGGGCAGGGCTTTGTTGTAGGTAGGAAAGGAGAAATTAGAGAAGCTGGAGCAATTTCTCCCTCTACCCTTTATCTTGGAGGAATGAGACCTGTTCTGATCTCCCATGCCCAAGGCCATGCCATCTCTCTCCTGGGCCATGCCATCTCTCTCTCTCTCTTTCAGACCATGCCATCTCTCTCTCTCCTGGGCCATGCCATCTCTCTCTCTCTCCTCTGGCCATGCCATCTCTCTCTCTCCTGGGCCATGCCATCTCTCTCTCTCTCCCCCCCAGACCATGCCAGCTCTCTCTCTCTCTCTCTCTCTCCTGGGCCATGCCATCTCTCTATCTCTGTCTCCCCCAGACCATGCCATCTCTTTCTCTCTCTCTTCTCTGGCCATGCCATCTCTCTCTCTCTCTCCTGGGCCATGCCATCTCTGTCTCTCTCTCCCCCAAACCATGCCATCTCTCTCTCTCTCTCTCTCTCTCCCAGACCATGCCATCTCTCTCTCTCTCCCTCTCCTGGGCCATGCCATCTCTTTCTCTCTCTCCTCCAGACCATGCCATCTCTCTCTCTCTCTCTCCCCCAGACCATGCCATCTCTCTCTCTCTCTCCCCCAGACCATGCCATCTCTCTCTCTCTCTCTCCCAGACCATGCCATCTCTCTCTCTCTTCCAGACCAAGCCATCTCTTTCTCCCAGGCCATGCCATCTCTCTCTTTCCCTCCCAGGCTTTGCCATCTCTCTCCCTCTTCCAGGCCATGCCACCTCTCTCTCCTGGGCCTTCCATCTATTTCTCTCTACTGGGCTATGCCATCTCTCTCTCTCCCATGCCATGCCATCTCTCTCTCTCTCTTCCAGGTCGTGCCATCTCTCTCTCTCTCTCTTTCAGGACATGCCATCTCTCTTTCCCAGGCCATGCCATCTTTCTTCCAGACCATGCCATCTCTCTCTTGCAGGCCATCCCATCTCTCTCTCTCCCAGGCCATGCCATCTCTTGTCCAGGCCATTCCATCTCTCTCTCTCTCACAGGCCATGCCATCTCTCTCTCTCCCAGACCATGCCATCTCTGTCTCTCGCAGGTCATGCCATCTCTCTCTCACCCAGGCTGTCATCTGTCTGTCTCCCAGGCTATGCCCTCTCTTTGTCTCCCAGGCTTGGATCTGCAGCTCCCTTGCTAAAGCCTGCTTCACTCCTCTTCTCCTCATTGTAACATCTTACATACCCATGGTACAAGCATCAAGAACTCTTGGGGTGTTTAGTTATACCTTTTATTTTGAGTTAATTTTATAACATTCAGTTATAAAAATAACACAGAGATTTCCCATGTATTCTTTATGCAATTTCTCCCAATGGGAACATCTCTTCTAGAACTTTTATATTTGAGTATTTTTGTTTTATTCTTCAGGTTTATTCACATTCAGGAGAAAGTTCTCAGATCTCTTCTGAAGGGACAGAGAAGACAGAACATTTTAAAAAATTATAATGATTTTTTAAAATTATTTTTTCAGGCAGGAAAAATGAGCATCTGCTTTACTCAGACTCATCGTTGCTTCTCCAGGGACCATCCATGCCCTCAACAGAAACCTCTGGCTGAAAGCTTCTGCAGGTGCTGTCCGAAGAGAACTGCACAGGCAGGAGGGAGGAAGAGAGCAGGTGCAGCGTTGAAGGCACTTAAAAGCCTCCTGAAACCTTGCACTTGGGTGTGATCTTGGAGGCTGACCATTCAATTCTTCAACTGATGCTTGAGTCTCAACCTCTGCAGAACACTTCCAGTGTTAGGAACTCACCTGTCTCTAAAAGCTTTGCTAACTTGGAATGCCAGAAAGTTCTTTCACTAGGCATGAGAGCAGGACTGTGTTTTCTTGTTCACTGTTGCATTCCCACTGCTAGCACAGCATTTCCCAACACAGTGCTTAACAAGTATTAGTTGAGTGAAGGGATGAATGAATGAACTAATGATCAGACATATCCAGCCCTGTCTGAGAGGTTGGAAGCATGCTCTCCCTATGAAGAAGGGGTGGAGGCTGCCTGGGACGCTGCAGTCATGACCGAGGCCACCCTGTCAGGGACAGAGGCAAGCCCATGTGTGGGTGCCTTGCAGAGCATAGGAGCCCTTGGAACTTGAGAGGGATAGAAATGCTCCAGGGTAAGAAGCCACTAGGGTTGGGGACATGACAACTCCTTCAGGTGTTCTGAGTGCTGGGGCCGAGTGGCAGCCTTTCTCACAGTCCTGACTTATTACATCCCTGGGTAAGTAGAGGGAAATTTAATTCATATGTTCCCCAGTTATTTACACAATTCTGAGCAAGACTCCACCATTGTGTAAGAGCCATTTGACGTCGGTGGCACTGCTTTCTTTTTTCCATTCTGAGAAGAGTCCTTGAAGAAAAGCCAGCTCCTTCATCTCCGAAGAAGGAAGGGGTAGGAGCCCAGGGAACTGTCATCTGGACCTGGCAGGGCTCTGCAGCATCTGGGGAGACTGTTTTCAGAGAGATTCAGAGAGGAGGCTGAGGAGAGGGGTTAAGACAGGAGCACCAGTGGGCTGCTGCCTAGCCCTGTGCCCCCGTGGGCTCTGCCAGCTGCTGCCAGCAGGAGCTTGGTGGAGGGAGGAGATAGAAGAAGCTGGGAGGTGCAGTGGGAAGATGGGGTCTTCCAGGCAGGGGTCCTCCAGTCTTGCATTCTGTCATAACCTTGGGAAGGTTAGTTTCTCTCCATAAGCCTCAGTTTCCCCTTCTGCAAAGCATGAGGGTGTACCTGGTTCTGCAATCTTTATGGGTTTCCAACAGCCTATTTATTCTAGGACTCTTTTTTGTGTCTTATTGTGAATATTATCTGGCACTCCCTAGACAAATGTCGTTTAAAAAATATTTTTACCATAATCCTCAGTAGGAAATACATTTTACACAATAGCCTACTTTATATAACTGAAACAAAGGTTTCATAAATTAATACTTATGCTTTCTGTGGGAACAGACATAAAGATTGATGGAACAGAAGAGAGAATGTACAGATAAATCTGTACACTTATGGTCAATTGATTTCTAACAAGGGTGCCCAGGTAACTCAATGGGGAAAGATGGTCTTTTTAAATAGTAGTGGGACAACTGGTTATCCAGATGCAAAAATAAATAAATACATACATACATAAATACATAAACTTAGAGTCTTACTTCACATGATACACAAAAAATTGATTAGTAAATGGATCACAGACAGAAATGCAACAGCGAAAAATAAGGAGTGACTGATTACACTTATACACACGAAGAATAGGATCGTCCTCACAGACATTATGCTGAGTGAAAGAAGCCCATCACAAAACCCTAAAGGTTTTATGATTCCATTTATAGGGAATTTCTAGAAAAGGCAAAAATAATAGAGACAGAAAGTAGATCAGAGATTCACTGAGGCTGTGGGACTGTATACAGGCAGGAGGGGACTTTGCTGTCAGAAAATGGAAGTGTTCTAGAACGGTGATGGTGCTTACACAGCGGGACAGATTTACTAAAACCCATCAAACAATACACTTACGAAGCATGGACTTCATGGTATATCAATCATAACTTAAATATGACGACTAATAAAATTAAACCTAAAGAATACAGATGATAAATTATTTGTTCATTTTTTAAAATGTAGGTTCTCTGGGTATGACGAGTTAGTTCCAAACCACCTCTTATGACTTTATTCATCTCTCTTCATAACATCCACAGCATCATTACACATAGCTATTGCTTATTAATGACTATTCACTTGAAAATATTAAAAAGAATAGATACATACTGATTGAATTTATTTTGAAAACTGAATTGTTTTAAGAAAATGAGTTTTATAAGTCTAAGCAGATCTTTCTACATTTTTATATCCAATACCAACAAATGCCTCTAGTAAATCATAATTAGCCACAGATTCAAGCACATAAGTTTGTCATACCCACTACAGGCCCAATCTAATTGTTCTGAATGCTTGCGAAGCACAAGGAAAAAAGTTCTATCTCTCTGTAGGTGTTTAGGATGGGAACCAGTCACCTCCAAACCAGTTAATGACTAGTTTCCTACGCAGTTCAGTGGTTTCAAATCTAACTGATCATCAGAATGATTCATTGACCTCATCCCCTGCCCAGACTTAATCAATTGGAATTTCTGTGGGGACACTTCTTAAAAAGTTTTTCCAGGCCGGGCATGGTGGCTCATGCCTGTAATCCCAGAACTTTGGGAGGGCGAGGCAGGCAAATCATTTGAGGTCAGGAGTTCGAGACCAGCCTGGCCAACATGGTGAAACCCCCATCTCTACTAAAAATACAAACATTAGCCGGGCATGGTGGCGCACACCTGTAATCCCAGCTACTCAGGACGTTGAGGCAAGAGAATCGCTTGAACCTTGGAGACGGAGGTTGAAGTGAGCTGAGATAGCACCACTGCACTCCAGGTTGGGTGACAAAGCGAGACTCTATTTAAAAAAAAAAAATTCCCAGGTTGTCAGGGAGGTTTATGAGCCTCATTTGTAGCCACATCCTTTGGTATAGTCAGTTTTGAGATAGATCACAGAGAACTGGTTTCCAATTATAGCTTAAATAGCAAGGTTTGCAAATAAAGGACATTAAAATATTATAAAGAACAGTATAGATTAAGTTGCCTCAACAATCACACCACCCACTATTCCTTGCCTTTGCATCTTTAGAAAGAATTGGTATAATAGTTGTTAGGCTAGAATTCTGCAAACCCCTGAGAACCCACATTGATAACCTCAAATTCTTGGCTTTTCAAAGCCTCCTAAGCCTTTTTAGTCAAATGGAGATACCATCAATTAATTTTTTATGTTATCATTTGCCATTACATCAAGTCACCCTCCTGTATTTGCACAAGCTAATTTAAAAATCAACTGCAGAATTTCCACTTACACTACAGAAGCCAGTTTGTAGCTCTTCACTCTAGATTGTAAATATCTTTTTGAATCTTCAGTTGTTTAATGAACTCATCAATTCTCCCAGATTAATAGTATCTCAAATTTTACCAAATGAGCTTTTGTATTCAGGACATTTATTTTCATTGCCTTTGCCTTTAATCAACCTGCAAATCTATTTTCCCTCACACTCTCCCCTTGCTTCTAGCCACCTGCCTCAAGAGGGAAGGGGCCTTCCTCCTTGGTCCTCAGGAACCTCCCCTCTCCAGCGATGCCTGCTCTGTCTTGTATCCACTGCTTGTGACTCTCAGCCTGCTCGTCTTCCACAGCTTAGACTGATATTCAAATCTTTCCCATCTGTAAAACAAAATCTTTCTGTGGCACAAAATTTCCCTTCCCATTCAGCCTTCATCCTCTTTCTCGTTTTCTTTCCCAGTCAAGCTTCTGGAGAGAGGAATATTTCCTGAGTTCTCTTTATTTCTCTTCTCCAATTAGCTCCTCTTCTCTATTGTCTGATTCTGCCCTCGTTTTTCCAATAAAACTGCTGCCAGGTGGAGCCATTAGGGACCCTCCGAGTGGCCACATCCAATCCACAGAGTAGGTATGAACCCGTTTTTTGTTCACACCTACTTTAACTTTCCTGCTGAGTATGTTTTTGTGAAGGATTGTCTCCCTCTTAAGACAATCTTCCTTTAGTTTTTCACACATTGTCTGTTCTCCTTTCTCCTTCCTACACCCCGGACTGCCCCCCTTCAGCTGAAATCTCAAGGCACTCTTTCCCTTTCATCCCTTGCAAATTGCCTCTGTCTTTGACTGCCTCCTCCTCTCATTCTCCTCCAGTGACTCTTCAAGTGTGGCTCTGGAATCATTTGTGTCAGAAACACCCAAGGAGCTTTCTGCTTACTAAAGGTGTGACTGGAGTTCTAGTCCAGACCGACTGTATGGAGTCTCTGGAGGTGGGTAGGAACAGGCATTATAAGCTGTCTCTCCTGGAGATTCTGACACTTTCCCTGGACCACACTTCCCCGCCCCCACTCCACACCCACCCTGACAGGGTCTTGCTCTGTCACCCAGGCAAGAGTGCAGTGGTATGATCACGATTCAGTGCAGCTTTCATGTTCTGAGCTCAAGAGATCCTCCCAACTCAGCCTCCCAAGTACCTGAGACTACAGGTGTGCACCACCACACTTGGCTAATTTCTAAATATTTTGTAGAGATGAGGCTTTGCTATTTAGCCCAGGCTGTGGGTCATACTTTTTCTGTGTGTGTGTGTGTGTGTGTGTGTGTGTGTGTGTGTGGGACAGGATCTCACTCTGTTGTTCAGGTTGGAGTGCAGTGCCGGGATCTCAGCTCACTGCAACTTCTGCCTCCCGGGTTCAAAAGATTCTCGTATCTCAGCCTGCTGGGTAGGTGGGATTACAGACATGCACCATTTTTGTATTTTTAGTAGAGACAGGGTTTCATAATGTTGCCGAGGCTGGTCTCAAACTCATGGCCTCAAGTGATCCACCGTCCTTGGCTTCCCAAAGTGTTGGGATTACAGGCACGAGCCACAGTGTCCGGCCTGTGGGCCTACTTTTTAATGCTTCCCAGTTCATCCTCCCCACTGCTGCCTTGACCCCATCCCATTGCTCTCCTCCTTAAAATCCTTCATGGGGCTCTCCTCCTTACAAACAGACGCTAAGCTCCATATCCTGGCATAAAGGACCTTTGGTGATTTGGCCCCTGTGCAGCTCTTGGGTCGCCCCCAACTCTCAAATCTGCTCTGTGCCCCGGAGATATCCTTAACACACCTGCTTGCTCCCACCCTGAGCCTGGCAGTTCCTGCTCTCCACCATGTTTCACTTGCACCCACCTTCAAATCTCAGAGTGGGAAACAGCTCCCGAACAAGAGGAAAGGCCTAAGCCCCAGTGTTGGCTCTGCCATTGATAAGTCACATGACATATTGATTATACAATCCTTGAGCCCCAACTCATATGTAAGCAAAGAGAGGACTTTAAACTGATTTCAGTTTTGGAATACTTAAAAAAAATCAGAAATACAAACTTCGTACAAATGTGTTGTGAAAGGTGCAGTAACAAGTCGTAGCCACCAGAGAGCACTAGAGGATCTCATTCAGCACAAGCGCGGGGCTTTGTCTCCATGACTTAGACTTCATTCTGGGGGTGGTCTACTCGAATTTGGGGCTGATGGGTGCCATCAGCTCCATGCCTAACCTTTATGTAAGAATATTATGAGACAGAGGAGCAGAATCTGTCACTTAAAAACTTCACTTTGGGGGAGGCAATGAAACTAGTCGTTAGTTGTCTTTAAATGCACAAATTTCAAAAGCAGCCCTTTCCGTGCTGGCTGGTGCATTTTGAAGGCTGTCCCAGTACTCCCACCCTACAGCTCATTTTTGGACCTCATATGCCGGACACATGGAGGGAGTTGTTTTGTTCGGGTTCTAGTGGAACCATCTGTACATTCCTCACTCTCTGTGGGGAGCAGGAATTGATCACAGGAAATGACCTCAGCTGCCTTGGGAAAGACGGACTTCCCATCCCTGCGGCTTTGAGCAAATCTGCTTAGTTGAGGGGCTGAGGAGGTAATTCTAGACCCTCCTGTGGCTGGGTTTGAATCTGAGACGCCTCTGAGGATCTGATGAAAGTCATGGACAATCCCCTCCAGAATACTCATAATATGCAGATTATTTCAGCAGCTTCGCAGACCTTTTATCTAGGAACCCAGGCTATGGACTATTTAGGGTTCCTCTCAGCTTTAAGAACCCAATGTCTTATAGTTGTACTTCATAACGAGCTATGCACATTAGCAGCTTTCTAATTTGTAGTAAGACTAAACTCTTGGTTATTTCCTCTGGAGAAGTGGGGGTGATGCATCCCACTGTTTAGGAATACCTCAATAGTGGATCATCCATCAGATCTGGGCTTTCCTATGAGCACTTCAGCCCCTTAGAGAGGGTGCATTCTGAAACTCTCCTGCAGGGGAGGCTAAAGAGCCACACATATCCCCAATGAGTCCCTGCTCGCTGGGGATGTGTCCTGGCCACGCAGGGAGGAAGTGAAGCTTCTTGCCATGTCGGTGTCCACATCTCAGTCCTGAGCTTTCTTTGTAAATCTTTCTGTGTTCTGGGAAGCTCCAGGGACTCTGCCTGCTTTTCTCTGCGCTGTACAGCTCCTCCATATGCTCCTACCTTTGGAGTTCTTTGCATCCTGAAGCTTGTGACCTAGAAGCTTCATAAGACAAAATAGCTAGCAATGACCTTGGGATTAAGATGCTCAGTCTTGTCTTGACTCTGCCGTTTATTAACTGTGGGACTCTCGGCCTCAATTATAAAATAGGAATAATAACTCCTATTTCTTATCTTATTGGGTTCTTTTATTTTTATTTAACAAATATGCACGGAGCGCCTGTTACGTGCCACTCCCCGTCCTTAGCACAGTTGATAGCAATGAATGGGACAGACATGATTCTCTGTCTTGATGAAGCCGACAGTCCAGGGTAGTTTGAGAATCAAATCAGCAAGTATCTGAACACCTTCTGTTAACTACGGAGTGCTCTACTCACACACTCTTCCTACTGCTTTTGCTTGATAACAACAACCTTGATCTAGAGAGCAGTGAATCATTTGAAAATTCGTAACACAGCTCCCTTCTGAGCATATAGCAGTGCCCTTGTGACATGGTGGGTGCAAACTCTCCTGGGGGTCACAGGGTAGAGCCCCTGACTCTCTCCCAGCCTTGACTGAACTCATAGGGTCTCCTGGGCTCTAGCAACAGCCATGTTTTCACCTCGTATGCGTTTTTTCCCCACAGTGCCCTGAGCCTTCCAGGAAAATTGATTCACCCAAACAAGCAGGTCAAGATTTCCATTTGATCTTATTGCTTCATGTGGTCCTAAATTCCCATAGCCATAGTTGCATATAGAAAGTAAATTAATATTAGTAATGGGGAGCTGGGAGGCCCTCAACTCCCATTTCTCATCTTATCCCCTTTTCCTCTCCAGGTCCACTGGCTGGGTCAGGCTCTGTGTCTGGGCAAGGAGCCATCAGTGGATGGGCTACAGATGAGCAGCAGTGGCCCAGTGGTTCTAACTGCTCAGAGGACTTCAGGCAAGAAAATGGGGCTCTTTCTTATCCCAAGGGCTCAGAAATATAAAATGTTGTCTCTAGCCTCTTCCCAATACTCCTCTCAGTTACAGAAATACCTGCTCCTCTTACCAGGTGGCTTTAAATGGACATCGAGGCATTCAGGCAAGACTTGCACGTTGAGGGGCTATGTTCACTCGGGAGAGGCTCTGTGTGTGTGAAGGTCACTAATATCTGCATTTTTATTGAAGAACATGTCAGACTTGAGCTATTTCTGTTCCATGAAAATTATTCAGAAAACTAATTTTTCTGGACAGAGTGAAAAAGGCAGGGACGGGAGGAATTAATGATTAGGGATTTTGAATTCCTCTCTCTTGCTTCTGAGAAAATTGAAAAATACATGTCAGTTCTGCATTAAAGAAGACATGCGGCTCACGCCTGTAATCCTAGCACTCTGGGAGGCTGAGGCGGTGGATCACCTGAGGTCAGGAGTTCGAGACCAGCCTGGGCAACATGGTGAAACCCTGTCTCTATTAAAAAAAAAAAAATTAGCTGGGTGTGGTGGTGCACACCTGTGATCCCAGCTACTCAGGAGGCTGAGGCAGGAGAATCGCTTGAACCCAGGAGGCGGAGGTTGCGGTTAGCTGAGATCGTGCCACTGCACTCCAGCCTGGGCAACAGAGCAAGATTCTGTCAAAAAAATAAAATAAAATAAACTAAAATAAAAAAGACGTGAAATATTCATGTACAAAAAAAATGTAAGGCAACCGCACGCACACATTCTCTGAACATCAGCAGTGTCCTAGGGGTGGGGTGAGGTGCTCTGAGGGCTCCCTCTAACCCAGCTGAGAGCAACTCTGCCCTTCCAGATGCTCAGCTCCAAAGCTGTGCTGGTGTTTCTGACCTCTCTTTTTCTCTCATGCCACACATCACACATCCGGCCAGCCAGGAAGTCCTACTGACTCCCTTTTTCAAGACATATCTAGTACCCACCCACCTGTCACATCTTCTACTGTCACTGCTGTGATCTGAGCTGTGATCACTTCTCTCCAGGATGATTGCAGTAGCCTCCTAGCTGGTTTCCCTACTTCTACCCTACACTCTGTTTTAAAAGCCACAGCCAGAGTCATCCTGTAAAGCAGAAGTCACATGGGTTTATTAAGTCAGTCCCCTTGTAAGCCCTTCTATTAAAAACAATTTTTAAATGATTTGTATTTTCTACTGATCACTGGAATATCCTGACAGACTGTGCAGAGCCTGCTTATTCTTTGTTTAGTAGCATTAACCATTACCAGCTCTTTGGCTAGAGTTTACTTCTTTTATTTATTCTTAAAGACAGAAAATTTCTGGAAATGAGATAACAGCAGAAATAGGTTGAGGTTTCTTCGAAGTTGTTAATTTTTACTTCCTGCTAGCTAAATTGGGCCTGTGGTTCTCCTGAGAAACCCAGAGCGGTGATTTTAGCAGAGCTCTGCCAGGGTTAGGTCCAAGGGATCCATTCAAGGCTGGCATAACATATCGATTGGGGAAAAATCAAAGAGCCCATGCAAAGTCTACCGGAAATAAATGAGTCTTGGATGAGCTTCATTAATCCGCAAACATTCCCTGCGTTTTCCTCCTCGCCCATGGTCTTTTCCTTCAAGGGGTTCTTTGCCAACCAAGTTCCTAGATCTTTATAATGCAAATGTGATCTGAACAATGGGCAGTAATATTGATGATAGCAAATAATTATTAAGCACCCTTTTGGTGCCAGGCACTATTCTAAAAATTTTATATCCATTCATTTATTCACTCATCCAACAAATCTGTTTTGAGTATGTGAATACAAAAGTATCTGAGATGGGTCTCTATCAATGTAGAAAGTTTATTTTGCCAAGGTTCAGGATACATCTGTGACACAGCCTCAGGAGGTCCTAATGACATGTGCCCAGTGGTGGCTGGGGCACAGCTTGGTTTTATGCATTTTAGGGAGACATGAGACATGTAAGATATACATTGGTTCTGTCCAGAAAGGCGGGACTACTCAAAATGGGGGTTTCTAGGTCATAGGTAGATAAGAGACAAAAGCTTGCATTCTTTTGGGTCTTTGATCAATATTTCACTGAAGACACACGCTACATATAAGAAGGGGTAGAGGAGAAATGGTCTTTTATGCCTTAGTCTGGCTCAGTGAATCTGCATTTTTGCATAAGCAATACGACAGAGGAAGCAATTGGATATGCATTTGTCTCAGGTGAGCAGAGGAATTACCTTGATTCTGTCTGTCCTTTGTCCTGCACCTATGAAGATAAGCTATCAATTTACGTTGTCAGGGTGAAATTCCACAGAACTGGTTTAGGGCAAAGATCTTGAGGCCCACAATGAATTTCCTTGCAGGCAAATTGTGAGGGAGGGATATAGTTTTTTAAAAAAATATTTGCAGCTATCTTATTTAGGATTAAAAGAGGAGGCAGTTTGCCTGATGCAGTTCCCAGCTTGACTTTTGCCTTTCACTTAGTGATTTGGGGGTCCTGAGATGTATTTTCCTTTCACAAACACTTATTGCATACATGAATAAACAAAACAGAAAAATAAATCCCAGCCCTCCAGAGCTTATAGTCTAGCACAGGGAGGCAGAACATATATGATAATCACATGAATAAGTAAATTATATTGTATGTTAGGAGGTGATGGGTCAGGGAAAAGAAAAGGAAATGAGAGCAGGGATTACAATTTTAAATAATTGTCATCCAGGTAGGCCTCATTGAGGTAGTGACATTTAAGCAGAAGCAGTAAGAAAGTTATCCCTGTGGGTAGCTGGAGGCACAGCGATCCAGGCAGAAGGACCAGCCAGTGCATGGACTCTCAGGGGAGAGCAACTTTGATGGTCCAGGGCCAGCAGGGAGTCCTGTGGCTGGAGTGGAGGAAGGAGGGGAATAAAAGAGATGAGGTCAGAGATAAAAGGATGGGCAGAGGCCATGAAGGGCCTAAGGGGCCACTGTAAGGGTTTGGCTTTCTCTCCAAATCCGGTAGGATCAAGTAGGGAGCCACTGGAGGACTTTAAAAGTGAGCTGACTTAATGCAACTTGTGTTTTACAAGATCTCTCTGACTGCTGAGTTGAGATGGACTGTAGGGTGTGGAATCCTGAGAAGGTAAGGAAGCAACAATGAGGAAGGGGCCCCAGGTGGGGGAGAACAATCCATGGGTATGATGACCTTATTTGGCAGGCACAATGACCTTATTCCACACATATCCCCCTTCAGCAGGATGCTAAAAAACTTTCCTCCAGCCCCTGCATCTTTGCAGATAGTCCTTTCTCTGCTGTGCTGCCCACTGCCACCTTGCAAAAAAATTTCATGCTTTCTCTAATAAATCTGCCTTTTTGTACCTACAACTCTCTTGATAAATTCCTTTACCACCTACGAAGTCAGCCCCAGCCAGTTACCCCCATGACATAGGGTGCCAAAGTGGAAGTCCAGAGACCAGTCGGAGGCGATTGAAATAATTCTAGGGAGAGATGATGATAGCTTAGCAGAGGAAGTGAGAAACGTTTAGATGCCAGATATGGTTTAAATGTAGCACCAATCAGACTTCTTGACTTAGTGAGTCTGTGGAGTGAGAGAAAGTGAAGAGTTAAAGATGACTACCAGGTTCTAGCCTGAGATCCTGGAAGGATGGAGTTGGCCATTACTGAGAGGGAGAAGAATACTGGTGAGTAGGCATGTGGAGGAAGATGAGGAGTCCAGTTTGGGACATGTTAAGCTTATTGGTATCTACCAGAGTGGGCAGCAGGACAGGTGAGTCTGGGATTCAGGGAACAGGCTTGGCTGAAGGTATACATTTAGAAGTCTTTGGTACACAAGTGGTAGTTAAAACCTTAAGCCTGGAAGAGCTTGCTGAGGAAATGTATGCACACACAGAGGAGGACCAAGGACAGGGCCCTGTGGGCTCCAATGTCAGGAGTCTCAGAGAAGATGAGAATGAGAAGGAGCAGTCAGTGAAAAAGGACAAAGAAAGACAAAGTGGTGCTGTCCCACAAGCCAAGGAAAGGAAATGCCTCAAGGAGGAAGCAAAGATTGGCTGCATCAAATGTTGCCGGTGGCTTAAGTAGGAGCATGGCTGAAAATCAACCACTGGGCTTAGCAATGTGGAGTCACTGGTGACCTGGACAAGAGCTCTTCATGTGGAGTCATCAGCATGAAAGCCTTAGTTCGAGTCTCTTTAAGAGAAAATAGGAGAAGAACTGGAGACAGTGAATATATCAACACAAGATTTTTTGCTGCAAAGTACTACAGAGAAAAGAGGGGGTGGAAGGCAGAGGAAGTGGAGTCAAAGGAAGCTAAAAACTATTATTTTTTATGATGGGACAAATAACAGCCTGTGTGGATGCCAATAAGAATGATGCAACAGAGTGGGAAAAACTAACACGATAGGGGAGAAAAGGAAGTGTTTTTAAAACAACGTCTTTGAGTAGTTGAAAGGGGGTAAGACCTAGCCACTGTAGGTAATTGAAGGGTTGGACTTCATGGTAGTCTACTAGGCTGCCATAACAAAGTACCACAAACTGGGTGGTTTAGGCAACAGAAATTCATTGTCTTACAGTTCTGGAGGCTGAGAGTCCAAAATCAAGGTGTGAACAGGGTTGGTTGTTCTGAGAGCTGTGAGGCAGAATCCGTTCCATGCTGCTCCCTGGCTTCTAGTGTTTGCTGGTAATCGTTGGTGTTCCTTGGCTTGTAGGTGCATCACTCTGATCTCAGCCTTCATCTTAATATGGCATTCTCCCCATGTGCACGTCTGTGAATACACTTTTCCTCTTTTTAAGGATCAGTCATATTGAATTAGGGGCCCACCCTCTTCCAGTATGACCTCATCTTAACTAATTAGATCTGCAATGACCTCATTTCCAAATAAGGTCACATCCTGAGGCCATGGGGATTAAGACTTTAACGTATGAATTTTTGGAATACACAAAGAACCCATAACAGCTTTAGAAAAGAGATGGAAAATTTGTCTTTAGTAATAAAAGGGAAGGTAGAGGATTCGTTTGAACATGCTGGCAGTTTTATGGATATATTTGTGACATTCCATAGAAAGCTCGTCTGATTGTTTCCATTCCCTCAGAGATGTGGAAAGCAAGGTCAGTGGCCGCAGGTGTGGGCAATGGCAGATTGAGGAGAGGGGAAGCTGCAAAATTGTTTCTAGCAGGTAGGAGAGTGAGTAGAATAAGAAAATACAATATGGTAGCCAGGTAGCTTTAAGGGCACACCTGTGGTCCTTTGTCCTATATTTAAAGCAGGGCAGTTTGTGTGGTCATGGGTTTTTCTCAAGCTCCTCTCAGTTGCATGGTAGTAGGCAGAGAGTAAAAGGAGAGTTTTGATTAACAAGAGTATTGGTTTTGCAAAGCGAGTACAGCACACAGAAGAGAAGGAGAGGCAAGGGAGTCGAGAGTAAATATAAAGAAGTTGTAGTGATAGACCCTGAAGAAAAAATTGGATAAGAGGGAAGAAAGGACCCTACGTGGAGATACTATGATTACACCAATTTTACAGGTGTGGAAAGTGATACACAGAGAAGTTAAGTACTTTTTGAGGTTTGATCAATGGCAGAGCCAGAATCCAAACCCAGGCAGTGTGGCTCAAAGCACATAGCTCCCTATGAGAGACACAGGATCAGAAAGGTGGGAGGATGGAGGCAGGAAAGACAGGGCATCAGATTAGAGTTACAAAACTGATTCCTTCTGCTGACTCCCCACGTAACCTCAAGGAAGGCATTCCTGTTCCCTGTAATATGATATTCCATGACTGCAATGATTCCCCTCTCATCTTTGGAGAAGGATCACTTTAATTTTACCAACCCCCCCATCCTCCCTTCCTTTCTTTCCTTAAATGTACACAATGTTTCACTATTCACAAAATCTTTTATATTCATTTTCACACTTTGTGTCCACAGTCACCTATGATAGCAGTTATTATTATTTCTACTTTCAAGATAATACAATGTGGCTTGGGATAGTGAAGAGATGAACACAAAAGCTGGCTAATAGCAGATCTAGACTTCAAGTCTAAATCTTTAACTTTAAATTCAATTCTCTTTCCATTTCCTAAAATGTTTTCTTCTAAAAATAGTGTTTTCCTGAGTTTGAAATAGGTGAATTGGAGAGCAGGTGTATCCCTGACAGTGGAGGAGTTTGCACTAGATTAGCACTCTTCTGAGATTCTGCAGAATAAATTCAAGCAGTGATTGTGGTGTTAGAGTAAATGACTGCTCACATGCTTTCCACCCTTGATTCTAGGATATGTCAGGGAATAAATGTCTATGTTAACAGAAGAAAGCCTTAATTAGAATGTTTATATCATGTTTAGTATGGCAGGTGAATTTATCTTATTTGTTCTTGGGGCTGTTTTCTATATAAACAAAAATGCTTCCAAAATATTTGGTAAGCTTCCTTAGTGAAGTGTATTAATTTGAACATTCATTCATTAATCCATCAAACTTTTATTAATCCCTTGCTATGTGCCTGGAATTGTTCTAGCTGTTATATCTTTGTCTTTAGGAAGTTCAGTTAAGACAGACCTATAAATAAACATTCACCCTATAAATGCTGTAGGAGAAATATGCCCTAAGTATTAAGGAACACAGAGCTGGGATTGAGTCACTACCTGGGCAGAGGAAGGAGGACTTCAAGTTGGAGGTGACATTGAAGCTTCTTAGAAGAGTTTTCCTGGTAGTGCAGGGGAACAATCGCACAGCCACCACAGCTCTCCCGAGACTGGTCTTGGCACGGCCTCACACCTGGAATGACAAAGCCCGTACCACACTCACACTTTAAGACAAGCAAAGAGCAGAATGATTCTTTCAGCTCTGAGAGGCCATGAGATTCAAAAGACAGACACTGTGACCAACACAATTAGGGACAGGAAAGAGGGCATGAGCAGGCAGAATTGAGGTTTCATCTAGGCTTCTTGGGTAAGACAGTAATGTTTCCTTCAGGGTCTATTGCTACAACTTCCTTGTATTTACTCCCAACTCCCTTGCCTCTCCTTCTCTTCTGTGTGCTGTACTCGCTTTGCAAAACCACAACCCTACCCAGGCTTGTTGTCAATCTTGTGTTTCTCCAACCAATAGAAAAAACAAAGTCTTCCTGTTTCAGGGGGAAGGACAGAGGATTGGCATGGAGAAGACTTGACAAATGACCTACTCACTGCTAGCCAGATTCCCGGCCCACCACTTCTCCTTCCTGAGCCACAGCTTATACATTATGGAGCTGATCTGGTCTCTGGTAATGAGTTTATGGATGACTTTTTTCATATTGTTTTATCTTTACTTTCCATATTTGCTGCAATGAAAATGTTTTAATTAACCTTGAAATATTAATGTATTAACCTCAAAAAAGTGAAAATATAGGGATTGAAGTAAATGGCTTCTAAGACCCATTCTAACTTAAAATCTGATTTTAAAAAGAGAAGCAGTAGAGATAGAGGGGAAAAGAGGAGAGCGTATGACTTTTGATGACTATAATACATTCTTTGAATGTCTTTTCATAGTGGCTCTAATTTATTAAGCTTCAGGTCTTGTGGAAAACACTTAAATTATTCAAGTTAACTATGCACACGTAACCACTAGGGTCTGGCCTTTTAAACTCATGCATTCACCCTAGAATAAGGAAAGGCAACATAGTGAAATGTTTAAAGGATTTTTTTTTGTCTTTGGATTATATTTGGGTTCATGTATTTCCCAAGTGTCTCTGAGCCCAGTGCTAATAAAATTCAAAGAGAGGCCCGCTTCCTCTATATGTGAGCATTGGCAGACTACTTCCCCAGACCTAGAGGGTCTCAAGACCCACTAGTAGTGCTGTCAGTCTTCACCTTGAACTCCCTTCGCAGAGCCAAGCAGCAAGCCGGATGAATGAGTGCTACAGGACAGTGCCTCCTAGTGCTGTGGCCCCAGAGGCAGGGATGTACCTGTGACATCCAAGAGAAGCTGGAACCCCTCCACCTCCCATGCCCAAGTCTGGGCACAGCCACAACTCATTGCCTAGAACATATCCCATTCCTCCACCACAGGACTAGAGTCAGATTTTGGTAAAGAAAGAGCACTCTCAGATGGCCTTGAAAGTCATCTCTAATACAAAGTTGAATATGTCACAAATAATCGCTAAGTATTTAAGGAAACAAATATTGAGAAAGAAAGGAACAAAACTTAACAGAAAATAGCACCATAGGAAAGAGAAAATTCAGTAAATAAAATGTAGAAACTATAATTAATATTTACATTTATAAAATAAGAACAAGCTGTTATAAAAAAGTACCAATTAAAGATCTTAGAAATGAAAAAAAAAAGCTGGTTGAGAAGAAAGTCAATAAATGGGCTGCAAAGACTCATTGGATATACGTGAAGAGAAAGGTTGTGTGCAGCAAGACTGAATGGAGTGATTCTGCCAGTACTTAAAACTGAAGGACTGGCCGGGCATGGTGGCACACACCTGTAATCCCAGCTACTCCAGAGGCTGAGGCAGGAGAATTGCCTCAACCCGGGAGGCAGAGGTTGCAGTGAGCCGAGATCGCGCCACTGAACTCCAGCCTGGGAGACACAGTGAGACTCTATCTCAAAACAAACAAAAACAAACAAACAAACAAACAAACAAACAGAAGGACCAAGAGATAGAATATATGGGGAAAGTTAAGACATTCGGAGGATAGTGTAAAAATTCCGGTATCTATAATAATAAGAGTAAAAGATGGAGAGAACAGACAAAATGAATGAGAAAAAAATCAAAGACACAATATAAGATAATATCCTAGTGCCAGAATTTTTTTTTTTTTTTTGAGACAGAGTCTCACTCTGTTGCCCAGGCTGGCATGCAGTGGCATGATCTCGGCTCACTGCAATCCCTGCCTCCCGGATTCAAGCAATTCTCTGCCTCAGCCTCCCAAGTAGCTGGGATTACAGGTGCCCGCCACCACACCTGGCTAAGTTTTTTGTATTTTTAGTATAGACAGGACAGGGTTTCACCATCTTAGCCAGGCTGGTCTTGAACTCCTGATCTCGTGATCCACCCACCTCAGCTTCCCAAAGTGCCGGGATTACAGGCATGAGCCACTGCGCCCAGCCTAGTGCCAGAATTTTTAGATTGAAAGGGCACACCAGGTTTCTAAGCAAAATGAGTGGGAAGAAACAAATCAACCCTAGATATATTCTAGCCAAATTTTGGAAAACGAAGGCAAAAACAATATAAAAGCTTCTAGAAAGAAACCAAAGATTATGTACAAAGGAGAAAGAACAGAACAATAATAAACAACAAGCTTCTGGTTGGCAATAATGGCCTCAAGAGACAATGGAATAGTATAGTATCTTCAATGTTATGAGGGAAAATAATTTTGAACCCAGAATTCTGTACCGACTCAAGTGATCATTGAAAGGCAAGATCAAAATAAAAGTATTGCAGGATACAAAAGTCTGCACAATTCTCACTATAAGAATTCCTGAAAGCTCTAATCTTTAAAATGAAAAAGGAATACAATGGGAATTCATAAGAGAGAGAAACATTCTTGAGTAACGAAAGAAAATTTAAAATTAAATCTCAATAATTGTTGGACTATAAAAAATCAATATTATGCTAGATCCCAACCCCCAAATGATCCCTATGTAGGATGTGGGTAGTAGGAAGTTATTGTTTTCGTTATTATAAATAAGGGAGACTATAGATAGCTTAATTTTAGATATACAAAAATGTTTATTGTGTTGTTTGGACTATAGCAATAAGTGTGAACTGCTTTTGGAGTTTGAAAGGAAAATCAACAAGATATGAATAAGAAGAAAAAGAAAACACTCCTTCATTAAAATGGGAATAACATTCTTAGCGAACATCTCAATTGCTGAATAATTCCTTAACTTCCTTCTAACATCTGTTGGTTGACTATCTAAATGAGAGTAAGAATGGGCAATATTTACAAGGCTTAATGCTCAGGCCCCACTCCACATCAGTTAATAAGAATTTCTGGCCTAGAATAGTGGCTTATGCTTGTAATTCCAGCACTCTGGGAAGCCAAGGCAGGAGGACGGCTTGAAATCATAAGTTCAAGACCAGCCTGAGCAACATAGTGAGACCCTGTCTCTACAAAAAACAAAAATAAATTATCCAGGCATGGTGGTATGTGCTTGTAGTCCCAGCTACTTGGGAGGCTGAGGCAGGAGGATCGCTTGAGCCCAGGAGTTCAAAATTGCAGTAAGCCATGATCATGCCATGGCACTCCAGTCTGGGCAACAAAGCAATGCCCTGTCTCTAAGAAAAAAAAAAAAAATCTCTAGAGGTGGGACCCAAGCATCAACAAGTTTTAAAATTCCCCAGGTGAGTCCAATGCAATGTGAAGCTGGGTTTGCTAACCAGAAGAATAGAGAACAGGTCCTTCAAGGGAAAAGGTCTCATTTCAGGTGGGACTAGATGGCAGAGTGATAGTGGGAGGGTCCCTGTACCCTCAGACATTCATTTTGAAATCTCGCGTCTCTCTGAGTTGTGAGAGCTGGTATGGAGGAGCTCCGCAGGCCCTGCCAGAGCTGAGGAACCCCAATTCTGTAAGACCAGTCTCAGAAAAAATAGAATCCACTTACTCTCTTCTAAAATGTTCCACATGGACCCACATGAGTGCGGAGCTCACCTGTTCCTGGTGGTCAGAACTGGTACCCATCCTGCTGCTCTGTTTGTGCAGGTGCAACCAGACATGGGGCCCTTCTCTTTAGGAATTTGTTAGGCATTTGTCCACAGCCATGGGTCAAAAAGCCCAGGAAGATGTTCTCGGTTTACAATAGTGGTCAGGGCCCTTGCTCACAGCTGCTGGTCCCAGGGCCAAGACTTGCCCAGCTTAAAATTCCTTTTCCTCTCCTCCCTGCCTGCTCAGGATCTACTCAGCTTCTCTGGGAAGATATCACTCCTTTCTCTGAACTTCTGGTCTCTTTTTTTAATTGTCTTCCATTATTACTTAAATATTTGCTATCTTGGCTCCTAAGTGGATGTGCCCTTCCTATCTGGCATTTCTTTTGAAATTCCCGGTATTAGTCCATTTTCACACTGCTATGAAGAAATACCCCAGACTGGGTAATTTATAAAGGAAAGAGATTTACTTGACTCACAGTTCCACATGGCCAGGGAGGCCTCAGGATACTTACAATCACAGTGGAAGACGAAGGGGAAGCAAGCATCTTCTTCATAAGGCAGCAGGAGAGAGAAGAGCAAAGGAGAAACTTCCAAACACTTAAGAAGCCATCAGATCTCATGAGAACTCACTAGCTATGATGATAGCAGCATGGGGGAAACTGCCCCCATGATCCAGTCACCTCCCTCCCTTGACATGCAGGGATTACAATTCGAAATGAGATTTGGATGGGGCACAAGCCAAACCATATCACTCCCCCAAACACTTGTTTGGTTCCAATGTCCAGTGTAATGAAGAAGCATTTAAACCTGCCGTCTCTGCATGTGCTCCCACTAGAACCCACCAGTGTGTGTGTCAGTCTCCTGAACCATTCGCTTCTTTTCCTCTTTGCTGATATTTGTATTCCGTCAGACAATTTAGGTACAATTTGTGTTTGACATGATGAAATGCACATGCCTTTACATGGCATGAGCTCTTCCCCATCCAGCACTCATCAGCCTCATGAAACACCACACCCTCTGCCTTCCAGTTAAAATGGATTCTCCAGCCACCTCTCTAAGGCTCTGCACATTTGCTGGGAGAACATGCCACTCAACCTAGTTCTCCATTCATCATCTCTAGAAGCCTTCATGGACTCCCCATTCAGAGCTGAGCTCTCCTATCTCTGTGTTCCCTCACCATTGTGTTCCTCCTTCATGGCGCAGTCATCACGATGGTAATTTCTGTTGTTAAACCACAGGAAACTAGAAAACAGAGGTCAAGTCTCTGTCTTCACGTGTGACTAGCACAGTGCCTAATGAAGATAAATATTTATCAGCTGAATGAATGAATCAATGATTGATTGATTCTTAGATGACTAAAATCATCTAAGACCCCAATTGACAAAGGAAAGCAAAGATCTTGAGCTGGGCTAAAAACCAGAGTTTAACATGAGAATCTGTTAAATGCTTACTCCCATTTACGTCTCTTCAGCCCAAAAGATTCAGATTCAGTAGGACCAAGGCAAGGCCTGGCAAACACATTTTTAAAAGCCTCCCAGTTGAGCCTAATTTATCAGCTCTGGCGACCTGCTGATGACTTGAGGATTCTTCTTTGGGAAAGTCTGTGCTTTTGCCTTTCTCCCAGGGCTCAGGGACAGGAACAATGTGGCAAGAATCACTGGATCTGTTTGGCCCCTCACTCTCTAGGGAGGCTGAAGAGGCCACTTACTTCTCTAGCATTCTAACCCTGCATAAGTAAAACCATTTACAGCCTGACTCCCACGGAGGGCTGTGTCCTAGGCAAGACAGTCCTGTGCCCAAGCAGAATGCAGAGCCACGGAGCCTAGCCTGAGATTTGCATTTTGGCTAACTTCTAAATCCAAGAGGATTTGAGGAAAATAGAGCAACATTTTGCTATTAGGGTCCTGTCATCTCATTACTGCTTGATGTGATTGACAACCCTGGTATGAGCAGTCTGCCTTTCAGCCTCCGTCTTTTTCTAATGAGTATTGACTCAGTGTTTTCCTTTAATTAATATTCATTGCGATAAAAAATGGCACTCATTCACTTTTAATTATACCCTTCTTGCATAAACAGGCTTTTAATAACAGATCTTTTAGGGTGAAAAAACAAGCTCTCTGCTCCCAGCTTTGTCTGATGCCAGGAAAGCAGCCTCTGTTATTGATAAAGGGGATTTCAATTTGTTACTTGGTGCAGTGGAAGGAGCTGTGGGTGGAAAGTTAGCTCTTCTACTTCTAGCTCCAGCTCTGCAAAAGGTATTGGAGGTTCTTGGGCTAACTCCGTTCCCCCTCGCGCCTCAGCCTTTGTATCTGAAAAATGGTGATTGAACCAGATCAGTGGTTCTCATCCATTACTGTATATTGGGATCACCTAGGGAAATTATTTAAAAATACCAAAGACCAGGCCACATTCCAGACCAACTACATGAAAATCACTATGAGTAGGACCAAGGCACCACTATTTTAAAAAAGATTTCCAGATGAAAATTCTTAAATACTGAATACTTCAGGATTGATAACTGCTGATATGGGCATCACTCTCACCAGACTTCGAGTGACTTGGGGCTGCTGCTTGGGTTTCGGATCACACAGGACCCAGGAGAGAGGCTGGGCTCGGCCTCATGCAGCAGCTCAGCTCTGCTCTGTGTTGCTCTGTGCTGAGGGATCACTGCCTGTGGAGGGCTTAGTGGTCTACTCTCAAAGAGGAGAGGAGAGGAGAGAATAATATTCGTGAGCACCAGCTATGTGTCAGACACATTCAACATTTCATCTGTCTGTCATCAGATATGTGTATTTCATGTCCGCTATGTTCCAGGTATGGGGGATTTAACAGTGATGAGTTAGGCAGTTTTTGTCCTCATGGCACTTATGAAATAGTAAGGGAGAAAGACTTTATTTTTTATTTTATTTTATTTTTTGGAGATGGGATTTCATTCTTGTCGCCCAGCCTGGAGTGCAGTGATGTGATCCCAACTCACTGCAACCTCCACCTACCAGGTTCAAGTGATTCTCCTGTCTCAGACTCTTGAGTAGCTGGGATTACAGGTACCCGCCACCATGCCTGGCTAATTTTTGTATTTTTAGTAGAGATGGAGTTTCGCCATGTTGGCCAGGCTGGTCTTGAATTCCTGACCTCAAGTGATCCACCCACCCTGGCCTCCCAAAGTGCTGGGATTACAGGCATGAGCCACTGTGTCAGGCCGGGAGAAAGACTTTCAACTGGTAATTGAAAATTACACAAGTTTAAGGAGTTGCAGAGGAAAAGTACAGGTTGCTATCAGAGCACAGAAGAGTTGCGGGGGAATGTTTGTGAGGGAGACCTTCTTTAGGAAGCAACACTTAAGACCTAAGGCCAGAGGACAGGAAGTTCATTCAGTTAATAGATGGGGAGGAGCATTTGAGTCAGCTAATGCTCCTGCAAGGCAGAGGTTGCCACTCTTATTTTACAGATGAGCAAACAGGCCCAGAGAGGCTCAGTGCTTTTCCTGAAGTCCGGAGAAACCGCTGTGGTTCTTTTCAGCCCTGAGGGATATTAGCAACCACTGAAATCACATGTGGGGCAGAAATGGACAAAATGATTGGCTGCAGCTGAACACTGTAGGAATAAGCTTGGAGTAGGGAAGGATAGAGTAGGCAGCCTAGAGGCAGAAAATGCCACCTGCTCCGCTGCACAACAGGCCACATGTAGTCCTGGGAAGCCCATCATGCTGTCCAACACGAATTCAGGATGGGAAGGAGTTCTTTGTGAGGCAGGTGGCATGACAAAAGGAAGGGTCTGACAGCCAGTGATAGCTGCATAATCCCTGCAGGTGGTCAGAGCAGGGCAATCTTTCCATTAGCAGCAGGTCTCCCATCAGCCTAGGGTTCAGACTCTGAGAAAAGCCAGACAATGCCTTTCCAAGCAGAGCTGGACAAGGCCATCATGCAGCTCTCCTAGGGAATGAGGTGAGCACCACATCTTGATGTCTGGGTGGAGTTTAGATGTGACTGAGACAAGAGATCAGAGCCAGTTCGGGGCTCGGAGGACTTGACGCTGAGGTCCAGAGCTTGGGCCTGAGGTGGTTTAAGTGCCTCAGCCTAAGGATAGGGTCAGTGCTGAAGGTTGCATCCAGCCTTATCCTAAGAGAGGGGTCCTATAGTTCTAGCAGTGGAGGGAGCAGGTATGCAGAGGTGGGAGGCAGGCAAAACTTGACCGTCCATTCCAATGGTTCTCAGTGGGCGTGAGAACCATTCCTTTCTCTAGAGAATCTGCTTCAGCATATCTGGGGTGGAGAATGGACATCTTTACAAAGCTCCACTGGCAATTCTAATGCAAAATTTTAGTTGAGAATAACTGATCTAAATCAACGTTTTCAGTTTTCAGATGAAACTGTGGCCTGGAGAGACGTGACTTGCCTAAGGTCACATGAAGATCAGAGTCAGAAATGGGATTAAAACCCTGTTTTCTTCCTTCCCAGTTCAGTGTGCCTTAATGTTTGTGCTAGAAATTAACATTAACAGCAGTAAAAATAGCTCTTAAAATGCACTTGCCGTTCACAAGGTGTTTCCGTGCTTTTGATATCATCTGATCTTCCCAACCAGGGCTTATTTATGCCTAGGTAAGGGGTAAGCAAACAGAGGCTGTGTGAAGTGAAATGATTTGCTTGCACAAGGTCATATGGCTGGGCTTGGACGAGAACTTATCCCTCTTTCCTAGTCCTGAGATCTTTTTCCTGCTTCAAGCATCAGATTATAAAGCTAGGCTTTAGGCTTTTGTCCCAAGAGGCAAGACCTGACCTTTCTCAATCTGGATGGTCTAATGGCCTCTAGTCCATTTCCTGTGCCTGCCACCAGCAAGCCCTAATGGAGCACAGCAGTAAGGCTAAAGGGGAGCCTTGTAATTAGTGGCCCAGAGGCATAAGTGATGTTTGGACAACCGGCTGGCCGGCTGCAGTGCATCTGGCACCCCCAAGGGCTCCAGAAACCAGAGCCAAAGTGCCGAGAACATCAAACTCAAGTGTCATCAAGGCCTGAGCTCAGCTGCTCCCTCAGTATTTGCAAAATGTCCTGCCCACACTCTTCCTCCACATCTTCCCTTGGTCATTTTCAGGAGCAGATGAGCTGAGGTTACATGCAGCTGATCCCAGACCTGCTGGTTAATTATCTTGGCCTGTAATTAGTGTTTCCTATTCCTCATGCCTTGCCAACTCATGAAGTTAATGTATCACTTCTCTCTCTGCAGAAACTCCTTTGGGAGGGCTCTGAGGTGGCCACAAAATAAAACTCTCTGGCAGCGGCAGACTTTTGAAGATGTTCCATCTGCTGACTGTCCCATCACCCCGAGCCAACCCCTTGCCATCATCCCTGACTCTTTTCTCCATGTCAAACTCTACACCAGTCATCAGGTCTTGCCAAGGTTCCCTCCTGAACATTTCTTGGAGGTAACTTTGTTTCTCCATCTTTATGTCCTTTGATTTGCTCAGCACTCACTGTCTCTCACTTGGACCTCTTAGAATATTTTCTTCCGAATCTTCCTGTCCTGGTCCTGCAGGCATCTCCTCTGCAACATAGGGCAGATTGATCTTTCTTTTTTTTCTTTTTTCTTTTTTTTTTGAGACAGAGTCTCCCTCTGTCACCCAGGCTGGAGTGCAGTGGCGCGATCTCGGCTCACTGCAACCTCTGCCTCCCAGGTTCAGGCAATTCTCCTGCCTTAGCCTCCTGCATAGCTGGGACTACAGGCATGCGCCACCATGCCCAGCTAATTTTTTGTATTTTTTAGTAGAGACAGGGTTTCACCATATTGGCCAGGCTGGTCTCGAACTCCTGACCTCAGGTGATTGGCCCGCCTCGGCCTCCCAAAGTGCTGGGATTACAGGCTTGAGCCACTGAGCCCAGCCACAGAGAAATCTTTTTAAACTGCCAGTTTGGCTGTGTCACTCTCCTACTTCAAGTCTAGCTGCGTGAGTTTCACATATAATGCCCTCTGCAGTACAGCCTGCCTGTTTTTCTACCCTCTCTTCCACCTGGCTTTTATACTGTACTAATTCAGAACTGCTGTATTTACTCCCTCTTCTCTCCTGTGCATATCCCAACACATATGTACATGTGCATACACACATGTCTTCTCACATATGTACACACACATCATCCATCCATCTGCTCCATGATCAGGAGGACAGAAGAGGGGATAGAAAGGGGACTTTACTGCCTAAAGCAAACACCCTCAGTGCCAACATGAGGAATGGGAGAACAGACTCATTCTATGTGGACTTGAAGACAGGACTGAAAACTGTGAGTTCATTTCAATGTAAAGAATCATTACTTGACAATTGAAGTTGTCTGAATACATGGCGGGCGCCCCGGGAAATAGTGAGCGTGCCGCTGGGATAACTCAGCACAGCCTGTCTGTCTCAGATGCTTCAGGTGCAGTTCTCACTCTGGGCATCACCTGGGAGTCAGTGACCTTCAGGTGACATTCTGATTGCATGATTCTATAAATCTCTGATAAAAAGTCCAGATCCAATTCCGCTATTTCCAGAAAAGACTTTCCTGTTTGAGGAAATCTCTCACCTCCCCAAACATGGTGCTCCCATGTAATCTACTCATGGGGGTGGATCAAACAGTCATAATCCACTCTGTTATCTCCTCTTCCCACTAGCTTATGACAAGAATCTGAGCCCAAGAGAGAAGAAGGGATTTGCCTAAAATTACAGAACTGCTAAGGGAGCATAATTAGGGTTCCTAACCATTAGAAACCCCCCCACCCGCACACACATACACTCCACACACTTCCCCTACATGGCCAGTCTGCATTAGACACTGAAAGCTTTACCACACACAACCCCACGCTCGAATTGCTTCCTATGTTCAGTGGAGTCACACTTGCTCTCATTTAACTACCTGAGCTTGATGGGGAAGAAGAGCAGGAAAGTAATTTGAACAGTTTGGGGAGGCCGCCTGACCTTCTGCTCATTAAGCAGAGCCCCAGCCCAGGCTGAGGGTAGGATGGCAGCCGAGTGCCTGCCGTTTCCTCAATGTGTCTCATTCCCTGAGTGCTGCTCAGAGTTGTAGGCATCCTGAATTACACGGCTGCTAAACGCAAGCTGGCGACTTCATCTGAGGCATTATCCACAAGCAGAAATCATTTCCAGCCCTGGAGGACCGACTGCTGGCATCGGACTCATAGAGGAATGTAAAGTCAATCTGCATTGTGGGGACTTTCTGAGAGGGTTAAGAGGGAAATTATGATGCTGTATCCTTTCCCTTCGCAAGCTGCAGGTTTTAGGGTACTGCTCCACTGTGTGAGGTCTCCCACCACTTCTGGTGCAGACCACATGATGGGAAGGCATCAGGCTTCCTTTCTGCAACTTGTACTCCTCACAGCAGCCTGAGAAGGGATGGTGCTGGGCACCCAGTGTTTCAGGAAGTAGTTATTGAATAGTTGCTTAGAAAAGAACTTACCTGCCTGGGCACAGTGGTTCACACCTGTAATCCCAGCACTTTGGGAGGCCGAGGCAGGTGGATCACGAGGTCAAGAGATCGAGACCATCCTGGCCAACACGGTGAAACCCCGTCTCTACTAAAAATACAAAAATTAGCTGGGTGCGGTGACACACACCTGTAGTTCCAGCTACTTGGGAGGCTGAGGCAGAAGAATCTTTTGAACCAGGGAGGTGGAGGTTGCAGTGATCCAAGATCATGCCACTGCATTCCAGCCTGGTGACAGAGTGAGACTCTGTCTAAAAAAAAAAAAAAAAAAAAAAAAAAGAAAAGGAAAAAAATAAAAGAAAACAACTTACCTTAGCCTTTCAGGATTGGTGTGGTATTAACAGAAGGAATATTAGTCTAACAGTTAGGGACCCCAAGTATGCTCTCTTACCAGTTCTGTGATTTTAGGCAAATCTCTTCCTCTCTTGGGTTCAGATTCTTTATCGGTGTGTGGGCGGCAGCAGGGTGGAGAGGGAGAAGGTAATTGGATTACAGGATGGCCACTCTCCCTTCCCATGTGGATATGCTAGGATTTTCTGAGTTTTTTGTTTCAGAGGTCAGCAACATTTTTCTGTAAAGGGCCAGAGGGTTTAGGCTTTGTGGACCACATGGACTTTGTCACAGCTACTCAACACTTCATCGTTGTGTGAAAGCAGCCATAGACAATAAATAGATGAATGAGCCTGGCTTTGTTTCATTACAATGTTCTTTACAAAGCAAGTGGAAAGCTGAACTTGGTTTGCTGATCCCTGGTTTGTAGGTGCTTGTTCTAGCCTCTTCTGTCTATTCTCCACACAATAGGGCTTTCTTACTCAGGCTGAAGTGAGTGGTGGGGACTCCTTTCTAAACCAGTCTGTTGCCTACCTGTGGCAAGACTCCTTACTTCTCCTCTGCCAGAGTCAAAGGATTCCAACTGAAGTAAGACTTTTCTTAGATTATTTCAGAGTTCTGCTTAATTTAGAGGCAAGAACCATGTGGTAAGAAAAAGTAACAGCAGTTGAACATCTTCACTTCTGCCATAGAAGCCCAGGTTTTCAAGACATCCCAAATCACTACGATGAGAGAAACATTTAGCTAATAACTAATATGTTCAATCTTTTCAGTAACAAGACCTATAGAGAATATCTCAAGAGCTGGACATATTTGCCTCCTAAGCTTGATATCCAAAGTCCTCTTGATTTAGCGTCAGCACCTTTTATACAAACTCCTATAACTACTACCAGACATGGCATCCATTCTGTCACTTCTAAGCTTCAAGCAAGGTGATCAGCCTATCTGTGCCTCAGTTTTCTCAATCAAATGAAATAATTTGTTTCAAGAGCTCTGCACAACTCCTGGCATACAGTAGGCACTTGATAAATGCTGTGGATTAGCTCCTTGTACCATGAACAGTCCTCACACTCACCTGCCTCTCAGGTAGTGCCTTGACTCACCTTCCTCCTGGCATGTCTGCATTCTTCTCATTCTCAAGATTCAGCTCCAATATTGACTGGCTAGGAAAGTTTTCCCGATTCTCTTGGTAAGAATAATCTTCCCAAGTTCCACTCACTCCTTAATTGAACCTCCTACTTCTACATATCACAGTTATTTTCTACTTTGTCATAGTTTGTTAGTACCTGATACTATAAATATCTTAGGAACAAAATAGGTCTCCAGGTCTTTTCTGGATCCTCTCCAAGGTGCTGAACCAAGGGCTTCAATATATAAAGGATTCTTGGTAAGTGTTGGTTGAATTCATCAATTAGGTAAATCAAACAAAGCCTCAACAGCCAGATTGATTTTCCTTTCATTTTGCATTCTTCTTACACTTTGGTTTCATGAGGATGGGGCTCTACTGTCAGTTTCAAGTCTCATTCATTTCCTAACAAGGCTCATTAGTTTTCAGAATATATTGGACATAACTGACAGAGATGTGATTTTCATCCAAGTTTCTTTCGAGCATGGGGGAATGGACTTTCTTGATAACTTGTATCCTATAAATGTATCCATTTACACCACATCTAGGCCCAGACTGGAGGCTTTGCGTTCTGAGCCTCTGAAGTAGTAGGAGCAGGTGGGCTTGGAGTCTAGGACTCGAGAGAAAATTTGTCAAATTTTACTAATTAATCTGGGATTCCTCTCTCCCTCTGCCTGACAGGGTGATGCCAATGGGCTGCAGCTAGTTATTTTACTGGAGAATTCCCATTGTAATTTTTTCTGTCATTAGTGAAAGAGAAGTCTGTGTGCATTAGCCACATGTTGCAGTCATACTTTACCCCAATTTACAATACATATTTGCTCCTCCTTGATTTCAAATTCATGGAGTTAAATTTAACTTCAGGGAGATTTTGGTTCCCAGGCCTACAACACTTGCCAAGTACTGAATAAATCACAGGTTTTAGAAAATTGAAAAGGGACTCGGAGATTAAGGATTTGAAGGTCCTATGCATCAATCTCCCCCAACATTTCTGAGAGAGGGTTGCGTGCCTTCCTTACAAATGCTTCTAGTGATGGGATGTTTTATTACTATTTGAGGCAGTCCATTTTTTTTTCTTTATTATAACTCTCATTCTCATTGACATTAATAGCAACATCAGCTTTCTTTCTAATGGTGGTTTATCTCCCATAAAGTATTTTCACGTTTGTTTTGTTCGATTTTTCACAAGGTTACTGGGGAGTAGCCTGGGTTTATTCTACCATGACTGCTTCACTGATGAGGAACATAGGTCCCTCTGGCTCCCCACCATGAATCTAGTGCAGGGTCCTCTGACTCTACACATAAGGTGCTTTCAAAAAGGAGTTCCCAGCTGGGCGTGGTGGCTCATGCCTGTAATCCCAGCACTTTTGGAGGCCAAGGTGGGCAGGTCACCCGAAGTCAGGAGTTCAAGACCAGCGTGGCCAACATGGTGAAACCCTGTCTCTACAAAAATACAAAATTAGCCTGGCGTGATGGTGTGCACCTGTAATCCCAGCTACTTGGGAGTCTGAGGCAGGAGAATCACTTGAACCCAGGAGGTGGAGCTTGCAGTGAGCCAAGATCGTGTAGCACTGCACTCCAGCCTGGACAACAAGAATGAGATTCCATCTCAGGAAAAAAAAGTCCCTTTTTAAAGATAGTAATTATTTTTACTTTCCAATTTACAAATAATGGAATGTATTTTCTAAGGGGGTAGAAGGGAAATGAAATATTCTATCTATATGCTTTGAATTCACTCCCTGTCTCAGCACTCACTATGTGGCCAGAGACCAGAGAAGAAAGGAAGCCTGGAAGAGGTCCCACCTACCTGACTGCAGCCTCGGTTTTCATGGAGATGATTTAGGCAGTGTCTGGGGATCTGCTTGCCATGGATGATAGCCTGCCCCTCAGAGGACAAGGAGAAAAGTGTGGGAGAAGCCCGGCCTTACAGTTAGTATACAGCTCGTAGCCCCAGGAGAAGCTCAGCCTTGCTGACACCAGCTATCCTGGTGGGTCTCAGTCCTGTAGAGGGGCACGGCTCTTTAGCAGTGCTCACTTTTCCCTCTCCCTGAACCTGGAGAAGTTGGTGAACCTAATGGCCTTTCTCTCTCCTCAGTTTAGAAATCCACTCCTCTCTACCCCATTGCTGTTGATCTACCTGGAAAGGGACAAACACCTTGAAGTAAGTCCTCCACAGCCTAGCCTTCGTAGTGTTGAAGGGACTTATACTGGCTGATGGTGCTGGTAGGTCTAGGCCTGTGTTCATAAGAATGAAAATAGAAAAAAAAAAAAAAGTAAAAGACTATGACATAAATAGCGGACATTTGAGGGAAATAGAAGCCTAAAGGGAGAAATACGATATTGACAAGTCAAAATAAAGTAGGGCTGGTTTAAACAGAATAGGAGAAAGAAGAGATCAAAAGAGAGAACTCTGATACAAATTCTCAATGAGATTCAGGAAGATATTACTTAAGAGAAAACTCATAGTAAGAAAGAAATCTCAGAAATTAGGAAGAAAATTTAAAAATGATTTCTGAAATTAAAATGATCTTTAGAAGGAGTGAAAATATGTGGAGAGGCTGAAAATTGAATTATTGATCTTTAGACAGACTTAAAAATATACTCCACAACATAAAGCAAAAAAAAAAAAAAGACAAATTAATGAAAACGTTAGTAAAAATGAAAGAGAAATGGAGGGTAGATTCAGGATGCATAACTTAAAAAGATGTGCAGCTCTGGAGGAGAAAGAGAAAAGAATGAAGAAACAATAACATAAAAAGTTTAAAAAAAATTCCTGGAGCTGAAAAAAGATTTTTGACTGGAAGTCAAAGAATTATGTACATAATTAATGAAATAACAGAAACATTTTCTTGTGAAAACTCTAATTTCCAGGAATAAAAAAGCACGTTTTGTAAGTTTTTAAAAAGACAGAATAGGTTACTTACAAGGGAAAGGAAATAATTTGACATTAGGGTTCTTATCTTCAACAAAGGAAGCTAAAGACACTGGGAAATATTCAAAGAATATCAGTGGGAGAGGGCTGTGATTACAGGATCTTCCACAGCCAGAGACTAGAAGGACTCCAAAAGTATGAACCCATGAGCCTCTTACAGAGAACTTGAAAAAGCATGCCTTCCAAATTAAAATTTAATCAGGAAAAAAGACAGATTGGGGGAGATGAAATACACAAGAAAAATATTGATTCTCAATGAATCCAGTAAGTCTTATTTTAAAATATAAATCAAGTTTCTTATGGAAGAGGAAGCACTAAAAGAAATATTTTAACAACTCAGACAGAGTAGAAATTCCAATCATTTTAACAGGCACAAGGAAGACAGAGTAGGAGAAAGCACTCAGAGTCTCTTCTTGAGGGAATATAAACATAGTTACTTCACTTTCTAAGTTTTGTATTTGCATAAAGTTTAAGTGTGTTTGTTAAATGTTTAAAACTAACCATTAGTAAAATAGAAATACGTAGTAGAACTAAAACAAATCACAACAGAAATAAAAGACAAAAGAATAAATTCAGATAAGAAAAGAAAAAAGGGTAAGTAATACATTACTTGAGGGCAAAATACAAAATAAAAAACTCAAGCTTTCGGCCAGCACAGTGGCTCACGCCTGTAATCCCAGCACTTTGGGAGGCTGAGGGGGGCGGATCGCCTGAGGTCAGGAGTTCGAGGCCAGCCCGACCAACATGGTGAAACCCTGTCTCTATTCAAAATACAAAAATTAGCTGGGCATGGTGGTGCATGCCTGTAATCCCAGCTACTTGTGAGGCTGAGGTAGGAGAATCGCTTGAACCCAGGAGGCGGAGTTTACAGTGAGCCGAGATTGTGCCATTGCACTCCAGCCTGGGCAACAAGAGCGAAACTCCATCTCAAAAACAAAACAAAACAACAAAACAAACAAAAACCTCAAGCTTTCAAATGGTTTCAGTGAATAATTCTACTAAACATTTAAGGAAGAAGTAATGTCAGTCTTACACAAACTATCTCATATAATAGAAAGAGGGAGCAATCTCTAACTTGTTTTTTTAAGGTTAATATGGTTTTGATATCAAAATCTGACAAGAGTGGTATGCAAAAGAAATATTATAGTTCATTTTCACTGAAATATAAAGTCCTAAACAAAATAGTGACAAGTGGATTCTAGCAATATATAAAAAAGACAATGCATCCCATTTAAATTGACTTCTTATAAAAATTTAAGGATCATTTAACAACAACAAAAAATCATAAATGAATTTGCCACATGAATAGAAGAGAAGATATCATATAATCACAGAAACATAAAGAAAAAATATTTAGTAAAATTTAAGATCTATTCATGATAAAAGCTCTTAGCAAGCCTGCAAGGTAGTTTCATAAAACCTTCAGCAAATTCACACATCATGGTGAAATGTTGAAAGCTTCTCTCTCAAAGTAAGAACAATACAAAATGCCCAAGTTCTGCTTTTGTATTGACTATTATTCAGGGGACTCTAGTTAGAGTAGTAAGTAAAGTAAATAAAAGAGTATGAAAGATTTTAAAGGACAGATTAAAATGGTAATTTTCATGGACATATGATTATATATGTAGAAGATCTAAATAAATCTATAGATAAATTATTACAATAATTTTAAAATTTAGTAAGTTTTCTAGATACAAAATTAATGTACAGAAATCAGGTGTATTCATACATACCTTTAACAAACAGTTAACACATAAAATTCTAAAAATATATATTATGAGTATAAAACATATCAAATATCTAGGATCAAATCTAACAAAAGATGTGCAAGGTCTCTCTTAAGATGAGCAGAATATTTCTGAGAGACATTAAAGAAGAACAAACTAAATGGAGTGATATAACACACTCCTCATGGACTGGAAGATAGTGTTGTAAATATGACACTTCTTTTAGATTATACTGAAAATTCAATGCAATATCAATCAAAATCCCAAAGAATTCTTTTTTTCCCAAATTTCCCAAAGGAACTTCAGCTGATTATGAAATTTATATGGAAATTTAAAAAGTCAAATACCCAGAATACTTTTAAGAAGAAACCAAGGTAGGAAGCCATGCTATATAAGGTATGAAGACATTATAAAATCACAGTGATTAAAACACTATAATATCAGCACAAGGATGTAGTCAATGAACTTGACTAGAGAAGCCACAGACAGACTCCAGCAGAGATAAGTACTTGATATGTGATATAGGTCATAATGCAGAGCAGTAGAGAAAGGGTATTTTTTTTATCTAAGTAAAAGATACTAAGCTTGATCCCTATCTCACAACACGTGCAAAAACTAATTTCAAGAGATTTGAGACCTAAGTGTGACAGACTTAACAAAAAAATACATATTTTTATAAGATAAAATAGAAGAATTTCTATTTCCAGTAAATATTTATTTATTTATTTATTTGTTTGTTTGTTTGTTTGTTTATTTTTTTTTTCTTGAGGCAGAGTTTCACTCTTGTTTCCTAGGCTGGAGTGCAATGGTGAGATCTCAGCTTACCGCCACCTTCGCCTCCCGGGTTCAAGCAATTCTCCTGCCTCAGCATCCCGAGTAGTTGGGATTACAGGCATGTGCCACCACACCTGGCTAATTTTGTATTTTTAGTAGAGACAGAGTTTCTCCATGTTGGTCAGGCTGGTCTCGAACTCCTGATCTCTGGTGATCCACCCGCCTCGGCCTCCCAAAGTGCTGGGATTACAGGTGTGTGAGCCAGAGGGCCCGGCCTATAAAGTTAATTTAAAAAGACACGAAAAACACACATTTCTTTTCCATAAAAGAATGAGAAGTTTGAGTATATTAAAATGAAGAAATTTTGTTAATCAAAAGATATTATTGAGGGTGAAAAAACAAGCCATAGAGTGGGAGAAGATTTTTACAACAAGGGATTCGTATGAAGAAAATATAATTCAAAAAACAAATAAATAAGAAAATGGCTGACAACCCAAGAGTTACCAAGAATTTTGAACAGACATTGCACAAAAGAGAAAACTTAATGGGAAATTAACATGTGAAAAAGCACCGCTTTCATTAGTAATCTCAGGGATGCACAATTAGAACCACTGGAACGTATCACTATATAGTCACCAGAATCATTATCGTCAAAAAGACTAATCATGTATCACTGAGAATGTGAGCCAACAGAAACTCATACATGTCTGTGGGACTTATAAATAGATACAATCCCTTTGTACAATATTTGGCAAATCCCAAATTTGATGATACACAGTATGTGTATCATACAATACAATCTACTTATTGTTGTGTAATCAATGTAAATGTATGCACAAGAAATTTGTTTAAGAATATTCATGGCAGCACTATATGAAATAGCCCCAAAGTGGAAATAACCCAAATGGCAGACAATAGTGGAAGAGAAAAATAAATTAACATATATTTAAACCATGGAATAGTATAAAGCATCATCAACAACCCAAAAAGCTATAGCTCCCCAAAAGGCAAGTAAATCTTTAAAAGATAATACTGAGCAAAAGAAGTAAAACAACAAATTTATACTAAATAATTTTTATAGTGTAAATTTAATAAAGGCAAATCTAAACCTTGAAGTAAGGAATACACACTTTGGTGGATGATATATGAAGAAGAGAAAGGAGACAATTCCTATAAAAGTCACGAGAGTGGTTAATACTTGAGGGTAAGATTGAAAAGAACTGTTGGCTTTTAGAGTTCCATCATATTCTACATTCTGTTACTGGGCCTGGGTAGTGAACAGATGAGTCTTCTTTAAGTCACACATTTACGTTTTATGCATCTTTTTCTGTATGCTATATTTTGTAATCAAATATTTTATAACCAAACAAACCATAAAACCCAAATGTTTTCTTTCTATGGCTGGTTTATTTCACTTAGCATAATGTTCTCCATGTTCATCTATATTGTTGCAAATGACATATTTTTCTTGTTTTTTTTTTTTTTTTTTTTTTTTTCTGAGATGGAGGGAGTCTCACTCTGTCGCCCAGGCTGGAGTGCAGTGGCGCGATGTCAGCTCACTGCAACCTCCACCTCCTGGGTTTAAGCAATTCTCTGCATCAGCCTCCTGAGTATCTGGGATTACAGGTGGGTGACACCCTGCCCGGCTAATGTTTGTATTTTTAGTAGAGATGGGGTTTCACCATCTTGGCCAGGCTGGTCTTGAACTCCTGACTTTGTGATCCACCCGCCTTGGCCTCCCAAAGTGCTGGCATAACAGGCATGAGCCACCGTGCCCAGCCACAAAGGACAGGTTTTTCTAAGGCCAAATAGTATTCAGTGGATAGAGGTACAACAGTTTGTTTATCTTTTCATCCACTGATGGACACTTAGGGTGATTTCACATCTGACTATTGTGAATAATGCTGCAATGAACATGAGTGTGGAGTTATGTCTTTGACATACTGATTTCATTTCCTTTGGATATATAGCCAGTAGTGGGATCATATGTAGTTCTATTTTGAGAAACACCTCCACTGTTTTCCATAATGATTATAGTAATTTATATTCCCACTAACAGTGTACAAGTATTCCCTTTTCTCCACATCTCACCAACACTTGTTATCTTTTGTCTTTTTGATATAAACCATTTAAACAAGTGTGAGGTAATATCTTATTGTAGTTTTAATTTGCATTTTCCTGATGATTAGTGATGTTGAACATTTTTTTTCATATACCTGTTGGCTATTTGAATGTCTTCTTTTGAGAAATATCTATTTATGTCCTTTGTTCATTTTTAAATTGGGTTTCTTTCGTCCTATTGAATTGTTTGAGTTCTTTATATATTCTGGCTATTAACCTCTTATCAGTTACATAGTTTGGAAATATTTCCCCCCATTCTAGAGTTGGTCTCTTTACTCTGTTGTTTCCTTTGGTATGTGTAAGCTTTTTAGTTTGATGCAATTTCATTTGTCCACTTTTGCTTTTGTTGCCTGTGCTTTTAGAGTCACATCCAAAAGATTTTTGCTGAAGCCGATGACAAGCAGCTTTTATCCTACTTTTTTTCTAGAAGTTTTATAGTTTTAGGGCTGATATTTAAGTCCTTACTCCATTTTCAGTTGACTTTTATATATAGGATAAAATAAGGGTCCAAATTCATTTTTCTGCATGTGGATATTCAGTTTTCCCAACACTGTTTATTGAAGAGACTATTTCCCAATTGTGTGTGGAATCTAAAAAAAGTTGAACCCATAGAAGCAGAGAATAGAATGGCGATTACTAGAGGCTGGGGCAGCAGGAGTGGGGTGGTGAAGGGGAGATGTTGGTCAAAGGGTGCCAAGTTTCAATTAGATGGAAGGTGTCAATTCTGGAGATCAGTTGTACAGCCTAGTGACTATATTTAATAATAATGTACTGTATACTTGAAAATTGTGAAGTTCTCACCATAAAAAATAAGCATGTCACATGATGGATATGTTCATTAGCTTGATTTAATCACTCCACAATGTACACGTATATAAAAAAATCACATTTTGCCTCATAAAAGCATATAATAAAATAAATAGGCTGGGCGTGGAGGCTCATGCCTGTAATCCTAGCACTTTGGGAGGCCAAGGTGGGCGGTTCACGAGGTCAAGAGATCGCCATCCTGGCCAACATGGTGAAACACCATTTCTACTAAAAATAACAAAAATTAGCTGGGCATGGTGGCACGTGCCTGCAGTCCCAGCTACTTGGGAGGCTGAGGCAGGAGGATCATTTGAACCTGGGAGGCGGAGGTTGCAGCGAGCTGAGATCACGCCACTGCACTGCAGCCTGGTGACAGAGCGAGACTCCGTCTAGAAACAACAACAACAAAAACAAACATAAATGAATAAACACACATGTAAAAACATTTCAAAAATAAATTTTGAGGCCAGGAGTAAAAATGGAAAAAGATAATATTTTCTATTTGATTTAAAACATCAAGACCATATTTGTCATAAACTTATATGCACTTTAAACAATGTATTGCTAGATATAGAAAGCACAGTTCTTAGATATAAGAATAAAATTTGACTCACTAGAATTAAATAATTTTTATTCATTCCAATTTTTCTGTACAAAAAAGAGTTTTTAAACACCTTGTCTTTAAATTTAATTGACCAAATAGACCAAAAATAGAATATTAATGAGTTTAGTCACATAATTAATAGGATGAATTTACTAGATAATCTAGCATATGGTACCTTATAAAGAATGTATATTATATGCCCATAGAAGCAGGAAAAAAAATGTGTACTGCATTCTAGGACTATCACACAATCAAGCTAGATCCACATAAATGCTAGATCAAAACTGAGACCTACTGAAAAAAACAAAAACTAAACAAGTAAAATCTCAAATTTCTTTAAAAAATTGTAAATCAAATCAAAACTATATTCTGAGATATAAAAATCAACAAAAATAAGAACAGTATACAGCAAAAGTATGGGCTGGTACTAAGCATAAGCACTATTCATACATTTAAATTCAAAAGGCCCAAAATAACAACCAGGCCTTCAATTCAATACAGAAAAGTTAACAAAATAAGCCATATAGATGCATATATAAAATTATACAATTAATTAAATAAAAGCATAAATTAATGACTCTGAATGCTAAAAATGAAAAAATACAATTAATGGATAAAAGGGGCGATTCTTCAAAAAGATAAATAAAATACGCAGGTCCAGCCTGGTGCAGTGGCTCACGTCTGTAATCCCAGCACTTTGGGAGGCCGAGGCGGGCAGATTACCTGAGATCAGGAGTTCAAGACCAGCCTGGCCAACATGGTGAAACTCTGTCTCTACTAAAAAAACAAAAATTAGCAGGGCGTGGTGGCACACACCTGTAATCCCAGCTACTCGGGAGGCTGAGGCAGGAGAATTGCTTGAGCCTGGGAGACGGAGGTTGCAGTGAACTGAGATCATGCCACTGCACTCTAGCCCGGCTGACACAGCAAGACTCTGTCTCAAAAAAAAAAAAAAAAAAAAAAAAAAAAGGCAAGTCCTTTGGAATTTGGGCCTTGAATGAAGGGAGAAAATAAAAATATAAAGCATTAGAAATGAGGAAAGTATAACTAGATGAAAATCTAAACAAAATACAGAATTCTTTAGGAAAATTAGAAAACCAAAACTGACTCCAGACAAGGCTCTCCACCCCTCCCCACCCTGTGTATGTGGGTGTAGGGGTGGCAGTGGGAGAGGCTGTGGTTCTCCAGAACCTTCCAGTTGCCTGGAAAGTTCTGTTAGGAGGATCCCACTTTGTCCGCAGAGCTCATGTCCTTCAGGCCATCTTTGCAGGTAATAAAGGGTGTATGGTATTTTAATTTCCCCCAGGTCAGTGTCTATCTTTCAATGTGTTGTAAATAAAGGTGGAAGGAGGTATGCGTTATTTGCTTTCCAACATGTTCCAAGAATGCAAACAATATGAAAATCTGCCTACATCTTTTTATGGGGCTAGCATTGATATGTCTGATGCTAAAACTTGATGAGAGCACAAAACATAAACATATAGAAAATTCTAATTTATAAGTGGTAAATGAAATCATGTCAAAGTGACTTAAGAAAAAAAGGGAGCTGATTTGTTCATATTACCAAAAGATATGGCAGAATGTTCTTCGGCATGCTGGAAACAAGTACTTAAAGCTTCCCTTTGTACTGGTTTCATTCTCAAGCACATTTTCACCTGGCTGTGGCAAGCTGTCTAGGTACAAGCTGACATTCTATTAGCTTGGTACTCCAGCAGAAGGAGAGCATCTCTCTGTTGGCAACTCCAGCACAAGTCCCCATAGTGGCATCTCACTGGTCCGGCTTAGTTCCCATGCCATCACTAAACCATTCACTGTGGCCAGAAAATCTGGTGCTCTAATTGGCCAGGAGTGAGTTATGTGCTCACTCCTAGGTTATGGCTCAGTACTAGGAAGTCTATGAATATAAATGAGAATATTAATTATTTAAAAAGAAAAATCATGTGGGGAAAGGCATTATACTTGATTTAGCACTCATTTCTGGTTAGTTCATTCATTCCTTCAACATACATTTCTTAAGGACCAATTCTGTATGGTTTTCTGGTTTTGGTGTGGAAGTGAACAAAAACAAGCCAAACTCCCTGCTTTGTGGAGGTTACATATTAGGATTTAACATTGTATGCAGAATAGTAAGAAAGTTTAAATATGGTTAAAAAAAGTTAGATACTAAAAGCAAAATGTATGTTAAATATGGCAGCACTAAAGACATTCCCATCCTAGAGTATTTATTTTAATTATCTTTTAGAGCACAATTTTAATAAGGTTTCTGGGAAGCGCAGATATATATATTGAGTTTCTACTTGTTAAGGATCCTTTTTTTCTTTCCATTTTGCAAGTGAAAATAACTTGATAGATTTTTCAGACTCGAATATTTTTCCTTTAAACTCTGCAAAAGTTGCATCATATTTGCTGGAATTTAATATTAATGAGAAAGGACCTGAAGCCAACCTAATTTTTGTTGCTTTGTAGGTAAGCCATTTCCTCCCATCCCTGCCTGGATACATGTAAGACACCTCACCCAACCAATCTAAAAAAACTTAAAACTTACCAGAGTATGTGTATGTAGAAAACTCTATTGATTAATTTTGATTGCTTCTTATGAAGTCCTTTCAAACCCGAACATGTCTTTTTTGACTCAGAAACATTTTTTTTCTTCTTTAATTGTTTCTCCTCAATTTGCACTTTTCTCCTACCATATTTTTTGTATACCTAAATGGGATCTTCTGCATTTGTTCTTTACATCTTTGTTTTTCAATGGTTCACCACCTTCTCTCTTTTCTTTGATTTTGGGAGACGTTTTTGAACTTTTGCCCTCCTGCTTTGGTTTTCCATGATATTTAGTGCCCCTTTGCCGTTTGAATTTTGTTGGTGATATTCTTTGTTTGCAGTCTTTAAAACTGCATGATGTCATTTTAAAAGAAATATTTATTTAAGATTCTCAGAATCCAAATGAAATGTTCTCTCTATTCCCTAGTAATTTTATTTAATATGAAGTTCTCTGATTTCAGAAGCCTGTCCTTCCCAGTATTGGATGTTGAGCCTGAATCGCTCAAGAACTATTTGTGGACCTTTTAAATTTTTAGGTCTAGACAAGGAGGGGCTGAATAGGTTTGGATATACAGCAGTTCTTCTTTGCCTGTCTGCATTCCTGAAGCCTGACAAGGGTAGGCAGAAGGCTCGAGAAAATGATGGTCAGGGTCTTGGAATTCTCTGCTCAGGCTTCTTTCCTTTCCCATGTTTCATGTGATCTGAGAGCTAGCTGGGGCAGTGGCCTCATTTGCTGACCCTCAGAGTTCCATGCCACCCGGCTCATATGTCCTCGGGCGTGCTCCAGTGTGCTGGCACTCCCTTCACGGTGCATGGACCAGGAAACCTAATCCAAACAAGTCTAGGCAATAAAGGGAATGAGCACTCAGTTCACTGAGATAAGCTGAACGCTACAGGACTTTTTCCTCATAGCCTAATGAGGTTGTCAAGGACCAAGTTTCTTTTAGTCTTTGTTCTCTGCTTTCCAGATGTCTTCACCCCAAGCCAGACCTCCCTTAAGGAGACAAAAAATTTGCAGCAGTTCCCACAGTTCACGTCTGCACAGCACATGACCCAGTAGGAGATGGGACTGACTGGGTCAGACTGCAATACCTGAACTCCTTGTTATTGAAGAAGCATGAGGTCTCACTAATTGGCTTATACTCATATTGGCATTGCCGCTGCCTCCAGGGCTGAGGTGGCGTTAATTCACTATTTCCTGCTCCGCCACACAGCTGCTACCCAGGTGAAAGGGTTAAATGGCTAAGGGATAGTCATCCGTAATATATTCAGGTTTTTAATGCCTCTTCTAAGTGTGTTCTCAGAATTAGCCAAGTGCGCAAGTGGTAGAGATACACAGGGATAGATTTATTTACTTTTGTGAATCTACTATATTAATCATGTAGTTTGTTTAAATAGTGTGATTCAGTTTTGAGAGCAAAGTTGGGAAAACCTCTTACCCGTTATTTTTATTTTACTTTGATACTCTGTTAAGTCAAACTCAATGAGTGGGGAGCAGGGAGGCTAATGGGCATTTATAGAATGACATTATACTTTAATATTAAAATAGGAATATTTAGATTTACTTATATATGTAAGCAATTTTTTTTAGCATGTACTACTTGCCAGGTACAGTTGACCCTTGAACAATGTGGGGGTTAGGGGCACCAACCCGCCCCCACCACACAGTTAAACATCTGTGTACGACTTCTGACTCCCCCAAAACTTAACTCCTAATAGCACATTGTTGACTGGAGGCCTTACTGATAACATAACCAGCCTACTAACATGTATTTTGTATTATATATATTATTTATTATATTTTTACAATAAAGTAAGCTAGATAAAACAAAATGTTTCTGAGAAAATCATAAGGAAGAGAAAATAGATTTACTATTCGTTAAGTAAAAGTGGATGATCATAAAGGTCTGCATCCTTGTCATCTTCACATTGCGTGGACTGAGGGGGAGAAGTTGGTCTTGCTGTCTTGTCTCAGGGGTGGCAGAGGTGAAGAAAACCCATGTATAAGTGGACCCACTCACTTCAAACCTGTGCTGTTCAAGGGTCAACTGTGTTTCATTACTGAGCGTGAGAGTGCAATGTGTACCAGCCAAAGAAATGTTCCTGCTCTTAAAGAGTTTAAGTCATAGAAGAGATCAGTCAAGTCAATAGGTTTGTAGTGTGAAATTGTTATACAAGATGCCCTGGGTGCTACGGAAGCACATAGAGCAGGCACCAAATCTAGGCCTGGGGAAGCAGAAAAAGCTTATTTATTAGAGGAGAATACTGAGTAATACTTCAAGGGCAGGTCGGCATGGGCCAGGTAAAGAGATGCTGAAGGAGCCTCCAGACAAGGAGAGCTCATGTGGGAAGGCCCAGCAATGAGAGAGGCAGTAAAGCAAGGTTCTAGAGTTAAACTATCTGGTTTGGAATCCTGGCTCTTCCACTTATCAGCTGTGTGCACAAAGTATTTCGACAGGGATAATAAAAATGGCAGCTACCCCGTGAAGTTGTTATGAAGATTGAGCAAGTTAACATTTGTAAAACACTTCAAACAGGGCTTTGTTTGTTACATAAAAAATAAAATTAAACCTACATATAAAACAAAACAAATCTTTCCATACTGCCTCAATCAACAACGAGTAAGAAAGAATCTACTCTTTAGTGTCTCCCATTGGAGGCCGCCATGTTTACTCCCTGACCTCCGCAGCAGTGGATCCAGCTTCCTAAATGAGCTTGTCTGCTTCCCCTGCCCTGCCTGCATTGAGCTTCCAGCTGGCTCAAGAGACATGCTCACACACAAGCTCAGAAAAGAACCACGAACATTGAGAGACAGCAGCTCAGTCAGTGAGTCCATGGGAAGAGCACCAACATGGAATCCAGGAGAAGTGGTCATGTGTACATCTAAGATAAAAGCCAGGCAAGGCAGCCATCAGTGACTTGGGCAGGTCGTCACAGAGACTGACAGGAAGTTCTTGTTGCCACTTCCATATTTTGTGAAAAGGCAAGACTCCAGCTCTGGGAAGCCTGACCAGCACCAAGCCAGGCCTGCATCCAAGAAAATCACAATACAAAGCAGGTTATCAAAGGACTAATTCCCTCCCTCCCTCCCTCCCTCTCTCCCTCCCTCCCTCTCTCTCTCTTTCTTTCTCTTCCTTCCTTCCTCCCTTTCTGCCTTCCTTCCTTCTTTCTTCTTCTTTCTCTCTCCTTCCTTCCTTCTTTCCTTCCTTCCTCCTTCCTTCTACCTTCCTTCCTTCCTTTCTTTGTTTCTACAAAAAATTTATTTAAATGCTTAACTTGCGCCAGACAATGTGTCAGGTACTGGATATATTAGTAGTAACATATAGTTTCTGCCTTCAAAATGTTTAGACTAGTGAGAAAGACAGGTATCAGATGATGTGATGCTTTGATAAAAATATGCACAGGGCACTATAGTAACAACCCAAAAGTTCTGACCTTACCAAACTCAACTGCAAGGATGAAAAGAGAAGTGAGGAATGGAGGTTGATAGAGAAAGAGGATTAAGAAAGACTTCATTCAGGAGAAACCCAATTATTAATATGAGATCACAGCAAGATGGCTTCTAAATTGGCCTGTTGAAGCCACTCATAATACACCTGTGCTTCTAGAACTTAGAGTAGAGACTGTGGGTTGGCAGTGTACAAGGACAGTGATATAACAAATATAAGAGCAATGTTTGAATGAAAGAGAAAAAAATTCAGTGTCCATAAAGTAAGAACAAACCTCCATGTAGAGACTGCAATGATGTACAAAGTAGAGAATTGTAGAGAATACTACTCAACAATAAAAAGTAATGAAGTAATGACATATGTTACAACATGGCTGAACCTTGAAAACATTATGCCAAGTGAAAGAAGCCAACCACAAAAGACCATGTATTATGTGATATGAAACGTCCATAAGAGGCAAATCTACACAGACAGAAAGTAGACTGGTGATTGCCTAGGGTTGGGGGAATTGGAGAAAAACTGAGTGACTGCCAATGGGTATAATGTTTCTGTTTGGTTAATAAAATGTTCTTAAATGGATTGTGGTGATGGTTGTCCCCCTTTGTGATTATACTACAAGCCATTGAATTGTATACTTTAAATGAATGGATAGTATGCTATGTGAATTATATCTCAATAAAACTATTACACATTTTTTAAAAAATGAAAATGGTTCCTTAGCAGAGTAGAGGAAAGTTAAGTATGGCTAGAACTTCAAACATATAGGGTGTAGGATGTAGTGATAAATTAGTTTAACGTGGTAAATCTCAACCAGGGTGAATTTTGCCCTCCACAGAACATTTGGCAATGTCTGGAGACATTTTTAATTATCACAATTGGCATGGTGGTGTTACTGACATCTAGTGGGTAGAGGCCATGGATGCTGTTAAACAGCCTACAACGCACAGGACAACCTCCCCAACAAGGAATTATTCGGCCCAAAATGTCAGGAGTGCCAAAGTTGAAAAACCTTGGTCTGAAGAGGTAAGAGACCAGGCCATGAAGAGTTATGGGGTAAAGTTGAGAAGTTTGGCCTTGCTCTAAAGAAGAAACAATGGTATTAATTGAGGGATTGGCATGATGAAATTGCCACTGAATACCCAAAACGTCACTTTGTGTACAGCTTAGAAAACAGATTAGAGAATCAGGGAGGACAGAGATAATGGTGACCTAAGTAGTGTGCTAGCAGAGGGAATGGAAGGATTTAAAAGATATTAATTCACTAAGAAGAATTCTCAGGGTATGGTGATTTGTTTGATTCAATGTTCAGAAAAAGAAGGAGAAAGAGGAGCAGCTTGGGATCCAGGCTTCTGGCTGTGCTAGTAGGTGATGGCAATAAGGCCCTTGGCTGACACAGCAGATAAAGGTGAAGGAGCTGGTTTGAGGGAGAAAATGACAAATTGGATTTTGTCATTTTCAAAATCAAAGTGGAGACTTTTAGGGAGTAACTGAGGATAAGATCAGGAAACTCTGGAGAGATTGGGGCTGTGTATTGGGCATCAGGATATATAATGCAATTGTACATGGGAATGCGTGCCACCGCCTAAGAGGAGTGTGGCATGAGATAAGAAGGCAGAACTCGGAAGAACACTAACAGGCATAGAAGAAAGAATCCAAAGGCTATTTAGAAAGTGGCAGGCAACTTGAGGAAATAAACAAAACCAAACAAAACCAGGACTGTGCAGTATGACAGAAGTCAAAGAAAGATGATTTCAAATAGGCCACAATATACAATTTATAGTATACACTAGGAAGATGGAGAATCACCTAGTGGACTTAGCAACAAGGAGTTTGAAGGCGACTATGTTGAGATGGGCTTTAGTGGTGTATTGGGGACAGAAATCAGAGGGGGTGTGTTGAGAAGTAGCTGAAAGGGAAGGAAGCAGAGTGATGAGTGTAAGCAGCTCACTTGAGAAATGTGGTTATGACAGGGAGATCAATGATAGTGGGAAGGGGATACAGGGTTAAGGTTGGGGTCATTTGAGACAAGAAAGACTTACTTTAACATGTTTAAGCGCTGAGTGGAAGGGGCCAACAACAAAAAATTAGATACACAGAGCAGGGGAAATTAAAATGTCAAGATTTGGGGGAAGCACTGAAGTCATTATTCAACATAGATTGAAGGATGCTTCTACTATCCAAGTAGGAGCAAAGGATAAAAACATGGGTACAGAACACAGAGAGTTTATAGGTTTGGTGGCATAAACTTTAGGAAATTCTCATTTGAAGATTTCAGCTTTCTCTGTGAAGGAGGTAAGGTCATTTCCTGAGAGTAAGCCAGTGAAACAGCAGAGTTGAAATTTTGTGGATAGTGGACACAGTTTGAAATAGCTGTAGTAAAGTGGGAAAAAAGAAAGCAGAGAGATTTATGGACCATACGGAAGGCTCTACTGAGATAGGGGAACATAAATGTGCAATGCCATGAATGTATGTGTGTATGTGTGTGTGTGTGTGTGTGTGTGTGTGTTTTCCTAACAGCACTCAGCAGGCTTGAATAAAGTGGGGAGTAGATTAATCCTAGGTTGAGATTTTTACAAGCAATATGGGACAATTCCTAGTGTCGAACTACATTTTTTTAAACTAGAGAGAGAAGGAGGTAAAGGCAGCAGAGCACTGATGGATGGAGAGGTCAGGGATTTGCAAGGTCTAATACTGGACTTGGTGGAAGTAGCTGAATTGGAGAGCTGGATGTGGTTAGACAGATAGATAGCTTGGAATATGACAAGGTCTAGTATGTGGCCATGAAACTGGCTGACTTACATAAATGGAGGTGAAGGGCACTGAAAATGAATGGGGTCAGGAGTGTAGGATGGATTTTCTTCATCAAACCTGACTTGTCTTGGCAGAATAAATGTATATCATGCCTCTTTGCTTAAGTGCAGATTCTAAGTAATGTCTTGCTTTGTTTCAATTCTCAATTGGATTTTATCCATAATGCTAGACTCAATAGTACTTGTTATATTTCAAATCTGTCTAATACTTGCACTTAAGGAAATTACAGAGAAGAATGAAAACATTTCAGAAGGCTACAAATGAATATAAATCATTGTGTGCTCATTGATGTGAGGGTTAGAGGAAGCTATGGAGAAGTAGTAGCCTAGATTTTACCATCTTTTTGTGAACAAATGCTCACTTAACCTACTTATACCAAGAGTTTGACTGGCACCAGACCAAGCAGAGTCATGCCAATTTCTTCCATATTTTAGTTTTGATTTCAGGGAAAGAAGGAGAGATACCCAAAGATTTTCATAAATCTAAGACTGGAAGAGGCCTTAGAGTCATCTTCCCCAGCTGACATTTGATGCTGAACTACTCAATATCCTCACCATGTGGTCACTCCACCCAGTCACTACAACCCAGTCCTGGCAGAGCTTGGATTTGAATCCAAGTGTTTAATTCTTAACCTGGCCTTCTTTATGCTATATCAAAATTCCTGGGCTACCACTTGGGAGAGGGAGCTGGAGAGAGCAGTGAGTGGGGTAACCTACATAGTTTCCCACAGCTTGGAATGATGGTTGTGTGTATTCATGCTGAAACAGCTACTCTCCTTGAGGCTCTTGTCTCCTGCATGTAGTTCAGCCCCTTGGAGCCACTGGGGATAAAACTGCTTCCTCTTGCACATTGAACATCTTTATTTGGTATTATCAAGTAGCCAAGATTCTAGTGCAACTTCCCTTCCTCAAGGCGACCAGTCCCATCTACCCTATCACCCTTCCCTCTTCCAGCTTCACCTCAAGTCTCTGCTTTCTTCTAGGGAAAGTAAGCTCTACCAGGAGGCAGGTCTCTGGCCTTCAGGAGGACTATGCTCAAGTTCATCACTCCACTGCACATTTGGGACAGCCTGGTGCTGTCAACATCACCAAGTTGAGATCTGGGAAGACTCTTTGCATTTCCTAATGGAGAACCAGAGCCCTGATCCATCCATACAATGACAGAACTGGAACCGAACTTGGAGACTACCTGGTCCAGTGCTTTATTATACAGAAAGGGAGGTGAAGCAGCTCATCCAGATCATGGCAATTGACTAGTGGCACAGGTTGGATTTAAATCCAGGTCCTCTTATCTCTAATCTGGTTCTCTTTGTGTTTATCAGATTCCCTGGGACAATACTGCATTTTGTTCTCCCTATATATTTGTGCCAGAATAATTTTTCAGCTCAGTTTCACATATTCATACTATCAATATTCATCTTCCAAATCTCAGGAGCTTAGCAAGAACAAAAAGCGGATCTAAAAATTAATCCATTATTGGATGACATGGATTATAGCAAATACAAAGTAGGAGAAAACATACATAGAAAAGTAAAACCTCAGAGTATTTACAGCCTTATGACATCCATCAGGCTGTGACCAAAATTGGATAAGACAGAGCATTATAAATCCTGGGGCTGTAAGGGAAGCACAAGGAGAGAAAAGTGTGCAATAGTGGCTGCTGCCCTGAGCAACATTCATCATCTGTGATCTCCCAGCCTCGCCGTCTTCAGAGCCCGTCCTGTGCACGGTGGGTTTTGTTCTGAAGCAGTAGGATGCACTGACACTGATCCCTCTCTACATTCTTGATGTATGCGACTGATACCTCAAAACTGAAGCTCATAGGGCCAGCCTGTATCTGGATTTTTAAATATGAAAATGAAAAAAGAAAATCTCTGTCTGAAGGGCTGGCAGAGAAAGAGGGAATCAACCTCTTTGCCCCAACAACAATGAAAAACCAAATCTGTGATCCTGTGGCTGAGAACAAAAGAGTGCCCCGCAGAGAGGTACACAAAACAGGCTGTGAAAATGACCCATCAGAAGGAACTCAGGAGAATCAATAACTTCAGTGGAAGACTTTAGGTCAAATTCTGAAACTACTACAGTGTGAATCCTGTGAACTGTCCTGGGGGAAAGGAGTCTGAATGTTTGCAAAACATCTGCGTTGAGGTGAAAATCAGGAGTCCTTTAACACACTCATCAAACCACCCCTGGGTGGGCTTGTTTGTTTCCTTCTCATTTCCTGGGCTCCTGGCTGCTCTTTGCACAGGCGTAAAATTCTCACTGCCATCAAGAGGGGATACAGGGGTCTCACTGAGGCCCGAGCTGCATTCTCATGCCCAGACTGAGACTGCAGAGGTAAAAAGTCAAGTTACTACATATTGGCATTATAATTGGCAGGCTGTGTGGCCTCGCCTCAGCTTTGCATTGTAATAGCCCCAAATGATCTGCCTCTGTTTCTCACAGCTCTCCTCCCTTGCTTTCAATGTCCTCTGCTGTTAATTAAATTCATACATAATGACTGTGGCTGTCTCCTGGACTCCATCCATCAGACAGCAAGCTGCTTTCCAGTGCCAGGTCAACTCAGCCATAATGAATAGACTCAGAGGCTGACCCTGCCTTCCAGATTTTCACCACGGAAGAAAGCACACAAGTGGTAGTTAAAGCATCTTGTTTCACATTGTACCTCTGCTACTCATAAAGTGAGATCTTGGCAAGTCAGTCAAACTTCTCGAGCTTCATATTTTCTATTTATAGTGATTTTTATCCAGGAGTATTTCAGTATCATTATTGAAGCTTTTAAATAATACAAGTCCCACCCCATACCTGTGGAATCAATTTCCAGAGGTGGACCTGGGTATCTATATTTTACAAAGCTCCATTAGATGCATCCATTCTGAAACATTTCTTGATAAAGGACATAAACCATTGGGTTATTGTAGAAACCATATAGATATGGGTATAAAGGTGCATTCGAAGAGATAAAGTGCTCCAAATCTTATTCATTTTATCTTTTGCTTTTCTTCTCCTGAACGCACAGACACAGACACTTTCTAGATTCTTGTTCTAAATATCTCTTTCCTTTCCATATGTGAGCCCTATCTCTTTCTCATTCATTAAATAATGAGTTCAAATGTTGTATTCCATTTAAGTCCTATTAACTTATGCCACTTCATAGTCTTTCTTTTTCGAAATAACCCTATCTATTTTTTTATTACTGTCCATGTATATGTCATATTAGTATATACATCATTAAATCTAATGGAATGAGTATTATTTCCATTTTACAGCCAAGGACATTAAGATTCACAGAGATTAAGTAATTCAGTAAGTATTGGAAGTGGAATTGATAACTTTGTCTTCTTCTAATTTTAAGTTCATTGCTTTTCCCATGGGCTAACTCTGGGAATAGCATCCAAGTTTTTACTTGTAACTTAGCTGTTAACTATTACAAAGCCAGCAAGTAATAAATGGAACTTAGGGAACCTTTAAAATCTCTTCCATGGCTTGGTGGTTTAATTATTATTGTAATATATTTAGAAATTTTGATGGCTGATTGAATTCTTTATTTCTCTCCCAGATATTTTTAGCTGAGTAGATAATTAGTCTGAACTGTGTGGGACTTGGTTCCTCTCCTAGAAAAAAGCACACAGGCAGCCGTGACTCCTTGAGCTTATGCCAGACTCTCTTTTCCTGACCCTGTAAGCATGGAGGGCTGTGTCCTCATTGTCATGCAGAAAGGAAGTCACACATGAAACAAGTGGAGGTAGTTCCTATCGCTCACATTTCCCTTCTCTCAGGTTGATTAGGCATTGGTAAACTCAAGTGTGTTACTCTGGTGAAACAGTTGCCCTTGAGGGCAGACTGTTAGGGAGAACAGAGAGGTCTGAGTGTTAACAAAAATGGTTATTTTTCTCCTCACATGATGAATGCACAAGAAGATTTTTCTCTATCTTCATAGTGACAACCTGGTGGGGCTCCTGGAGGTAAAACTCCTGAAAGTGTGAGGGTTCTCCTAAAACCGAGCCCTTGCCCCCCAATTATTTAATTCTCAAGCTTGTTCTCACTGAGCTTCCAGCAATTGCCAATTTCAGTTTAAAGTGTTCTTACCCTACCAGTACTAGTTCCGGCTGTGAACTTCCATTCCTGGGCTTTGGCTCTGATAAGCTGTGACTCCCTGTATCTGCCCATCTATTGCTCTAGTTTTCAGGGTAGCAGTTTGCCCTGTGACTTCAATTCTCTGATGTACTTAAGAGTAACAAACCTGCACGTTGTGCACATGTACCCTAGAACTTAAAGTATAATAAAATAAAATATATATATAAAAAAAAGAAGAGTTGTTGATTTTCAGTTCGTTCAGCTTTTCTCTTGCTATGAGGATGGGGGTGATGACTTCCAAGCTTCTTACAAGTCAGACTGGAAACGGACTTTTTTACACATGGAAGAAGAAGAAGAAAAAGAAAATAAGTTGCACTCTGTATTGGTTGAAATTCTTTTAAAAGCAGAGCCTGAGGCAAGAACTTGCTGCAAGTAGTTAATATGAAAAGTGATCCCTGAGGGCAGGAGTGAGAGATTGGTAAAGTGAATCAGGAACAGGAGAAAAGTTCATTTACAGAGTATAGCTTTGGCCTGCTTGTTTCCTGACATTGGCCTGATATGGGGGTGATTAAACACTCTGCATATGTAGGGTACCTATGTTCACCACAGCCTTGGAACAGAGCAGAAAAAGTCCTGCCTCTGATTTTAAGACCATTTGTGCTGAAATAGAGGAGGTGGCTGTCAAGAATAGGAGTCGGGGTCTCTATTTGCAGTGGTCTCAACTGGTCACCTCTCCAGGGCTTAGCTTTCATTAAGCTCACAGACATTCTTTCTACTAAAAAATATCCAAATGATTGTCTGTTGAGGCAAATTCCACATCTGAACAATGGGCCTCAAGAGGCCTGAGGCCCAGCAGATTTTCACAGAAGCTGTGAAACAAACGGCCCCTTTGGAAACTTGTAAGTTTTTATTTTAGTTCTTTTGATTTTATACATTTCTTCTTGCTATTTCTCAGAGGTTACCTTTAATCTAATCTTTGCCCTCCTGAATGGTGTTCTTAGCAGGCTTAGCCCCTAGGCCTGAGTAGCAGTTGGCTCTGGGTGTCACACTTCATTTTACTTCTTGTTTCACCTTTTACAGAGCAGTTGGCCACCAAGACAGAGGTTGGACAAGTGTCCTGGGGTAAGAGCTGGCCTTGCCAGCCAAGTGCCATAGACGTTCATCTCTTTCAGTCAGATACCCACCAATTCTTATCACTCTTGTCTAGCCTCCTTTCTTCCCAAGCCTAAAATGTCCCCAAGAAGAACATATTTCTATGTGTTAAGTTTTGTGCTAGCCCTATTTGTGATGGGTCATATGATATTCCAAAAATGGGTACATGCCTAAGGTTCCAAAAACTGAACTTAAGCCTTGATTAACCCAAATCTATCTTGACTTCAGTTTTTGTAATTTGTTGGACTATTGCAGAAATGGCAAAAATGTTTCATATACCAATCAGTTTCTAGTGGCTGCCTAGAAAGCTGTGATGAGGGAAATTCTTAAGTAACACCCAGACCCCGAGGGAAAGGTGAGAAGGTTGATTGGCAATGTCTGTCTTACACAAGAAAAGGGGAGAGACATTGTTTGCCATCCCAGGATTATAAGACCTTGTAGATTCATTTCAGCTCTGAACGGTTAAGAATCTAAATTTTGCTATGCCCCGCTTCTTCAGAATTCATCAGTTTTTTTTTTTTTCCAGCTGTCTCTTAGCAGTTGTTTAACCAATCTGGGATAAACCGTCAACAGTTGAAAGCTCGAAGGTTGCAACTATCACATCGCATTCCTTGGGTAAGTCATTTTCTTCACTGGGTCTCAGTGAAATTGGAGGGGCTGTCACAAGATATCTAAGGTCTCTTTCAATGACCAAGTCCCACAATTCTATTATTCTGGAGTTACAATGCCTTGGTGAAAACAAACAAACAAACAAACAAACCACCCACCAAGTGGCTTAAGTACACTGTAGGGTTGCAGAAGGGGCTGTATTTTCTTCTTTTCCTTCTCTTTCTTTTTCCGTTCCTTCTTGGTAATGAGGAAGGTAGGTAGTGGGCTTCATCCAGCCCTCAAATCTCAAAGTGATACTGTAAAATATATATTTGATCATTGACTCCATTTCCTGGCATACAACTCTTAAAATCCTTAGAATCTCTGAAGAGATCTTTTTGTATGCTAATGAAATGACAGGTGGCCGGCAGCTCCTAGGTCGCTTCAGGATGAGAGCTGGTCGCCAGAAAGTTCCAGGCAGAATTAGAGTGTTGGGACTTTCAGTCTCATCCCCTAATCTCTAAGGCTGAAGACTAAGTTCATCACCAGTGGTCATAGTTTAATCAATCATGCCTGCGTAATGAAGTCTCCATAAAAGCTCCAAATGGACAGGGTTCAGACAGCTTCAGGATAGCCCAACACAAGGAGGCTCCTGGAGGATAGTGTGCCCAGGGTGGGCTTCCATGCCCCTTCCCATACCTTTCCGTATGCATCTCTTCATCTGTATCGCCTTTAATACCTTTATAATAAACTGGCACACATAAGTAAGTGTTCTTCTGAGTTCCATGAGCCACTCCAGCAAATTAATCGAACTTAAGGAGGGAATCCTAATGTATAACCAGTTGGTCAGAAGCACAGGTAAAATAACATGGGGCTTTCAACTGGCCCCAAGCCCCAGCCTGAAGTTGTAGGGGAACAGTCTTGTGGACTGGGCCCTCCACCCTTGGGATCTCATGCTGGGTTGGGGTAGATAGTATTAGAACTGAATTGAATAAGAGGTCATCTAGTTGGTGTCCTCTGCAGAATTAAGTGACTGCTTGCTTGGTGAGGAAACTCCCCACATATTAGGTTAGAAGTCTTTTGTGTTGATTGCTACTGAGTGACAGAATAGAAAAAGCACTTTGAGTGTGTTTCTTCAACACATGTTACCCTTAATCTTCCTGCTGAACCCCCATGCAAAGGACCAGGCTGACCTGAACAATTGGGTATATCAAAGGGCACACATGAAGAAGAGGCAGAAGGAAATCATGAAGGCATGCAATGCGCCGGATCAAGCTACCTTTTGGGAAAAACAGAGCATTTGAGGTGTCAGGGGTAAGGGGACTCTCTGAAGGTACACTCTGAAGATACAGAATAAGTAGAGTGGACTTGGGATCCTAAACCCAGCGGAAAGTGAAGAGAAAGGGTAGAGAAATGATTTATGCATGGGTGGAGCAAGAGAGCAGAACTTGAAGCCAGGCCCTGTATTGGCACTAATTTGCTGTGTGACCTTAGGCAAGAGACCTTATTCCTCTGGGTCTCAGTTTTCTTTTCTCTTTTTTTTTTTTTTTTTTTTGAGACGGAGTTATGCTCTTGTCACTCAGGCTGGAGCGCAATGGCATGACCTCGGCTAACTGCAACCTCTGCCTCCTGGGTTCAGGCAATTCCCCTGCCCTGGCCTCCCAAGTAGCTGGGATTACAGGCATGCGCCATCATGCCTGGCTGACTTTGTAATTTTTAAAGTAGAGATGGGGTTTCATCATGTTGGTCAGGTGGTCTCAAACTCCTGACCTCAAGTGATCTACCCTCCTTGGCCTCCCGAAGTGCTGAGATCACAGGCGTGAGCCACGGTGCCCAGCCTCAGTTTTCTCGTGTATAAAAATTAAAGGGAAAAGGGATAAGTTGATTTCTAAGGGTTTTCCCAACTCTAACATCCTGTGGATCCAATTACAAGTTCTTAGAGCTTCCTATATCATGTGTATAGACACAGGTATCCAGGAAGGGAAGGAAAGAGAGAGGGTGTCTCTGAGTCGCTGACAGGGCACATGGAAGCCTAGAAAACCCAGGAAGACTGAGGCTGATCCTGTCTCAGACACAGAAGCTGTAGCGGGTGTTCTAAAGACCTAAGTAAGCATCCTGCTTGTCCTATCTCCCCTATTTGAATTTAAGCCCCAGGAGGACAAAGCTTACTCTCTGGAATCTCCGCGTTTTAGACTTACAAGTGTCTTTAAAGGTCATCTCATCTCAATCCCTTACCCCAAAATGGGAATTCTCTGTATCCTACCACTGAAAGACGGCCCCCACACCTGTGCGTATTTGCCCTTCCACATAATTTACAGAGTGGAGGGCAGAGTTTGATAATCCCTTCATGCAGCTGACCTCCTGCCTCAGGACCCAGGAAATCTCCCTACGGTTCCTCTGACACTGGCTCCAGTGTGCCAGCCTGGAACCTGAAATGCCATTCTCAGCTTCTCTTCAGGGAGTGAGGTGGGCGGACACATGGCAGGTTTTGGAGTCACACAGACCCGGGTTCAAGTCTCACTTCCACTGCTCGTTAACTGAGGGGATTTGGACAAAGTACCCCAGCTTTCTGTGCAGTTAACCTGCAAAACTCCAAGAATAATCCTTCGCGGGACTGGTGAGGATACATGGGGTGTAGGAGATGAGCATTAAACACGTGCTCCCCTACGCTGCTCCTAACCTCCCTGTCTCCACCTGGGTGTGAGCATCTGTGGGGGCAGGAATTGTTTCTTAGCTACAGGATACTCTTTTCCCAGTGCCAAAAACAGTGCTTTTGTGTCCGGAATTGGTGGGTTCTTGGTCTCACTGACTTCAAAAATGAAGCCACCGACCCTCATGGTGAGTGTTACAGCTCATAAAGGCACAGTGCCCAGAGTTTGTTCCTTCTGATGTTCGGATGTGTTCTGAGTTTCTTCCTTCTGGTGGGTTTATTGTCTTGCTGGCTCAAGAGTGAAGCTGCAGACCTTCCGGGTGAGTGTTAACAGCTGATAAAGGCAGAGCAGACCCAAACACTGCGCAGCAGCAAGATTCATTGCAAAAACCAAAAGAACAAATCTTCCACCACGTGGAAGGGGACCCGAGCCGGTTGTCAGTGCTGGCTGGGGCAGCCTGCTTTTATTCTCTTATCTGGCCCCACCCACATCCTGCAGATTGGTCCATTTTACAGAGAGCCAATTGGTCTGTTTTACAGAGAGCTGATTGGTCCGTTTTGACAGGGTGCTGATTGGTGCATCCACAAACCCTGAGCTAGACACAGGGTGCTGATTGGTGCATTTACAAACCTTGAGCTAGATACAGAGTGCCCATTGGTGTATTCACAATCCCTTAGCTAGACATAAAGGTTCTCCAAGTCCCCACTAGACTCAGGAGCCCAGCTGGCTTCACCCAGTGGATCCCGCCCCGGGGGCAGCAGGTGGAGCTGCCTGCCAGTCCTGCGTGTGTGCCCGCACTTCTCTGCCCTTGGGCGGTCGATGGGACCAGGCACCATGGAGCAGGGGGTGGCACTCGTCGGGGAGGCTTGGGCCATGCAGGAGCCCAGGGTGGGGAGACTCAGGCATGGCGGGCTGCAGGTCCCGAGCCCTGCCCCACAGAGAGGCAGCTAAGGCCCAGCGAGAAATCGAGCTCAGTGCCGGTGGGCCGGCACTGCTGGGGGACCTGGCGCACCCTCCGCAGCTGCTGGCCCAGGTGCTAAGCACTTCACTGCCCAGGGCTGGGGGCCTGCCGGCCGCTCCGAGTGCAGGGCCCGCCAAGCCCACGCCCACCCAGAACTCTAGCTGGCCTGCAAGCCCTGCATGCAGCCCCGGTTCCTGCCCGTGCCTCTCCCTCCACATCTCCCAGCAGGCTGAGGGAGCCGGTTCTGGCTTTGGCCTACCCAGGAAGGGGCTCCCACAGTGCAGTGGCTGGCTGAAGGGCTCCTCCAGCGCGGCCAGAGTGGGCACCGAGGCCGAGGAGGCTCCGAGAGCGAGCGAGGGCTGCGAGGGCTACCAGCATGCTGTCACCTCTCACTTTGCCTATTATAAAAAATGAGAGAGAGAAAATAAAAGCGAATTTATATGTGACCCCAGAATCTAGAACAGAGCTCTTTATCTCTCTCTCAGCAAGGCCTATTAACTAACACAGTTTTGCTGCTGTCTGTTTTCAGAACAAAGACTTGTTCTGTGTACTCAGACAGTCTAAAATGAAGGTTGAAAAAAACAGCTCATGTCCATACACAGAAACAGAAACTGAACCGAACACCGAAACTGAAACTGTTTGTCTCTTCCTGAGAAACGAGCAAACCTGAAAGCTACTCTCTCAGCTTCAGAGGGAAAAAATGGTTGTAGATTTCTGGACTTGGGAGCAGACATTTCAAGAACTAATCCAAGAGGCAAAACCCCGGGCCACATGGACGCTGAAGTTGGATGGCAACCTTCAGCTAGACTGCCTGGCTCAAGGGTGGAAGCAATACCAACAGAGAGCATTTGGCTGGTGAGTGTGGGTTTCCCAGGCAATAGCTCTTCTGAGAAGAGAGGCTCAGGCTCAGCTTAGCATGATTTATTCCTCTGAGAGCTTGTTGAAGGAGTAAATGTCACCAGGGCCTCCATCCTATTGTGGTCATAGTACTCTTTAGGGTCGACATGATAAGACGACTCCAAACCTCCATTTTGTTTAACTGCTGGAAGTTTCTTCTTTTACTAGGTTTCCCTCCGTAAATATTTCTGGAAAACCCTGGAGAAGGCTCCCTATTCCATAAATTTTCCCTTCTAGTTTCTCACCACGTCATTTGTTCCAGACTACCTCTAGAGTCTTTTGCAGTCTCCCCAGCAGTCCTGACCAGCTTCCCCCAGCTGCACCAGCTCTCCAAGCCTTGGCACTGTTCAGTACAAGCCTGGGACGGAGCCTTTTTTTTTTTTTTAAATATCTTAAGAATTGGCTAAGATCAAGCAGTTACTCTGAACATTGCTTTACTGAAGGCCTGGGGATAATAGTATAGAATGATGTTGCAAAAACTAAATCTAAAACCCAGTTCATGGAGTCACCAAGTAATACTCCTCCCTTACTCACCACTTCCCTCTTTAACCCCCAGCAAGCCTCCAGGTTGCAGGAACCAGTTTCCTTGACCATGTTAGGAGGGTGAGAATTGCTGACCTGGATAATCAAATTTATTTTTAAATGACACACAGGACCTTCGGTATAGTTTTCATCTGACCTATTACTCAGCTTGCCTGCCTGCCCCATCCTGCCTCAGGTATGGCCTACTCCATTCCTTATGGACTATTAGCTATGCCATGCATCTTCAGACTTCCACACTCTTGTTCATGGAGTTCTGCTTGTTCAGCAGACCCTCCCCTCACCCCTCCCTGCTCATCCTTCAAGGCCCACTCTAGTGCCTCCTCCTCCTAAAAGCATTCTCTGGTTCTCCTAGGCAGAGTAAGTATTCCTTCGTATACATTCCCATAAGATAATGGGATAAGATAAAATATATATGTATATGTATACATAAATGATATATAATTATATATACATATGTACTATGTATTTCAGAATAATAAATTTATAAATAATATATGTATTATTATATATTGTATCAAATACAGTATATGCTTATTTTTAGCTGCAGAATCTGTTGTTTAAATAAAGCCTCCTAAACGTCTCCAGAACAGTTCTCAAGTCACTTGTCAGAGCCCGTATAGCAGTCATGTTGCTCTGCTTTCTAATCCAGGGAAATGTGTAAATATTTCTGTCCACACCAGCCAGAGCTTTTTGAGGGACTCATGATGTCTTACAACGTTTTGGCACTCCTCCAAACAGAAAGAAGGTGTTTCTCCTGTTGGGATGATTTGATTTGATTGTCATTTCGAGATCGGAAAAGCAACCTACCAGTGTACTTTTGGAAAATATCAATCAGCTTTTGAAAAGCATTTTGTAGTTTACAAAGTGTTTTCACATACATCGTCTCTTTTGATGCTGCCAATATAACCCTTGAATTTTTTTTTTATGGATTCAAACAATGAGGGTTATAGAAGGGAAGGGCTTTGCCCAAGGTCTTCCTGATGTAAACTGGATCTTCAACCCAGGTATGAGGGATGCAGTCTGTTTCTCCAGGTGTGAGAGATTAGCTACACTACTCACCAGAGGCAACGTGTTACAGCAGGTAAATGAGTTGAATTTCAGATGGCCTGAGATTAGCAGCATGCCTCTAACATTTACCCTGTGTGTCCTTAAGCAGGTTGCGTATCCTTTTCATGATTCAGTTTCCTTATCTGGATATTGGGTTTAATAGTGCTTACTTCACAGATGAAATGGGATAAAATTATAAAGACCAATTATATTGTATGCATCAAAATAGATACTTTACCAAAGCTTTCTATGACCAAAATTAGGAATAAGTTTCTCTGGAAGATGGCAGACATGATTTTCCCTCAGAGGCATCTGGAGATGTTTTACTAGCAAAGAGGTAGACTTGGGTGTAACATATGGGTGGATACTCAGTAGGTCACAGGAAAAAGCCTTATCTGAAACATAGTCCTTCTTGTTCCTGTTTATCAATGACTGGGACAATCTAAATCACATGCATTTTTTCAAATGGAAAAGGATGTTAGTGACAGGGGCCAAGACCATTTTCCCTCAGGTTAACAACCAGATGAAGGCATAATGGGTGTCTTCCTTCTGACTGCAGGTTCCGGTGTTCCTCCTGCCAGCGAAGTTGGGCTTCCGCCCAAGTGCAGATTCTGTGCCACACGTACTGGGAGCACTGGACATCCCAGGGTCAGGTGCGTATGAGGCTCTTTGGCCAAAGGTGCCAGAAGTGCTCCTGGTCCCAATATGAGATGCCTGAGTTCTCCTCGGATAGCACCATGAGGATTCTGAGCAACCTGGTGCAGCATATACTGAAGAAATACTATGGAAATGGCACGAGGAAGTCTCCAGAAATGCCAGTAATCCTGGAAGTGTCCCTGGAAGGATCCCATGACACAGCCAATTGTGAGGCATGCACTTTGGGCATCTGTGGACAGGGCTTAAAAAGCTGCATGACAAAGCCGTCCAAATCCCTACTCCCCCACCTAAAGACTGGGAATTCCTCACCTGGAATTGGTGCTGTGTACCTCGCAAACCAAGCCAAGAACCAGTCAGCTGAGGCAAAAGAGGCTAAGGGGAGTGGGTATGAGAAATTAGGGCCCAGTCGAGACCCAGATCCACTGAACATCTGTGTCTTTATTTTGCTGCTTGTATTTATTGTAGTCAAATGCTTTACATCAGAATGATGAAAATAGGCTTGCCACTTTCTCTTATTTTAATTCCATGGTAGTCAATGAACTGGCTGCCACTTTAATATAACTGAAAATTCATTTTGAGACCAAGCAGGATCAAGTTTGTAGAATAAACACTGGTTTCCTAGCCATCCTCTGAAAACAGTATGAAACATGACCAAGTACATAATGGATTTAGTAATAAATATTGTCGAATTGCTAAAAAGTCTTCAATCATTCATTCACTAAGTCACTCAGTGATATCAATATACTTAGCTCAGAAAGTGTGGGAGGCTGAATAATGGTGTCTCCCAACATATGCATGACTTAATCCCCAGAACCTGTAAACATGTTACTTTACATGGTAGAATGGACTTTGCGGATGTAATTAAGGACCTTGAAATGGTTAGATTATTTCATATTGTCCGGGTGGATAAGAACCAGGATTTTGTAACAGGGAGGCAACAAGCTCAAAATCAGAAAAAAGAGATTTGTCAATGGAACAAGAGGTTGAAGTGCTTTGAAGTTGGAGGAAGAGGTCACAGGCAAAAAAGTACAGGCAGCCTTTAGAAACCCAAAAGGACAAAGGAACAGATTCTCCCCTGGAGTCTGCAGAAGGAACCAGCCCTGCCTGCACATGGCTTTAGCCCAGTGACACTGATTTTGGACATCTGACCTTCAGAACTGCTTGCTCATAAACTTGTCTTGTTTTAATGCACTAAGTTTGTGGTAATTTATTAGAGAAGCAATAAGAAATGAATATAGTTATCAATACTACAGTATGAATCAGGGAATTATGTTTTAGGTATGCTTCAGGTTTGATAGAAAAAAGAGCACTTTATACATTAGAAATACCAGTCAGCCCCATCTCCTCTTGTTCTTCTTTCTCCCCTACTTAAACCCACTCAAATATCTCCATCTCAAAGAGATTCCCTTTGATTTGATGATCCTTGGAGCTATCATATTCTCACTTCTTTCAGCATTGGATTGGGAATCACAGAAGAACTTGCCAATCCTGAGATCCTCTGATGCATCCTTCACCTCCTATTTTCATCTGTCTGCTAGGCATTTCTGTGTGGCTGTCATGTTTAAAGCCAAGCTCAACGCCTCTGACTCTCCTGTTTTAAATCCCCCAAGTCGCCCAAACTTTTCACCTCAGAGTCATCTTCAACCTCTCCTGATCAGCAACACTTATTCCCTTCTTTTGTCAAGTTACTCCCATCTCTTCCTTCTACTTTTCCTTGTCATCCTCTCTCCTCACCTAGTTCAAAATTATTGAAAAACGAGGGGATTTGGACTTTATCCCATAGGCAATGTGGAGTCATTGCAAGCATTTGAGGATATGGGCAAGTTGAGTAGAACCACATTTTTAAAATACCATCTATTTTTTGGGAAAGAATGGAGTACAGAATAGAAATAGTGAGAAGTCTGTCTTGCAATAGAATAGTGGGAAACACAGAAAGAGGGTCCTGTACACAATAAATATCTTGAAAGAATTTGAAGACAAATATAAGCGACCAAAAGACCTAAGGATGAAAATATCTCCCTTCTTTCTGCCCATCTCTTCATTTTATTTCAGGATCCCCCTACCAGTGCTCTCTCTGTATACATACCCCCTCCCCAAACCAAACCACACTATTGAATTCCTGAATTCCTCCTGTTTTCTTCACAAAGAACATTGGCCTGGGGATCTACATGAAAATATTATTTATAGCCTAGCAATGCTGTATGACCTCAGCAAGTCATAATCCCTTCCGGGGCCTTAGTTTCTCCATCTATAAAATAGGTGGGGGTAAAACATGGAGAGTTGATCACATATATTTACCTCTGATCTCTCTTGAAACCACACTGAGTGACAGCAAAAGGAAATAAAGGCATCAATAGAGAAGGGCAAGGAGAATGGTTAGAAGATAGAACACTGATGGACTAGTGGCAGGTAACTGACTTAGCAGAGTAGGGTGAGCCAGAATATAAGTTTAGTGTGGAAAAACCAAGATGTGATTCATGTTGCACAATTCCAGAAAGGCTCCAGACTGTAGGATGAAGTAGCTCTGAAAGTGGGCACTGGGAAGGCAAAAGTGGGAGTGTTGGCTGAAAGACTATACCAAATTTCTTTCCCCTCTCCGAGGCAGCCTCGTAACCACACTTTACCCAACTGAGGGAGAAGAATGGAGGCTGCTTCTCTGAAGACATTTCTCATAGGGACTATGGCTCAGGGAAATCCTTAAGAGAGGAGGAGCCACAAGCAATCAAAAAGACCATGGTTGTTCACATACTGACTAATGAGACCCTCTTACCCCACTATCAGCCCTTGGAGCTGTTTTATAACCTACCTGCCCATCCCTCATAGACACATAACAGTGGAGGACTCCTTTTCTAGAAAAATGGATCTGCTCAAGATAAAAGAAAATATGTACATTGAAAGGGGGTGGGGGCCCCAATTCCGATAACCTCAGAGTGAACCCATCGGATGGAATCTCCTCCGCCAGAGCTTGCAGGTGGCTTTTTAAGGTCTCATATTTGCACCTTAAATGTGACTGGACAGACTGCCAAGGGATTCTCAAATGTTTGATAAAGTCCCCTAATATAAAGGCAAAGAAGAAAAAAGGTTAAAACAAAAAAGACTCTGAAGAAATAGAGATGATTACAGGATAAGAAAGCCAAAAAAACATTTAAAAAGTAAAACTATTATACCTCAGTGAGGTAAGAGAGGGTATAATATTCATTAGACAAGAATTAGACATCATCCTTTGGGATAACCCTAGATGAGACAGCTACCTTTGGCTGGAATCAGATCTGTGGTAGAGTCTCAGCTACAAGCATCCAATAGGCAATGTTCCCAAAAGCTTGGACAATGAGCACCTTAGTCCTCAAGGAAGTGATGTGAGTGGTGCACCACAGCCTCCACTACAATCCACATCTTGCAAAACTCAAATCTACTTGCTTTGTATAAAAAGTCTACATCTGGAGAAAGGTCTTCTGGGATTCTTTTCTGGCAGAAACATACAAGAGGAAGGTTAGTGGATAAATTTAGCCCCTACCACTGCATCTGGTCTTGGGACAGCAGATGTACACCCATAATCTCTTTTTTCTACCTCCAGTTCTTGATTTTCCTTATCCTAACACCTCTGCTGGTTTAGGTGGCTTACCTATAAGGCTATCCAAATGCTTATCGTGAGGACTGTGAGCCCTGGGTCACCACGTCCTTCTCAGTCTGTGGCTTCTTCCCTTGTCCATCTATTAAATATTATCAAACTTAGGGAAATACCAAGAGATGCGCCAGTGAATCAGTTGGGTGCAAACATATTCTTCCCACACCCATTGTTTAATAGTAGTCCTATTTCCCTCTGATGATCAGGAAGATAACTCTTTTTTGTTTAAACTTTTATTTTAGGTTCAGGGGTCTATGTGCAAGTTTGTCATATAGGTAAATTTGTGTCATGGGGGTTTGTTATACAGATTATTTCCTCACCCAGGTATTAAGCCCAGTATCCATTACTTATTTTTCCTGATCCTCTTCCTCCTCCCACCCTCTGCCCTCTGGGAGGCCCCACTGTGAGTTGTTCCCTTCTATGTGTCCATGTGTTCTCATCATTTAACTACCACTTACAAGTGAGAACATGTGGTATTTGGTTTTCTGTTCATGCATTAGTTTGCTAAGGATAACGGCCTCAAGATTCATCCATGTCCTTGCAAAGGACATAATCTCATTCTTTTTTATGGCTGCATAGAATTCCATGGTGTATATGTACCACATTTTCTTTATCCATTGTATCATCGATGGGCATTTAGGTTGATTCCATATCTTTGCAATTGTGAATAGAGCTGTGATGAACATATAGCGTGTATGTGTCTTTATAATAGAATGATTTATATTCCTTTGGGTATATACCCTGTAATGGGATCACTGGGCCAAATAGTATTTCTGTCTTTATGTCTTTGAGGAATCACTACACTGTCATCTACAATGGCTGGACTAATTTATACTGGCATCAACAGTGTAAAGCATTCCTTTTTTCTCTACGACCTTGCCAGCATCTGTTATTTTTTGACTTTTTAAATAGCCATTCTGACTGGTGTGAGATGGTATATCATTGTGGTATTGATTTGCAATACCACATTATGGTATTGATTTGCATTCAGGAGCATAACTCTCTTTCTTGTCTGCTGCACTCTTGGCAAAGGATCTCTGGAATGATCAGCCATAGCAAGACATAGGGACTTCCGCTGTGTTTCTTGGTGGAACCATTCGCCATCTAGGATCTCTAGACCTGCAGAGCCTTGAGTTGTGGCAATGGGAAGCACAGAAAATGGCAAGTGATTTAATGTGAAGCATTGTCAACAGAGTTACTCCTAAACCACCTGTTGATTTCCAGACCCATGTATTCTACTTATTGTGAGCACAGCATCATGTGATGGTAATTGATTCAGGTTGTATACTGCGTTCTGGTGGATGGTGATTCATCTTTACGAGATAGCATCTCTAAATTGCACCACAGCTGCATCTTAAAGATCATTGATCTGCCATTAATCTATCAGGCTGGCGGCTTCTGGGAAATGCAGTATTTGGTAAAACCAGGAAATTCCATGGTCATATTGCCACTTCTGTAACTCTTTTGCTACAAATTTTGTCCCTTGGTCTAATGTGACATTATGTGCTATGTTAGTTTGCTAGGGCTGTAAGAGAGAATCAGTTTCCTGCCTATCACTTAGCTTCTAGTGGTTTGCTGGCAATCTTTAGAGTTCTTTGGCTTGTAGAAGCGTCACCCTAATTCTTGCTTTTTATCTTCACCCGGTAGTCTCCCTGTGTTTATATCTGTGTTCAAATTTCCCTTTTTTATAAGGACACCAGTAATAGCAGTAATATTGGATCGGGGGCCACCGGACTCCAGTATGACCTCATTTTAACTAATTACATCTTCAATGACCATAATTTCAAATAAGGTCACATTCTGAGGTACTAAGGTTTAGCTCTTCAACATACTTTTGTTTGGGGGGAGGGGGCAGAATTTAGTCCATTACATGAAGCATCCTGGGCTTGCGGATCAAATACTCCACAAGTCTTTGGAGATTTGTGCTGGCCAAAGCTCTACACGCAAGAAACACAAGCCATATGTGGAGTATGTGCTGAGCGCAGTCAAGATAAATCACTACCCTCTCCATGATGGAAGGGATATAATTTGCCACCAAATAGCTGGTTTGATTCCTCAAGGGATGGTGCTACATTGAGGGCTCATGTATTGTTGGCAGATTGGACATTCAGCAGTGGGATTATTCATATCAAACTTAGTGAGTGGAAACTCATACTGTTGGGCCCATGCATACCTTCCATTCTTACCTCCATGGCCACTCCTTTCATGCACACATAGTGCCAGTACTGGAGTGGCAGATGGCACAGTCTGCTATCAGCAACCGGCATAGACATTCTGTCTACTTAATTGTCTAGTGCCTCTTCCATGATGGGTGCTTTCTGGTGGGAATCAAAATAAAATACAGAGATCTTTACATTTTGTGCTCACTTTTAAAGACCTGTGTACGTTCCTTTTCCCCAAACTTTATTATCTCTAATCTTCCCAGGTTTCTCCTTCCAGGCCTCTGATCAACCAGCTGGGCCATTTGTCACTGCACATGAGTCTATACTTATGCTTACTGGTCCATTTAGCTTTTCAAATCAAGTGGATGAACAGGTGCACCAATCAAAGCTCTGCCCATTGGGAGGATTTCTTCTCTCTACTACCTTTCAAGGCCACCCCTGATGGAGGGTGTAATGCAGCCACAGCCTGTTTTCAGCTTTTACCACATATTGAACTAAACCATTGGTTAACCATGATTGGCCTTTTCCTTCATCTGTTGGCTGGTTAAAAGTGACAATCCCCCCACCTGCATACCACCACAGCCACGACATGGCCAGATGTGAGCTGAGGGAGAGGTACTAATGCAACAGTGGTGGTTGACATGAGGGCTGGACCACCGGTTTTCTAGCTCACTTGTGTTCTCTAGCCCGGACTTATCCTTCTCTAGCCTGGCTGCACTGCTCCCATATTTTGATGGATTTTTAGTGGTTTTAGGACTTAATGGGCCGTTTTGAACCTAGGCCATGATGGGCATCTCTGGCCCCGTTATCTCTGCATGTCTCATGGTCATGAGTTCTAACTCAACCACAGCCACATAGATTGCAGGAGTTGTTTTTTTTGAATGACATACAATCCTCTGATGAAGAAGGCATGGCCTTGCTTCAGAGCACAAGTATTATGAACTGTATTTTGTTTTGCATTGGGATTGTCATAAACTACACATGGTATCAATTCCCACTACAGATAACTAATTCCAGAGGGTCTGCCAAATAATATGGCCCATGCGGTGAAGCTGCTTACGTTGCATTGTGGACCAGCTGCAGATCCCTTTCCTATTCTGGGTCCTATTCAAAGCTGTCAGCTATCTCTGTCTTTTGGTAAATGGGTCAGAGCAGTGTGGATTATCAGGTGTTGTGTTTCCTTTTAGTGGTGGGAGAGTCCAGATGCAATAATTCGACCTTTATTTTGGAAGTCTTTTCCTGGCATGCTCCAAATTACTATGCCCCTACATGTTTTACTGATTTGGCAGGGAATCTTTACAGAGATTATCTCACACTCTCTGGAGTGAATGTGTCTTTCCAAGGCTTCTGATGCAGTTGCCACTTTTGACTCATCAATGATGTCATTGATAGCATAAACCAATGTGATATTCTTCAGAATGTCCAGATGTGTCAGGTCTTGCAGATTGTATTATGGCAGAGGGTGAGAGGGTTAACATGACCCTGGGACAAAAGTGTAAATGTATGCTATTATCCTCCCAAATGAATACAGTCTACTTCTGATCCTCCTTCTTAGGGATGAAAAAGAATGCACATGCCAGATCAATGTCCATATACCATATATCTGAAGCTATGTGAATTTACCCTAGCAAAAGTATCACTTCTGGCACAGTAGTTGCAATTGAGATTTCCACTTCGTTGTTTGAGATAGTCCAGTGTCATGCTCTGGGATCTGATTCCTTTTTGTAGGGGCCAGACTGATGAATTAAATGAAAATATGCTGGAGATTACCATCTCTGTATCTTTTAGGTCTTAAGGATGGCACTCTTTCCCTTGGGATATAATATTTTAAGGTTTTGTGTTGGATTTTTAAGGAGGGTCCTCAGATTTTTTCATTATAGCAGCTCCTAACCCACAGACTAAGGAATCAGCAAGGGGTTCTGCCATCTACCACATGCATCCTTTCCGGTGATAAATTCAGGAACTGGGGAAATGGCCACTGGGTGAGTCCGTGGAACCAGTATACCCATGGTGAGTCTAACCTGAACTAGAACTCCTTTTATTACCTGACTCCCACATGCTTCATCTCTAACAATGGGCTATTATTTGCTTTAGAGGCCTGGGGACCAATTCAGACCATGAATCCGAAAGTTCTCAGAATGTCTGTGTATTCTCCCTTCCCCAGCATCTAGTTAGCCAAATGCATGGTTATACATCTCTTTGGGCAAGGACTGGGAGTTCCTGTAGCATTCTTTCTCCTGGGGACCTGGCCTTTTCAGTCAGTGAGTTACGAGTCTGAAAATCAGCTCAGTTCTGTCAAGAAAAGGAGTCCTGATTTGTGTGTGTGCGTGTGTGTGTGTGTGTGTGTGTGTGTGCGCGCGCGCGCGCGCGCAGCTTTCAGTCTCCTAAGCATTCATTTCTTTCTTTTAATTGTATAAATTAAGAAATATCCTTACTATCCTGGCTAACACAGTGAAACCCCGTCTATACTAAAAACACAAAAAATTAGCCAGGTGTGGTGGTGGGTGCCTGTAGTCCCAGCTACTTGGGAGGCTGAGGCAGGAGAATGGCGTGAACCCGGGAGGTGGAGATTGCAGTGAGCCGAGATCACACCACTGCACTCCAGCCTGGGCGACAGAGCGAGACTCTGTCTCAAAAAAAAAAAAAAAAAAAAGAAATATCCTTACTTATTGCCCACCTACTTGCCCATACATAGAAAATAGGAAATAGATAAAACGAGTGGATTTGTCCACAAGGCCCAATATCCAACAACAGGAGCGCCAGAGAGATAGGAAACAGAGATAATGAAGGGAAGGAAATTATGAAAGGAATATTTTAAAAAACTTTCCTAGAACTGAAGGACATGATTGCCTACTTTAAAGGGTTCACCAAGGGGCCACCTACACAGTGAATGGACAAAAATTCGTACCGAGTCACACCATTATGAAGTTTCTGACGTTAAGATATAAAGATACCCTAAAAGCCTTTGGAGATAAAAACAAAATAAGAAACAGATAAACATAAAAACAAACAAACAGAAACAGGTCACATATACAGGACCTGGAATTATAATGGGGTTGTACTTAACATCTCAGTATCTGAGGCATTAATGCCTTTGTTTGGGTGTACCATTTTCTGGTGCTTTCACTGACTACCTCTTCGGTCTCACTTTCCCCCTGTCTGCTTGTTTTGGCCTCTGCCTTTCATGGTAGAGGATTTCTTCCGATATCAAAGTATCCTTGGCTCTCTGTCCAAGACCAAGTGTGAGACACTAAAAAGCTCCCAGAACACTCACTGTGCAGCCAGCGTAGAGAGAAACCCATCTAGATTGGGGCCATGTGATGGAAGGCTATGGGCGGGGCGGGGGGGGATGTCCCCAAGGGAAAAAGCAAAAGGAAACAAGAGGTTACCTGGTGCATTTGAATGTTTAAAGAGGAGTTTACATTTCTAACAGAGTTTGAGAGTGAGTTAAATGGAAACATGGAAAAGTAAGCAGAGAAAAAAAAAAATGAAAACCAAGGCAACTATTAACGTCAGGGATAAAACAAGAGCTTGTACTAGAAAATAAATGCAATTAGAGTACTCTACACTGCTTAGCTATAAATAATATTCAAATAGTCATTAAGTATTATGACTGAATATTGGTTTAACAAAAAATGTGATTTAAAAGAATTTGAAGGTAAGAGAAGCGTGCCTGATTAGAGCCTGAGGGTGAAAGACAATTAAATGCTTATCTTGGTGGAGGAAATCAGTGATTAATATCAAAAAGTGAAAAATCAAGAAACAGAAACAAGGAGCTGAATACTAGAAGAAAAAGCTAAAAGAAAGGAAGATGATTGCTTCTGGGGAGAGGAAATGGAAGCTGGGAGGGGCCAGAAAGGGCTGATTTTTGCCATAAGCATTATAGAATGACTCTACTTTTCTTAAGCTATGCCCACATATGACTTTGATAAAAATTAAAATAAAACATCACTTTAAGAAACTAATGGCTTAATAGATTTCCAAGATCTCTTCCTGTCACATTCTCCCTTTCTGTTGTTGTTGTTCTTAATAAAAAAACAAAACAACAAAAAACAAAGATAGGGTCTTGTGATGTTGTCCAGGCTGGCCTCAAACTCCTGGGCTCAAGCAATCTTCCCACCTCAGCTCCTGGAACATCTGGGAGTACAGGTGCAGCCCCCACTCCTGGCTACATTCTCCCTGTTTATTTTCTTTATTCTGATATGCCTCTCTCCCCTTTTTCTTTTCTTTTTATTTTTTTGAGACGGAGTCTCACTCTGTCGTCCAGGCTGGAGTGCAGTGGCACAATCTTGGCTTACTGCAACCTCCGCCTCGCTGGTTCAAGCTTTTCTCCTGCCTCAGCCTCCCAAGTAGCTGGGACTACTGGCATGAGCCACCATACCTGGCTAATTTTTTTGTATTTTTAGTAGAGATGGGGTTTCACCATGTTGGTCAGGCTGGTCTCAAACTCCTTTTTCTTTTTATATTACCTAGTCTCCTCTTTTCTTCTTTACTCTGACTCCTCTTCCAACCACAATTTAAATATAATCACGGCCAGGCACAGTGAGAAACACCAGTAATTCCAGTACTTTGGGAGGCTGAAGAGGGCAGATGGCTTGAGTTCAGGAGTTTGAGATCAATCTGGGCAACAGAGTGAAACCCTGTCTCTACTAAACATACAAAAATTAGCTGAGCGTGGTGGCATGTGCCTATAATCCCAGCTAGTCAGGAGGCTGAGGCAGTAGAATGATTTGAGCCCAGAGGCAGAGGTTGTAATAAGCTGAGATTGTGCCATTGCACTCCAGACTGGGCGAAACCCTGTCTCAATAAATAAATAAATAAATAAATAAATAAATATAATCACAATTATAGAAATGCAGACGGTACAGATGTTTTTACTTTGCAAAGGTTAAGGCAGCCCTAGACTAACATTATTTATTAAAGACCCAAGTTCATTAGCTGGAGGTAGATACCCAGGCAAGGGCAGTGGGAGGGCTGTGGTCTAGGCAATGAAGGGGACATTCACTGTATAGAATTTTAAATTCATAATAAAACGCATAAAAGTTGTTTATTTTTAAATTACAATTATATCCCACCAATTCTGAACAATTTTTAAATTACCATTATATCCCACCAATTCTGAACAATGTCAGTGATGAATTACTTCCCCCAAATAACATTTTGTTGATCTAAATTATAAATAATTGCTGTGATCACTGTTAAGTTTTAATAATACATATATAAGTATCGCTCCAACCCGTGGATAAATCCCCAGGCTCAAGATTTGATTACTTCAAGAAATTCCAAGAGTGGCCAAGAGTGAGAGGACAACTCCTTCCCTAGCCCTAGCCGGGTATCCATCTCTCTTGACTCTTTTTTCTTGCTGGGGATGTGATCTTTGAGAGAATTATGTCCCAGAGGCTCAAGACTTATAAACAAGTGTGGAATCTGTTTGGAGCTGGCTTCAGCTTTCTTCCTTCTCAGAGACACAAATGCCCACAACGTTTTGGGGAAACTTTTCTTTAAACTGAAGCAGACGGTCCCTAAGGTCTCTGTTGTGTACGGGAGGGAGGTGTTTAAAAACACCCTCTCAGTGTGTCACATAGATACATCATGGATTGGCTGACTTCATTTCATATTTTCAGGATATTCACATCCAAACTTTTGGGGATTTTGTCTCTGTGGCACCCTGTGTAACCACTCAAAGCCCAATAAATATTATGTGATTTATCAGACATTTGGGCTTAATCTTCAGCACCCCCTCCTCCGAGCCCCCCATCCAACTGCATAGTACAGGAGGGGTGAGGGCCCAGGCTGTGGTTGGCAGCCTGGGAAGCATCACTCCCTCCCCATACTGGGGAATTAATTTGGCTCCTAAAATAATGGATGGGGTCATCACTAGAAGGAAGAAAGGTACCAAGAGAAATTTATCAGCACCTGACCAAGCCATGAGTATTAGCAGTCAGGCCTGATAGCCAACTTGGCATCAGAAACAGAAAAATGTTTATTTCATAAACACTGTACACACTGAGCTTATTCTCACGCACACAGACATCTGACCTAGGAAGGCTCAGCAAAAGTTGCTGATAACAAAATCAGTCATCCCTTGAAATGGAAAAGGCTTTTTCCATGTGTTGATCATTAATTGTTGCCAAAGGCCAAAAGGGGCTTTCAGGAATGCTAAATGTAATCTCTGGCCTTTCCTGAACCTCCTTTCATGTTCTCTGCCCCATCTACACACCACATTTTCGCCCTCAGTGAATTCAGACACTTTCAGTTTAGAGGATAATGCCCTCTGAACAACCTCAGGCCAAAAGGGCAGAGACAGAGAAGCCTCTGGAGGTTCGGAAGGACAGATTCATCAGACGGCAGAGCCGGAAGCGATTTTACACCCCTTCTGCAGGAGTGAGAGGAGTAGCTGTTTGACCCCCGCTGCCTCAGCTGAGGCCAAAAGGCACGGCTGATTTCCACTTAAGGATGTCAAAGAGGTGAGCACTCAGGGGTGATGCCTTAGGCTCTGGGTTGAACTAAAAGCTGGGTATGTAGAACCAGGAATGTTTCAGGTTTGTAATGGGAAGTAGAGAGTGGTTAGGAGGAGGGAGAGGCTGGGGAATGGGAATAAGTGGGGAAAAACAATGTATTCTGTCTCCTGAGAACTTCTAAAGAATCTCAGAGTTGCTGAAGGCCTGCAGTGTCCAAATGTGACTTGACCACCTTTTCTGGGGGGCCATGGCAGGAAGCAGTATCGGCAGTCGCTAATTCTCAGCTCCAGAGAGTTAAGAGGGCCTTTCCCTGGAGACCCTGGGATGGTGGAGAAGACGGGGCCCAGGTGGCTTAGTGGCTCAGACATCTCAGAGTGGGCTCTTAGAGACCCTCTAATCCTAATGCATCTTTTAAAAGATAAGAAAACCAAATCCTTGGAGTCAGAAGTGAGTTTCCGGTTAGAGTATAATCTTCAAAAAGGTAAAAGTATGCCTCATACAAATAGTGAACATGTTTCAAAGATTTTATTGAACTCATTAGTTAGCGGGGAAACAATAAGATTGAGAACCACCCCGAAGAACATTTGAGAAGCTAGGTCTATACAAGCAATTTAATAGCTTGGTGTGTAATAAGCTATATAAAGACTGGTTTACATTTAATAGGATCATAAACTGTACACTTTGGGGCTATTAGTTCCACTGGGCAGAGATTATTTATATGTCTACTGAACTAAATTTATAAGTGAGGCTTTCCTTTACAGTGAAGTAAAATAATCCAGTAAATAGAAAGTTAGGTTCAGCACTGAAAGATTACCCAATAATCTCTTTGGCCTGTATGTAAATTTCAGATGATTTTTTAAAAATTGTTCATGGTTTCACTGATAACCGATAGCAGATATATAATGATAAAGTCTCATTATGCTCAACCCAATATTTTTGTCCTTGCAACACAATCCAGAAAGACCAAGATGTCCAAGAGTTAAATTTAGGGAAGAGGTGGATCTCCTACTCCCTGTTAGCCCAGCTCACCTACCCTTCCTAAAGTGCTGCTTATGGAAACACTGACCCCATGAGGAAGCCCAAACTTCCCACATTCTCCAAACCCAAGGCAAGGTCTCCATACTTTCCTTCTTCCTTCCAGCATCCCACAGGATCCCTTGGCCACCCTACTGTTACAGATAGTTAGGCATGAGAGGGGCATGAGAGGGCTCTTCCCCCACCCACTAGAAATGTCGGGTGACAGTTTGGCAATTATCGCATTGCCTCTCTAAAAGTGATAAATTGACAGCCAGTGCCAGGGAGAGGCCATCTCCTGAGGATCCGCGCCTGTTAACATCAAAATGTTAATTGAATGCAGGCCCCAAGGAGAAGCCCCTTGGGCACGCATGTTAAGAGATGAAATGGTGAAGTATGACATTCTGGGGGCACATGCCACTGGAAAAAGGGAAAAAAGCCTCATAAACTCATAAACTCTCTAAACGCACTGTGCATGCTCAATTCCCAAGGGTAACGAGGGCACCATGCATGCAGAAAGCACACCCTAAGAGAAGAATCATGGGGAAGAGGCGAGCTTATCAAATCCTAGAACCTTGGTTAAAGGCGGCTTCCTTTTTTTCTCTCTTTAACCTTTAGGCACCCACTTGGATCTCTTCCAAGGGTTCTTTCCTTCCTTTACCCTTCTAAAGTCTTTTTAATAAACTTCCATTCCTGATCTGGAACTTGCCTGGGTATCTTTTCCTGTTTTATGCCCCTTAGTCAAATTATTTCTTTTGAGGAGGCGAGGACTGAAGTTGCTATGGACTGTGACAGATACACTGCTGGTAACTTGGGGTAACTGGGGGTAACTCAGATCTCGTCCACTGCTAACAGTACCACCACCATGCACTCACTCAGTTCTCATATTCAGCTGTCTCTGAGCTCTGTGGCGCCCTGTGACTTCCTTTTTGCCTCTCTGAGTTCTTCCTACAGGTTCTCAGTTGGAACTCTCATTGGAAGTGTTCAAGTGAGGCTAGGTGACACTTTGGCTGAGTACTAAGCAAGAGGACTTAAATACTGAATGTGCTTGGTTGGCATAGATGCCATTTAAAGTCCTGTCAGTGCTTAAATTCAAAGATTCTGTAGGAATTTATTCCCCTAAATGGGAATGATAAACAGCACATGCAACTTAGAAAGACTCAGGTGGGTTTGCAAAGCTGGCATTGTTTTTTTTTTTTTGGTTTTAGGAAAAGTCTAATTTCCTGGTTCCTCATCAGAGTGAATACTAATGTCCTTCCTTCTGGGAGGGTTCTGAGGATGAGACGTGAAGGCCTGAGGCAAGTGACACTGAGCTGCTTACCACCATGACAAGGCATCTGCACAAACACCCATCCTTTTGTTCTTGCCAGCTCTATGTGGGTGGCAGAGGTTGGAATAATTTCATTACCAGAGTCTATCAGCCTTGACAGTGTCTCTCTAAGATTGCCTTTTTCATGATCATTTTGTTTGTTTGCCTGAAATGGAATTCAGGTAGATAAGGAATGGGGTAGTGCAGGGGTAGCTATTAACCTTTCAAAAGATAACATGACAGGAATGAATCATCTACCCCCACACCCTGATTCCCAGGTTTGTTTTTGCTTTCTTTTTTATCCTCTAAATAATAAGAGAAAATTTCAAAGGAGAAAGAGTTCCTTATGGCTAGTAAAGTTGAGAACCATCATAATATAAGGTTGAGACCACAACTCTGGGATAGAAATAGGAATCTTTCAAAAATGCTGGGCCAAGATTTCAATTTTGTTATTTTACTCACAGTATGGTAAGGCCAAAGGAATATGAGACATCAGCATTTTACAGATTGAGAGATGAAGCCCCAAAGACGGAGTGTAAGTTGCCCAAGCTCCCACAGCCTGTGTTGAGGCACATTTTTTTGTGTGGTTTAGAGGGGATGAGGCAGAAGGAACAGAACTCTAAGATGGGGAAGCTAGTACTCTATTTACTAAACTGCCCAAGGAGTGAGTGAGGGATATTTCTCTGAGGCTTGAGCTATAAAGCAAAGATAACAGACAGGAAGGAGTAACTTCAGCTCATTTTCCCTGTCCTCAAATTAAGCCTTTTCCTCATCAGTCCCAAGTTTCTGCTCTCAAGGCCTCCAGGACTCACTGTCATCTCCTGCTAATGCCACTCCCCAACAGTTTCTCCATATGCTGTCTCCTCATTTCTTCCAGAAATAATAATAAAATAGTAATGATTATCAACCATTCATTAAATGTCAAGCTCTTTGCACTCCACTTCTAGTAACTCAATTAACCTTCATAGCAATACTAAGGCCAATGCAGTTAATTTCATTTGATAAATGGGGATGTTGAGGCTCAGTGAGATTGAGTATCTTGCCTAAGACCCCAAAGCTGGTGACCATACAGCCAGAAACCTCACTCCCAAACCTGCTCTTAGGTACTGTGAAGGAGAGATAAAGTCTTTTTCAGACAAACAGATGCTGAGAGAATTTAGCACTACCAAGCCAGCTCTACAAGAAATACTAAAAGAAGTTCTAAATCTTGAAACAAGACATTGAACTACACCAAAATTGAACCTCCTTAAAGCATAAATCTCACAGGACCTATAAGACAATAACACAATGAAAAAAAAAATGAAACAAGGTATTCAGGCAACAACTAGCAGGATGAACAGAATATTACCTCATGTCTCAATACTAACGTTGAATGTAAATGGCCTAAATGATCCATTTAACAGATATAAAATGGCAGATAAAAATCGACCAACCATGTATCTGCTGTCTTCAAGAGACTCATCTAACACATAGGACTCATATAAGCGTAAGGTAAAGGAGTGGAAAAAGATATTCCATGCAAATGGCAACCAAAAGTGAGCAGGACTGGCTATTCTCATATCAGACAAAACAGACTTTCAAGTAACAACAGTTAAAAAAGACAAAGAGGGACATTATATAGTGATAAAAGGATTAGCCCAACAGGAAAATATCACAGTCCTGAATATATATGCACCTAACACTGAAGTTCCCAAATTTATTAAACAATTACTACTAGACCTAAGAAATGAGATAGACAACAACACAATAATAGTGGGGGAATTCAATACTCTGTCAATAGCACTAGACAGGTCATGAAGACAGAAAATCAACAAAGAAGCAATGGACTTAAACTATACCCTATAACCAATGAACTTAACAGATATTTACAGAACATTCTACCCAACAACTGCAGAATATACATTCTTATCATCAGCACATGGAACATTCTCCAAGATAGACCATATAATAGGCCACAAAACACGTTTCAATAAATTTAAGAAAATCAAAATCATATCAAGTACCTCTCTGACCACAGTGGAATAAAATTAGAAATTAACTCCAAAAGGATCCCTCAAAACTATACAAATACATGGAAATTAAATAATCTGCTCCAGAATGATCTTTGGGTCAACAATAAAATCAAGATGGAAATTAAAAAATTCTTTGAACTGAACATCATCTATCAAACCTATAGTTTCACAACCTGTGAAATCCTCTGGGATACAGCAAAAGCAGTGCTAAGAGGAAAGTTCATAGCATTAAATGCCTACATCAAAAAATATGAAAAAGCACAAATAGACAACCTAATGTCACACCTCAAGGAACTAGAGAAACAAGAACAAACTGAACTGTAACCCAGAAGAAGAAAAGAAATAACAAAGATCAGAGCAGAACTAAATGAAATTGAAAGAAAAAATACAAAAGATAAATGAAACAAAAAGCTGATTCTTAGAAAAAAATAAAGAAAATGGATACACTATTAGTGAGATTAACCATGAAAAGAAGAGAGGAGATCCAAATAAGCTCAACTGGAAACAAAATGAGAGATAGTAGTAGGTTGGCACAAAAGTTACGGCAAAAACCGCAATTACTTTTGCACCAACCTAATACAACCAATACCATAGAAATATAAAAGATCACTTAAGGCTACTAGGAACACCTTTATGTGCACAAACTAGAAAACCTAGAGAAGATGTATAAATTCCTGGAAATAGACAACTCTCCTAGATTAAACCAGGAATAAATAGAAGCTCTGAACAGACCACTAACAAACAGCAACATTGAAAGGGTAATAAAAAAAAATTGCCAATAAAAAAAAGTCTAGGACCAAATGGATTCACAGCTGAATTCTAGCAGACATTCAAAGAAGAATTGGTACCAACCATATTGACACCATTCCAAAAGACAGAGAAAGAGGGAATCCTCCCTAAATCATTCAATGAAGCCAGTATCACCCTAATACCAAAACCAGGAAAGGATATAACAAAAAAAGAAAACTAACCACCAATATTGCTGATGAACATAGATGCAAAAATCCTCAGCAAAATACTAGCTAACTGAATCCAACAGTATATCAAAAAGATAATCTACCATGATCAAATGGGTTTCATATCAGGGATGCAGGGATGGTTTAACATAAGCAAGTCAATGTATGTGATACACCACATAACAAAATTAAAAACAAAAATCACATGATCATCTCAATAGATGCAGAAAAAGCATTTGACAAAATCCAGCATCGCTGTATGATTAAGACCCTCAGCAAAATCGGCATAGAAGAGACATACCTTAAGGTAATACAAGCCATCTATGACAAACTCACAGCTAACATTATACTGAACAGGAAAAAATTGAAAGCATTCTTCCTGAGAAGTAGAACAAGACAAGGATGACCACTTTCACCACTTCAATTCAACATAGTAGTGGAAGTCCTGGCCAGAGCAATCAGACAAGAGAAGGAAAGAAAGGGCATCCAAGTCGATAAAAGAGGAAGTCAAACTGTCACTGTTCACCAGTGATATGATTGTATACCTAGAAAACCCTGAAGACTACTCTAAAACGCTTCTAGGTCTGATAAATGAATTCAGTAATATTTCAGGATAAAAAGTCAATGTACACAAATCAGTAGCACTGCTGTAAACCAACAGTGACCAAGCTGAGAATAAAATCAAGAACTTAACCCCCTTTACAATAGCTGCAAAAACAAACAAACAAACTTGGCAATATACCTGACCAAGGAGATAAAAGACCTCTACAAGGAAGATTACAAAATGCTGCTGAAAGAAATCATAGATGACACAAATGGAAACACATCCTATGCTCATGGATGGGTAGAACTAATATTGTGAAAATAACCATACTGCCAAAAGCAATCTATGAATTCAGTGCAATTCCCATCAAAATACCATCATCATTCTTCAAATAGAAAAATAGAAAAAACAATCCTAAAATTCATATTGAACCAAAAAAGACCCTGCATAGCCAAAGCAAGACTAAGCAAAAAGAACAAATCTGGAGGCATCACATTACCTGACTTCAAACCATGCTGTAACTCTATAGTCACCAAAACAGCATGGTACTGGTATAAAAATAGGCATATAGATCAATGGAACAGAATAGAGAACACAGAAATAAAGCCAAATACATACAGCCAACTGATCCTCAACAAAGCAAACAAAAACATAATGTGGGGAAAAGACACCCTATTTAACAAATAGTGCTGGGATAATTGGCAAGCCACATGTAGAAGAATGAAACTGGATCCTCAACTCTCATTGTATACAAAAATTAACCAAGATGGATCAATGACTTAAATCTAATACCTGAAACCATAAAACTTCTAGAAGATAACATCAGAAAAACTCTTCTAGACATTGGCTTAGGCAAAGAGTTCATGACCAATAACCCAAAAGCAAATGCAACAGAAACAAAGATAAATACATGGGACCTAATTAAACTAGAAAGCTTCTGCACAGTTAAAGAAATAATCAGCTGAGTAAACAGACAACCCAGAGTAGGAGAAAATATTCACAAACTATGCATCTGACAAAGGACTAGTATCCAGAATCTACAAGGAACTCATACAAATCAAGAAAAAAACAAATAATCCCATCAAAAAGTGGGCAAAGGACATGAATAGACAATTTTCAATAGAAGTTATACAAATGGCTAACAAACATATGAAACAATGCTCCACATCATCAATTATCAAGGAAATGCAAATCAAAACGACAATGTGATACCAGCTTACTCCTGCAAGAATGGCCATAATTTAAAAAATCAAAAAATAATAGATGTTGGTATGCATGTGGTGAAAAGGAAATACTTTTACACTGCTGGTGGGAATGTAAACTAGTACAACCACTATGGAAAACAGTATGGAGATTTCTTAAAGAACTAAAAGTACATCTACCATTTGATTCAGCAATCCCACTAGTGGTTATCTACCCAGAGGAAAATAAGTCATTATATAAAAAACACACTTGCACACACATGTTTATAGCAGCACAATTTGCAATGGAAAAAGTATGGAACCAGTCTAAATGCCCATCAACCAACCAGTGGACAAAGAAAATGTGGATATATATACCATGGAATACTAGTCAGCCATAAAAAGGAGTGAAATAACGGCAATCACAGCAACCTGGATGGAGTTGGAGACCATTATTCTAAGTGAAGTAACTCAGAAGTGGAAAACCATACATCGTATATTCTCATTTACAAGTTGCAGCTAAACTATGAGGAGGCAAAAGCATGAGAATGATGTAATGGACTTTGAAGTCTTGTGGGGAAAGGTGGGAGAGGGGTGAGGGATAAAAGACTGCACACTGGGTACAGTGTACAATGCTTGGGTAATGGGTGCACCAAAATCTCAGAAGTCACCACTATGCAACTTACCCATGTAAGCAAAAACCACCTGTTCCCCAAAAAGTATTGAATTTTTTAAAAAATAAAGTTCATTAGTGAAAGAATCTCAGTGCTCATTTAAAAAGTCCTCTGTAAGCATGGCTTCTCAGTGTCGTCCCTCCCTATGTGCCTGGTCATACAGGACTGCTTGATGGTGGGGTTCAGGGGGAGGGCCCCTCTTCCATTCTTAGGTTGTGCAGGAGAAACACCACAGTTGTCACCTATAGAGAAGTTCCCAAAAGTTGTGGGAGAGGTGAAGGGCAACAGTAACCTTTTGACATTGTTAGATATTTGGAGTTGGGAAATATCTGAAAGGAGTGACTGAAAGGAAGCTGAGAAGTCACAGAAACACACTTTCTTTTTCATCTGGGGAAACTAAACAGACAGAGGAAGGAAACTGTTCAAATCTCTACTCTTTGAGAATATTAAGGTGACCTTTAATAATTATCACTGAATGGATGGGAAAGTGTGGAAAACTTGGCCTATCATTTCCTTAAACACAACTCCTTATTTATTTTTAGGTCCGTTTATCACTAAAAAGTAGGACAATTTGATGGTAACTAAAAAATGTTTCTAAATAAGTGGCCATTTTGAAAGCAGTACTAACATTTTTACATAGCTCTGTAGTTAAAAGAAACCCTCATTTTTATAGCCTGGTCTTCTTTTCAATTGTATTCTGGAGGTAGAGATCGTTGTTTCTACTGTAGAAAGATAAAAACCAATCTCAGCCCTTTTTCAGGGTGGCACTGAAGACTCAAATTGGGAATTCTTATCTCTTTTTGCCTATTCCCTCATGCTTCCCATTTTGTTCACATGAGATTGAGAAACATCAATTTTGAAGAATGCGTTCAATGCCTGCAATGTTTCCAAACCCCAACTTCCCTTCACAATGGCAGAGCTTTTCGCTGGCCCAGCTCGAATTCTAGACTTTGGATTTAGATCCCCCTCCTTGTCTGGTTGCAATGGAGTCTCTTTAATTAGATGGGCCAGAAAATACTACCCGACATCTTCAAATATTAATAACTTCATTTGTTTCCAAAACTCAGAGAGGGTGTCATAAAAATTAATGCGTGTGCTGGTGAAAATCAATTGCCTTCTGCTTTCTGGAATCATTGTGTAGGAAATTATGGGGAATTATGTGGACTTTTTTTTTTTGCCTCTGGGGCAATACATTTTTAACTAAAGGGTATGATTTGATTATATTTGTGATGCACAAAATGGAGACTTGGTGAAAATCCTTCAGTCCTTTGTTTATAGAAGGATAAAGTTTGGCGAGATATAATACCAAGAATGAAAACCCAAGGAAATTACATCAATCAAATGTTTCTCATGACTTTGTCTTGAGTATCTGACATTTTCTTCAGTCCTTGTATTTTTGCAATTGAAGCTAGGCTAAAGTTGATTCTCAATGAGCTAGGTACACAGAACCAGACTTGAAGAAAAAGACAGATTTATAGTGGGTGTCACAATCCAGTTAGTGGAAGAGGTTGTTGGTTTGTAACCCATAATTCTTGTTGTACTACATTACCTACCTTTTCCACTTACTCTTAGAAAACAAAACTTACATGGGGGTAAAATTTAGCATGTATTCATTTGTTCTTATATTTTCAAAATTAAGATATTTTTATTATTTTTAGTTAAGACTTAGATCTTTTTTTTACTCTGACCCTACCGTCATGTAACATTCAGTAGTGTCACGTGGCATAAGATAGGCTGAAGGCATTTTTGGGGTCCAGCCATGAGGAAGCTGGAATGGGAATACACTTAGGTCTGGATTTAGTAGAATAGATGTTATGTATTTCACATATCTGAACATGAGTAAGATTCAAAATTTTATGCAGAAAGTTGGGAACATTTCAATACATCATTTTATTTTATTTTATGTTGTTATTATTTGAGATGGAGTTTCGCTCTTGTTGCCCAGGCTGGAGTGCAGTGGCGCCATCTCAGCTCACTGCAACCTCTGCCTCCTGGGTTCAAGCAATTCTCCTGCCTCAGCCTCCTGAGTACCTGGGATTACAGGCATGTGCCACCATGCCCGGCTAATTTTGTATTTTTAGTAGAGATGGGGTTTCTCCATGTTGGTCACGCTGGTCTCGAACTCCCGACCTCAGGTGATCCACCCATCTCGGCCTCCCAATCCTTGTTGGTCAGGCTGGTCTCAAATTCCCAACCTCAGGTGATCCACCCACCTTGGCCTCCCAATGGGATTACAGGCGTGAGCCACCTCATCCGGCCTCAATACACCGTTTTAACTGGAAAGACATATTGGACATCTCATTAAATCAAGTGAGGATTTACTGACTCTAGATTTGGACATACACAAAGGATGCCTTGTTTTGTCCCTTCAGAATTATCAAAGAAGGAAAAATCAGATAAAAATTAGTGGATATTTATTGCACTCTAAATCGAAAAGTATCTGAGACAGGGCTCAATCAATTTAGAAGTTTATTTTGCTAAGGTTAAGGACAATCCCTGGGAGAAAAAACACAGACTCAGAAACAGTCTGTGGTCTGTGTGTTACAAGGAAGTGTGCGGTCCTCAGTTCTTAGTTTTCTCGGAGGAAAGAATTTGGCCAAGAGACCAATTAGTAAAGTAGGCAAAAGATTTATTAATGGGAGAGAAATAATACACTCCAAGAGAGAAGTTGGGCTAAGCTGGCTGGGAGCAGCTCTGAGAGTTCTGCCTTGCGGTTTTTACTATGCTGGACTATTTCTTTAAGTTCCAGCTTTTGTCTTAAGTCTCCACCTTTGTCCCCATATAGTTCCCTCCCAGGCTTGTGGGATTCTCCCTTGCTGTCCATTGACGTTCATGTGCAGGCATGGGATCAATACAACTCCCATCTAATTGTGGTGTTGCTCATTCGTGCCACCCCAAGAAGGTTGTATAGCGGTTAAATCTGTACTTATTGTACCTGTGTACCTCTTAGGACTTTTGCCTTTGTCCTTCTTCCCTTCTTACCAGCATGTAGCTAGCTATGTTCTCACAGCTTAACCACAGAAAGAGTGATTACTGGGCATCTTAAGGCGGGTCCTGGGGAGTTCCTTTCCGCACAGAATCTCCCCTCCTCTCTGCTCATATTTAGCATGTAGGTTTTGGGTGGTCTCTGGGGCATGAGATTTTGCAGAGCTTCCTCCCCCTGGGGCTTCCTCTCCTGCTCATGTCTAATTATCTGCCTACTCTAACATGTGCCTTCCTTCAAAGATGATTTTGAGGGCTTCAAATTTAAAGGGGAAAAGCAGGCTGGAGGGGAAAGAGGGAGCATGTGGTCACATTACTGAATCTACATATTGCAAGGAAACAGGAGCAGGTATGTGAGTAGTCAATTATGTATTTGTCTCCTCAGTAATTGGCACTACATATAAGATAAGGTGAACATAGAGTAGCTACCTGTGGCAGTATTTGGCCTTTTATCTGGAGCTATCTGCTTAGGGACAAAAGGACAGATAGCTTCTTGCGTGACTCAGCTTTCAGCTTATTATTTTTTTTTTTGTTTTTCTTTTGGCATCATGAATGGGGTCCCAAGTTTTAATTCTCCTTTCACAGCATAATTTTTTTTCAATTTTTTATACATTTGAACATTTTTGTAATAAAAATTAGAAACTGTTTACAATGAATGAAACATGAAACAATAATGATCAAGATGAGCAAAGAAATTGACAGAAGTTTTCTGATATTGAGAAGCAAATTGTAACAAAAACAAAAATTACCAAACGAAGTAATTCATTAAAAGGAAAAGATAACTTTCACACGGCAATAAAGACTAGGCTCTTGGGTGGCTTGATACTCCAATTAATGAGTCAAGTGAATCATATAGTACATTGAAAAATTTGAAGATATTCTGTAGATTTGACTTAGAATGCTAATAGCAATGAAGATAATATAAAACCAATCATTTGCCACTGGAAAAAGGGTGTTTTTGACAAACTTATTTTTTAAAAAAATGCTAAGAAACTTGTTACTCCTTAATTCAAAGAGTATTCAAGATAAGTCACGATACAAAGAAACCTGAAGACATACTGTTTCCATATGAAAGCAACTCAATAAAGCTTTTCCCTAATTGGACAATAATCCTAACATTTTGCATGGCATAATTAATAAAGAGTTATAAAGCTGAAAGGAATTTATCTATGTTGCAGATGAGTGATGACTACCTGGGCTGATAATGCAGGGGTAAGAGAATTTACCAAGACAGTAGTAGGTAGAGAAAGGCAGATTCATTAGAGAAAGTAGGAAAATACGTTGCAAGGAGGCAAAGGACAGCCAGCAAGAGAGGAGTTGATTGCAAGGAAAAGCTGATTGCTTGAGATTTTATGTAAGGATAGTTCTTGGGCTGATTGATAATACCAAGGTAGCAGGGAGCTTAACTTGCATTCTTCTGTTAGTCTAGGTGTTTGATAAATTGAGGCATTTGACGATAGGCAGGAGATGTGTGAATTATGTATGTTATTTGCACAGGAGGGCTGTATGTTCTGGGCCATAAAGAAAGGCAGACCTACAACTTACCTGCTTTATCTCTTTGCTTTCCCCTGGTCCCACCAGCTTGACTCCTTTTCACTAATTAGGAAGCCGCAATCTAAACTATTAATACTTTTTTTAAAAAAATTGACTAACCGTGATAGAAGAAAAGTATGTCTTTGTTCTTTTTTTTTTTTTTTTTGAGACAGAGTCTCACTCTGTCACCCAGGCTGGAGTACAGTGGCATGATCTTGGCTCACTGTAACCTCTGCCTCCCAGGTTCAAGCAATTCTCCTGCCTCAGCCCCGTGATTAGCTGGGACTACAGGCACACGCTGCCACGCCCGCCTATTTTTTTTTTTTTTTTTTTTGTATCTTTAGTAGAGATGGGATTTCACTGTGTTGCCCAGGCTGGTCTCAAACTCCTGAGCTCAGGCAATCCTCCCACCTTGGCCTCCCAAAGTGCTAGGATTACAGGCATGAGCCACCACGCCTGACCTATATCTTTGTTCTTTACAGAAAATAACATCACAAAATTTTTTTAAAAATCGATCAAATTATAGTGTATACAGTATTACAGTATGTCAGGCTATGTGACATTTTTGAATTTTGTTATAGTTGTTGTATCTGGCCGCATTCTTAAATTTGCAATTTATTGTGATTTCTTTTCTCATTCTAATAAACATTCATTTTCACCCCAACTTTGTATTTTTGTACTCTTAAAGGGCCCAATCATATTTTATAGGTTTCAGACCCCACCAAACCTGTGACGAAGAGAGAAAGAGCCTGGTGTGGAGTTGCTGGAAGAGAGGATGATATTAACTGGGACCCGAAGTATAGGCACAAGTTATGGGGTGAAGTAAAAGAGCATGCAGATAGGTGGCCAGTAGCACTAAACTAAATTCTGGCTCAGCTGGGTTACCTCTGTAAAGAGACAGGAGGTTGAGCAGTGGACTGGATGGTTTCCAAAGGTTCTTAGTAACAATGACGATAATAATTTTTACCACTACTGAGCACTTATTACATGTCATGCATTGTGTCAGAGGTCAGCAAACTATAGCCCACGGACCAAGTCTATCCTCTTCTGTTTTTGTAAATCAAGTTTTACTGGAACACATCTGTAACTATTCATTTAGGTATTATCTATGACCACCTTTGTGCTATGATGGCAGAGTTAAGTAACTGTGACAGAGACCATGTGACTTGTATAGTCTAAAATATTTACTATTTGGCTCTTATAGAAAATGTTTTCTGGCCCCTGGACTCTGTGGTCATTATTTCTGGGGCAGATTGCATTTTCCAAATATGTCCATATAGTGTCTCCCAACCCATATGCTCTTGTAAAAATGTGAACTTGTTTCACATCATCAAGAGGTGAAGTCAGCTTCTGTCTGGGTGGGCCCTGTGACTGCTTTGACCAATAACATAGAAGTGAAGTTGGACCATTGTTTAGCTCACAGCAACTTCTGCTTCCTGCCCATAGGAAGCCAGCTGCCAGTTAAGAAATACAAGTATCTGAGACCACCATGCTGTGAAAAGCCCAAATCCCACAGAAAGGCCCTAGCATGAGATGCCATGTGGAGAAAGAGCACAAGGGTCATGAAGGAGCCCCACAGGAGTAAGGAAAATATCTTGGAAGTAGATCCAAGCACACACTGCCCCAGCTGACACCCTGTGGATCACACACAGATTGTCCAAACAAGCCCGTCCTAAGTTCATGACCCACAGAATCATTAGATGTAATAAAATGTTTGTTTTTATCCATTGAGTTGGGGTTCGTTTGTCAAACAGCAATAGCTAATTGGAATGATCTTATATAATCCTCATAACTGGCCCAGTACAGATGAATTATTAGTCTCAATTTATGAGTGAAAGAGCCAAAAGTTGGAGAACTCAAATTATATGCCCCACATCACACAGTTGGTAAATGACAAAGCCAGAGTTCAAACCAAAGTTTATCAGGCTCTGAAGCCCTGGTACTTTATGCGCCTTCCTGTATTGACATTCTGTGTGCTGAAAGCTGACAAAGCTAAGAGACGATTGGTCAAGCAGGAGGCCCCTGAGAAGGTCATATTCCCAGACATATTGGGAATTGGGCTCAAGTTGAATTCTGAGCATTCAACTTCTGCAGAGTAGAGCAGTTAATAATATGCCAAACATTGGTTCCTTGGCAATTATCATAACTGTGTTTCTTTTCCATCCACAATATGTTTTTATTTGCCTCCAAGGCACAATTGTTTTTTAAAATGCTTTCTTTTAAAATCAGCTTTATTGAGATATAAAACATGTAACATAGAATCCACCCATCCTAAGTGCACAGTTGAGTTATTTCTAGTAAATTTACACAGTTGTACAGTCATCACCACAATCCACTTTAGAACATTTCTATCATCCAAAAGGTCCCTCATAACAACTTGTGATCAATTCCCATTCCCACAGCTAACCCCCAGCCACCACTGATCTGCTTTCTGTCTCTATAGGTTTGCCTTTTCTGAAAAGGCTGTATCAATGGAAGTATACAATGTGTGGTTTGCTGTGTCTGGTTTCTTTCACTTATCATTTATCAGTAATTTGTTTCTTTCAATTGCTGAAGAGTATTCTGTTGTATGCATATGATATGCTTGTTTTTACATTCACCAGTTGGTGGACATATGGATTGGTTCCATTCTGGGACTGCATCAGTGGCAGCATTTAAACAGTGTTTGATTGCTTAGAAAGACTGACAGGACCCAAAGTGACAATGCTTATAAAGGAGACAAGAACATAGCAATGTTATTCAATTAAGAACCTCAGGCACTTCCTCTCACATTCTCCACAGTCAAGAAGGTTGACCAAGATTTGTGAAGAGTTAGGGGAATCCAAATTGATTATTTTGGGCCCAGGGAATCTCCATCCTTCAATGGCTTGTTCTCTACACTCTCAAATCTAATCTTGAGTTTTCTTGGATCCACCTCTCATTTTAGATGGCTACTGCTTATGAATAATACAATGTAGAACATTGGCTTTACTTGACAATTCAGTTTAATTATTGAATTTTTAAAAAGGGGTATTCTCAAACCCTCAGAATCATGGATGGCACTACAAATAGATTAGTTCATGATTATGATAGTTGTTGCTAAAATGGTAACACAGTGATGTCCTTGAATGAAATATGCAGATAAATCCACTGTTACTTGATTATGGAATTGATCCTTTTTAACAATAAAATGGGAGCAGACAAATCTTTAAAGTATCTGAAAAAAATGTTTTAAAATGAGCTGGATTTTCTCAGGATAAACCAAAAGTTTACCTTCTGATCTTGAGTAATTATGTCTGTCTCATCCAGTAGCTTCTATTCTCCTGAAAGGCAGGAATTGTCTCACTTTTGTTTGAATTTCCTTTATGGCTAGTACAGTGCCTGGCATACAATAAGCACTCAGAAAATATTTTTGCTGACTTAAAGTGTCATCACAAGCTGCTTTTTACATATGCCAGTTCCTTTACTCCTTGGGATGATTTTGCAAAGCGTTACTACTCTAGTTTTCACAGAGGAAGGAACTAACCCTAAGGGAGGGTAAGTGATTTGCCCAAGATAGTACCACTAGTAAAAGGCAAAGTTAGGATTCAGTCCTGTCCTGATTTCTATAGGGTCCTTCCTTATAGACAGGGAAACAGGACACAAAATAATCTAAAACAAGGCATTTCTTTGCCATCTTGCTGTTGTGGATTTCATGCTTTTCTCTCCTTTTTACACCATTGACTTATCATATTATGCTCTTCAATTACATATGTCAGTTTCCTCCCACAATGGCTCTGCAGTCAGTGCTGTAATTGCTCCTTATGGAACCTGAGCCCACATGCCTACAATTTCCCCATCAACTCAGCAGCTCCTACTGCCTCCAAAGGACCATGGCTAATACAGCCTACAAATGTATATGCACCTGTGATTACTGCCATTTTCCACTCAGTTATCATTAAGAAGCACTACTCTAGAGTGCCTTTTAAATATTGTGTATTGGCAACACTCTGATGTGGGTAGGTGGCTAAGAACCATTATCCTCCAAGTTATTATTGAAAAGTGGTACCCTTAAGGTGGGAGCTGACATGTTCGCTCACACGATTGAGGGAGGATGCAAAGTTCTTCTAGAATTAAGGTCCATTCCCTGCTGTTAAGTTGAGGGCACAAGGCTCTTTCCTAAGTAATTAATTAAGCATCCACTTAAGGGGGAGGGGAGGGAAACTTCAGCTAAAAAGCTACTAGAGTTTGTGTTGTACAAGAAAAAAGTGGTTGAGAAATAAAGGATTTCCCCAATTTCTTAGGTATAGAAATCCCTAAAATACATTTCAAAATAAACTCAAGCAGGTCATGGAACCTGAGAACCTGAGAACTAAAAGGACTTTGAACATATGAGGAAACTGGAGTCTATGCAGGGAGCAGGGCTTGGCCAAGTGGGTAGCCAAGAATGAGATTTTAAGACCTCCCGACATGGGCCCTCTTCACCATTGTTCAACTGAAGGTTGAGGCGGGACAGTGATGCCACTTCTACCTTCCATCCCTGGGAGCTTCTTTCAGGAGCAGTAACAGAAACACCAGGTCTCTGGGACAGTGGCTCCTGCCATCGGAAGAACATTATTTCTAGGACACCCAGAGCTCAGTCTAGAAACTCTGGTCAAGAAAGCCAAACATTGCTGAAGAGATTTAAAATGAAAAGCATAAAAGTGCTAGTACATGTGCCTGAGATAAAGCCCCCTCTCCACCTCAGGGCTGAGAGAAGCTGGTAAAAATGCTGATTCTAGAGACCTGAGACACTTCTAGGAGAGATTAAGGGATCAAGTGCAAGGATTTTCCCAACGAACCTGAAGCCCAGGGTAACTGATCATTGTCATAAAAGAAGGGACTCCCTTTCCTCAGGGTTAACCAAAAGTAGGGAGCTGCAGGAAAGGCTGAAAAGAGGTCCAGAAGGGCTGCCTCGAGGCAGGGACATCATGGAGAGCCACAGTCTGAGGAACTTGACTGGCATCCAACAAAGACAAGGCCTAGTTGAAGCAACCACCGCATAAAAACACCAATGAAATAGCCGTCGCAACTAAACTTATTGGGCACATATCATGGGCCCAGCACTTTTTAAAGCACTCTGTATACATGATCTCATTTGATCCTCATAACAGTCTCTGTAATTCTAATAAGAATTAGAGAATGTGGTAGGGCCACTTTCAAAAGTTCCGGGAAAGGATTACTATAAAGGAGAACTCTCCCATTAATAACATGTTATAAGAGACCAGTGCTATTTGAGATCCCACCACTTCTCTGTGTATGTATAAATAATAATTTTTTGTATACATGTTAGTTTGAATCAGGGGAAACCTTCCATTTTGTATCTCAAAAATGGTCAAATAGCAAAAATTTTATATGGCTCAAACTAATATGTATATAAAATGTGTATTCTTTATTGGAGGGAAGTGAAAAAGTAGCAGGCAAATACAACAGTGTAGGATATGTGCTATGTAAGGAGTAAATACTGTGCATGCTGAAGAAAAAAAGACATGAAAGAGAGTTCTAACCAAGATTTCAGCGAGGTGAGCAGTCAGGAGAGACCTCTAAGAGAAAATGACGTCTGTGTTAAGACCTGAATGGATGACAGTAAAGGAAATTAATCACTAGGAGCCAGATTTAGTAAGTCAGGGATGCTTTGCATCATCATGAAGTAGCTGGTGCAGCACTTGCACTGCCACTGTAAACAAGTAAAAAACTGGGCAAAATATATGAGGAAAAAACCATTTTCAGACATTGGATAATAGACATCACAAGATCGTAATTACTGGGAATAGGAACACAAACAAAGTGAATCCTTTAATTTATTAAAGTCAACACATTGTGAAAGATTGAAATAATAAAGAATATGTTCTCTGCTTTTACAGAATTAAATTAGAAATTAAAAACAAAAAGGGATCTAAAAATAAACAACATAGCTGTAAGTAACTCAGGTTAAAAAAGAAATCACAAGGGGAATTTAAAAATATTTTGAACTGAATGAAAATAAAAACAAATGTGTGGGACATAATTAAAACAGTACCTAGAAGACGTATAACTTCAAATGATTATGTCAGAAAGTAATGAAAAGTCAAATCGATGATTTAAACTTACATGTTAATCTGCCACAAAAAGGTGAGACAATAAAATTTCAAGTGAGTGGAAATAATAAAATAGTAGAGATAATAGCAGAAATCAGCCAAATAGAAAATGTACAAATAGCAGAGAAAATAAATGAAACCAAAAGCTGATTTTTTAAAAAAGAACAATAAAACTAATAACTTCTATTTAAACACACCAAGAAAACAAGGGAGAAGACACAAATTATTTATATCAAGAACAAAAAAGGGAACATGATTACAAATTTTACAGTCACTAAAAGAATAATAAGGTCTATTATAAATAGCTTTATGCCAATAAATTTAACTTCTGATAGGAAATGGAAGAATCCTTTGAAAAACACACATGACTAAAACTGACAAGAGAAAATAGAAATTCCAAATAGTCTATCTAAAAATAATTTTATTTGTAACTAAAAATGCTTCAGAAGGAAAAATCCCAGCCCAGATGACATCTCTGGTGAATAATTTCAAACATCTAAGGAAGAAATAATAATGATTATACACAATCTCTTTCATGAAATAGGGAAGGTGATGGTACATGAGCCGTCACTAGATAGGTGTTCAAACAAAACGCCAGCAGCACCACCATGATCCTGCTTTCCTAACGGAGCCTTGTGGCGTCTGCAATTCCACTTCTGGGCAGTTATCCAAGAGCAATTAAAACATGTGTCCATAAAAATGCTTGTATACAAATCTTCACAGAATTATTATTTATGCTAGATTAAAAACTGGTAACAATCTAAATATGTATTAGCAGGAGAAGGTATAAATAAACAATTTTAATACATATATATGGTAAAATACTACTCAGAAATAAAAAAGAATGCACTGCAGATATATAAAAAAAGCATAGATTAATCTAAAAAGCATTACACTGAGTAAAAGTAGCCAGACACAAAAGACTGTGTGTGTGTGTATATATATATATATATACTCTCTCTATATATAAAAATATGTATGTGTGCATATATATACATATATATATACGCATATATATATACATATATATACGCATATATATATACATATATATATACGCATATATATACATATATATACGCATATATATATATACATATATATACGCATATATATACATATATATACGCATATATATACATATATACGCATATATATATACATATATATGCATATATATATACGTGTACACATATATATATACGTGTATATATACACACATATATATACACGTATATATATATACACACACACATATATATATATATATCAGAAAGTGTAGATTTTTCTCCTGCTAAATCCATCCTCCCTATGCACCATCATTACTCCAGTACCTTGAAGAGCTACAGGGATCTAGAAAGGACCTAAAATACCCTATGTTCAAATAACAATAAGCTCGACACCTTTTAAGTGAAAATGTTTGCACCCACTGGTGGTAACTTGAAGCCATAGGAGAAAGATAACATTTATTTCTGAAGTGTTAGTTTTGATCAAACCTGCTTTAGTTAGTTAGATTATGTATATATACACAAACCCAGAGACCTACACACAAAACCAAAATATGTATAAAAAACAAACATTGATGTACTATGGAATATAAAAATAATAAATTTTTAAAGATAAAGCATGAGGCTGGGTTGTGGTGGCTCACACCTGTAGACCCAGTGCTTTGGGAGGCCACAAAGAGATGATTGCTTAAGCCCAGGAGTTTGTGACTAGCCTGGGCAACATAGTGAGCACTGTTTCTACAAATTTGTTTAAAAAAATTAGCCATGCATGGTGGAGTGTGCCTGTAGTCCTAGGTAGTCCGGAGGCTGAGGTGGGAGGATCACTTGAGCCCAGAAGTTGTGGGCTGCAGTGAGCTATGATTGCACCACTGCACTCTAGCCTGGGCAGCAATGAACTACTGACTCAAATAAATAAATAAATAACGAAAGATAAAGCATGAGATTCTAAAGACATTTTATGTTTTCAGCAGGCTAATTTAACCTACATTTCTAGGCTTCCTTCACCTCCTGCCCTCCACTTCACATCTTCTTCCCACCCCTGTGAGAGGTATCTCTATTCATTCTCCTTGGCCATCCAGGGACTTGGATGGATATGTTTGACAAAGACTGATGAAAGGCATATGCTAACAGGTACCAAGAACTAGGAGATGGTGTCAGGTGCTCTTTGGCTTTCCTCAGCATCACCTAACCTGAGGAACCTGGAGGACTGTTGCTTGGGACCCTTCCCAGAAGAAGAAGTTGTCAATCTTGTGGTTTGACAATTCCATTACCACCCTTTCTATTTATTCTATCCATCTTCCATGACTTCTGATTGCACCAAGCCACAAACAGTCCACAGTGCATTGTATACTCAAGAACCTAGACACAGAGGCTACAGAGAGGTCACACAAACATGTGGACTAGGAACTTCCAAGTTTTTGTGAACACCGCTACTAGCTGACTCACTACCTGAATCACTGGGAGAGAATGAACTATGGGAGGGGCCTTGATAGTCTCCCACGTTTCTGTGCAACCCAGAGCATATCACAGCTTCTCAGAGCAGTTACTGGAACATTGGCTTTGCTTTACTTACGGACTTTAGGATCTATAGACTTCTTTGTTTTTAACATCACATGTTGTTTCCATCAGAAGATTTTATTGTAATGAGTCAGTGCTTCTCACTGGAACTAATACTGGTCACGGGGCATGTTTTAAAATTTAATGGGATCATTTGATTTGCTACTGTTATTAGTGGACAAGAGCCAGGAATGACAGACCTTTTGCATTGCAAAGGACAGCTCCAAACAACTAAGAAGTGTCCTGCATTCCATGTGAAAGTTAAATAATCTTTTTTATACTAGTCTGACCTGGCATATATACTAGTCTGACCTTTTTATACTAGTCTTCCTTCACCAGTGCTTCTTTTACCTCTCAAATAAACTGCTTTGCTATTGTATCTTTGTTTCAAGGTGAGTTTCTGGTGTAACCCGAACTATGGTAATTTTTTTAATTCTAGTATTTAACTCTCTCTCTCTCTCTCTCTCTCTCTCTATATATATATATATATACATATATATACACGCACACACATATATATACATATATATACACACACACACATATATATATACATATGCTAGTCTGACCCTAGCATTTAACTCTATTTTATATGTATACTCACACTGCTAATGGCATTTGAATTCCATTGTAACACACCTGTGCTGTTACGTTTGTGCATTTGTAGCTATGGCATGCAATCTGATTCTGTGAAGAAGTGCAAGCATTTCACTACTTGCTCAGGTACTCGAGTGTGATGTGCTCCAGCAATTGCATTGCTAAAATGTTATTATTTTTTACAAATTACTTCCCTTTATTTCTTCATGTATTAAGTTCGGGGCATTATATTGCAGTCTGTGAAATGATATGTTTATAGATTACATTATCTATGATTTTTATATCCAGATACTAAATGGGATATCACAAAATATTTGTTGTTGTTGCTTTTGTTATGTGCATGTGTTTGTGTGCTTTGTTTTTTTTTTTTTTTTTTTTTTTAGAAAAAAGAGCATTCAATCTAAAAGTCAAGAAAATGACGATATGGGTGATAAATATTGACAGCTTAGACAAGGGCTTGAGGGGTGAAAAAGAAAGTCACTGTGGATATAGAATTAACAGAATTTACAAAGAGATTAGATTCAGTGGATTTTAATTAAGCTCTGTTTCAACTTTCCCTTCTGTAGGCTAAATAAACCCAGAGCCATCAACCAACTTGGCCTGCTTTATAAATCTTTTGTTATCTCGGCTGCTGGCTTCAGAAGCACTTCCCTGGGTCTCTAAGTTGTGTTCAGTTATGGATTTCCAAACAGAGCTTAAACATATTAAGCGAGAAATTGGGTCTCCCAATTCCCACGTAATACACCATGCACTGGCTCACAGATCTGACAATGTAACGTGGATATGCACATGTAGCAGCCATTATCAGTGGCCTGTCTATATTCTCCCATCTCCTGTATATGTCCAGTGACTTGCAGCTGCCAGCATCTACATTTCTTTAATTAAGAGTCTTCTTTGGCCACTGAAGCCCATCATGAAGGAGGCTGGAAGTGCAACCCACCTGCATCCCCCAAATAACACTCAACCTGTAACTTCCTGCAGTAGGTGTATAAATACTGGAGCTCCCTCATCCTTTATATGGGATAACTCTAAGGTGTGTGCCCAACACTGTTCTCCAGGGTTTCCTCTACAGGATTCAGCTCCAGTCATCCACAGTAATAGATGATTTGATAATAAACCCCATGTCGACTGCCTTCCCTGTCTCATTTTCCCCTTCTTTCACCAGTGTTTCTTTCACCACCCAAATAAACTGCTTTGCTATTGTATCTTTGTTTCAAGGTGAGTTTCTGGTGTAACCTGAACTATGGTAATTTGTCATTCATTGGGCTCGAGTCCTCTCATGGTAGAGGTATGTAGTTGAAGAGCTCAGGCCTAGGAGACAGACCTGGACCCTAGCTCCCATCTGTAACAACTCACCATTTGAGTTTAGGCGTGTTACTTCTCTCTGGGCTTTAGCTTTCTTACCTTTAAAATAAGAATTTGGCTACATTAGCCTTTCCCAAAATACACTCATTGGAAGAACACTCTGTTTTTGAAATGTTAATAGTTGTCATGGGGAAAACAGAAGAGAAGGAAGAACACTTCTGGTCTATATCAGGATTATGCTGAAGTAAAAGTAGGAGTGCCTAGCTCAGTGCCTGACGTATAGTAATCTTGTAATAAATGGTGATTGATTCTGAATACTAACAAGTTAGCTCATGCTCCACACAGAATTGCCATAGACAGGGGTTCTTGACCTGAAGTCCATGAACTTCCTGAAATTATAATTAGAATTATATACCCTGTGCTCCTGTGCCCTTTTCTGGGACAAATTTCTCAGTTTAATTATATTTTTAGGCTCCCTACAAAATTAGCTCTGTATTAAGCCATTTATTCTTATCAGTTGTTTTAAAACATAACAGCAGACCACTACTTCCATTTCAGTGATTAATCATCAATAAGCACTTATTAAACATCTTATCTCCCTTTTGGAGGAACAATTTCTAGGTCTTTGTGTAGTGGTCAATTATAGAAGGATGTAGATGAAGAGCTACATAAGAATTTCTGAGATATGAATACAAATTGAATAAAGTGATATTTAAATATAAGAATTCAGTTGATATAAGAAAAAGAACTAATGGATTAAAAAAAACGCTGTATGTCACAGGAAGCGGTATCGGCATGTAGGTAGAAATGAAAAAAAAAGTTGAATCTGGCCAGTTTGATGGAGATATGCTGTTTGTTGGAATGGGGGTGGGATAGACTCTAAATGGATCAGGATAATCAAGCTGCTGTTAGAACACTTTCTCCACTCTTTTCTGTTAGAGCAACAGACCACAAGTCTTAGATTAAAATGATTTGCCCCACTCTCAGTCCATCCATTGGATCAGTGTGTCCTGGTGTTTATTATTATTATTTTTTTAATGTTCGCTACATCTGTCTTTGGTGCCTCAATAGCTTGCACAGTCCTTTCCTATGTGTAAGGCCTTAATAACATTTTTCAGGCTGTTTGGAGATCTGATGTTATCCCAAACCATGAACAGCAGAGCTGTCTTCGCATGAATCAACCTCAAGGAGAATGGAACAAACCACTAGAGGTGTTTCCAGCTCCAATTTTTTTTTCAGTCTTTTTCTCCACACAAAGCCTAATGTTTGGTTGTTATTGACAACTGCTATGACCACATTTGAGAGTGTGTGCCAGGAGCCATGTGGAGGAAGTGTGGAGGCGAAAGAAAAAGAGACAAATTGGCAGAAATAATTTTAAGTGACGCCTTTTCCCCCAATTACTTAAACTCACCTGGCTTTGTCTACATCAAGAGAGGCATAATTTTCTTGTTTTTAAAAACAAATGATGCCTCAGTAGAAAATAAATGCATTATCATGGGTAAAAGGCAAATACATTGTCAAAATAATCGCTATGGGAGATAGAATCCAGTTTCAGCAAACTCTTTTCAGTTTCTTATAGGCAGCAAATAGTGTTTAATGAGAATAAACTAAACAATATCCTTGGTACAACGACCTCTGCTACACTTTTTCAGTTAAAATTTCTAGCTCGGTCAGTCTTTACATTTTTGTGAGTTTAGGGTCCCTTTTTAATAACTGAGGATTTTAAGTACTGGTGGTGGTATGCTTAGTAATTATTAAAGAGAAAAAATATAAAATGGTGTTCTAGTTATTGTTGATACTGATTGTGGGACCACAGCTGTGACTGTCACTCACAAAACCTATACATAGCCTCTTTCTATAGTCTCTTTGCTTTCTCATGTCAAGGTAGTTGGGTTTCAAGAGCAAGTATCTCAAGAAAACCTGATGTCACCTGTATCATCTTTTATGATTCAGACTAAGGTCACTTGGACTCAGGTGTCCTCAGCTCAAGTCACAGAACTCACTCCTGCTCCCATAGCAAACCCACCCAGACTTACTTGCTTCAGGTCAACATTACATTATAAGACAAATATCTGGGATTAGAGATAGTATTATGGCCATTTAAAAAAGTACAATCTTCCACAAATAGAAAAAATGCTATCACCATTTTTGTAACATTCTTAAATGAATATATGAGCTTATCACACCTGGCAATGAGATTTCAGTGTCTCAGTATCACCTCCCATCATTGGGCATCTCTGCTGTAGAGCAAATGCAGGTAAAACACACCTCAAAAGGGTCAAGGCAAATAGGCACTGCTTTCCACCCTTACCATGCCATTTCCACACACAGAAGATCGACCTTCTTGATCTCTACTGAGCATACCTTCCAGCACATTCCATATTCTGCCTTTTCTAGCCTTCTTTAAATCATTCTCCTACATGCGATTTATCCCTCATTCAGACAACAAGGTTGAATGAAAATACATACCTAGTCACAAAACAAAGCATCTCACAAACCAACTCTGGCTACATTTTTTGGCACAAATAGTAACAATGACATATGCAGCTACCAATTTTGAGTACTTAAATGCCAGACACTGGGCTAAGTGCTTAACAGACGTTAGCTAAAGTAACCATCAATAGGATAAGAAGACAGGTCCTAATATTATCCTATTAAAAAAAAACAAATCAAAAGGGTCCATGAAGTTTATTATAAATGTACCCAAAGTCCCAGCTATAACGTCATGGACTGGAACTCACAGAAACCTTGCTTTTAATCATTATGCTGTTATGTTCCCATACAGGCTAAAATTGTCTATATAACGTGACATTAATGGACTTGCATGGTCTGGACCTTATTTTTCAGGTTTAACAGTTTTTCTCCACCCTTATGTAATCTATACAATAGTGACCTAGTGCATCTTACTATATCCCCTTCCTCCAGAGACACATAGTCACTTTCATTCTTTTGTGCACGTGCTTAAGGTATCTTTCTATTTTCCAACTGGCAAAATAAAAATTCCCTGCAAAATTCCATTTCCTCTAGGAATCCTGTGCTGACTTCTTCAGACAGTTAAATGTCTCTCCTCTCAATCTCTATGTCACTGAATACATTCCTCTATTAAAACTTCTCTGAAATCATTGAATTTAATTATCTGGGTGTCTTTCCCACAAGGTACTGTACTACGTGAGGCCTGAGAGGTACCATTTGTCTGCAAAGCTCAAAGATGAACACAGCACTTGTACCAAGTAGTCATACATTAAATATTTGTTAGAACTTTAGTTTCTTGCCATGATGAAGTGCACTAGCCTTCTTGTAGTAAACAATCATAAGCCTGGATAAATAATATAACTGTTTTCTGATGTTGAACCAAAGGTAGTGGAAGACTGTGCTCTCTGAGAGCTGGGAAACAAACAAGATAATCCCCACAATAACCGTGGCTTTCTGCCTGAAGGCACTTTTGGACTGTAGGGCAGTGAAAAAAAAGCCAAAACATCACAGTTGCCTCACTGAGCTAAAAAAGATAAAGGCCAGAATTTAAGACTACTGAAACAGTTGGAGTTTCTGGAAACAGGATAAGAGGGAAAAGGAAGCTGAGTAGAGAAGGAACTCCAGAAATCTGCATAGGGAGCCCCTTGAGTCTTTGGCTGAGTATTAGCCTGTGTATATACACAGAAAAATTTCATAAAGCTATGCTAGAAGCATTTACCAGAGGGAAAAAATACTGGGGAACTGTGAGCTAAACAAACCCCAGAGTTTGCACAGGGCTAGAAGATGATTGCATTCTGATCTGCCAGAGTGGAGACATTTTGCTAAACATCCCAGATATGCAATAAAACTTATAGAAAAGCAATACTTTAGGAATAGAATTAGTAGAACCCTAAGGTAGACATAATTCTAGTCTTTAAAAGTTTATGAATAAATCTCAAAAGGAACATGTTAATCCTTGAGCAAATTCAATGCCGAATGGAACAAAACACAAAATTCTATTATGAAAGAAGAGAAAATTCTCCAAAAATGTAATTTTTACAATATCAACTGTACAATCAAATTTACTACATATGTAAATGAACATAAATATGTGATCCATAACTATAGAAAAGTCAGAAAAATAGAAATAAAGAAATGGGAAAGGTGATAAAATTAGTAAATAAGAATTTGAAAACAACTGTTATAATTATATTCAAGAATTTAAAGGATAGCATAAGCATAGTGAGAGAACAAATAGGGAATCTGAATAAAGGGAAATGTAGCATAATAAAATGGAAATTCTAGAATTGAAAGATGTAATATTTAAAAGGAAAAAATTATGAGATGAGTTTAATAGCAGATTAGACAGTCGATAAGAGAGGTTAATAGCAGATTAGACAGTCCATAAGAGAGGTTAAGATAGAAGAATATAAATTATATAAATGGGAGGATGTCACAAAAAATAAAATGCTGAGGGAAGTGAATAGCATCTCTGTGAGCTCTGGGACAATATAAAGGAGTCTAGTAAGTGTGTAACTGGAATACCAGGAGGAGACAAAAGAGAAGTTGAAGTGGGGAAAAATATTTACAGAAATAATGGTTGAAACCTTTTAAATAACATGAACAATATAAATCCATGGCTACAAGAAATTCAGTGTACTTCAAGCAAGATAGACACAAAGAAAACTAGTCCATAGTATGTTATAATCCAATTGATGTAAACCAGTAATATGTAAAATTAATAATAAAAAAATGTTAAAAGCAGCCAGAGGGAATAAGAAAAGACATATCAAAAACAAACATGAGAACAACTGATTATGAGTTGTTCTCAATTATCTATTATCACTGATTTCTTATCAGAAACTACTCAAATCAGAGAAAATTGGAACATCTGATGTGGTGGCAAGAAAACCTGTCAACTTAGAAATCACATCCAAAGAAAATGTTGTAAAAATGAAGGCAAAATACAGTATTTTCAGATAGACGAAAAGCTGAGAGACTTTGCGGCTAGCACATCTTCCTTTGGGCTGAGAGCTACATAAAAGAATAAAAAGAGCCAGAAATGGAGCCAGGCGCAGTGGCTCATGCCTGTAATCCTAGCACTTTGGGAGGCTGAGACGGGCAGATCATTTGAAGTCAGGAGTTCGAGACCAGCCTGGCCAACATGGTGAAACCCCATCGCTACTAAAAATACAAAAAATAGCTGGGCGTGGTGGCATGTGCCTGTAATCCCAGCTACCTGGGGAGCTGAGGCAGGAGAATTGCTAGAGCCCACAAAGTGGAGGCTGTAGTGAGTTGAGCCACTGCACTCCAGCCTGGGCGACAGAGCAAGACTCTGTCTCAAAAAAAAAAAACACAAAAAACAAAAAACAAAACTGAGAGAGCCAGAAATGGTAAATACATGTATGTATTTAAATTTTTTCTCAACTCTTAAAGTTTTTAAAAGACAACTATTTAAAAAGAAAAAATAATGTATTATAGGGTTCACAGCACATGAACAAGTAAAACACATAACAACAGCACAAAAGATAGGGCTGAAATGGAGATAGAGTGTTAAAGAGTATTTATATATGAAGTAATATATATTATTTGAAGGTTGACAGTGATAAGCTAAAGATGTGTATTATGAACCCTAAAATTACCTCTGAGAAATAAAGCAGAGGGATGGCTAATAAACCAAAAGGAAAGATAAAATAAAATAATAGAAAGTATTTAGTTGGTTCAAAAACAGGCAGAAAAGTAGGGAGAAAATCATGAAGAACAGAGCCAAAAATTAGAAAGTGAATATCAAATTGGCACAGTAATACTCCACATAATAATTACATTAAATATAAATAGACCAAAAAATCCAGTCAAAAAAAGATTTTAAGATTTGATTAAAAAGGAAACACCAGCCATGCAGGGTGACTCATATCTGCCATTGCAGTACTTTGGGAGACTGAGGCAGAAGGATCACATGAGGCCAGGATTTTGAGACCAGCCTGAGAAAGAAAGCAAGACCCTGACTCTACAAAAAAAAGGAAATAGCTAACTATATGCTGTTTACAAAAGACACATATTAAATATAAAAGACATATGTTAAATATAAATATATAAAATATATAAATTATATAATATATAAATATATAAAATATATAAGTTAAAGTTAAAAGATAGAAAAAGACAAACAAGGAAATATTAATCATAAGAAAACTGGAGAGGTTCTGTTAATATAAAACAAAGTACATACAGAACATTTCAGTATCACCAGAGATAAGGAGGGAAATTTCACAATGATTAATAAGTACCAATTTGGGGAGGAGCCAAGATGGCCGAATAGGAACAGCTCCGGTCTGCAGCTCCCAGCCTGAGCGACGCAGAAGACGGGTGATTTCTGCATTTCCATCTGAGGTACCGGGTTCATCTCACTGGGGAGTGCCAGAGAGTGGGCGCAGGTCAGTGGGTGCGCGCACCGTGCGCGAGCCGAAGCAGGGCGAGGCATTGCCTCACACGGGAAGCACAAGGGGTCAGGGAGTTCCCTTTCCTAATCAAAGAAAGGGGTGACGGACGGCACCTGGAAAATCGGGTCACTCCCACCCGAATATTGCGCTTTTCAGACCGGCTTAAGAAACGGCGCACCACGAGACTATATCCCACACCTGGCTCGGAGGGTCCTACGCCCACGGAGTCTCGCTGATTGCTAGCACAGCAGTCTGAGATCAAACTGCAAGGCGGCAGCGAGGCTGGGGGAGGGGCGCCCGCCATTGCTGAGGCTTGCTTAGGTAAACAAAGCAGCGGGAAGCTCGAACTGGGTGGAGCCCACCACAGCTCAAGGAGGCCTGCCTGCCTCTGTAGGCTCCACCTCTGGGGGCAGGGCACAGACAAACAAAAAGACAGCAGTAACCTCTGCAGACTTAAATGTCCCTGTCTGACAGCTTTGAAGAGAGCAGTGGTTCTCCCAGTTCGCAGCTGGAGATCTGAGAACGGACAGACTGCCTCCTCAAGTGGGTCCCTGACCCCTGACCACTGAGCAGCCTAACTGGGAGGCACCCTCCAGCAGGGGCACACTGACACCTCACACTGCAGGGCACTCCAACAGACCTGCAGCTGAGGGTCCTGTCTGTTAGAAGGAAAACTAACAAACAGAAAGGACATCCACACCAAAAACCCATCTGTACATCACCATCATCAAAGACCAAAAGTAGATAAAACCACAAAGATGGGGAAAAAACAGAACAGAAAAACTGGAAACTCTAAAAAGCAGAGTGCCTCTCCTCCTCCAAAGGAACGCAGCTCCTCACCAGCAACGGAACAAAGCTGGACGGAGAATGACTTTGACGAGCTGAGAGAAGAAGGCTTCAGACGATCAAATTACTCTGAGCTACGGGAAGACATTCAAACCAAAGGCAAAGAAGTTGAAAACTTTGAAAAAAATTTAGAAGAATGTATAACTAGAATAATCAAAACAGAGAAGTGCTTAAAGGAGCTGATGGAGCTGAAAACCAAGGCTCGAGAACTACGTGAAGAATGCAGAAGCCTCAGGAGCCGATGCGATCAACTGGAAGAAAGGGTATCAGCGATGGAAGATGAAATGAATGAAATGAAGTGAGAAGGAAAGTTTAGAGAAAAAAGAATAAAAAGAAACGAGCAAAGCCTCCAAGAAATATGGGACTATGTGAAAAGACCAAATCTATGTCTGATTGGTGTACCTGAAAGTGATGGGGAGAATGGAACCAAGTTGGAAAACACTCTGCAGGATATTATCCAGGAGAATTTCCCCAATCTAGCAAGGAAGGCCAACATTCAGATTCAGGAAATACAGAGAATGCCACAGAGATACTCCTCGAGAAGAGCAACTCCAAGACACATAATTGTCAGATTCACCAAAGTTGAAATGAAGGAAAAAATGTTAAGGGCAGCCAGAGAGAAAGGTCGGGTTACCCTCAAAGGGAAGCCCATCAGACTAACAGCGGATCTCTCGGCAGAAACCCTACAAGCCAGAAGAGAGTGGGGGCCAATATTCAACATTCTTAAAGAAAAGAATTTTCAACCCAGAATTTCATATCCTGCCAAACTAAGCTTCATGAGTTAAGGAGAAATAAAATCCTTTACAGACAAGCAAATGCTGAGAGATTTTGTCACCACCAGGCCTGCCCTAAAAGAGCTCCTGAAGGAAGAGCTAAACATGGAAAGGAACAACCGGTACCAGCCACTGCAAAATCATGCCAAAATGTAAAGACCATCGAGACTAGGAAGAAACTGCATCAACTAACGAGCAAAATAACCAGCTAACATCATAATGACAGGATCAAATTCACACATAACAATATTAACTTTCAATGTAAATGGACTAAATGCTCCAATTAAAAGACACAGACTGGCAAATTGGATAAAGAGTCAAGACCCATCAGTGTGCTGTATTCAGGAAACCCATCTCACGTGCAGAGACACACATAGGCTCAAAATAAAAGGATGGAGGAAGATCTACCAAGCAAATGGAAAACAAAAAAAGGCAGGGGTTGCAATCCTAGTCTCTGATAAAACAGACTTTAAACCAACAAAGATCAAAAGAGACAAAGAAGGCCATTACATAATGGTAAAGGGATCAATTCAACAAGAAGAGCTAACTATCCTAAATATATATGCACCCAATACAGGAGCACCCAGATTCATAAAGCAAGTCCTGAGTGACCTACAAAGAGACTTAGACTCCCACACATTAATAATGGGAGACTTTAACACCCCACTGTCAACATTAGACAGATCAACGAGACAGAAAGTCAACAAGGATACCCAGGAATTGAACTCAGCTCTGCACCAAGAGGACCTAATAGACATCTACAGAACTCTCCACCCCAAATCAACAGAATATACATTTTTTTCAGCACCACACCACACCTATTCCAAAATTGACCACATACTTGGAAGTAAAGCTCTCCTCAGCAAATGTAAAAGAACAGAAATTATAACAAACTATCTCTCAGACCTCAGTGCAATCAAACTAGAACTCAGGATTAAGAATCTCACTCAAAGCCGCTCAACTACATGGAAACTGAACAACCTGCTCCTGAATGACTACTGGGTACATAACGAAATGAAGGCAGAAATAAAGATGTTCTTTGAAACCAACGAGAACAAAGACACAACATACCAGAATCTCTGGGACGCATTCAAAGCAGTGTGTAGAGGGAAATTTATAGCACTAAATGCCCACAAGAGAAAGCAGGAAAGATCCAAAATTGACACCCTAACATCACAATTAAAAGAACTAGAAAAGCAAGAGCAAACACATTCAAAAGCTAGCAGAAGGCAAGAAATAACTAAAATCAGAGCAGAACTGAAGGAAATAGAGACACAAAAAACCCTTCAAAAAATCAATGAATCCAGGAGCTGGTTTTTTGAAAGGATCAACAAAATTGATAGACCGCTAGCAAGACTAATAAAGAAAAAAAGAGAGGAGAATCAAATAGACACAATAAAAAATGATAAAGGGGATATCACCACCAATCCCACAGAAATACAAACTACCATCAGAGAATACTACAAACACCTCTACGCAAATAAACTAGAAAATCTAGAAGAAATGGATACATTCCTGGACACATACACTCTCCCAAGACTAAACCAGGAAGAAGTTGAATCTCTGAATAGACCAATAACAGGAGCTGAAATTGTGGCAATAATCAATAGCTTACCAACCAAAAAGAGTCCAGGACCAGATGGATTCACAGCCGAATTCTACCAGAGGTACAAGGAGGAACTGGTACCATTCCTTCTGAAACTATTCCAATCAATAGAAAAAGAGGGAATCCTCCCTAACTCATTTTATGAGGCCAGCATCATTCTGATACCAAAGCCGGGTAGAGACACAACCAAAAAAGAGAATTTTAGACCAATATCCTTGATGAACATTGATGCAAAAATCCTCAATAAAATACTGGCAAACCGAATCCAGCAGCACATCAAAAAGCTTATCCACCATGATCAAGTGGGCTTCATCCCTGGGATGCAAGGCTGGTTCAATATACGCAAATCAATAAATGTAATCCAGCATATAAACAGAGCCAAAGACAAAAACCACATGATTATCTCAATAGATGCAGAAAAAGCCTTTGACAAAATTCAACAACCCTTCATGCTAAAAACTCTCAATAAATTAGGTATTGATGGGACGTATTTCAAAATAATAAGAGCTATCTATGACAAACCCACAGCCAATATCATACTGAATGGGCAAAAACTGGAAGCATTCCCTTTGAAAACTGGCACAAGACAGGGATGCCCTCTCTCACCGCTCCTATTCAACATAGTGTTGGAAGTTCTGGCCAGGGCAATTAGGCAGGAGAAGGAAATAAAGGGTATTCAATTAGGAAAAGAGGAAGTCAAATTGTCCCTGTTTGCAGACGACATGATTGTTTATCTAGAAAACCCCATCGTCTCAGCCCAAAATCTCCTTAAGCTGATAAGCAACTTCAGCAAAGTCTCAGGATACAAAATCAATGTACAAAAATCACAAGCATTCTTATACACCAACAACAGACAAACAGAGAGCCAAATCATGAGTGAACTCCCATTCACAATTGCTTCAAAGAGAATAAAATACCTAGGAATCCAACTTACAAGGGATGTGAAGGACCTCTTCAAGGAGAACTACAAACCACTGCTCAAGGAAATAAAAGAGGATACAAACAAATGGAAGAACATTCCATGCTCATGGGTAGGAAGAATCAATATCATGAAAATGGCCATACTGCCCAAGGTAATTTACAGATTCAATGCCATCCCCATCAAGCTACCAATGACTTTCTTCACAGAATTGGAAAAAACTACTTTAAAGTTCATATGGAAGCAAAAAAGAGCCCGCATCGCCAAGTCAATCCTAAGCCAAAAGAACAAAGCTGGAGGCATCACACTACCTGACCTCAAACTATACTACAAGGCTACAGTAACCAAAACAGCATGGTACTGGTATCAAAACAGAGATATAGATCAATGGAACAGAACAGAGCCCTCAGAAATAATGCCGCATACCTACAACTATCTGATCTTTGACAAACCTGAGAAAAACAAGCAATGGGGAAAGGATTCCCTATTTAATAAATGGTGCTGGGAAAACTGGCTAGCCATATGTAGAAAGCTGAAACTGGATCCCTTCCTTACACCTTATACAAAAATCAATTCAAGATGGATTAAAGATTTAAGCGTTAGACCTAAAACCATAAAAACCCTAGAAGAAAACCTAGGCATTACCATTCAGGACATAGGCGTGGGCAAGGACTTCATGTCCAAAACACCAAAAGCAATGGCAACAGAAGACAAAATTGACAAATGGGATCTAATTAAACTAAAGAGCTTCTGCACAGCAAAAGAAACTACCATCAGAGTGAACAGGCAACCTACAAAATGGGAGAAAATTTTCGCAAGCTACTCATCTGACAAAGGGCTAATATCCAGAATCTACAATGAACTCAAACAAATTTACAAGAAAAAAACAAACAACCCCATCAAAAAGTGGGCGAAGGACATGAACAGACACTTCTCAAAAGAAGACATTTATGCAGCCAAAAAATACATGAAAAAATGCTCGTCATCACTGGCCATCAGAGAAATGCAAATCAAAACAACTATGAGATACCATCTCACACCAGTTAGAATGGCAATCATTAAAAAGTCAGGAAACAACAGGTGCTGGAGAGGATGTGGAGAAATAGGAACACTTTTACACTGTTGGTGGGACTGTAAACTAGTTCAACCACTGTGGAAGTCAGTGTGGCGATTCCTCAGGGATCTAGAACTAGAAATACCATTTGACCCAGCCATCCCATTACTGGGTATATACCCAAATGACTATAAATCATGCTGCTATAAAGACACATGCACACGTATGTTTATTGCGGCATTATTCACAATAGCAAAGACTTGGAACCAACCCAAATGTCCAACAATGATAGACTGGATTAAGAAAATGTGGCACATATACACCATGGAATACTATGCAGCCATAAAAAATGATGAGTTCATGTCCTTTGTAGGGACATGGATGAAACTGGAAACCATCATTCTCAGTAAACTATCTCAAGAACAAAAAACCAAACACCGCATATTCTCACTCATAGGTGGGAATTGAACAATGAGATCACATGGTCACAGGAAGGGGAATATCACACTCTGGGGACTGTGGTGGGGTGGGGGGAGGGGGAGGGGTAGCATTGGGAGATATACCTAATGCTAGATGACGAGTTAGTGGGTGCAGCGCACCAGCATGGCACATGTATACATATGTAACTAACCTGCACAATGTGCACATGCACCCTAAAACTTAAAGTATAAAAAAAAAAAAAAAGAAACTTAAAAAAAAAAAAAGTATTAACCCAAGATGGATTAAAAACTTAAATGTAAAACCTAAAACCATAAAAACCATAGAAGAAAACCTAGGCAATATCATTCAGGACATAGGCATGGGCAAAAATTTTATAATGAAATCGCCAAAAACAATTGCAACAAAAGCTAAAATTGACAAACGGGATATAATTAAACTAAAGAGCTTCTGCACAGCAAAAGAAACTATCATCAGAGAGAACAGGCAACCTAAAGAATGGGAAAAAAATTTTGCAATCTCTGTGACAACAGTGTAATATCCAGAATTTACAAGAAACTTTAAAAATTTACAAGAAAAAAACAAACAACCCCATCAAAAAGTGGGCAAAGGATATGAACAGTCACTTCTCCAAAGAAGACATTTATGTGGTCAAAAAACATATGAAAAAAAGCACATCACTGATCATTAAAGAAAAGCAAATCAAAACCACAGTGAGATACCATCTCATGCCAGTCAGAAGGGCGATTATTAAAAAGTCGAGAAACAACAGATGCTGGTGAGGCTGTGGAGAAATAGGAAACTTTTTACACTGTTCTTGGGAATGTAAATTAGTTCAACCATTGTGGAAGACAATGTGGTAATTCCTCAAGGATCTTTAACCAGAAATACCATTTGACCCAGCAATCCCATTACTGGGTATATACCCAAAGGAATATAAGTCATTTTATTATAAAGATACATGCATACATATGATTACCACAGCACTATTCACAAGAGCAAAGACATGGAATCAACCCAAATGCCCATTAATCATAGACTGGATTAAAAAAATGTGGTATATATATACCGTGGAATACTATGCAGCCATAAAAAGGAATGAGATCATGTTCTTTGCAGGGACATGGATGAAACTGGAAGCCATCATCTTCAACAAACTAACACAGGAACAGAAAACCAAACGGTGCATGTTCTCACTCATAAGTGGGAGCTGAACAATGAGAACACATGGCCACAGGGAGGAAAACAACATGCACCAGGGCCAGTTGGCTGGGCGAGGGGAGGGAGAGCATCAGGGCAAATAGGTAATGGATGCAAGGCTTAATAGGCTTAATACCGAGGTTGATAGGTGCAGCAAACCACCATGGCACACATTTACCTATGTAACAAACCTGTACGTACGTTCTGCACATGTATCCCGGAACATTTAAAAAAAAAAAAAAAGGATACTAGACCTACCAAAAAAAAAGATACACAGCTATACAATAATAGTAGGGGATTTCAGCACTCCACTAACAGCACTAGACAGATCATCAAAGCAGAAAATTAACAAAGAAACCCTGGACTTTAATCAGACTCTTGATCAAATAGACCTAATAAACATACACAGAATATTTCACCTAACAACCACAGAATATGCATTTTTCTCATCTGCATATGGAACAGTTTCTGAAATTGACCACATTCTTGGTCATAAGGCAAGTCTCAATAAATTCAAACATATGAAAATCATATCAAGCATTTTCTTGGACCATAGTGAAATAAAATTAGAAATCAGTGCCAATAGAAACTCTCAAAATGACACAAGTACATGGAAACTAAACAACTTGCTCCTGAATGACTTTTGAATAAACAATGAAATTAAGGCAGAAATTTAAAAAATTGAAACAAACAAGAAGACAGGCACAACATACCAAAACCTCTGGGATACAGCAAAAGCAGTGTAAGAGGAAAGTTTATAACACTAAATTCCTACATTAAAAAGATAGAATAATCCCAAATTAACAACCTAATGTTGCACCTAAAGGAAATAGAAAAGCAAGAATAAACCTAATTCAAAGCTAGCAGAAGAAAAGACACAAGAAAGATTAGAGCCGAACTAAATGAATTTGAGACCAAAAACAAAAAAAAAAACATACAAATTATCAATGAAAAAACCATACAAATGATCAAAGAACCTTTCAAAATTGGTTCTTTGAAAGGATAAACAAAATTAGTAGACTTCCAGCTAGATTAACTAAGAAGGAAAAAGAGAAGATTCAAATAAGCACAATCAGAAATGACAAAGGTGACATTACAACTGATAACACAGAAATACAAAAACCCTCAAAGACTACTATCAACATGTCTATGCACATAAAATAGAAAACCTAGAGGAAATAGAAATAAATTCCCGAAGACACAACCTCCCAAGATTGAACCACCAATAAATTGAAATCCTGAACAGACCAATATCAAGTTATGAAAGTAAATCAGCAATAAAAAGTCTACCATCAAAAAAAAACCCTGGACCAAATAGATACACCACCAAATTCTACCAGACATTCAAAGAACAGCTGGTACCAATCTTATTGAAACTACTCCAAAAAATTGAAGGGGAGGGATTCTTCCCTAACTCATTTTATTAAACCAATATTATCCTGATATCAAAATCTGGCAAAGACACAACCAAAAAAGAAAACTACAGGCCCATATCCCTGATGAACATAGGCATACAAATGCTCAAAACAATACTAGCAAACTGAATCCAATAGCACATCAAAAAGATAAATTATCACACTCAAGTGTTTTTTATTCATGGGACTCAAGAATGGTTCAACATATGCAAATCAATAAATGTGACTCACCACATAAACAGAATTAAAATAAAAAACTATATGATCTCAACGGGCCCAGAAAAAAGAAAAGCATCCAATAAAATCCAACATCCCTTCATGATAAAAATCCTCAGCAAACTAGGCATTGAAGGAACATAACTCAAAATAATAAGAGCCATATATGACAGACCCACAGCCAACATCATACTGAACAGGTGAAAGTTAAAAGCATTCCCCCTAAGAATTACAACAAGATAAGGTTACCTACTCTCACAACTCGTATTCAACATAGTACTAGAAGTCCTAGCCAGACCAATTAGACAAAAGAAAAAAATAAAAGGCAACAAAATATGAAAAGAGGAAGACAAATCTTCTCTGTTTGCTGATGACAAGATCCTATACCTAGAAAGCCCTAATTTTCTCCAAAAGAATCCTAGACCTGATAAATGAATTCAGTGGTTTTAAGATACAAAATCAACCTACAAAACAAGTAGCATTTCTATACACCAATAGCATTTAAACTAAGAAACAAATTAAGATATCAATCCCATTTACAATAGATACACACACACACACACACACACACACACGCACACACACAAAATACCTAGGAATACATTTAACCAAGGAGGTAAAAGATCTCTACAAGGAGAACTACAAAACACTGCTGAAAGAAATCAGAAACAACATAAACAAATGGAAAAACATTCCATGCTTATGGAGTGGAAGAATCAATGTCATTAAAATGCCATACTTGCCAAAGTAAATTACAGATTTAAAGCAATTTCTATCAAATTGCCAATGTTGTTTTTCACAGAACTAGAAAAAAACTGGTCTAAAATTTGTATGGAACCAAAAAGAACCCAAATAGCCAAAGCAATCCTAAGCAAAAAGAATAAAGCCAGAAGCATAACATTACCAGACTTCAAACTATATTAGAAGGCTAGAGTAATCCAAACAGCATGGTACTGGTACAAAAATAGACACATAGACCAATAGAACAGAATAGATAACTCAGAAATAAAGCCATACACCTACAATCAACTGATCTGCAATAAAGTTGGCAAAAATAAACAATGGAGAAAGAACATCTGTCTTAGGCTGTTCTTGCATTGTCATAAACAAATACCTGAGTCAGGGTAATTTATAAGGAAACAAGGTTTAATTGGCTCATAGCTCTGCAAGCTGTACAGGAAGCATGGTGTCAGCATCTGCTCAGCTTCTGCAGTGGCCTCAGGAAGCTTACAATCATGGTGGAAGGTGAAGGGGGAGCAGGCATCTCATATGGTAGGAGTAGGAGCAAGAGAGAAGGGAAGAGGTACCACACACTTTAAACAACCAGATCATTTGAGAACTCACTATAGTAAGGACAGCAGCAAGCCATGAGGGATCCGCCCCCATGACCCAAACACCTCTCACCAGGCCCCAATTCCAATCCTGGGGATTATGTTTCTTTCTTTTGTTTGTTTTGAGATGGAGCCTCGCTCTTTCGCCCATGCTGGAGTGCAATGGCAGGATCTTGACTCACTGCAACCCCTGCCTCCCAGGTTCAAGCAATTCTCCTGCCTCAGCCTCCTGAGTAGCTGGGACTACAGGCACACACCACTCCACCTGGATAATTTTTTTTGTATTTTTAGTAGAGGCAGAGTTTCAATATGTTTGCCAAGCCTAGAACTCCTGACCTCAGATGATCCACCTGCCTTGGCCTCCCAAAGTGCTGAGATTACAGGCATGAGCCACCATGCCTGGCTAGGATTACATTTCAACATGATATTTTGGCAAAGACAAATATCAAGCTATATCAACACCCTATTCAGTAAATGGTTCTTGGAAAATTGCCTAGCCATATTTAGAAGAATAAAACTGTACCCCTACTTCTCACCATATGCAAAAATTAACTCAAGATGGATTAAAGACTTAAATGTAAGACCTCAACCTATAAAAATGCTAGAATAAAATCTAGGAAATACTCTTCTGGACATTGGCCTAGCCAAAGAATTTATGGCTAAGACATTAAAAGCAAATGCAACAAAAACAAAAATAGACAAATGGGATTTAATTAAACTAAAGAGCTTCTGCCCAGCAAAAGAAACAACCAACAGAGTAAACAGGCAACCTACAACATGGGAGAAAATATTTGCAAACTATGCATCCAAAGAAGGTCTAATATCCACAATCTATAAGAAATTTTAGTAAGTCAGCAAGAAATAAACATTAAAATTGGGCAAAGGACATGAACAGACACTTCTTAAAAAAACATACAAGCAGCCAACAAATATATGGAAAAAATGTTAACATCACTGATCATCAGAGAAATGCAAATTAAAACCACAAGGAGATACCATCTCACACCAGTTAGAAGGGCTATTATTAAAAAGTCAAAAAATAACAGATGTTAGTAAGGATGCAGAGAAAAAGGAACACTTATACACTGTTGGTGGGAATGTAAATTAGTTCCACCCCTATGGAAAACAATATGAAGATTTCTCAAAGAACTAAAAATAGATCAATCTACTATACGACCCAGCAATTCCCATTATTGGGTATCTACCTAAAGGAAAAGAAATGATTCTTTCAAAAAGATACCTGCAGATCCTTTTGCAGTTCATGAACATGATGATTGGGTGTTCATGCTCATGTGTGAGATGTGCCACCCTCTGAATCTTGTTATGACATCAGCACATTATCCATCTGACCTGAAAAGGAAAAAAAAAGGCACTTGCACTCGTATATTTATCACAGCACTATTCACAATAACAAAGGCATGGAATCAACTTATGTGTCCATCAATGGTGTATTGGATAAAGAAAATGTGATACGTGTACACCATAGAATACTACATAGCCATAAAAATGAATAAAATCACATCCTTTGCAGCAACATGAATGGAGCTGGAGACAATAATCCTAAGTGAATTAATGCAGAAACAGAAAATCAAATACTGCATATTCTTACTTACAAGTGAGAACTAAAGAATAGGTTCTCATGAAAATAAAGATAGAAGCAATAGAAACTGGAGACTCCAAAAGGGGAGAGGGAGTGAGGGAGCAAGAGTTGGAAAAACTACTTACTGGATACTATGTTCACTATTTCAGTGATAGGTTCACTAGAAGCCCAAACCCAGCATTATGCAATATGCCCATGTAACGAATCTGCACATTACCCCCGGAATCTATGATATAGATAATCTATTATATATATAAAATAGATACATATATAATCTATTATATGTCTATATTCTATATATATATTATAGTTATATACCTATTATATATTTGTATATATAATAGATGTTTATATTCTGTATATATTTAAAAATTTATGAACACTCAGATTTTGGCTTACCATATGGCTTCTCTTGACAAATGTTTCATGTGTACTTGAAGAAAACCTGTATACTGCAGTTGTTGGGTAAAGTCTTCTATAAATGTCCATTGGGCAAGTTGATTGATAGTGTTGCTCAAGACTATCTCCTTATTAGATGTTGCCTTCTTGTTCTATTTATTCCTGAGAGAGGAGTTTTGAAATTTCCAACTGTAATTGTGGATTTTTTTCCTTCTTTCAATTCTCTCGGTTTTTGTTTAGTGTATTTAGAAGTCGTGTATTTAGGTGCATACACACTTAGGATCATGTTTTATGTTTTCTTGATGAATTGGTACTTTTTTTTTAGGTAATTTTTTATTTATTTATTTATTTATTATTATACTTTAAGTTTTAGGGTACATGTGCACATTGTGCAGGTTAGTTACATACATATACATGTGCCATGCTGGTGTGCTGCACCCACTAACTTGTCATCTAGCATTACGTATATCTCCCACTGCTATCCCTCCCCCCCTGCCACCCCACAACAGTCCCCAGAGTGTGATGTTCCCCTTCCTGTGTCCATGTGATCTCATTGTTCAATTCCCACCTATGAGTGAGAATATGCGGTGTTTGGTTTTTTGTTCTTCCGATAGTTTACTGAGAATGATGATTTCCAATTTCATCCATGTCCCTACAAAGGACATGAACTCATCATTTTTTATGGCTGCATAGTATTCCATGGTGTATATGTGCCACATTTTCTTAATCCAGTCTATCATTGTTGGACATTTGGGTTGGTTCCAAGTCTTTGCTATTGTGAATAATGCCGCAATAAACATACGTGTGCATGTGTCTTTATAGCAGCATGATTTATAGTCCTTTGGGTATACACCCAGTAATGGGATGGCTGGGTCAAATGGTATTTCTAGTTCTAGATCCCTGAGGAATCGCCACACTGACTTCCACAGTGGTTGAACTAGTTTACAGTCCCACCAACAGTGTAAAAGTGTTCCTATTTCTCCACATCCTCTCCAGCACCTGTTGTTTCCTGACTTTTTAATGATTGCCATTCTAACTGGTGTGAGATGGTATCTCATTGTGGTTTTGATTTGCATTTCTCTGATGGCCAGTGATGGTGAGCATTTTTTCCTGTGTTCTTTGGCTGCATAAATGTCTTCTTTTGAGAAGTGTCTGTTCATGTCCTTCGCCCACTTTTTGATGGGGTTGTTTGTTTTTTTCTTGTAAATTTGTTTGAGTTCATTGTAGATTCTGGATATTAGCCCTTTGTCAGATGAGTAGCTTGCGAAAATTTTCTCCCATTTTGTAGGTTGCCTGTTCACTCTGATGGTAGTTTCTTTTGCTGTGCAGAAGCCCTTTAGTTTAATTAGATCCCATTTGTCAATTTTGGCTTTTGTTGCCATTGCTTTTGGTGTTTTAGACATGAAGTCCTTGCCCATGCCTATGTCCTGAATGGTAATGCCTAGGTTTTCTTCTAGGGTTTTTATGGTTTTAGGTCTAACGTTTAAGTCTTTAATCCATCTTGAATTGATTTTTGTATAAGGTGTAAGGAAGGGATCCAGTTTCAGCTTTCTACATATGGCTAGCCAGTTTTCCCAGCACCATTTATTAAATAGGGAATCCTTTCCCCATTGCTTGTTTTTCTCAGGTTTGTCAAAGATCAGATAGTTGTAGGTATGCGGCATTATTTCTGAGGGCTCTGTTCTGTTCCATTGATCTATATCTCTGTTTTGGTACCAGTACCATGCTGTTTTGGTTACTGTAGCCTTGTAGTATAGTTTGAAGTCAGGTAGTGTGATGCCTCCAGCTTTGTTCTTTTGGCTTAGGATTGACTTGGCGATGCGGGCTCTTTTTTGCTTCCATATGAACTTTAAAGTAGTTTTTTCCAATTCTGTGAAGAAAGTCATTGGTAGCTTGATGGGGATGGCATTGAATCTGTAAATTACCTTGGGCAGTATGGCCATTTTCACGATATTGATTCTTCCTACCCATGAGCATGGAATGTTCTTCCATTTGTTTGTATCCTCTTTTATTTCCTTGAGCAGTGGTTTGTAGTTCTCCTTGAAGAGGTCCTTCACATCCCTTGTAAGTTGGATTCCTAGGTATTTTATACTCTTTGAAGCAATTGTGAATGGGAGTTCACTCATGATTTGGCTCTCTGTTTGTCTGTTGTTGGCGTATAGGAATGCTTGTGATTTTTGCACATTGATTTTGTATCCTGAGACTTTGCTGAAGTTGCTTATCAGCTTAAGGAGATTTTGGGCTGAGACAATGGGGTTTTCTAGATATACAGTCATGTCATCTGCAAACAGGGACAATTTGACTTCCTCTTTTCCTAATTGAATACCCTTTATTTCCTTCTCCTGCCTAATTGCCCTGGCCAGAACTTCCAACACTATGTTGAATAGGAGCGGTGAGAGAGGGCATCCCTGTCTTGTGCCAGTTTTCAAAGGGAATGCTTCCAGTTTTTGCCCATTCAGTATGATATTGGCTGTGGGTTTGTCATAGATAGCTCTTATTATTTTGAAATACGTCCCATCAATACCTAATTTATTGAGAGTTTTTAGCATGAAGGGTTGTTGAATTTTGTCAAAGGCCTTTTCTGCATCTATTGAGATAAACATGTGGTTTTTGTCTTTGGCTCTGTTTATATGCTGGATTACATTTATTGATTTGCATATATTGAACCAGCCTTGCATCCCAGGGATGAAGCCCACTTGATCATGGTGGATAAGCTTTTTGATGTGCTGCTGGATTCGGTTTGCCAGTATTTTATTGAGGATTTTTGCATCAATGTTCATCAAGGATATTGGTCTAAAATTCTCTTTTTTGGTTGTGTCTCTACCCGGCTTTGGTATCAGAATGATGCTGGCCTCATAAAATGAGTTAGGGAGGATTCCCTCTTTTTCTATTGATTGGAATAGTTTCAGAAGGAATGGTACCAGTTCCTCCTTGTACCTCTGGTAGAATTTGGCTGTGAATCCATCTGGTCCTGGACTCTTTTTGGTTGGTAAGCTATTGATTATTGCCACAATTTCAGCTCCTGTTGTTGGTCTATTCAGAGATTCAACTTCTTCCTGGTTTAGTCTTGGGAGAGTGTATGTGTCCAGGAATGTATCCATTTCTTCTAGATTTTCTAGTTTATTTGCGTAGAGGTGTTTGTAGTATTCTCTGATGGTAGTTTGTATTTCTGTGGGATTGGTGGTGATATCCCCTTTATCATTTTTTATTGTGTCTATTTGATTCTCCTCTCTTTTTTTCTTTATTAGTCTTGCTAGCGGTCTATCAATTTTGTTGATCCTTTCAAAAAACCAGCTCCTGGATTCATTGATTTTTTGAAGGGTTTTTTGTGTCTCTATTTCCTTCAGTTCTGCTCTGATTTTAGTTATTTCTTGCCTTCTGCTAGCTTTTGAATGTGTTTGCTCTTGCTTTTCTAGTTCTTTTAATTGTGATGTTAGGGTGTCAATTTTGGATCTTTCCTGCTTTCTCTTGTTGGCATTTAGTGCTATAAATTTCCCTCTACACACTGCTTTGAATGCGTCCCAGAGATTCTGGTATGTTGTGTCTTTGTTCTCGTTGGTTTCAAAGAACATCTTTATTTCTGCCTTCATTTCGTTATGTACCCAGTAGTCATTCAGGAGCAGGTTGTTCAGTTTCCATGTAGTTGAGTGGCTTTGAGTGAGATTCTTAATCCTGAGTTCTAGTTTGATTGCACTGAGGTCTGAGAGATAGTTTGTTATAATTTCTGTTCTTTTACATTTGCTGAGGAGAGCTTTACTTCCAAGTATGTGGTCAATTTTGGAATAGGTGTGGTGTGGTGCTGAAAAAAATGTATATTCTGTTGATTTGGGGTGGAGAGTTCTGTAGATGTCTATTAGGTCCTCTTGGTGCAGAGCTGAGTTCAATTCCTGGGTATCCTTGTTGACTTTCTGTCTCGTTGATCTGTCTAATGTTGACAGTGGGGTGTTAAAGTCTCCCATTATTAATGTGTGGGAGTCTAAGTCTCTTTGTAGGTCACTCAGGACTTGCTTTATGAATCTGGGTGCTCCTGTATTGGGTGCATATATATTTAGGATAGTTAGCTCTTCTTGTTGAATTGATCCCTTTACCATTATGTAATGGCCTTCTTTGTCTCTTTTGATCTTTGTTGGTTTAAAGTCTGTTTTATCAGAGACTAGGATTGCAACCCCTGCCTTTTTTTGTTTTCCATTTGCTTGGTAGATCTTCCTCCATCCTTTTATTTTGAGCCTATGTGTGTCTCTGCACGTGAGATGGGTTTCCTGAATACAGCACACTGATGGGTCTTGACTCTTTATCCAATTTGCCAGTCTGTGTCTTTTAATTGGAGCATTTAGTCCATTTACATTGAAAGTTAATATTGTTATGTGTGAATTTGATCCTGTCATTATGATGTTAGCTGGTTATTTTGCTCGTTAGTTGATGCAGTTTCTTCCTAGTCTCGATGGTCTTTACATTTTGGCATGATTTTGCAGTGGCTGGTACCGGTTGTTCCTTTCCATGTTTAGCTCTTCCTTCAGGAGCTCTTTTAGGGCAGGCCTGGTGGTGACAAAATCTCTCAGCATTTGCTTGTCTGTAAAGGATTTTATTTCTCCTTAACTCATGAAGCTTAGTTTGGCAGGATATGAAATTCTGGGTTGAAAATTCTTTTCTTTAAGAATGTTGAATATTGGCCCCCACTCTCTTCTGGCTTGTAGGGTTTCTGCCGAGAGATCCGCTGTTAGTCTGATGGGCTTCCCTTTGAGGGTAACCATCTTGGGTTAATATTAACATAAGGTGTAAGGAAAGGGTCCAGTTTCAGTTTTCTGCATATTGTTAGCCAGTTTTCCCAGCACCATTTGTTAAATAGGGAATCCTTTCCCCATTGCTTGTTTGTGTCAGGTTTGTCAAAGATCAGATGGTTGTAGATGTGTGGTCTTATTTCTGATGTCTCTATTCTTTTCCATTGGTCTGTATGTCTGTTTTGGTACCATGCTGTTTTGGTTACCATAGCCTTGTGGTATAGTTTGAAGTCAGGTAGCATGTTGCCTCCAGCTTTGTTCTTTTTGCTTAGGATTCACTTGGCTATCTAGGCTCTTTTTTGGTTCCGTATGAATTTTGAAGTAGTTTTTTCTAATTCTGTGAAGAATGCCTTTCGTATTTTGATGGGAATAGCATTGAATCTATAAATTACTTTGGTCAGTGTGGCCATTTTTGCAATATTGATTCTTCCTATCCCTGAGGATGGAATGTTTTTCCATTTGTTTTTGTCCTCTCTTATTTCCTTGAGCAATGGTTTGTAGATGAATTTTCTTAGGGTTTGCTTGACTGGGAAATACTTTATTTCTTCTTTGTTTTGAAGCTTAGTTTGGCAGAATATGAAATTCTTGGCTGGCATTTTTTTATTTAAGGAGGCTAAAAACAGGCTCCTTATCTCTTCTGGCTTGTAAGATTTCTGCTGAGAAGTCTGCTGTTAGTCTGATAGGGATTTCCTTTATTCCTAATTTGCTTCTTTTCTTCAGCTGCCCTTAAGACTTTTTTCTTTTGCATTCACCTTGGAGAGTTCAATGATGATATGCCTTGGGCATGGCCATCTTGTATAGTATCGTTCAGGTTTTCTCTGAATTTCTTGTATCTGGATGCCAGCCTCTCTAGTAAGATGGAGACATTTTCCTGAATTATCACCTAAAATATGTTTTCCAAGTTGCTTGTTTTTTCTTCTCCTCTCTCAGGAATGCCAATAAGTCATAGGTTTGGTCACTTTACATAATCACATATTTCTTGAAGGCTTTGTTGATTTTTAAAAAATTATTTTTTCTTTATTTTTGTCTGGCTGGGTTAATTGAGAAGATTTGCCCTGAAGCTCTGAAATTCTTTGTTTTGCTTGTTCTATTCTATTGTTAAAGCTTCTAACTATATTTTGAAATTCCTTTGTGAATTTTTCTTTTTTTATATATTAATATTTTTCGTTTTTAATTTTTTTATTTTCTTTTTAGTGCAGAGATGAGGTCTCACTATATTGCCCAGGCTGGTCTCAAGCTCTTGTACTCAAACGACCATCCCACCTTGGCCTCCCAAAGTGTTGAGATTATAGGCATTAGCCACCACACCTGGCCCCTTTAGTGAATTTTTCAGTTGCAGGAGTTCTACGTGGTTTTTTTCTTAATATAATTATCTCATCTTTCATACCCTGAGTAGTTTTTTTGTTTGTTTGTTTCTTTGTATTGGGTTTCAACTTGGATTTCGTTGGGTTTCCTTGCAATCCATATTTTGAATTCTTTATCTGTCATTTCAAACTTTTCAGTTTGGTTAAGATCTATTGTTAGAGAGCTGATGTGATCCTTTGGAGGTGTCAAGACACTGGCTTTTGGTACAGCTGGAGTTCTTGCACTTATTCTTTCTCTTCTGAGGGATCTGTAACTTCTTAATTTTGAGTTTGGATGACACTTTTTAATTTTTAATTTGTTTCCCTTTAGTGTATGAATGTGATGTATAATCATTCGGTGTTGTTTCTGGGTGCTTTCAGGGGACCGAGGCATTGTATGGGTTCCTTGGTTGTGGATAGCTTCTGTGTGGTGTTTTTCTCATATGCTGCTTTTTGTAGTGATGTATTGAATGTATGAGTCAACAACACACTACATCTTATGGGGCTGAGGTTGCAGAGGCGTCAGGAAGTTTATCTCATTGACTAGTACTAAGCCTTTCTGGTAGCAGGTTTTTAATTTTGGTGGTTCAGTTCAGGCTGAAGACCAGTAGGAGGCGCTTAAGAGTAAGAGCCCGCTGGCCCTCAGGTAGGCTGCTGTCTGGTGGAAACGACTATCTTGATGGAGGAAGCAGGGGGCAGAGGTGGGAAGAGAGTGTTGGGATGTGCGGAGGTCTTGGGGAAAGCAGTGGGAGTGGGGGATGTGTGCACCAGCTCCTTTTCCTGAGCTAGAAGTAATGAGACCCCCTCTGAGGGCAACCACAAAAATGGGCTCGGGGCAGGGCCTCTTCCCCCAGTCCGGTCCAGGGCAGGCAACTCCACAATTTGTCTGTCTTCCATTGTGAGAAGCCTGCCACTGTGTGTAGGCAGCGGAAGTTGGCCCTTGCCCTCTCTGTAAACCCAAGCATCTTGAGATCACCTTCAGCAGAGTGGAGCAACCAAGAAAAGAACGAAGAACACTCTGTGAGTATACACACTGCTCCCCAGAAGGAAGATCCACTACTGTGTCCATAACAGTGTACCGGGCGTTGGGAGATGACCCCCTCTCCATGCCTGTTCCCGGGCGCTGGGTGTTGCCACGTTTAGTAGTTGGTGCTGTGCCTTCCTTTTCTTTATTCTGAGGAGGTTTTAGCGGGCTGTACTCCCCCGCCCTTATGGGTGGCCCATACCCAGGGTTAGGTCTGCATGGGTCTCACAGCTTCCCAGGAACCCACCAGTTTCCTGTGCTTGCCGGAATTAGAGTGGAGTATATTTTTGTCCATAATGGAATTAAATTGGAAACCACAACAGAAATATGTATGGAAAATCTTCAATAATTTGAAATTAAACAACATATGTTTAAATACAAAATATGTCAAATAAGAAAACATAAAGGAAGTCAGCAAATATTTTGAACTTAATAATAATGAAAATACAACAGATCAAAATTGCAGGGATGTAGTTAAAATAGTTCTTATGGGGAAATTTATGGTTCTTATGGGAGAAGGTTTAAAAGCAATGTATGTTTACTTCTTAAGAACTTAGAAGAAAGAAGAGCAGATTGAAGCCATAATAAACAGAAGGAAGGACGTAGAAAAGATAAAAACAGAAATCAACTAAATAGAAAAAGAACAAATAATATAGAAAATTAATAAAAAGCAAAGCTACTACTATGAAAAGATTAATAAGATTAATATACCTCAAGCACATAGCCTTGCTTGATTACAAAGAGAAGAAAAGAAAAAACACAAATTACTAACATTGGAACACTATTTTATTATCTACAGACATTTAAAAAATCTTAATACTTTAATGACAGTAAATTAAGTAATTTAGACAAAACTGGCAAATTTTTTGAGATACAAATTACCAAAACTAATTAGAAACAAGAAAAAATCTAAATAGCCCAATATCTGTTAATGAAATCAAAAGTTACTAGAAAGATTTCCAAAAAGAAAATTTCAAGTCTATGTGACTTTACTCATCAATTTCATCAAATGTTTAGAGAAGAAATGAGATTGTTTTATAACAGATTCTCCAGAAAAAAGAAGAGACAGGACTTCTCAACACATATTATGATAATCTTGTTTCCAAAATCAGACGCATTATAAGAAAACCACAAACCAATATCTCTTATAAATGTAGACATGAATTTCCTTAAAAGTACATCATTAAATAAAATCTAACAAATCTTAAAAAGAATAATATATCAAAACCAAGTGGGGCTTATCTTCATCATCTTAGTCAGTACTTTGTCCATGATGAAGAGAGATTTATTTTTCATAATTCTTAAGGCTGGGAAGTCCAAGACTGGAGTGGGGTGGGGTTGGGGGGGTGGGCAGCTACATCTTGCAAGGGCCTTTGTGCTGCATCTTCCCATGGTAGAAGGTGAAGGGCAAGAGAGGGAGAAAAAGACAGGGCCAAATTCAACCTTTTATAATAAACCTACTCCCAAGATAACAGCCTTAGTCCATTCATGAAGGCTCCACCCTCATGGCCTAATCACCTCTTAAAGGTCCCACCTCTTAACCCTGTTACATTAGGGATTTAGTTTCCAACACATGCTTTGGGGGACAAAATCAAAATGTCCACTTTGCTTGTATTCAGAGTTGAACTGGAGTTCCTAAGCAGTGTCTTAAAACAAGAAGAAGGAGGAGAAAGAGGATAGGAAAGGGAGGAAGCGGGAGAGGGGAGAAGAAAGAGAAAGAAAAAAAGAAAGAAAGAGATGCCAAGCATACAGATTGAAAAAGAAGACTTGGCAGGGTGCAGTGGCTCATGCCTGTAATCCTAGAGCTTTGGGAGGCCAAGGCAGGTGGATAGCTTGAGTCCAGGAGTTCAAGACCAGTCTGGGCACCATGGCAAAACCTTATCTCTACAAAAATAAAATTAAAAAAATTAGCTGGGTGTGGTGGCACATACCTGTGATCCCAGCTACAGTGAGCCAAGATCATGCCATTGCACTCTAGCCTGAGTGACAGAATGAGATCCTGTCTCAAAAAAAAAAAAAAGAAGAAAGAAAGAAAGAGAAAAGAAAGAAAAGAAAGAAAGAAAGGAAAGAAAGAAAGAGAAAAACAAGAGTTAAACTATCTTTATTGGCAAATGGAGAGAATCCTAAGTAATCCTTTGAAAGTACAAAAGCTAATGAATAAAGTTAGCAAGGTTGCAGGATACATGATCAATAGAAAAACCAATTGTGTTTCCATACAAAACAATTTAAAATAAAATTTTAAAATTAAAGCATTTTAAATTAGAGAAAATTTATTTACAACAATATTTTCAAAGCATAAAATCCTTAGGGATAAATGTAATGCAATATGTGCACACCTCTATACTGAAAACTATAAAATATTCCTGAGAGAAATTTTAAAAGACTTAAGTGAATGGCATGGTATACCATGCTCATTATTTGAAAGGCTAAATGTTGTTAAAATATTAATTCTCCTCAAATTAATCTATAGAATCAATTTAATCCCAATCAAAATCCCAGAATGCTTTTTTGCATAAATTAATAAGCTGAATTTAAAATGTATACAGAAATGCAAAGAACCTTAAATAACCAAAACAGTTTTATAAGAGAAGATAAACTTTGGAAGGCAGATACTACCTTATTTTAAAACTTATTAAAAGCTATGATAATCAAAACAGTGTGGTATTAGGGAAAGACAGACAAATAGTTTCATGGAATAGAACAGAGAGTACAGAAATAGACCCACATGTATATGGTGAGTTGATATTTTACCAAAGTGCCAAAGAAATCTAATGAAGAAAGACATTCTTTTAAACATGTGGTGCTGCAAAAACTGGCTCCCTATAGATAATAAAATAAGCTTTAATCCATAGCTTACATCATACTATAGTACTAACTTGAGATAGGTTATAAACATAAAAGCTAAAACTATGAAACTTTTAGTAGAATATATTTGTGATCCTAGTGTAAGCACAACTTTCTTAGAAAAAGCCATTAAGAAAAATGAATAGTCAAACTAAACTGGGAGAAAATGCACACACACACACACACACACACACACATATATATATATACACACACACACATATATACACACACACACATATATATACACACACACATATATATCTGACTTCTATTATATATAGTTATAGGTAAGCAATTTTTATACTTCAGTAATAAAAAGACTTTACAGTTATGCCTTATAACTCTTACGATATTTTTTAGTTGACAAAGTACTTTTCTACCAATGTTTTTATGTGGACTTTACAACATTACCCCATGAGATTAAACAGTATTAGGATTATTTTTCTAATCTTACAAATGTAAAAATGAAGCTCAGAAATGTATGTTTTCCAAAGAACTAGAACTAAATCCTGAGTCTTTGAGGCACCCAGTTCATCATCATTGCCATCACACTGGCTGGTATGTCTCACTTAGGTTGATTTCTGATATGCCTCTCCTTATGGACTGACTCCTCAGGCTTACCTCTTAATTAGAACAGCCCTGGCACAATACCAAACCCCTTTCCTTGCCAAACTCCAGCTCCGAGCTTCTTGTCTTTCCAATTGCAGATTACAGCATTAAACTCTGGTTGAGCCTGAATGATCCCATATAGTCCTTCCCAGGTAAAAAATTCGTTAGATGATGGTTTCTTAATCACAGCTCAGCTGCCTCCTTGGGTTATTTATCTGATTCTGGGCATGTCACAAAAAGAATGTTGTTGAAAGGCAATGTAATAAGTATGCATCAATCCTGCAGCCTTTCTTATTAAGAAATTTCAAGAGGGTCCACCTTCTCGAAGGAAGCAGCACTTTGCTACAGAGGCAAACACATCCCTTGGCATTTTACAAACCCCTCTGAAGGGAGTGGAGAGACAGCTCATCTTAGTGACAGATCTGTTGCAGGCAGTAAGAGGGCAACAGGGAGTCAGACTGCTACCTATTACCGTCATTATTATTGCTGTTGTCATTATTATGATCATATTACACATTCACTTAATGGTAACAACAGGGCCTGGCCCCAAAAGAAGTCTCAAAAAAAGATGTAATCTCTTCCCAGAGGCCTCATTTTTAAGTCAGATATGTTTCTGGTAATCCATTGTCACAGTCCTCTGTTGCCATCTGTTTTGGGTATCTGTCTGTGTGCTCTGACTAGCCTGGTCAGATAAATGTCAATAAACTGTGCGCACAGAGGAATTTTCTCTCTTATGTATGCTTTACTTTTGATGAACCAGGGCCTATTCTGAAGATAACATGACAGATTTATTGACATAATCATGCATATACTTCCATCTTCTCAAATAGGTCTTGGAGAACCTAATAAAACGCCTGGGGTTGAAAGCGACCTCAGAGATCCAACTACATAGCGCTCAAATTCTGCCCTTCAGTTGCCATCCTGCTTATGCTTGATTGCCCCTAATGTTGGAGAACACAGCACCTCCTGAAACAGTCGATTCCATTCTTAGACAGCTCTTCTTTTTATTAGTTCTTAAGTATCTGCTGTCACCTCCCTTCTCTTTTCAGAGACCGGCATTCTCCAATCTGTACAGGAAAACAGCTTTCTCCTATCTTTGCCCATGGCTCTACCCTCACTGGAGTTCTCCCTAGCACTGGGGAGTTCTCCTATTGCTCTGGTTTTTCTATGGCTGCCCTGCAAATCCTCTGGGCATCATCTGGAGCTCATGCTCCAGTAAAGGGGCTGTTGCTTAATAAGCCTCCCCAAAATGTAGTGGCTTAAAACAATGATCCATTATTTGTTATGATCTGAAGTGTTGGCTGGGGAGTCTGCTCTGCTGGTTTCACCTGGGATCCCTGCTAGGGCTGCATTCAGTTGGAAAGCTTGGCTAGGCTAGAAGAGGCAACATGGCCTGAGTGTCAGGTATTGCAGTTGGTGCTGACAGTGACTAGGACTCCTTGGTTCTCCCACAAGTGGCTGCTCGTTCTTCCCTAGGCTCAACTGGCATTCTGACATGGTCTCTGGGTGGCTTTCCAAGGTGGCAAACATGGAGCTTACAAGGCCTCTTAAGGCCTAACCTTGAAAATAGCACATTATTTCTGACACATTCTATTGGTTAAAGCCAATCACAAAGCCAGCCGAGCTTTAGGGTGGGGAAATCGACTCCATGTCTTAATGGAGTGTGTCATGTTTTTCATTCTACCAATGCCCTGTCTGCTAGAAAACATGGAAGATTGAAAGTACGGGTGGAGCACAAGGGCTTCCTCCTTCTCTTTTTTCACTCTGTTTCTTCATTTTCTTAACACCATTCTTTCTGGGTATATGGTGTCGTGCAAATTTCTTTTCTAAGGAGTTTCAATTATCTTGAAAGAGAATTATTACATAAAAAGGAAGAGAGCATGGTTGTAGCAAATGTAAACATTGCTTTGAATCTCAAAAATGAAGGCACTTAAAGACCTGTGAGGGGGTCCTCTGTGGCCATTTTACCAAATCTCAGTCTGGTTCTTCTGTCCTCAGGTTCAGTAATTTCTGCCTCTTTCATACCGAGGGCCTCATTGTTCAAGGGCCTCTATCCAAATTTCCACCCCCTCCACTTCCTTCTAGGAAGCCTTACCTCTTTACAAAGGATGAGATTCCCCTTACTCAGATTCTTTATCTTTTCCAGATATAAGAAGGGTTTAAGATTGAAGCATGTGATCTTAGCACCCCAAGCCTTCACTGATGTTGGTCATCGGCCAAAGTTCAGACAGGCAGGCACAGAATTCCTGGGGCAAAGTGAGCAGTGTCCCATTCTAGAGTTTTTTATTTGATGGCATCTTGTGAAAGCTGAGGCTGTCAGTTACTCTTTCCAGGAACCTATTAAAATAAGATCAGCTCCCAAGAACAAACAACAGTTGTGTGTGTGTGTGTGTGTGTGTGTAGTTTGTGTGTATGTGTGTGCATGTACATGTGTGCACATGTGTGAATAGGTTTAGGAGTGGGTGTTGAGGACGGTTCAGGTAGAGTGGGTTTTTATCAATTAAGAATGCAGTCAATTTGTCAATTGAAAATGGAGTTAGTGAAGCTCCCAATATTGAGTAAGAAGTGTCTGGCTTCTTTTCTACTCAGCTTTGATCTCTGATGGAATCATAAAAGTCTCATGCTGCAGACTGGATTCAGTGGTTTCCAACCCCAACCACACATATGCATACACAGACACACACATATCTGAAGGGATGTGCTGACTCTTTTTACTATGTCTTAGAGGAAATCTACCTTCTTATAATCTCCACCCACCTGTAATAATTTTCTGCTGCGGACACACAGATAAGGTCTAATTCATCTTTTTATGAGAGGCTTTTGTGTATTTCAAGATAATTACCACCAGGCACCGTGGTTTATACTGGTAATTCCAGCAATTCAGAAGGCTGAGGCAGGAGAATCACTTGAGGTCAGGAGATTGAGACCAGCCTGGGTGACATAGTGAGACCTATCTCTAAAAAAACCCAAACAAACAAAAACAAAAATAAAAGTTAGCGGGGTGTGGTAATGCATACCTGTAGTCCTAGCTACTTGGGAGGCTGAGGCAGGAGGATCGCTCCTTGAACCCAGGAGTTCAAGGCTGTAGTGAACTATGATTGTGCTGCCACAACTGCAATCTAGCTTAAGCAACAGAGTGAGACCTCACCTCTAAAAATTAAAAAGAAAAATATAATTACCATGTACTTCCCAAGTTTTCTACTGTCCTAGCTAAACATTGAGGCTGGCTGAATACAATATTACCTGACAAATGCCATGCGATTGATGCAAAAAAGATGAGAAAACATATTCATGCTCATACCTATTCTTTTTATGCTAGATATTTCAGTAGTGCATCCAGCAGAAATTCAAATTGTTAGATTTAGGATATAGATAATGGGTGGAATATGGAACATGGAATATTAAGTCATCAATTCTGCTCTATTTCCTTTTGTTTATGTGTCCAGCACAGTCAAAAAAGATAAGAAGGAGAAGACTGTGAAAGTAGGTTGTCTGAATCCATTTTATGCTGTTATGATAGAATACCACAAAGTGGGTAATTTATAAAGAAAATAAATGTATTTCTCACAGATCTGGAGGTTGGGAAGTCCAAAAGCATGGCACCAGCATCTGGTGAGGGTCATCCCATGGCAGAAGGATGGAAAATAGAAGCAAGCATGAGAGACAAAGAAAGCACACTTTTATAACAAAGCCATTCCTTCAATATCTAACCCAACATTTAGAAGGCAGCAGTAATCTATTTATGAGAGTGGAACGCTCATAACCTAATCACCTCTTAAAGATTCCATTTCCCAATAGTGTTACACTGGTGGTTAAATTTCAGCATGAATTTTGGAGGGTACATTCAAACTACAAGACAGATTTCATGTTCAATCTAATAATTCTCTTCCATAACTGGACAAGTCCTACAAATAAGGTTGGTATTTAATAACATTCAGTAATATTTATTAAACACCAACTATACATCAGTCACTGTGCACCTGGCACCCAGAAAACCCAGTTGGGTGAATACTAGATATCACTTAAGTCATACAACTCTGTGAGGTAGAAATTATCCCAATTTTCAAGATAAAGAAATTGGAATTTGGGTAGGTTAGGTGAGTAGGCCAAATTTCTACATTTAGTAAGTATAAAGCTACCCCAGAACTTTTGTCTCCAAACTCAGTACTTCTTTTTACTCTACTCGGTGCATGCCTGTTCTGTGCATCGGGTGGTGGGGTTAGACACAGCACAAGAGGTTTTTGCCTTTATATTTTACCCTCTACATGGGAGAAGGAGAATTCAGAGAGGAGGGGAATATTGAGCTGGTCCTGGAAAAACAGTGGGCAGTGGAGACATAGGAGGGGACGACAATACAGGGAGATTTAAGAGCCAAGATATATAGAGAGAAGTTTGCTGGGATGCTTAGCAAATATTGAGTAGAGTGGTCTGGCTGGATGGGGAAAGACCCATATTGGTAGTGAAAGGAGGCTGCTTTGAAACTCTGTGTTAGTTTGGCTATAGTCCCTGACAGAGTGTGACTGTGCAGAGCCTTGAACAACAAATTAAGAAGCCTTTTTCCATGGTTGGTTAGGCCCAGTGTATTGATTGGCCGCATTTCCAGAGGTCTAGATAAGCCTGCATCAAGGAAAATTCCTTTTTTGTTGCTGTTGATGTTGAGCATGTTCTGGGCTGGCCTTTTCTCACCATTGGAAAGGTAAACAACTGTAGGATTTAGATTTGAGTTTGACAATAGGAAGTAAGGTACCTTGCTTGACCTGTGTACTTACCAGTAGAATGGGGAGAAACATAAGAATTATTTACATGGTATCTGGCATATATTTTTGGGGGGAGTTCCTAGAAATATTTAGCAACAGAATTCAAAGGGTCCGGATCCAGCCATTTAAGTCTTAAACTTTTCTTCATCCCAACTCCATCAAGAGGGAGCCCATGAATACTTCTAGCAGAGTTGTCACTTGATGAAAAGTAGTGTGATGGGACCACCAATCTGGGGCAGATGTCCTAGCATGGCTTAGAGTGGAGATCCAGGAAGCAGGAGGACCAGGTAAGAGACAAGCCAGTGGTGGAAGGGTTGTCAGGAAATCTAATAAATTTGTCCATGTATTTATTTATTTATTCATTCATTCACTCATTCATTTATTCATGTATTTATTTACTCAACAATTATGTGGGAAGAACCTACCATGTGCCGGGCTGTAGGTCAAAGCTCTGGAAATCAGAGGTGAACAAACCGGACATAATTCCTTCCCTCAAATTATTTACAGTCTCTCTTCTAAACTTATTATTCTAATATTTCGATGCAATCTTTCAGTGTTTTAGGGTGGTGGGATTTTACAGGATTTAAGACGTTTCAGCAAAGGGAGAGGGTAGTTGGTTATGTAGTGATCTCCCTGACCTTAGAGGTAGTTGTTGCACTAAGTAAGAGCCTGACTGAAATTTCTACTAAATATCTCCCAACACAGGAAGATAAGCATCTAGAATTCATGTTTATAGGATATGCATCTGAGCCTGTGATGAGACCTCTACTGGGATTCTTCTTAAAAGGAGTCAAGAAATGAAGTGAGAAGATTTTTTTCTTCTTTATTCTCGAGCAAAAACAATGTGGGATAGAGAAGCCACAGGCCAAACCCTCTTAGGAAAGCTGGCCAGGAATGCAAGCACCATGAAAGTTCTTTCACAAGAAAAGGAGAATTGCTTCCTAGGGTTATCCTGATTTCAAAGTCAAGGTAGCATGAGATTGGCTTATTTTTGCGCTGGGCTTGAAAATGTAACTGACTCAGGAGAGAAATGTTAGGACCAATTTCTGGCCTTGAGAAATTCCCTATCAGGAGGTTGGTACAAAGGTGCATTTGCAGTAATCAGCTCTTTTCTTTAGCTTACACCTCCACCTGCATCATGCAATTGCATCAATACCTCCTCAAATTCCCATAAGATTATTTTTGAGAAAACTTAATGTGTTACTATGTAACTTCTCTGAGCCTCAGTTTCCTCCCCTGTCCAATGGGGCTGATGATATTTTAGCAGCACTAAGTTGTATCACAGAAGTAATTATCCAAATATAGTACCTAGTACTTGGCTGTCACCTAATACTTGCCTCATACCATCACATCTAGGAAAGTTAAAATACCTTTTTTAAATGACACACTTTGTGAGAAAAATTAGGCCAAATATGTAAGGAAGAAATTATTAGTTATTAATATTTTCCCCAGTCAGTTTCTAAGTTCCTCAGATTATTTATCCCAAGATTTGTGGGAAGAAGCTCAAATGAGACAGGGTCTAGGAAAACCTGTTGCAAGCTATTAAGTGTTCTCTGCCTAAAAGGGACCATCTTAGACCTGAGGGGGCCTGCTTCCTTGCTTTCAGCAAGACTGCTGGTGCCCCAAAGCCAGCATCAGTGCATGGAAGAGGGCTTATGATCAGCCCTGCGTGCCTGCTAATGATGACCACAAGCGGCCTTGAAGAGGCTTTTCATCACCACACCTTGTCTTCTTCCAACTCCAATTTGTACAGCCTATGGGTTGCTTCACTTCCAGGAGCCAGACCCCAGGGGCTGTTAATAGCCAAGGTCACCAGTGTGAACCTCCGCTCATCCTAGCCAGCATGGCTGTGACTTCCCAAGAGAAGATAAAAGACTGATAGGCCCCCCCCAAGAGAGGAGAGAGCGACACTTCTCATTAACAGAGGGCCGGTCAGGGAGTAGGATGCAAATGGCCCTGATGCCCCTGTGGCTGCTGCCACTCTCATTGCCTCCTGGCACATCACGGCAGGTGGATGACAACTTGTCTCACTGAAGAACTCTGAAACTGTTTCTAGGGGTGCTTTTGGGAGAAGCAGAGGCAAATCCTGCTAGAGCTTTCTGATACCAACCCTATGGCATTTGTCCTCTTGACTCCATACCTAAGGCTTCAGCACAGTCCTCCACTTGAAATGTAGGCCTAGAGGAGGACACACCTCTGGAGGAACTCATTCCAGCTTTACTTTCTTCGAATACACAGGCACGCACACGTGCACACACACACCCCTACACACACGCACACACACACACACACACACACACACACACACACACACCTTTTTCCTATTTTTTTTAGGGCAGTGAGAGGTTCTCAAATTTCAGTGTGCATCAAAATAACCTGGAAAATTTATAAACATACAGGGCCACACCCCAGACCTACAGGGCCTAGGGAATCTATGTTTTAACCAGTTTTCCAGGTAATTCTGGTATAAATGATCATGAGATCACACTTTGAGGTATACTATTCAGGAGTTAAAAAATAATTACAGAACCTATTTTATAGAGTTTTAAAAACTGGAAGACAATTCAAAGGTATGTAGAATAGCCTTTCATTCTACAAATGAGAAAGTGGATAGAGGCCTAGGCTGTAGCTGCCTGCCAGAGTTCAAACCCTGGCTCAGCCTCTTACAAGCTGGATGATTTGGGGTAAGTTACTTAAATACCCCGTGCATCAGTTTTCTCATCTATACAACAGAAACAATATAAAATGTTACCTATCTCATGAGAGATTTTATGAGGTTTAAATGCATTCATATAGTCAAAGTTTTGGAAAAGTGCCTGGCACATAGTGAACATTCAATAAATTATTTGTATCTTTCAGGTTCAATCAGAAAAACAGGACCACTTCGAGTAGTATAGAATATGGGATATATTACAAGGCTTAGACCAGACATAATTGTGGGAACTCATTATGTTGCTACTTTAGGGGGCAGTTTCTGCTTTTGATGCTGGCCCAAATGTCAGCAGGGCTAGAAACATAGAAGAAAAGATAGACATCAAGTAGGAATAACGAGGACAGACTAGAATCTGCAAGAATTAGCTGGAACAATATGTGCTGCTTCTTCAATCTCGGTGATGCTGTTGGCCTACAAGATAAGCTGGCAGCCTGCACCATAGGGTCACACCTGCTCTTGTCCCAGTACTCAGAGAAGTTGAAAGAGGGGATCTGGCAGGAGCTGAAGGAGCTGCAGCATCAACTGTGCTCTAAACCAACCAAGTAAGCCAGCATATCAGTGACCACGTGCAAGAGCTTGTAGCTGCCCTCATTAACCTTTAGAGGATAAAGAAAATAAAATAGCCCTTCTTCACTTTCCCCTTTCAAATCTCACATGACTTGGAACATTAACTTGTGGCCAACCTTAACCTGAAATTGTATAGCCAAGGGGACTCTAAGATTTGCAGTTCCAGCTTAGCTAAGTTGACAAAGTACAAAAACCATCATATTGTCAATTTCTCTTAATACACATCAGGAAACTGAACAGAGCTGGTGAGTACCTTAGGCAAGGTCACACAGCAAATTTTTGGGAGAAGAGAGAGAGAAAGACCTAGGCTTAGGCTACTCAGCTTCTGATAGTCAAGCCTCCTGGTTGCCACAAAGAACTTAAGAAGGTGTCCCTCTGAATGTTTCTTAAACCTACAGAGGGAAAGCCCAAGGAGATGATGGGTCTGTTTCAATAATACATTCACTGAGGGACTGCTAGGTGCCAGTTAGTCTGTCGTCAGGCAGGTAGGACTCCCTTCTTTGCTTACAGAGAAGAAAACTGCATTGGTAAGTACAATAAAAGGCCAAAGAGATACATGCTTCAAGGGAGAGACAATGGTAGTGTTTTAGGGTGGAGCTTGTTAAAAGATAGGTTATCAGACCATGTCAAGTGGCTTTTGCCTAATACTCAAAGGTCATCAATCTAGATCCTATTTCTCTACCCTCTTATCCCTTGCTACTCCGCCGAAATGAAGTACGATATATGGGACAATTTACTTTGAAGCCTCTTGCTACTGTGATAACATGGATACTGTTGTTTTCTCCAACATCCATCTGAGTAAATCAGGCTAAGCATTACCTCCTTGCCACAGTGGTTGCTTCAAGTTACCCAGACCTAAGCCAGGTACTAGAGTCCATTTGGTTGCTGGTGTTGAGATGATCACTTAAAAAATTGTCTAACTCTTTGAGACCAGCCTGGCCAACATGGTGAAACCCTGTCTCTACTAAAAATACAAAAATTAGCTGGGTGTGGTGGTGCACACCTGTAATTCCATCTACTCGGGAGGCTGAGGCAGGAGAATTGCTTGAACCTAGGAGTCGGAGGTTGCCAGATATTTACTCAATGGTTGGAGGAAGTGCATTTCCTCTTCCACTAGATACTGAAAAGGAATTATCACACTGATTGTGCTATCCGCAGCTGACAAACACAGAAGGAACCAGTTGTAGCCTAGAGTCAACATTATGGATGGCAGAATGAAAGAAACATCATTGGGCCATTGAATCAACCATCTCGGAAGCCTGCTTGAACTCTAGGCTTTCCAGTTAACTGAGTCATTGTGTTATCCTGTGTTTGAAATAGTTCAAGTTGGACTTTTCCATTACCTCTTATAGAAAACGTCTGCATTAATACACGTGCCTTTGAATATGCTGAGGATATTTTTCCTCTGCTAAAATAACAGTTCTTCTTACTTTACCTAAAGTCTTCTACTTTTCTCTCAAGAACTTGTTCATTGTCTCATCCATCCCAAAGCCTTTGCTGATCTATTTCCAGAGCCTCTATTCCCACTTAGGTTCTGATGTTCTTTCAACTCTTGTCTGTTTTTCCCAGAGGTGCCAAAGACCACAGGGCTTGGTTTTATGTTGTGTCTCTATGGCTTTTGACTTTTGGTCTTTCATTGACTCTGGCTTCACTGCTGCCTTTCTGAGTCTTCCCAATTAAGAAAACTTAGAGGAGAATGCCCACACTCAAAGCACCCAGGATTGCCAAGAGAGAACCTTAAATAGAAGAGAAGGTACTGGAGTCCATTTGGTTGCTGGTGTTGAGATGACCAATTAAAAAGTTATCTAACTCTCTGAGACCAGCCTGGCCAACATGATGAAACCCTGTCTCTACTAAAAATACAAAAATTAGCCAGGTGTGGTAGCACACGCCTATAATCCCAACTACTTGGGAGGCTGAGGCAGGAGAATCCACTTGAACCCAGGAGTCAGAGGTTGCAGTGAGCCAAGATCATGCCATTGCACTCCAGCCTAGGCAACAAGAGCAAAACTCCTTCTCAAAAAAAAAAAAAAAAAATTGTCTAACTCTTTGTATGGAAAGTTTGGAATAATCAGGGACTCCTATCAAGACCTTTAGCTTCCACCATGCAAACATCATATAGGATGAATCACCTTCCGGATCTTCCAACCAGGGTCTTTGTTCGGCTTGAACAACTAAAATTAGCAGTTTATTCACGGTCCATAATGGCTGGGGAATTATTTCATACATATGGGACAAAGGAGAGGGATCCAAAGAGGGCCCTCTTCCCTAAGTCTCATTCATGAGATTCTTCTCATTGAAGAGGCACTCTCAAGCATCCAATTTGCTGCAATTATAGCAATCAAAAAAGCATTCAGTCTCCTTCCGCACCTGACAAGCCAGCTCATGCATTCTCACCAACAGTGGTGGGGTGGATGCTATTGCAGCTCCCATCCCCCTGATTCCAGCTACAGCCACTAATACCACCCTTATCCCCACACCCAGAGCTAGAGGTGGTTCACAGTCCAAGGAACTCCGTCATGTTAACATCGATGGTAGACCTGTAGCTGCCCAGATTCACATGGGCTTACTGGTTCTCTAGAAAGAGACTGGTTTGCCTTTAGTATTGGCTTATAAATATCTCTATCCCCATGGCCTGAAAGAGAACTGATGATAGATAAACTTCTCCATTATGTAAGTTTCTAAGGGCTGATAAATAAGCTCCTGCCATGATAACAGGTGCAGGTGTAGCGCCATGGAGAAGCCAGGGCCTGTCTGATTGCTGCATTGTGCCAGCATTCATGTTACTTGAATGGGTGCTTTGTGAGAATACAGTCTCTGCAGATTGCAGGGACCGGCTGCTGCTGGTGAAAGGGTGGGGGTCTGTTGATGAAAGTCCCATTAACAACACACAAATAACTCCCAGCTTCCTCTTCTCAGTTGCCTCTTTGTTCTAGGCCAATGGCTCTCAGGAGAGCTGAAAATGTTATTTAATTATTTCTAACCCCCATACTGCTGCTACTAGGACTCCTTCTGGAATATCCATTCCCAGCAAGGCATCTGTATTCATTCTCATGAGCCACTCCAGGCTTGCCAATGGATGAAAGAAGTCTGCAACCACTGTAAACAATCAGGCTGGTGTTGAGTCACTTATGTGGACCACCACTGTGCCACTCCTTCTGACCACTCCAGCTGCTCCACCTCTGACAGGCTTCCATCTACCTTGGAGGCCAGCTGACCACAGTACTTAGATCATTACTTGATCTCTCAATCCCCTCTGAGAGTCTTTGGGAAACAACATGCGAATGTTTATCATTGTTAAGTCTGGTCACTGAGCCTCATGGAAAATTCTCCCCTCTTTTCTCAATTTTCTCATTTATAAAATGGGAATAATGAGAATACTCAGACCTTCTTCAAGAGGTTATTTTGAGTCCCAAGTGAGATAATACCTGCAGAATACTGAATATTCAATTAAGGAGGTGCTCAGTAAGAGCACTACTATTTCATTACTGTTTCTCTCATGTCAATTATTAGGGTATTTTAAAATATCTTTCTCCAGAATATCTTTCTATCTCCCAATATGACGATAAGTTCTCCTAGAGCAGGGCACTTCTAAGTTTTCTGATGCGTCCACACAATTTATCAGGCAGCTGGAACATGGAATGAACACTTGCATGGCAGCCAGGAGCCTCAAGCTGGAGTCCCAGCACCACCTGTGATTACCTCATTCCTCTGTCTGGCTGTCTTTCATTAGGTCTTCTATTATCTCCTCTGTGCCCTCACTCTCCCTTCCCTTCTTAAATCCCCATCCTTCTACCTTGGCCTCACCTACTGAAATCTCACTCCACCTTCCAGTTCAAACCAAATTCCCCACCTTCTGGGAATCCCTTCCTCAGTAGCTGCAGACTACACTGGCCTGTCTTTTCCCAGACTTCTCATTCCTTCATGTTAGCACCACAATGCTTAGCAACTAGTGGCTTTTTCAATAAGAAAGATGTAGTCTTATTTATCTCTTTGCACAACTCCCTTCTCTATTGTGTTTTCCACATTTACATACCACTTTGGGGCAGAAATTGGCCCAGTGGCCAAATCTGGCCCACTTTCTTTTTGTATGGTCTAAAGCTAAGAATGTTTTTGTATTTTAAATAGTCAAAAAAAGATCAAAAGAAGAAAAATGTTTCATGAAGTGTAAAAATTACCTAAAATTTAAATTTTGGCATCTACAAATAAAGTTTTATTGGAACGTAGCCACACTCATTTGTGAAGCAGGTTCACTGTGCACTGGTTACCAACTTGTCTGAGTCTGGTAAGGCAGAAGATCCTTAAACATAACAAATTACATGAAACAAATTTATTATTTACAGATAAACAGCAAGGGATAACAGAAGTGTAGGATTGATTGTGAGCTTCTCCCCCCAAACTCAGAAAAACTGCCAGGTAAATGAGGTCTCATCTGCATGTGCCCCACTTGCATTGCTACTGAGGGACCCTGAAAAGCAGACAACCCTGGGTGTTACACCCTCCCCAGGGTATGAAAGGACACACTAGGCAAATGTGTTGAAGAACATCCCGTTTCCAGGTGGAAACTGGAACTGAGCCAGCCTGTTCCAGCCAGTCTCTCCTTGTCTCAGGATGTTGCATTCTCAGCATATTTTACAGTTATTCCAGGGAACAACAGTGAGAAGGGGAGAGAGCTGGGTTGGTTCAAGGCCACCTGGAGAACTGTCCTGCACCATGTGTCGTATATTGTTTATGGCTGCTTTGACACTACAACAGCAGTGTTGAGTAGTTGCAGTAGGGACTGTTTAACCCACAAAGCCTACATTGCTTACATCTGGACCTTTGCAGGAAAAGTTTGCTGACCTGTACTTTAATATATAAAAACCCATTCACATTTGCACATTCATTTGGTGGTCACCACAGGCCTATGGTAACATCTCCGTTTTCAGAAGCTCAGAAAAGTAAGCTGCTTGCTCAAGAATGGACGGCTTCAAGGTGGCAGAGCTGGAAGTTTCTAACTCACTCACCTCATACTCAGACCTGCACTGTTTTTCAAGACAGTCAATATTTCAGGTAACTCTTCTTTCTTGTAATCCATTTCCTATCACATGCCTCACTTAGCATCTCCAATGAGCTCCCTCAAGAAATGTGAGGTTGCATCAGTGGCTCCCTAGTCTCTCTGAAAAGTGATGTAATTGTTATCAAATTAAAGCCCATCAGTAACTGGTAAACTGCTCTGCTCTTAGCTGGCTGGGCCCACAAGTGCTTTATCTAACCAACCATAACTTCTTCCTTGGCTGACGATAAGGTTTAATTAGGAGGAGGTGACATGTTGCTGGTGACCACTGATTTATAATGAACGGCAGCGAGTTTTTTGGAGGGACAGGTAGACATGCTGGCCCCCATCCAAGCCTGCCTGCCTGAACATCTCCTAATCTCTTGCCACCCTCCCTCTTTGCCCGAGCTCATGTTGTGGGTGTTCACTGGTGTCCTTAGTCTCTGCCTTGATGGCCCTTGGTCTTCAGGCATACTCTTTCCTTGGGACATCTTTTCCTAGAGCTTGGTGATTTAGGGGAAATTATTTTCTTACACTGAGCTTAGTTTCCTCATCTGTTGAATGAGAATGATGCTTCTAGCTTTCAGCACAGTTGAAACACAGCACACAGATCACACAGAGATGATCATGTGTGTCAGTTTATGTAAAGTGTACCTAGCACAGCTCCTGGCACATCAGCAGGACTCAGTAAGTGATATTACAGAATTTTCTATGATACTACTGTATCTTTATTCTGAGTCTCAGCAAGAGTGGGCACTAAGCCTTATCTTAGGAGGTCGTTTCTTCTTTCAGGAGCTTTATGATTGGGCATGATCCTTTCTCCATCCTTTCCATTCAGTGCTCAAGTTCTCTGACACTTCCTCATAGCTCACTTGTCAGGAAAGCCAAGAATGTCTGTTGATGTGACTCCTGCCCAGGTAGGAAGTGGTGGTTCTGAACTAGAGCTGAGGTCCCTTGATAGGCTGCATGGAATGCCCTTTGTGGCCACTGGGGCCACTAACCAGGCCTTTCTCCCTCCCACAAATCAGGGTTCCCAGACTTTCACTGGGAGGGCAGTCTGCTGGAGAATTCTATCTAGCTTGTGAGGCTGATGTTTTTCTTCCATTCAGGCCATCTACTGATTGGATGAGGCCCACCAGCATTCTGAAAGGTAATCTGCTTTACTCAAAATTGATCAATTTAAGTGTTAGTCTCATCCAACAACACCCTCTAAGGTGACACATAAAATTAATTAACATTATGCGTTAGCATGCAGAAGTACTCTCCATGGTCTCTCCCTGACAATTCTTATTTTGTTTGTCTTTCTAAACAAATGTATTTAAGAGGTAAAACAACTGGGGAGCCATATGATGTTTCTTTCTCTGTTCAAGTTGGTCAAATAATACTAACATAAATATTTCCTCATGGAGAGATTAACTAACTCAATTGTATAAAGCATTTTCAGTCTACTCTCTCATTGCTTTGTCATGTAAGGCCAATGATCAACTGATCTGATGCATTCATTTTTCAGACAAGGAATCTGAGACCTGGCTGGGAGAAGAGGACTTGCCTAAAGTTATCCCACACAGCAAATTAGTTGGAAAACCAGGATAGTTGAGTAAATATCCTGGAGCCCAGCCAAGTAATGAAGCCAGAATTCAGAAAGCTGTTTTGGCTAGATCTTGGATTTTTACAATAAAGGGTCTGTAAGGGATATTTGTGAAAAATGTTGACACTTGACGGCTGTCCTGATTCATTCAGCTACCTAGGTTATCTCTGCCTCTCTTTGACTTGTGTTTTGTCTTTTAAGATGGCAGTCTTGCTCTTTTGCCTGGGCTGGTCTTGAACTCCTGGGCTCAAGCAGTTTTCCTGCTTTAGCCTCCTGAGTAGCTGGGGCTACAGGAGGACATCACTGTGCCCAGCTCTCTCCGTATCTTTGACTAGGTTATTTTACAACCCCATACGATAGAAATGAAGTTATAGAAAACTGATAGGAATACAAATAATTATTATCCATGGAAATGCAAATTGGATCTAATGGAATGAAACTGATTTTTTTTCCAGCAGATAGTGACCACCTTTGTATCCTTTTGTAAATTCATTTCAGCATTCCATATTTGACTAAAAATGTGTGACACTCCCAATTTGCTTTTGAATTCATTGTAATATCTACCAATTCCCTCATTAATTAATGAGTTAAATAAAGCCTTTGGCATGTATTTATTTTGTATCTATAGGAGAGTCATGAGTATATCTTCTTTTAAAAGGTATTCTTCAGTAGGTCTTAGGGTGCACAATACTTACATCTTATTTTCTCATTCTACACTGTTCCCACACCTCACCCAGAATAAATGTAATCTCCTGTGAGCTTCTGAACATCATGAAGAATAACAGCTCATTTTGTAAAGTCATTTAGTATTCGCCAAGCACCTTCACTTCGATCATCTCATTTGATTCCTACAATCAGCCTGGGAGAGCACTTGACATTCCCATTTCACAAATGGGGACGATGAAGGCCAGAGAAAGAATGTGCTGTATAAAACTGAGGTCTTACATATATACATGAGGCAGAGTCATGATCTCAGTATAAGTTTCCTGTTTCTAAGATCTATGCTCATCCCCTTCATTAAGTTATGTCATATTTCTGTGTGTGTGAAATGCTTTGGGTCTGGATGCAAAGCCGGGAGCAGGAGAGCTGCTATTTTAGAAAGAAAAGGCCAAGAATTTGGATGTAATTGAAGTTGTGAGAAGTTGCAGTTCCATCACCAGGATTTTTGTTATTCAGCTCCCTTTTTCATTTTTCCCCTTGAGAATAATAGCCAGTTTTACATGTTAATGGATTTAATTACTGCATAGAGATCTGAACAGATAGAAAAGTCTCAGGCAGTGATGACGCAGTGATGGTCTATTGAGCAGCATTTGAATTAATTTGGAGTTTTCAATGCTGTGATTAGCGTGGTTATTAGTGTTAATGCTTGAAGTTCATGTTAACAGGGTGTTACCGTGAATTTGAAGCACTAAAACAGGCCTGATTTCCTAGTATTTGTTTGTTTATTTATTAATCAGTCCATTCATAATTGGTACAGTGCTGACATATAAAACGCCCCCTGCATTCAACTTCTCAGCTTGACTTAATAAAGGATAATATTGGGTCTCATTTAACCCAGTGCTAATAGGTTGTCCTTATCTATTCTGGTGCCTTCCCTACTGTGGACATTGTCTCCTTTGTCCTCAGACCACCACTGAGAGACAGATAAAGCCTCAGAGCATGAAGAAACAGCCTGAACTGTAGCTTAGGATAACAGTTCTTTGTTCACTTGAACTCCGTGTGACGTTGCCAAAAACATGCCTCCTTTCTGGACTTCAGTTTTCTGCTGAAAGGAAAACTGCGCTTCAGTTTTCAGCTCAGAGGAAATACAGGGATCATCTAATCTAAACCTCTATAAAATAAGGGGTTTTGTATTTCCTTTCAGCTCTGTGGTTCAGGGAGCAAATCAAAATGGAGAGATGACTGGAGAGTCATCAAACTCCAGAGTTGTGACTAAAAGATTATCTACCCTAGGACATTAATTCTACAATAGAGGACAGTGAGATACAAAACAGGTTAGTGATGTCCAAGGTCAGACAGCAGGTTAAGGTCAGAGCCTGAACCCGATCCAGACATTTTAATTCCTAATCTTGTGCTATTTGCTTCTTTTCATTTAGTTATCATGTGGTTTTAAAATAGAGTGAATAATATATCAAACTATTTGACTCCCATAATAAAACTTGTACCTCGTTAGTATAAAATGTTAACTTTCGGTCATATTTACTCCCCCATCCCCCTCTTAATATACCATTAAACTCCAGCAGAATTCCAAACCCTGAAGTGGCCATCCTAATAAGTAACCGCCATCCTGAGATTGGTGTGTAATGTTCTTATGTGATTATTGTTGTTAATATTTTTATTACATATGAAACATCCATTTTCCATTTAATTCATTGAATATTATTCTTTTTTTCCCTCTACTGGTTGGAATTATACTTTGTATCTCTTTTCTTTTAGGTGTTACCCTTAAATTGTTAATATGCCTACTTAACATTAAAAATGATCTTCATTTAATCAAAATCTTTCTCATACCAGTATGTAAAACCACCAATAATCCAATAACTCTCATCCTAAATTCCATGTATTTGGAATTGTCGACTGTTTAATTCTACCTCTTTTAAGCATCCCAATTAGTCATTGTTTTCTTAATACTTTGTGCTTATTTGGATTTAGACACATGTTATTTATACATTTTCTTATCTAATTGCTCTAACACATTGAAGATAATATTCTATTGTCTTCAGGTTTCTAGTTTTGCTACTAAGAAGTCTGCTGTTTGTCCAGTTTGTTTTGTTGTGTATAATTCCTCTTTTCTCTCTGGTAAATTTTAAGATCTTTTCCTTGTTTTGTTCTGTATTTTCATTTCAAAGAATCTAGGTGTTACCGGTGGAGGGTGTCTGGGTTCTTGGCCTTTTAAACAAAGAATTGGACAAAATGCACAAACAAAGCAAAAAAGAATGAAGCAACAAAAGTGGAGATTTATTGAAAATGAAAGCGGACTCCACAGGGTGGGAGCAGGCCTGAGCAAGCAGCTCAAAGGTCTGGTTACAGACTTTTCTGGGGTTTAAATACCCTCTAGAGGCTTTCATTGGTTACTTGGTATATGTTCTACGTAAATGAAGAGGCTGAAGTGAAGTTACAAAGCTATTAACTTGGTGTACACTCTACGTAAATGAAGAGGATATTTCCTATCATAGCTGAAGTGTTTCTGTTTGATTGAGTTCTAGGAAGTCCTTAGGTTCCTTGCCTCCAGGCTCTATTCTCCCACCTCATAGGTATAAATTCATTTTTCTTTTTGCTGCTCTGAATGTATTGTAAATCTCCAATCTAAAGTTTCATATCTTTCTTCAACTATAAAAAATTCTTAGCCATTTCTTTAAACTCCTACTAAAAGAATGTTGTCTGCATTCTAATATCCAAAATCTGTCTTCTGTGCACTAATTCTCTCTATAACTGTGTTTAGTCTCCTCTCTAAACTGTCTGGCAAATTTTCAGTTTCAATAATTTTATTTTTTCTGTATGTACTATTTGGCTGTTTCTCAAATCTGCCTATTCTGTTTTCATGGAGTATTTTTTTTTCTTACTGTTTTATTTTTAATTTCACATCTTTAATTATTTGAAACATTTATTTTGTAGTCTCCCTTAGATGGCTTTATCTCAAGCTCTTAGCATGCAAACTCTCATTTTTTGTATCTGTTTACTGTCATTTTTTTCATATATATTCTATAATTTTTGAATGTGAGCACATTTTCAGTGACAATATGGAGATGGGTAGAAATTAGATGTGGTCTGGGTTGTGGAAGTGTCCCTGCAGAAAAGCATTGCAGTTGCTTTTGGTAGGTGCCCCCAGAAATATCATGACCCCAGGAACATTTTTTAATGTAAATATTAAGGTATAGGAATTCCCACAGTGATTAGGTGGTGTACTTTTTTTTTTTTTTTAACTCTAAGCTCCTTCATAGAATGGATGCATGAAAGGCTTTCTTTTTTTTTTTTTTATCAACACAGAATCTCAATGAAGACATTATATGCTTCTTTATAATGTCCCTGGGTGGTGTGGTATACTGAATAATGGGTGCCAAAGATATTCAGATCCTAATCCCTGGCATTTGTGAATGTTACCTTATATAGAAAAAAGAGAATTTGCAAATATGTTTAAATTAAAGACCTTGAGATAGGGAACCTGGATTATCCTAAATGCAGTCACAACTGTCCTTATAAACAGGGAGGCAGAGGGAGATTTGACCACAAAGAGGAGAACGTGATTTGAAGATGGAAGCAGACATTGGAATGATACGCTTTGAAAACAGAAGGGGCCATGAGACAAAGTACACAAGAAAGGCACCTCTAGAAGTTGGAAGAGGCAAGGAAACAAAATGTCTTCTAGAGTCTCCCAAGAGAACACAATTCTGCCAATCCCTTGATTTTAGACTTCTGGCCTCTAGAAATGTAAAAGAATTAATGTATTGTTTCAATACGCTACGTTTGTGGTAATTTGTTACAGCAGCAATATAAAACAGCTTGACTTAATAAAACAGAGTCTTTCTAGCCCCCTTTGACTGAGAGTGCAGTATTTCAAAAGTCTCTGCATGGAGACTTGACTGGATTTTTCCATGAAGACTAAGGGTGAGGATCTGTCACTTCTACCAAGTCAAGCTGGGAAGATATCAGATGACAAGATACCACAAAAAAAAATCAGTGGTAAAAAAAATCAGACTTGAGAGGGAAATAAAAATACATGATTTCATGATTCTGATCCTTTTTTATTAGCCAAATCAATGATCTCAGATAATATGTCACAGTTGTCAGGGAAGTGGGGATAGAAGATGGTGTTTCTATTCCATATGTTTTATAAATTTTCACATGAACAGAGAAAAGCAACTTGGGTAAATTAGTTCTGTACTTCAATTTTCTCATGTGTAATGGAGCTAATAATAGTGCTTCTCTCATATAGTCATGGTGAGGCACCAACTCGATGGTGCATAGAAAGTGCCTGGCATATGTATGCCTTTGCCTTGCATAGACTAAGGATCTTTGAGGGGCTTGATCCAGTATTTTTGTCCAAGAATGATGGGAAGAGAATGGAGTGACCCAAAAGGATTTATAAGAAGTTTTCTCAACTAAAAAAAGAAATACAAATGAAGTTTTGGAATTCATCACCAAAGCTTTGGAAAACAGAAAGTTCTGTTAATTTTGGAAGGAGAAGGGGCCAGTTTAAAATGGAAGATGCTAATGTGATTGCTATGTTGTTCATTCAACAAAAATGTGCCTGCAGGGTGGTTAACTTATGCTAAGTGCTACAAGAGAAGCAGACGTCAACAGCAACCACACTCTTCTCATTTAGAACATTCAAATGAACTGTTGTAGCGGTTCACAACGTTGCAAGTGAATTTCATCAGCATCCTCTGAGATGGAGAATCTAGAAACTACTTATCGGCATTTTATGGATGAGGAAACTGACCTTCAGTTTTAACGGGGTCAAAGCTGGCTCTCTACCACCTCTCCTAATTCAATGCAGTTGACCCCGTATCATAGACAACTGGATGGGATCTCTCATCTCAAAGGGTTTACTATCAAGTAAGGAAAACAAGATGCATAAAAAGAAGGGTGGATACCACAGGTAAAAAGTGGCCATCACAATATATAAAAGGATAAATAAATAAGGAGCTTTAGGAGATTAGGAAGTCGGCGGCATGGATGGGAGAGGGGTGCCTGGTAAAGCACAGCAGAAAGGCACTGTGGAGGGGTAATGAAACATATGCCTTTTAAAATATCTTTGCCTTAAAAAATAAAAGCCAGTGGTCCAATAATAATACAAATGGTTTCTTACTATGCCAGCATGTTCCATCGTATTCTCCATTCCACAAACAATTATTGTGCATGCACTTACCATACATGAGGAACTGGTCACACTGAAAAAAAAGCTATGATGTACCACGGCACTAGCCTGATTTAGGGAAAAGAGCACTACACTGTGTCACCAGGAGACCTGCAGTCCAGCCCTGACACTGTGAGTGACATTGGATAATGTGTTTCCTCTTTACCTTAGTTTCTTCTTCCACACATTAGGAATCTAAAATTCTTTGCTGCTCTATCATTCTTAATCTGAATGATGAGACATTTGTCTATTCTGCTATCTTCTCTTTCATTACTCTCTGTTTTTCATTGTCTTACATGATTTTCCTGTCCTCCTTTCCTCTTATTTTTTTCTCCTCTTTCTTTCGGGATGGCCCCTCCTCTCGCCTCCCTACTGGTTATTCTGCCTCT